>NC_000012.12:4254190-5668920 GCF_000001405.40 Homo sapiens
AACGATGAGTTATCTGAAAATGTTGGGAAAGTGAGAAATCATAAAAAATGAATCATACATACCATACACATTTTATTTAAAGTTAATGTACATTTATTTACCAATCTCTTGGTAGCAGTCCAAAGCTTTTTGAGTCTGGGTCTGTTGATTAGAGCTGTATACCATTTTACTGAGTATGTAAGCCATACTCAGAATGCATTGTCTAAGACTTCTAATTTCATTTTCTTTAAAGTGGGATGACAAAAAGTTATGGATACAGTAATTTGAGCACAGGATCCTAAATTATGCTATGTAGAGGCTGTGTGATCTACATAAGTTAAATATCATTGTTGAGCATAAATTTCCAATCTGCAACACAGGGCATTAATAATATACCCACAGGTAACTGATAGGAAGAATGATGATCCGGTGTGTACAATCCCTGGTGCTCAATAAGGATGAACTAGTCTATTAACTATTTTACTTTCCGCTCATTATAGGACAGTAAAAAGACAAAGCAGCAGCAGGCCATCATCCTACCTGGGACTCTGGCCACCTCCTCTTTCTGCCTTAAAGATGCTCAAAGTCTGGGCCGGGCACGGTGATTCACCGCTGTAATCCCAGCACTTTGGGAGGCTGAGGTGGGCGGATCACCCGAAGTGAGAACTTTGAGACCAGCCTGGCCAACATGGTGAAACCCCAGTCTCTACTAAAAATACAAAAATTAGCTGGCGTGGTGGTGCATGCCTGTAGTCTCAGGTACTTGGGAGGCTGAGGCAGGAGAACACTTGAACGCAGGAGGTGGAGGTTGCAATGAGCCAAGATTGCACCATTGCAACCTAGCCTGGGCGACAGAGCGAGACTCCTCCATCTCAAAAAAAAAAATGCTGAAAATCCATAGATACCAGGGTGAAATTAGTATCCAATATGAAGTGTGAATGGACGAGAACCTGCTATATGCCAGATCTGTACTAGGTGGAATGGCAGCATACTGCTCAGTAAGTTCATTTTAGTTCATTTTTGTTCCAAAGGACATTATGATCTAATGACAAAGGTTTGATATACATGGGAAGATGATAGTAATAATAATATACAGTATCAATGAGGATATCGAGGATATTTTCAGTTACAGATGATTTAAAAAACTAACAAATTAGCTTAAGTACCAATTTATTTTTTGAAACAGGGCTTCGTATGTTGCCTAGGCTGGAGTGCAGTGGCTACTCATAGGTATGATCATAGTGCACTATATCTTCAAACTCCTGGCCTTAAGCAATCCTTCTGCCTCAGCCTCCTGAGTAGTTGGGACTACAGGTGCGTGCCACCCCACCTGACTTAAAAGTATGCATTTTTTTTGGCCGGCCGCGGTGGCTCACGCCTATGATCCCAGCACTTTGGGAGGCCGAGGCGGGCGGATCACAAGGTCAGGAAATCAAGACCATCCTGCTAACATGGTGAAACCCCGTCTCTACTAAAAAATACAAAAAATTAGCCGGGCGTCGTGACGGGCGCCTGTAGTCCCAGCTACTCGGGAGGCTGAGGCAGGAGAATGGCATGAACCCAGGAGGTGGAGCTTGCAGTGAGCCGAGATCACGCCACCGCACTCCAGCCTGGCCACAGAGCGAGACTCCGTCTCAAAAAAAAAAAAAAAAGTATGCATTTTTATTTATTTTTTTAGAGACAAGATCTCACTATGTTGCTCAGGCTGGACTCAAACTCCTGAGCTCAAGTGATCCTCCCACCTCAGCCTCTTCAGTAGCTGGGACTACAGGCAACTATATGCATGCACAACCGTGCTTGGCTCCCCAAATTTTTAATTGGCTCAAGCAACGAAAATTCCAAAGGTCAATGGGACTTCAGGAGATAGCCGATCAAGCCTCTGGTTCTAGTTCCTTTGCTCTTCTCAGTTCTTTCTTACTACATGTGTCAGCTTTGTCCTCAAGTTGACTTCCCTCTAGTTAAAAAAAAAAAAAAAAAAAAAAACCTTGGCAATTCCAATTCCAAGCTTCATACCTGAGGCCACGTCATCTGCATCCTGCAAGCCACTCTAAACTAGTCAAGTGCATGTACCCAACTCTGACTCAATCACTCTGCAAGATGGATGGGATTATGTTGATCATCCTGGGCCAATCAGGGATTACCCCAAGATCTGGTGAAGGAGTCAATTTAATGTGTGCTTCTTTCATGTGTCAGGCATTGTGCTACTTGCCTTTACATGGATTATCACATTTATCCTCGTAACAACCCTATGAAGTAAGTGCTACTAGCAGTTCCTGATTATAGTTGAAGAAACTGAGGCCCAGAGAGGTTAAGTAACTTTTCTGTGGTTGCACAGCCAATAAGTGGTAGAGCCAGGATTCATACTTTGGCCCTCTGTCTCCAGACCCCACATTCATAACCACTAGACCACAAAGTCTGCCAAGGGGCAAGTCCCAAGGTGATGGCTGATGTGCAGTGCAAACATCACTCTCTGGGTAAATTGGGAGGGAGGAGCACTTGGCCTGGTGTGATGATGACAGGTTAGGGCTTGAGCTAGGTCTTAAGCAAGGGTGGGAAAGTAAGATCAAGTGAACTTTCAGAGATGGGAATCATGTAGCAGAAATAACAAACACAGTGGGATCAGACAGACTGTCAAGTTTGCTGCTAATAGCTGAGTGAACTTCATCAAATTATTCACTTCTCTGAGCTCATAAGTGAAATAAGAAGCCATGAGAGTGAATCAAAGGCCCACGGGAAAATCTAAAGTGAGAAGTAGGCTGAGAATAGGATCCTGGAAACCCTGAACAGGACCAGTAAAAGTCAAGCCAAGTCCTATGGGAAAATAGAAAGTCCCTTGGAAGGGTACACATACAAAGGATTCGCTATAGTGACAAATCTAGAGAAAGTATTCTAATCTTCCTTACAATTTCCTGCCAGCCCAGGAAACAAGAAAGAGGAAGATAAAGATGAAGCCTCAGGCATTATAAGACTATACTAATAAAGATAGCTTTTTACAATCATCCAATTCCGGAGCTGGATAGGACAACAGACAACCTGCTTATTGTATAGATAAGAAAGGAGACACATTTTGAACACTTATATGAAGAGGCATATAGGCAAAGTGCCTGGCACAGTGCCTCATAAACAGTAGGTACTCAATAGTGTAAAATATTATTGGTGAATAATAGTTATTATTTTCATAAGGGACTTATCCAAGGCCTCGAAAGTTGATTAGTGACCAAAAAAGATAAGAATCCATGTCTTTTAATGTCTAGTGCAGTTTCTTCATCACTCTGAGCTTTTTTCTCTGATGAAAGGTGCCAGATGCCACTGAAAGAAGGGAGAAGAAATAGCAACCTAAAGTAGGAAAAACTATCAAAGAAGGAAAATGTTGGAATAAACACTGAACAAGTAGTTTGAAAACCAAGATTATGAATCTTGGTCTGCCATTAACTGGCTCAATGACTTAACCAGCTCAGGCCCCAGTTTACTCATCTATAAAAGTAGAGATTTGAATAAGATCATCTTGGTTTCCTTCCAACTCTGAAATTCTATGAAAGTAGGTTCCTCTCTTAACATTGCAGTAGCCTTCTTTATAAAAGATATAAATACATTCTAGGAAAAAAATGTATAGGGACAAGGCCACATAAAAAACTGAAAGTAAGAAAAGGCATGAGAGTTGGCTTCAAATATCTGGAAAAGCTTCTAGTCATATATGTGTCAGGTATATGTTGTGTGAGGCTCCAGATAACAGGAATAAGATCCAGGAGTAAAAGCAACACAGAGGCAAGTTTCTGTCCAATACAGAACAGATTTTTTTCCGTGTATTTTGGAGCTCTGCTATTAGGTGCATATATGTTCATAATTGTTAGGTCTTCAGATGGACTGACCCTTTTATCATTATAAAACATTCTTTTTATCTCTAGTAACAATTTGTGTCTTAAAGTCTATTTTGTCTGGTATTTGCGTGGCAACTCCAGCTCTCTTTTGGTTATTATTTTCATAGTATGTATTTTTTCCATCTTTAAACTTATTTGCTTTTTAAAGTATGTCTCTTACAGACAGCATATAGTTGGATCATATTTTCTTTTATCTATTTTCTCCCTTTTGATTAGAGTGTTTAGTCCATTTACATTTAATGTAAGTATCTATCAGGTAGAATTTATGTTTGCCATTCTGCTATTTGTTTTCTATATACATTATGTCTTTTTTGTTGTTCTGTTCCTCTGTTACTGTCTTCTTTTGTGTTAAATGTCTATTATCTAGTGTGACATGTAGATTCTTTTTCATTTCCTATATTTTCAAAATTATTTTCTTACTGGGTGCTCTGGGGATGACAATTAACACTTAAATTTTAAACAATCTAGTTTGGATTAACACCAACTTAATTTCAGCACTATATAAAAACTTGACTCCAAGCTTAGCTCCCTCCCCTCTCCTGTGTTATTATTGTCATAAAATTACACCTGTATATAAGTCCATCAACACATTTAAAATTATTGCTTTATGTAGTTAGTTGTCTTTTAATCAGATAGAGAAAAACAATTACAAAAAAAAGAAAACTTACATTCATATTGCCTTATATATTTACCTGTGTTGTTGCATTTAGCAGTGCTTTTTATGTATTTATATGGATTTGAGTCACTGTCTAGCATCCTTTCATTTAAGCCATAAGAACACCCTTTAGTATTTCTTGTAGGAAGGGTCTACCAGCAATGCAATCTCTGTTGTTTTTAAAAAAAATCTGGAAATGTCTTAATTGTGCCTTCATTTTTGAAGAATAATTTTGCCAGATATAGAATTATTGGTTGACTGTATTTTTCTTTCAGTGCTTTGAACATGATAGCCCACTACCTTCTGGCTTCCATGGTTTCTGATGAGAAGTCAACTGTTTAACTCATTGAAGATTCCTTGTATGTGATGAGTTGCTTTTTGTCTTGCTGTTTTCAAGTTTCTCTCTTTCTTTTGAAAGTTTGACTATGTTGTGTCTAGGCGTGACTCTCTTTGAGTTTAATCTACTTAGAGTTTGATGAGCTTTTTGTATGTGTAATGTTTTAAATAAATTTGGGATTTTTCAGCCATCATTTCTTTAAATATTCTTTCTGCACTTTTTTTCTCTCCTCCTTCTGACACTCCAATTATGTGTATGTTGGTAGGCTTGATGGTGCCCCACAGGTCTCTAAGACTCTGTTCATTTTTCTTCATTATTCTTTTTTCTCTGTTTCTCAGACTGGATGATCTCAATTAACACAGCTTCAAGTTAGGTGATTCTTTCTTCTGCTAGTTCAAATCTGCTATTGAGCCCCTGCCTAGTGATTTTTTTTCTTTTCTTTTCTTTTTTTTTTTGAGACAGAGTCTCACTCTGTAGCCCAGGCTGGAGTACAGTGGTGCAATCTCGGCTCACTGCAACCTCCATCTCCTAGGTTCATGCCATTCTCCTGCCCCAGCCTCCCGAGTATCTGGGACTACAAGTGCATGCTGCCATGCCCAGCTAATTTTCTGTATTTTTAGTAAAGACGTGTTTTCACTGTATTAGCCAGGATGGTCTCGATCTCCTGACCTCGTGATCACCTGCCTCTTCCTCCCAAAGTGCTGGGATTACAGGTGTGAGCCATCGCACCCGGCCGTGAATTTTTTATTTTAGTTATTTTACTATTTGATTTCAGAATTTCTATTTGGTTCTTTTAAAGAATTTCTTCCTCTTTACTGACATTCTCTATTTCTTATATTTTAATTCTTTAGAGATTGTTTCATTTAGTGCCTTGAACATATTTATATTTGTAATAGCTAAAGTCTTTGTCTAGTAAGTGCAACATTTGGGCTGCCTCAGGTACAGTTTCAATTAATTGCTTTTTTCCCCTATGCATAGGCCATATTTTCCTCTTTCTTTGTGTGCCTCATAATTTTTTATTGAAAACCAAACATTTAAAATAATACAAGGTAGCAACTCTGGAAATCAGAATCCCCCAACATCCTGCTGAATTTATTGTTGTTGTTTACTTAGTGATTTTCCTGGACTAATTCTATAAAGTCTGTATATTTGGTCGTGTGCAACCACTAAATTCTCTGTTTGATTTGCTTCCTGGTCAGCTAATGATTAGACAGAGATTTCCTTAAATGCTTTAAACCAATACATTTCCCAGCCTTTGCTGGAGGACTCTGTATCTGTTGGAGCATGCCTTCAACAATCTGGTGGGAAGCTTAAAGTTCTGTCCACTGTCACTTTCTACCTGCACAGAGCCTCCAGGTCAGCTGGTTTGGTGAAAGAGTAGCACCTTCTCAGGTCTTTCTTGGGCATGCACAGAGCCATAGACACACATGTGATTTTCTAGATTGTCAAGAATATGTTAGAGCTTTTCAAAGTCCCTGATGGACAGCACATTCACCTGTTCTTCTTTTTCCTTTTTCTAGTCAGCCTCTTGGTAGCACCAACTGGTATCACCACTTCAGGTAGTTGAAAGATAAGTTCAAAAGTGACTTTGAAAAGGCAGAGAAATTTGAGAAGGTGAGAAAACAGATGCAAACCCACCTAGGGACGCAAAAGTCACAGGTCTGGTGAAAAGCAAGGTACCCGATCCAAAAACCCAAAGTAGGGAGCATCATTAAAGCAAAAGTAAGCAATAAGAAGTATCTAATGTCATTCATAGGGCAGAATTCATTTGTGAAACAATAAGTGAATGAAATATTGTCAGAAAACAGAAAGAATGAAAAAATTGTAACAATACTGCTTAAATGAGAAGAATCCCTGCAAAGTCTTAACTTCCGTAGTTTTAGTAGTGAGGCACGCTAATTTAGTCCCAGCTCTGTCACTAAAAGGCTGTGTGATCCTGGGTGCATGTGAGCTGCTGTCCCTCTCTGATCTGGAGTTTTTTAAGGAAGCAATGTTTCCTAAATCTTAGTTATTTGCATACAACCTTCCTGATTTAAAAAACCTGTATCTACGTATCACTTATTCAAATTAATTTTTTAAAAATCAATTCCCTTTATAAAGTTAAATACCATCATAATATCTGTGAAATTATGAGTTTAAATG
The DNA here is from genome assembly GCF_000001405.40 of Homo sapiens. Classification (NCBI taxonomy): domain Eukaryota; kingdom Metazoa; phylum Chordata; class Mammalia; order Primates; family Hominidae; genus Homo; species Homo sapiens. The sequence goes on from NC_000012.12 coordinate 4,261,182, forward strand.
TTACTTTTTTCCTAATACTCATTAGAATAAACCTCAAATTACTAAAATGCAAAATGCATGCTCCTCCATATACCTCCTCTGATATGATTTGGCGGTGTCTCCACTCAAATCTTATCTTGAATTCTAATACCCATAATCCCTACGTGTCAAGGGAGGGACCCAGTGGGAGGTGATTGGATCATGGAGGCAGTTTCCTCAATGCTGTTCTCATGATAGTGAGTGAGTTCTCGTGAGATCTGATGGTTTTATAAGTGTCTGGCATTTCCCTTGCTTGCACTTCTCTCTCCTGCTGCCATGGGAAGAAGGTCCTTGATTCCTCTTTGCCTTCCACCATGATTCTAAGTTTCCTGAGGCCCCCTCAGCCACATGGAACTGAGTCAATTAAACCTCTTTTCTTTATAAATTACCTAGTCTCGGATATGTCTTTATAGCAGTGCAAAAATGAACTAATATATCCTTCCTCATTTTGGGAAACATTGGATTGGATGCCTAAGGTTCTTTGCACTTCTGGGATTCTGTGGATGAGTTTTTCCTGTGCCTTCTACTCAAGTTGGAAGGTTACCTCTTAGTACATGTCAGTGAGCATGTAGTAATCTGGAGTTCAGAATAGACTGGTTTGAGATTACAGCATGTTGGCCACAGTCATTGAGTGACTGATCCATGGTGAAGTGAAAAAGTAAAAACCCCCCAGAGCTGAGATCTGGTACAGAAAGTCCCATAGCTTCACACAGTATATGACATACATTAATAATTCCACACACTCCTAGAGGTAAATTGGTTCTGAAAGAACACAACACAATAGACTTTAATTACTTTAAAGTTTAAAAAACCCACTTAGCTTTGTTTCAGTGCTTACTATGCCAGGGCACTGTATTAAACATACTATAAACATTTACTCATTACAATCACCCTGCTTGGTAGGTATTATTATTCCAGTTTTACAGATGAGGAAACCAAGGCTAAGAGCAAATAAATGACTATTCGGTCCCCTCATAACATCCTAATGAGTTGCCATAGGCACTTTACCTGATTCCTGAAGTCAACCCCACTGTGCAGGGATGACTTGCAGAGGAAGCTCATTATACAAACAGAAATCTGTCTTTTCTTTTGAGACGCAGTCTCGCTCTGTTGCCCAGGCTGGAGTGCAGTGGCGTGTTCTCAGCTCACTGCAACCTTCACCTCCCAGTTCAAGTGATTCTCCTGCCTCAGCCTCCCACGCAGCTGGGACTACAGGCTGCGCCGCCACACCCAACTAATTTTTGTTTTTTTAGTAGAGACGGGGTTTCACCATGTTGGCCAGGCTAGTCTCAAACTCCTGACCTCAAGTGATTTGTTCCCCTCGGCCTCCCAAAGTGCTGGGATTGCAGGTGTGAGCCCCCACGCTGGGCCCAGAAATTTGTCTTCTAATGTTTAATCAGTGACACTAGTTTTATTCTTTGGGGCCACAGAATACAGATGAGGTAAAATGATCCCTCATTTAGTTCACCTGATTTACAGATGAGAAAATGGAGTGCAACCTGGGGTTTCATTAATGAGATCAGCTTCCAGAAGAAGAGATAACTATTTTATCTTTCCTCTCTAGACCAGTATCCCCAGTGGTACTGGAGGAGGCTTGTTCCAGGAGCCTGGGGTGGAGAATGCAAAGATGGCAGTCACGCCCTATTGTATTCTTCTGTAACTGCCTTGATGGTCCGAGGTTTCTGAAGTTGCTCCAAATTGCTCTCTCTCATTAGCCACACATTAAGAAGGACACAACACTTTAAGATGGATACCAGTGAACTAGTCAGGATCCAGAGGAGGGCAGCCTGCTGGTGGTCTAATGTCCAGCTGAACAGCTAAAGAGAAAGGGTAATTCAGTCTAAGGGACAGAAGATGAAGAGATGGCGCTTTCAAATATCTGAGCAGCTGTCAGTATAAATGAGGGAGATGGCTTGTTCTGCCTCGTTTCAGTGGCTGGAGACAGCACTTAAGGGTAAAAATTGCCAGGAGGTAGGATGTTTGGGCCCCTAACTAGCTGTGTGACCTTTAGTAAATCATTTAACTGAATAGGTACTGCCATGATAGATGGGAGTATGACCTCGGAGACCTATGAAGTTTCCTTATAATCATAAGTTGCTGTGATCTTGTTTAAGTCTTGCCCCAAGTTACACAGCTTGTGGCAGAATGAGGACTAGAATACATCTCTCCTAACCCCAAATCCAGCACTCTCTCCATGCCATATACCATACATTTTACAAATTATCTAGCACTCTCTCCATGCCATATACCATACATTTTACAAATTATCTAGCACATTGTTTAAAAACCATCTCAGATATAATTATTCATTAATTACTATGAATTTCTCTTTTGTAGGAGCCACACCTTAAAAAGGAAACGTGTCTACAAACATATCATTCTGTAAAGCAAATAATTTGCATGTAAGTGGACTTTACTGGAGTGCATGTAATCTCAATAGATGATGTTTCTCCCATGTTCAAAGCAATGAAAAGTGAGGGAGAAAAGTGGGATACAGCAGAAATCTTTCCTTGCTTGTTTCTGGTTATCAAGACTTGCCAGGAAACAAAAGGGGATGTCTTGTCCAAAGATTGCAACTCCGCAAAATTTGCTTAATTCCCTTTTCACTAAAGGAGCAAGCTGATGCTCCATGGTTCTGGGTAGCTCAGAACGAGCTTTGTTTAAAGAGGCTCACCAGGTCCATGGACTGTCACCTAAAGAAGGATCTGCAAGTTAGGGTCCATTCCAAACCGTGTCTATATGCGCTCTGATGGGGGCTCTGTTTGAATTGTAGGAATAAGCTTTAGGTTAGTTTAAGCTTTAGGTTAAACTAACCTGCTAAGATTTCCTTAAGCACCCTGGAGCAGTGTTATAGTCCATATATTCTTATGCTCTCTATATTTTTGAAGACCGCTATTCTATTAACTTAGGCAGTTCTGTTCCTTAGGACAAGGAAAACAGCATTTTTCCTCAGCCGACATGTACCAAGTGCCCATCTATATGAGGAACTAAATGTTAAAAGTTCCAACTCTTGATAGATTAATTCTCCCAGATACCTGGGAAGTGAGAGCATACCTAAACCCACAATTTAAGAATCCTTGTTTAAAACATAAAGTATATAATAAATTGATTCCGATTTTGATGATGATAATAAAGTCACTGGAATTTTATAGATTTTGAGCTGAAAGGGAACTTAACGATCATTTACTACAGCCAGTTAATTTTGTAGCTGAGGAAACTCAATCTTGGAAACACATAATCTATCCCCAAGGTCACAGTGCTGGTTAGTGCAGAGTAGAAGCAAGAAAGAGGGTACAGTCGGCCCTCTCTATGCATGGGTTCCGTATCCACAGATACACCCAACCACGGATCAAAAATATTCAGAGAAAAAAACACAGTAAAAAAATAACAAATGCAACAATGAGAAGTAATACAAATAAAAACACAGCATAACCGCTTCCAAAGCATTTACTTTATATTAGGTACTGTAAGTAATCTAGCGATAATTTAAAGTGTATGGGAGAAGTGTATAGGCTATATGCAAATATTACACCATTTTATATCGGATTTTTACATCCTGGATTTTGGTGGTGGGGTGGGAGTCTTTGAACCAATATCCCCACAGACACTGAGGGATGGCTGTATTCTGACTTCTAGGCTAGAGCTGTTTCACCAACATGATGCTAATAAAAAGGACAGGATTTTCTGCATCAATTCTAGGAGACAGTCAAGCTAATAATCAGAGGTCTATATTCTGCTCTTAATGTCTGGGTGTCCCAGGACAAGAAAATGAGCTATTGTGACCTCAAATTCCCTAGCCAAAGGAGTGAAACACTAATCAATGCCCTGTCAGATACAGGGAGGGCTCGTTCAGACGAGAAACAGATGCTGTGGGAAATACAGCTACTCAAAGAAAGGAACGCTCTCAGTATGATGGACCAAGGAAACGGCTCTATCTTTGGCTACTTTAAAGGGACTGAGTCCCATATATGTGATATGTGAATCAGACATCCAACCAACTCGTTCCCATAGAATATAAACAAATTAAGAACATAATTTAGGAACATAATTCTTAAAATCACTATGCAATCCAAGTAACAGTTACTTGACTAGACTGAGTTTTAAAGAAAAGATAAATTTCCACCTCCCTGGTTTAAGGTATGTTGTGGAAGGTGGATAAAATAGCATATCTTCCTATGCCTTTTGTTCTATGATTTTATTATTTTTTAAGAACATGTACTTATCCGGGGTATTATTTCCTATGCTTCATCACTAGACAATGTGCTTCCCAGGGACGCGGACTGTGTGATTCAACTCTCCTTCCTGTCTACCTTCCAAAACATTGTCTATGTCCACGATATCCCCAATGCCTAGCATAGTGTTTGGTATGTGGTAAGGACTCAATTTTAATCAAATAAATGAATGGATAAATTGCAAAACCCAAAGGCATTCTCCAAAGCACAAAAATCTCAGCATATTTAACTCTTCCATTAAAACCACTTAAATTCTACCTTACAGATTGGAATCATACCCCTGACATGTTCTGATGTATCTCTGCACAGACCTGTGATGTTATCAGTTTAACACATATGTGATCTCTCAGCATGAATAACCTTAATGAATACTATATAGAGTTTCAGTCGCAAACTTCCAGACACAGAAGGCGTATTCTGTGACTGGCCAAAATGGCATGAGGTCCTGCAGTCCATTCCCCTGGCTCCAAGCAAGACTGCATCTAATCTATGGTTGAGAATGATGCTTTCCTGAATGGGAAAGGTTTCCACTAAATGAAACATACAGTCTGCCTTGGTAAAGTCTTAAGTGTCTGAATGGAAGGTCAGACTTTGATTTCTTGAGGTAAGTATGGTTTTCATCCCAAGTGTAGCAAATTTCACTGGCGTTCCATTACCGACTTACTTAAATCATTTGCTAGATGACATAAAATTGCTGGTAATTACACTACAAAGAGTGATTATATGAAGTTTTCTTGTACAAAAGCAAGTAAATTTGAGCCTTATTCAATATTTTGTTAGGGAAATTTTAAATTAAATATGCCATTTTATTTAAAAAGAGAAACATTAGAAGAATATATATTCAGAAGAAAGTAGGGGGGTAGAAAAGGTTGCAAGTCACTAGTTTACTGGAACTACACAATGGGGATGATGTGCTGCTACTTGATACAACTAAATTTCCTGAGTTTAAATGATTTCAGTGAGACCCCCACACAAAACGGCCTGCACAGCCCTAATCCATGATCTAGGCTCGCCTCTCTCAAAATATTTTTTTAAAATAATGGTTCACGATCCTGAAATAATTGGTGGCCATGGGATGCCAGATGTGAGACATTTCATCTGAAACCTTATGTAAACTAACCCAAACCATTTGCTTCAGAATATCTTCCTTGACACCAGGAAAGAGTTTGGGTCCTGGGTTTGCATTTGCCTGATGGACTGACTGGCTGCTCTCAAAAATGGAAACATATGTGGGCACGATGAAGGAAAGGCTTTGGAAATTATGCAAAGAAATTTTCTTTTCCTTTTTAATCCTGTCTTTTTTTTTTTGCTTCCCCTAGGCAATAGGTATATTAAATGTTGGTGACTTTTTATTTTCAAAAGCACAAAATTAAATGTTTTTTGTGTTATTTCTCAGAACAATAACCTAACTTTGGCATCCATACTTTTTTTTTTTACAATTTGATGACAATGTTTAAAGAAATAAAGTGAACATCCCCCCACACACACTCACCGAAAGAATAAGGAAGATAATTTTTATTATTATCATCATCATAATTACTATTATTACCAATGAAGCTTGAAGGAACTCACCTTTATACATCACAAAGAAATAATTATTTGGTTTACAACTGATGAGACCACAACGAAAGTATGATTTGAGATAGCTAAGAGCAGAAATAAATTTGGATTTTTTTTGCTCTAATTGCACCTTCCACATAAACCCCCTTTGCTCTGGATTTGTGCTTTTTGAGTTGTTTGCATCATGCATAGGTGCAGACTTTGTTTCAAGTTCTTGTAAGAGCAGATGCCCTTATTTAAGGCTGAGTAAAGAGGAAATGCATTCCTTATAGGCATCTACATCCAACTGGCTTGGATTGTCTAGCACACTTACACGAACTACCTATTTTCAGGTCAATTCTAAAATAGAACATATCTCTCCAGAGGTACACATTTTGAAGATTATAAAACTTTACAGTCAACCTGTTTCACATTTCAGAACTCATTCCTTTTAATGCCAACAAAAGAACAACAAGAAAATGATTTTAGAAAAATTTTAAATCTGCCTCCTGAAATTTGCCACAAGGAAAACAAACCAAAAAAAGCCTCAAGAAGAGAACTATTTCTCTGTTTTTTTTATTAATTTGTTTTTTTAAGTTTGGTAAATATGAATTTAGCATGTTATGGAATTATGTTATAAACTGTACTAATAGATGCTAGTAATTCTTAAGTTTAAAGATTGAAAATTAAAATATGAAATATTTATTAGAAATACTTTATATTGCTTCAATTGGCTGCAACTGATACACAGCTGAATAAAACCATGAAATCGAAAGAATATTTAATCACATTGGGAAAGTGGACATTTTTAAGGGGAATGAATGTTTGAATTTGGACAAAATTAAAGTGCTTAGAAAACAAATAAAATTGACTATTGTTCAAAAAAAAATTCTGGTGAGGATAGTCTTGACATTTTACAAAGAATTTACATCTCTAAAGTGCTTAACTTAACCTCCACTACTTAACTGTCTGAAATGAAGGTGAAGCTAAATTTAAAGGACATTTTGCTTTTTTAGTTTTTTAAACACTTCCTTTGGCTCCTTCCTTTTCTTTTAATAATTTATCCTATTTTTTCTACCTTTATGCAGACAAACCAAGTGTCCATCAAATCAGGCACCAAAAAGCAAGCACTCTTAAATACAGTTCACTCAGGCTAATCATGACAGTAATTACTGACATTTTTATTAATTATAGCTCATTTTTTCCCCCAGAAGAAACAAAACCAAGTCTCTTGGGTCAGACCAGCAATCATAAAACGAAAAAGAAATAAATAATAAGTTAAAAATAGAGGGAATGTGTTAAAAAGAAGGAAAAAGTACTGTTCATAACCAAACTGTGTCACCTTAAAAAAGAAACATTTCCACACTTAATATCTGATTCAGACAGAAAGCTTCTCTCCTACTTTTGAAACAAATAATTCCACTTCAAATCCACATTTTCAGACACCCCTAGCTTTCTGCATCTGATTCCTACAACAGCCCCTTTACCTCAAAGAGGTAAAAGTCAGTTCACAGTATTTCTCTCCCAAACATCCCCACTGAAGCTCCTTGTAAATTTCAGCATAAACTCAGAACTGTCACCGTGGGTTTAGAAAATAATGACACATTTCAGCTATAACCCCCCAGATTGAAAGATTAAAAGGACTTTGCCCAAATTTAGGGGAAATGAAGGTGCGTGGGCTCACTCTGCAGCTGCAGTTTTCAGCCCTTGCAGTTTAGAAGATTCTGCATGAGCACGGATGCCACGAGGGTATCCAGCGAGTGGGAAGGGAGTCGCCCTACATGTTTTCACATCGATTTGTAAAACTGTTTTGAAAGGGTATTTCTAGATCCATTTGTTCCAAATGCAGCAAAATTCATCCGATATCGCTCACAATGCATGCACGGGTTATCTTACATGTAATAGCCATCGTATTAACCAACCCAGCTGATACTGAGATGGTGAATGGGGCGGGGGAGCAGGGAGGAATATGTCGCGCATGAAAAACTCCGGGTGTAAAAGTCAATGCAGAACTCACTCCCCGAGGAACCGAAAAAGACATTCACGACTCTCAAGTGGAGAGAGGATAGAAAGTCAAGTGGCGGGGGTCGCGACCAGTGATCGGGATTTCAGTCTGATCTCAGTACCCAGCGGAACAGGACCATAACCTAAAGAAATGAGCTTTTTCCGGAGCAAAGAGCGGCCCCGATTTCAAAGTAGAAAAAATAAACTGCTTGGGGGTGGAAGATGGCGAGGGGCGGGGGGCGGGGAGGGAGGCGGGTCGCGGCGCTGGCTCCGGGGTCCGCGGCACGGCCTCCTCTGCCGCGCTGCCCAGGGCCCGGACCCTGCCCGGCGCTGCGCCCACCGCGAGGGTGCCAGACCCGCCGCGCCGCCGCCGCGCTCTCCCAGCCGCGGCCCCCTCCCCCGCCGCTTCCTCTTGCTCTCCCAGCCCCTTCCCCCACGTGTGGATGACGTCAAAATTCCGCGAAAAAGCCGCGTGGTGGCTCCCCGAGCGGAGGCGCGATTCCGCCGCCCAGCGGCCCCCTCCCGGGGGCGCCTGGAGGGGGAGAAGGGCGGAGGCGGCCGGTTCCTTCTCCTCCCGGGAGGCAGGACCCCCCGACGCCGACCGCCGGACGCCCCCCGCCCCAAAGCTTATTGGAAAATTCACTTTTGTAAAGCAAATGTATTTCCAGAGCTATTTTCGGCCGCGTGAGGCGTGTCCTAAGCTGAATCAGACAGGAAGAGGGGGAAGTTCGGGTCTTTTAATTTTTTTTTTTTCCGAAGGGAGGGGAGTGAGATGCTAGGTGGGTGACAGACGGCAGGCGCTCGCCTTCTTAACTCACGCCTGTCGCATCTGCCGCCTCAGTAATCCAGCCCCGTCCAAGCCGAAATTCGCCGAAGGGAGTGCGGATGCACAGGCCTGGCGGACTCTGCCCCCCTCCAGAACGCAGCGGCCCAGCGCCCCGGCGGGCGCGGCTGCGACCAGAGGGTCCCGGAAGCGAGTGAACACCTGCAATCGCACTGCCCGTCCCCACCCACCCTGCTCCCCCGTGCTCTCCGCTTCCCGACGTTTTCCTCTTCTCCTTGTCCGCATTTTTCTACTTTGCCTGCACTCCCTCCTTCCTCTTGATGTGCCTCCTATGTGTCCCCTCGGATTTATGTGTCCCCTCGCATTTTGCCAGTCGGGTTTTCGGTTTTGATTGACCGTCCATCCCTCCACGGAGAAACACAAACACAGCTCCACTCTTTGGGGGAGCCGAGGGGAAGGCAGTGGCTCCCATTTCTGAGCCTGAACTCAGTCACTACCCGCTCCCCACCTGGCCTAGGCGCCCCTGCGCGGAGAAGGCGGGACTCGAACTCGCGCTGCTCCCGGGCCTTGAGCCGACCGCGGAATCACCTGGCTGGGAGGCATCCTCCAGGTAAGCTTGGGAGTATGTGTGCTTAGTGCTGCAGGCTCCTGCAGAAAAGTGCCTATAAACACCCAACACCCTGCTGCACCCTCCACCTCCAGGCTTTGTACACTTTCCAACCGAAACTCCAAAACGCTAGCGTAGAGGGTGGGGAGCCGGCCGGAAAAAGAATAAAAGTCCAATAAAACTGGCGTTCGCTAAAGTTTATCACCAGTCCTACATGGGATATATATATATGTATTTTTTTTTCCGTGAAGGGTGAAAAGGAGATAAGGAAGAACCAACAATCTACCCCCTCCCGCCGCCCCCCACCCCCGCGCCACGGTGATCAGTTTGGACTTCAAAGCCAGAGCACAGGCTCTTGCGCTTTTTCTTGAAACCGAAGTCTACACTGAAAGAAAGTGTGCACTTTTGCCTAGAAGGCAACATGCGTTTTCCCGCGTGCTAGGTGGAGTGCATTTTAACAAGACATTAGGGTTTTAACACATGGCTGGAGTGGCGACCAAAAGGGAAAACTCAGTTTCCAGTCCAAGCCTCCTAGAGACATTCCTGCCAACCTCCGCACCCTCTCACGCCCCACCCCACGTGTGAGAGTCTGCAAAACCACCGGGGATTGGATTCGATGGCGAGCTTCACGCTCGGGAACAGTCAGTAATCGGAAGGGGAAGTGGACAGGGGAACTTCAAGAGGCGAGCCTGCCACGCGGGAAGCGCCCGAACTTGCGGGTCTCCATGAATGCAGAGGGCGCCGGGAAGGGGGGGCATCCGGCCGCGACCCTCTCTGCCCCTCCCATTCGCTGCCCCCCTCCCCGCTGGAATTTCTCTGTAAAGCAAGACGGAGTAGGGGGAGGGGGAGAGGGAAGGGGCGAGAGGGCCCTCGGCTCACTCCCGAGACGTGAGGACTCGCCACCCAGGCATTCTCCTCGGGGTGGGCTGGGCCCCGGGACGACCACCCGCTTCTTCCTCGCCCCCGCTGCCCCCACTTCGGGAGACCCAGAGCTCTGGATGCCTTTCCCCGGAGAAGGGGGGGTGTGCGGAGTCGGGGTGGAAGAGACCTTGCTCGCAGAGCTATATCAAGTGATGTCCAGAGGCTGGGAGCCCCGGCGGCCTCTGTCCCTTGCCTGTCGGGTTAGATTTATACTTTAAAAATACCTCCCGCCCTCCCTCCTTCTCTCGCCTCTCCCCGCTGCAACTTTCTTTGATCCGCTCAAAGGTGGCTTAGGTGAAATTGGAGTAATTCCCTTATGGGGGTCTTAAAATGTAAGTGAATGTCCTTATCCGGGGTGACTCAAAAGCTTAAGTCGGGAAGCCCAACGTGACTAAAACCAATAGGTGATTGTTCGGGGCCGACTGTGTGCGGGTGTACACGGTATTCGGCCCGGGTGTCATCCGCGGCGCTGGACTGTTTCATTTTGAGTTTGCAACTTGGGTTTTTCAGCGAGCTTTTTTTCTTCCTGAAAGCTAATGGCTTCCACAGCAATTAGACATTTTCCTCGCCCGCCCCTTCCCTCCCCTTTCTTTACATATAGGAGATGGGATACTCATTCCCGCTGCTATTGATAAGGTCGGAGGCGGCCGGGCCTCTCCCCAGCTTTCGCCCGCCCCAGCGCCCGCTCTCCCTCCGCCCTCCCTTGGCTTCCTTTTGATGTAGTGGGGAACGCGTCCTACTAAAAAAAAAAAAAAAAAAAAAAAAAAAAAGTAATCTGCCCGGTAACAATCAGCGCGCAGTAGCAGGAGCCCCAGAGCTATTGGCTATGCAAATAGAGGGAGGGGAGACGGCGCCCCAAACTCTTCCTCACCCTTTTAAAGCGATATCCCCTCCTTTCCCCCCCACCACCCCTTCCGCCCCACCCTCGTTTAAAGAGGCTGGCTCCGGGGCCTGAGTTAATCGCTTGCACCTCTAGTTTATTCGCTCCCCTCCTCCGCCTTGCAGGGAACCTAGTGTACGGCTCACCCAGCCCGCGCCCCACCCCGCCTTGCTGGCTCTCCGCGCCCCTGCCCGGGCCCCCTCTCTCGGTGAGGGAGGCACTCAGTCGGCCTCGGTGTGCCCAGAGAGCTCGAGCCACGCCATGCCCGCTGCACGTGCCAGCTTGGCCAGCACATCAGGGCGCTGGTCTCTCCCCTTCCTCCTGGAGTGAAATACACCAAAGGGCGCGGTGGGGGTGGGGGGTGACGGGAGGAAGGAGGTGAAGAAACGCCACCAGATCGTATCTCCTGTAAAGACAGCCTTGACTCAAGCATGCGTTAGAGCACGTGTCAGGGCCGACCGTGCTGGCGGCGACTTCACCGCAGTCGGCTCCCAGGGAGAAAGCCTGGCGAGTGAGGCGCGAAACCGGAGGGGTCGGCGAGGATGCGGGCGAAGGACCGAGCGTGGAGGCCTCATGCCTCCGGGGAAAGGAAGGGGTGGTGGTGTTTGCGCAGGGGGAGCGAGGGGGAGCCGGACCTAATCCCTCACTCGCCCCCTCCCCCTCCCGGGCCATTTCCTAGAAAGCTGCATCGGTGTGGCCACGCTCAGCGCAGACACCTCGGGCGGCTTGTCAGCAGATGCAGGGGCGAGGAAGCGGGTTTTTCCTGCGTGGCCGCTGGCCGCGGGGGAACCGCTGGGAGCCCTGCCCCCGGCCTGCGGCGGCCCTAGACGCTGCACCGCGTCGCCCCACGGCGCCCGAAGAGCCCCCAGAAACACGATGGTTTCTGCTCGAGGATCACATTCTATCCCTCCAGAGAAGCACCCCCCTTCCTTCCTAATACCCACCTCTCCCTCCCTCTTCTTCCTCTGCACACACTCTGCAGGGGGGGGCAGAAGGGACGTTGTTCTGGTCCCTTTAATCGGGGCTTTCGAAACAGCTTCGAAGTTATCAGGAACACAGACTTCAGGGACATGACCTTTATCTCTGGGTATGCGAGGTTGCTATTTTCTAAAATCACCCCCTCCCTTATTTTTCACTTAAGGGACCTATTTCTAAATTGTCTGAGGTCACCCCATCTTCAGATAATCTACCCTACATTCCTGGATCTTAAATACAAGGGCAGGAGGATTAGGATCCGTTTTGAAGAAGCCAAAGTTGGAGGGTCGTATTTTGGCGTGCTACACCTACAGAATGAGTGAAATTAGAGGGCAGAAATAGGAGTCGGTAGTTTTTTGTGGGTTGCCCTGTCCGGGGCCCCTGGCATGCAGGGCTGGATGGAGGGAGAGGGGTGGGGGGTGGCGGGGGACCGCGTTTGAAGTTGGGTCGGGCCAGCTGCTGTTCTCCTTAATAACGAGAGGGGAAAAGGAGGGAGGGAGGGAGAGATTGAAAGGAGGAGGGGAGGACCGGGAGGGGAGGAAAGGGGAGGAGGAACCAGAGCGGGGAGCGCGGGGAGAGGGAGGAGAGCTAACTGCCCAGCCAGCTTGCGTCACCGCTTCAGAGCGGAGAAGAGCGAGCAGGGGAGAGCGAGACCAGTTTTAAGGGGAGGACCGGTGCGAGTGAGGCAGCCCCGAGGCTCTGCTCGCCCACCACCCAATCCTCGCCTCCCTTCTGCTCCACCTTCTCTCTCTGCCCTCACCTCTCCCCCGAAAACCCCCTATTTAGCCAAAGGAAGGAGGTCAGGGGAACGCTCTCCCCTCCCCTTCCAAAAAACAAAAACAGAAAAACCTTTTTCCAGGCCGGGGAAAGCAGGAGGGAGAGGGGCCGCCGGGCTGGCCATGGAGCTGCTGTGCCACGAGGTGGACCCGGTCCGCAGGGCCGTGCGGGACCGCAACCTGCTCCGAGACGACCGCGTCCTGCAGAACCTGCTCACCATCGAGGAGCGCTACCTTCCGCAGTGCTCCTACTTCAAGTGCGTGCAGAAGGACATCCAACCCTACATGCGCAGAATGGTGGCCACCTGGATGCTGGAGGTAGGTCGGGGGGTGGCGCTCGCCAGGAGCCAGGACCCCTCCGGATGCTCGGGTCCCCGGCCGGAGCCCTAAACCTGGGAGAGGGCAATCCCCGCGCCGGCCTCCCGGCTCCTGTGCGGGAGTTTACCGCGCGCCTTCTGGCGAGACGCGTGGCTTTATTTCTGTTCCTCTCCAGATAAACTGGGGAGGCAGAGGGGGGAGGAAAATCTGGGAGAAGCGAGGCTGTCCTGGGCGGGGGTAGGGGAGCATCCCGCGCGCGTGTTCCTGCATGTGGCTGCCTCTTCTTCCCACCCCCCTCGCGACCTGTCTTTTGCGAAGCCGCCGCGGCTGCTTGCGCTGCGGCCAGGAAGAGAGTCGGGGCCTGAAATCGGGACCCCGAGTAGAAAGGCAACCCCCCCCAAAAGGCCAGAGCAAATTCGTCTTGGCCTCAGGTCCCCGCCTGTGGTCGCGACTCCGCGCTGGCACTTCACCGGGGAGGTGGAGGGAGGAGGGAGAAGGAGAGAAACGGGGAATTCGGGAGCCCCGGAAGTCCCATTGAAGAAACGCGTGTTTCAGGGGAACCCAAAAGAACCGCTTCTTGCCCCTCACTCCAAGTCTTTGCCCAGCGAGCCGTGTGCCCACGTATGCACAGCTCTGGACCTGCCGTGGTTTCGCCATGTTGCTTTGCAAACTCCCTTTGGAAAGGCTGGGAAACGTCGCCCGCTTACCCTCGCACCCCATTATCCCGGCCACCCCACTTCTAATCGTGCCCTCTCCCCCACCCCCCACCTCACGAAGATTACTTACAGTTTGGTTTTCCAGCTTCCTCGGTGCGGAGATTTGGGTGGGGTAGGAAGGGGGGGAGGGGGTGTGTGTAGGGGGGATACCGGGTCACCCCTGAAGGAGAGGTGGGAGCCCCCCGTGCCTCTTTCCAGGGCTCTCTGCTCCCGTCTTTCCCCTCGCTCGTCACCGCGTTCCCTAGTTTCTGTCCTTGTGGGCCGCAGCCGGACACTCCCGCCGCGGCGCTCACCCCTTCAAGTTTCCTCCCGGGATCCAAAGCCCCAGGGGTCGGAATACAGACCTTTCTGGCACCCGAAACCTCTGTTTCGGGAAGCCTGGCTCTTCTTTGGGGTTTTCACGCCAAAAGGGCTTTTCTAGGATATTTCCTCGATTTTTAATTATTTTTTGAAACCATCCCCCCCTGCTCCGACTCCAGCTGCCGAGGCTGCGGCGCTCTTCCTCCTCTCCTCCCTCCCCCTCTCTTCCCCACCTCTCCTCACCCGCCCCCCCAAAAGCGGCCCCTGGGCCGCAGGGACCCCCCCAGACATTTTTTCCAATTGTCGGGAATGATAGAGGAGGATCTGGGGATCCGGATGAGACCAAGAAGTGGACCCCCGGAGCCTCCAGAATATTTTTATTGATTTTTTGAAAAGATGACGAAATCCAAAAAAGAGTGAGTGAGTTAGAGTGCGCGAAGGAGTAGCCAAAGGGAGCGTCGCGGAGCTGCCGCGGCTGCTGCGCACTTCTCCGACTCCCCGTTTTGGAGCTGTAGTTCACCCCCTTTTATAGGATCCCTGGGAATACCAAAGCACTGATGGGCTATTCTGATTCACTCCAGTTTCCTCATCTTTGTTCTTTATTCTTATCACGCATTCTGGTCCCCTCCCCCTCCCACAAAAAAAAATTAATTTTTTTTGTTTCGATAGATTACGCTTTTTTATTCTTTTTCTCTTTTGCTGATGCTATGCTCTCCACCCCCGCCCCCCAACCCTTTCCCACTCCCATTATAGGTCTGTGAGGAACAGAAGTGCGAAGAAGAGGTCTTCCCTCTGGCCATGAATTACCTGGACCGTTTCTTGGCTGGGGTCCCGACTCCGAAGTCCCATCTGCAACTCCTGGGTGCTGTCTGCATGTTCCTGGCCTCCAAACTCAAAGAGACCAGCCCGCTGACCGCGGAGAAGCTGTGCATTTACACCGACAACTCCATCAAGCCTCAGGAGCTGCTGGTAATGACCGGCCCCTTCCTCCCTTCCTTTCTGCGATTCCCGCTTTCCCCTGGCCAACAATATGCCTTCTATCACCACTGCCAGAGCAAATTCTTGGGATCCAGAATGACCCCACCAATAGAATTTACCCACTTATGGGCGATAGCTCATTTAATAGGAAACCACTGTTTATTTTTTGTGTGTTCCTACTATGTGCCCAGGCTCCGTGCCCAGCACTGAGGCTACATCTGTGAATAAGATCCTCATGGAGATTTGGGTTGGTGAGACTCATTTGCAATTGTGTATGCATGTGTGTAGGGGACGCATGGAATATTTTAATTAACAGTGATAATATTTTAATTAAATTCCAAATTTCCAAAAATAGTCTGAGAACGTGTTCACATGATAGGTATGTGGCTGTGGTGTCTCCTAAAAACTTGGAGTTCAAAGGTAATGCCCTCTATATCTACAAAGTCTCAAGATACCAACACATAATAGCTGTTCACTAAATATCAGTTCATTGACTTTTGAGCAAAGTCAAAATGTGGCCTTTCACTGAAGGAGTCCGAGGCCTGGGTTCCTACCTCCAGTGGGACTGTGACCTCTGTACAACCCCAGGGATCCTGTCTTATCTCTGCTTTTCTACCAGGGAACCTTTTTCCCACCTGATCTAACTCCTTTTCCCTGCAGCTTGACATATAAGACGACCATATTGCAGCTGTACCGCATGGAATAGCGGCTCCAAGGCCCACCTTCGGTGGTTTGCACACCCCTCTTTGCACTGTTCAGAAAAGCACCCCCTCCTTCCCGCCCCTCCCCCTCCTCACTGGTAGGGCCCGCACAAAGTCCACAGGGCTGAGGCTGGCTTCTTGAACTGAGCTCTTTGTGAGGAGCCTTCCTTTCTGGGGCTCTGCTGCCATCTAGTGGAAGACATGCACAAGGTTGGGGGAGGAATTGCCGAGAATGTGGAGAGGGGCCTGAATGACTTCACCTTTGAACCGCTGCCAGGTTTTAGCTGCTTCTGGTTTGGTCCGAGAGGCCTAGAAAGGTGCTTTCTTCTGGGAGATCTGCTTCCTTTAATAACGGTGCAAGACCAGTGGTTCGTACTCGCATTACCCTGTGAAGAGGAAGGGCTGGCATTTCAAGCCATCTTTGAAGATGATGGTGGTTTAGTAGTTTATTGGGGTGCTTTACCCCGGCTGTACACAGAAAGCCAAGGCAGATTTTAAAGCTTATGAAGAAAACATTGTTAGAATTGGGAACCAATTTGTTTTTCTCATGAGAGAGCAGGAAAAATCATCTTCATATGGTTCATTTGTTTCGAGAGGATGGTGAATTGAGATGTTCTTCAGGACACCCAAATCTTTCCAGGACTAGCCAAGCAATATATTGCTACAAACAAACTTGGCTTTTTCCTATTCCCTTTATCCCAGAAGTTGGGATTTGGAAGAGTCCTATTTTACAAATGAGAAGGCTGAGGCCTGGGAGGGAAAGGGAATCACCCCCAGCCCCACAGCTGTGGGACTGGTGCTCTGGTTGCTGGTTTAGCAAATGAAAGAGATTCCAGGTTCTCCAGGTGAATGGGAGAGAGGGTGCATTGGCAAACAGGCCCTGCCTCTCATTCTTCTGATGACAGCTCAGTGGATAGGCATATTTTCTGGTAGCACATACGATATTTTTAATGTTTTATTTTGGACCGTTTCCCTTTGAGCACAGTTTCCCGTAAGTATCTCAGTGAAAGAGGGAAACAAGGTTCTTTTTCAGGTGGGTTGCTGGTGAGAGACCCAAGAGACAGGGTTGTGTGGTCCCCACACTTGCACTGAGGGATGCTGTGACACTGAGCAGGCACCCTCACCTTGCCCCAGATCACCTCCATCTGCAAAATGAGGTTGCTAATGACCATGTGGTCCTTTAGTCATGATGACAATGGCCTGTGAAACATTTAGGGGAAAGGGCTGAGTGTCACATCCCCAGAATTTCTGCCTGATATGTAAAAGGGGAGTTTGAGCAGCAGAGAGATAAAGGCACTTTTTGGCACTAAGTAAAAGCAAGCTAATTGGTTGCCAAGGAGTTGGGCCAAGGAACCTTATTTTGAGCTTTATCTGTGTGCATCATTTTTCCATGAAGATTAAAAAGACTATTAATTCGGTGATAGAGACATATACAATAAATTACCATGAAAGGGCCACAATGACCTTGGCCGTATCTCATTGTAGGTTCAGCTTTCTGGGTGGGCGGGAAGCAGTATTGCCTGCAAGTCAGGGTTGGGAGGGGGTAAGGGGAGCTGGAGTGGAAACGAAGTAGAAGAAAATAGAATCTTGGCAACAGCTACCTGGGCTCTCATTATTTTCAGTGGAGCCTGACATTTGAAGCATAAGAAGAGCTGTCAACAACTTCAAAGCTTCAGGGGCACATTGACAAATGGGCCCGCCTTACAATCTAGCAGCCACGTCCTAATGAGCGGCCTTAAAACTGGTCTGGAGCCCAACCCCCAGCCCCCTACACCAGGTCAGCCTGTGGAATTTAGATTCTCCTCTTCTCTTCCTGCCTTCCCCTCCAGGAGTGGGAACTGGTGGTGCTGGGGAAGTTGAAGTGGAACCTGGCAGCTGTCACTCCTCATGACTTCATTGAGCACATCTTGCGCAAGCTGCCCCAGCAGCGGGAGAAGCTGTCTCTGATCCGCAAGCATGCTCAGACCTTCATTGCTCTGTGTGCCACCGGTAAGATGAGGCTTGAGCCGGGGAGGGAGATGGGGGAGCTCTTTTGGGAGATGTCCGGGGAGAGGCAAAAGGCCGTAGGAACTTTCATTTTAGTTCAGGAGTTTGGAGGAGGGGTGGTCTTGAGTAGTCTAAAGTCTGAAGTTTCATTCCTGGGTTGCTTTTTCTTTATCTGAGCTTTATATATTCGCTTTCTCTGCTAAACTCATAAATGGTTTATGAGGACAGGTGTGGTTAAGGCAAAAAAAATTAGTGCCTGTTAAAATATTCTTTATGATGGCTAAAGTGCTCTTTGAAGATTACATATACTGCTCACTGGTTGTGTTCAAATCTTTAATCTTTTAAGGAAAAGGATGGCTTGGAGATAAGCCCAAGAGGAAATCTCGAGGGGGATGGGGGCAAATACAGGTTAAAGGAACAACGTCAAGATAAATATGCTGCCTGCCTTGATTAGTGGTAAGGGAGACCAAAGAAATTCTTTTTTTTTTTTTTTTACTGTAGGGCATTTATGGCCTTCTAGCTGTTTGCTTCTCTAGCTGTTTGCCCCACTGGGCGCGGGAGGGAACCTGGTTGGCTTTCGGTGAGGCTTTACTTTCTGAGCGCTGGGTTCTGATGCCCTCAGTTCATGTGGAGGTGTTTTGATTTTGGCCGCAGCCTTTAACGTTGCAATTCCGCCTACCACGTGGATCCCACAATTGATACATCATTCCTACTGGCCCATTTGTTTTGTAGTTTCCTAATAAACCAAAGGCAGTGGTTTGCTGTTGTCTTATTAAACAGCCTTGGCCAGTGTCTACTGGTTTTTTGTTTTTTTTTTTCTTGGTAGTGGCCATGGCAGAGACCCTGGAACCTTACTCATCCAAGGGAGAGATGTCAGGAGTTCATGTTTTGACAATCAGAAACCTTAGGTAAAAAGCTGATCACTTGGGAAGACCTTTCGGTGTGCTTCACCTCAAATTTGCCAAGAGTAGTTAAATCGCTAGGTGGACTCACGTGGTAACTTTTTTCAGGATGTTGTTACATGTTACTGGTGAGTTCTACGGAACGGATGATTATATAACGTACGATGTAGTGCATATGCCCTGTGCTCACAGTCAAAAAGTCAGGCTTTGCTGCATATCAGTGAGTGACCTTTAATTGGCTGCTTAACCTCTCTGAACCCGAGCTTCTTCATCTCCAAAACAAGCCTATTGATACATCATCCTACAGCCTTTTCAGAGCAGCTAGGAAAATTAAAATCAGAAAGAGGTGATGCACGTGGACGTGCTTTGTAAACCGAAGTGTAGGTTGGACCTTCACTAATTGTGAAAATGCTACCATCTCCGATTTTCACCCTGATTTTAACTGTTCCGACTAAAGTGGATATGATGGCTTTCCTTTTCTGGCTGCCCTTACGTGTTTCTAGCAGGACCTGTGTGTTCTGCACTTGCAGGCTTGAGTGTGGAGTCCTCCCGGCCCCCTGCCTGTTCATCTAGGGCACAGGTTTCCCCTTGCTGGTTTTCTGTAGTCCTGTTCTCCTGGATGCAGGCCAGGCCTCATGGCGTGCACATGCGCCCTGTGCCCCTTGGTGGGAGAGTCCGTTATCCTTCCTGCAGCCCTGGGGGCGGTTCTTAGGACCCCTGTGGACCCCTGCTGCCTTTTGGATAGTGGTCACTCTGGCTTCCTTCCCTTCTGCTGTCTGGCCCGGGCCCGAGAGGTCAGTCCTCCAGTGACCTGTCATTTTGTCTCCCAGGCTCGGCTGTCTCCTTCCTCTCTCATCATGATTCACTGTGGGGGAGGGGTCAGCCAGTTCTTTCTCTCTGGCCCAAGGACAGCTGACCCCCGACCCTAAACTCCCCCACTGCCCAGCTGTTGATAGCCAGAGCTCTGCTCAACACTGTCTCTTGACTAACAGATCTTTTGGGGTCTAACTGCCCCTTCCTCCTCTCTGATCTCTGATTGGGGTAGGGGTGCTGGGTGGAGTTACCGGGGTGTGGGCAGATCCCCAGATTCCGTCTAGACCCATTCTCGAAAACCGGGGATCCCATCCCCCACCCGTGGCCTTCTTGCCCAGATCTTTGGGCTGGCTGCCAGCTCCGGGGCCAGAGTAGGGAGCCTGGGATTCAGAGACTGAGGACAGAGGCCCAGAGGGATACAGAGGCAGTTATAAAGACTGTGTTTTGGGGGCCTTGAACTAGCTTTGGTCAGGGACTAGGAAAGGACACCCCCAAACCACATGAAAATGGTGTGCTAGGCACTAAGCCTCAGGCGTTGACAGGGCAGAGCACAGGTAGGTCCTCGGCAGTTTCCTGGGTCTGGAAAGGAGGGGCCTGTATCGAAAGAAGTTGCTTTCCCTCATCTGCACTTGGGTTTGTGCAACTGACTGAGTCACATAGAATCCTGGCTGCGTGGAGTTTTACAACAGTCGGCCTCACAGTACAAACACCGAAGGCCGCTTTTCTTGAAGGAAACACCTTCCATGGAGAGGCGATTGTGCATTGTGGGGCCAGGGTGTGATGAATGGGCAAGGACCCAGGACTCTGGCCAGTAGCGGGCACAGAGTGACTGAGAGGCAGAGGTAGGAGATGCAGATTCCCCAACCCGAGCTGTTGCCCTCACCTGCTCCTCAAATCGCACACTTCCCTCCTTTTCTCGCAGTCCTGGATGTTCCGTCCTGGAGCTGATGAAACACCTGCGGCCAGGGTCTCGGAGGTCCACAGTGGGTGGAGGGTGGGGGTCCCGAGAGATGGCCGCCAACCCTCAGGCCGTGCAGCTATTTGATGGGAAAAGCTGGTTGTGAAAGAGCTGGCAGTGGTTCTGCAGTGTGTGGGGAGCGTATTTGTGTGTGAAAGGGGAAGGGAGAGCAGGAGAACATAGAGGGGCCGCGTAAGTGTGGCGAAGTGGCGGTCTTGCTTTATGGGGCTCTGGATTAAGATGGTGGCAAGGCGGAGAGGAGCCCTCCTTCCTTCCCTGCTCAGCCTAAAATGGCTTCTGGAAGAGCAAGGGCCGCAAGCTGCTGGTATCCCTCTGCAGCAGGTCCTGGGCAGTGCAGGCATGGGTGGGTTGGGCGGGGGATCTTCCTGACTACAGCTCCTAGCATTCCTGTTCCTGGAGTTTCCAAAACTGGGGAAGCAGAACTGAGCCATAGCTTCCCTGGTTGCCGCTCTGCTGATAGAACACCCAGGTCTGCAAGCGAGGAAAGAAGGCCATTGGAGATGACCTGGGTTCGCACTCTGGCACTGGGAGATTGTTGAGATGTGATACCATGCTCGGTGGATGATTCCAGTTAGTCTAGCAGAGCCAATGGCATTGAGTTTACACCTGGCACCGGGTAGGGGGAGGTGCTCACCCTCCCTCTCCAGGCACCCACATCCCCTCTTTCTTCACTAGAAGCCCACCCTAAGATGCTGCACCTTGGTATTTGTGCCACACACGGTAGCCACCCCCAGGCCTCCCCACGCCAAGGCCAGAGCCCCATTGTTGACTAGAACCCATTGTGCTGTCCTAGCCCCTTCCCTGGCTTTACCTACAGGTGTTCCCTCAGATTCCATCGCCAAGTGAGAGGGAGACAGTGGTGGCCCAGAGAAGTTCGATGACTTGGCCCTTGATCTAGAGTGGGAGATTTCGCCTTGATGGGTGCTGGGAAGGAAGAATGGAAACCCGTCTTTCCATCTGCAAGTCTCTGAGCTACCCCTGAAGCCGCGAGGTCATGGGACTGAGGGGGAGTCGTTAGCATGCCCTGTGGGGACAAGCAGCCAGGCAGTGTGGTGCTTGCCATCGCTCTTCCCTCTGGCTGTAAGATGAATGGGTAGCAGGCTGCTCATCGCCCTCCAACCAGCCCCCTCCCCAGCTCCTCCCAGCAGGCCTTGCAGTTGCATGGGCATTCCCTTGCCATGGCAGCCCTGCCCCACAAGGACAGGGTATGCTGGTCCTCTTATGGGGGTGGCAGATGAGGTGCGTGCCCAGTGACGTCCCTGGCCTGTGAACACTCTGGTTCTGGCCCTTTGAACTTCCACCTGACTGCAGGTTGGAGAAGAGAGATGGGGAAAGCCTGACCTGGCCTTCCCTTTCTTCTTCAGCGTCAGAGTGCGTATCTCTCTCCCCCTATTGGTGAACAGAAGCAAAGCCATCACCCCTGCACCCCAAGACCTCGGCCACCATAGCCAAAATGATGGGTGCTAAATGTACTGGGCAGGACCATGTATTCCGTGGTTTTAAACTTACTTAGCTCTGAACTCTTTATTTGGTAAAATCCTACCAAGAAGTGCAGATACCAAGTTGATGAAATGGAGCACTTCTCAGGGCCCATGCCCAGGTGAGGGAGCCCAGCGGGACCCCCAGAGGCTCCCAGGGCATCCTTGGGAGGATAAGCCTTTTGTGCTTGCTGGTGCCGGGGCTGCGGCTGGGACCCAATTCCTTTGATTCCTGAGCCAGAGCGCCACCTTTGGGGCTCTTCTCCCACTTCCGACGTGAAAGGCTGCCCTGTCCTCCTGAGTGGTATATGGGAGGTGACTTTGAGGAGCTGGTCAGCTTCCAGTAAGTTACGAAGAGCTCTGCATCCAGAGTCTCAAAGTCTCATCCGGATCCCAGGCCCAACACTCACAGTGAGTGACATCAGCCAGATCACTTCATCTCCCAAGACTTCATTGATTCACCTGTAAAAGGAGATGTTTGAAACAGATGAATTTCAAGCTCCTTTTTATTAATACCTCACCATCATCACCGCCGTCATAAGCAAGCATGCAGCCCACAGCAGAGCTGCCCCTGGCGCCTGTGGGTCCAGCTGGGATTCCCCTAAGGTGTGTCCTTTGCCTCCACCATTTTGCCAGGAGGGAGGCGGGAATGTCGGGTGTTCCTGGTTATCTGGGCATCGTTCCTTGGCTCGGGTGAACTGCATCTCAATGAATTGTGGAATGTGCTGGGTTAGAGTTGCCAACTTCTCTCTTCCATTCGCTGAGTGTTCATGGGGTTCTTTTCATTCCCCTGTGGGGCTGCACTTTCTCCCAGTTCTGCAAAGCAGCAGGAGGCTTTGGGGACTCGATGATGTCATTTCTGGGACACATACACAACTGGATAGTGACAGATTCTCCAGGAAGCACAGAGCCCTCATTCTTCCTGGCCTGCTTGGCCTGCTCCCTGCATCTGCCTGCAATCCAGGGATGCTGGGCGCCTTTCTCCTCATCCCTCCAGACGCTGGAGAGCATCTCCAGTCGGAACTCCCCACCACAGTCCTGCAGGAAGTACTAGGAGTGAGAGCAGAGGAGGGGCAGGTTGGGGAGGATGCTGGCTGACATTCATTGCTTACCTTGAACCAGGCACTGTGCTTTTACAAGGATTATTTTAAGTGAATCCTCAGAACAGCACTACAACGTGGGTATTGCTGTTGTCATTATTTGCAGATCAGAAAATGAAAACTCAGAGAGGTCAGGTAACTTGCTCATCTTCACACACTTGGTAGGTGGTGGGATGGAGATTCCACCTCCTTCTGATTCCAGAGCTAATACTCTGAACCAGTGAGCTGTGTTCTCCAGAGGTCTGCTTTGGTTGGAGGGGAGCTGGAGCCCTAGGCCCTGGGACGGCCTCTGTTGCCCATGGCAAGGCGTGTGGCTGCTCCTGCTCTCTTCAGATCTCCAGATGCAGCAACCTGGAGAAAGGCCCTCCTGGGTCTGGTGGGGACTGGGGCAGGAGTGGAGGCTGCCCAAGCTCCGTGCACTCCACGTTCCAGCTTGGAGCTTTTTGAGTCTACTCTCCAAATCCTTCCCATCTCCCTGAAGAGTCTTCTGAGAAGTGTCTCAAATGCTCCTCTTCACTCAAGAGCCTCCTTTCTTTTTTTTTTTCTTTTCTTTTTCTTTTTTTTTTTTGAGACAGTCTTGCTCTGTCACCCAGGCTGGAGTGCATGGCACAATCTCTGCTCACTGCAACCTCCAACTCCCGGGTTCAAGTGATTCTCTTGCCCAAGCCTCCAGAATAGCTGGGATTACAGGCGCGTGCCACCATGCCTGGCTAATTTTTGTATTTTTAGTACAGACAGGGTTTCACCGTGTTGGCCAGACTGGTCTCGAACTTCGGACCTCAGGTCATCTGCCCACCTCGGCCTCCCAAAGTGCTAGGATTACACTGTGAGCCACTGCGCCCAGCCTTCAAGAGCCCCCTTTCTTTGAGAAGTTTCTTCAGAAGTTATCCATATAGTAGTACAGACCTAGCCATTATAGCACACCATCCTCTACTATCTAATGCATTGATGCCCAGCCTTAAGAAGTCTGAATATTGTACGTTTTGGGGGGAGTCCTCCATGCTGCCTGGAACAGGGAGGAGCACATTGTCATGAGTCGATCAGAATGGATCGCTGATCGGTTCATTGCCTCTCTCTCTGCTGCAGGAGGAAGGATCTCAGGAAGTCACCAGCATCTCACCTCTCCAGGTGGGCAATTAACGATGGCGAGGGCACACCCTCACCCCTGAGCGTGCCTTCTGCACCAGCATATTGCTTGTTGGCATTTTTGATCAAGAGACTTAACAGACTGCTGAGAAATTTGTACCTGGTTTTTATTTGTTAAAATAATATTACGTACAAATTTTACAAACTCATCTGTGTTTCTCCCACCTAACAGAACAGCTTTTATTTTCCGTGCATCCTTCCAGTTCATCCATAGGCATATATGTATGTATTTACCCATGGTTGTAATCTTCATCGTCGCATGCATGCATGCAATTTGGTTTTCCGCTTCCTTCTTCTGAGTGGATATTGTGACCATTTCTCCATCCTGTCATAGCGACAAAGCTGATGGTTTCCAGGAATGGCTGCATTGGGTAGGTGGAGCTTTCCACAGTTGAGGGTGGGGGTTGGCTAATTACAGCTAGGAAGCTAGTGCACAGATGAAATGATGTTTGATTTTTTTGTTTTTCTCTCTGTTCAGTATCCCCTACCAGTAGAGAGGGGGATGTCCTTGAGAGTGGTCCTGGGGCAGCCCTGGTGCCACGGGGAAGTAGCGCCGCTCTGTGGAGAGGGCTGCTTTGTGAATTTGCCGGCTGGTAGACACCGTGATCCATTCTATTGTCTCCTCATTGTTCTTCTCCTTGGGAGTCATTCCCATTCCAGATCCTCAAGTAAGAGCAAAGTAGACCTGTAAGGCACCTGGGAGGTTATCCTGCTTACTATCTTTAAACTCTTGACCTAAGCCATGTAGGAAGAAACACATTTTATAACACAACTCAGGATACTTGTACAAGTATATCAAACTGATACAAAAGTTTCTCCGAACAATATTTACTCTTAACGACATACGGTGAGCCTGATACTTTCTATCCTACTCTATTTGGTTAAAGGAGAACAACAACAGAAAGTGCTGGTCACGACCCACAAATGCATTTCA
Source organism: Homo sapiens (assembly GCF_000001405.40). Lineage (NCBI taxonomy): Eukaryota > Metazoa > Chordata > Mammalia > Primates > Hominidae > Homo > Homo sapiens. Next base: position 4,286,269 of record NC_000012.12, read on the forward strand.
TGACCCATTAATGAGTTGCAGCTAGAAGTTAGAAAAACACTTATCTCACCCAACCCGTTATTAGACAAATGGGAAACCAAGCCCTTGGAAAGAGGAAGTGACTTGCCCACAGTCCCACGTCTGGACCTAGCTGGAGGGCTGATGTTGCCTCAGTATTTGACTAACCTGGAGGAGAGGTGGGGCATGCTCAGGGATCCCGAGGAAGATGCTCGTCTTCTGTGTAGCGGGCAACAGAGGGCAGCACGGCCGCCGTCCTCGTCTCCAGCGGCGTCTCTCCTCTGGCTGTGGGAACACACTGCTCCTTTGGTGCCACTCTGAGCTGCTGAGAGGCAGTCAAGTTCATGCACATAGTGCTCCCCAATTCTGTGGGATTGGACAGTGTCCCCAAGAGGACTCCCCTGAAAATCTTCTTAGTAAAACAAAAAGGGAGGTAGAGTCTCCCTGTGCAACCGGTGCACCTGTTCCCCCTATGCCTGCTGGCTTCCAGAAGTTCATTCGTATGCCAATAATAAGAGTTGGTTTTGCTAGCAGTGGGACAGCAGAGATGGGCATGTGTGAGGTGTGCTTCCCGGTCTGAGGCCTATGGCAGAGGGAAGGGAGGGCCGGGGATACTTGCCTGCCTCTTCCCTGGCAGATGCTCCCACCCGGGCCTTTGTGGGCCCAGGGCCATGGGCCGGCTGCCCCGCTTGTGTTATGAATGTCACAGGGGGGAGCTAACGAGGTTATTGGGCAGAGAAACACTCTCCTGTGACCCATGTGGAAGAGACCTACAGCAGAGCAAGAGGCAGGGAGGCTGGCTTTGTCACACTGTTCATGGCGACAGAGAAGGCGTAGGAGGGGCGGGTGGACAGCAGGCGTGGGCGCAGCACCATTATATACGTCCCTCAAGAGGTGGAGATGGTGAGAGGGCAATGGAGAAAAAGCCAAGGAGACAGGCAGATGGCCAGGTTTGCTCTGCGTTCATGATGGGAGGGGAGGGCTGTGCTTGGCTCAGGGATCCACGGTGTCTAACAATGCTGCTAACTTGATGCTGGGGCAATGGGCTGACCATTAAAAGAGCTGCTGTAGAAAGTGTGTTTGTAATAGAGTGTGTACAGGAGGAAGGGGAAATAGGAGAGGGGCTGGTTTTTGTAGATTTAACCTGATTGTTTTTGCTGTAAGTTGAAGGGTGACCCACGGTTCCCTGTATGCTGTGTCTCCTGCCCCCACGTGCCCCTTCCATGTCTACACACAGTAAGCTCACTAGAGCAATGCTAAAACGAGAAAGAGTACGCTTTGGAAGACTTGCTGCACTCCAGGACCGTCACTAGCGTGATGGCTGCAACTATACCCACCCTAATATCTGTCAACACGAGCAGGGGCAACTTAAACTCTCAAAAGTCTCAGGGTTCTCACCCATACCATTAGGGTGACGCTCGTGTGCATCTTCTGTGGCTGATGGGTAAATTAAACAGGACGTAATGTGTAGCGTACTGCATGTGGTGGTCATTGGTAGCTGTCAGCAGCTGTAACAGGAGAAGTTGGCTGTCTTTATTTCCCCTCGATGGACCAAGCAGCTGCTGGATCATGGCCACCCAGCCCCTCTGAAGGAGTGCTCGGAGGAACACAAGGGGGCTGGTCTTCCAAGAGGAGCCCTCTAGCATGGCAGTGGACGGGGTTCAAGCCCCTCTGATTTATTATCCTCATTCTGCACTTCCCTGTAGCAAGTCACATTTTTTTCTCTTAGCAATAAAATGGGGCCTTCAGTCTCATGAGTCATAACATCGAAACCGAGTCACCCATCTGATTCGGATGCAATGATTAATCTTCAGTGCTTAGTTAGAGCCCTATGTTAGGGTTAGAATCCTCTGCCCTAATGTTCTGAGGGTTCTTGCTGTTGGGCCAGAGGTTGGGAACTGGGTGGAACTCAGCCCCCACTCGCCCACTCCCTGCATTGCTGCTTCTCTCATTTCCTTTTTTAGATCAAACCTTTTTTTTTTTTTTTTGGGTGGGGGTCATATTAATCCTCAATGCCTGTCCAGAGACTATAACAAGATCCCATCTGAATTAGCATTATGCATAGATTTTGCCCGTTTCTCCCATCTCCTTGTACTTTCCCTCCTTCTCACATCTGGAGCCCCTGGTCTGTCCTGCTTGCATGGCCCATGGGGTACCTTGTCTGCACTGGTCTCAGGCATTCTCTGCTCTGTTCCCACCATCACCTCTAGAGGAGACTATGACTCGCTCACCTTGCTCCCCCCACCAGGGTCAAGAATGTTAACTCAGACATGCTTAATATGACTGGGATCTGGGGATTGGGGACCTTGAATCCTCTGTGCATTCATTGTGTGCGCTTAGATAAGCTGTCTTCCTTCCCTGCCTCAGTCTCCTTCGTTTAATCTGGAACAGCCATGGTGATGGCAAATAAACACAGGCTCCTTGTGAAAGAACTCGAGGGAGGACATGCCTGTAGGGCACGGGGTCACTCGCGCCGCTGACCTGCTGCCGTCCTGTTTCTGAGTCTCTGCAGTCTCGGGAGCTCCAGGATCCAAATTCGTTCTGTGCCCTGACCTTCTGCCTCTCATTCCTTGCAGACTTTAAGTTTGCCATGTACCCACCGTCGATGATCGCAACTGGAAGTGTGGGAGCAGCCATCTGTGGGCTCCAGCAGGATGAGGAAGTGAGCTCGCTCACTTGTGATGCCCTGACTGAGCTGCTGGCTAAGATCACCAACACAGACGTGGTAGGTGGCCACCACCTTCTTGGCTAAGTCCAGATGTCTCTTCTCAGCTCAGGGAAGGAGACGACGGATTTGATTATGTTGTGTCAGAGGTATTTTTCTGGTTTGTTTCCTAAGATCGACATCCAAGGGAGTGCAAAGTTCAGCAGGTGACACCCCCTCTTAAGGTTCTGAAAAGCTGTGCACGGGAAAATACGGAAGAAAACTCAGCAAGCAGATGAAGGGGGTGGGGGTGGGAGGGCTGTTTACCGATGTTCCTTTATGGCGTGGGCTTCTCAGTGGGTCTGAATTGTTGCTTCATTGCCATATTTGTACACGCTGCCAGGCTGCCTCTGCCCGGCAGCGAAGAGCTGCCGTGTCTGCTTTCACACGCTGAGGCTGTAAGGCGCACAGAGGAGAAAGGAGAGCCAGGACTCAGCTGCAGTGGATGGAGCAGACACACAAGAGGTGCCCCACTGTGAGAACGGTGTCCGTCCCTGGCAAACCTCTCGACCCCTCCCCGCTCTCTCTTCCCTTTTGTTCAATGCAGTAATGGATTACAAAGTGCTTTCAAAAGACAAAGTGCCATACAAACTCAAGAAACTATTATTAGCTACGGAGCTTCCCCATTCTGTGTGCCCTGTGGACGGCCCAGAGGCTGTTAACTTCCTGTTGCCAGAATTTGGAGCTCCTGAGAAGAAAGGTTTTGAGAGAGACCAGGGTCAAGTGAGCCTCTGAATTCAATCAGCAGGAAGCTGCAGTCCTAGCCCGTCCGAGACAGGATGGTGCCAAGAGGTCAGAGAGGCCATTCCTTCGTTTTCCACGGGCAGGACAGGGACTGAAGTAACCAGCCAGGAGCGGGGTGGGCAGTGGCTGAGCTGGGGCTAGAACCCCCAGGCTCCGACTGCCCCCTGGAAACTTCCCACTCCACCCTTGTTGCCGCTCCTGGGATCTTTTGGTTTGAAAAAAAACCCTGGGGTTTAAAGTCAACCTGAGAGAGGGGTGTTGGCCCTGAGCCCTCATGCATCACCATGGAGAGGCTGAAGAATGCTGGGCACTTCACGATGACACCCTCTGGATGGTCCGGGGGGATTCAGATGCCCTCTGCGGGCTTTTATTGAGTTAAGGGATCATGTGGTTTATAGGCCTATGGCTGAGGCCTGCACGAGGGATACGGGACAGGTTAAACCTCAGAGAGCCCACGGCTGCAGCTCGCCGGCCTCCTCGCCCGCCCACCTGGATTTTCCCTGGCATTTGTTCCCAGCTCAGAGAAATGGCGCAGGGAGATGCTGACGGAGCAAATCCGGGGTCCTCCTCTGAGATAGTTCGTAGATATGGTTTTAAAATGCGGGCTCCAAACATACGCTTTTTAAACGAGGACTCCAGAACACAGACTGAAAACCTCCCTCCAGTGCAGCATGAAGAATGCTTTTCTAATCCTCCAGAGGAAAATCGTGGACGGGACTTAACGTTTATAGAAATGGTACGCTTTCCTCCTTTTCTGAATGTCTCCAATTAAGGCTGCCTTACAAATAGGACTCTCAGCCAGTTTAAGACAAGCCCTTCCTCAATGCCTGGAGACAAAAATGTCAGTGACAGGAGTTGGAAGCGGCCACCCCCCTCCTCCTGCCCCCAGGCATTGTAACCTTTTCCCCCGATGTTGATAGACCTGCTCTGATGGGCTGACCACCCTACCGGCTCCAGCCTTTTCCCACCTCCCTTTGTCCCCCGTTACTGATCTCACATGGACAGTGGTGGAAATTTCCCTCCTGGGAGTTGCTGCTGAGTCTCTTGGCTTTTCGAGACCGCAGGCAAGTCAGTCCGTCATCTCATCTGGGGAAACTGTTTGCCTTTTTCTGATACTACGTAGCCAGTCCATTTAAGTCAGCTGGCCAACTCTGTTAAATGGATATGAAGTGGGTACGAAGCTGGTTTAGGGGTGTCCTCCTATAAATCCTAACTGTTGGTCAAGTTGATACCTCATTTCTATAATGGGCACACGCCGTGTTTCCTAACTGGGGCTGCCTGTGTGTGCCTCATTCACACCGGTGGACCTGGGTTGAACATGTTCATATTTAAAAACCAAGAGTGAACGCGGTGAAATGTACAATTCATAACACTTTTTCAAAGAAAAATCTGAGCCCTCAGGAAGTTCCAGGCTTACCTCTGGCACCCCGGAGGCTGGTTCGCTCTCCCTGAAAATGTTTTTAGTGGAAAGGTTCAAGCAGCTCTGGGCTAGGCTGTGTGTGTGTGTGTGTGTGTGTGTGTTTATGCACCTTTCCAAGTGCTAAATCTCCTCCCATCCATCAGCCTGTGTTCTCTGAAAAGCTGACGCTCAGAGGGAAGAAAAATAAAAGGACTAGAATTTAGAACACATTAGTGTTTGGAGGGAGGTGAGTTGTGCTTCCTGAGCTCTGTTTACCATTTCACGAGTCACGAAGTGGTGTATTTCCTTCATTCGTTTCTGGAAGTCTTTACTGAAGGCCCAGTTGTTGCTAGAAGTTGGGGTGGATGGTGGCATCTGGGAAATAGAGGATGAGATTCCTGCCTTCAAGGAACTTAGCAGTTGTATGATGAAGCAAGAGTAAAGCGTGCAAAACCCTAGCAAATTAAGAACGTAAACAAAGGTGTGCTACGTAACGTGTTACGAACCCTAAATGCAGTAGGAAATCAACCCAAAAGAAGGAGCTCATCAGGCCTAACGTAGAATGCCGGCCTCCCAGCAGAGAAAACTTGGTGATAGAAACTGTTCTTAGAGTAGAGAAACAAAATGTATGGGCACGCAATGGAATATTATTCAACCTTAAAAAGAAATGAAATTCCGATCCATGTTATAACATGGGCGAACCTTGAAAATACTATGTTAAGTGAAACGAGCCAGACACAAAAAGACAAATACTGTATGATTCCACTTATACCAGGTACCTGGAATAGTCAAATTCGTAGAGACAGAAAGTAGAATAGAGGTTCCCAGGAGTCTGGGGAGAGGAGAGGATGGGGAGTTAGTGTTTAATGCGTACGGAGTTTCAGTTTGGGATGATGAAAACAATTCTGTAGATGGAGAGTTCTGATGGCCACACAGCAGTGTGAATGTACTTAATGCCACTGTACATTTAAAAGTGGCTGAAAAGGGAAATTTGACATTATGTGTATTTATGATAGTAAAATGTGTGTGTGTATATATGTATATACACACACATACATAAATGGATATATATATATGTATGTATGTATGTCTGAAACATTCTCGGGCCACGCTATGAAATGCCCATAGGTTGATGTTGAGCTCTTCCCTGGAAAAGTGAAATACACAGGACCACATTTTGCCCCCTGGCCCTAGTGCATTGACAAACGGGAATCAGGAAGAGCTGACAGTTTCCCCCAGAGCCCCTGAAGTTATATGTCAGCTCCTACACACCTTGCTGTTTCTGATTTCTTCAAGCTTGCAATGCTCTCTGTTACTTTGGGGGTTAGGTCGTGGGTTGTCGGGGATCGAGCTGTGGAAAGAGGGTCCCCCTGATTCTTGTGAGATGGCCAGGCGAGTCTCTGTGGTTCATTGGCCAGGAGCAGATAGCTTTGATATGAGGGACGCATGCGGCTCTGAGAAAGTCGGCCTTTGTTGCTCCGTCTGGTTGCCAAAATAAACCAGAACGCTTCATTCCAAAGAGAAAGCTGAGTGAGGGGCCTGACAGTTTTATAGGGAATAAACGTCTCAGAGAGTGGTATATTTTAAATACTTTTTCCTTCCAATCGTAAGAGTTGCTAAAAACAGCCAGAGAGGCAGTTTGGCTGTAGGGGGGACGTCTATTGGGGGTGTCCAGTGCCTGGGTAGGTTTGAGAGGGGAGGGTGCCACTGGCCTGGGTCCCCGGTGACCATGGCCCTGCTTCCTTGGGCTGAATCGGGGTCCTCTTCCATCCCCTCTGCACACTAGTCGGGCTGCGTGCCAGCATTGATCTCACTGCTTCCTTGTCTATAGAACCTCTTGAATAAGGCCCAGCTTTTCCTCAGCTCTTTATCCAGAGCCCCTGGCAGAGTCATTGGGAGTGATGCTTAAGAGAGGAAGGGAAGAGGAAGGAAGGAGCAAAGGACAAAGGCAGGCAGATGGGTTTCCAGTGGGTTTCCGATTCACTGGTCTGTCCATGTCCTTTGAAAAGCTGTGTCTTTTCTTTAACTTCAATTCTGTGTCAGGGCCTTCCGAGCCTTCTGAGTTTTCCCCAACCTTATCTTAGAGTAGGTTAAATGAAGTGGCTTCATTTTCATATGACACAGTTGCACAAATTCACTAACTAAAAAATGGAATGGAGGCTCACAGGCCATAAAGGTGTTGTGAAGTTATTGCAAGATACTTAACAGAAGAAAGACTCTAGTCATCTGTTCCTTATATTTATCCTTTTTTGTCTAAGTCACATCAAAACTCTTTGTCACATTCTTTAAAAACAAAAAGCAAAAAACAAAACTTTAGATTCAGGGGATCCATGTGCGGTTTGTTACGTGGATATATCGTGTGATGCTGAGGTTTGGGCTTCAGTCGAACCCGTCACCCAGACAGTGTACACAGTACCCAATAGGGAGTGTTTCAACTCTCGTCCCTGTCCCTAGACACATTCTTAAATATTGCCCAGAGAAGATTCCAGGATATCCCTTCCTTAGGGTCATCCTGGCATTTTACGGTCCTGGTTATCAATGAGCTATTAAAAAGCAGGGAGGTGGAGGCGCCGTGGAAGAAGTCTCAGTTTCGACCACATGTGTGTGATTCATGGGGTTTAGCATTGTGTGTTTCTGCTCCGTAGCTGGAAGTGCCGCCACCCTCGCCCCACATGTCATTTTCAAGCCTCCACTGTTACAGATTCTGTCTTCTGTGGACTCTTCAGGGCCTGTGGTCAGGAACCTTGTGAAGTGTTGCTGGAAGCTGGGGGTGGGGAGGTGGAATAGAATCGGGGGCTGATGCCTCCCTCTCCTGCCTCATTTTTCTGTGGGCCTCATTTGGTATGCAAGGAAATAAGCCAAACAGCCTGTGAAGAAAGGAAGAATGAGATAGTTTCCTAAGTTGTCTCTGCCTGAGTTGGCCGCGGGTCTGGGGCTCATTCAGCCCTTTGTCCCCCTGTTGAGTGCAGTGCGTGTGTGGTGACAATGAGGTGGTGCAGTTACACTGAGGGCTAATGGTAGGAGTTCCGTCAGCCCATTCATGGAGGCAGAGGAGGGTGCAGGGCGCGGAGCTCGAGCCAGCAAGCAGAGGAAGTCAGAGGCCCTTGTAACGAGCTGAAGATCACAAACACTGCTGTGAGGGCTCCAGGCTTGGGGGCGGGGGCAGCCAGGAGGGAAGGGGGCAAGGGAGGGGGCCTATCATCATAGAAGTTGGAGGTCTGCCCGACCGCCAGCGCGGTAGGGTACCACCTGTCCAGGCTGACAGACGAGCATTATGGCTTCCCTTTTAATCAGCTTAATTTGGGGCATCTTAACACAATGGCTGGTGCTTTGGAGGCTGCAGGAAAGCTGATGTCCTAGAGCCGCCACACTTGACATGCGTGTAACACCTTTTGATTAGAGGCGCTTTCGTGTTTTTCCAGCCACTTGGGCTCTGTCTCTTTTTCTTGGAGATTCTCTGGTCTGTATGTCTTTACTTAGAGCTTAGAAGTCAAGGTATATAGGAAAAAGGAGTTCTGAAATTGGAGGCTTGCCCTTTCTAAAGCCAGTCTGAGCTTTCAGCCAGATGTCACTGGGACAAGCCACGTCAACTCTCCACGCTCCATTCCCTAGCTGGGAAACGAGGGCATTTGGCTATTTGATTTCCAGAGGCCCTTTGGACCTCCAAATTCTCCAAGTCTGTGATTATTTGTGTATGTCTTCTTATAATCCAGCCCCTTTGGAAGCACTAACTCCACTCTTCTCTCAGCTTGATCCTCTAATAGAAGCAACCTGGTTGGATTTAAGGTGGAGGTCTTCCTCTCTCCAGGTGGCTGCCCTCATCTCTACCCCCACCCCAATCCCATGCATTCTCCTGCCCTCCTGCTTTGGGCAAGACCCGGGCGATGTGGAGTTGGCATGTCCAGTTGCAGGTATCAGCACCACTGCACCATCTCCTCTGCCTTCACTTCCCACCAGCACACAGAATTTATATGCCCTTCCCAAGTCCAAAAAGGGCCCCTGCCATGCTAAACAAAGGTATTCATATGCAAGGCATGAGCTCTGTCTCATGGAAGGGAGAGGCCAAGTTCTCTTTCCACCATCAGAGAGTAGCGTTCAACATCATTTATACAAGACAGGCTTTTGCCCTTTTAGTCTTGCTGAACTAGAATGAGGGATTTGTGTAGTCGAAAGTCAAGCTGATCATTGTCAAGTTTCGTGGAAGTGGAACCTGAAGGAAGGTTAGGTGGAGACTGCAGAGAGGGTTAGCGTCCTGCCTTACCACAAGGTAAGTCTAGAAGAGGGTGGGGAAGGGAGTTCAGAATTCTTCATTCATGGAGTGTACCTGCCTTGGTCATCCTTTTATCTTCCAGTCAGAGGGGTCATCAGTCAAGAGCTGGCCAGGCTGGGTGTGGTGGCTCATGTCTGTAATCCTAGCACTTTGGGAGGCCAAGGCGGGTGGATCATCTGAGGTCAGGAGTTCGAGACCAGCCTGACCAATCTGGTGAAACCCTGTCTCTATTAAAAATACAAAAATCAGCTGGGGGTGATGGCGTGCACCTGTAATCCCAGCTACTTGGGATGCTGAGACAGGAGAATTGCTTGAACCCAGGAGGTGGAGGTTGCAGTGAGCCGAGATCGCACCATTGCACTCCAGCCTGAGTGACAGTGAGACTCCGTCTCAAAAAACAAAACAAAAGCTGGCCGTAGTCAAGTCAGTGATGATTTGGATTGAAATTAAAATGTGACTAAAGAGAGAGTATGCAGTTTTGTCTATCTATGAAACCTTCCTCTGTTTTATGTGGGACACCTGGGCACCCACTCTTGGCTGGAACTTACATAAAACACTACTGTGCACGCACATGTCACCTCAAGTCCCGTGGCTCTGAAAGTCCAGTAGAAGTGACAGCCAGACATCCCAGTCCTCCCTGTAGGGTTTTCTCAGAACTGTTCCTTTAAGGTCTCAGGCTGCTGGAAGGGAGGGCTGATAGCAGAAAAAGTGGGGACACTGGGAACTCCAAAGGGAAGACGCGCATGGCCTGAAACCGAGTTCTTTCGCTTTCTGGAGCCTGGTCTCCCTATGTGGAGGGTCATGCTGGCATGGCTGGCAATGGTTAATTCACCGATGGCCATGGAGTCCCAAGTTGGCCATATTATTGCGGTAAAAGATACATTAACCCAGATGACCTTGCCGGGGGCCAGAATAGAGCCCGTGAGGAAGGAGAGCAAGGCAGGATCGGCCGGGAGGCGAGAGGGATTTTGTTGAGGAGCAAGGTCTTCCACAGGAACTGCGACTTGGAAAGTATTCACCAAGGGCTGTGCCATGCGAAACCCTCTTTAAAGGAACCGCATCGCTACGCCTAACGGGCATTTCTTTTTTAATGTAATGGTTCAGAGCTATTGTCTACCACGCCTCGTGTGCACACGCACACACACGCAAGTTCCCTCAGTCAGCCGAGAATCCTGCCATCTCTTTTAGATAACAAAAGCTCTTAGGCCTTATGCTTTGGGTAGGATTTGTCTTCCATGGACAGGTATTCAGTTGGGAACAAGTATATAGTCACTGCCTCTATGGTATGGAGATACTCCGATTTAGTCCCTCTGCCTCTTGGGGAAAAAAAAAAAAAAATTGTAAACATCCCCTTCAGCAGCTTCTCAAGTCCCTGTACAGTGGAGGAACATTACACGTGAACTTCCTGGATTCAATGGATTCTTCTTTGCAAGAAAAAAAACAAAACAAAAAAACAGAGAAAGAAGAAAATATCAATTTAGACTGTTAGGTCCAACGTTTCACTCAGTGAGTGAGCACAGGGGGTGACGGAGGATGGCTGGAATGTGGGGTTGAAGCTGCTGTTCTGGGTCTCAGCTCCTGCCCATGTACCGTGGAGTGAGCATCTCACACCACGATGATTCTGGCATTTAAGTGAACTCCTTCACACGGTGCTCAAGTGGAGAAAGGGCTGTCCATGTCTATCCCAGCTTAGAAGAAAAACTGATGGTATGAGACTTGCCATTCCTCTCTGATGTAGAACCTGCCTAAGGGACATTCCACAGCAGTTCTGACCGTTGTCACTTTGTGCCTTAACCCCCACATTCATTTTGATTCTATATTTAGTATTAAATTTTTTAGATTATTAGGATTTAAGGTTTTCAAACATCTACTGAAATGCAAGTGCCCCTAGAAACATTATACTTTCAGGCCGGGCTCAGTGGCTTATGCCTGTAATCCCAGTACTTCGGGAGGCCAAGGCGGGCAGATACCTGAGGTCAGGAGTTCAAGACCAGCCTGGCCAATCTGGTGAAATCCCATCTCAACTATAAATACAAAAATCAGCTGGGCGTGGTGGCACGTGCCTATAATCCCAGCTGCTCGGGAGGCTGAGGAAGGAGAATTGCTTGAACCCGAGAGGTGGAGGTTGCAGTGAGCCAAGATTGTGCCATTGCACTCCAGCCTGGGCGACAGAGCAACACTCTGTCTCAAAAAAAAAAAAAAAAAAAAAAAAAAACAGAAAAGAAAAGAAACATTATACCTTAACTTTTCGCACCTAGTGAGTGATAACCTATGAGGATAATGCTGCCACATGGTCCTTGAGGGAAGAACTTGGGGAAGAGCCGAACAGGGATGAGGCAGGTGAGCCCCATGTGATTTATCGTCATTCATTCAGCTCAACAGGTCGGACAGGGTAAGGGTAAGGGATGTAACCAGGAGATGCCACAGGAACGTCTGAGAGGTGTTAGCAAGTCCCAGAGGCCAGCGCCCGACTCCATTTCAGCCTCGTTCAGGGTGGCACGGAGACTCCTGCTGCTGCGTCACGTCTGTCATGTTCAGCACTCTTCCCAGACACACAGTCTTGACTAAAGATTGTCAGGATCTTGACACACGCTTCATTAGTCTTGACTAAATGCGAATCTATACCTCATTTCAAAGAAATCTGAATTCTTTAGGTTCCAGGACCAGTTTATTGTTATACATAATCACGATCATTTATTGAGCTCCACTTAGCACTGCACATATATCAGTATCATCTCAGTTGCCCTTTACTCTGATTATTTTGTGGGGAAACTGAGATCAGAAAAGTTAAATAACTTAGGTGCCACCTGCAAGTATAGTGGGTGGGCAGCAGATACCACCCTTCCTCATTTCATTGTTCCAGGTGATATTTCGTCTCTGCCTTTGGCCTTTAGTCTGTGGTTGTTCCTAATCTTAGTTTTCATTGAAAGCTGTAGTTTGAAATGTGGGATAGATGAGAGATAGGAAAGGAAAATTTAGGGGTATGGAAATTTTGTTCCTTAGTGGTTAGTTCCAGCTTTATTTTGTTTATTTATATGTTTGTTTTTAAAGATCGGGAGCTTGCTGTGTTGTCCAGGCTGGTATCGAACTCCTGGTTTCAGCTTCCCGCCTCAGCCTCCCAGAGTGCTGGGATTACAGGCATGAGCCAATATGCCTGGCCAGCTGTGTTTTAGATCTTTGGGAAATAAAGAGAATGCTTTTGGGCTTGGCAAAATAGAAACCTCTGGGTGGGGAGAATTGCACAGTAAAAGAAACAAAAGGGAAGTTTATATTAAACTATGAAAAGACACAGGGAGGTTCAATTTAACATATTTGCCTTATGTATGTGCTTCTTAAGAGAGTGCACAAAGGCACCTTTGCAGAGGAGAGAGGCTAGAAAATGCCCGTTAGAAGCAAGTCTACGGTTTGCACCCTCTTACTAGCACCAGCAACGGTCCCTGTCTAGTGATACCCATGACTTGTCATTGCATTGCATGTCATCTGCCTAAGAGAAGCTCCTGCCTGGGGCAGACACACTGTCAATTACCCCTACAATATAGACTGATACTAAAGCAAGGCTGCATATTCTTGCTTATTCCCAAATTGGATGGCTCAAGGTTCCAGAATGTTGTAGACATTCTGCATTATATCTTTATGAGAGTTAAGGAAATGGTAAAGAAGCAGAAAAAGTTGGGGATTTTTTTTTTTAAGTATTTACAGTGAGGCGCGGTGGCTCATGCCTGTAATCCCAGCACTTTGGGAGGCCGATGCGGGCGGATCACAAGGTCAGGAGTTCGAGGCCAGCCTGGCCAATATGGTGAAACCCTGTCTGTACTAAAAATACAAAAATTAGCCAGGCGCGGTGGCGGGTGCCTGTAGTCCCAGCTACTTGGGAGGCTGAGGCAGGAGAATCGCTTGAACCCGGAAGGTGGAGGTTGCAGTGAGCCGAGATTGTGCCAGTGCACTCCAGCCTGGGGGACAGAGTGAGAAAAAGTATTTACAGTTTATGTGAGGGTCAGTACGTTGGTTCATTGGCTTCCTTCTTATCTAGTTCTCGGGCTGAGTTTGCTAATGTCATAGCACTTCTAGTAGCCTTCCCCTTTTCTCTGCCACTTCCCAGCTTCCCCAGGCAGAAAGCATCTGGTCGGCCCCTTGATTACCAGGCATCCATAAGTGACCATCATTTAGGCCAGTGCTTCTCAGAATGCCAATCACCTGGGCTCCACTAAAAGGCAGGTTCTGAATAGCTCGGCCTGGGTTGACTGAGATTCTGCGGTTCCAACAAGCTCGCAGGTGATGCTGATGCTGCCAGCCCATGGACCCCACCTGGAGTAGTGAGGTTCCTTGGCACTTTAAGAACATCCCTCCTTTACTTCACATTTATTTCTACTGGAAACTAGCACAGACTTATGCAAGCTAAATTACGCATGTTTTCTCCGTAGGATGCTCTATGTCCTGTTCCTCTTACTAACAACTCTGGTCTGGACCATTGTTCTAGGATTGTCTCAAAGCTTGCCAGGAGCAGATTGAGGCGGTGCTCCTCAATAGCCTGCAGCAGTACCGTCAGGACCAACGTGACGGATCCAAGTCGGAGGATGAACTGGACCAAGCCAGCACCCCTACAGACGTGCGGGATATCGACCTGTGAGGATGCCAGTTGGGCCGAAAGAGAGAGACGCGTCCATAATCTGGTCTCTTCTTCTTTCTGGTTGTTTTTGTTCTTTGTGTTTTAGGGTGAAACTTAAAAAAAAAATTCTGCCCCCACCTAGATCATATTTAAAGATCTTTTAGAAGTGAGAGAAAAAGGTCCTACGAAAACGGAATAATAAAAAGCATTTGGTGCCTATTTGAAGTACAGCATAAGGGAATCCCTTGTATATGCGAACAGTTATTGTTTGATTATGTAAAAGTAATAGTAAAATGCTTACAGGAAAACCTGCAGAGTAGTTAGAGAATATGTATGCCTGCAATATGGGAACAAATTAGAGGAGACTTTTTTTTTTCATGTTATGAGCTAGCACATACACCCCCTTGTAGTATAATTTCAAGGAACTGTGTACGCCATTTATGGCATGATTAGATTGCAAAGCAATGAACTCAAGAAGGAATTGAAATAAGGAGGGACATGATGGGGAAGGAGTACAAAACAATCTCTCAACATGATTGAACCATTTGGGATGGAGAAGCACCTTTGCTCTCAGCCACCTGTTACTAAGTCAGGAGTGTAGTTGGATCTCTACATTAATGTCCTCTTGCTGTCTACAGTAGCTGCTACCTAAAAAAAGATGTTTTATTTTGCCAGTTGGACACAGGTGATTGGCTCCTGGGTTTCATGTTCTGTGACATCCTGCTTCTTCTTCCAAATGCAGTTCATTGCAGACACCACCATATTGCTATCTAATGGGGAAATGTAGCTATGGGCCATAACCAAAACTCACATGAAACGGAGGCAGATGGAGACCAAGGGTGGGATCCAGAATGGAGTCTTTTCTGTTATTGTATTTAAAAGGGTAATGTGGCCTTGGCATTTCTTCTTAGAAAAAAACTAATTTTTGGTGCTGATTGGCATGTCTGGTTCACAGTTTAGCATTGTTATAAACCATTCCATTCGAAAAGCACTTTGAAAAATTGTTCCCGAGCGATAGATGGGATGGTTTATGCAAGTCATGCTGAATACTCCTCCCCTCTTCTCTTTTGCCCCCTCCCTTCCTGCCCCCAGTCTGGGTTACTCTTCGCTTCTGGTATCTGGCGTTCTTTGGTACACAGTTCTGGTGTTCCTACCAGGACTCAAGAGACACCCCTTCCTGCTGACATTCCCATCACAACATTCCTCAGACAAGCCTGTAAACTAAAATCTGTTACCATTCTGATGGCACAGAAGGATCTTAATTCCCATCTCTATACTTCTCCTTTGGACATGGAAAGAAAAGTTATTGCTGGTGCAAAGATAGATGGCTGAACATCAGGGTGTGGCATTTTGTTCCCTTTTCCGTTTTTTTTTTTTTATTGTTGTTGTTAATTTTATTGCAAAGTTGTATTCAGCGTACTTGAATTTTTCTTCCTCTCCACTTCTTAGAGGCATTCAGTTAGCAAAGAGGTTGGAGCAACAACTTTTTTTTTTTTTTTTGCACAATTGTAATTGACAGGTAATGAAGCTATTTGTTAAAATATTTGCCTTTTTAAGTAAAAAAGAAAAATCAGAACAGGGCTATTTGAAGAATTATTTTATACACAGATTCTGCCTTGTTTCATAGTATGAGGGTTGAAGACGGAAAACAATCTAAGGGTCTCTCATTTTTTTAATTTTGTTTTGTTCAGTTTGGTTTTTTTTTTTTTTTGCGCTGCTAAGAAGCTAAAGTCATCCATCCTTATTCACGTTGACAGTACCTAGCTGTAATGTTTCACAGAGTGTGCTGCTATTTTATAAACATTTTTATAATATATTATTTTACTGCTTAAATTCCAAGTCCTGAAGTAGATGGTTGAGATATGAGTTCTTCGTACTGGAAAAGCCCTTCCGTAGTTTGTTTTCTTCTGGTAGCATATTCATGGTTGTTTTTTTTTTTCTTTTTTGGTTTTTTGGTTTTTTTTTTTTCCTCTGATCACATTCTTCAAAGACGGAGTATTCTTTACCTCAGGTTTACTGGACAAAATCAATAACTACAAAAGGCAATGATTCACGCTTTTGTTTTCATAATACCTCACAACCGTACAGTTTCTGCTTGGGAGCCCATTCGCATGAGGAATACAGAAGCAGTGTGAGCAGGGCTGACTCCCTCTCAGGTGGAAGGCAGGGCGGTCTCACTCCCAGGGACCTTTTTGGTCATGGAGGCCATCGGGCTCCCAGTTAGACCCTGGTATCCTCATCATGATGGAAAAAATACATTGAACCAAGGGATCCTCCCTCCCCTTCAAGGCAGACGTTCAGTACAAACATTTATGCGGTAGGCTCAGATGTCGTAATTTGCACTTAGGTACCAGGTGTCAGGAAACAGACTAAAAAGAATTCCACCAGGCTGTTTGGAGATCCTCATCTTGGAGCTTTTTCAAAAGCGGGGCTTCATCTGCAAAGGGCCCTTTCATCTTGAAGTTTTTCCCCTCCGTCTTTCCCCTCCCCTGGCATGGACACCTTGTGTTTAGGATCATCTCTGCAGGTTTCCTAGGTCTGAATCTGCGAGTAGATGAACCTGCAGCAAGCAGCGTTTATGGTGCTTCCTTCTCCCTCCTCTGTCTCAAACTGCGCAGGCAAGCACTATGCAAGCCCAGGCCCTCTGCTGAGCGGTACTAAACGGTCGGGTTTTCAATCACACTGAATTGGCAGGATAAGAAAAATAGGTCAGATAAGTATGGGATGATAGTTGAAGGGAGGTGAAGAGGCTGCTTCTCTACAGAGGTGAAATTCCAGATGAGTCAGTCTCTTGGGAAGTGTGTTTAGAAGGGTTCAGGACTTTGTGAGTTAGCATGACCCTAAAATTCTAGGGGATTTCTGGTGGGACAATGGGTGGTGAATTCTGAAGTTTTGGAGAGGGAAGTGGAGCAGCCAGCAAGTAAGCTAGCCAGAGTTTTCTCAAGAGCCAGCTTTGCTCAGCACACTCTCCTGGGCCCCAAGGAGTCCCACGGAATGGGGAAAGCGGGAACCCTGGAGTTCTTGGGAATCTTGGAGCCTAAAGAGAAACCGAGGTGCAAATTCATTTCATGGTGACTGACCCTTGAGCTTAAACAGAAGCAGCAAATGAAAGAACCGGACAAATAAGGAAGGGCACAAGCCTACCCGACTCTATTTACAGTCTGTAACTTTCCACTCTTCCTGTAGTCCCGAGGCCCCTGGGTCCTTCTAGCTTTTCTCTTTCCCATCCTTGGGGCCTTGTGTGATGATGGGTGTGGGGCTGCCGATGGGAAAGTCGGGGGTTGTTAGGCTTTTCTGCCTGCTCCTGCTTAAACACAAGAAGGAATCCTGGATTTTGCCCTCTCCTTAGCTCTTAGTCTCTTTGGTAGGAGTTTTGTTCCAGAGGAGCTCTCCCCCTTGGATTTGAACTTGCTCTTTTTGTTGTTGTTGTTCTTTCTCTTCTTTTTCTTACCTCCCACTAAAGGGGTTCCAAATTATCCTGGTCTTTTTCTACCTTGTTGTGTTTCTATCTCGTCTTTACTTCCATCTGTTTGTTTTTTTCTCCATCAGTGGGGGCCGAGTTGTTCCCCCAGCCTGCCAAATTTTGATCCTTCCCCTCTTTTGGCCAAATCCTAGGGGGAAGAAATCCTAGTATGCCAAAAATATATGCTAAGCATAATTAAACTCCATGCGGGTCCATAACAGCCAAGAAGCCTGCAGGAGAAAGCCAAGGGCAGTTCCCTCCGCAGAACACCCCATGCGTGCTGAGAGGCGAGCTCCTTGAAGAAGGGGCTGTTCTTCCAGGAGGCCTTATTTTGAACTGCCTCAGGACCCCACTGGAGAGCACAGCATGCCTTACTACTGGGTCATCCTTGGTCTATGTGCTCTGTACTGGAGGCTCTGTTCTGCCTCTTATCAGCCAGGTCAGGGGCACACATGGCTTAAGTGACAAAGCCAGAGGAGAAGACAACCCTGACAGCATCACGCTGCATCCCATTGCTAGCAGGATTGGCAACTCTTCAGACGGAGCTGCGCTTCCCTGCAGTCTAGCACCTCTAGGGCCTCTCCAGACTGTGCCCTGGGAGCTCTGGGACTGAAAGGTTAAGAACATAAGGCAGGATCAGATGACTCTCTCCAAGAGGGCAGGGGAATTTTCTCTCCATGGGCCACAGGGGACAGGGCTGGGAGAAGAAATAGACTTGCACCTTATGTCATGTAAATAATTGATTTTCTAGTTCAAGAAGATAATATTGGTAGTGTGGGAATTGGAGGTAGGAAGGGGAGGAAGTCTGAGTAAGCCAGTTGGCTTCTAAGCCAAAAGGATTCCTCTTTGTTTATCTCTGAGACAGTCCAACCTTGAGAATAGCTTTAAAAGGGAAATTAATGCTGAGATGATAAAGTCCCCTTAAGCCAACAAACCCTCTGTAGCTATAGAATGAGTGCAGGTTTCTATTGGTGTGGACTCAGAGCAATTTACAAGAGCTGTTCATGCAGCCATCCATTTGTGCAAAATAGGGTAAGAAGATTCAAGAGGATATTTATTACTTCCTCATACCACATGGCTTTTGATGATTCTGGATTCTAAACAACCCAGAATGGTCATTTCAGGCACAACGATACTACATTCGTGTGTGTCTGCTTTTAAACTTGGCTGGGCTATCAGACCCTATTCTCGGCTCAGGTTTTGAGAAGCCATCAGCAAATGTGTACGTGCATGCTGTAGCTGCAGCCTGCATCCCTTCGCCTGCAGCCTACTTTGGGGAAATAAAGTGCCTTACTGACTGTAGCCATTACAGTATCCAATGTCTTTTGACAGGTGCCTGTCCTTGAAAAACAAAGTTTCTATTTTTATTTTTAATTGGTTTAGTTCTTAACTGCTGGCCAACTCTTACATCCCCAGCAAATCATCGGGCCATTGGATTTTTTCCATTATGTTCATCACCCTTATATCATGTACCTCAGATCTCTCTCTCTCTCCTCTCTCTCAGTTATGTAGTTTCTTGTCTTGGACTTTTTTTTTTCTTTTCTTTTTCTTTTTTTTTTTGCTTTAAAACAAGTGTGATGCCATATCAAGTCCATGTTATTCTCTCACAGTGTACTCTATAAGAGGTGTGGGTGTCTGTTTGGTCAGGATGTTAGAAAGTGCTGATAAGTAGCATGATCAGTGTATGCGAAAAGGTTTTTAGGAAGTATGGCAAAAATGTTGTATTGGCTATGATGGTGACATGATATAGTCAGCTGCCTTTTAAGAGGTCTTATCTGTTCAGTGTTAAGTGATTTAAAAAAATAATAACCTGTTTTCTGACTAGTTTAAAGATGGATTTGAAAATGGTTTTGAATGCAATTAGGTTATGCTATTTGGACAATAAACTCACCTTGACCTAAATTATCTGGCCGTTTTTGACTTATTTATAAACCAGCAGTCCTCAGAATGGAATACACTTGTCTCATGTCAGAACTGTTTCATGCCGCTGCAACATTTGGCAGTGGCATAAAAGACACATTCTAACCTGGAATGGAATCTACATGTGCCTCTGTGTTATGGCGGTACAAGTCATTGTTGACATTGCTAGGGGACGAGGGGTGCCTATGCAGCCAGCTTATAAGCTAGAAGCCTCAGTCCACCTTCAGAAGGTGGGTACATCACAGACACTATGACTGGTCCTCAGAGGATCGTCCCTGATTGTTGCCAGCTACTCATTCTGGGCTGTGAGGAAGCATCTCCTGGCATGAGAGGTACCAGAAGCCTGCGGTGCCATCTCCAGAGTCTAGGGAGTCTCTGGGAACCCTGCCCCTGCAGCTTTCCTGGCTCCTGCCTGCTGTTCTTCGTGGCTCCCACCTGATTTCTGATCCTTCCTGCACCCCTCTTCTGAGACACAGGCCACAACTACCTTTGCTGGAGTCTGGAGAAGCAGAGCCTGGGAATGGGATGTGACAGTCTCCGTACTGCTGAAATGAATTGCCAGGCCCTAGGCCCAGCTGCTCTTGGACCTTAGCTCAGACCAGCTTCTTTCCCGAGAGTGATGGGTGTGCAGAAGACAAGGGCCTAATGAACACTTTTTTGTGTGTTTTGTTTAGAAACAGGGTCTTGCTGTGTCCCCCAGGTTGGAGTGCAGTGGCACAATCCCAGCTTGCTGCAGCCTCACACTCCTGGGCTCAAGCAATCCTCCTGCCTCAGCCTCCCAAGTAGCTGGGATTACAGGCGCCCACCACCACGCCCAGTTAATTTTTTTATTTTTTGTACAGATTTTTTGTATAGCTTTGTTGCACAAGCTATAACAGACATTTTGATGTTACTGTAAAATTAATTTTTTCCAAAGTTCCTTGTCTGGAAGTCATCGAAGGCTGTTTTCCATTTTAATTCTGACCTGAGTTGTAAACAAGATTTAAAACTGGCCGTTGGGGAAGTCCAGATTAAGATATTCCAGGCTGATCTCAAGTAACTTCACTTAATAGGACTTTTAAGCTTACAAGGACCCTAGAAATTCCCCTTTGTTCCCATTCCCCTTGACATCCGCCATTCTTAGCGACAAATGGGGGTAACTTTTTTCTTGGGTTTCTGCCTAGTGAAGTCTGCTGGCCTCCTGGGAGTTTCAAGGGCCTCTGGTTGCCATTCTTAACCATCCTTGGAATTCTCTTTGGCATGACATAATGTCCAACTGGGTTCCTCTCCCTCCCTTTCCCTATCTTTTTGCTCTGTAGGATCAATGCTATATCTGTTTATAGCATGACAACTCCACTCCCTCTCTCAAATGCCACCCAGCAACACTGCTGGGCTTCCCCCATTCTGAACAATGGATGTTTTAAGGGCGGGAAGAGCAGATGAAGCACACAGCCGAGCAGTGAGAAATCTGACTGTCCCATCTACGCTCTTTCAGACCCAGATCATCTTATAACTGGAAAATCTCAAACTTGGAAGTGCCTTTCCTGAAAGTGGCCATTAAAAATGCAATGAAGACCTGGAAATCCCCGATCTTTTGTGCGTGTTCAAGGGAGTGCTTTTGTATCTCTAATGACTTTCTAAGATTTGGAGCTTTTATTTAGTATGCAGAGGTATCCCCAAAATTCACCTTCCCAGTTGGCTTAGCAGTAATACTGTCAAAATACTGACACGAAGCAAGTACTCAAAAGCTGAATATTACACCAGATTACTTCCCTGCTCTCCTGGCAATTACAGCAACAGCAAAAATGCTGTGGACAGAGTAGGGAGATTCAGAGTATCAAGGTAAGCCTAGTACTCACAGCCGATGTGTTATGTGGGGCCTGTACTGAGCCTTTAAGGAAAAGCACAGAAAAAAACAGGACACACAGGCCTATGAAATAGCAGAGAGAAACAACAGCAAATGCAAATGAGTCTGGGGGGAAATCGATGCTAAGGTGTGGGAGGGGGCCCTTGCAGAGGAACAGGTTTCCTCAAGCAAGTGAGTTTTAGGAAAACACTTTTGTTAGGAAGATCATGTGGGTCAGCATAGTTTGGAAACGGAAACAGAGTGTGACCTTTTCCAAAAATAAAAGGGATGGGAAGTAATTTTTTTTTAAATGAAGGGAAAATATTCCACACAATTTAATAGATTTTAAACAATATAAACACAGATGTTAGGCTTGTGAAACAGGATAAGCACAGCCACAAACATTGATTTGGGATTACCACCCACCTAATTTCTCATGAGGCTTAAAGAAAGAAGGCTGGACGCTTCAATATGACTGGTGGCTTTCCTTGTCTTTGGGCTCTGGGGGCCTCCCCGTGCTGGAGGGGCGGATTCCATCCGCTCGGACCACAGGCTCAGTCAAACAGAACTGGGCGGCCTGAGAAAGCAAGACCAGCGCCCCTGCCTCTGTCTCATTGTCCCCCTGAAGCTTTGAGTTTATGCTTCAAGCTTTGAGTTTACTCATTATTATGGTTTCTTTCATGCTGATTCGCTCGGAGGACCCTGGCCCTTCTGCTGCGCTCACCGCCGCCGCTCTGGTAAATGACTGTCCGCATGGTTTCAACATGCAGTTCTTCCTGCGAAGTCCACTAGGTGGTACTAATGCCACGGACAGGATCACTCACAAGGAAACCCAGAGCCAGCCGGGTGTAGGTTGCCTCTGCCCTGCACGGAAGGGAACACCTCCCTCCAGCAGACAGCACTGGAGCAGCACCCCCGCCTCCGCCATCTCCCCAGGGCAGCCTGGGGAAGGAACGTCAGGCCTTTCCCGTCCACACCTGGCGCAGTTCCCTCACCTGCTTCTCTCACTACCGCCACATCGTGACTCCATCTGGGGTGGCTGGTGCTGGTTCATCACCTTCCCTGACTCTTCAGTGACTAATCCAGAGATGGCACACTGGCAGCTTACAGACCAAATCCAGCCTGCAGACATAATTAGCTTGACTCCCACAGTGATTGAAACTGTCTTGGATTTACTTGCCAATACAAGATGAGAGCTTTCACATAAAAGTCAGGATTGTAACGACTCTTGGGAGATTTAAGTCCTGGCAACCACAGGCCCGCGAGGCCGCGAGGGCTGCAGCTGAGTGTGACTGGCCCCTTTCTCTACCCTCTGCCCACCCCACAACCGACTGAACCCGCTGCTCTCTTTTACGGCGCCTGCCAGTCGGCTTAGGGCTTACAGCTCTGCAGCCTAACCTGTGTCTGTTTTACCTCCCTGGCCAGGAAGGAGGGCCCAGTAAGTCCCAAGTGGAGTCATCCTCCTCCAACCCTCTCCACCACAAACAGACCTGGAATACTTCTTTCAGTTTGTGGACCATAACCTCTCCTTCTCAGACGAAGAAAGACCGTACTGCCTCAGTAAGCATTAAGATCTCTTTATGTCTTTATGAGTTTTTAGTTATCAGATTACCCCGGGGCTGGGCCAGATTTTTGAAATTCCTTTGAGATCCCAACATTCAGCCCCACGCCCAGGTCTGCAGGTAGGCCCAAATAAGGTGGGGTGGTAAAGATCTGCTTTTTGTTTTTTGGTTTTCTTTTCTTTTGTTTCTGGAGATAGGGTCTTCCTTTGTCTCTGAGGCTAGAGGGCAGTGGCGTGATCACAACTCACTGCAGCCTCAACTTCCCAGGCTCAAGTGATCCTCCCACCTCAGCCTCCCAAGTAGCTGGGACAACAGGCATGCACCACTACATCTAGATTGTTTTAAAAAATGTGTTATAGAAACAGTGTCTCACTATGTTGCCCTGGCTGCTCTCAAACTTTGGGCCTCAAAAGATCCTTCCCACCTCAGCCTCCCAAAGTGCTGGGTTACAGGTGTGAGCCACTGTGTCCAGACAGCTTTTCCTGCTTTTGTTTGTCTGGAGAGTCATTTTTAGTGCTCCTGGCACCATGGAGATTCCATGAGAAGACAAACCTGTGAGATTTCTATATTTGTTGAAAAAGTGCAAATCTCTGTGGCTATGTTTCGGTCAACCCATTCACTGAAAATCGCTACTCTTCATCATCCCCTTCCCACACAGGGCTCCTGGGCACTGCTCGTTTATTCAACAAATGAGGGCTGGGTACGTGCCTGGTGCTCCGTATGGGACCCCTCATTCAACAAATGTGTCTCAGTACTTGCTTTTCCAGGGATGAGATCTCTGCTCTCCTTGATCTCAAAGGCTAAAGACAGAGACAGATAAAAAGACAACTGCTACTTGGTGGTTGGCCCAGAATACAAGTGCTCTATGCTCTGCTCTGGAATGCCCCCCCGGCCACCCACTCGCTTTGTAACCTTGGGCTCATTACTTAGCCACCCAGCAACTCACAGTAAACTCAGTGACTTAGTTTTTTCATCTGTGAAATGGGGTTTTGTAGTTTTGAAAGAGCTTTCCACAAGCCTCTCCTATAATCCTTTTATAACTCTGGTGAATTTGGTACCTTGTTTTGTAGCTAAGTGAATGGAGGGTCACACGGCTCACTTGGCTTATCACAAAGAGTTAGGCTAGGACTGGATCCCAGATGTGTCTGAATTCAAATATCATGCATCTTCTGCTACACTGGGCTACTTTATTGATCCATATTTTGCTTACTGAGCATTGAGCTGAAAGAGTGAGACTTTTAGCCCAGTGTGGGCAGGAAGGTTGCAGGGGGTGGGGGGGGTTGGATGATGACATCACTTAGTGAAATCATCAGGGGATAGTTTTTTAATGAAGACAAAGTCAATGAAGAAAGTAAAGGGCCTTGTCATCTAAGGAGGAGTTTGTCAGTGAATGTACACCAAGGAAGTAGCCTTTTCTTTCCAGCGTCTTTGCCTTGCCCCTTGGCTGTTCTTCATGCTCATTCCATTCAGGTTATAAATGCGTTGCTCATAAACTCCTGGGAAGGAGCCATGGGTTCTGCTTTCCTCCCAAATCCCCAAACCTATGTCAATTAAAACAAGAATCACAGCCAGGCGCGGTGGCTCACACCTGTAATCCCAGCACTCTGGGAGGCCGAGGTGGGCGGATCATGAGGTCAGGAGAACAAGACCATCCTGGCTAACATGGTGAAACCCCATCTCTACTAAAAATACAAAAAATTAGCTGGGCGTGGTGGCATGTGCCTGTAGTCCCAGCTACTCGGGAGGCTGAAGCAGGAGAATCACCCGAACCCAGGAGGCGGAGGTTGCATTCAGCCGAGATTGCGCCACTGCCCTCCAGCCCGGGTGACACAGCAAGATTCCATCTAAAAAAAAAAAACAAAAACAAACAAACAAACAAACAAACAAAATCACATATCTAGTTTGTCCCTATTCTTCAGGGACCCACGAATATCTGTGTTATTATTATTTCTCCCCCAACGCTCCCTCCTTCCCCCACCAAGCCCAGAGAATCTCAGTCCAGAGGCAGGGAAGCCTTGCTTGTATCATCAGCCTCCCAAGCCTTTGCTATTTAAAGATTCCTTTTGTTATCCTATAGGAAGAGATATTCTTTTTCTTGGTTTTTCGTGGCCACCTTCCTTGCCCCGAAAAAAGGGACACAGGAGGAAGGGCCCAAAAACGTAGAGGAAAAATACTGTAGGAAAAAATGCTGATTAATATTTCCAAAAATATTATTTTACCATGGATGCAATGGCCTGAGGCCCTGCAAGGGTGAATGCCACACTGAGGGTCACCCAGCAATGTACAAATGAACAATGAAGGACAACTGCTGGCCTCTGCAGGCTTCCATTCATTGCTCAGCTCTGTGAGCCTCTGGACATCTTGGTGAATACCCTCAGAAAATCTTGAAGCACCACAGGTTTTAAAAGCAGTCACTCACTTATGTTTTTCATATGTCACTGTAAGCTCATCATGAAGGGACTATGGAAGATTTGCTTCCATATGGCACTGCCTAGGTATTAGGGCCAGGACACCTAGGATTTTAGGGCCTAGCGGTCTTCTCTTTTCCTTAGCATTCTGTCAGGGCTCTGGCAAGAACAAGAGGATTGGCCTTTCTAGCCAATGTCCCCCCCAGTGCTTGCTACTTGCCTGGAATATTATGGACTGTATCATACATTTCTGTATTACATACAATCATTGTGACAGAGTCAGGATGCTGTGGTGGAAAAAGGCTTAGGTAATAAGATGATCTGACTTTGAATCCCAGGGCTGCCACTTAGCTTTACAAGCTCTGAGTCTCTGCTATTCTTTTATAAAATCTCTCTGGATTATTAGAAGGATTAAATGAGGTAGTCTATGTAAAGTGCCTAATACATAGAAAGCTTTAACAAGAATCAGCTAGTCTGAACATATGCAAACACACCAAGGACCGTGTTCATTGCTTTTGAAGGCATTGTAGATGCAATGTTATTTTCCCAAAAAGTCAGGGGTGGAGGTGGATATGGGTTTTCTGTGGATCCTGATGAGACTACTATCAAGAGCACAGCAGTGAAACAAAAGCATTTACAACTCTCATAATATCCCCTTGGTGCTGCCGCCCTTCTTCCAGACAGCAATGAACTTGGGCTTGGGGAGCGTTCTCTTCCCCACTAAGTAACAGGCTAACAGGCAAGGCATGAAAAGGGATTAGAGGATGCATGTATTCAAATAAAGGGGAGTTCCCCAGAAGCACGGCAGGCTGAGAAGGCATCTTTCGACTGTCCATCAGTAGGAAAGCTGTTTGACTGGCAGATATAATTTTTTTGGAACCAGCAATAATGGGGAGCTATTGGTGACAGATGTCAGATGTTGGCAGAGCAGCTGCCAAAACAAGTCTCCCTCCACCTTCAGACATCAAGCTGATGGGGACTGGGAGTCCCTTCGCACTTGGGTCATTGGTCACATTATTATTTCTCAGTCGCTGGACAAAGCAGATGGTTTACCATGTATTTGTGATTTTCTGTTGGCCTAGAAATTCTGTTCTTCCATCAGGGTACAGCATGTAATCAATTATGACAGTGGGTGGTGCAAGAAAATCCCTGCCAGTAAAAGCCCAAGACTTTCTCTTTTATTAAGTCTGCATAAACCACTACAATTTCCAACTTCAAAGCAATAGAAGAAAAAAGCAAAGTAGTGGTGTTATAAATAACTTGGGTAATCACAAAAACCACAGTTCTCAGTTGGTCCCAAACACTCTCAGTCTGTACTATCTGATGTCAGTTTTGTCTGTCCATTTTTATTCTGAAACTTAAAATCCTCTTGTCTCTATTCTAGTAAGTCTTAATAATATACGTATATTTTTAGACAGAGTCTTGCTCTGTCACCCAGTCTGGAGTGCAGTGGCACGATCTTGGCTCACTGTAACCTCCACCTTCCAGGTTCAAACAATTCTCCTGCCTCGGCCTCCGAAGTAGCTGGGACTATCATGCACAGCTAATTTTGTATTTTTAGTAGAGACAGGGGTTCGCCATGTTGGCCAGGTTGGTCTTAAACTCCTGACCTCAAGTGATCTGCCCGCCTTGGCCTCCCAAAGTGTGCCGGGATTACAGGCATGAGCCACTGCACCCTGCCTCTATTCTGGTAAGTCTTAAAGAGCTTTATCTTAGAATCATAAAGTGACCTAATTAAAAATAAACAGAACAAATACCAGGAACATACTACCCCTCAACTAAGGTTTTTTTTAAAAAAAAAATTCTCAGCTGTATTCTATTACATAGTAAAAATAGTAAGTTGCCTTGCTTTAGTATGTGTGAGTAGCCACATAGAACAGTTTATATGTTCTCCATCACCCACCCTCTGGATAATTTTCTTTGTGAAAGACACCTTGCTTATTTGTATGCATGTGTCTCAGGAAATAAATTCTTTAGTAATAGAGCAGAACAAGCATTTTTAACATGATAACTACCAACTAGAGAAACTCTTGACATAAATTACACATTTTTTCTTGTCTTTTAAAAATATGTATGTATTTTTTCTTAAAAATCAGGCTCATAAACGAATGGCTTTCTACTCTTTTTTCATGTAATCTCCTATCAGGGGAATGTTATCATACCATTAAATATTCTGTAAGAACATGATTTCTAGGGCTGGATACGGTGGCTCACATCTGTAATCCCAGCATTTTGGGAGGCCCAGGCAGGAGGATCACCTTAGGTCAGGAGTTTGAGACCAGCCTGGCCAACATGGTGAAACCCGATCTCTACTAAAAATACAAAAATCAGCTGGGCGTGGTGGCACATGCCTGTAATCCCAGCTATGTGGGAGCTGAGGCAGGAGAGTTGCTTGAACCCTGGAGGCGGAGGTTGCAGTAAGCTGAGATGGCGCCACTGCACCCCAGCCTGGGTGACAGAGAAGACTCCGTCTCAAAAAAAAAAAAAAAAAAAAAAAAGAAACAAACCAAAAAAAAAAAAAGAAAAAAAACCATAGATTCTAATGAATTGTTTGGGCTCCTACAATATATCTAGTACTACTTGAGGTGCTGAAGACACAGAAGGGAACAAGCCAGTCCCCACGGTCAAGGAATATATATCCTGCTGAAGAAAGACAAGCAATGAACCTACAAAAATGTTCATAAATGATATAATTTCAGAATAAAATCGGATGATGGATAGTGACTGGGCAGCCTACTTTGCTTGAGGGAAGACCTCTTGAGAGTGGGACTTCTGAGTTGATACCTGAAGGCTGAGAAGGAGGCAGCCATGCAAATATCTTGGGAAAGAGCTCTGTGAGCAGAAGGAACAGAGAATGCAAAGATCCGGAGGTAGGAATGAGCATGACGTGGTCTACGAACAGAGAGAAGCCCTGACGGCTGGAGCTGGATGAGGAGGGGCAGCGAAGAGAGAATTGTAACTGGAGGGCCAAGAGGGGCCATGCCACATAGGCCTTGCAGGAGTTGGGACTTCATTCTAACTGCAATGAGAATTCAATAGAGAATTCTCCAGCAAGGGAGTGACACAATAGGGACATCTCTTCAATGGCTGAGTACCAGAGTAGAGGCAGCAGAGCTATGCCAACAGGCTATCACAGTAATCCAGACGAGAGGTGATGAAGGCTCAGCCTGGGACACAGTGAGACTCCAGAAGTGGTGGATTCAGGACATAATTTGGTGATAGACCCCATAAACTTTTTTTAAAGGTTTTGGATAGATAGCTTTTATCATTTATTTATTATTGAAGATATGTACGACACAATAAATAAGCTTGCTTCAGACGTATATATAGAACTCTGTATCCAATAATGAGTGAATCCACATTCTTCACAAGGACACACGAAACATTTCTGTGAAATGCCTGTGGACTAGTCCACAAAGCAAGTCTCTGTAAATTTCAAAAATGTATACCCTTGAAAATCTCTGAAGTCCTGGAGATTTAAGTCTGCAACTATCTTAGTCTTACTACCAAGAATAGCCCCTAAGGAAAAAAAAAAACCCTTTCAATAAAAAAAAGATAAACAAGAATAATATAAATTTCACAGACTCCAGCTAACCAGCTTTTGGTCACAATGTAATTAATTTCACTCTTAATGCATTGCTGAAAATATTTAAATGCCTGGGGAACTGGCTCCAACCCACAATCTCCTCCCCTACCCTACATTCCAAATAGATCAGGCATTTTACACTTGGCTCATCTTCGGTGAAGACAGTAATTAATCTTTATTTGAAAACAAGATTTGGGAGGCAGACGCAGGCAGATCACCTGAGGTCAGGCGTTTGAGACCAGCCTGGCCAACATGGTGAAACCCCATTTCTACTAAAAATATAGAAAAATTAGCTGGGCGTGGTGGCGGGTACCTGTAATCCCAGCTACTCAGGAGCCTGGGGCAGAAGAATCGCTTGAACCTGGGAGGTGGAGGTTTCAGTGAGCTGAGATCACGCCACTGCACTCCAGCCTGGGTGACGGAGCAAGACTCTGTCTTAAAAAAAAAAAAAAAAAAAAAAAAAAAAAGCAAGAAAACGAGTAAAATCCAGCACTCACTGCATTATTGAGCCTACAGAAATCTATGATGAATTTGACAGGGAATATTAGGATAGGTAAAGAATCAAGGGTTTCATGAGCAGTCAAGTGGAGGGTGTTACCATTTACTGAGATGAGAAAGACTTGAAGACCAGCTGTTTTTAGGGGTAAAAATGGAAGGTTCTGTGTGGACAAAGTTAGCCTGAGATGTCAACTATAGACCCAAGCGTAGATGTTGAGTAGGCAACTATAACAGATAAACGAATGAGGAGCTCAAGGGAAAGGCCAGGCTGGGGATATAACTAAGATCTATACACTGGATTAGATCATCTAGCTGACTGCACAGTTGAGTAGAGAAGAGAGCCAAGGGCAGAATCCTCAATACTCCAACATGCACAGGGTTTATGGGATTGTCTACCCCCCAACAATTCATGTGTACCTCACGTTTCCCATCACCTCTGCAATTTGGTAGGGCCACGTGAGTGGCTCTGGACAATGAATGAAGGAAGCATCTAAGGACTGGTTCAAGACCCTCAACTATTCTCATCTCCTGCCTCAAAAATCGTGAATTCTTATGTTTCTGAAGTTAACATGTCTGTCAACCCTAGGTCCTGAATGAGTATGTGGCTTTAAGACCCTTTCTGATCCACGTCAGACATATAGCATGAAAGAAAAACAAACACTTGTGTGTGAAGCCATGGAAATTCCAGAGTTAATTTGTTACCTCGGCATAACGTGGCCTAATCCAGAATGCCATCATATGATGCGCTTCAACAAAGCACCATTTTTCATTTTTTTAAAAAGGCGTTATGTGATTTGAGAGGCTGTCAACAAAATATATTGGTGGATGGCTGGGTGTGGTCGTTCATGCCTGTAATCCCAGCACTTTGGGAGGCCGAGGCAAGCAGATCACTTGAGGTTAGGAGTTCGAGAACAGCCTTACCAACATGGTGAAACCCTATCTCTACTAAAAATACAAAAATTAGCCAGACATGGTGGTGCAGGCCTGTAGTCCCAGTTACTCGGGAGGCTGAGGCAGGGGAATTGCTATTCAGGAGGCTGAGGTAGGGGAATTGCTTGAACCCGGGAGGCGGGAGGCGGGAGGCAGGAGGATCACTTTAGCCTGGGAGGCAGAGGTTGTAGTGAGCTGAGAGCACACCACTGCACTCCAGCCTGGGGCAATGGGAGTGAAACCCTGTCTCAAAAAAAAAAAACAAACATATATACACATATTTTTTATATATGTATTTATATACGTATACACACACATACACACAAATACATGTATATACATATATACATATATGTACACACATCCTGCTTATAAAATGAACAAGGAGTTCACGTAAACTAATTCAGATAGAACCTGGAAATATATATATAGGGGTATTTCTGGCTTCTCTCTGAATATATATGGATACACACACACACACACACACACATATATACACATACATACATATATGGGTGTTTCTAGCTTCTATCTGAAATACAGTTTAAGTGAACTCCCTGTTCATTTTATAAGTGGAAGGGCAATCCCTGAACCACTGAGTGAATAATGCAGGACAATGTCCACTATTTTGAAGACACCTCATTTTTCAACCTGGTTTTTGCCCCTGATTAGTTTTTCGTTGCTGTTTTTTTTTTTGTTTTTTTGTTTTGTAGCCGTGGTCTCGCTCTGTCGCCAGGCTGAAGTGCAGTGGCACGATCTCGGCTCACTGCAACCTCTGCCTCCCGGGTTCAAGCGATTCTTCTGCCTCAGCCTCCTGAGTAGCTGGGACTACAGGTGCACACCACCACTCCCAGCTAATTTTTGTATTTTTGGTAGAGACGGGGTTTGCCCATATTGGCCAGGATGGTCTTGATCTCTTGACCTAGTGATCTGCCTGCCTTAGCCTCCCAAAGTGCTGGGATTACAGGCATGAGCCACCGCGCCTGGCCCCTGATTCTTAAAATTTATGAAGAATTGTTTTTTAATTTATTCCTTAGATAATTAAAAGAAATAACATTGGTGGATGCCTTGCAACTTTCTAAATTTCTCCTAAAACAATAATCCTCTCCAATATGTCAGCTTTTTTAAATATGTATGCTTCATTAGACAAACTGATCATAACAGGTATTCTTCATTCATTTGACAGATTTTAATGGAATCTCCACTGTGTTCCAAACATTTTCTTAGGAACCAAGGAAGTAATGAAATAGAGCCAGTAGTTACCCTCATGATTTATAGTTTTGAAACCTGGAGTATACTTATCTGGTCTCAAACTCAGTTCTGAGATCTTGAGAGATGGGAAATTAGTTTTTGTTTGTTTGTTTGTTTTTGGAGATGAAGTCTCACTCTGTCGCCCAGGCTGGAGTGCAGTGGCATGATCTTGGCTCTGCAACCTCTGCCTCCCGGGTTCAAGCAATTCCCCTGCCTCAGCCTCCCGAATAGCTGGGATTACAGGCACCTACCACCACGCCCGGCTACTTTTTGTGTTTTAGTGGAGGAGGGGTTTCACCATGTTGGCCAGGCTGGTCTCCAACTCCTGAGCTCAAGTGATCCGCCCGCCTCGGCCTCCCAAAGTGCTGGGATTACAGGCGTGAGCCACTGTGCCTGGCCCAAGAAATGGGAAATTAGTTAACCTGTATGTGCCTTAATTCTTCATCTGTGAAATGGAAATAACTCCTACCTTGCAGAGTTACTGTGTGTATTAAATAAGACAAAATGGGAAGCTGTTTTTATTTAGGCGTTAGAAATGCACTTGGACCACCTTAAAGTGAAAGAGGTTTTACTATACAAACCGGAACTTTCAAGGTATCTGGGACTATGGCAGTTTGAGCGACCAGTGACTGGGTACTCCTTGCATTACTCACTTGTGTCTGTGTCTCTCTGTGTGTCTCTTTGCTTCTTCCATTGACTTTGCTTCTTCGTACCCTCTCCTCTGTTCTCTCACTTGTATTATTTATGGCTTCTGTTTCTTCACAGCTTCAATCACCATGCCCCTTCATAGCCCTAACTCTATCCTATGATTTCTTTCTGTGCTTTCTTTCTGCTTCACCCCTCACAGATAACTACTTAATTTCATTTTTTCAGCTCAAACTTCCAGGAGAATCTGCTGGGATGATTCATTCATTTGGGCATTCAGAACACGGACACGGACACACACACACACACACACACACACACACACACACACACACACACACACACACGATATCTGGGCCCCACTGTTAGGGCCCTCTGAATTATCCCTCCACTCTCATCCTGAAAATGCCTCCTGTTGACCTGCAAGCTGTTAGAGATGCTGAATTTGGTCCCCACTCCAATCTACTAACTCCAGAATCTACATTTTAACACTATGCCCAACTGCTTTGTGTGCACGTTCGAGTTTGTGAAGCATTGCTTTAAACTGCTAGCTCTCAGAACAGCCACTTGTATGTTGGAAACAGCTGGGGATTAAAAGCATACAGATACTGCTGCCTGAGTCTTTCCCCCAGAAGTTCAGATTTGATTTTTCTGGGGTGTAGCCTGGCAAAGGTCTCCAGACGATTCTAATGTAAAGATAGGTTTGAGGACCTCTAAACTAGTTCTGTGTCACCGCTGACCAGTTGTGTGAGCCTAGACAAATCGCTGTCTCTCTCTCGGCCATATTTCTTTTTTTTTTTTTTTGAGATGGGGTCTTGCTCTGTCACCCAGGCTGGAGTGCAGTGTTGGAATCTCGGCTCACTGCAACCTCTGCCTCCCGGGTTCAAACGATTCTCCTGCCTCAGCCTCCCTAGTAGCTGCGACTACAGGCACGTGCCACCATGCCCGGCTAATTTTTTGTATTTTTAGTAGAGATGGGGTTTCACCGTGTTAGCCAAAATGGTCTCTATCTCCTGACCTGCAGATTCTCCTGACCTGCCTTGGCCTCCCAAAGTGCTGGGATTACAGGCGTGAGCCACCATGCCCGGCCATATTTCTCATCTCTAAAGTGAAGATAATGTAGCCTATCCTGTCTACCTTAGAATTGTTCAGAAGGCCAAATGTGATATTACATGTAAGACTGTTTTGAAATGTGTGCCTATGAATCTAAGTATCTCATTCATCTCTTCTCTAAACACATCTTTTCATATATAAGTGGGGATTCAAGGAAATAAATGCATTATGAAATACAAGAATTTAGGTAACAGTGCATGGAAGACAATGTCACCTAGCTAACATTATTGTTACTTGTGTCACATTGCTAGGTACTGCTATCCCAGTTTACCTGTCACAAAACCCAGGGTTAGAGAAGCTCATGTTATAAATAAACTTTCAGTGCCACAAAAGAAATAGCACTCGAATATAAAATTTTCTTTTTAATTCTCAGCAAGGCAAGGTACTTCTATAGAAGGGTGCGTCCTTACAGATGGAGCAATGGTGAGCGCACACTTGGACAAGGGAGGGGAAGGGGTTCTTATCCCTGACGCACGTGGCCCCTGCTGCTGTGTAGTGCCCCACCGCACAGGCTAAACTAATTCCGATTGGCTAATCTAAAGAGAGTGATGGGGGTGAGTGGTTTGGCGGGAAAAACAGTTATGACAGAGCAGGTAATCTGAGTCAGGGTGGCGTAGGTAATGGGAAGGAGTCAGGGTGGAGTAGGTAATGGGAAGGAGTCAGGGTGGAGTAGGTAATGGGAAGGAGTCAGAGTGCAGCAGGTAATCGAAAAAGGTTGTGGCCGGGCGCGGTGGCTCACGCCTGTAATCCCACCACTTTGGGAGGTCGAGGCGGGCGGATCACGAGGTCAGGAGATCGAGACCATCCTGGCTAACACGGTGAAACCCTGTCTCTACTAAAAATACAAAAAATTAGCCGGGCGTGGTGGCAGGCGCCTGTAGTCCCAGCTACTCGGGAGGCTGAGCCAGAATGGCGTGAACCCGGGAGGCGGAGCTTGCAGTGAGCCGAGATCACACCACTGCACTCCAGCCTGGGTGACAGAGCCAGACTCCATCTCAAAAAAATAAATAAATAAATAAAAAAGAGAAGGTTGCTTTAGGAGGAAGTTAAGTTTAAAAGTAAAAAGCAAAGAATTGAACATACTGACATATTGATTCTTTGAAAAGAAATTTAGAACTCATATCTAACATGAAGCAACTCCCTCAACGTTCTGAAGGCTATTAAAGAGAAATTATTCATCTGAGGCTTGTTAAAAACGGCAAGACTTTACTCAAGACTACTGCAATAGGTGAGAGAGACTGAATTCGACTCTAGAATACAACCGGGACCAGTGGAGATTTATAGCCAGGGGGCGGGATGGAAGGGATGAAAGAGAAGATGGGAAATTACCAGAACGTGGTAAGCTATCTGGGGGAGGGGGAGGAGGAACTTTACTAGATATCAAGGGCCTTAGAAGAGAGCATCAACAGTGAGGTCTCTCTTGATAAACAGGCTTAGCAGGATTCTTTGGTAAAACCAGGCTCAGCAGGCCGAGGATGCCGTCTAGTATAGAAAAGGCCTCAAAGGAGCCCGACTAAAGTTTGGTCACGGAGGGCGTCTGTCCCGGCGGAGTTGGGGTGGGTGGGTCTAAGTCTACAGACCTGGCCGACGCTACGTCCCTAAGGTTAGGGACTAACAGACCTCATAGAACACAGTCTGTTGGTCGCTGTACACCCGTGAGGGGTTCATCACAGTGGCCAGCTATAAGACGAACGGTTGCATTCCAGCCTCAATCGCAACAACCACAAATCAGTGCGCCGGCTTCCTTATCTGCCCCGAACGCAGGCTGCCGGCTATCGAGGGAAGGAATCCTACCGCGGACTCCGCGGGCGGGGCCTCCCGCACCTGCCGCGCGCCAATCACAGGCCGGCGCGCAGGGGCGCAAGCGCCGCAGCCCTGGGCGGGGCCCCCGTGGCTCCCTCGTCTCCCCCGCCCCGTCGGCCTCGCCCGGCCCTGAGTGGCCTTCGGGGATGACGTGCGAGGCCGCCTCGGCCTATGGCGGCGGAGCCGGCCGGCTGCTTGGCGGAAGTGGTGTGGGGGAGGTAGCCCGCAGTGCAGGGGCAGCGCGGCGCGGGGCCACCGACGGGACGCGGCTCCGGGAACATGGCTCGCTTCGCTCTGACTGTTGTCCGGCAGTGAGTATGGCTGTGGCAGGATGTCTTTCTCTCTCTCTTCCTTGAGTGTGTTGGAGCGGGTGAAGGGAAAACGGGTCCACCACCCTCTCCCCTCCCTGCTCGCTCCAGCCCGGGAGGGCTGGCTTGGAAGCGCTTTTTCCGGGGCGCTTGCCCTGGGGCCGTCCCGTGTCGCCCCTCCTCTCACCCCAGCAGCCCCGAGGGACGACGGCAGGTCTTAGATAGCTTCGTTCCGTGTTTCAGATAAAGTGAGGCCCGGAGGAGCAAGGGATCGGGGTTCGTAGGCACTTGGTGGCTGCACCAAAAACGGTGCCAGACATGTCCACAGACTTGTCTGGGTACCGATTTTGCTCCCCAGCAGATTGCAAAGAGTTTGCAGAATTGCTCGTCCATGGCTGATGTTTTTGATGCCGGCTGCCTTCCGCTATCCTCTCAGTTTCTGAGGTTCCCCCTCGTTTCCCCAGGCAGTCAGCCCCCCAGGCACATATATGAGACTTCTTTCTTTTCCCCAGAGGTTACAGTTCTGGGAGAGAAAAGAGGATCACAGCTCTGATCTCAGCAGACCGTATCATCCCAAATAAATGTTTTTATTATCATAACGTTACACGGAGCTGCATGCTGATAGGTCTTTATGTATTTGCCAAGTGTTAACGGGAGGTGAAAATCAGGGTAGTTAAGAGCACAGATTTTTATTTTTATTTTTTTTTTTTTGTGAGATGGAGCCTCGCTCTGTCACCCAGGCTGGAGTGCAGTGGCGCTATCTCTGCTCACTGCAACCTCCCGCCTCCGGGGTTCAAGCGATTCTCCTGCTTCAGCCTCCCGAGTAGCTGGGATTACAGGCATGCGCCACCACGCCCGGCTAATTTTTGTATTTTTAGTAGAGACAGGGTTTCGCCATGTTGGTCAGGCAGGTCTGGAACTCCTGACCTTAAGTGATCCGACTACCTCGGCCTCGCAAAGTGTTGGGATTACAGGCATGAGCCACCGCGCCCTGCTAAGAGCACAGATTTTTCAGGCAAGGTAGACCTCGGTTGGAGTCTGTTCTCCAGCTAAGAGCCAGGTAGCCTGGACTTAAGTTTCCTGATATGCAAATGATAGTGCGTATCTCACTACTTTAATGCGAGAATTAAATGGGGGACAGGTAAAGTGTATGATGCAACAGGGAAAGAAATATATCTGAGAAATAACTTCTATAAAGAAAGCTCCAATAAAAGTGCAGTTGATTCCCAAATACGAACGTATAGTTCAGCACACCAGCATTTTGAGTAGGTAATGTGTGCCAGTAGACTGGATCATACAGATAAATAACATACCATTTCTGCATTCATGGAGCTCACAAAGGACATTAATATGATTTAACTTTGTCAATTGACTTTAACAGCTATCTTTTCTGGCCTGTCCTTCCTTTATAAGAAAGATAATCTTAAGAATCCTCTAAAATTGTCTGTTTAGGATTAGCAGGATTTTAATGGCTACCTTAGAAATCTAGTTCCTCACTATCTCTTCTCCCACCCCTCTCGGTTGTATAGAATGCCTTGGGAGAATTCTTAACTTACTAAAGGTCACACAGCTAATCGGTAGCAGAACAGGAACTAGAGGCCTGATCACCCTTTCTTCCAATGTTAGTGCACTTTCTAGACGCCTGACCCAGCCAGCCCAGTGTCATATTTATAATTGAAACTCAGACCATCAAGGTGGTTCACCCCTGTAATCCTAGCACGTTGGGGGGCGGAAGTGGGTGGATCCCTTGAGCACAGGAGTTCAAGACCAGCCTGGGCAACATGGTGAAACCTCCTCTCTACAAAAAAAAAAAAAAAAAGCTGGCTGTGGTGGTGCATGCCTGTGAACCTAGCTAATAGGGAGGCTGAGGCAGGAAGATCACTTGGATCATGTGAGCCTGGGAAGTGAGGGCTGTAGTGAGCTGTGATTGGGCCACTGCACCCCAGCCTAAGCGACACAGTGGGACCCTGTCTCAAAAAGAAAAAAAAGAAAACTCAGAAGTTGTAGAATATTTGGGGTAAGGCAACCCCTAAAAAGTAAGATGATTCCTATTTAGATTCCTAATAGACAATAGTCATATAAATATGGATTTTATTCCCTTTCTGCTGCTTAAAAAGGGTTTGATTCCGGAGGCCCTCATAGGAATCATTTAAAAAATAAGTCTTAATAAATGATTATTTGCCAGGCACTGTTGTAATTAAAATCTGACAGTTTAGTGAGTTAAGGACTGATATCCTCATTTTTCACATGAGGCAGCTGAGACAGAGACGCCTTGTAACTTGCTTAAAGTCACATGGCAAGTTGAGGAAGTAGGAGTTTAACCAAAGCAACTTTACCACTCACCGTCTTTTGTTTCCTACTTAATTTGTTAAAACCCGGTATTTGTAGATTACTTGAACATCACCAGCCATTTTTGAGGCTACTTTTTAGTCTCTTAATATAATTGTGTGGAGTTATGACAATAGTTTATTTTGTTCTGTTTTATGTGTAGGAAGATGGAGTGAGAGGGCTGGTTCAATGCTTTCCGGTCTGGATCCTCCTGCTTCTTGCCTTCAGAGTTCTCAAAACCAAAACCTGGTGATTCTTTCAGGAAAAGAAGTGATTTTTAAATTTGACTCATTATCACCATAGTTAAATGTAATGACTTTTTGAAGAGTTAGATAATTTTATTGGACTTACCTCTTCAGATAATGCAAAAAAATCTTTAAAGCAATTTAAGTTCAACAGAACCTGTTAGGAATCTTGTGCTGTTCCTGTATGTGGTTTATCTTTCTTCATACTTTGAAATGAAAGTACCAGTGTGTATCATTTCTGGAACAGACTGCCCAAGATTCCAGAATTCAAGTCTATCATCATTGTCAGACTATAACTTCTCATGAGCTTATGGCACAGCATTGTTGAAAACTCCAACACGTGTAGGTTGGCATTACCATCACCTATCCAGCACTACTGAAGGGTCTGGTTCCTTGGAATGTTGTAGGTGTTTGCAGTGAGTCCCCGGCAAAACCATCCATTTAACTTCCTTTTTTTTTTTTTTTTTGGAAATATGTGTGCCTTTATTAGCTGAGCCACTACTTGAGGGGGATGAAGCGGGAGGAGTGGGTGGCCCCGATGCCGGGCCGGCAGTGCTTCACCAGCTTATAGGTGATGGAGAACTCGCCCAGGTAGTGACTGATCATCTCCGGCTTGATCTCCACCTGGTTGAAGGTCTTGCCGTTGTAGACGCCCACCATGCTGCCCACCATCTTGGGCAGGATGATCATGTCCCGCAGGTGCGTCTTCACCACTTCCGGCTTCTCCATGGGCGGTGCCTCCTTCTTGGCCTTGCGCAGGCGCTTCAGCAGCGAGTTCTGTTTCCGCCGCAGGCCCGGGTTCACTTGCGGCCGCTGGCACGCACTGTACAGCTGCGTCAGCTGCTCGCAGGACACGTCCCGTCCCGCAGCTGGTCCAAGTCTGTGCCGCGGTAGGTGAGTTTGCGGAAGGTCCGCTTCTTCTGCTCTACCTCGGCCATCTTGTCGGATCCTCAGAAAAGTTCACTTCCATTTTTAGGCAGCTCGTAAAGCTTTAAAATTTTTTGGCAAACTAAATTTAATATACTTTTAATGATTTAAAAATGAATTAGTAAAGTTTTTTTGTTTTTGCTTTTTTTTTTTTTTGACGAAACGGAGTTTCACTCTTGTCACCCAGGTTGGAGTGCAATGGCATGATCTCCGCTCGCCACAACCTCCGCCTCCCGGGTTCAAGCGATTCTCCTGCTTCAGCCTCCGGAGTAGCTGGGATTACAGGCATGTGCCACCATGCCTGGCTACTTTTGTACTTTTAGTAGAGATGGGGTTTCTCCATTTTGGTCAGGCTGGTCTCGAACTCCCGACCTCTGGTGATCCGCCTGCCTCGGCCTCCCAAAGTGTTGGGATTACAGGCGTGAGCCACCCCACCTGGCCGAATTAGTAAAGTTACTGATAGCAAAACTGATTTTTCTTACTGTACTTTTATTGGCAGTTACTTTTTGTGTAATGCTAATAATTGTTCTGTATATTAATAAAGCAAGCAAAATACTATTAGCTCATCTGTAATTTAGTATTTTTATAAAGCTAATACTTTTATAAAATTTTAATGCTCTATAAAAGTATAAAGATACCTTGTACAGATACTTTATAAAGATCAAAGACAGCCGAAAGTCCTGCAATCCCAGCACTTTGGGAGGCCGAGGCGGGTGGATCACCTGAGGCCGGGAGTTCAAGACCAGCCTGGTCAACATGGTGAAACCCCGTCTCTACTAAAAATACAAAAAATTAGCTGGGCGTAGTGGCACTCGCCTGTAATCCCAGCTACTCGGGAGGCTGAGGCAGGAGAATCTCTTGAACCCGGGAGGTAGAGGTTGCAGTGAGCCCAGATTGCGCCGTTGCACTCCAGCCTGGGCAACAAGAGTAAAACTCGTCTCAAAAAAAAAAAAAAAAAAGAAAGACCACCAAAAGTCTTGTGTTACTAGCTCTTGAAATCTTCTATATTTGCAAATGAATGTATTAGTGTAAAGGAATTAGGACTAAGCTGTATTCGTGATATCAGGTGAGGGTTTACATTTTCATTTACACTAAAGAACAGCTTTCCCATGATTTGTTCCTCCTTTGTAGCACGCTGAGTATTGTGTGTTGAATTTGAATTCCTTAAATGGAATTAAGGGAAATTGAGGTTTCTGTATGATTTTTGAAGAAATGCTGCAGCGTATAAATCCAGGCTAACAAGATATAATGTCTTTTAAGAACTGTGAGATAACCTACAAAATGAATGATGTATATTTGTAGGGCCTATAAATGGCTGATCCTAAGACTTAACATCTTGGCAGAAGCACTCGGATTCCTGCAGAGTCAGGTTTCTGTTTTGGAAATGGACCACACTGCAGATTTTGAAAATGAGTGGTGTTATTCCTGACTCCTTCAAAATATATCCCTCTGACCTTTCAGCTCCGTTCACCTTCTCTGCTGCTATCACAAGTCAGACTTGGTTAAGGGAAATAGATTAATAGTAAAACTGTTTTAGCCATCAAGTTTCCTTTCCCATTCCCCAAACGTACTAATTAAACAGTTACTTCAAGGATTTATATAAACCTCTTAATAAAGCTGATAAAAGCTGTACAACTAAATATTTATGAAAGCTTTTGGAAAAAAATCTATTTTTGGATTCCTACTCTTTAATATTTATAAAGTGATTTGAACGCAAAAATGCCAAATAGAACTAAACTGAATGCTGTGATTGTTAATAATACTATTGAGTCTACAGCAGCCTCTGTTGATATATGGCTAAATGAGTCCTTCATTATATCACAGTGGTTATGCTGCTTTCACTGAAAATCGTTAGATGGTGGGGCAGTACTTTTATGAAACTATCAAATTTCTGGGATTCCATTTTTTATAAAATGACATTTTGACAGTGTAAACCTTTATTTTAATTTGAATCTTTCATTATCTACTTTGATTAAATAAAAATGCTGAGTTACTCTTCAGCAAGTATACAAAAAGTAATCATCTCTGCCAAATTTCTGTGATTTGTAAATTCTGAGTTTTTTTGGTGGCTCTTGCATGATTTCTTGGTTGGCAAATTATTAAATTTCTTCTCACCCCTCATTTCAAAATGAGGGTGCTTCTTTGGCTTTGGCTGGAAATTGTGTTAGCAACCTATAAAAAGAAAAACTTTAGACAAATTAGACTTAGTTTATTTGAGCAAAGAAATGAATCATAAATCAGGCAGCACCTGAACCAGTAAAGCTTCAGAGTGCTCACCCAGTGACATAGGCAGGCAGTATTTATAGACAGAGAAAGGAAGTGACATGGCCAGGCGCAGTAGCTCGCACCTATAATCCCAGCACTTTGGGAGGCCGAGGCAGGAGGATCACCTTAGGTCAGGAGTTAGAGACCAGCCTGGCCAACATGGTGAAACCATGTCTCTACTAAACATACAAAAATTAGCTGAGCGTGGTGGCGCTTGCCTGTAATCCCAGCTATTTGAGAGGCTGAAGCAGGAGAATCGCTTGAATCCTGGAGTTGGAGATTGCAGTGAGCCGAGATCACACCACTGCACTCCAGCCTGGGCTGCAGAGTGAGACCCCATCTCAGAAAAAAAAAAAAAAAAAGAAAGAAAGGATGTGACATATAGAGATAGCCTGATTGGATACAGCTCTGCTTTGCCTTATTAGGACATGTCTGAGCAGTTTGCAGCCCATAATTGGCTGAAAGCTCAGCTGCCATGCATGGTTGGCTGAGACTTGGTTTTTATTACAGGAATATACTCTCAAATTATGTTGTAGTTTGTGTGCATATTAAGTTAGGTGACAGCTCCCTAGGCATGGAGGCAGTTTTAGGCCAGGTTTAAATTAAGGGCTACAAGCCACTGTCTAGCGAGGATGTTACTTGTTTTGTTTTGTTTTTGAGGGCGCAATCTCGGCTCACTGCAGCCTCCGCCTCCTGGGTTCAAGCGATT
The DNA here is from genome assembly GCF_000001405.40 of Homo sapiens. Classification (NCBI taxonomy): domain Eukaryota; kingdom Metazoa; phylum Chordata; class Mammalia; order Primates; family Hominidae; genus Homo; species Homo sapiens. The sequence goes on from NC_000012.12 coordinate 4,327,775, forward strand.
CTTCTGCCTCAGCCTCCCGAGTCGCTGGGACTACAGGCACACACCACCACGCCCAGCTAATTTTTGTATTTTTGGTAGAGACGGGGTTTCACCATATTGGCCAGGCTGGTCTCAAACTCCTGACCTCATGATCCGCCTGCTTCGGCCTCCCAAAGTGCTGGGATTACAGGCATGAGCCACCGCGCCCAGCCGAGGATGTTACTTATATTGAAATAACAGATATTTTATTCTTGGTCTCAGCAAGATTTTGAGGCTGAGACAGGAAGTGAATCCAATACATGGTAACTATTTTCTAGATTAAAAATGACAGGTTCCCCATGTTTGCCCTGAATGCTTCTGCTTTATCCATCTGAATGGTAGAGGCTAATATCCTCTTTCATGCCCATTTTATAAGATTCTGAATGAATTTTGGAGTGTAGGAAATCTTTTTTTTTGAGATGAGGTCTTGCTTTTGTCGCCCAGGCTGGAGTGCAATGGCATGATCTTGGCTCACTGCAACCTCCACCTCCTGGGTTCAAGTCATTCTCCTGCCTCAGCCTCCCGAATAGCTGGGATTACAGGTGCCTGCCACCACGCCTGGCTAATTTTTGTATTTTTAGTAGACACAGGATTCTACCATGTTGGCCAGGATGGTCTCGGACTCCTGACCTCAGGTGATCTGCCCTCCTTGGCCTCCCAAAGTGCTGGGATTACAGGCATGAGCCACTGCATGTGGCCTAGGTAATCTTTTATTAATATTAACAACAATGATAATGGCAAATCAGTGCTGTTGGTTTTTTACCAAGGTATAAATAGTTCCATGTATTTTTTTTTTTTTTTGGAGACAGAGTCTTGCTCTGTTGCCCAGGCTGAAGTGCAGTGGCATGATCTTGGCTCACTGCAACCTCCACCTCCCAGGTTCAAGCGATTCTTCTGCCTCAGCCTCCCGAGTAGCTGGGACTACAGGCACTCACCACCATGCCTGGCTGATTTTTGTATTTTTATCAGAGACGGAGTTTCACCTTGTTGGCCAGGCTGGTCCCGAACTCCTGACCTCGTGATCTGCCCACCTCGGCCTCCCAAAGTGCTGGGATTACAGGCGTGAGCCACCGTGCCTGGCCAGTTCTGTGTAATTTTATTTCTTTATCATACGTTTATTTTTTAAGCTAATACATCTACATATTTAGAAATCAAAACAATTCTCCGTAGTCTTCCTATTCTTCCCCCAACCAATAGGTGGCCACATTTATTAGTTTCATGTTTATCCTTCCATTGTTTCTTTGTGCAGATCCAGATGTTTATTTCCCTCCTTTCTAAAAGGGTAGCTTTCTTTTTATATTACTCTATACCCTGCTTTTTCTACTTAATCATATATCTTGGTGAGCATTCCATATCTTTACATATAATCTCTCTCTTTAAAGGACACATTTACATAGGATTCCATTAGGTAGATATGTCACTGTTTATTTGTTAATATAAATAATGGTTATTCTGGCCATAGTTAAGGAATGAGTTATGGACATTTGGGTTGTTTATAATCTGTTGCTATTAGAAATAATACTGTAGCTAATGATCTTTTTTTTTTTTTTTTTTTTTTTTTTGTGAGACAGGGTCTTGCTCTCTCACCCATACTGGAGTGCAGTGGTGTGATTGCAGCTCACTGCAACCTCTGCCTCCCGGGTTTAAACAATTCTTGTGCCTCAGTCTCCCGAGTAGCTGGGATTACAGACGCCCGCCACCACGCATGGCTAAATTTTGTATTTTTAGTAGAGATGGGGTTTCATCATCTTGGCCATGCTGGGCTTGAACTCCTGACATCGTGATCTACCCACCTCGGACTCCCAATGTGCTGGAATTACGGGCATGAGCCACCACGTCTGGCCACAAATAATCTTTTAAATATGAGTGAATTCAGTTATTCCCAGTAATTGGGTTATTGGATAAAAGGGTAAACAGATTTGTCATTTTGATAGGTATTTCCAGATGACCCTCCCTAGGTAAAAGCACATTCACTGAAGTTCTGTCATTTCCCAGCATTTTCTCCAGGCCCTGGGCATGTTGAGGGTATGCAATCCCTGCTTGTGCCTTTAAGGAACTGGAGCCAGGATAGACACAGAGCTAAAAAGTCAATTAGCACACAGATGAAAACTTATGTTGGTAGTGCCAGGGGACCATGGGAGTATAGAGTGTGGGTATTAAATAGAGTAGGTAGATGGGGAATGGTACTGGGGAGGGAGACTACCTAAAAGAACCAGTCTTGTGTTGGGTCTTAAAGAACATTCATATTGGCCAAATCCAGCAATCTGTATCTTGGCAGAGGTTGGCATACAGCTGTTTTTGTAAACAAGCGGCAAGATTCCAGGATGAGGCCTGAGTTTGTGATTCTGACTTCCAGGTCTGGTAGATTTTTTTTTCTAGATCTGAGTAAATCAGTCCTATGTGACATTTTAATTATTATAAACTAGTGCTTCACTTAAAAACAATGGAGCGATCATTTTCCATCGAAATCAAGGAAATGCAAATTAAAATTAAAGTGAGATGAATTGTTCAGGTACCAGATTGGTACAAATTGAAGAAACCTTCCATCACTGAATCTTGTTGAGGGTGGTACACCACACTACAGGGTGGTGTAACCTGCTATGACACTGGCATTACCTAATAAAGCTGGTATTTGCATACCTTATGGCCCAGCAATTCTAGTGGTAGGTTGGGTCAGCAAACATTTAATTAGTGCTCAAAGAAATTTCAGCTGAATTCTCTTTGATTCTACTTTTCATGTATTTGAAAGTTGCATTATTGTTAACCTATCCTGCTGTCTGTCCAGTCTTGCCCATGCACTTCCCGCCCTTTTCCCCCTCCAGCCTCAGTAACCCCAGTTATTTTCTGACAAAGTTTCCAGTTCTTTTACCCTTCCGGTTGGTTCAGATTGCTTTGATTTGTTTTGGTATTTTAGTTTTTAAAAGTGTAGTACTCAAACCTCAGTTCAGTGTGCAGTTAGTTGGTCTGCGAGATAGCTGTCAGTACTACAAAAAATAACTGCTGAAGACCTAGGAACTAAGAGAAGGCAGGGGGTTCTGAAGGTTTGTGCACGTCTCTCCCATTCCATTCAGATTCTCTTTCACTTGCTCATTCAGTCCAGCAATGAATAGACTGACTCTCACGTTTTTGTTCCTGCTGCCAGTAAGAGTAGTTTTGATCAATATATTTCTTTTAACAAAATTATTTGGCTGAAATGTTATTTGCATTATATTTTTTAGTAGGATTTTCCACCTGCAATTCACTTAAGATTGGTTCCTGATCTACACGTTTTAGTTTGGAGTAGTTTGAAATTCTTAGCTCTTCATTAAAGAAGACAATTGCAAATATTAGTTTAGAATAAATTGTTTTTACAGGTTGGATTATGAAGTGTGTTACAAGTTTCACATGATATTTTTAGAGTATCACCACACTTGATTGCTCATTTTTTTCCTCCTCTCAAAAACAGTATAATTTGGCTAATAAGGTTGTCCTTCTCTTTCTATTTTAGTGGAGAAACAAGATTTAACAAGGAGAAAATAATCCAAGGTTGGTATAATCCGATTGTTATTTTAGCTCTCACCCTTGTGTTAATAAGATGTGTGAGTTAAGCAGATTTGGTGGGGTGGGGTAGACTGGGGGCAGCACTCCATTGTGAATTGGGATTACAGAATCAAAGCATCATAACCACAGAAATATGATCAGGGCTGTTAGTAACCAGGAGGAATAAATCTCTCAAGTGAACTGGGTGTGAAGTACAGGTCTCCAAGTTATTCTTTATGTATGGCTTCAAAGTGGCTCTGTCAGCTGATTAATTATATTGGGTCTGGGTGTCTTAAAATATAAATGTCTGGATTTGAAATTATTTTATATTTGGAAACATGAAGTTTACTGACTGGTGTTAATGGTATTTTTTTCTGCTAAGATGGTTATTTTAATTTTAGTAGTAATAAAGGTTTAAAAAAAGAACTATTTTCACATGTGGTCGTTACTTTATTCTGAAGAGATTCTTTCTCCCTTTTTCTGTTAATTTGGACTCAGATCTTTTATTTGCCCTGTGATCCAGCTAGTCTGGCTTTTTAAGAATATCTTGAACTTTTGGCTAGACATGCTATTTCTGTGCTGTGATTATAAAAGCATTTAGTTTTATTTTTTTGGTTAGGGACTTCCGGGGTTTACAAAAACTGATTTTCATATTCCGTGTGCCTGACTCCCTTTTATGGACAATAACTGGTCTGATTCTCAAAGGAACCTTTGTTTTCAGACGAAATATGCCCCACCCAGGTTATCCTCTGGACTGAAGCCTCTTACCACCTGGCCTTTGGTATTGCTCATTTCTCTTTTTCCTAAGACATTGACAATGGAACGTCAAGAAAGTTTTTGTGTTCTTTTCCTGACCTTGTCAGTTGGATGCTTTAGTTCTTTAAGTTACAGCCTTTTGTGTATAAGCATTCAAGGCTCATGTATTTCTTTTTTTTTTTTTTTTTTTTTTGAGTCAGGGTCTCACTGTGCCGCCCAACCTGGAGTGCAGTGGTGCGAACTCGGCTCACTGCAACCTCCGCCTCCCAGGTTCAAGCGATTTCTCATGTCTCAGCCTCCTGAGTAGCTGGGATTACAGGCACGTGCCCCCATGCCCAGCTAATTTTTGTATTTTTGGTAGAGGTGGTGTTTTGCCATGTTGGCCAGGCTGGTCTTGAACTCCTGACCTCAGTTGATATGCCTGCCTTAGCATCCCAAAGTGCTGGAATTACAGGCCTGAGCCGCCGCACGCGGCCTCAAGGCTTATATATTCCTAAGTACTGTTTTTGTTTGCATGCCCGTAGTTTTGACACGTGGTAATGTGGTAAGCATTCAGCACCAAGTATTTTCAATTCCCATTGAGTGACTTCCATTATAAATGCTTTTGTGTTCTGTCAGTATGGTTTATTTGATGATACTTCTTTGAAATGTGTTAATTATGGTCAGTTTTTATAATTCTTCCATTGTATGCTTCAGAAAAATGTATAATCCGTCATTGTTGGGACTGGAATTATATATAAAATAATCAGCCTTCTTGATTTTGTTTTTCAAATCTTACACACTTTATTAGCTTTATAAATGCACTAGTTTGCCTGCATGTCCTAAATATCAATTTATGAGTGCAGTATTTTTAATTTCCTGCTGCAGTGGCCAGTTTGCCCTTTAATACTTGGAATTCTATCCATTTTTGGTTTCTATGTTCTGCTTTTGTATCGACTGAGGTTACTTTATTAGGCTTATACAAGTTTAAATGATTACATCTTCTGAGTAAATTGGATCACTGATTTTCTTATAGTGGTCCCCAAATCCTTAGTGAGACTTTTGTCATAAAGTCTTATTTTTCTGACAGTAATATAGCTACTTGAGCTGTTTTGGGGATGGAATTTCACTGGTATGTATTTTTCCATCTCATTCCTTTCACTCTTTGTGTATACTCATGTTTAAGTGTTATCTCATAAATAGTATGTAGCTAAATTTTGGCTCTTTTGAAAATATATATAAGTTGTCTTTTTTTTTTTTTGAGACAGAGTCTTGCTCTGTCACCCAGGGTGGAGTGCAATGGCGCGATCTCAGCTCACTGCAACCTCTGCCTCCCGGGTTCAAGCAATTCTCCTGCCCGAGACTCCCGAGTAGCTGGGATTACAGGTTCCCGGCACCACACCTGGCTCATTTTTTAAATTTTTATTTATTTATTTATTTTGAGACGGAGTCTCACTCTGTTGCCCAGGCTGGAGTGCAATGGCGTGATCTCGGCTCCTGCAACCTCCACCTCCCGGGTTCAAGCGATTCTCCTGTCTCAGCCTCCTGAGTAGCTGGGATTACAGGTGCACACTACCAGGCTCGGCTAGTTTTTGTATTTTTAGTAGAGACGGGGTTTTACCACATTGGTCAGGCTGGTCTCGAACTAACCTGGTGATCCACCCACCTCGGCCTCCCAAAGTGCTGGGATTGCAGGCGTTAGCCACCGCGCCTGGCCTAATTTTTGTATTTTTAGTAGAGACGGGGTTTCACCATGTTGGCCAGGCAGGTCTCAAACTCCTGACCTCAGGTGACCCATCTGCCTTGGCCTCCCAAAGTGTTGGGATTACAGGCGTGAGCCACCACGCTTGGCCTAGAATCTGTCTTTTAACTGGCAGTAGTGACTGTTTGCCTTTATTCTGGTCACTGATGTGTTTCGATTTTTTTTCTTTGTTTTTTTTTTCCCCTTCTTTTTATAGTCTTTCTTTTTTTAATCTTACCTGCTTTTACTTCTTAAGTTCTTGGTTTTTTTCCTGTTCCACACTTTCTTACTTTCCCCACTACCTTTCAAATGATGTACCATTTCCATTCTTTTCAAGGTTATCTTAAAATTCTTACCCTCATACCTGTCTTAGCCAAGGCTGCTGTAACAGAGTATCATGGACCCAGTGGCTTAAACAATACACAGTTCTAGAGACTGTGAATTCCAAGATCAGGGTGCCAGCAGATCCAGTGTCTGTGGAGGACCTGATTCCTGGTTTGCGGACTGCTGTCTTCTGGTTAATATCCTCACATGGCAGAGAGATAGATTGAGAACACTTATAAGGACACTAATCCTGTTCATGAGGGCTCCACCCTAGGATCTAATCACCTCCCAAAGGCCTGCCTCCTAATACGATCACATTGAGGGTTAGGATGTCAACATTTGAATTTTGGGGGGACACATTTACTCTGACAATACCTAATAAAGTATAATATTAATATCCCCTCTTCCAAAAAATACAAAGAACTTGTCTAGTCGCTTAGTCCTGTCTTTTTTTAATTGCTTGAGGTAGACATTATTATCTTCATTTGTTTAGATGGCATTTAAATTTATGAATATATTTGCAAGTTTCTCTGCTCCTCATTTGTTTTCGTCTCAGACCATTCCTGAAGTACGTTCTTTGAAAAGTCCTCTAGTGTGTGTAGAGCAGCTGGTGGTAAACATAGTGGCTTCAGTCGGTACACACTTGTAACTGATGATTCTCTCAGCACTTGGAAGATAGCATTCTGCAGTTTTGGTTCCATTTTTCCTGTTAAGAGATTTCTATCAGCTAAATGGTGTTCCATGGTAGGAAATATGTCTTTCTCTGTAACTTCCTTTAAACTCTTCAATTTTGATATTCTTTAGTTTCTCATAATATATCTAGGAGGAATTTTTTTTTTAATGTATCCTGCTTGATGTACATGTGTTTTCTTATTCTGTGAAATTCTTAGCTATTTTCTTTTCATATTCCTCTCCTTCATTTTTTCTGTTCTTTTATTTTTTTGAGACGGAGTTTCACTCTTGTTGCCCAGGCTGGAGTGCAGTGGTGTGATCTTGACTCACTGCAACCTCCGCCTCCTGGGCTCAAGTGATTCTCCTGCCTCAGCCTTCCAAGTAGCTGGGATTACAGGCGTGCTCCACCATGCCCAGCTAATTTTGTATTTTTAGTAGAGACAGGATTTCGCCATGTTGGCCAGTCTGACTTTGAACTCCTGACCTCGAGTGATCCACCCCCTTCAGCCTCCCAAAGTGCTGGGATTGCAGGCGTGAGCCACCATGCCCGGCCATTTTTTTTTTTTTATTCCTTTAGAGTTCCAATTAGATGCATGTTATAGACTGAATGTTTTTCTTCCCAAAAGTTACATGTTGAAATCATAACTCCCAATATGATGACATTAGGAGGTGGGGTCTTTGGGTGGTTATTAGGTCACAAGGGTGCAGCCCTCATGAATGGAATTTATTCAAGAGACACCAGAGAGCTCTTTCCTCTTTGTGCCATGGGAGCACTGAAGGAGAAGTCAGTAGCGTGTAATGTGGAGAGGCCCTCACCAGAACCCAACCATGATGGTACCCTCATCTCAAACTTCCAGCCTCCAGAACTGTGAGAAATAAATATCTGTTGTTAACAAGTCACCCAGTCTGTAGTACTTTGTTACAGCAACTAAGACAAGGCATCGTTAGGAGTTCTCATTCTTTCCTTTAGAACTCTAATATATCTGAGCTATGCTCTATCTCCTTGTATCTGTGCCGTGTACTGGGTAATATCTTCTGCTCTGTCTTTGAGTTCATTAAACCTCCTTTCATCTGAATCTCTGTTTATCCATTGAGGGGCCCTCCAGCCCCCAGCAATCCTGATTTTTATTATTAAAAGATCTATTTGGTTATTTTAGAAAATTGTCTACTTATTTTTGATGCTTACTGTTACTTGCTTATTTTTGTGACTCTGTCTTTATGTTTTATTCATAGTTATTGTAAATTCCCTATTTGCTGATTTCAATGTCTGAAGTCTTGATGGGTGGCTTTGGTTTATGGTAGATTATTTTCTTGTGTGTTGAATCTTTGGCTAAACAATTATTTGTTCTAAATTAGTGGAAAACCTGTTAGCCTCTTTTGAGAATGCTTTGCTCTGAAAAGGATTTGCATTTTATTTTACCACAGGCCTGAGGCTGCATTAAGTCTCCTTACAGGAGCCCTCGCTCCCAAGAATGTTGTGTTTAGTCCTCCCGCTTGCCGTCCCCTCCAGCAGGCCTCCTCTCCCAGCCCCACCAGCGTGTCCTCATAGTCCACCACCTTCATTTTTTTCATGTCGGTATTCACAGTTCAGCTCAGGGCTTTGGGGTTGCTTTACTTTGTCCCTTGGAGATTTTTTGTATGTTCTGTGGGCCCAGCAATGCAGCACACACACACACACACACACACACACACACACACACACACACACACACTCACACACATACACCATTTAGATCTTTAGTAGGAGGTCCCTTCAGAGTGTCCAGCCAACCGTTATCCTGGAAATAGAGGTTTCAAAGCATTTTTAAAATGAAAAAGACAAAGAAATGGAGGGAGGAAGGAAAGAGGAAAAGTAATACCATTATAATACTGAGCATTTGGATGATGGGAATAAAGAAGGAAAAAACTTTTAGATGATGGTCCTACCGCCCCAACACAGTACCTGTAAGATCAGAGCCAATTAATGAAGAGAGGGGCAAACATAAAAGAGGGAAAAGCTAAGACATTTCTATCTCATCATCACCTAATTCCCATTAGGCAAGCATTCTTTTGGAAAATAATTGAATACCTGAGCCTTTAAAGACTTAAAACTTATTTTTACTTGCTAATAACTCCCTGAAAAGTTACGTGGAAGAGTACTTAAAAAATCTTTCATTAAAATTTAGATAAATGCAGCTTATATTTTCTACATGTGATTTATACATCTCTGATATGTAGTTTTGAATGTTATTGTTCCTCTTCTTAATATATCACAGGACAAGGAGTAGATGAACCTCTTTCAGAAACTGGATTTAAACAAGCAGCAGCTGCTGGTATATTTCTGAATAATGTGAAGTTTACTCATGCTTTCTCCAGTGATCTCATGAGGACAAAGCAGGTACATTTATTTATTTATTTATTTTGAGACAGAGCGTCACTCTATGCCCAGGCTGGAGTGCAGTGGTGCAGTCTCTGTTCACTGCAACCTCCATCTCCCGGGTTCAAGTGATTCTGATGCCTCAGCCTCCCAATAGCTGGGATTACAGGTGTGTGCCACCACACCTAGCTAATTTTTGTATTTTTAGTAGAGATGGGGTTTTGCCATGTTGCTGGTCTCAAACCCCTAACCTCAGGTGATCCACTTGCCTCAGCCTCCCAAAGTGCTGGGATTACAGGCGTGAGCCACCACGCCCAGCAACAGGTGAGTTTAGAGTCAAGGTCTAGGCTGATGTGCCAAAAGTCTCAACAATTGTATAATCTTGAAAAATCTGCTACCAGAGTCTGTAGGGAATTAAATCCCAAACAGACATGACCTTCCTCAACAGAACTTATTTATTTTAATTTTATTTTGTACTTTTTAAAAAAAATAATTTTTAAATTAGAGTAGCCTAGAAAAAAAAGTCCAGCAAGAATATAAATAAGCTATTATGAGAGAGAGCAGGGAAAATGACAGGAGAAATTAATCCACTGTGACATCAGGTATTAGGATTACCAGATAGAGTAAGAAACCACTATGTCACTGTAAAGAAATAAAAGACTTGTTAGAAATATCTTCAGGGAACAGATTACTATAAAAATGAAAAACCAGTTGGGCATGGTGGCTCATGCCTGTGATCCCTGCACTTTGGGAGGCCGAGGCAGGTGGATCACTTGAGGTCAGGAGTTCAAGACCAGCCTGGCCAACATGGTGAAACCCTATCTCCACTACAAATACAAAAATTAGCCAGGTGTGGTGGCGTGCACCTTAATCCCAGCTACTTGGGAGGCTGAGGCAGGAGAATCGCTTGAACACAGGAGGCAGAGGTTGCAGTGAGCCAAGATCGTGCCGTTGCATGGTTGGGCTACAGAGCAAGACTCTTGTCTCGAAAATAAAAAAAAAGTAAAATTAAAAACGAACCCAGTCTACTTCTAAAAACTCCATGGAAGGAGAGTTTTGTGACCAACTGTGAGTGAGGTATTGTTGGAATTTCATCTCCCCTATAAACAATTAGAAAATGTGGCAAAATATGTGAAACCACTGTTTTCAGATATTAGACTTTGGGCACTGTGGGCCTATGATGCCTGAATGAAGTAGAACAAAGAAGGTGAGCCCTAGGGAGTGTCCTGGTTTTCTGGCTGAAGCAATTTCCAGACTCTGGTAGGGGAAGCCAAGTAGTGCTTAGAGGTCTCCGTGAGTTAAGGAGACAAAACTTGGAATTTGGGGAGGTTAATTTTTACATAACTTAAATTTGTGGGGCAGAGTAATGGAAGAAAGACGTGGATAGACAAAGAACTCTAGAAATATGTACAAGAATTTCTTTAAATTGAAACATTTCTTGAAACAAATGATAATGGAAACACAATATACCAAAACCTGTGGGATACAGCAAAAATATTAGGGAAATTTTAGCTGTAAGTACCTACATCAAAAAAAGAAGAAAAACTCCAAATAAACATCTAACAATGCATCTTAAAGAACAAGAAAAGCCACTTTGGGAGGCCGAGATGGGAGGATTGCCTGAGCTCAGGAGTTCAAGACCAGCCTGGGCAATACGGTGAAACACCGTCTCCACTGAAATAACAAATCTGCCTGGCGTGGTGGCAGGCACCTGTAATCCCAGCTACTTAGCAGGCTGAGGCATGAGAATTGCTTGAACCTGGGAGGCAGAGGTTGCAGTGAGCTGAGATTGTGCCACTGCACTCCAGCCTGGGCAACAAAGCAAAACTTTGTCTCACAAAAAAAAAAAAAAAAAAAAAGACAGAAAGAACTAGAAAAGCAAGAGTAAACCAAATCCAAAATTATTAGAAGAAAAATAATAATGATCAGAGCACAAATAATTGAAATTGAAATGAAGACTCCAAAAGATCAGTGAAATGATAAATTGGTATTTTGAAAAGATAAAATTGACAGACCTTTAGGTAGATTTAACTAAGAAGATAAAGATCCAAATAGGTAATATCAGATGAAAAAGGAGATATTACAACCAATATCTCAGAAATTCAAAGGAGCATTAAGGGCTACTATCAGCAACTATATGCCAAAAAATTGGAAAATCTAGAGGAAATGCACAAATTCCTAGACACGTGCAACCTACCAAGATTGAACCAGGAAGAAATCCAAAGCCTAAACAGAATAATAACAAGTACCAAGATTGAAGCCATTATAAAAGTCTCCCAGTAAAGAAGAGTCTGGGACCTGATGGCTTCACTGCTGAATTCTACCAAACATCTAAAGTACTAATACCAATCCTACTGAAACTATTCCATAAAATAGAGGAGGAGGGAATACTTCCAAACTTATTCTGTGAGGCCAGTAGTATCCTGATACCAAAACCAGACAGACACATTAAAAGAAGAAAACTACAGGCCAGTATTCCTGATGAAGATTGACACAAAAATCCTTAACAAAATACTAGCAAACCAAATTCAACAATACCATTAGAAAGATCATTCTACCTGACTGAGGGGGATTAATCCCAGGGATGCAAGGATGTTTCAACATAAACAAGTGAATCAATGTGATACATTATATCAACAGAATAAAGGACAGAAACCATATGATCATTTCAATTGAGGCTGAAAAAGCATTTGATAAAATCTAACATCCCTTCATGATGAAAACCCAAAAACAACCTAGGTACGGAAGGAACAATATAAAACAGTACAGTAAAAGCCTCAACACAATAAAAGCCGTATGCAATAGACCCACAGCTTATGTCATACTGAGTGAGGAGAAACTGAAAGCCTTTCCTCTAAGATCTAGAACAAGACAAGGATGCCCATTTTCACCACTGTTATTCAACGTAGTACTGGAAGTCTTAGCTGGAGCAATCAGACAAGAGAAAGGAATAACATTTAAATCGGAAAGGAAGAAATCAAATTATCCTTGTTTGCAGATGATAGGATCTTATATTTGGAAAAACCTGAAAACCCCACCAAAAAACAATTAGAACTGATACATTTGGTAAAGTTGCAGGATGCAAAGCAAGATACAAAAATCAGTAGCATTTGAATATGCCAACAATGAATAATCTGAAAAAGAAGAAGTAATCTCATTTACAGTAGCCACAAATAAAATTAAATACTCAGGAATTAACCAAAGAAGTGAAAGAGCTCCACAAGGAAAACTATAAGACACTGATGAAAGAAGTTAAAGAGGACAACAAAGAAATGGAAAGATATTCTATATTCATAGATTAGAAGAGTCAATATTGTTAAAATGTTCATACTACCCAAAGCAATCTACAGATTCAATGCAATTTCTATCAAAATACCAATGACATTCTTCACAGAAGTAGAAAAAAGCATCCTAAAATTTATGTGGAACTGCAAAAGACCCAGAATGGCCAAAGCCATCCTTAGCAAAAACAAAATTGGAAGAATCACAGTACCTGACTTCAAATTATACAAAGAGCTATAGAAACCAAAATAGCATGGTACTGACATAAAAACAGACACATAGACCAATAGACCAGAATAGAGAACCCAGAAACAAATCCATGCATCTGCAGCAAATTCATTTTTGACAAAGATGCCAAGAAGATACATTGGGAGAGTCTCTTCAATAAATAGTGCTTGGAAAACTGGATATCCATATACAGAAGAATGAAACTAGACCCCTGTCTTTCTCCATATACAAATATCAAATAAAATGGATTGAAGACTTAAATCTAAGACCTCAAACTATGAAACTACTACAAGAAAACATTGGGGAAACTCTCCAGAACATTGTTCTGGCCAGAGATTTCTTGAGCAATAACCTGCAAGCACAGGCAACCAAAGCAAAAATGGACAAATGGGATCACATCAAGTTTAAAAGCTTTGGTGCAGCAAAGGAAACAATCAACAAAGTGAAGAGACAACCCACAGAATGGGAGAAAATATTTGTAAACTACCCATCTGACAAGGGATTAATAACCAGAGTATATAAGGAGCTCAAACAACTTTATAGGAAAAAATCTAATAATCCAACTAAAAATGGGCAAAATGTCTGAATAGATGTTTCTCAAAAGAAGACATACAAATGACAAAGAGAGGGGGGGCGGTTCCAAGATGGCCGATTAGGAACAGCTCCAGTCTGCAGCTCCCAGCGTGAGCGACGCAGAAGACGGGTGATTTCTGCATTTCCAACTGAGCTTTGAAGAGAGTAGTCGTTCTCCCAGCATGGAGTTTGAGATCTGAGAACGGACAGACTGCCTCCTCACATGGGTCCCTGACCCCCGAGTAGCTTAACTGGGAGGCACCCCCCAGTAGGAGCAGACTGACACCTCACACGGCCGGGTACCCCTCTGAGACAAAACTTCCAGAGGAGCGATCAGGCAGCAACATTTGCTGTTCAGCAATATTTGCTGTTCTGCAGCCTCCACTGCTGATACCCAGGCAAACAGGGTCTGGAGTGGACCTCCAGCAAACTCCAACAGACCTGCAGCTGAGGATCCTGACTGTTAGAAGGAAAACTAACAAACAGAAAGGACATCCATACCAAAACCCCATCTGTACGTCACCATCATCAAAGACCAAAGGTAGATAAAACCACAAAGATGGGGAAAAAACAGAGCAGAAAAACTGAAAATTCTAAAAATCAGAGCGCCTCTCCTCCAAAGGAACGCAGCTCCTCACCAGCAACGGAACAAAGCTGGACGGAGAATGACTTTGACGAGCTGAGAGAAGAAAGCTTCAGATGATCAGACTTCTCTGAGCTAAAGGAGGAAGTTCGAACCCATTGCAAAGAAGTTAAAAACCTTGAAAAAAGATCAGACGAATGGCTAACTAGAATAACCAATGCAGAGAAGTCCTTAAAGGACCTGATGGAGCTGAAAACCATGGCATGAGAACTACGTGATGAATGCACAAGCTTCAGTAGCCAATTCGATCAACTGGAAGAAAGGGTATCAGTGATTGAAGATCAAATGAATGAAATGAAGTGAGAAGAGAGGTTTAGAGAAAAAAGAATAAAAAGAAATGAACAAAGCCTCCAAGAAATATGGGACTATGTGAAAAGACCAAATCTATGTCTGATTGGTGTACCTGAAAGTGACAGGGAGAATGGAACCAAGTTGGAAAACACTCTGCAGCATATTATCCAGGAGAACTTCCCCAACCTAGCAAGGCAGGCCAACATTCAAATTCAGGAAATACAGAGAATGCCACAAAGATACTCCTCAAGAAGAGCAACTCCAAGATGCATAATTGTCAGATTCACCAAAGTTGAAATGAAGGAAAAAATGTTAAGGGCAGCCAGAGAGAAAGGTCAGGTTACCCACAAAGGGAACCCCATCAGACTAACAGCAGATCTCTTGGTAAAAACTCTACAAGCCAGAAGAGAGTGGGGGCCAATATTCAACATTCTCAAAGAAAAGAATTTTCAACCCAGAATTTCATATCCAGCCAAACTAAGCTTCATAAGTGAAGGAGAAATAAAATCCTTTACAGACAAGCAAATGCTGAGAGATTTCGGCACCACCAGGCCTGCCCTAAAAGAGCTCCTGAAGGAAGCACTAAACATGGAAAGGAACAACCAGTACCAGCCACTGCAAAAACATGTCAGATTGTAAAGACCATCAATGCTAGGAAGAAACTGCATCAACTAATGAGCAAAATAAGCAGCTAACATCATAATGACAGGATCAAATTCACACATAACAATATTAACCTTAAATGTAAATGGGCTAAATGTTCCAATTAAAAGACACAGACTGGCAACTTGGATAAAGAGTCAAGACCCATCAGTGTGCTGTATTCAGGAAATCCGTCTCACATGCAGAGACACACCTAGGCTCAAAATAAAGGGATGGAGGAAGATCTACCAAGCAAATGGAAAACAAAAAAAGGCAGGGGTTGCAGTTCTAGTCTCTGATAAAATGGACTTTAAACCAGCAAAGATCAGAAGAGACAAAGGCCATTACATAATGGTAAAGGGATCAATTCAACAAGAAGTGCTAACTATCTTAAATATATATGCACCCAATATAGGAGCACCCAGATTCATAAAGCAAGTCCTTAGTGACCTACAAAGAGACTTCAACTCCCACACAATAATAATGGGAGAATTTAACACCCCACTGTCAGCATTAGACAGATCAACAAGACAGAAAGTTAAAAGGATATCCAGGAATTGAACTCAACTCTGCACCAAGCACACCTAATAGACATCTACAGAACTCTCCACCCCAAATCAACAGAATATACATTCTTCTCAGCACCACACTGCACTTATTCCAAAATTGACCACATAGTTGGAAGTAAAGCATTCCTCAGCAAATGCAAAAGAACAGAAATTATAACAAACTATCTCTCAGACCATAGTGCAATCAAACTAGAACTCAGAATTAAGAAACTCAAAGCCACTCAACTACATGGAAACTGAACAACCTGCTCCTGAATGACTACTGGGTACATAACGAAATGAAGGCAGAAATAAAGATGTTCTTTGAAACCAATGAGAACAAAGAGACAACATACCAGAATCTCTGGGACACATTTAAAGCAGTGTGTAGAGGGAAATTTATAGCACTAAATGCTCACAGGAGAAAGCAGGAAAGATCTAAAGTTGGCACCCTAACATCACAATTGAAAGAACTAGAGAAGCAAGAGCAAACAAATTCAAAAGCTAGCAGAAGGCAAGAAATAACTAAGATCAGAGCAGAACTGGAGGAGACAGAGACACAAAAAACCCTTCCAAAAATCAATGAATCCAGGAGCTGGTTTTTTGAAAAGATCAACAAAATTGATAGACCGCTAGCAAGACCAATAAAGAAAAGAGAGAAGAATCAAATGGAAGCAATAAAAAATGATAAAGGGGATATCACCACAGATCCCACAGAAATACGAACTACCATCAGAGAATACTATAAACACCTCTACACAAATAAACTAGAAAGTCTAGAAGAAATGGATAAATTCCTCGACACCTACACCCTCCCAAGACTAAAACAGGAAGAAGTTGAATCTCTGATTAGACCAGTAACAGGCTCTGAAATTGAGGCAATAATTAA
Source organism: Homo sapiens (assembly GCF_000001405.40). Lineage (NCBI taxonomy): Eukaryota > Metazoa > Chordata > Mammalia > Primates > Hominidae > Homo > Homo sapiens. Next base: position 4,344,236 of record NC_000012.12, read on the forward strand.
TAGCTTACCAACCAAAAAAAGTCCAGGACCAGACGGATTCACAGCCGAATTCTTCCAGAGGTACAAGGAGGAGCTGGTACCATTCCTTCTGAAACTATCCCAATCAATAGAAAAAGAGGGAATCCTCCCTAACTCATTTTATGAGGCCAGCATCATCCTGATACCAAAGCCTGGCAGAGACACAACAAAAAAAGAATTTTAGACCAATATCCCTGATGAACATTGATGCAAAAATCCTCAATAAAATACTGGCAAACCGAATCCAGCAGCGCAACAAAAAGCTTATCCACCATGATCAAGTGGGCTTCATCCCTGGGGTGCAAGGCTGGTTCAACATATGCAGATCAATAAACGTAATCCAGCATATAAACAGAACCAAAGACAAAAACCACATGATTATCTCAATAGATGCAGAAAAGGCCTTTGACAAAATTCAACAGCCCTTCATGCTAAAAACTCTCAATAAATTAGATATTGATGGGAGCTCTCTCACCACTCCTATTCAACATAGTGTTGGAAGTTCTGGCCAGGGCAATCAGGCAGGAGAAAGAAATAAAGGGTATTCAATTAGGAAAAGAGGAAGCCAAATTGTCCCTGTTTGCAGATGACATGATTGTATATCTAGAAAACCCCATTGTCTCAGCCCCAAATCTCCTTAAGCTGATAAGCAACTTCAGCAAAGTCTCAGGATACAAAATCAATGTGCAAAAATCACAAGCCTTATTATACACCAATAACAAACAGCCAAATCATGAGTGAACTCCCATTCACAATTGCTTCAAAGAGGATAAAATACCTAGGAATCCAACTTACAAGGGATATGAAGGACCTCTTCAAGGAGCACTATAAACCACTGCTCAATGAAATAAAAGAGGACACAAACAAATGGAAGAACATTCCATGCTCATGGATAGGAAGAATCAATATCATGAAAATGGCCATACTGCCCAAGGTAATTTATAGATTCAATGCCATCCCCTTCGAGCTACCAATGACTTTCTTCACAGACTTGGAAAAAACTACTTTAAAGTTCATATGGAACCAAAAAAGAGCCCACATTGCCAAGTCAATCCTAAGCCAAAAGAACAAAGCTGGAGGCATCACGCTACCTGACTTCAAACTATGCTACAAGGCTACAGTAACCAAAACAGCATGGTACTGGTACCAAAACAGAGATATAGACCAATGGAACAGAACAGAGCCCTCAGAAATAATACCACACATCTACAACTATCTGAACTTTGACAAACCTGACAAAAACAAGAAATGGGGAAAGGATTCCCTATTCAACAAATGGTGCTGGGAAAACTGGCTAGCCATATGTAGAAAGCTGAAACTGGATCCCTTCCTTACACCTTATACAAAAATTAATTCAAGATGGAGTAAAGACTTACATGTTAGACCTAAAACCATAAAAACCCTAGAAGAAAACCTAGGCAATACCATTCAGGACATAGGCATGGGCAAGGACTTCATGACTAAAACACCAAAAGCAATGGCAACAAAAGCCAAAGTTGACGAATGGGATCTAATTAAACTAAAGAGCTTCTGCACAGCAAAAGAAACTACCATCAGAGTGAACAGGCAACCTACAGAATGGGAGAAAATTTTTCCAATCTACTCATCTGACAAAGGGCTTATATCCAGAATCTACAAAGAACTCAAACAAATTTGCAAGAAAAAAACAACCCCATCAACAAGTGGGCAAAGGATATGAACAGACACTTCTCAAAAGAAGAAGTTTATGTAGCCAACAGACAGATGAAAAAATGCTCATCATCACTGGCCATCAGAGAAATGCAAATCAAAACCACAATGAGATACCGTCTCACACCAGTTAGAATGGCAATCATTAAAAAGTCAGGAAACAACAGGTGCTGGAGAGGATGTGGAGAAATAGGAACACTTTTACACTGTTGGTGGGACTGTAAACAAGTTCAACCATTGTGGAAGACAGTGTGGCAATTCCTCAGGGATCTAGAACTAGAAATACCATTTGACCCAGCCATCCCATTTCTGGGTATATACCCAAAGGATTATAAATCATGTGCTATAAAGACACATACACATGTATGTTTATTGCGGCACTATTCACAATAGCAAAGACTTGGAACCAACCCAAATGTCCAATAATGATAGACTGGATTAAGAAAATGTGGCACATATACACCATGGAATACTATGCAGCCATAAAAAAGGATGAGTTCATGTCCTCTGTAGGGACATAGATGAAGCTGGAAACCATCATTCTCAGCAAACCATGGCAAGGACAAAAAACCAAACACCGCGTTTTCTCACTCGTAGGTGGGAATTGAACAATGAGAACACTTGGACACAGGAAGGGGAACATCACACACCAGGGCCTGTTGTGGGATGGGGGGACGGGGGAGGGATAGCATTAGTAGATATACCTAATGTAAATGGCGAGTTAATGGATGCAGCACACCAACATGGCACATGTATACATATGTAACAAACCTGCACGTCGTGCACATGTACCCTAGAACTTAAAGTATAATAAAAAATATATATTAAAAAAAAATGACAAAGAGACATATGAAAAAGTGCTCAACATCATTGGTAATCAGAGAAATGCATATCCAAACTACAATGAGTATTTTACCCCAGTTAAAATGGCTTTTATCCAAAAGACAGGCAATAACACATGCAGGCAAGGCCATGGAGGAAAGGGAACACTTGTATGCTGTTGGTGGGAATGTGAATTAGTACAACCACTGTGAAGAATTGTTTGGAGGGAGGTTCCTCAAAAAACTAAAAATAGAGCTACCATGTGATCCAGAAGTTCCACTGCTAGGTATGTACCCAAAGAAAGGAAATCAGGATATTGAAGAGATATCTGCACTCCCATATTGCAGCACTTTTTACAGTAGCCAAGATTTGGAAATAATCCAAATGTCCATCAGCAGATGAATGGATAAAGGAAATGTACACACACAAACAATGAAGTACTTTTCAACCACAGAGAAGAATGAGATCCTGTCATTTGCAACAACATGGATGGAACTGGAGGTCATTATGTTAAGTGAAGTAAGCCAGGCACAGAAAGACAAACTTGTCATGTTCTCACTTATTTGTTGGAGCAAAAAATTAAAACAATTGAACTCATGGAGATAGAGAGTAGAAGGATGGTTACCAGAGTCTGGGAAAGGTAGTAGGGGGAGGTGTTGGGGAAGTGGGGATGGTTAATGGGTACAAAAAGAAAGAATGAATAAGACCTAGTATTTGATAGCGCAACAGGGTGGCTATAGTCAATAACAATGTAATTGTACATTTGAAAATAACTAAAAGGATATAATTGGATCATTCGTAACAAAAAGGATAAATGCTTATGGGGATGGATACCCTGCTTACCAGGATGTGATTGTCATGCATTGCATGGCTGTATCAAAGTGTCTCATGTGCCCCATAAATATATACATTTACTGTATACCCACAAAAATTAAAAATTAAAATACAAACAGAAAAAAGCCAAAAAATGAAAACCTCAGTGGAAGTACTGAAGTATAGATCACACACGGCTGAAGTGATCATTATAGATAAATATATGATAATAACCTAAATGTAGCACGGCATGATAGATTTAAAATATGAGAGTTTAGCTGGGCACAGTGGCTGATGCCTGAAATTGCAGCACTTTGGGAGGCCGAAGCGGGAAGATCACTTGAGCTCAGGAGTTTGAGACCAGCCTGGGCAACATAGGGAGACCTTGTCTCTACAGAAAATAAAAAAGTTAGCTGAGTGTGGTGGCACTTGCCTGTAGTCCCAGCTACTTGGGAGGCTGGGGTGGGAGGATCACTTGAGCTCAGGTAGTTGAGGCTGCAGTGAATCGTGATTGTGTCACTTCACTCCAGCCTGGGTGACAGAGCGAGACCCTGTCTCAAAAAAAAAAGTCCCTTTAAAAAATAAATAAAATAGGAGACATTAGAAGACATGAAGAGCATGATGAGAAGTTCTAATGTCTTTCAGAAAGAGATAGCAGAGAGAATGGGAGGAAGAGGTGATATTCAGAGGTTACAGAATATTGACAATTTTACAGAATTTACAGAATTGTTGAAAGATCCAAGAAGTGTACCAAATCCCAACCAGGATAAGTAAAGAAACCCATATCTACATTCATTATAGCAAAATTGCAAGACTCCAAAGAATGAGGAAAAAACCATCCTTTATTAAAGACCATTAGTTAGGCTGTCAGCAAATTTGTTCATATTGATGATTTCTTTATTGTGCTGAGAAATAACAAGGATTAACCTAGAGTTTTATACCCAGCAAGATTTTTTTCTGCTGTGTAGGTGAAATGACATTTCAGACAAAGAGATTCTGAAGTAACTTTGAAAGGAAAAATGAAAAAGAAGGAAAATAATTGCAGAAGGGAGATCTGAGTTTCAGAAAAGAATAGTGAGCAAAGAAGTTGGTAAAGGTTTAGGAAAATACAAGGAAATATTGACAGTACATATAAAACAGTATGATGATGATGTCTAATTTGTTGGGAAATGTGTTTTTAAAAAAGGCAGATCATGGACCTAAATTATTTCTATGTGACAGGGTCGCTTGTCAATCAAAAATTGCTAGACTTACAATGAGAGAAGGAAATGTGAATAAAAATGAGCTAAAGACAACAGAAACAGCCACATGACTTACCCGATGGAGTTACCAGACATGAGCTTTAAAATAACTATATTTTTGTATAGGTGAAAGATGTAGAATTTCAGTACAGAACTGTAATAAACTGTAAAAAAGAGCCAAATGCAAATTCTAGAACTAAAAATACAATTGGAATTAAGGCTCAATGGATGGGTTTAACAACAATTTAGACACATTTGAATGGCGAATTAAGGAATTAGAATGGGGATTAGTAAACATTTTCTGTAAAGAGCCAGATAGTAATTTTTTTTTAGGGTTTATAGTCTATACAGTCTCTGTTAACACCTGTTCAAGTCTGCGGTAATAGCAAGAAAGCAGCCATCAACTGTGCATGAATGAATGCTGTGGCTGTGTCCCAGTAAAATACTTTATTTGCAAAAGCAGATGATGGTCTGGATTGTGCTGACTTCTGAACTAAAAGATAGGTTAGAAGAGAATATCAAAATCAGGAATGAAGAGACACAGATGTGTACACAGATGTACACAGAGAGGCAACTTTTGCAAAGGAAAATCATTTCTAGTTTTGTTTTTTTTTTTTGAGATGGAGTCTCATTCTGTCACCCAGGCTGGAGTGCAGTGGCGCAATCTCAGCTCACTGCAACCTCCGCCTCCCAGGTTCAAGCAATTCTTCTGCCTCAGCCTCCCGAGTAGCTGGAACTACAGGTGCGTGCCACCACATCCGGCTAATTTTTTGTATTTTTAGTAGAGATAGGGTTTCACCATGTTGGCCAGGATGGTCTCGATCTCCTGACCTCATGATCCACCCGCCTCAGCCTCCCAAAGTGCTGGGATTACAGGTGTGAGCCACCGTGCCTGGTTCTAGTTCTTTTTTATTCACTAAGATGACATAGATTCTTTCAGTGCTTCCACCAGAATGGTGATTATTTTTATAAAGAAAGAAACAATTGTCTTGATTTTCAGACCATGCATGGAATTTTGGAGAGAAGCAAATTTTGCAAAGATATGACGGTAAAGTATGACTCAAGACTTCGGGAAAGGGTGAGTAACTTATTTACATATTGTTCTTCCCCATAAATTATCAGTAAGCCACCTCAGTTTGTCACTTGGCTAAAAGTTAAATGCATTTCTGCTAGGGATTTCGAATCAGTGAAAATATTTAAGAATCTACCATATGACAGTCACTGTTACATACCCTCGTATATAGGATCTTATTATTAAAATCAAACGAGACAAGCATCTTAAGGTATAAAAGAAGGTACGCTCATAAGAACTTAACACAGTATAGAAGAGTTTAAAGTAAAGGTGAAAAATATGGATATTGCATAATTTATGTAACCTAGCTACGCTGATGGAAAGCTAGATTTTCACTAGACTACCACTGATGTAAATAATGTCAAAATAAACATCTTTGTAGTTAATTTATTGTAGACCTATATATTTCTAGAAATGGACATCGGCGAGTGTGTACTTTTTTAAAGGCATTTATATACATATTGCCAAGTTGCCTTCCAGAAAACCTGTGCCAATTTATAGTCCCATGAATGACCTAGGAGAAAGTTTTGTTTTTTTACACCAACAATTGGTATTATTAGACTCTGTGATTTTCCAATTTAATAGCTTAACAATGTTGCCATGTGGCTGGCGTGGTGGCTTACGCTTGTAATCCCAGCACTTTGGGAGGCCAAGGTGGGCAGATCACTTGAGTTCAGGAGATTGAGACCATTCTGGCTAACATGGTAAAACACCATCTCTACTAAAAATACAAAAAATTAGCCGGGTGTGGTGGCACGCGCCTGTAGTCCCAGCTACTCGGGAGGCTGAGGCAAGAGAATCGTTTGAACCCAGGAGGCGGAGGTTGCAGTGAGCTGAGATCGCGCCACGGCACCCCAGCCTGGGTGACAGAGCGAGATTCCGTCTCAAAAAAAAAAAAAAGAAAAAAAAAGAAATAGATCTCTCATGTTAGCGTCTCTGAAACTCAACTTCCTTATAACTATGGTGATATATTTATTTAGCTATTTCATGGTGCTGTCATTGGGATCAAATGGTGTAGTATGTGTGGATGGGAGATGGCTGAATTGGTACCTTGTGCATGTTAATCTCTAGTCCTATAATCTGTGCAAATCTCTGTATTTGTTCAATAAATTCCCACCATCTGCTTGCAATAGCAAGTTCTTCTAAAATAACCCATTTGGACATAGTGTACAACTTAAGATTTCAATTATATTTTCTAAGGTTCATGGCCCTCTACTGAGTACATTCTCATTATCAGTTCAGAGGAGATAGAATCAATTAAGTGGAGGAGAGTTAGCTTATTCCTGGGATGAATGTTCTAAATTTGCCATAAACATAAACTTAATTGTTATATTGCAATTTCATTTGAGAAACTGTTATCTATTGGACTGTTTCAGAAATACGGGGTTGTAGAAGGCAAAGCGCTAAGTGAGCTGAGGGCCATGGCCAAAGCAGCCAGGGAAGAGTGCCCTGTGTTTACACCGCCCGGAGGAGAGACGCTGGACCAGGTATGTGGCGCTGCCGATGTCAGAATGGTTGAATTAAGACTCAAAATTAGATGTTTTGGAATTTTAGCTAAGCAGTTTGAAAGTTGCTTGGTTCATTCTCTTTTCCATTTTAAATTATCTATTTACTTAGCAAATTATTCTTTTCTATTTAAAATCTTATTTACTGTTCAGTTGCCTTTGTCATTATTGATAATGGACTTAAGGAAAGGTGTTATTAGATGGTACTTCTAAAAAAGACCTTTGAATATGAAGCAGTGGCTTAGTGGTGGGAGTGGAGTTCAAAGAGGGTGATCGGCAAGTCACTCGAGGTGAAATAACTCAAAACATGAAGTCTTCAAGCCTCTGCTGCCTCCTCAGCTCTGTTCATGGTGGCATCCCTGTGCTTGCATTTCTTTGGAGTGTTCTGCTTCGAATTGCATATTGGTGATTCCCCCTAACCCACCACCACCTCCTTAATCTTTATCTTAATTTTCTTGAAAATACTTTCCATTACTTTAGTAAGGGAAGGATTTGTTGCTGCTGTTGTTCCAGTGGCACTGAAGTGCCAGAGACAGCTTCCTGGTTAGCACTGTTTTATGAGTTTCTGTTGGCTTGTAGATTTCCCTAACTAGACCGTGAGTGCTTTGAACTCAGGAATTGGGAATTGGATCTTCTTCATCTTGGTCTCCATGGTGCTTTTGTAATTCCAGAAATGTGGTGGATACTTATATATGTCCATGAAACTACTGATTGAACGAATAGAAATGTAGATTGATATTCTTCTGCTTGTGTAGTACTTGGCATTCAATATTAGAAAAAAATCCAGTCAGTTATGTTCTATGTTAACGTTTTAAGGAAGTCATTAATGTCACTTTATTTTGACTTTTATTTCTTTTCTTGTAGGTGAAAATGCGTGGAATAGACTTTTTTGAATTTCTTTGTCAACTAATCCTGAAAGAAGCGGATCAAAAAGAACAGTTTTCCCAAGGATCTCCAAGCAACTGTCTGGAAACTTCTTTGGCAGAGATATTTCCTTTAGGAAAAAATCACAGCTCTAAAGTTAATTCAGACAGCGGTATTCCAGGATTAGCAGCCAGTGTCTTAGTTGTGAGTCACGGTGCTTACATGAGAAGTCTGTTTGATTATTTTCTGACTGACCTTAAGTGTTCCTTACCAGCCACTCTGAGCAGATCTGAACTTATGTCAGTCACTCCCAATACAGGGATGAGTCTCTTTATCATAAACTTTGAGGAAGGAAGAGAAGTTAAACCAACGGTTCAGTGTATTTGTATGAACCTACAGGATCATCTAAATGGACTGACTGAAACTCGCTAAGGTTAAATCTGCATCAAAATCTAACCATTTTGAGCCTCTGAAGGGAGTGCCATTGGCTTTATTTACTTCTCTCCTCTGCTAGTTCTGATTTGGAAACAGTTAAAAGCCAATTTTTAGCTCCAGTGGAACCATAGCCACATAAAACTTTAATGGACAACCATATAGAATTAACTTATTTTGTCCAAGTACAGTTGGCATTTTCCAGAATAATTTTACCACCCTGCTAGATGTCATCTCTGGATTGCACATGGATGATGAAGGAACTCAGCATTGAAAGTTGGGGGATTAGTAACCTTGTTACAACGGTTTCTTTTTCATTTTAGCCTATTTTAATGGCTATTGGTAAGATACTGTATGTTTTTAGTATCTCATCCAGTGCTTAGAAGAAAGAATGGTTTATAATTCCCAGTACATGTTTATATTGACTGTGTTATATTTTTAAATCCTTTAAATAAAAAATCCTTATAAGTTTATGTAAAGCAAAATAACACTAACATGTTTTACGTATAAATCAACTATTGGAATTTTTTATTCTAGAGGGCTTGAAATGTGGATGAATACAGATTATGATTGCAGAATGGTCTGGGGGAAGAAGTTAAAACATTTGATTTAAATACAGTAAAGAAAGAATCTTGGAGCAGAAGATAGAAGAACAGCCTTTTCTAAATAATGCCTTGCCAAAGTCAAGTCAATGGAAACCAGGAAAGCCAAAAAAATGAAGAATATCCACTTGCTTCTTATCTAACCTGTAGGCTGAAGAATTTCCAGTTTGAGGAAGGCTCTAAAGAAAGTAAACAGTTAACAGAACACCACACAGTAATCAGAATAAAAGAGGGGCCTTCTTTGTAAAGAATGGTGCTCTGGGCCGGGCCCAGTGGCTCACACCTGTAATCCCAGCACTTTGGGAGGCTGAGGCGGGCGGATCACAAGGTCAGGAATTCTAGACCAGCCTGGCCAACAATGGTGAAACCCTGTCTCTACTACAAATACAAAAAAGCCAGGCGTGGTAGCAGGCGCCTGTAATCCCAGCTACTTGGGAGGTTGAGGCAGGAGAATCGCTTGAACCCGGGAGGTGGAGGTTGCAGTGAGCCGAGATCGCACCACTTCACTCCAGCCTAGGTGACAGAGGGGATGACAGAGGGTGCTCTGCGGGCAGGGAAGGCGGGGTGGTTGGGGGGGAGAGAATGTTGCTCTGATAACCACAGCTGTGGTTATTTTGTGGCAGGTACAGGTGAGGTTGCCTCTTCTTTCCACCAGATGGCACTGGAGAAAAGGGATTTTGATTAACTTAATTTTATACACAAGATTGGTCTTTCAGAAATCTTTATCTAAATGAAGAAACTGTTCTACATGTAGTTCGCTTTTAAGTCACCATGTTGCTAAATGCTGTGAGTCTCAACTTTAAAGAGGGTTAATACTAAAGTTGTCAGTTAAGGCTATAGTCACATATAGTCAAAATTTACTTTGACATCATTTTAAATCATATGTAAAATTCAGTATTATATTGTTCTTAGTGTGTCTAGCACTACCAGTTTTCTACCAGTATTGAAACAGGGCACGTGTTTGAGCATCAGAGGAAGTATACTGTAAATAAAAATTTGAAAAATAAGCAAAAAGGACAGACAATAATTATCTCCATTCCCACCATACTGAAGTCATCTTTCCACTTTTTTTTTTAAAGAAACAAAACATAAAGATAAAAGTAGAGTTCTCTTTAACCAGCTCTCACAGTCCTGTTCCCTCCAGAGGCAGCCACTGCAGTGAGTCTGTGTATATGTTCACCTGTTCATCTGCTTGCAATGTTCATCTGTTCCTTATATTTTCACCTAGTGTCTGGAAGGAGATGGTACTGTTTTGGTGCTTTAAAAATAAATATCAAGCCATCTGTGTTCTTTATTTTTACTTATGTCTTGGAGGCATCTCTGTGTTGATATATATAGATCTAGTTAATTATAACCACTCTATTCTATTAAATATAGCACATTTTTGTTTATTAGTGGGCATTTAGGTATATTCAGTTTTTATTTTCTTTGCTTTTTTTCTTTTTTTTTTTTTTTGGAGACAGAGTCTCTCTCTGTTGCCCAGGCTGGGGTGCAATGGCGTGATCTTGGCTCACTGCAACCTCCACCTCTCGGGTTCAAGCAATTCTTGTGCCTCAGCCTCCTGAGTAGCTGGGACTACAGGCATGCACCACCACGCCTGGCCTTTTTTTTTTTTTTAGTAGAGACGGGGTTTCGCCATGTTGGCCAGGCTGGTCTTGAACTTCTGACCTCAGGTGATCCACCTGCCTTGGCCTTCCAAAGTGCTGGGATTGCAGGCATAAGCCACCGTGCCTGGCCTATGATGCATTTTTTTAATATGTGTTCTTAATTTTTAAGACAAACCAATATACCTTATCCTTTATGGGGTTTTTTTGGTGTGTATCTTTAAGAAGACTTCTCTACCATGAGGTCATACAGTAATGTCTTCTTACAGTTTTTGAGAACTTCTGAATGTCAAATCTTGAAATTGAAATTTGCTTTTTATAGTATAAGGTAAGAATTTAATTTTTTTTTTCATGTGGTTGAAACAGTTATCCCAACACCATTGTAAAGGCTGTTCTTTCCCAATTGGTTTGTGGTGTGTGCTCTCAGGCCTCACACCCCCTCATTTGCTAGAGTCTGTGGACTCTTTTAGTTATCTGTGTATTTCCTTATCAGTGTCATACTTAGTTACTGTGGCTTTGCAGCTGACTGTCTTAAAGGGTGGATACCTCCTCTTGTTCATTTTTAAAGTTGTCTTAACTATTTATGCACTTTTATTCTTCCATATAAATTTTGGAATCAATTGGTCAATTTCCAGAAAAATTCTGTTACAAATTTTATTGGAGTCACATGCATCTCTTCATCTATTCAATACGTATTTTTTGAGCATGGCACACACATGCCAGGCTATTTTAAGAACTACTACAACTATGATAAAGCTGTGAATATGTAGCCATGAACCAAAACAAAGTCTCTGTCCTTGTGGAACATTTGTTCTGTCAGAGAAGACAGTGTGTTGGCTCACATTGTGGTCAGTGCTGTTGAGCAAAATAGGTCAGAGTAAGGGGGATGGAGACTGGTGGGAGGAATGCTGCTTTATCCAGGATGGGCAGGGAGGACTCGATGGTGTCAGCACTGAAGGATGTAAGATCTGCTGCTCTGGGGAGAGGAGCAGCATGGAAGGAGTAGAGTGCAGAGGCCATGAGGAAGGATCAGGCTTGACTCCTTTGAGCAAGGGGGATGGGAGAGTGACGGGAGAAGAGGACAGGCCACATGGCCTGGTGGCCTGTGCTGAGGCCTTGGGCTTTTACTCAAGTGAGATGAGATGCCATTGGCCAGTTTGGGCAGTGATGTGATCAGACTTGTTTCAGCAGGACCATCCTGCTTGCAATGTGGAGAGCAGGCTGTAGGGGGTGCTATAGGAGCACAAGGTTGGAGGCAGGGAAGATGGCAGCACTGGCTGTTGGGCCATTTGAAGAAGCAAGGCCAGGGATGTTGGCAGGGACCAGGCCAGAGTGCCTCCAATGGCTAACTAAGGAGCCTGGACATTGAATTTCTAGGTTAGCTTAGGATTTCTCATCCTCCCATCTGTGAATGTCATAGATCTCTCATTTTGCCTGAGTCTTTTATGCAATGATATTTTATTTGTAATATTTTCCCGGTTTTTGATTGTTTTTTAACAAATGAATTTTTTAAGAGACTTAATTTTTTAAGAGAAACTTTAATTTCCCAGCAAAAGTGAGAGGAAGGTAGAGAGATTTCCCATCTATCCCCTGCCCCTACACACGCATTGCTTCTCCTACTATCAACATCCCCCACCAGACCAGTGCATCTGTTACCATCGGTGAGCCCACATTACACTGACATATCCACATCACCTGAAACCCATAGTTTACATTAGGGTTCATTCTTGGTGTTGCATGATCTGTGGGTTTGGACAAACGTATGAAGACATGTATTCCACCATTATAGTATCATGCAGAGTATTTTCACTGCCCTAAAAGTCCTCTGTGTTCCCTGTACTCATCTTTCCCACCTTGTCTTGCCTGTTTCTGTTAGGTTTAGTCCGAGGCCTAGCAGAGGGAATGGGCAGAAGTTTCCAGTTCCAGGCTTCACCCCAGGCTCGCAGCTTCAAGCAGAGCCTGTCGCTTAGGCTCCCTTGCACCTGGAGTCGAAACCATGGCTCCCATTCACCTGTCTCTTATTTTCCTGTCCTTCCCACTCCTCACTCACCTACTATTCATTTCCATTTTTGGATGAGGATTCTCCTTTATTGCTTTTTAACTAAAAACCTGTTTTAGTTAGCATCTTTATTCTAATTTCTTTAAATGCTATGTCATACTCAGCAAGGACATGCTCATATTAGGGGAAGCACATAAAGTAAGATATCCCTGAGAGAACAGTGCATCTCACACCCATTCCATGGCTTAGGCTTATGCAGGAAGTGCAATATTTGGCCATATCACTTAAGTACATATGCTTATATTATGTATACTTGCATGCATATTACATTTACAAGTAGATGAATTCGTGTAAGTTAAATGGTTCTATTATATGTCTTCACTATATTAAGGTCAGTCACAATTTAATTGAAATAGATCATCCTAGGTGAATCCACCTGGCATAATTATCAGCCCTGTTAAGCACAGACACAGGAGATGCAAAGGAAAGAAGTATTCAGTAGAGCGGTGGTGCTGGGCTGAGTACCTGCTATCAGACGCAGCACTTACCAGTTTGGAAATTGAATGGGGCTCCTAGAAAACATCCTTGTTTCATGTAAATGTTGCTTTTTACCCCTCTTTCTTTGGGCCCCATCAATTTGGAAGTACAGCTTTCAGATTGAAGTATGTGTCAGTTCCTTTGTGTCCAAACAAGATGGCTAAGTAGGTCGTCATGACAGGTAACTACCAGTGCTTTAAAAACTTTAGGATTTCCCCCCACAGTTCTCAATCACTTGGTTCATTGTTCAGCAATATGGCCTAAGGGGGTGATTTCTTCATTGATAAGTGACAGGGCAGGGACACTGGAAAGATCTATTGTCAGAAGGCCTGGATTCAGGTTCAAGGCCTGGTTCTTAGTAATTTTGTGACCAAGCAATCGCTGAGGTGGCTGGGCGTGGTGGCTCGCACCTGTAATCCCAGCACTTTGGGAGGCCAAGGCGGGCAGATCACGAGGTCAGGAGATAGAGACCATCCTGGCTAACACAGTGAAACCTCGTCTCCACTGAAAAATAGAAAAAATTAGCCAGGCCTGGTGGCCGGCGCCTGTAGTCCCAGCTACTTGGGAGGCTGAGGCAGTAGAATGGCGTGAACCCGGGAGGTGGAGCTTGCAGTGAGCCAAGGTCGCGCCACTGCACTGCAGCCTGGGTGACAGAGCAAGACTGGGTCTCAAAAAAAAAAAAAAAAAATCATTTGATAAATAATGGGCTGTGCATGGTGACTCAGGCCTGTAATCCCAGCACTTTGGGAGGCCAAGGTGGGTGGATTACCTGAGGTCAGGAGTTCAAGACCAGCCTGGCCAACATGGTGAAACCCTGTCTTTACTAAAAATACAAAAATTAGCTGGGCGTCTCCAAAAAAAAAAAAAAAGAAAAAGAAAAATCACTGAGCTACTGTATCCTCATAGAGAATAATTACAGTAATGTGTATGTGCGTGTGTTTTGGTAATCTTTTATCTTGGATTTATCAAACCTACAGAAAAGTTGCAAGAACAGTAGAAGGAATGGCTGTATACTCTTCACACTTATTCACCACTTGCTTACCTGTTGTCCCACTTGCTTTGCCATTTTTTCTCTCTCCCTCTGTTTTCCCCTGAAACATTGGAGAGTAACTTTGAGTCCTCATACTCTTCCCCTATAAAATTTCAATGTGTGTTTCCTGAGATCAACAATGTTCTTATATATAACCCAGAATAAATATCTGAGTCAGGAAATTTGACATTGATATTGCCTATTAGCTAATCCTTAGACCAAATTTAAATTCTGTCAATTATTTTGTTGATGTACCTGTGGCTTTTTTTTTTTTTCTGAATCAAGAATCCAATCAATCCAGGACTGTGTGTTGTGTTGCATTTAGTTGTCATGTTTCTTCATGTCCTTCCGTCTACTCCTTTGCCTTCCTTTGCCCTTCTTTTTTTCTCCCACCATCTATCTAACCAGATGAACTTTGTCTTTCTTGATCTTGTTACTTTTTAAAAAATAGGTGAGTTCTTGTGGTTTTTTTTCCTGACATATCCTCATTATTAGATTTGGATTGTATACTTTTGTCAGAAGCAGCCCAGAAAGGATGTGTCCTTGGTCATGTCAGGAGGGACAGGACGTTGTATCAATATGTCTGGTTCCTCATTAAATTTGCAACTACTCTTTTAGCCTTTATTGTTTATTTTCTGACTCTGTTTTTTTTTTCTTTAGCCAACTCACGCCATGACTCTACTTTTGCTTCTATGTTTATTAGTTGGCATTCTGTACTAAGACAGCTTTACCCTTCTTGCCTACTTATTTATGTCAGTATGAGCTCAGAAGTTCTTATTCAGGGGCTTATAATACAGTACTCTTATTATTTTATGGTTACACAGTCCCAACTTTGTCCTGTGGGAACCCTTTCAGGCTGGCTCTTATGTTCTGGTGACATAATCTCATCCTTCTTTAAGTACTTTCTTTCTGGTATTAACAATATGCTCCAGACTCATTCTTCCCGAGCCCCAGCCCCAGAATCAGCTTTTTCTCTAAAGAGCCCTGGTTCTTTGGAAATGAAATGAAAGACGCCTGGTGTGCATGGTATTTAGAAACCAAGATCTCGGTGCCAGGGTGCTCATTGCTAATAGTGCCTTTAAAAAAATTACTGCATTGAATTCCAATGCATAGATACACAACAGTTTGTTTATTCTTCCATTGACGGAACACAAGGACCATTTCTAGTTTGGAGCTATTATGAATAAAGCTGCTATAAATATTTTTACAAGTCTTTTTGCGGACGTATGTTTTCATTTCTCTTGGGTAAATAATCTGGGAGTGGAATTGCTGAGTTATAGGTTATATGTTGGTGTATGTTTAGTTTTATAAGACACTTGCCAGATCTTTTTCCATGGTGGTTGTACCATTTCATGCTTATCAACAATGAGTTCTAGGTGCTTCACATCCTTGCCAACATTTGTTATTATCAGTTTCTAAAATTTTAGCCATTCTGATTGTTGTATGGTAGTATATCCCTGCAATTTTAACTGGTGATATGGAATGCTTTTTAATGTACAATTCTTATTGATCATTCATACAGCTTTCTTTGTGAAATGTGTATTAAAATCTTATCCATTAAAAAATTGTGTCATCTTTTTATTTTTGAGTTGTAGGAGTTCTTTATATGTTTTGGGTATACAAGTTCTTTGTCAGATGTGTGTGTGTGTATGTATGTGTGTATGTGTGTGTGTGTGTGTGTATATATACACATGTATCTACATATATATAATTTTATTCCAGTCTGTATATTTATTATAAAATATGTTATTCTACCATTTATCAATTTTTTTAAGTTGTTGATTTTCATAAGACTGATTTACCATTGTGTTTGTTTTATGATTATTGCTTTTTTTTTGTCAAAGAAATTTTTGTCTATCCCCTGGTCATGGAGACTCTGTTTTCTTCTAGAAGATTTGTGATTTATAAGTTTTATATTTAGGTCTTGATCCATCTGGAATTTTTGTGTGTGGTATGAGGTAGCAGGTTCAGGCTTATGGTTATTTACCTGGATATCAAATTGTTCTAGCAGCATTTGTTGAAAAGACTTTTCTTTTCCCTTGAATTTATTTGGTTCTTTTGTCATAATTCAACTTATTGTGTAAGTGTTGGTGTATTGCTGGGCTCCTTATTTAATTCCATTTATCTTTTTGTCTATCCATATGCAAATATCACACTGTCCTGATTATTCTACATTCATAGCAAGTCTTGAAATCAGTGTATAAGTCACCTATGTACTTGTTCTTTTTCAGGGTGGTGGTTGTTGTTTTGGCTCATTGCAGGTCCTTTGTATTTCCACATAAATTTTTTAAAAATATACTTTTTAGAGCAGTTTTTAGATTTATAGAAAAATTGAGACAATATGTAGAATTCCCATACACCTGCATCCAGTGTCCTCTGTTATTAACATCTTATGTTAATGAATTGATACTGACACATTATTAACCAAAGCCCATAGTTTATTCAGATTTCCTTAGTTTTCACCTAATGGCATGTTTCTATTCCAGAATCCCATCCAGGATACCACATTATGCTTACTTGTCATGTCTTCTTAGGTTCCTTGTGTGTGTGTGTGTGTGTATACATTTCATTACCCTTGCTTTTTTAATGTGGAAAGTATACATAGCAGCATTTACCAAATCAACTATTTTTAAGTAGACAATTCCGTGGCATTAAGTCCATTCACACTGTTGTGCAACTACCCTTGCTTTTTTAAAAAATTGACACATAATTGTACATATTTATGGGGTATAGAGTGATGTTTTGATAAATGTATACAACATGTAATGATCAAATTAGGGTAATTGGCATATCCATCACCTCAAACGTTGCTCATTTCTTTGTGTTGGGAACATTCAAAATCCTCTTTTCTAGCTATTTGAAAATGTGCAATGAAGTATTGCTAACCATAGTCACCATACAGTGCAAGAGAACACTAGAACTTATTCCTTCTATCTCACTATAATTTGGAGCCCATGAATCAGCCTCTCCCTGTCCGTGTTCTCCTCCCCTTTCCAGCTCCTGGTAACCACTGTTCTCTCTCCTTCTATTGGATCAACTTTGTTAGCTCCCACATATGAGCGAGATCATGCAGTGTTTGCCTTTCTGTGCTTAGACTCCTCTTGCCTGTAACAGTTTCTCAGACTTTCTTTGTTTTTTTTTTAATGACCCTGGGAGTTTGAGAAGTGCTAGTCGGGCGTTTTGTAGGATGACTGTCTGTTGGAATTTGTTTGATATTTTTCTCATGATTAGACTGGGGTTATTGAAAAGTAAAGTTCCATTTTATTTCTTTTCTTTCTTTCTTTTTTTTTTTTTTTTTTTTTTGAGACAGAGTTTTGCTCTTGTCGCCCAGGCTGGAGTGCAGTGGCACGATCTCGGCTCACCGCAACTCTTCTGCCTCTCGGGTTCAAGCGATTCTCCTGCTTCAGCCTCCTGAGTTGCTGGGATTACAGGCATGAGCCACCACCCGGCTAATTTTGTATTTTTAGTAGAGATGGGGTTTCTCTGTGTTGGTCAGGCTAGTCTTGAACTCCTGACCTCATGTGATCCACCTGCCTCAGCCTCCCAAAGTGCTGAGATTACAGGCATGAGCCACCGCGCCTGGCCTGTAAAGTTCCATTTTCATTACATCATATCAAGTGTAGATGATATAAATACGACTTGTTTCATTTGATTGTTGATGTTGACCTTGATCACTTGGCTAAAGTAGTGTTTGTCAGGTTTCTCCGTTGTAAAGCTATTCTTTTTTTCTGTCTTTCCATACGGTACTTGTGGAAGAAAGTCAGGAAGTCACTGTGCACACAAGGAGTCGGGATTTATGATCCTTCTTTTTGAGGAGGGAGTATCTACAAGTTATTTGGAATTCTTCATGGATGATTTTTTTTCTTATTACCTTATTTATGTATGTATTTATTCAATCATTTATTTATATCATTTTGTTCTTGTGAATAGTTATTTTATACTTTGGGTTATAATCCCATGCTACTTTTTATTGTTGTTTCTCAAATTGCTCCAGCTTCAGCCATTTGGAGCTCTTTCAGTTGGCTCTTGTGTTCCTTTGAAATACCCCCATCAACTTGGCTTGTTTTTATTGTTGCTGTTGTTTTAACACAGGTGTACTTTCTGTCAGTACTAGACACTCTAGGCTCCTCTTGCATATTTCATGTCCCATTCCTAGAACCAGCCATTTCTTCAAGGCACCGTGGTTCCTTTTATTAGAGAATGATGTTAAAAACCAAGATGAGAGCTAGGTGTGCTGGTTACTATTAAGGTATTGTTTCTTTAGGCCCTCTCAGCTGACAGAACAAGGAAATATATGTGTGTATACTAATCCACATATGTATACATAGCTATAAGTATTTCTATATGTGACCATCTGTATTCATCAATGTAACGCTTATGTGCAGTTCCTTTTGCCTTTAGTCTTGCAGACTTCACTCATTTCCAAAATTACTTAGGTTAGTCAGCACCTTTCCCCACCACCCCAGTGAGGTTGTTTTATACACATGTAATATAGTTAGATTACTTTGTTCCATATACATTTTTAAGTCAGCTTGTTCATTTCTGTTTTAAAAAGGCTGCTGAGACCGTACTTGTGGAATAATTGACATTTTAACCATACTGAGTCCTCCAAATCAGTATCGATACAACGAATTTTTCTCATCAGTGTTGTGTAATATTTATGTTTGACATTAAATTTGTCCCTAATTATTTTATGGTTTCGTTTGTTCCTATTTTATGCTTATGACCCTGTTATAAATTGAATTTTTACATTTTAATTTAAAATTTTACTTTCCAGTGTTTGCTGCTGGTATATAATTTGTGTGTGTGTGTGTGTGTGTGTGTGTGTGTGTGTAGCTAAATTTGCATATTATTTTTAGCTTTAGTTGAGTTCTGGTCATTGCTTTGTGGATACCCTAGGGCTTTCTACATAGACAATCATGTCCTCTCAGAGTAGACGTTTTTATATTTGTATGCCATTTGTTTCTTGCCTTATTGCACTGCCTAAGACCTCCAGCAGAATTAAATAAAAGTACAGGTTGAGCATCCCTAATTCAAAAGTTGGAAATCCTAAATGCTCCAAAATGCAAAACTTTTTGAGCACTGACATGAGACGGTGATACCTTTGCTTTCTGATGGTTTAATGCATACAGACTTTGTTTCATGAACAAAATTATTCAAAATATTGTGCAAAATTACCTTCAGGGTAAGTGTATAAGGAATATATGAAACGTAAATGAATTTCATGTTTAGACTTGGATCGCATCACTAAGAACATCTCTATGTATTTATAAAATCTGAAAAAATAAAAAATTCAAAATGCTTTTGGTCCCAAGCATTTCAGAAAAGGGAAACTCAATCCATAATGAAAGAAAACATTTTTGCTTATTCCTAATTTCAGATCAGGTTGTGAGCTGTCTTAAGATATGATGTTAGCTGTAGGTTTTTCATAGATGCATTTTATCAGGTGGAGGAAGTTCTCTTACATTCCTAGTTTGCTGAGAGTTTTTATCATAAATAGATACTAAACTTTGTCTAATTTTTTCCTGTGTTTATTGAACTGATATTATCTTTCTTCTTTATTTTGTTAATATCTTGAATTACATTTTAAAATGTTAAATCAATCTTTCTTACTACCTGGAATAAACTCAACTTGTATTATTAAAATTTTTATATATTGTTGAATTTGGTTTGCTATATTTAGTTAAATATTTTTGTATTAATGTTCGCAAAGGTTTTTAATCTGTAGTTGGTTGGGTTTTTTTTTTTGTCATTTCTTTGCCATGTTTTGAAGTCAAAGTTGTTTTGTCATTATATAACAGGTTAAGAGGTGATGCTGCTCTGGAAAAGTTTGGGTAGGATTGGCTGAAATGTTTAGTAGAATTTGCTACTGAAACTATCTGAATCTGGAATTTTGTTTGTGGGAATTTTTTGATAATTTAACTTTTGTAATAGGTATTCAGATTTTCTGTGTCATCTTGTGTCAGTTTTTATAAATTTAGATTTTTCAAGTACTTTATCTTTCATTGAAATTGTCAAATTTATTGTCACAAAGTTATTTTTAATGTTCACTTATTGTCTTTTTAATTTCATGATATCGCCTCTGCTATTTTTCTTTTTTAAATTTTTAAAAATATTTATTTATTCATTTATTTTTGAGATGTAGCCTCACTCTGTTGCCCAGCCTGGAGTGCAGTGGGGCATGATCTCACCTCACTGTACCTCTGCCTCCCAAGTTCAGGTGATTCTCCTGTCTCAGCCTCCCAAGTAGCTGGGAGTACAGGCGCCCACCACCACGCCCAGCTAATTTTTGTAATTTTAGTTGAGACAGGGTTTCACCATGTTGACCAGCCTGGTCTCGAATTCTTGGTCTCATGTGATTCACCCGCCTCAGCCTCCCAAAGTGCTGCGTTATGCAGGTGTGAGCCACCACACCTTCCCCCCTCTGCCATTTTTCATATTGGTATTTTGTATTTTCTCTTTTCCTTAATATTCTTGGCAAATAACTTTTCAGTTCTATTAATTTTTTCTTGAAACCAACATTTCTGTTTTTTGTCTCTTTTCTAATTCATTGATTTCTGTTCTTATATCTTCTGTCTACTTATTTTGGACCTAATTTGTTTTTTATGTCCTCCTAGAGTCTTAATGAATAATCTTAGGTTGATTTTAACCTTCTCTCTTTTTATATATAAGCTTTTAAAATATAGAGCTTTTCTAAGTGCTGCTTTAGCTGTGTATCATAAATTTTGGTATGTTGTATTTTTATTGTCATTTAGTTAGATGTACTTTCTATTTTTGATTTGCTCTTTGATTCATGTATTATTTATAAATGTGCTATTTGATTCAAAATATTTGAGGATTTTTTTCAAATAGCTTGGTGATTTCCAATTAAATGGTAGGAGAGAATATTCTGTAAGATTTTGAAATTTTTAGTTAATTGAGACTTCTCAGCCAAGCATATGATCTGTTTTGATGGATGTTTAATTTGTACTCAGAAAGAGAATGTATTCTGTAGTTGCTGGATTTAGTGGTCTACACATGTCAACTAAATGAAGTTAGTTAATGATGTCCAGATATCTGTATCCTTACTAATTTTTTGTGTATTTGTTTAATCAGTTACTGAGAGAGGGGTGTTCCCATTTCTAACTAAGATTTGAACTTGTCTATTTTTTCAGTTTTGTCAGTTTTCTTCATGTATTTTATTGCTTTGTTTTTAGGGACATGAGCCATTAGGATTTTTACGTCTTCCTGATGAATTAGCCCTTTTATTATTATGAATTGTTCCTCTATTTATGCGGTATTCCTTCACTTGAAGCCTATTCTCTATGATATTAATATAGTAAGTTCATATTTTTTATATTGAATGTCTTCACTGTGTATCTTTCCATTCTTTTCTTTAAGTATGTGTTTTGTACAAAACAAATAGTTGGGTGTTTTTTAAATCCAATTTGACCACTCCTGTCTTTAGTTATAGTGTTTGGCCCATTTATATTTAATGTAATTATTAATATAATTTGGTTTAGTCTATCATTTTTCTGTTTGTCCCATTTGATTTTTATTCTCCTGCTCCTCCTTTCTTCCCTTCCTTGGAATAACTGAATTTTTTTAGTATCCTATGTTAATATCTCTATTGGCTTTTTACCTACACCTCTTTGAATTATTATTATTTTTAAATGTTTTGTTTTTAGAGACAGGGTCTGACTCTGTCACCAAGTTGAAGTGCAGTGGCACGATCATAGCTCACTGCAACCTCCGCTTCCCAGGCTCAAGTGATTCTCCAGCCTCAGCCTCCTGAGTAGCTATGACTACAGGTGCATATCACCACTCCTGACTTCTTATTGTGAGTATTTTAGTGGTCACTTTGGGGATTACAATATGCATCCTTAATTTATCACAGTCTAGAGTTAATATTGTAAGATTTTTACATACAGTGTTATCATCTTGTAACCATATTGTTTCATTTATCCCTCCCATCCTATGTGGGAGTTTTGCCTTATATATTACATCTATATATGTTACAAAACCTGCATACAGTGTTATAATTTTTGCCTTAAGCAGCCTGTTAGTGAAATCAGGGAAGAAGGTATACAATATATATAGTTTAAATGTATTCACACATTTAATGATGGTTTTCTTTCTGTAATTCTAAATGTCCATCTGGTGTTACTCCTTTTCAGCATGGCAATAATTTCTCTCCATTTTTATTCCATCTTAATTTTGAAGGACATTTTTGCTGTATGTGTAATTCTGGGTAGGTAGCTTTTTATTTTCTTTCAACCTTTTCAATACATCATTCCATTGTCTTCTAGTTTCCATGGTTATGAGAAGAAATCCACTACTATTATAGCTGTTCCTCTATATATAAAGTGTCATTTGTCTACAGTAGCTTTCAGATTTTCTGTTGATTTTTGATTTTTAACAGTTTGACTGCAATATACATAACTGTGATCTTTGCATTTGTCTTGCTTGGAGTTTTCTGAGCTTCTTGTATTAGTACACTTATTTTTAACCAATAATTGGGAAATTTTCAGCCACCATATCTTCAAATATTTTTTACTCCCCAGTTCTTTGTGCTCCTTTCCTTCTGGGACTCAACTTACTCATATGTTGGACAGCTTAATAAGGTCTCACAGATCATTGAGGTTCTACTCATTTTCAAAAAACTTATTTCTTCTCTGTTACTCAGATAAGATAATTTATATTAGCTCTATCTTTAGATCACCTTACTAGTTTCTAGTGACTGCATTTTCTCTTGATTGTGCACATGTTTTTTTCCTATTTCTTCTCATGTCCAGTTATTTTACTATTACTGATTGTGTAGGATACCATGTATTAAGTCTGAATCATGTCCTCTTCCTTTAAAAGGTGTTAAGTTCTCTTCTGGCGGTCAGTTACATTATTGGTAGATCCTTGTAGTTTGCCAGGATTGGTATAATTCTCACTTAGAGCAAGTCTGTTTCAGTTTTGAATTTAGTTTTAGGATATACCCCCTGCCTCTGGGGCTTAGTCTTATAAGAACAGCCTTTTGAGTTCTGAGGCACTCAGTAAGGTCTCTTCACCCAGGTGTGGTTGAATTTCTAACGTGTTTCAACATTGCATAGCATCTGGTATCACTCACTATCTATCTCCTGCTGCTGTAGCAGGTGACCTTTGTAGGACTCACCGTATCTTACCTCGTGCATGTGCTACCCAGTCTTTGGCGAAGGACCTGTAGTGAATGCTCATGCCCATATGTAAAGTCTCTCCTTTTCATAGTTCCTTCTGAAAGAAGGAACTCTGGGAACACCAGTCTCAGAATGTAGATTCATTATCTTGGTGTCCTGCTATCAAATCTCACGGGACGGTAACACTGTGTATGTGTTTAGTGCATAGCATTTGGTTTACTGAGATACTGACGTGGTTGTGATGGTGTGTATTTTCCAAATAAAAATTCCCTCTTTAAAGAAAACACGGCTGGGTGCGGTGGCTCATGCCTGTAATCCCAGCACTTTGGGAGTCTGAGGTGGGTGGATCACGAGGTCAGGAGTTCGAGACCAGCCTGGCCAAGATGGTGAAACCCTGTCTCTACTAAAATTACAAAAATTAGCCAGGCGCAGTGGCAGGTGCCTGTAATCCCAGCTACTTGGAAGGCTGAGGCAGGAGAATCGCTTGAACCTGGGAGGCAGAGGTTGCAGTGAGCCGAGATCGCGCCACTGCACTCCAGCCTGGGTGACAGAGCAAGACTCCATCTTAAAAAAAAAAAAAAGAAAGAAAGAAAGAAAGAAAACACTTTAGGGTTAGAATGACCAGAAATCCAATATTGATAAAACTTAAATAATTCTGTCTAGATCAATTAAAATCATTGAGTCTCCTTATGAATGGAAGAAATCTTTGAAAATTTTAAAATTCTAAAATCTTTTTTTCAATTTTGCCTTCTCTGGATTTCCCTAATGTTCCCCTCCCATAATCCTTTTTATTCTTATATTCCGACATGCTTTTAAGTAGTACTACAAAGAGGATAAGCTAACAGAAGCTGAGATAAATTTTATTTTTATTTTAAACAGAAGAAAGGAAAAAGGGGTTACATTTTTATAAATATCTATAAATATAGAAGGATAGGCAAACTTCCAAATAAATAAATAAATACTGCCACATGACGAGGGATATAAGAAATTGTAGGAGCTATTTTGGCTTTGCCATAAAGAAAACCCCTGATGGTAGTGTTGAGTTTGTGAGATTACAACTAGTTTTCCACCAAAATCCTTTTGGGATCTTTCACTGAGGAGCCTCCAATAGCTATTATGCAGGATAATATTTCCAACAGGAAATGAAAACAGAAATATTAAAATATTTGCCATGCATGGCTATATACTATTATACATAGTTTTACTGTTTCAGAATAGGAACCAGTCCTTCAAGTTCAGCTTAAAACCATCAGGTAAAAACAGTTGCCCAACATTTCTCTCATAACCAAAAAGAATAGATCAAAGTATAAGGTTAGTATGTGATGGCAGTGAGAAAAAAAAAAGTGACTGGGAAGAAGCTGTTGTTGAATCGACTTTGCTTGTTAATATACTGTCCTTTAGGTGGTCATTTAAAGAGAGGGAGGAAAATGGAGCCCCCTTACAGGAAGAACCGCAGTAATGGGGTAAGGCTTCATTTAATGCACCAAGAATTTCCAAGGGGATTGAGACCCAGATGTGTCAGCCTAGGAGAGTTTTAACTAATCGAAGAGCCACTGCTGCTGCAGAGCCCTAGAGACCACAGACAAGAGCCTGACCATGTGGTTGTCTTTTCATAACTTCTATAACATGTCCCCTGATTTCTTTCCCCCTGAGTCCTTGATGCCACTTCATTTAGAGAAAAGGACACGATTTTTCAGTCCACAGAAAACCTAACCCAGAGCAGTCCCAGTCTCTCAAAGCCCCCTTCCCAGTCACATTTTTGTAGTTTGTTCAGAATGGATTCCTACTCAACCTGGAAGTAGAGCCTTAATTAAATGCCTCTTAGGAGAGTTGGAATTTATTTCCATTTTGAAAAGCAAATTCTAGCAGGGCAGATTTTCGTGAGCCAGTGTAAAAGCTATTTATTCCTTAGACCAAATTTTCAAAAACCAGAGATGGGGCCAAAAGGTGAGGCTGTATCATGAACTGCTTGGGAACAGAGTGGGGCCATTCTGGGCCCTCTGGCTGTGGCTGCACAGAGGGAGACAGCGAGACAGAAGGTGCTCACCCTGTAGGGAGGCTGAGTTTTCTATTATGATTCCTGCCTCATTTCAGCAAGCATCAAGTCTAGCTGTCAAGTTTTCACCAGCCTACCACCAGTCTTTTGACAGCTCTTCCCCAGAGATGCTCAAGGAAGAACGAAGGCTTGAAAGTAGTGTTTTCATCAACTTGCCCCATTCAGCTGTTAATGTCAAGGTTTGCACACTCAAATGCCAGTGGGATCGGGGCATCTAACATAAATGCATAGGGCAGTGGAGAAGCTTCTGGGATCTCCGATTTCCTCTTCCCTACACCTTCAAAGTCTTGAGCTCAGGAACCCACTGCTTTTTTTTTTTTTTTTTTTTTTTTTTTTTTTTATGCTTAAAAGTGATAAAGAGGAGAGGCACAAGGAAGAGAAATATGTTGGGAGAGACCCCTTCTCTCTACCTTCATGAAGGGGAAATTTCTAGTTTACCTGTTGGGGTTTCCTATTGGGAAAGGTGTTCTATATGGAGTGAGGAAGGCGGTGAAACCCCATGACTTGGGCCTCAAAGGTTGGTTCTCACAGGACCTCCTGTGGAAGGGACCCCAGAGAAGCAGCAAATTCCATACATGCCCCTGTCACCTTTCCCATCCTCGGAACGTCAAGGGACCTGGTCCTTGGGAAGAGCTGCGTTTGCTGAGGGATGGGTTAAAGAGGGTGCCCTTCCAGCGACCCTAGATGAACTTGGCGAAGGGGCGGCAGCCTTCCGGGCCCGTTCCCCCAGCGTGCGTGTTCACTCGACCGCCCCTGACCACCCCTAATGGGTCACTGGCCATCGGGCTGTTGTCCTCGGCGCTCGGGAGCTCCTGTGAACAGGAGGCCGGGGCCGGGGTCATCCGGGCCCGGGGCTTCAGCACGTTCAGGGGGTCCCGCTCCGAGTCGTCCTCGGCGCTCCGGGTGTGCCGCCGTGGTATGGGGGTGTTGAAGTGAATTAGGGGGATCTCGTTCCTCCGGGACAGGAACTGGGAGTACGGGGGTGGGTTCATGCCTGGCAGGAAGGCTCTCTTCGCCCGGCCCAGACTGACCAGGAAGTGATACTGAGGAGAGTGGTAGACGTCGTACCCGTTTTCCAGCGTCTGGTGTTGGAACCTGCAGTTCTCCGGGTCGAAATAGTGCTGGAAGGACAAGAGCGAACCACGTGAAGGCTGGCAGTGGGGGCCCCACCCACTCCCCAGCTCCTCCTGGGGCCACATGCTTGTGCCAGCCGGCCTGAAGCTCTGCAGTTCTTAGGGCGTTGAGCCTTCACCCCTTTGTTCCCTGCTGGGGTAGAGTGGTTTTGATTAATGCTCAAGCCCTGACTATATAGTTCGCCCTTTCAGAGACTACGACTACTGGGGCCTCCGCTTACTGCCTGGAGGCCCGGGCTGGCCTGGCCTGTGGTTTTCCTGGAGTAGGCACCACCTTGTCCTTCCTGCCCTCTATCTTTTCCAAGCCTCTGCTGGCTGAAAATTGGCTTGGGTTTGTCTCTTTACTGGAGAAAGGAGAGGGGATGGAGTTTATAGGGTCAAACATGAATGAGAGCACTGACGGGATTGGAGACATGAACTTTGCTGACAGATGAGCTGGGTTTGAATCCTCTACCACTAGTACTGGGTTTTACTGAGTGCCCCACGAAGGCCTTTGCCTGTTATTTCTTTTAATCCTCAAGCTCCACAAAGTAAGCAGTTTACAGATCAGGACTATCTACATGCCTAGAGGGGTTAACGGATGTTTAGTTAGTTATCTATATTTCAATAGTGGTTCAACAGATTTTTTGTTTGTTTGTTTACCTACTCTAGCCAGACACTATTGTAGGGGCTGGGATGCAGCAGAAAGCAAAACAGAAAGTCTCTGTTCTTGTGGAGTTTCTAGTGGGCATGTGTGGTGGTCAGAGACTCCTGAGATAAGCAGTCCTACTATTTTACTATCTCAAAATCCTCCAAAAGAGGCCAGCAGCCTTTAGTTTGGGAAATCCTTTGCTTACCAATCCGAATGAATAGCTATCACAATTGGGGCAGGGGTTATTAATTAAAAATCTTTAACTGGAGGGAGCTCCACAGGTCACGTGGTCTATTCCACTTCGCTTTTTCCAAGTGAAAATGCTGAAGTTTGGAGAAGTGAGGAGATTTACCCAAAGTCACAGCTAGTCCCAGAATCAAGAAGACACCAATGGCTTTTCACCCTTTCTAATGTACTTTACAACGTGAATTGACATGACTTGAGGACCTACGACTACATACCAGGGCCTGTGCTAGATTCAAAAGTGGGTTCCACAACCCAAATGTCCAACAATGATAGACTGGATTAAGAAAATGTGGCACATATACACCATGGAATACTATGCAGCCATAAAAAATGATGAGTTCATGTCCTTTGTAGGGACATGGATGAAATTGGAAACCATCATTCTCAGTAAACTATCGCAAGAACAAAAAACCAAACACCGCATATTCTCACTCGTAGGTGGGAATTGAACAATGAGATCACATGGACACAGGAAGGGGAACATCACACTCTGGGGACTGTTGTGGGGTGGGGGGAGGGGGGAGGGATAGCATTGGGAGATATACCTAATGCTAGATGATGAGTTAGTGGGTGCAGCACACCAGCATGGCACATGTATACGTATGTAACTAACCTGCACAATGTGCACATGTACCCTAAAACTTAAAGTATAATAATAAAAAAAAAAAGTGGGTTCCAATGGGCAGTGCAGACTAGGGGCTGAGAGCCTGGGATCTGGAGCCAGATTGCCTGAGTTCAAACCCCAGCTATTAAACGTGAGCATTCACGTTTAATTCATACTTAGACTGCATGAAGTATCAGTGGAAACAGGTCACCAGGGTACACTGCAAATGGAATTGTTAAGCTAGAAAAGTCTATGTCGTGTCAAAGAAATTAGGTTAATTGTTTGCAAATGGTGACCAACACAAAAAAGAAACTCACTGATCCAAAAATGTTGCCTCTGAAATCCATGCAGAGGTATCTTCTGCTCATCACACCTGTAATCACCACAAAGCCAGCATCCTCTGATCTGATCATCAGGGCACCTATGGAGAAAAACAGGCAGGGCAAAGACTCATTGCCATCCAATTCCCACCTTCAAGCACCTCCTGAAAACCTACCTTCATGAAACCTCCCTGGATTGATTTTAAGGGTGGTGATAACTTCAGCACTCTTAAATTCAGCCTCATTTCTGCATATTCAGCGTTTCTTCTGACATCCTCTCTTGCCCCCAACACACATACAGTCATTCACCTCCTGCTTCATCTTGTTGCCTGTATGGGGCACTCTGAGCTCCTGGAATTCTTCTACCTGTGCTGAACACATGTTTCTCTCTCTCTACCTGGACCGTCTTTATTTTCCCTTTTGCCTTACTAATACCTTTGAATGTTTGTGGTGATAGTCACATTCTTCCATGCCTTCTACTTTGTGATTTTTAAATCTATGCTGAGATGTCTTTCAAGGATCCAGCTTGCCATAGAGTCTGATTCTCCTCCTGGATGTCTGTGTAATTGTCTAATACATCAGTCAACACCCAGTATGTGTACAGAATGGTAGTAGAGTTGATCTCCCTCTTCCTTCTCTACTTATTGAAGTCACTCACTCTTCAAGACCAGGCTCAGGCGTCACCATCTCTATGAAGACTTTCCTCATCTTTCCATTCAAAATCAGTTGTTCTTCCTTCTCAGCTCCTCAGGACAATGCCTTCACCTCTATTACAGCATGTATTCCATTTAACTTGCTTTAGCTGAGTTTACCTATCCAGTGCGTTCCTTAGAGTGAGCTGCTTAGGAGCAGAGGGTATAACTGTTTATGTTGAATCAATATAAGTGACGGATGGAATTTTCTTCTTGGCTCTTCTTGGGTTGGTTCTTTGTCATTTTCTCACTTGGTGGTGACCTCTCCAGGTGCAGCCCCTCATGGACTTTCAGTGTCCCCTCTCAAAAACTAGTCTCCGACAAGGGCCTGAAACCCATTCACACGACCTACCTCTTAAGTAATTGATAATGGCTTTAAATTACTGTTTTGTGGCAAAGGCACAATTAGATCATATACTGGTGTAACATGCGTGATAATTCAGCGAGATTTCTTCCCCACATGTTATTTAATTACCTGACATTTTCTGTTAAAAATCATTACTTTAGGTCTTTGGGGCTACTTCCAGTTGCCTATCACAGAATTTCTAGGTGCATCTCATCTGACCTCATAGCCTCCAGGGAGGCAGCTAGAATCCCATGCAGGGATTCTAATTCCTCTTCTGCAACTGTAGCTTGGAGAGGTTGTAAATGCCCAATGTTTGTGCCTAGCAAGTGATGGAGCCTTGTGGGGGTGATTTAAAGGCCAAAGCTCTTCTCCTATCCCATGCAGGCTCAATACAAGGACCTTTGAGGAAAATAAGCAGCAATAATTAGGTACTAGCTGAGTAGAAATCATGATAGGGACTGAAATTGGACTGACGCGGAACAGAGGGAATGAGGGTGGAGACAAGCCCCAGAAAGGTGAGAAAGGAAGAGGGCCAAAGAGAGAAGTTAATTTGTTTCAAAGTTTGGCTGAGGGGAACCTTGAGGAAAGCTTCCCAGAAAGTGGACTGGGGTATGACAGGCGCAAAGGATGCTTAAATTCCTCCACAGTGGTGTCTGCCTATGTGTCTCAAATGTATGGCTAGTTTTGTGGTAAACCTTTGGAGAAATATAAGGAACGTGTAAGAAATGGTTTCGACTGGGTGCGGTGGCTCATGCCTGTAATCCCAGCACTCTGGGAGGCTGAGGCGGGTGGATCATGAGGTCAGGAGATCAAGACCATCCTGGCTAACACGGTGAAACCTCTTCTCTACTAAAATACAAAAAAAATTAGCCAGGTGTGTTGGTGGGCACCTGTAGTCCCAGCTACTCGGGAGGCTGAGGCAGGAGAATGGCATGAACCTGGGAGGCGGAGCTAGCAGTAAGCCGAGATTGCACCACTGCACTCCAGCCTGGGCGACAGAGCGAGACTCCGTCTCAAAAAAAAAAAAAAAGAAATGGTTTCTGTTCTGGTGACTTTTCAGTCTAATTGGGAAAAAATTACATTTAGTAATGGTCTTTGAGCGGTTGCACTCTAAGCACTTTACATATTTTAAATTCTCAAAACAAATTTTATATTGTTAGTACTGATTATTATTATTATTAGTAGTAGTAGTAGCAGCAATATCCTAATTTAAGTGATAAGGAAACTAAGACAGGATTGAAACTCAGGTCAGAGACATCTTCCCACCACCCGGTAACAAGCCTCCAGCAGAAATCACTAAGAGTCTGAGAAGACAATATCAAATGCTAAAATACATGCTGCAGGCAGTGAGGACAAGGAGTCACAGCAGCACTAAGGGCTCGGGGAAGGGGCACTGAGCCAGGTGCCAAGAACCAGGGGACTTGGATTTTGGTCCCAATTGTGCCACTTGCTGACCTTGCACTAGCCTCAGTTTCCTCAGCTGTGAAATAGAACAATGGCTGTCCTGCCTACTTCATAGGGTGATGATCGAAGGGGATAATGGTGGTAAAAGTGACTCGAAAGTGTCGAGCAAACAGAGGACATCACGTGGCGTGTTCTGACCTGCTGTTTATGCCGGGCCCATGCCTTGACAGGTGTGCTGGCTTGATGCTTGGGGTCAGTGTGGGCAGTGTGTATGGCACACACGCTCCTGGTTTCCAGAGCCAGTCCCCCTAGAAAACATCCGGCGGTGGTTGAGGAACTGTGAGAAGCTGCTACGGAGGGCACACAGACTCTTCCATCAAACAGTGTGAGCCAATGTGAAAGTTTAGAAAATGTGAGAGAGTCAGAGTTTCTTTCCTTTGTGCTTTCAAAAGGCATCTTTTCGCAGTCTGCACAGATTCAAGGGAGAATTTTGCAGAAGGAAGGAACAAACCATGGACTGCCGGAGCAACCAGCCCCGCCTGTTGGAGCTGAGCAGGCTTAATGGACTTTGCCTTCAATGACGGAGGTGTCTCCGTGCGTGTGACCTTGGAACAGCTTGGGATTTGGGGTCAAGGTGTCCTCTAGGTCTTTTACTACCTGTCTGACCTTCAGCCAGTTATTTAAGTTCTTTAACTCTTGTTTTTTCACATATAAAATGAGGACAGCAGAAACATTTACCTCATTTGGTCATCTTGAAGACATAATGAGATAATGTTTTTATCCTTTAGAAAGCACTTCCTAAGTGCTAGTAATTTTTACTATTACCACTTTGCTTCAACCTCTGCTTATAGAAGTAGAAAATTATCTACTCCATTCTACTCTTGTGGCCAGTAAGTGATAAATAAGATGATAGCAGTGAAGTGCTTTGAGCACCTCAAAAGAAAAACGTATGAAAAAGGCTGAAGGAGCTCAGCGGTAATTCAGCTTCAATAAAGATAGTTCCTATGGGGAAGATGGAGGAAGTGAAAATAGCAGGATCTAGGAAATGATATTACCAGGGACAATAAGCATCTCTCTCTTGCTGTTTCCATATAATAAGGATAAAGGGGAGTCAGAGGATGGCCTTGTTCATGGAACGGGTGATAAGGACACCAGAGGGGTACCTGGCAGCAGCGCTTGTGAGTCCTAAGGGAGCTTGAAGAATCTGGTAGGCAGGAGATAACTTCATTTTGTCAAGTCCAGTGACCCAAAGATGGGTTGTGCACTCAACTCTTAAGAATTTCTTACAGCAAAGTAATAAGATAAACCAGAATTCAATAGAAATGGATAATTAGGAGGGGAAAAAATACCCCTCACATTTTAGGTTTCCATCAGTGTAAAAACATTGCTTAACAGTCACTGATGAGGTCATTACAAATCCTTCACCAGACATTTAATTAGTTGTGCTTCTTATCTACATGCATTAATCTTTCCTCTTTCTTTTGGGTAACGTTTTTTTTTTGAGACGGAGTCTCACTCTGTCACCCAGGCTGGAGCACAGTGGTGCGATCTCAGCTCACTGCAAGCTCCACCTCTGGGGTACAAGCGATTCTTCTGCCTCAGCCTCCCAAGTAGCTGTGACTACAGGCAGGCACCACACCCCACTAATTTTTGTATTTTTAGTAGAGACAGGGTTTCCCCATGTTGGCCAGACTGGTCTCGAACCCCTGACTTCAAGTGATCCTCCCACCTCGGCCTCCCAAAGTGCTGAGATTATACGCGTGAGCCACCGCATCTGGCCTCTTTTGGGTAACTTTTAATTGTAGTGTGTAATTTTTTCCTGCACTTTTTTTTTCCCATAATACACATGACAACTCATTGAACAGTACAAAAAGTTATCTACATAGACTAGGAAAAGTAGATCTCCCTCCCACTACCCTGACCCGAAGTTCCCCTCCCCGCATTCATGTTTAACTCTTTAAAGATGCAATGTTTAGCTAGTGCCTATGTCTAAGGAAACAAAATCACATTTCTATTTTTAAAAATCTGAAGTCAGTTCAATTTATTTTGCTGCTTCTCAGTCATTTTAATTCACTCTAACTAGCACTCAGTGATCCCTTGGGGCCTGATACGAGGTGGGCTTTCAAGGAAAAGGTCTAAGTTCAGACTGCCAGCCCAGGAGGTTGACTCTTCACACTCACTCCCCACCGTAGCCGGCCTGTTCTGTTCTACCCTAATTCTTGTTCAGGAAGAAACGTCTTTAAGGAGTTCCTTTCAGCAACGGGATTCCAGGATTCGAGACAAGTTGTATAAACATTCTCTAGTTGGATGCAGCCCTTTCCATCTAAGAGAATCAAAATAATTTACCATAATCTACTATTCTGCATTTTAAATCACATATAGTCTTTTTTTTTTTTTTTTTTTTTTTTTTGAGATGGAGTCTCGCTCTGTCACCCAGGCTGGAGTGCAGTGGCGCAATCTCGGCTCACTGCAAGCTCTGCCTCCCGGGTTCACGCCATTCTCCTGCCTCAGCCTCCCAAGTAGCTGGGACTACAGGCGCCTGCCACCACGCCTGGCTAATTTTTTGTATTTTTAGTAGAGATGGGGTTTCACTGTGTTAGCCAGGATGGTCTCAATCTCCTGACCTCGTGATCTGCCTGCCTCGGCCTCCCAGAGTGCTGGGATTACAGGCGTGAGCCACCACACCTGGCCCACATATAGTCTTGAATTAGAGTAAGGGTGTCCCCTCCATGAGACATGCAAAATTGCATTTCCTGAAAGTCTGGTAGTGAGCTGGCTGACAAGGTAGGACGACAGACCATGAGGTCCTTGAAGGGTTGTGTCTTAGTTTTCAGCCACAGCGCTTGGTAGAATGCCAGGCACATGGTAGATCCTATTAAATATCCATTGAATAAAATGAACAACACTTCGGGTGCATCAAGTGTATCCAGATTTAATTGAAATTTTTGCCATGAGACTCAAACTTGGTTTCCAAGATGTTGACTCCTGAGTCTTACTATATTCTCTGGAGTTCTGGAACCTGTTTGGTATTCGGAGAGAACTTTCCTCTCTCCTTTTATCTCCTGTCAATATGCATTTAGTACTTGAAGAGGTTAAACTGTCAATTTCGCATGTTATATATCTTGCAACTTAATTTTGCATGTTGTATATCTTGCAACCAGGTTTAAGGACCTTTGGAGCCTAGAAGAATAAATGCCTCACACACAGCAAGGTCACAGCAAAAATAATTAATTTATTTATTACAACAATAAAGGGCAAATCATAATTCCTATGTTTTCTTTAGTTAGAGATTGTCTAACTAATTTTTCTTTCCTTTAATTTGAGCTATATTGGATCAGTTTGCATTTTTCTGTATGCTTTGAGGTGTTTTCTCACGTTTTCTTAAAATAGAAGATCCAGTCTTTTTCAATATCTATCCCTGCTTTCACCACATTACCCCTTATATAGGTGCACACAAAGGGACCCTCATTTGAATCATTGCTAATGGATTGATTATTGTGGATTGTGATCCAATTCTCCACAAACCTGATCTTTAAAAACATTCCAGTTGTCTCATGTTGCCAATAAGTTTCTAACTAGCTTGACTTGCTACTGACTGGACACCTTTCAGTTCCACAGAGAAGAATCACCAACTCATACTGGGTACCTGGGTACCTGGGTGTCTGAAACACCCATTAAACCTGTTGGATGGATGGATGGATGGATGGATGGATGGATGGATGGATGGATGGATGGATGCATGGACAAATGAATGGGTGGATGGGTTGTATACTTGGCCATTCTCACCAAGACAACATACATGGACAGTCTGTCTTTAATACATTTTTCCAAGAATTTTTATAAGGCCAGAGTTGGAAAGAGCCCCCAGATTTATCTATAACAATCTGGGTATGACCCAGGAATCTTTACAACCTCCCTAGTTAACCCAGTCCAAAGTCCATGAGCTGAAACTTAGTGTCTGTTGATCTGCCTGGCTTCTTTTTCTCTTAGACTCCTTGCCTTTCTTTCTGTACATTTTTTCAATCTTTTGACGGGGCAAAGGGAACATGGCTCCTACTGTGGGAAGGGTTTTAGTTGAAATAAAAATTATTCATATTGAGAAAAACCAGCAAATGCTAATTAGGAGAGTGACAGAATCTTCCCCTAAGTTTTAAATACACACGCACACACACACACACACAAACACACACACACACAAAGACAATAAGTGGTTCCTGGGCAGAAAGCTAGGAGGGTTGGATTAGCCCTCCAGTCTAGTCCCCAACCTCCCCAAGCCTCCTGTAGATGGACAACAAGGGTGCTCCCCTTCTTCCCAGCCTGAAGCCCTACTCACTGTAGATGGTCTGATGGGGTGCGCCATCCACATGGCCATTCTTGTGGATCTGCAGGTGGTAGCTGTTCCTGGCTGTGGCTGTGTACAGGTGGATCAGGCCACCCCAGCTGGAGCCGAGCAGTGGGGAGGCATTGGGATAGGCTCTGAGGACGCTCATGCTGCAGACGCTGCACAAGGCACAGACCCAGAGCCTGAGGCGGGCCCCCAACATCGTGCCCTGCTCTGAGTGGCTGGTGCTGAGATTGAAACCTGACACTCCTGTCGGGACTCTCCTGGCCCAGGCCTTACTGGCCTTTTCCTTCTCCCTTGCAAGTAGCTGGTGTGAGGATCCTAGACTGGATTCCCTCCTTTTTGCCGTCAGACTTTTAAAGGGTAGCAGTGTGACATCAAACAGGAAAAACTCCACTGTCCACATCCTCTGTGTTGTAATCAGCCCATTGAAAGAAAGTGCAAAGACCCCGGAGGCGCACGGAAGGCACGTCGGTTCCAGACACACACACCCCTCAATTTCAAGCCAACGCTCCAAAAAATGAATGACGTGTGGGCAAAAGTTATCTGCCACTCTGGGCTGTCTGTTGACCTGTCCCACTTCCATCAGGAAATGTGAAGGCAGCCAGCGGTTCCCAAAAAAAATCCAGCTTCAGTCAAGCAGTCAACCGACTCCTAGGCAATTAATCTCCTGTCGAGTTTACTTATTTTGGTTTTCTTTAAATTCCAATCAGCAAGTATGTATCCAGTGCTTAATCTGTGAGCAGGATTTGGTGGGTAGCTTGCAGGATATAGAGATACATGACACCATCAGGCAGATGGCATCCTCTAAGAACACCCACTTCATGAAAGATGGGAGCTAGGAGCAGGGGCACAAAAGCCAAAGTTGCCATTTTGGGAAGATTTTGAAATGGAAGAAAAAGAAGTAAGGCCTTGAGGTCAGTGAACATGCCAAGGTTCAGTTTCTCAGCTTCCTTAGTCTGGACTTCACTGAATATGCCAAGGTTCAATTTCTCAATTTCCCTAGTTTGGACTATCGAGGGCAACTAAACTAGTAGTCTCTCCAGTAGTAAGGAGACTCATTCAGAGACCTCATGGGGATTGGAACAGCTGCTGGCTGAGCACTGGGGATCCGAGCCTCAGGACAGGGTGTCCCCACATTTAGTGTCTGTACATGAGTGCTCAGCTTGGTGTTGGATGCCTGCCTGCAGATGCTGTTCACAGTGAGCCCTCTGGGAAGCTACACCTGATGTCGGGTGGAATAGTCCTGGCACATACAGTCTAAAGGGGAGCAAGCTACTGGAACACACACCCGAAAAAACACACAAGGAGTTTGCTATTCTTCCAGTTTCCCTGTACTGAGTATATGCCATGTACAGGCATCAAGCTAGACTCATGTACAGGTTGATATAGGAGACAGCAAGATGTGATTCCTATCTTGAGGAGCTCAAATCTAATGCAGGAGGCAGATAAAAATAAGTAACTATAATACAAAATGAGTGCAAGCTTACAGGTATAGACAGAAAGAGATGGCATTTGTTACCCTACATTTGTACAGTTTTTTTTTATAGTTTACAAAGCATTTTCACATCTATTAGCTTATTTGAACCTCACTGCCACTCTGTGAGATAGGCACTCCATGCATTATCAAGATTTTAATACTTTACATGAAGAAATGGAAATCTTAGTGTTTCCATGTCCAAAGGCACAAAGCAAATAAATGGTAGAGCCAGGACAAGGTCTTCTCCTTCCCTAGGCTGCTTCTCCAAAGAATCACAGCAAGAACTAACGCTCATGGAGAGCTTACTGTTCCACTTACTGCTCTAAGTGCTTTACTTGTAGTAACCCATTTCATCTTCAGAATAACTCTTTGAGGAGATGCTGTTATTTTCTTTATATAGATCAGGAAACTGATCTATGCACACAGTTTAAGTAACTTGCCTAGAGATAGAAAGGTAACATGTGGAAGAGGTTGGATTTGAATCCAGGTCTGGCCCCAAGACCTCCTAAGCACTTTTCAAGGTGTCCAAACCCATACAACATGTTAGAGCTAAAGCCATGAGAGCCAGGAGCTTGGTAAAAAAGTGCAGGTGGCAAAGCAGTCCTCTGTTATTCTCTAAAAACCCAGGCTTTTACCCAGGATGAATCTCTAGGACACATGGTGCTTGTCTCCCCAGGGTTGAGTGGAAGAAGTATGACATGAAATGTTTATATGTAAAACAGTCTTCTTTACTAATAGCCACAGAATGGATTATAAATATAATGCTACGTCTTAGCTAATTGAAGAAATAGCTAGCTTTCAGAATTGAGATGCAAATCACTTAGGAACATTTGCCCTGCATTTCTTATTCTGGTTGTGAAAGGTAAAGAGATGGGAAGTAATTATAAGGCAATCAGCAGCCATTGAGAACCTTCTCCATGTAAGAGATGAAAGGGAGGGTGTAGGACTACAAAGCAGGACTAACTCCTCTAGGGGCTCCCAGTGTAACTGAGCAGGGAACATCTTCGTTCAATACAAGGCACTGTGTGGGAGGAGCTTCATTACTAGGAGCAAATTAGTGAAGATGTGGTACTATATTTATAAACCATTCTGTGGCCATTACTAAAGAAGCCTGCTTTATACATAAACATTTAATGTCATACATCTTCCAAACAACCCTGGGGAGACAAGCACTATGTACCCTAGAGATTCACCCCGGGTAAAGACCTGGGTTTCCGAGAGAATCATGGAGGAGTGCTTTGCTGCCTGCACTTTTTTACCAAGCTCCTTCACAAAAAAGAAATGTTGACCAGGCGTGGTGGTTCATGCCTGTAATCCCAGCACTTTGGGGGGCCGAGGTGGGCAGATCACTTGAGGTCAGGAGTTCGAGACCAGCCTGGCCAACACGGTGAAACCCTGTCTAAACCCCGTTTAGTAGAAACCCTGTCTCTATTAAAAATACAAAAAAATTAGCTGGGCGTATTGTGTAATCTCAGCTACCTGGGAGGCTGAGGCAGGAGAATCACTTGAACTGGGAGGTGGAGATTGCAGTGAGTTGAGATTGCACCACTGCACTCCAGCCTGGATGACAGGGCGAGGATCTGTCACCAAAAAAAAAAAAAAAAAAGGTCATGGTGGGTAGATGCTGTGGTCAAGGAGGGCTTTGAGGGAAGGAGAGAACTGAGGGAGCTTTGTAGGATACACAGAGAAGGGTTTTCCCCAGCACCTGCCAAGCATGATGGAGAGGGAGCACAGGTGTCTTGGGATAAGTCCACAGCCATTCGGTCATTCCCCTAGCTCCTGGAGCGACTGGGGAAGGGGCTCCTCCGTGGCCACCTCAGCTTGTCTTATTAGGAAAGAGAGCCCTGTGCCAGCTTACCCAGGTCCAAAGCCTCCCCTCCAAGAAGAAGCCCTGTGTGCTTAGCATCTGGCTCTAATGGCAGAGTCCAGCCCAGAGGAGTAGACTTATTTTTAAGGAGGATGGGAGGAGAAGCAGCATTTCCCACTTAGAGAGAGTAAAGGAAGGCGCAAGAATCTCAGATTAATTCTCCCCATTTGAGATAGGGAAACACTGAGAGCGGAGATGAAGATTTGCCCATTGGAACACGGAGACAGCAGAATGTCCAGCTCCAGGCTGAACTCCCTACCAGTGGCTTCCAAATCTGGCTGCTCACTGGAATTACCTGTGGAGCTTTAAAGCCATAATTGCCCCAGGACTAATCTTAGACCTACTGAATCTGCAGGGGCAAAAGTCAGTTATTTGTACTTTATTCAAAGCCACCTGGGAGATTCTAATTCTCCACACCAGATGTGGCTGATACTAAAGTACTTATCAATAAACAGGCTTTGAGCGCCAACCACACATCAAGCACTGGAAATAGTACACAGAGACTAAGGCCCTCTTCAGTGGCAGGCTCAACTTTCCGTTCCCTTCTAGGATGTCCATCCTAACTGCAGGTCAAGATGTAAATGGGCCTTTCTAGGGAATTTAGTACTGAATGCTAAATCAGTACCTCGTGCTGACAAGTACCCTGTCCTTGAGTCCAGTGCATGGTCTCCTCTGAAGCTTCAGTGGGTAAGAGAAGGGAG
The DNA here is from genome assembly GCF_000001405.40 of Homo sapiens. Lineage (NCBI taxonomy): Eukaryota > Metazoa > Chordata > Mammalia > Primates > Hominidae > Homo > Homo sapiens. Next base: position 4,383,429 of record NC_000012.12, read on the forward strand.
AGGCCAGGACATGTCGGTTCCTGTCCTTTGCACCTAGAGGGCACTCCTCCGTCACAGTTCAGGTCCAAGGGTCTGGGAACCAGTGTGACCTTAGGAGCCCAAAGAGAAACACAGATAGATACCAGCTGTGAACAGGAAGCCCAGGGAGGAGGCCCTGGGTTTGTGCTGTTTGGACGTCACTGTCCTTGGTTCCCAGGTAGCTACCTGAATGCAGCAGATAGGCTGGTCCCATGGCAGGCAGGGAAACCTGTTGTCTCCAGCCTGGTTTGGAACCCACTTCTCTGGCATTAAGAGAATTTGCCCCGGGAGCTGTGTGGAAGCATCAAGTCTAGTCCCTGCATTTACGCTCATAGAATCAAGGCTCTTAGTATAGATAAGGGCCTATAAGAATCTGTATTCCGGCTGGGCGCAGTGGCTCATGCCTGTAATCCCAGCACTTTGGGAGGCTGAGGCGGGCAGATCACCTGAGGTCAGGAATTTGAGATCAGCCTGGGCAACATGGTGAAACCCTGTCTCTACAAAAATACAAAAATTAGCCGAGCATGAGTGCGTGCCTCTCGAGCGTGCTGCTCGAGAGGCTGAGGCAGGAGAATTGCTCGAACCTGGGAGGCAGAGGTTGCAGTGAGCTGAGATTGCACCACTGCACTCCATCCTGGGTGACAGAATAAGACCCTGTCAAAAAAAAAAAAAAAAGTATTCCTGCAAGTTCATTACTTTCCTTCATCTCCTGACTTCTTTTTATCAGCATCTGCTCTGAGAAGGTACTGAAGAAGATTCTCACCCAGATCATGTTCACTCAAAGTAAAGACTGGGCAATAATTTTCAAACAATAACATCAACTTCATTGTCCTTAGCTATGATGAAAAAATGTCAGAGGAATCAAGGTAAAAAAAAAAGCTGGGAGATAGGAGAGAAGGTGATCTCACGGTGGCTTGCAGCCTTCTTTTCTTTTTGAGATCCTGGAAGGACCTGGCAGGCCTCTGCTCCCTGTCCCTTCACTCCTCCTGAGTCTGTCTCCACCATTTCAGTAACGGTGTCCCTGCCCTCTTGCTTTCTCAGAGCATTACATGTCGTCCAGACCTCCAGCGTTCAGGGAGATGGATATCTAAGCCATCTAGAACAAAAATTTTTTTTTTTTGGCTTCTTGAAGTTCTCTGGAGAGGTGCCATTCCTGTATCTCATCTGAAAATGTCATCCCAGTGTCATCTTGACAGCAAAAATGTGCTTCCCTATAGCCAATCTGATTCTCTCTTGCTTTAATGCATCCAAGCAATCAACACATAACTTTTTATGGAAAGCCTGTTATATGGCTACTACCTTGTAGAAAATCTTTAGAGAAGTCTGAGAATGAAAAGGTACAGTCCTGATCTTCAGGGAATTTGCAATCTACTAGGCAGAATATTCTTTGTATTTGTCTAGCACTTCACAGCCCATAAAGTACACTCATATCTATTGTCTCTTCTGAGGCTCAAAACAGTCCTATGGGCAGGTCTGGGGGGTGTCGGGGACGACTTTCCCAAGAGCATCCTGGCTCCTGATACACACATTCTGTTATCGTAGGAATTTAAAGAAAAGAGAGAAAAAAAACATGACTTTAAAAAATCTGTTTTTATTAAAAAGTAGATCAATGCAGAAATGTATGAAGTAGAAAGTGAATATACAATATAGTTTGTAACCTCTAGAGGTAAAATGTTATCAAAGACAAATTATAGCTTTAGGGCATATATATAAAATATATATTATATTTAATATAATAAAATACATTAATATATTGCCAATAATACATGTTAATAAAATATATAATGTATTAATAAATATTTAATAAAATATGTATATATTTATATTTATGTATTTCTAAATAGGTACATATTTAACATTATATATTAATACTAAAGTGTATATTATATATAAGTATATATATTTAAATATGCACTTTTATTTTAAAATTTAAAAAAAATTTTGCATCTATCAGCCAGAAAAATACGCACTTTTAAAAGACAAAATTGAGGGCATACCGTATATAATATATACCCACTTTGTCCGCTGAAGTCTATTTTGACCACCTTTCCAGGTCAGTATGCATATCTTTACCTCATTCTTTTAAATTATTCCATTCCATTGTATTTGAAAGTGGTCAGCTCTTCTGAAAGCTTCATTTCCTTCCAAGCTCTGCCCCAGAGGCTTTTGTGGTGGTTCCCAAGGCCACAGGACTTTATGTTTACATGTATGTGTATATACACATACACACCCATTATATACATGTGCATACATACATATAAACAGATACATACACACATATACATATAATAATGGCCCTGCATGGGATGGCACTGGTGGCTGGGGTTACCGCAGTTCTCTGCCACATCAAGAACTTACCCCCTTTTAGTCTAGAACCAATACCTCCCATAGAATCAGTCTCCAGTTCCCTTCTTTCCCTCCAAATGACATGTTCAATTTCTCCTCCCCAAGACAAAATTTCCAGCTTATTTTTGTCATGGCAGCCTTTCCAAAATAAAGGCCCACGGGAGGGCTTGTCTTCAGGGCAGCCTTCTCCAATGGGCAAGGAAGCCTGGAATTCCAGCAGCGGGGGGACATCAAGGCTTGGAAAGGGGTTTGAATCCACAGAAGATGTAGCGGTGCTTCTCCACGGTTCAGCTGTGATAGTTTTCACTTCTGCCACTATGGCCAATAAATCTCCACACTTGCAGTGATCTCATAAAGACCACACTTGTTAATTTATAAATATGGCCACTGATAGCTGGTAATGACTGCTGATGACAAGGTGACAAGGATGGGCATAGAAGTGCTATTTACCGAAGCCTTTGGAAAATAAGCTACGATTTTCAAACGTGTAATATAAAATTTGCAACCTATTTTGAACTTAATACAGAGCATAAAGTTTTTATAAGAATAGGAAATGTTTGAGGGTATTTAAATATGCATATCTGAGTGTTTATTTATTTAGAAGTTTAAAGTCGTTCAAAAGTATAAAACAGCTATGCTGAGTATCAGAATTCTGAAGAACATTAGAAGAGAGAGGGTAACTGAAAAGAAACTGATGCAAAAACCATGCAAAAAGAATGGCTGCATAAAAAAGAATGAATTCATGTCCGTTGCAGCATCATGGATGCAGCTGGAGGCCATTATCCTAAGCAAACTAATGCAGAAACAGAAAACCAAAGACCACATGTTCTCACTTATAAGTGGGAGCTAGACATTGGGTATGCATGGACATAGAGATGGGAACAACAGACACTGGGAACTACTAGTAGGGGAGGGTAGGAGGGAGGAAAGGCCTGAAAAACTACCTATTGAGTACTATGCTCACTACGTGGGTGATGGGTTTAATCATTCCCCAGACCTCAGCATCACATAATATGACCTTGTAACAAACTTGCACACGAACCCCCGATTCTAAAATAAAAGTTGAAAAAAAAGTTGGGGGGAATGCCTGGAAACCAGCAGAAACAGAGAAACCAAAGGGCTAATCAACAGCAGGTGCAGATGAGAGAAGCCAGCCAGGAGCTAATTACGTTAGCCAATGACATAATTACAGGCAAGAGCATCACTGGCAAGTGCTGTGCACAGTGAGTGTGGCCCTGTAAGATGTTAGGGGCTGTAGCTGAATACAGCTGATACACTATAGGCTGTCATTCATGGGTAGTTAGTTGTCACTTCGTCCACTGCCTGAGACAGCTGCACAACAGGAGAACTGAGCACAGGGAGGGCACACAAAGTCAAGGACTGGGGCACAGGGATGTTTGGAGCAGTGGCACGCTTCTGTACGATGCTGTGGGTACATGGCACTATGCATTTGTCAAAACCCGTAGAACTGTACGACACAAAGAGTAGACCCTAATGCAAACGGTGGACGTTAGTTAATAATAATGCTTCAATAGTGTTTCATCAGTGATAACAAATGCACCACACTGATGCAAGATGTTAATAGGGGAAATTGTGTGCAGAGTAGGGAGAAGGAATATATGGGACCTCACACTTTCTGCTTAACTTTTCTTTTTTTTTTTTTGTATTTTATTTATCTTTTTTTTATTTTATTTATTTATTTATTTTTTATTATTATACTTTAAGTTTTAGGGTACATGTGCACATTGTGCAGGTTAGTTACATATGTATACATGTGCCATGCTGGTGCGCTGCACCCACTAACTCGTCATCTAGCATTAGGTATATCTCCCAATGCTTACCTTTTCTGTAAACCAGTAACTGCTCTGAAAAATAAAGTCTATCAAAAAAATGAGAGCAAAATTCAGCAAAATGGTGAGCAAAATGAGCAAAATGGTGTTTGATCAATAGGTGTTCAACATTTCATCGCTGCCTGGAATTATTCATTCCAGGATCAGATCCGTGAGATGTGCTGAAACAGCATATATTTCACTGTGCACAGCCAGTTACCTTTCAGTCCTTTAAAACAAGACAAAAGAAAATTTCTCACCCATCCATGTCACGTGGGTTAGCTCCTCCACATGATCTACCCGCCTCAGCCTCCCAGAGTGCTGGGATTACAGGTGTGTGCCACCGCACCCTTTTAATTAATTGATTTTATATAATTAAAACTAATGGAAAAATTAAAAATAAGTCATTAAAAGTAATGGCAAAAAGTTTTTTTTTTTTAGATCTGTATATGCAGCCTTAGGCAAGTGACTCCCTCTTGCACTTGCTCTCCCAGCTTTGAATTGGGGAGGTGGGACATGTGGATGAAATCATCTGTGAAGCTCCTCTCAGCTGCTGCAGTCTGGAGGTAGGATGCTGTCTCATCATCCAGCTTCCCCAAACTGTTTGCTTTATCACCTGCTACACTTGATCATCTACACGGGAGTTACCCACCTTGTCCATGATGACTGGAAGTGTTTACATTCCCTGCTGGGAGATTTGTTTCTCTCTCTCTGCTTTGCTTAAAATGTCCACACTGGATTAGGGATAAACTTAAGGAAGGCATATTCCTTTAATCTAATATATATTATTAGATTATATATTTTTATAATGTAACATTACAGGTACCTATAATAGCGCAACAGATTTCCTCAATAGCAAATCTAAATATGTAAGTAGAACCTTCACCCTACTTCCCTATAGGAAATACACATGGCTTCTGTAATATTATGAAATCCATGGTCTTGCTCTCTCAACTTTGGTGCCCATAACCAGAAGCTCATTTTGCCAGGACAAAAAGAGGTTAAAGCACCTCAGGTGCCCTCAGCTGGGGAATCCTAGAAAACTGAAGGTTATAGCAGAACTTGAGAGCAAAGGCCATTGAAGTCCAGGCCATTGATCAATAGCTGCAGCCTCAACTCCCTTTTCCTTCCCTCTCAACCCCTCACCCCCTCACCCCCTCCTCTTTTCCGCCAACACACTCTTTTTCCTGGAAACCCTCTCCTGGCCTCCACTGCTACAGCCTGTGGGAGATAAGACATGTGTCCCACGGGTGGGGGAGGCCAAGCCTGTGTGAGTGATTTTACAAAAGGTTCACTTTGGGTGATAAGAACAGGGTTATGACTGTTCTACTTAGAGCTAAGCCAGGGAAGAGGGGGACAGCTTTGAAGGAAGGTTTCTCAGTGGAAGATTTGTTCATTTGTTTCCTCCCTCCTGAAACCCTACAAATATTCTTACTTCCAGGAGTCTCCTTAACTCTCCTTTCTTTGTCTCCATCACTCTTTACCCTCCAAGAAAAATGTATTTTCACTTTATATTAGAATGGTGCTTTTTAGCTTTTCAAAATATTTTTATAATGGTTGTCTCATAGAAATAGTCCACTTGGACAGGCACTTCCCCCCAAGCTGTTCTTCCTACAAGTCATTGTGAAGCCACAGCTCCTTTTGGCTGGCAAGACTAGGGCATTTATGGTGCTTACTGGAGGAACCAAGAGCCCCAGCCTCGCTGTCCCCACCCAGGGCCCCCCCACATGTCTCCTCTTTGGGCCTTTTCAAATCAGAACCCCACCAGTTTTCTGAACTTGGGAGACTTGTATCCCCTCCCTCTGTTTCTTCTCCTTCCTTTCCTACCAATGCACCCAAACCGGAGTGACCCTGGAGTCTCTTCTCCCCATCCTCCTCTTTGTATGAGCCATGAAAACAGAATCTGAGAGTTGGACATTGGGAACCCTGGCGATCATCATCCTTGCCTGTTTTTATGAGGTCGGTGCAAAAGTAATTGCGGTTTTTGCCATTACTTTTAATTAATTATTTTTAATTCTCCCATTACTTTTAATTAAATAAAATTAATTAATTAAAAGGGTGCAGTGCCTCACACCTGTAATCCCAGCACTTTGGGAGGCCGAGGCGGGTAGATCACTTGAGATCAGATGTTTGAGACCAGCCTGGCCAACATGGCGAAACCCTGTCTCTACCCAAAATACAAAAATTAGCCAGGCGTGGTGGCGGGTGCCTGTAGCCCCAGTGACTCAGAAGGCTGAGGCATGAGAATTGCTTGAACCTGGGAGGAGGAGGTTGCAGTGAGCTGACATCAGGCCACTGCACTCCAGCCTGGGCGACAGAGCAACACTCTGTCTCAAAAAAAAAAAAAAAAAAAAAAAGTAATGGCAAAAACTGCAACTTTTGTAGTGATCTAATACAAGAAGAAAACTGAGGTCTCCAGAGTGATTTGCCCAAGGTTACACGGCCAAGTTGAGGGCAGAGCTTAGAATTAGAATCAGGTTTCTGACCCTGAGCACAGATGCCCTTCCAGCACCCCTCACTGCAGTAATTCATTTGAACACACTCACTGGAAGGGAATCAGCCACCTGGGCTCTGAGCCTGCCTCAGGACTAGCAGGTGACTTTTCATCTGCCCCATACAGGCATCTCACCCCTCATCTGTGCCACCTGGAATATGCGTGCTGTGAAGATCATGGAAGCCACACTTTGGCATTGGAGGAGCCCTTTGCACACAGACCCCTCCTGCCCTCCTTAGTCCTAGCACTGCCCAGGGAGCAGTGAAGCTTGACTTCCCATAACTTCATGGCCCTCATCTTAGGGGTATGAACTCCTTTTAGTGCCTACAAGGAAGGTTTTGGAATCATTTCTTGCACAATTGTTTTGTCTCCAGCCCTGGTCTTTCCCATACTAACTCACATCATGGAGTGGCAGGAGCTGAGCCACGAGTCTTGGAAGCTGCCTTCACCCTCCCCTCTGTAGGTCTCGTTTCTGGCCTTTGTTGAATACAGGGATTCAACTAGCAGAGGTGTTCCTTCAGGCAGATCCAGCTCTGAAACCTGTGTGCCTCAGCCTCCCATCATGGCTGCACTAACCATTGCCTCAGCATTATCATCTCTAGACCCAGAAATCGAGCTTCTAGAGTTAAAAAATATATATATGGCTTTCTTTACAGATGTCTAAGAATTTGTGTCTTGGTTGAGGCATTCCAACAGTTTCTAGACACCTCCACTATCCTCAAACTAATCTCACTTTTTCTGGGGGTAGGAGGGAATTACTATTATTTTTAATTCTAAGGTAGAGCTTCCTGAACTGTATGTTCTGGAAGCCACCACGGGGGTAAGAGATGCACACAGGCAGTGACTCTCTGAGTCTGCAGTTGCTGGAATCTGGGCTGATGGATCGCCTCTGGAGTCAGGAGTGGCCTCTGTGCCCTAAAAATACTCTCTTTTTTTTTGAGACGGAGTCTCGCTCTGTCGCCCAGGCTGGAGTGCAGTGGCGCAATCTCGGCTCACTGCAAGCTCCGCCTCCCGGGTTCACGCCATTCTCCTGCCTCAGCCTCCCAAGTAGCTGGGACTACAGGCGCCCGCCACCACTCCCAGGTAATTTTTTGTAGTTTTAGTAGGGACAGGGTTTCACCGTGTTAGCCAGGATGGTCTTGATCTCCTGACCTCGTGATCCACCCGCCTTGGCTTCCCAAAGTGCTGGGATTACAGGCGTGAGCCACTGTGCTCGGCCAAAACATTCTCATTTTCTGTGTGGGCCATGGTGTGAAAAGATTGAAAAGCTGTTGAACCAAGGTCCACACACTAGCTACAGGTATAATAACAACCACAGTGACAAAGTGCTTTTGCAGACCCACTCTGGGCTACGTATAACCCCATGACGCAGGCTGGGGCAGTATCATAACATGACATGTTTAAGTCACATGCCCAAGATGACCTGTCATTGAAGCCGGGACTAGATCCTGCGCCGTAAGTCGTGTGTAGTGACATCCCTTACATTTGCAAATAACTTTCCTAACCGTACACTTTTCACAGAGCATTCTCACAGGCGTTCTTTTATTCTATCTTCCCCAAACCCCATGAGATATGAAGAATCCTCATCTTTCATTTGAAGAAACTGAGGAACAATCTGTGACTTGCCAAAGAGCACACACCTAGTATGTGGCAGAACTGAGAGTCAAATCCAGGTTTTCTTACTCTGAATTCAGATCTTTGTCAGTGACCCCACAGCCCTCTTCTATGAATGTCCCTGTTTCCAAGAACGTATCTTCAGGACTGAAGCCACCAGGATGGGCACGTGGCGGGCCAAGGGCAGGGACTGGGGGAGGGAGGGGAACTTGGTACATGGGGAACAAGTTCTATTCAGGGCGAGATTTGATATTTCTTTTCTGGGCGGGGGACGAAGGAGCAATGGTTAGAGCCTTTGGTTCTTCTGCCTGCAGGGCTCAGCCAGGCTGCTGTCTACTCCTGTGAGCCCACTCAATTCCTTGATCCCAAACCAGAGGGAAGGCAGCCATGCTTCCAAGGCTGGGATTCTGCCCAAGGAAGGAACAATGGAAACTTGGGACTGCAGAGGAGCCGCGTGTGTGTGTGTGTGTGTGTGTGTGTCTGTGTGTGTCCACACAGGCTGTCCAGTCTGATTGGTGCTCAAAGGCTGCCCTAGAGGGCCCAGCCCACCCTCTCAGGATGCCTGGGGCTTGTCACGCAGCCCACATCAGGGAGCAGACATCCTGGTTCCCACTCACCTCGTTGGAGCCGGTGACCCAGGCCAGCCCACCACGTTTGGGACTCTGCACATCCGGACTGGTGTTATCTCGGGATCCTGGGACTCCTTGGCTCCCCTGCCCTGCCTCCTCCCTTCCCTGTGGACACGTAGCCACCACACACTTCTCGGAGGGCTATTTCTAGCTGAGGGGCCGGTCTTTCAGCCCCAGCCTGTCAGCTCCGGCCGTCTGTGTGCTGCAGCTGGGACGGGTGGCCTGACACATTGTGGGTTCAGCAGAATGCAGGATGTGGGGGCTTCCGGAGGCAGCATCCCCTCAGCCTGCTGGAGGTCAGGGTTGCTGAGATGTGGGGGTGGAGGACAGACAGGATGCTCCTGCCGCGTGGTCAGGAGGAGCTGGGTGTCTATGGGAGAGGCTAGATCTCAGCCTCCTCACACCTCTAGCAGGTCTCTGACCTTCAGCAGCCCTTTCCCTGGCAAGAATCATTTATTTGTCTTTAGTAGAGCAGATGGTGAATAGCCCTGTGGTTGAATGCAGGCCCTGGGTTAGACAGTCTGGCTCAGAAGCCAAACTATGCCCTGTATGAGGTGTACCATCTTTGTCAACTCACCTTGCTTCTCTGAGCCTCAGTTTCCTGATCTGTGGCAAACGGAATAACAGTACCTGCCTCATTATATTGTTGACAGGATTCAATAATATGACACTTACAATGCTTCATGTCACATGAAGTGCTCACGGAAACCTGCTGGGTAAGTGGTAAATGTTTATTGTTGTTTTGTTGCTGTTGCTGTTGCAGTTGTTATTGTTCCTTTTCCAAACCCCAACCTCCTATCACAACTTCAGGTCATTCCAACAAGCCTCTCACCGCCCAGCAGGATTCCTCACAGGTGGCCATCAGAATTACTGCTATTTCAGAGTTATTTCAGATGCCTGGCACATTTTAGGTGCTCCATAAGTTTTCACCAAATGAAGGAATAAATTCTTCCCTTAGTTTGATATGCTGGAAAGAACACTGACCTTGCAATTAAGACAAAAACCAAAAACAAACCCTGGGTTAGTCCTCAGCCACGCCACTTGGCCAGTGTTGTGATGTGGCAGAGGAAGCTCACTCGGTGTCCCTAAGTCCCCCACCTAAGGCCCTGGCTCCCACCTGGCCTCTTTCCTGGTTGGGAGGACGAATGTGCACAGGGTTGGCACCGCTCTCTAAACCATACAGGGCAGTGCAGTTCAAGGCAGATTATTCTTCATCTTCAGCTATTTCACATTTCAGATTCCCGACTCCAGAAAGATGGATCTGTTTTTTCTTTCTTTCTTTCTTTCTTTCTTTCTTTCTTTCTTTCTTTCTTTCTTTCTTTCTTTCTTTTTTTTTTTTGAGATGGAGTCTCACTCTGTCACCAGGCTGGAGTGCAGTGGCACGATCTCAGCTCACTGCAGCCTCTGCCTCCCGGGTTCAAGCAATTCTCCTGCCTCAGCCTCCCGAGTAGCTGGGACTACAGGCGTGTGCCACCACGCCCAGCTAATTTTTGTATTTTTGTAGTACAGACGGGGTACTAAAAAATACAAAATTGTATCCTGGCCATGTTGGCCAGGATGGTCTTGATCTCCCGACCTCGTGATCCACCTGCCTCAGCCTCCCAAAGTGCTGGGATTACAGGCGTGAGCCACCATGCCTGGCTGATAAATCTGTTTTATTTGACTTCCTTTCACGTTGCCATGTTCTCCACCAGCGCTGAGGTTTGCCTTAATGGTGCCACGGTCTCTTCCGTCTTTTTTATTCTCTCCCTCAAAACATGGGACTCCCTTCCTTCCAAGTTGAAGGAACTGAGCCAACTCACCCCATTAAGGAAGCCTTCCCCCACCAGCTTCACCCAAATCCAAGAACTCCATCCAACTCATCACCCAAATGCTCCCCGTACAGAGGCATTGAGAATGACGTACACTTTTCCTCTGAGTGTATTTTCATATTTTTGAGGAATTCATTCACTTATTTGCCATAACTTTATGAGAATCATCCGGGCACCTTCCACCCTCCCTTGGTGTCTTTCTAAGCAAAGTCACCTGATCTGGATTGAACCTCACCACAGCTCTCTGAGGGAAGTAAGCCTAGTCTTACTTTGTCTTCATTTTCTAGGTGAGGTCATGGACACCTAAAAAGGGTGACTGACAGACCCAAGGTCTCATAGCCAACGCATTGTGCCCAGGTCTCCAGTTTCCTGTGCATTGTGGCTGGGGGATCCTGAAGGTGACATCGGGGGTGTAACAGGGTTCTTCTGATGTGTCACCTGATGTGGGAGCTCCAAATTCATGTGTCATGGATTTGAAGATTCCAATCCTCTTACTGGCTGTCATCTTGGAGAAGCTACGTGATGTCTCTGAGCTTAGTTAACATGTCTATAAAATGGGGATATAACATCTACCTCATATGCAACATATCTGGCCCCTCATAGGTACCCAACATTTCCTCCCTTTCCTTCTATTTCCTCAAAGAACCCAACCATCCCTAAAAAGTGCATATTCATATTTCCATTCCCCCATCTCACCATAAAGGTCTTTCAAGGTAAGGTGAACAGAAGATTTATCCAATTTTTCAATGAGTCTACACTTGGTGCCTAGTATATAGGCAAGATGCTGTGCTAGATTCAGGGATACGTGGGTGAAAAAAGGACACCGTCCTTGCCTTCAGGGAGCTTACAGTATAATGGGGAAAAGCACCTGCTAAAGAGATAATTACTCTAAGTGAGATCTGTGCCGTGAAGGAGCGGGTGTTTGAAGGGCTCTGGGAGCCCAGCAGGAAGAGCCACTAAAATGGCCAGGGGAAGTGAAGTTGGGCTTCACAGAGGGACCAACAGCCGAGCTGAGTTTTGAAGGACTAAGAGTTGCCCAAACAAGCAAGGTATGATAGAAGGGAGAGTATTTTAAAAGGGGAGAGCATATGTGAAAAGGCACAGAGTCATGAAAGAATATGACATCTTGGGACATCTGTAACAATTTCAATATAAACACAGTGTAAAAGAAGGCTTGGAGGCTGGGCACAGTAGCTCATGTCTGTAATCCCAGCACTTTGGGAGGCTGAGGCAGGTGGATCACCTGAGGTCAGAAGTTTGAGACCAGCCTGGCCAACATGGTGAAACCCTGTCTCTACTAAAAATACAAAAATTAGCCGGGCGTGGTGGCACATGCCTGTAGTCCCAGCTACTTGGGAGGCTGAGGCAGGAGAATGGCGTGAACCTGGGAGGTGGAGCTTGCATTGAGCCGAGATCGCACCACTGGACCCCAGCCTGGGTGACAGAGCGAGACTCCGTCTCAAAAAAAAAAAAAAAAAAAGGAGGCATGGAGTATTGGGAAATTGGGGGAAAGGTGAACAGAGTTGAATTACACATGGACTTATGTGACATGTGAAGGGATTTAGATTGTAACCTTGAGCCTATAAGGACACCCTGGAAATTTTGAGCAGGGAATTACTGTGATTAGACCTGTGTTTCAGATGATCACTGTGGTAGCCGTGTGGTGAATGAATTCAAAGGGAAACATGACTATATGCAGGGAGACCAGTTAGAAATTTTCTGAAATATTTTAGATGAAAGATGGTAACAGGTTGAACTAAAGCAGGGTTATTTGAGGCTGGAATAAAAGGGTTATCTGAGATCTTCAGAAAGAAGAAGTCATGGGAATAAATGATTGATTGCACATGGGGTTGGGGGAGCAGAGAGGGAGGAGTGAAACATGAGCCCCGGTCTCAGAGTTGAGTGCCTCCAGGAGGCTACAAAATACTAGAAAGGAGAAGAACTGGAAGAAGGGATGAAGGGTTCAGCTTGGTTGGACTTGGAGTTCATTAAGAGATGTGTGGCTCTGGGGTAGAGATCAGGCCTGGTAGTAGAGAAATGGGAGAATGAGTTGTTTGCATAGAGGTGATAGTTAAAGAGATCTTAAAAAGAGATAATCCAGGGAGAGCACATGGACTAACAAAGGAGGACCCAGGATGAGAAATAGCAACATTTAAGAATAGGATGGAGGAAGAGGAACCTGCAAAGGAGACCAAGAATTGTTGCTCAGAGAGTTTCGGCTGAGAAACCTGAGTGCCTGATTCCTGGATTAACGTTGGTTGCCGTGGATTCCTGAAGGCGAGAAGATGTACAGTAGATGTCACAGGCGAGCGTGCTGCCTTTGTCATGAGCAGAACTTCTAGCCTGGTGAGCTCTGCTGGGTAGCGTGTGAATGCTAAGGGCCTCACAACTAATTTGAAATGCTGACCAAAGACAGACAGAAGGCAGCTTCTCAACCTCTTTCCTCCAAGCTTCTATTCTACTCCTCACCCTTGGGGTTTAACCTTTCCAATTGCCAAAGGAGGAGATGAATACATATATTTAAATAAATGAAAGATTGAAGGCTTCTTTCCTAAAGGCTTGAGCAGATCTAATGTAGCCTCTTCTCCGTCTACCTTCCCTCCAGCCCCATCACAGTGGGCTGGACTTCTAAGGAGATAGGGAAGGAATAAAAGAGATCTTAGTGGCTGAGAAGAGGGCATGGTGAGATTTACCTGCTGCCGCTTCTATGTAAAGTTCGTTTATTCCCCCTACTGAAAAGCTCCAGCTGAGGGTATCAGGACCCCAGTGTATACCTCTAAAAGGAAGAGGCCCATTTTTCTATTGACTCATATTGCCTCCATTCCCTGGAGGTGGAGCTAAGAAGTCTTAAGCTCTCTTTAGAGCTCAGAATGTGTCCTTAATTATAAGGAATGGGGAAAGGAAAACAAGAGGGTAGGGTGTTAGGGAAGCCAGAGGAAGCAACATTTCCAGAAAGAGGACATAAGCAACCATGTCAAATGCTGCAGACAGGAGACATAGCTAAAGGACCAAATAATTTTTTATTTATGATTTTGCAAAGAGCTGTTTCAATGAAGTAGGATTGGAGGCCAGATTGTGTAGGTTAAGGACAGAATGAGGAATGAGAAAATTAAAATACAGAGTACAGACATGCTTTTGAAGTCTGGAATAGACAATAATAGGAAGGGACATAGAGTGATGTTCCAAGATAATTAGTTAAAAAACTCAAAAATGCTGTAATCATCAGACCACCAAAAGAAATTTTTTGGAGAAGTATTGCTTCATTTATTTACTTCCATTTTTCCAAAATTATTTGGGTCGGTTTCGGGAGTGTTTATAGGATAATTCATGACTGTCTTTTCAATCAGGGAAATGGAAAACTAGGAACTACATTTTGAGTTTAAAAATGATTTCCTCCTTAAAATGTCCATGTAACTTTTTTTTTTTGAGACAAGTTTTTACTGTTGCTCAGGATGGTGCTATCATGGCTCACTACAGCTTCCATCTCCCTCCCCAGGCTCAGATTGTCCTCCTACCTCAGCCTCCCGAGCAGCTGGGACCACAGGTGTGCACCACCACAGCCAGCAAATTTTTGTATTTTTAGTAGAGACGGGGTTTTGCCATGTTGGCCAGGTTGTCTAGAATTCCTGGGCTCAAGTGATCCACCTGCCTTGACCTCCCAAAGTGCTGGGATTACAGGCATGAGCCACCATGCCTGGCCCATGTACCTTATAGCCTGACGGGTTTGGCAAAACCAGAGGATTCGACTTAGAAAATAAAAAGCAGTTGCCGTGTGCTGCTGTTTGTTGTCTTTGTTCTGTGATACAATTTCAATATATATATTCACTTAATATATATTTAGGCTGGGCACAGTGGCTCACACCTATAATCCCAGCACTTTGGGAGGCCAAGGAAGGTGGATCACTTGAGGCCAGGAGTTTGAGACCAGCCTGGCCAACATGGTGAAACCCCATCTCTACTAAAAATACAACAATTAGCTGGTTGTGGTGGCTTACGCCTGTAGTTCCGATTACTCGAGAGGCCGAGGCATGAGAATTGCTTAAATCCAGGAGGTGAAGGTTGCAGTGAGCCAAGATCGCACCACTGCACTCCAGCCCGGGTGACAAAGAGAAACTCTGACCCCCCCGCCCCCAAAAAAGAAAGCAGTTGCTGTGTGCTGCTGTAGTCTCTGCTCTGTGATACAACTTCAGCATATATATTCATTTAGTATATATGTATTGGGTAGAGTTGCCTTGTGATACTTTAGCAATGAAAAGAAAAAGACAGATGTGGCCTCCGCTCTCAAAGTGATTGATGTGTAGAAAGGAAGAAAGACAATTCTATAAGTAACATTAAACTGTGATTAATGTTATAATAGGGGTAGAATTCAGCCCCATAAGAAGGTGTGGCAATGGGTCCTATCCAGACAGGGGAATCGGTGAAGAATCAGGAAGAAATGATGACATCTAAGCTGACATCTGAAAGATGAACAACTCTGAAAAATATAGAAAAGTAGAGGGGTAAAAAAATCCATAATCTTTCTGAACATTAATGATTATTTGATAACAGCTTAGTTTATTTTCTTCTGATCTTTATTTATTAAATAATATTTTTTGTGAAAATAATACTCATAATACCTTAAGAAAAAAGAGTAAAAAGAACAAAGTAAAAAAAAAACTCACTTGGCTGGGCGCGGTGGCTCACGCCTGTAATCCCAGCACTTTGAGAAGCCGAGGTGGGTGGATCACGAGGTCAGGAGATGTAGACCATTCTGGCTAATACGGTGAAACCCCTTCTCTACTAAAAATACAAAAAATTAGCCAGGCGTGGTGGCACACGCCTGTAGTCCCAGCTACCCAGGAGACTGAAGCAGGGGAATCCCTTGAACCTGGGAGGTGGAGGTTGCAGTGAGCCGAGATCGCACCACTGCACTCCAGCCTGAATGACAGAGGGAGACTCCATCTCAAAAAAAAAAAAAAAAAAAACCACTCAGTGCCTTTGTTAGTCCGTTTTGTTCTCTTATAACAGAATACCCGAGACTGGTTAATTTATAAAAAACAGGTATTTATTTCTTATAATTCTGGAGTTTGGTAAGTCCAAGGTTGAGGAGCCTGCATCTGGTGAGGGTTGTTTTGCTGTGTTATTCCATGGTAGAAGGCAGAAAGGCAAGAGGGCAAGAGAGCATGGGGCAGGGGGAGGGAGAGAGAAAAAGAGAGGGAAAGAGAGAGAGAGAGGAGGAAGGGAGGAAGAAGAAAGGAAGGGAAGACAGGAAGGATGGAGGGAGGGAGAGATTGAACTCACACCTCAAGCTTTTTTATAATTGGCATTAACCCATTTATGAGAATGGAGCCCTCCTAGTACTGTTGCACTGGGGATTAAGTTTCCAGCCTATGCTTTCTGGGGAACACATTCAAACCATAGTACCACCCATAAATATCCACCCTTGAATGAACATTATTTCATATATATATATGTTTATGGATAGAATATTAGGTAAAAATGTTAACAGACACACTTATAAAAATTGGATCATACTATTTGTGCTATTTTTTAAAACAAATGTTTAATTAAATGTTACTTGGATTTAACAGAAGAAAAAGAAATGGAAATCAAACTGAAGGAACTGGTGAAATTTAGTTAAATTTGTCTTTTCTATTAAATGTGTCCTTTGCACAAGAGGTATTGTTTTAATAAAATCCTTCTACATTTAAGAAAACAGGTATGAAAATATTGTGAGAACCATTAAGAGATTAGAATAATTGGCTATATATTTTTGGAAACTTATTTAGACAGTTTAAATTGGGTAAGCGCTATGAAAAATAAGATAATAAGCATTTCTCACATGTCCTCTCTCCTCACAACTCCCTAATTTTGTTAATTATATTGTTAATTTTACACTGTCAAAAGTTACCAGAAAATTGTCAAAGTTTATGTTGTTGAAATTTGTTCTGTAATCATAATTTCCACAATTGTTCAGTCTTCCTTCAGCATCTAATAGTTTCAGTTCTTACCACCAGTACTTTTTTGACTGTTTCTCCTTTCTTGAATTTTTATTTGGATTTATAGTTTAATATATAAAATCTTATAATCAAGTAGGTATTTTTCCTCCAAGTGTGATTCCTGGGTGCTATCTTTTTAGAGAAAGAACTTAGAAATTATTTTTTCTTTTTGCCTTTGTGTTAAATGACTTCTTGATGGTTATAATTTTGGGTACCATTTTCTTTTCCTCGAAACTTTGTAAATATCACTACATTGTTTTCTGACATTAAATATTGCTTTTGGAAGTCTGAGGTCGGCTTGGTTTTGCTCCTTGTACATTAATTGCTTTTGTGCGTAGCTTTTGTTCTTTTGTTTGTTTTTTAGGAAGGCCTTACTAAGTGCCAGGCACTGTTCTCTTTTTTTTTTTAATACTTGAGTTATAGTAATTAATTTAACATTTTATATCATCTTCAAGATGCTTGAGGAATTCTTGAAGTTCAGTACATTAACTGGATATATCTTGGTGTTGAAGCTTCCATGTTAGTTTTTCGTGAAACCAGTATGTGTAGATTTGATTCTTTCTGTATTTCCAGGAAAATTCTTGTATTATATACTTTTAATGTTTCTAGTCCATGTCTTGGCTTCTTTACCTCAGGGACGTGAAATACCTTATGTTGTGTGGTCTCTCACCATCCTTTAGATTTATTGTTTTTTTCTCTAATTGCTTTTAGTTCTTGTCTTTGTCTTCTGCATCCACTGGCACTAGCTAAAGCCTTTCTACTGGCAAATACATTCACATGAAGTGTATTGTTCTGCTTCTTCTTTATTTATTGCTTTGCCTCCTTATTTCTTTCCTTAGCACTATAATTTTCCTCTCCTCCTCTCTCCCCCGCTCCGCCCCTCTATGGTTCTCTCTCTGCCTCTCTGTCTCTGTCTTTCTCTCTTTTGTTCTTATTCTATTGTTTTATCATCTTGTCTTTGAGTTTTCATTTTAATCAAATTCATGTTCCTTTAAAGATTTATTTTCTATTGTAAAACACTTGTGAAGAATTTCCGTCTTTTCCTTGGATTATGTCTTCTTCCAGAATGGGTTCTTTGTTTTTTGCATGCTGTGATTCCTTCTTTGCTTTTACTTTGCTTTTTCTCTTCCTCTCTCACTCCCTCTATTCCTTCCTTCCTTCCTTCCCTCCTTTCCCTTCTTTCCCTTCCTTCCTTCCCTTCTTTCCCTTCCTTCCTTCTTTCTTTCCTCTGTAGTATTTTTGCATACTTTCCATGCTATTTCTTTGTATCTTATTCGTGCCTGGGCAGCTCCATGCCCACCTTCCGTTTGCTCTGGGTTTAGAGATGAGGCTGAAGAAAGCTCTGCAGAATCTATTGGATTTCTATTGGATTATTTAACTCTCCTTTCCCTTCTGAGATTTGGTAAAGTTTCTAGTGTCATGGGTTACTCTGTCTTCTGGATTTCAAGGTATAAAACCTTTTTTAAAAACCAGGGTAACACTATTGTGGTGGAGTAGATCTGGTTCAGGCCAGGTGCAGTGGCTCACACCTGTAATCCCAGTACTTTGGGAGGCCGAGGTGGGTGGATCACCTGAGGTCAGGAATTTGAGACCAGTCTGGCCAACATGGTGAAAGTCCATTTCTATCGAAAATACAAAAATTACCCAGGCATGGTGGCACACGCCTGTATTCCTAGCTACTCTGGATGCTGAGCCAGGCAGGAGAATCACTTGAACCTAGGAGGCGGAGGTTGCAGTGAGCTAAGACACACCACTGCATGCCAGCCTGGGCAACAGAACGAGACTCAGTCTCAAAAAAAAAAAAAAAAAATTATATATATATATATATATAGTTTTTTTTTCTTCACTGTTCTTCCTGTTAAGAGACAAAGGCTATCTCTGCTCCCTCAAATCTGGATTGGCCTATGACTTGTTCTGGTCGGGAGATTATGGCTTAAGTGGCATCGCCTAACTCCCAAAGCTTAGCCTCAAGAGAGATGCGGCTTCTGCTTTCTTACACTTGGAATGCTCCCTCTTGGGAGCCAGCTGTCACATAAACAGTCTAAATGGCCTGAGACCACCATGCCATGAGGAAATCCAAGCTAGCCACAGTGCCAGACATGTGACACCTTCTTGGACCTTTCAGCTACCAGCTAAATGCAAGTAAGTAAATGATCCCATCTGATGACACATGGAGCAGAAGAGCCACCCATTTGAGCACCATTTAGTCTCTTTACTCTGCTTCACAGAAGCCTTCTTTGGGATCCAATCCTCTGTCCAAAAAGTGATGCTCAGTTGCCCTGGCCCTGGAGCCTTGAGAGCTGCTTCAGGGCTGGAGCACTCATTCGCTCATGGTAGCGTCAACCTCCACTGCCTGGGGACTCTGTGGAGAACCCTCCACCTCCATCTCCAGTGAAACGGGAGCTCAAGGGCTTTCCTTTCGAGGGTCCTTGCGGTCTGAGAGGGGACAGGATGCTGTGAAGGGCCTGCCTTTATCAAGAGACGGGGACACAGGGTCCTAAGAACCAAAAAGAGAACACCTGAAAATGTATGGGGACAGCCAAGAAGCTGTGGGGAAAGAGGGGCAGCAGAGTCCAGGGGTATTGGCAGGTGCAGAAACCCCAGGGCTGGCGGACTGAGGAAAAGAGTAGAGCTCTTTCTTCACTGCCTCCCCTGAGATTCGTGGAAACAGAAACTTTCCTTTTGGAAAAGTCACTTTCTTTATGCCATTTCTATTTTTTGTCATTACTTCCTTGTTGTTTCACCTGAAGACTTAGAAAAGTTTCTTTGGGAAATGTCAGCTGCCTCACCTCTCCTGAAGAGATGTCAGGAAAAGGTTTCTCTTTGGTTGGTTTGTCAACAGGACGGGTTGCAGTGGGGAGAAAACCCCATCAAGATGGCAAACACGGATAGAAAAATAAAAGTGTAGAACTTTGATCTCCTATCCAATTAAACATGCCACTCCCACTCCCACCTGCAAGCACAGGCTGGACCCGCAGCTTGAGGGGTTGGGGTGGGTCTGCTTCTCCCATGCTGCCCGCTCAGCTCCTGGAGGCAGGGGTCTCCTTGTGTGTCTACCCCATGTAGATGGTGGCCAGGTGTCCCTGGCCCTCCTCCAGCTTTCTGTGGGCCTATGTGTTGGTAGTGGACTCCCTCTGTAGCAAGATGGTCTCCGTGGAGTGGTTGTGGTTCTTGCCATGGTGTTCAGGTTCACTCCACCATCCTGTCCCTGAGAAATCTCCTAAAAATTTCCTAGGAAAAATCAAGTATTCTTTTGGCCCAACCAGCAGCACTTGCCAGCGAGTGCTTCTCTGGTGGGATGTCCCATCTTCCAGCAGGCTGCTGTCCCACACCTCCTACTCCTCACTGACCTGTGAGCTCTCCCCCTTGAAGCCTCAGGAGCTACCAGATCCTCCTCTGGCCCCGCTCTGTGCACCTGGCCTTCCCTAAAGTGCTGGTGGCCACCACACCCTTCCTTCCCAGTTGACTTTTAGTCCACATTGATGGGAGGGGAGACCAAGAGTGGGACTGCTCTGGCTGCCTCTTTAAAGCCTTTAATGAGGGCTGGTGGTGGTGGTGGGGATATGGTTTGGCTTTGTGTCCCCCACATTTGTGGAACTTTGAACTTGAGAGAGACGACTTAGAAAGAAATTTCTAAGCAGCAAAGCATTCAAGAGGTAACTTGGGTGCTGTTAAAGGCATTTAGTTTTATAAGGGAAGCAGAGCATAAAAGTTCAGAAAATTTGCAGCCTGACAATGTGATAGAAAAGAAAAACTCATTTTCTGAGGAGAAATTCAAGCTGGCTACAGAAATTTGCATAAGTAACAAGGAGCCAAATGTTAATCCCCAGGACAATGGGGAAAAGTCTCCAGGGCATGTCAGAGGTCTCTGAAGGCAGCCCCTCCTGTCACAGGTCCAGAGGCCTAGGAGAAAAAAGTGGTTTCAAGGGCTGGGCCCAGGGTCTTTGTGCAGTGTACAGCCTAGGGACTTGGTGCCCTGCATCCCAGCCATGGCTGAAAGGATCCAACATAGAGCTTGGGCCATGGCTTTAGAGGGTGCAAGCCTCAAGCTTTAGCAGCTTCCACATGGTGTTAAGCCTGCAAGTATACAGAAGTCAAGAATTGAGGTTTGGGAACCTCTGCCTAGATTTCAGAAGATGTATTAGGAAACACCTGGGTGTCCAGGCAGAAGTTTGCTGTAGGGGGTGGCTCTCATGGAGAACCTCTGCTAGGGCAGTGTGGAAAGGAAATGTGGGGTCCCCACACAGAGTCCCCACTGGGATGCTGCCCAGTGGAGCTGTGAGAAGAGGGCCACCATTTCAGATCCCAGAATGGTACATCCACTGACAGCTTGCACCATGTGCCTGGAAAAGCTGCAGAAACACAACACCAGCTCATGAAAGCAGCCAGGAGGGAGGCTATACCCTGCAAAACCACAGGGGCAGAGCTGCCCAAGGCCATGGGAGCCCACCTCTTGCATCAGTGTGATCTGGATGTTAGACTATGGAGTCAAAGGAGATCATTTTGGAGGTTTAAGATTTCACTGCCTGGAGATCAAGACCATCCTGGCTCCACTAAAAAAATATATATATATATAAAATGAGCTGGGCATGGTGGTGGGTGCCTATAGTTCCAGCTACTCAGGAGGCTGAGGCAGAAGAATGGCATGAACCTGGGAGGCGGAGCTTGCAGTGAGCTGAGATCACACCACTGCACTCCAGCCTGGGCGACAGAGTGAGACTCTGTCTCAAAAAAAAAAAAAGATTTCACTGCCCTACTGGATTTCAGACTTGCATGGAGCCTGTATCCCCTTTGTTTTGGCCAATTTCTCCCATTCGGAACAGCTGTATTTACCTAATGCCTGTACCCCCATTGTATCTGGGAAGTAACTAACTTGCTTTTTGATTTTACAGGCTCATGAGCAGAAGGGACTCGCCTTGTCTCAGATGAGACTTTGGACTCTGGACTTTTGAGTTAATGCTGAAATGAGTTAAGACTTTGAGGGACTGTTGGGAAGGCGTGATTCGTTTTGAAATGTGAAGATATGAGATTTAGGATGGGCCAGGGGCAGAATGATATGGTTTGGCTCTGTGTCCCCACCCAAATGTCATCTTGTAGCTCCCATAATTCTCACATGTTGTGGGAGGGACCCAGTGGGAGATAATTGAATCATGGGGGTAGGTCTTTCCCATGCTGTTCTTGCGACAGTGAATAAGTCTCATGAGATCTGATGGTTCTAAAAAAAGGGGTTTTCCTTGCACAAGCTCTTTCTTTGCCTGCTGCCATCCATGTAAGATGTGACTTGCTCCTCCTTGCCTTCCACCGTGATTGTGAGGCCTCCTCAGCCACATGGAAATGTAAGTCCATTAAATCCTTTTTCCTGTATGAATTACCCAGTCTCGGGTATGTCTTTATCAGCAGCATGAAAACGGACTAATACAGGGGGTGTAAGCCCCAACTCATTAAAAGCTTTCTTTCAAGTGTGAAGGTTCTTGGAGCTCCTTGCTTGTACCTCTGGATTAGCCACAATTCAAGGACAACAGGAAAAGTCCCACCCAGCATGTACGGTATTTTAAATGAGACCATCCCAAACACTCCTCTACATTTGGTAGATGGCAGGAGATGGGCTGTAGGATGACATTGTTCCCATGGAGACACCCAGGTGCTGGGACTTCGGGACTCAGAAAGGTGGCAGCAGAATTGTTGTGGCTCTTGAGGCTCTCGTGTGATGGTCTCAGACGGAATGTGGAATAGGACAAGATCAGGAACCCCAAGGCCTAAGAGCTAATGAGCTCTGGTAGAACCGAAAGCCTGAGCTCTATAAGCTTGACTTTAAGGCACATTCTAGGTTCATTTCCTGGTAGTTCTTCATTAGTATTTAGAAAATTTATGTTTAGTGTCAGCTTATTTCAAAATACTAAAAAGAATTTAAAGCTGGTGAGGGATTTTGTTTTTTTAATAAGAGCATTTTTAATAGACCAATAGGTACACAATATTTTGGCTATGTATAATATAATATGTTGCTGTGGAGATGTCCTGTATTTCTGGTGACAACACTGGAAACACAAAAATCAAGAGGCATTGAACTGTATGGACACACTTGTGGGGACAGTGGACAGAGTATTTAAGATTGGGACTGTCCTGGAAGATCTAGAACATGTGCTCATTGTTCCTGTGGAGTGCAGCCACCTCCCTTGACCCAGTCGCTCTGCTGGGTTCTAGGCTGCCAGTACAAGGGATTTGGGAGCCAGAACAAAAACTGAATATTCAAGGTCTAATGGGAGCTTAGTCCCATTCTCAGATGGAGAAACTGAGGCCCAAAGAGAAGTGTGTTGTCTATAGTCATGTGGTTAATAAGATATTTAGATTTAATTCAGGGAAGTACACATTGACTATGCATGTCTATAAAAAACAGCCAGCTAGAAAGTGAAGGTAATTTACCCAGTCACTCAGATGTTTGGCCCACAAGATGTCCAACAAGTGTCTTCAGACATTTTTTTGTTGTTGTTTTGCACTAGTTTTTTTTTTTTTTTTTTTTTTGAGATGAAGTTTCACTCTTGTTTGCCCAGGCTGGAGTGCAATGGCACAATTTTGGCTCACTGCAACTTCCACCTCTTGGGCTCAAGTAATTCTCCTGCCTCAGCCTCCCAAGTAGCTGGGATTACAGGTGCCCGCCACCACATCCGGCTAATTTTTTATATTTTAAGTAGAGACGGGCTTTCACCATGTTGGCCAGGCTGGTCTCGAACTCCTGACCTTCAGGTGATCCACCCACCTTGGCCTCCCAAAGTGCTGGGATTACAGGCATGAACCACCATGCCCTGCCTGTTTTGCACTAGTTTTTAATGGTTGTCATTATCTCTGGGTGTGAGAGTATTTTACAATTTACAAAACACTTTCCTATCTATAGTCTTCATCCTCTTAATATTTGTGCATCGTGGTGTATCAGGAATGCATTTGGCTGCAATTATCAGGAAACCCAACAACAATGGCTCAAACACAGAGGGGGCTATTTTTCTCACATAACAATAAATTCATAGATAGGTGTTTGTTGGTGATGGTTTAGTGGCTGACATCACTGTGATTCTTTACCCCGTGGTTGAAAGATGGCTGCTCTAGCACCAGGCATCATATTCATTTTTCAAGTCAGGAATAAAAGAGAGGACACAGGTTGCTTCCCACAGCCCTGAGAATTCTTCTCATTGGTCAGAAGTGTGTCACGGGCCCACCTCTGGCTACAGAGAAGCTAAGTAAGTGACTTTTACCTGGAGTTGGACACATTGCGGGCCCAAGCATAACTGAGTTCCATCAGCAAGGCAACCAACAGTGCCTGCCATAGGTGGGCCTCAGCTGCTCCTTCTCCCCTGCCTGGTCAGCAGGGATGTTTGGCTTTGCTGCATTTTCATTCCCTTTTTCTGCACGAACCTATTTATATAATAACCTTCATTCCTCCTGTGATTACAGAGGAAGAAAATGCTCATTGTAAAGCCCTAGAAATTTCAGGAAAAAATAGAGAGCAAATCATCTATAATCTTATACCTAAAGATAATGACAAATGTTAGCATTTTAGAGTATTTCCTTCCTGAAATTTTCCCACACATATATAAATGATATTACATTATATGTTTGTGATTGTATCATGCTTTTTTACTCAATAGTATATTGCATGTTCCCAGGCCATTAAAGTTTTTCAAAGCAATAATTATTTTTTAATTTTTACCATTTTTCTGATCACCATAGTAACACATGCTTGTTGTAAAACATTGATGTTTAACATATGAATATTCCCTATATTTCTGCCTCATGAGAAAACCACTATAAACAGTCAGGAACTTTATCAGAATTTTTTGAACTATTCCCACGTTATTGGACATTCAGGTTATTTCCAATTTTTCATTATTAAGGACAACATTTTGTTGAATATCCTTATACATGGATTTCATTCACATTTCTGATTATTTTCTTTGTGTAGATTCCTAGAAGTGGGATTACTGGGTTAAAGGCTATGAACATTTTCAAAGCTCCTGATGCATATTGCCAAATTGCTTTCTGGAAGGACTGTACCATTTATACTCTGACTAGCATTTTATAAGCATGCCCAACTTACTCCACACTCACCAGGATTTCAGAATCTCTTTCAGCCCTTTTGCAAGAAAGCAATGTGGCTTAGCAGAATGCATAGCAGTCAGAAGTTCAACTAATTTTGACTAGTAGTCAGAAATCCTGATTTTAAGTTCTGAGTATGTCAGAACTTGTGTGTGACATTAGGTAAGTCACTTTATTTCTCAGTTTACTTAAAAAATATTGTGTAGTGTAGTGGACACTGTTGGTTACTTTTTTTTGTTTTTTGAGAAGGAGTCTTGCTCTGTTGCCCAGGCTGGAATGCAGTGGTGCGATCTCGGCTCACTGCAACCTCTGCCTCCCAGGTTCAAGCGATTCTCCTGCTTCAGCCTCCTGAGTAGCTGGGACTACAGGTGTGCACCACCATGCCTGGCTAATTTTTGTATTTTTAGTAGAGATGGGGTTTCACCATGTTGGCCAGGCTGGTTTCCAACTCCTGACCTCGTGATCCACCAGCCTCAGCCTCCCACATTGCTGGGATTACAGGTGTGTGCCACCGTGCTCAGCTGGTTACCTTTTTGGTAATTACCTCCTCTTTATTTCATTGTAACGGAACCCTGATCTGTTTAGATGTGCACCTCTCCTCTCCATAGCCTTGAGCTGCAGGAGGTGCTGACCTCCGCTTTGACGTGTGGACACCGATTAATATCAGCAGAGCTGATCAGACTTTTTGGCCTCAGACCCCTTTACAATTTTAACAATTATTGAGAAACCTGAAGAAGGTTTGCTTATGTGGGCTATATCCATTGATGTTTACTGTATTTGATGCTAAAATTGAGAAATTTAAAAACTATTAATTAATTTGAAGGTAACAACATATGGGAGGCCGAGGCATCTGTATGGACCACTTGAGCCCAGGAGTTTGAGACCAGCCTGGGCAACATAGCAAAACCCTGTCTGTACTAAAAATACAAAAAATTAGCTGGGCCTGGTGGCACATGTCTATAGATCCTCCCACTTCGGGAGGCTGAGATGGGAGCCTGAGGTGGGAGGATCACCTGAGCCCATAGAGCCAAGGCCGCAGTGAGCAGAGATTCAGCCATTGAATTACAGCCTGGGTGATAGGAGCGAGATCCTGTCTCAATAAAAAAAAGATAACAACATATAAGCCCATAATGTGTTAATCTGATTAACATATTTTAATGAAAATAACTATATTTTCAAAAAATTTTAGTAAGTAGAGCAGTATTGTTATGCATTTTTGCAAATCTTTTTACTGCCTGGCTGAGTAGAAGACAGCTGGATTCTCATATCTGCTTCTACATTCAATCTGTCGTGATCTCACACATTGCGTAGTCTCTAAAACTTCTTTGTGAGAGAATGAGGAAGAAAAAGGGGATAATGTTAAACGAAAATAATTTTGGCCTCATGGACCCCCTTAAAGGATCTCCAGGGACCTGAAACCACACTTTGAAACAGCCATGGTGATCCCATTCCCTTTGCGAGTAATTGCTGCAGGAGTGGGCTAGTATGCTTTCCTTTGGGAGCATGAATTTTCCCAAAGCCCACCGGCATCCTCTCCTAATTCCTTGCTGGTCAAAATGAATTTTTGCTCCCAAAGGAAAGCGTAAGAAATATATATGTTATTTTGTCTGTACGTGACATCAGGAAATGCTTCAACAATTTTTCTTCCAGCCTGAGGATGACAAAAGCCCGTGTGAAAAGCAAAGACTAGGGATGGTGTGCAGGCCAAGCCGGGGGCCGTGCTTAGAGTCCACCCTTGTTGTGTGACATAGAAAATGGATTTGGAGAAGGCATGTTATAGCAAAATTTGGTATGAGGAAGTAGAGGTGCCACACGCACCGTACCCTAAAATGGGGACTGGGGTGGATTGAGAAGGTGTCTCTGCAGGCAGCAGGAATCAAGAAGCCTGCTGTTCCAGGCTGGGAAGCTGGTGACTCTGTTATGTGGTTGTGAATTAATGGATCCCACTATTTTCCTTTGAACTTGGGGACAGTACGTGCCCATTGAGAGCACTAGGGGAAATGGTTTAACATTTAGGATATTAATGTGCACCGGCTATTATTTTGGTGGCCTTTGGTGGAGTCCTGTAAGAAAGAAACAAACTTATGCCTGTCTTAGAGCAGAGAAAGCAGGAATCTTATCTGCAGGAGATATTGGGGCCCAGAAAATCCCTACTGGCCAGGTCTCTCTTAAACACCTTCCTTTAAGCTTCTCCACTGACACACTGGACAGGCTTTGTCAAGATCAGCTTGTTGGTGGGGACTCCCTGCCTGAGAATATTTTGGACTGTCTCCAGGCAGAGGTCTTTAAAGTAGCTCCAGGGAGATGGGCAGAGCACAGAGGCCAATGACCAGGAGACTCAAAGAACATATATCCAGACAAAGTCTTTGACCCATGCTTAATAAGCCATGGAACTGACCAGAAACAAATTGATGGAAGCCTGCTAACTTTTAAAAGCCATACTGTCAAAGAAACCCTAATCTTGGCCAAGAAAAGCCATGGCATTTTTACTCTGTAGGGCAATCCCCACACCTTGAACCTATGGCTGCTAAAGCCCTTTTAATTTATTTAGTATTATTATTATTTTCAGATGTGATCTCTCTTGCCCAGAATGGTCTCAAGCTACTGGGCTCAAATGATTCTCCTATTTATTTTTAATTTTTCTAAAACTTTTACAAGTTTTGAGAGGGGAGCTTAAGTTTTAATATTTTGAGATTTGCTGTATAAAGTCTGCATTTACCCTTATTATCCTTAATTATTTTGCAGATTTTGATATCATTATATCTCTGCCGTTTTCTTAGTACTCACTTTTTTCTCTTTTAAATCTTTTTAAACTTAGAACATGATCTGGCTGATCTCAAAGAATTATGGAATTTTAAAGCCAGAAAGGACCTGATATGACTGTTCTCGAGTATTGGTTAAGTGACCTGCCTCATAAACCTTAAAAGAGTGACTTTATTTAGTATACTTCTAATACAATTTTTGTGTACCAAAATGATCTTTGGATGCAGTTTTCATGAAGACAGCTAATACATAAGCTGGTGTTAATCTGTGCTTCGTTGACTTCTGGTAACGGTCCTCTTTTTCTCCCCTTTTATGTCATCTTCCTGGTGAAACTGACCACCAGTAGAGGACAAGGGTGCACTCTCTTTCTGTAGTAGCTATATCCCCCTTCATAACTGTAACACTGGTCTGAGCACAGGAGATACTTAATGAATGTTTACCCACGAATGGGCTAAATGAATGGAGGCAGCCCAATGCCTGAGACTTGTCCTCCTTTATGGCGAGGCATAAATAACATGCAAATTCTGGAAACAGCAATAGGGATACCATTCCAGTAAAGAGAAGAAGAGACTTGTTTCCGGCCAGCATCTGCCAAAATTGGTCCAGGAAAGAGGACAGCAATGATGATTATTTCTCAGAAAATATTTTGCCCAGGCATGGATACAATTGCCCTGGGAAACAAAACCATGTAGAGGTGCAGAGGCCAGGGGTCTTTCTGACCACCTTACTTTTCCCCTACTCCAACTTCTCCCCTTTTTTCCCAGGCATGCTCATCGGCAGTGTACCCCAGTGTATGGTTCAGATTCCAAGAAGCTTTGGAACTTGGAAAGGGTCTGAATCAGTAGGACAGAAGGAAAGAGAGGCAACATCCAGAGGTCTTGAATGTTACGCTGCAGACCTGGACTAGTTGTAAATTGTCTGTTTCCTTGCTAATGAAGAGAGGCAGAGGTATGGCTCATACGGAAAAGTAGAAGCTTCAGAAATCATGTGTACAACACTTTGGGAGACCTTAAGAAGTGTAAGAGATACTCTTTGGAGCACACATCTGCTGATGTGAAGTTTTCAACAGAAATAAATATAATGGAGGCTCTATACAAGAGGCCAATGAAGACCAGTTTATTCAATGTAGTGAGGTCTGAGTAAAAGAACGTAAAAGAAAGTCTCTTTGTTAGTGTCTGGTTAACATGAGCTGTTTGATTTAGTTTTGATTGTTCAACAAGTTTTCTTGTCTTCTGAGTAAAGGCCATCAGTTTGACCATTTCTGAGAGATTTGCTCATCCTGGCTCAATTAAGGAGGACGGTCAAGCATAAAAATCATATAGGAATCTGGACTGATTCCTAAGAAAGCCTCAAGTGTTGAATGAGTCTATTGTAGACCACGCTTAGCTGAAACCTTTGGCACTTGGGATGGAATTTGCTTTATTAAGATGGGGAATGTTGGACTCTTCCAATTTTTTGTATTTATAAAATTATGACTGGTACTAACTCTTTTCTCTCCTTCCCTTGTGGAGGGCTTGAAGAAATTAAGGGTAACATTTAGCTTGATGCTGCATAGAGGGGAAAATAGTGAAAGGGCAGGAGAGTTCCTGCCCTCCCTTGAGTTCAAAGAGGAAGTTGAAGCTCATTATCATATAATTATAGGGAATATTGGGGGCAGCGCCAACACACTGCCTCAGAGGCTCACATGTGGGCACCAGATGTAGTTCCTATGAGATCTGAAAAGTAGTATTGTTCCTGCATAGTTGGAAGTGGCCTCAAGTTATTTATGCCCTCTGGGGCTCACTTTTCTCATATGCAAAATGAGAGGGCTGGCTGGGACTATTTATTCTGTACTCAAGCTATACATTATATCACCTGGGCAGCTGCAAAATATAACAATATAACAGACTGCACCGCAGGTGAATGATTGAAAAATGATTCTGGATTCAGAAGCCACAAATGACTCAAGTGGAAACCAGGCATCAGTATTTTTTAAAAGCCCCACAGGTGATTCTTAAATGCAGCCAGGTTGACAACCACCACCCAGGTGATCTCTGTGGTCTCATACAGCAAAAGCTTCCAAATTTTAGAGCTAATGGACAGCTGAATAACGAACGGCACCTGCATTGCAATCATTCTTTCCGGTTTGTAATGGACCTCTGAAGGGATACTTGTAGGAATGTACTTATTTTATAACTGATGATGGGCAAGGATGAACTTTTTAAAAAGTTCGGAGGGCCTTGATTTCAACTTGGGCCGTCTAGCTACATTAATCCTTTTCCATGTGGGGTTGTACCCATGAATATGCTTCTTGTGACCTGGAAAATGGTATGGCCAGAAAAGTATAACCGGTTTAAGAAAGGCTTGATAATTTGGTTAATAATGCAAGCAAGGAACTTTCAGGAATAATTCTCTAGCCCATCAAATCATCTACGCACCCAAAATCTTTACTGAATGGCTGCTTTTTCTAGAAGATGTTGTCCCAGGTGAATTCTTTTAGATTGCTCTGGGAGCTCTCTCGAGCTCCTGTCAGAGAGATTCTACCGAACAGAGAAAGCTACGCTTCCATGCTGGGATCGCTTTTCTCCTCCTCTGATATTGTTAATGGCTAACAATGAAGATAGCGTGGATCCACCTTCTCTTCCCACGCGGGCACTTCTGTCTCTGTAGTGTCAAAATAGTAGCAGCTAAAGTTGATGAAGTTCTTACTGTGTGCCAGGCATTGTGGTTTTTTGGTTTTTTGTTTGTTTGTTTCAGTTTTTTAAAATAGTTTGTATTACCTCCTTTTTTTCTTTTTCTTTCTTTTTTTTCTTTTCTTTTCTTTCTTTTTTTTTTCTTTTTTTTTTGACAGAGTCTCGCTTTGTTGCCCAGGCTGGAGTGCAGCAGTGCGATCTCAGCTCACTGCAACCTCCACCTCCCAGGTTCAAGTGATTCTCCTGCCTCAGCCTCCCGAGTAGCTGGGACTACAGGCACACACCACCATGCCTAATTTTTGTGTTTTAAGTAGAGACGGGGTTTCACTATATTGGCCGGGCTGGTCTCAAACTCCTGACCTCAAATGATCCACCAGCCTCCGTCTCCCAAAGTGCTGAGATTACAGCCGTGAGCCACCATGCCCAGCCTGTATTACCTCATTTAATCCTCCCAACCACTCTAGGAAACAGGCTGTATTCTATTATTACTCTGGACTGAATATTTGTGGCCCCTCCCCACCCAAATTCATATATTGAAATCCTAATCCCCAGTGTAATGGTGTTTGGGGTGGGGCCTTTGGGAGGTAACTGGGGTTAGATGAAATCCTGAGGGTAGAACTCCCATGATGGGATTAATTCCTTTATAAAAAGAGGAAGAGACACGAGATTACTTGTGAGAACATAACTGGGAAGAGGACCCTCACCAAGAACCTAACCATGCTGGCATCCTGATCTCAGATTTCCAGCCTCCACAACTGTAAGAAACAAATTTCCATTGTTAAAGCCACCCAGTGTATGATATTTGTTACAGCAGCCTGAGCTGACCAAGACAATTTTTTATTTGTTTGTTTTGGTTTTTTTGGGGACAGGGTCTCTCTCTGTCACCCAGGCTGGAATGCAGTGACGTGATCACAGCTCACTGCAGCCTCAAACTCCTGGGCACAAGTGATCCTCCCACCTCGGTCTCCCAAGTAGCAGGGACTACAGGTGCACACCACCACGCCCAGCTAATTTTTTGTATTTTTTGTAGAGATGGGTTGCACCGTGTTGCCCAGGCTGATCTCAAACTCCTGGGCTCAAAACAATCCACCTGCCTCGGCCTCCCAAAGTGCTGGGATTACTGGTGTGAGCCACCTGTAATTTTTATAGGCGAGTAAACAAGGACTTGAGAGGTTAATTAACCCGTGCAAAGTCACAGGGTTAAGAGATGAGAGTCAGAACACCACCCCAGCTCTCCGGCCTTGCCTTGGGTGCAGGGACTGGGCACTATACTCCTTGGTGTCCTCCCACGGCAGCTAACAGTGCTGAGCACACAGTGGCACAGAGTCAGAAAATGAACTGGGGTGGGCTGAACGGAAAGGGAAAAGAGCCTGGCTGTGGGTGAACTCCCTCACTGGCGAGACTTCCAGAACAGGTGCACCAAGGCAGCTGTGAGCAGCGTCCTGAGAACTGCTAAGAACTGAGCAGGTATTTGGGATATGCTCAGCCTCCAGGGGAGATGCAGGCTTGTTGGCCCCTGTCGGTTCTTTCCAGCTCAAGGATTCAATATTCCGTTGATTCCTAGAACTGTTGGCTGAAAGGGAAATGTTTACGATCAACCACAGCACGCTACTAAATGTGACAGGAATTGTGCGCGTGTTTGGCCTGATGCTTATCTTGTGGGCTAGCCGGTGACAGGCAACCATTTGCTAGCATGTCATCAGCTGCACAGGGCTTTCCCCAGCAGCTTCCTTTCCAATTATTCACAGCTACTGTAAGGGTGGGAGAATGAGGGCACACGGGGGAAGGGAGCTGTCTCCCTGCAGCCATGGACGACGAGCACAGAAGGAGCATGAGCTGCTCAGAGCAAGTATGATTTCTGGGGCTCTCAAAATGTCTGTGTTTGCCCTTTGTCCTTGTTCTCTCTCCAATCACTTAAGCAGATAACTCCTACAAATGCAGGTGAAGTGAGGGTAAGCAGAATCTGTCACTCCATGGCTAGAGCAAAGAAATTACTAATGCACGTCAGGAATATTCACATACATCATTTGACCCTTAAATCCACACTGTGCAGTTGGTACTATCATCTTCATTCCATATAAGTAAATGAAACTTGGAGAGACCAACTGACTTTCTACCAGCTGGGCATGGAGCTGAGATTCAAACCACATCTTCTCTATCTATTTCCTATTCTTTTCACTTACATTGATATGCTTAAATTTGTAAGGATAAAGAACAGATATGGGGAAGGAAGAGCAGGAAGGAAGAAGTTTCTGAAGGGTGCAGAGGGGCGTCGGGGAGAGGTCTATCAGGTGAAACACAGGACACCCAGGGAAACTTGAATTTCAGAAAAAGAATGAATTTTTAAAAATATAAATAAGTACCAAATATTCCATGAAAGCATACTTGTACTAAAACATTTTTCATTGTTTATCTGAAATTCCATAATTCAGGTATTGTGTTTCTATTTGCTAGATCTGCAGCCCTACGCAAGGAGTATGAGAAGATCCACAGTAAAGGATCCTGAGAGCAGACTTCATGGAATTCAAAGTACGCGGCCAAGCTAAGTCCACATTTCTCTCCCCAGTGTGTGTGTGCACGAGAAACCATGGCATGTCTCAGGTCTGGGGTCTGGTTGTGTGTCCCGAGTTGGTTCCTTCTGGTGGGTTCGTGGTCTCGCTGACTTCAAGAATGGAGCCTCGGACCTTTGCGGTGAGTGTTACAGCTCTTAAAAATGGCACAGACCCAAAGAGTGAGCAGCATCAAGATTTATTGTGAAGAGGGAAAGAGCAAAGCTTCCACAGTGTGGAAGGGGAACCTGAGCGGGTTACTGCTGCTGGCTGGGGGTGGCTAGCTTTTATTTCCTTATTTGTCCCTGCCCATGTCCTGCTGATTGGTCCATTTTACAAACCCGTAGCTAGCTACAGAGCGCTGATTGGTGCATTTTTTTTTTTTGTTTGTTTGTTTGTTTTGAGACAGAGTCTTAGTCACTCAGGCTGGAGTGCAGTGGCACAATCTGAGCTCACTGCAACCTCTGCCTTCTGGGTTAAAGTGATTCTACTGCCTCAGCCTCCGGAGTAGCTGGGACCACAGGTGCCTGCCAGCACACCTGGCTACTTTTTTGTATTTTTAGTAGAGACGGGGTTTCACCGTGTTAGCCAGGATGGTCTCGATCTCCTGACCTCGTGATCCGCCTGCCTCAGCCTCCCAAAGTGCTGGGATTACAGGTGTGAGCCACCGTGCCTGGTCTGATTGGTGCGTTTTACAAGCCTCTAGCTAGCTCCAGAAAAGTTCTCCAAGTCCCCACTGGACCCAGGAAGCCCAGCTGGCTTCACCTGTCAGTTGGAGGGAAGGAGAGAGGGACCTAAGAATTCAGTGTGCTGCCACAGCAGGCAACCTTGATGACATGGTGCTAAATGCAATGAGCCAGACACGAAAGGACAGATGTCGCATCATTCCATCCATGTGAAGCACCTGGAATACGCACATTCATAGAGACAGGTAGCGGAATGGTGGTTTTCGGGGGTTGGGGGTGAGGGGCAATGGCGAGTTAGTATTTAATGGGGCAGAATTTCAGTTGGGGAAAATGAAAAAGTTCTGGAGAGGGATGGTGGTGACGGTTACACCACATTGTGAATATAGGCAACACCACGACACCGCAGAGTTAAACAAGATTAAAAGTGCAAATTTTATGCTATGCATATTTCATCACAATTATACACAGAAAGATTTCAGTTCGAGGTCCTGCCCTGTCCTTAAAAGAGCTCTCTAGAGAGCAGCAGCCAGCTCGCCCCCGGGTTGCCCTGGACATGAGAAACACAGAAATACACATGAAGCTCAGGCTTCTCCTGTTGCTCAGCATCCAGGGTGCAGGGGCCAGGCATTCAGCGCCAGCCAGGAGCGGGAGAGGTTTATGTGGCTCGGTGGAGGTCACACTGCAGACAGAGGCTCAGGGAACCCAAGTCTCCCAGCCTCCATGTGGGGCTCATTCCTCTGCCTTAAAGGGAGAGGAACACACAGCCCTCCTGCTGCTCCTCCTCCCGCTCCAACCCGTGTAATGAGCTAATCTCCGAAAAGAGCTTAGAGCTCTTCTCAGAAAGATGCTCTATAAATACAGCATCCTCTTGCTAACCAGGACTCCAGGGGTGAGGAACAGATCACTGGAGGGATCCAGATGGGGGGAAGGGG
This sequence comes from Homo sapiens, assembly GCF_000001405.40. Taxonomy (NCBI): domain Eukaryota; kingdom Metazoa; phylum Chordata; class Mammalia; order Primates; family Hominidae; genus Homo; species Homo sapiens. The sequence continues at coordinate 4,417,835 of NC_000012.12, forward strand.
TCCCTGGGGGACTTAAATTTAACCCCAGAAACTGGGCTCAGGTCACTGGCTGCGACAGCCCTGTGCGCTGTCCCCAGGAGAAACCATCCGGAGAATACTGTTTATTCTTTGTAATTTAGGGGCTTTCCCTGCCCCCAGTCACTGCCTAGGAGGATCATGGATTAATATGGGCTTTTGGATAGAATATGAATTTTTATCAGCAGCTGTTAGGACATCTTCCCTGATCTTTGCTTTAGGGGCCCAGGCTCTGCTAAATTCAGACCAGACAGAGTTAGTTGCTTCTCAGACAGACCTTACAAGGAAGCAGCAAGGCCAGAGAGGCGTGGGGTAAACAATTTCAATGAGAGTTCTCAATCTGCCGTGGGCACACGTCACCAGGGGCTTCTGAGAGCTTTTGCTCGACCTTCTCCAGTTAAACAAACTACTGCAGTCCTTCTCTCCCCGTCACCCCAAACTGCACTTTTAATAACAAATATTTTATAACACTATCTTTACTATTTAAAGTGAAACTGATGGTCAATATAATAGTACCTACACATATCACTTAAAAAATTAATATAATGCCTTAACTGTAGAGAAAAAAGGGAGCAGGTAACTTAAAAGATTGTATTTCAAGATCTAAATGCTCAGGCACAGCCACATTAAGACAATGGAGGATTCAGATGCTCATAGTTAGTTGTAATGAATACATTTGGATTTAAGAATGGCAAGAAAGTGTTCCACTAAAAATTATGTGCCGTTTTTGACATTTGAGATAGGATTAGGTATGTCTGTGTAAATGCATATAGTGAGAGAATCACTGCGATTGTGAGAGCTACAAATGTACTGATAACTGACGGGTTATCATGCTAGGGTTTTTCAAAGTGGTGCACTGTGCTTGAAAGGTTTCACACAAAATACAGACTTCCCTAGATTTATACCCTCGTTGGGAAACTTTGCGTTTTAAAGCGACAGAGAAAAACATTCTCTGCTTTATGTAAAGCAGTTTGATTCTAGGCTCAGATTTATAAACAGGTGTTCTACCTACATGACATTCTGAAAGCTGAGCAATTGCAGGACAATTCTTCATGATGGAGACTGTCCTCTGTGTTGCAGATGCCTCTCATCTGTGGCTTCTGTTCACTGATGCTAGCAGCATCCCCAGTCACTGTGATAACCAAACACCCTCCCGAACTGCCGAAGTGCTCCATCGAGATCCACCGATGCAACAGGGCTGAAAGTGCCTAGTCCTTACAGAGATGTTCCTTTCATTTCATTTCCTTTCTTTTCCTTTCCTTTCCTTTCCCTTTTCTTCCCTTTTCCTTTTTTCCTTTCATCTTTCCATATGATTCTAAGAAGTGGGATCCAGGAAAGGCAGAAAATAACTCTGTCTTCCTGTGTGGAGTGGCTCAGGAAAAACCAGATGAGTCGACTATGAGGGAACACTAGGGCAAAGGCCCTAAAGATCTTACTAGGAATCCATTTTCTAAAATCATTATATTAAAAAGATAGAGGCACTCATATGTTTATCGTAACAGTATTCACAATAGCACAAAGATATGAAATCAACCTAAATGTACATCAGTGGATGACTGGATAAAGAAAATGTGGTACATGTGCACGATGGAATACTATACAGCCATAAAAAGAATGAAATCATGTCCTTTGCAGCAACATGGATGGAACTAGAGGCCGTTGCTTAAGTGAAACAACTCAGAAAGTCAAATACCACATGTTCTCACTTTTAAGTGAGAGTTAAATAATGTGTACACATGGACATAGAGTGTGGACTGATAGAAATTGGAGACTTGGAAGGGGGACAGTGAGAGGTGGTTGGGCGATGAGAAATTACTTAATGAGTACAATGTACATTATTTGCATTATGGATACATTAAAAGCCCAGACTTTGCTACTAAGCAATATATCCATTTAACAAAATCGTGCTTGTACCCCTTAAATTTAATCTCCTAAGAATCCATGAACAGTAGGGATTCTCATAAGAATCCATTTTCTTTCTTTTTCTTTGAGACAAGGTCTCACTCTGTCACCCAGGCTAGAGTGCAGTGGTGCAATCACAGCTCACTGCAGCCTTGAACTCCCGGGCTCAGCCTCCCAAGTAGCTGGGCTACAGGCATGTGCCGCCACACCCGGCTAATTTTTCCACTTTTTGCAGAGACGAGGGTTCACCACATTGCCCAGCCTGGTCTCGAACTTTCGGGCTCAAGCAATCAGCCTGCCTTAGCCTTCCAAAGTGTTGCGATTACAGGTGTGAGCCATGGCGCCAAGCCAAGAATCCATTTTCATTCAGACTTCTGTAAGTGATTTACACTTCACACAACTCTTTCCAGCGTATCATCTCATTTGAATCTACACACTGATTCTGCTTGGTAGGCAGGGCTGGAATATAAGCTGCACTTAAGAGATGAAGACATAGAGGCAGAACGAGCTTAAGTGATTTATTTATCCAAGGTTATTCTCTATCTCATCCCTGTGTATATTTCCTTGCCAGCCCTCCCATGACATGCAGTAATGCTGTACTGTTGCCTGGGAAACTCATGGATGTGTCTACTCTCTGTTAGGATGAAAGCTCCCAGCAGACAACAGTCCGCTTTCTCTCTAGTTCACTGTTGTTCACAGGCACCAGCATAGTTGTTTAAAGCTAGTAGGTTTAAAATAAATATTTATTTCATAAATGAATTAGCAGCCTCCTTGCTTCCAATCCTTTATCCTCTTCATAGAATTCTCCTCTTCAAATAGTCGAATCACCTCATGCCACGTCATTGCAAAAATCTACTGTGGTTCACTGCTGTGTAGAAGATAATTTTAAGCTGCTTAGCTTGGCATTCAGGCTCTGTCTTCAACTTCCATTCCGCTCTGCACCCATAAATGCCATCCATACTCCAAAACAGCCTGCATCACTTGCCATTAGCAGCTAACATTGATTGAACACTTACTGTAGGCCAAGCACTGCCAAGCACTTTGCGTGTATTATTCTATTTAATCTTCACAAGGACTCTGTGAAATAGGCACTATTGTCTCCATTTTAATGAAAAGGGAAACTGAAGCTTAAATAACTTACCTAAGATCATGCAGCTCTTGAGTGGCACACCTGGGACTTGAACCCCCACCTTTCTGCCCCCAAGTGTGTGCACTAAGTCCCACGTTAGGTTGAACTTACTTTGCCTTTACACCTTGGCTGGGGCCCGTGCTTGGGTTCTTTGCTCGGGCTGGGATAACCCTTTTCTTCTCCATGTGCCTGCCTCCTTGCTGTCCCTGCCTCAGTGGCCTTTCATCCATGAGCCTTCCCATCCTACCTACTCTGGTGAGCCACTTTTTCCTCTGCAATACAATGCATTCTGATATAAAGCAGTATTAGCTGGGCAGGAGACTGTCCTCCACAAGGGTCTGTGAGCTCTTTTTAGGCAAATACTATAATTCATTCTTTATTTTTTAAAATTACTTTATTTTTAAATTGAATAATTGTACATATTCAAGAATAATTGTACATGTTCATGGAGATACATGGTGATGTTTCAATACATATAATAGTGAATAAATGAGAGTAATTAGCATATTCATCATCTAAATTTCTATCATCTGTTTGTGTTAGGAACATTTAACATCCTGCTACCTATTTGAAACTACATAATACGTTGCTGTTAACTATAGTCATCCTACAGTGATGTAGGATACTAGAACTGATTCCTCCTACCTGATGGGATTTTGTATCCTTTAACAAACCTCTCCCTATCCCTCTCCTCTAAAATCAGCATCCCAGTCCCAACTTACAACTGGTGTTCAGTGACTCTTTCTTAGACAACTCAGGATGAAGTTTAGTGATGACATTATTATTAAGGAAATAGCCACAAGGGGGCAGTACTAACGGGTCTGAGAATGGATTACCCTCCCTGTTCCACCTGGGAGAGGGATGTTCTGCTCCAAAGACCCTTCCAACTCACACGATGGCCCTGAGGGGCAGATGAACCAAGGTCTAATATAATGAAGTGTGCACAACCAAAAGGTAAACAGCAATGGGAAGCGTGGGAGGAAAATTGGAAGAAAGTTAGAAAAAAACACAGTTTTTTGGAAGCTCTTGAAAACTTTTGGAGTTTTAAAAATGTTCGGATAATATAGGGAATATAGTTTTTTTTTCTTGCAGAGTGTTATTTGGTTTTCTTCATACAACATTTACAACTTTAGTTCCCTAAACATAATTTTGTTAGCAAACTAAGAAACACATAACACATTCCGTGTTATTGAAGAAAACTCACATTTACGTCCATAAAGAGGGCTAAAAATAATTAATGCTATTTTCTACTGTGCTTCCTCAAATTTTCTATTTTTCTTTCTCCACCTTCCTCCTAATTGTTGTTTATGGAGATTACAAGTTATATTTTCACTCATTGTTATTGCTGTTTTGCCTGTTTTTTTTTCCTAGTTAAAAAGGAGTGGAAAATCATAAAAATTTTGAGATATGTTATTTTCTAGCCCTAATGGAACCTGCAGCTAATTCTGGCAAAAGATGGAGCAGGGCTGGGTGGAGAAGGATGGAGAAGGGACACAGAATATTGACGGGCCTTACGGGCCTATGCTTAAAAATTCATGGGATTCATGGGATTCAAGGCCAGGCATAGTGACTCACACCTGCAATCCCAGCACTTTGGGAGGCCTAAGTGGGCAGATTGCTTGAGCCCAAGAGTTCAAGACCAGCCTGACTAATGTGGCGAAACCCTGTCTCTACTAAAAATACAAAAATTAGCCAGGCTTGGTGGTGGGTGCCTGTAATCCCAGCTATTCTGGAGGCTAAGGCAGGAGAATCGTTTAAACCCAGGAAGTGGAGGTTGCAGTGAGCCGAGATCGCACCACTGCACTCCAGCCTGAGTAGCAGAGTGAGACTCTATCTCAAAAAAATAAATAAATAAGAAAAATTCATGGATTCATCCATATCGAGGGTTGGAAAATAAAAGGATTCTGAGAAGTCTTTCTGAGGGAAAGACTTTTCAGGGGACCTTTTAGGAAGGCCTGGAATAGCTTCACGAGTGAAGAGAGACTTCAGTAAGACCCCATGGAAGGCTTGACATGTGTCTCTGAAGCTGAGGGGCACCGTGGACCACTGTGTGATGCCTACCTGGAAAATTCCAAGGCAGGAGAGAGTGTGTTTCCGGCTGCTGCAGTGCTAAGAGTGAAGGGCAGGCTGCCTCTGCCCTGGGCTTGGGCTTCATTCCCAGAGTTTGCAGGGGCTCGGATTTTCTGCATGTTTCCCAGAGACCAGGCGTGAGCCACACATGAGAGCATCCCTAGCTGCCACCCACCGCCTACTGCACAGCATCCCCAGCCACCACCCCCAACCTAACCCTCAGCCTCCCCAGCCGCCACCCACCACCCAACCCTCAGCCTCCACAGCCGCCGCCCACCACCCACTGCACAGCGTCCCCGGCCACCACCCACCATTCACTGCATAGCATCCCTAGCTGCTGTCCACTACCCACACCCCATCCCCAGTTGTGACAACCAAAAGTGTCTTCAGGCGTTGCCAAATGTCCTGTAGATGTCAAAATTACCCCCAGTTGAGAATAGCTGCATTTAAGGCAACTGCATATCACACCCAAAAGAATAGGCCCCCCAGCTAGGGCTACTTTTGATGATAGCGACCACTTGGGTGCCTGGTAAATGCACCAGCTGCTGACTTCTGTCTTGGCACAGAAAGTTAGAATGACACCCTGTGTGAGGGCAGCCTTCCCCAGATGGCAGCAAGGCACCGGTTTGGACTGAATGTGTGCTCCCCAAGTTCATATGTGAAAGCTCTGACCCCTACTGTGGCTGGATTGAGAGATAGGGTCTGTAAGGAAGTACATGAGGTTGTAAGGGTGGGGCCGTAATCTAGTAGGACTATGGCCTTATAGGAAGAGAAAGACACCTGGGTGTGCCGGGTCTGTGCTTATGCCCAGAGGAAAGGCTGATTAAGGATGTGGTGAGAAGGTGGCCTTCTACAAGCCAGGAAGAGAGGCCTCACGGGACATCCATCCTGCCAGACCTCGATCTTGGACTTCCAGCCTCCAGAACTGTGAGGAAATGGGTGTCTGTTGTTGAAGACACTGTGTGTGGCACACTGCTCGGGGGCCCCAGCTCTGAGATGGCACTGGATGGGCATCTGTGCCACCAGAGGCAGGCCCCAGGGGTCCCTGGCACCACAAGTAGCCGTGCCTCAAGGTGATGTGTGCCCGCTCTATTAGACGCCATGTGTCCCACCAAAACCAGATGGGAGGGCTCTTGTGTTCTTTGTAAGAAAAATGAATGGCTAATATTGACATTTACAACCAACCCTTCAATTGGCCAGCCTAGCGACCCTCCAACCTCCTCTGCGACCTAAGCCTCCCCAATGCTGCAGTCACCAACCTCCCTTCTCTCTTCACGGAAACCTCTGTAGGAATGCTCAAGGAATGGAATATGCTGGTTGGTTGATTTTGAAAAAACAAACAGCATTAAACTTGTTGGGGGGTGTGTCCAAAATTTTGTGTTGAAAAATCTTTTTGAAGTTATGCATTCATTTTTAAATAAACATGCTTGTTAAGTGAGTATTTTGTGGGTTTAGCGTTTTCATCCTGAGCATCATTTGTCTATAGGATGATTGGACTGTAGATGAATACAGTATAGAAGTCTTAATGGATCATGGACACATTCCAGAATGTCCCTGGGGTATTGTTTTCACGGTATCTGTTATTAGCTTGTTTTCTTGGCATTTTGGCTTTTTTTCCTCCTAGAACTGGAGGAAAGGAGGAAAAGCAGCTGTCCTGGCCAAGTATCTGTGTGTGAAATGAGGTCGTGGTGTCCGTCTGCTTGTGTTTAGCACCATGGTGTTTAGTCTCAGGGCCCTGACAATAGACGGATAGCAGCAGGGCAGCAGAAGGCTTCTTGTTAGTCCCTTTAGGGGACGTGAATGGTCAGGCAAAGAATATGAAAGCTCTTGGGGTCTCCCTCAGAAAACGGAGGGGGCTGGTTCTTGTGTGCTTTAGAAGAATCGGATTCAGCCCGAGAGGCACTACCTGGAGTCAGGGCTGTGCTGTGAGCCACACATGCGGACTTCTTTTTCTTTTTTCTTTTTTTTTTTTTTTTTGAGATGGAGTCTCGCTCTGTCACCCAGGCTGGAGTGCAGTGGCGTAACCTCGGCTCACTGAAACCCGGGTTCAAGCCATTCTTCAGCCTCAGCCTCCCGAGTAGCCGGGATTACAGGGTGAGCCAACACGCCCGGCTAATTTTTGTATTTTTAGTAGAGGCAGGATTTCACCATACTGGCAAGGCTGGTCTCGAACTCCTGACCTCAGGCGATCCACCCACCTTGGTCTGCCAAAGTGCTGAGTTTACAGGCATGAGCCACCGCGCTCGGCCCACAAACGTGGACTTCTTTCCGTCCAGGCATCGCTGCTCTCTCCAGCGCCGTCTCCTCTAGCCTGGAACACTCCTGTGTGGGAGCCTCCAGATTGTTCTCCCTGCACACAGGCTCACCTCACCACATCATTTTACGGGAGACAGTTCTGATGATTATTCTAGAACCCCTACCTGGTCTTGTTAACGTTTTTTTTTTTTTTTTGAGACAGGGTCTCGCTCTGTCACCCAGGCTGGAGTGCAATGGGCGCGATCTCAGCTCAGTGCAACCTCTGCCCCCGGGTTCAAGCGATTCTTGTGCCTCAGCCTCCTGAGTAGCTGGGACTACAGGTGTTACAGGAAAGGGGTCCCAATAAAAACCCCAAGACAGAGTCCTTGGATCTGATCCAAGAAAGAATTCAGGGTGAATCCACAAAGCAAAAGCAAGTTTATTAAGAAAGTAAAGTGGTGAAAGGACGGCTGCTCCATAGACAGAGTAGGGTGTTTCCAAAAGTACGAGGAGGAACGTGTCCACCCGAAGTACAATACTCAGTTATACATAGGATAAAAACAGATCACGGGGAGATGTGTTCTGCTACAAGGGTTTCTGATGAAGGATTAGTTTTCTTAATTACTATATGTTGCAAGAATCAATATTATTATCTTTAAAGCAAAATTAGGAATGTTTTTGTTCTCAAGATATCAGGATATCAGGACACTCTGATTCATCTAGTCTACTGTAGATGAATATATCTACTGTATTCATCTACAGTCCAATCATCCTATAGACATCCTATAGACCAAAGTCTGTATGTGTTTATTAAATATCAATCTGTTCCCTTAACCATAAACATCTGGAGGCTAGGAATACCTAACTTCCTAGGAATGCGGCCCAGCAGTCGCAGCCTCATTTTCCTAGCCCTCACTCAAGAGGGAATCACTGTGGTTCAAACACCTCTGACACAGGCTCATGCCACCACACCTGGCTAATTTTTTGCATTTTTAGTAGAGATGGGGTTTCACCATGTTGGCCTTGAACTCCTGACCTCAAGTGATCCGCCACCTCAGCCTCCAAAGTGCTGCAATTACAGGTGCTTGCCACCCTGCCGGGCTAATTTTTGTCTTTTTAGTAGAGACAGAGTTTTTCCATGTGGCCCAGGCTGGTCTTGAACTCCCGAACTCAAGTGAGCCTTCTGCTTCGGCCTCCCAAAGTGCTGGGATTACAGGCATCAGCCACCATGCCCGGCCTGGTCTTGTTACTTCTTAAACCTCACTAAGGGCCTCTCAGTGTTTTCAGATTAAAATTCAAGCTCCTCTAAAGAGACTGCATATTGTGTGACTACAGGAAATATCCAGAAAAGGGAAAACGACGGAAACAGAAAGTAGATCTGTGGTAGCCGGGTGAAAGCAGGGAGGAGGGGATTCAATGTGCTTGAAGAGCATAATGAGCCCTCATCTCAAAAAAAAAATTTTTTTTTAACTAGCTGTTTGTGGTGGTGCGTGTCTGTGGTCCCAGCTACGCAGGAGGCTGAGGCGGGAGGATTGCTTGAGCCTGGGAGGTCAAGGCTGCACTGAGCAATGACTGTGCCCCTGCACTCCAGCCTGGGACACAGAGAGACACCTCGTCTCTGAAATAAATAAGTACATAATTTTAAAAATGTGCTTGAAGGGTCTTAAAGGAGTAATGAGATGCTCTAAAACTGATTTATGGTGATGGTAACTTTACCTAAAACTCATTGAGTTATACACTAAGGTTGAATTGGATGATACGCAAAATTTTAAAAATTCAAGCGTGTTAACATAGCTTCCCAGTGCTCCGGGATACAGTTCCTGTCCACCTGTCTTGAGCTCCATCCTGCCCATGCTCCTCTCATTCTGGATACAATACTGATGCTGCTTAAATCCTTGCAGGGACCATGTTTTTCCCCAGCTCTACCGGCAAACACCTGCTGCGTCCTTCCTTCCTCACAACACTCTTCCCCTGCCTGCCAGCCCCCACCCCTGCCCTAAATCTGGCTGAGACCCTTCAGAGCTCAGCCTTCCCAAGGATGGATTCTCTCATCCACCAACAGGAGGTCCTAACCCTGTTCTATGCTCCCGTAATAGGCTTGAAGTTTCTCTTTTGTGCTGCTCATTACGTTTTGCTGTAATTATTTTATTTATTTATTCATTTATTTTTATTTTTATTTATTTATTCATTTAGACGGAGTTTCACTCTTCTGGCCCAGGCTAGAGTCCAATGGCGTGGTCTTGGCTCACCACAACCTCCGCCTCCCAGGTTCAAGCAATTCTCCTGCCTCAGCCTCCCAAGTAGCTGGGATAACAGGCATGCGCCACCACGCTTGGCTAATTTTGTATTTTTAGTGGAGACGGGGTTTCTCCATGTTGGTCAGGCTGGTTTCCAACTCCCGACCTCAGGTGATCCGCCCACCTCGGCCTTCCAAAGTGCTGGGATGACAGGCGTGAGCCACCGCGCCCGGCCTTATTTTTTTATTTTTATTTTCTCCACCCTGAGACGGAGTCTCACTCTGTCACCCAGGCTGGAGTGCAGTGGCATGATCTCGGCTCACGGCAACCCCTGCCTCCTGGGTTCAAGTGATTCTCCTGCCTCAGCCTCCTGAGTAGCTGGGATTACAGGCATCCACCACCAGGCCTGGCTAATTTTTGTATTTTCAGTAGAGATGAGTTCTCACCATGTCGGCCAGGCTGGTCTCGAACTCCTGACCTCATGTGATCCGCCCACCTCGGCCTCCCAAAGTGCTGGGATGACAGGCATGAGCCGCTGCGCCCGGCCTATTTTGCTGTAATTGTTTATTTAATGTCTGTCTTCCTTGCCAGTTTATAAACCCATATATAGTTTTCACAGTGATAGTCCCAGGGCCCTGAGTGGTTTCTGCTGCATAATAGGGTGTTAGAAATATTAATTGCATAAATAATACAGGAATGAGGTGCAGAGTCCAAAGGACCAGGCAGCTCTTCTTCCAAGAGAACATAGATTTATTTGGAACCCAGAGTTGCTCGACTGAAGGCACATTGGGATCACCCCCAGAGATGGCATGAAAGGGGCGAGAGAGTGGGGATGGCCACAGCAGGAACGTGGCACGGAGATGACAGGGCTGATGACGGGAAGCTCAGGAAGGGGCAGTGTGAAGGGAGGGAGGAAACTCGGGAGGCTGTGGGGTCCTCCTGACGTAAACTCTCCAGTCATCTTCTTTCTTTTTATTTAACCTATAAAAAGATGGCATAATTTATAGTCTCTCCCAGCTCAAATGTCCTGCCATCCCAGTCATCCTACTAGATGGGTTCTTCAACGTCAGACCCACCTGGGATGTGTATTAAACGTGTAGACTCCTGGGCATCGTCAGAAAATCTGGGAGCGGGACTTGGAGATCTATGTCTTAACGTGCTCTTGGGTGATTTTTTGTAATGCAAGTTAATGAGAGCATGGGGACTGCATCTACCTTGTTCACATGTGTATCCCAGAAACCTAGCCTAGTCCGGGGCAGGGTTGAGGAACTCAGTATATCTTGATGGGTGAATAAATGAATGAATGAACTCTATAGTCACAGAATGTGTATATTTGGTTTTGACCAAGGCAGAAAAGGAAGAGGGATGCTGCCTCGCTATAGTCTTCCATCGCTGTCTTCACCCTCCTGGGCCAATTTCCCCATTGGCAAGCTACAGGGTAGTTGGACTGAGTACGCCACAGGACTTCTTCCTGCCTTAATAATCAAGAGCACCATGAATCGGTGCTTTCGGGTTCTCTTTGCCTGCCTTCCTGCAAGGGGGGAAAGAATCAAGAGGAAAATCAACGGCAACCCAGAGATTTGTTGTCAGTTTTAATAGGAGGAGTGGAGTCAAAGAGTTTAGAGAAATGTAGAAAAAGACCTTTTACTTTTTGCTGGAACATGATATGGTTTGTGCATGGCACATACATATTTAAAAAAAAGACGTATCACATTTCACAACCACATGACCGAACAGCATCTGGGTTGTGCTATGCGCTGTGCCTAGGCTGGAGGGCAGCTCTACCCTGGGACCAGCCTGAGGTACTCAGCGATTTACAGAAAGAGGAAACCACGCAGGACACAGCTCTCTGGTGCCGGAATTTCAGTCGTTCAATGAGGTATACAAACATGGTTCTGCGTTGGCTATCTGCATGATGGACCAGATTCAGGACCTGCTTGGGGCATAATCGCATCCTCCACCTGTTCTGGGAAGAGGAAGCATCAACTCAGATGTGAGCAGAGACTGGAGTATTTCTCTCTATTCTTCTGGCCTTGTCCCAAACATTCCTCTCTTTGGAGTTTTGCAGGGAGGTAGCAGAATGAGTGGCTGGTTCCTTCAGGGGACGAGCAAGTATTAGAGACCCACTTTGTAGACACAGGCATGGTAAGTGGCAGAGAATGCTTCCTCAGTGACAGCTGACCCAGAGTCTTTGAGGAAAAACATTGGGATAGAAGGATGAAGGAGTTTTCTTTTTTTATTTTTATTTTTTGAGACAGAGTCTCGCTCTGTCACCCAGGCTGGAGTGCAGTGGTGCAACCTTGGCTCACTACAAGCTCCGCCTCCCGGGTTCACGCCATTCTCCTGCCTCAGCCTCCCGAGTAGCTGGGACTACAGGTGCCCGCCACCAGGCCCAGCTATTTTTTTTTTTTGTATTTTTAGTAGAGACGGGGTTTCACCATGTTAGCCAGGGTAGTCTCGATCTCCTGACCTCGTGATCCGCCCATCTCAGCCTCCCAAAGTGCTGGGATTACAGACATGAGCCACCGCTACCTGGCCAATGAAGTTTTCTAGCTTGTGTCCACATGAAAGGGACAGAAGGAGATAGAGGGCAGAGGGGAGATCCTCGTGTCTTGGAGGACATTTGTAGATGTGCATTTTAGTAGATATGTTTGCACCAGTGACTGTGGCACAGAATGGGCAAAGGCAGTGGACAAGGGGAGAAAGGAGAACTATAGCTCATGGACTCTCCTATTTCTTTTTTCTCTCAGGACTTGCATAGAACAAGAACTTGAAGGGTCTGAGGTCTAGGACAAGAAAGTGGCCCAGAGCCAGCGTTGAAGGAGAATTGCAAACTGCCCAGGACAGGATGAGGTCTGGAGAGAATTTCAGGCCTGGGTTTCTGGGCAGGAGAGGTATCTGTATGTCTAAAGAGGAGAGAGGTTTGGCCGGGTGCAGTGGGTCACGCCTGTAATCCCAGAACTTTGGGAGGCCGAGGCGGGCGGATCACGAGGTCAGGAGATTGAGACCATCCTGGCTAGCACGGTGAAACCCCATCTCTACTAAAAATACAAAAAATTAGCCAGATGTGGTGGCGGGCGCCTGTAGTCCCAGCTACTTGGGAGGCTGAGGCAGGAGAATGGTGTGGACCCTGGAGGCAGAGGTTGCAGTGAGCCAAGATCACGCCACTGCACTCCAGCCTGGGTGACAGAGCGAGACTCTGTCTCAAAAAAAAAAAAAAAAAAGAGGAGAGAGGTTTGTACCCTGAATCAGAAGGCAGAAGAAAATGTTCTTTTTGTTAGGCCATAGACTGGCCCTGACCAAGGGCTTGGCATGTGTATTAGGGCACTGTGGGATGTGGCAGCAGAGGGGAAGGCTGTGGAGGATGATGGTAGGGTATGAATTAGAAAATTACATGCTGCTTTCCCGAGAGGTTCAAAAATGTATGGGAAGTGGGAAGGGAAGGGGTGTTACAAGGCAGTGAATGATGAAACAAACATAATCAACAGCTTGAACAAGGCATTTGGAGTTTTCTGGTTTCCTATGAGGTTCATCCATTGCCCTGAAACGGGTGGAGGTTTTACAAGGAGCCCGAGGCTGCCCCATTGCTTCTAAGCTAACCTCTAAGGCTGCAGCTGAGAAGTGCATCTTGAAGAGTGTGCAGATATGCTGCTCTCCTCTTTATTATTTGCTCTTGAAGAGAGAATAAAACAGCCTCTTGGCCCTTGGAACTCCAAGTTTGCATGGAGCTGCCAAAGAAGATTCAGGACGAAAGAGAGGTGAATTAGCTACAAAACTCTATAAACCAGGCTCATTGCTCAGCACTTGGGGGATGGAGGGCCCAAGTCTCAGTACATCCTCAGTGGGAAAGTGGGGTACACTCTGGCTCCCCTGCATATAGCAGTGCCTTCTGCAGCCTTTGGGAGCCAATGGGCCTGACAACTGAATTCAGGACTCAGTGGACATGTGACCAGATAGGAAACAACTCTCCATGCCCGGGCACAGAAACGGAAGCTGGAGAGAAGGGGCTGAAATGCATCCTGCTGATCTTATTCTGGTCTTGTCCCTTAGCTCACTTCTGTAGATGGGGATTGACTTTTCTTAAGTCTAAGTCACTTACAGGAAAACAGAAAGCCCTTGAGAGAATTCCTTTGCATGGGAAGGATTTTAAAGAGTCACCCACACATACCTGCATCCAAAGGTGGTATTCAAAATACTTAGCAACCAGCTAGGTGTCGTGGCTCATGCCTGTAATTCCAACAGTTTGGGAGGCTGAGGCGAGTGGATTGCTTGAGCACAGGCGTTCAAGACCAGCCTGGCCAATATGGCAAAACCCTATCTCTCCAAAAATAAATATAAAATTAGCTGGACCTGTAGTCCCAGCTACTTGGGAGGCTGAGGAAGGAGAATCGCTTGAGCCTGGGAGGTGGAGGTTACAGTGAGCCGAGATCACACTACTGCACTCCAGCCCGGGTGACAGAGCGAGACCCTGTCATAAACAAACAAACAAACAACCCCCAAATACTTAGCAATTGATACAGCATGGGCCCTGGTACCAGTTAGACAGACACCCAGCCCCTCCTAACCGGTGCGGGTGCAACTGCTATGCAGTGGCTCAATATCATGCGTGCTTGATCATAGGCATTTCGTAGCTTCTGCTTCCCACTCCTAGCATGAAAAATGAAAGTGGACATTTGGGGAAATGCCTTGCCAGGATTTGAGCAAGGTTATGATCCTCTAGAGAGATGAAGGACAAGGCTGGCAGCCCAAGGCTTTGGAGACTCTCTTGAAGATGGCTCCTTTCCTGCCACGTGAGCTGAAAGATCTTGGAAAAAAGGAAAGCATGCTATGGGACCTAAAACTTCCTTCTCCTTTTTTCTCTGGATCACAGTCACGCCGTCCGCCAGCCATCCCACATTCCAAGCTCCACTAGGAACTGATATGCACCTCAGGTTTGGAGTGCCTGCATTTCTGATGGACCCTGTTCAAGAGACTGATTGCACTGGACAAGACTCCCTAAAAAACAGTGGAGAGCTTTATCCCCGCCTCCAAGCAGACCCACACTTCAACATTCCACGGAATCAAGATGGACCAGTTTTCTCCCTTTTCTACAACATCCAAGGGTTGGCCATGTGCACACGTGTTCCGAGGCTTCTACAGTCTCTTCCATCTTCATGTACCTGGGTGTGGCCTTTTCTTCCTCACCCAGCACATGTCCTCCCTGACATTTGCAGGGCAGAGGAGGTGGCAGGTAAGGTGTCTCCCCCTTCGATTGCCAACCTCCCATCTTCAGCTCAGAATCCCTCAACCCAGATCTATCTATAGATGGATGCAACTGCAAATAGCGAGGTATGTTGAAGATGAAGGTATTTGCAACAGATGAAGGATTGTCTTGCAGGCCGGGGCCCCCAAGAGTCGCAGAGGTCATCAGGTCATTTTGTAACTCCATGGTTCACATATGCCAAAAATATTTGCACTCTGATATGGCTCTCTCTGGTTTCAGATTTAGGAACATTCCAATGGTTCAGGAATCTGAAGGCTCCGGGCAGACAACATTTATAGTCACTTGGGGAACCTCTGCTTTAAATATTCTCAAAGGACAGGAGGCAGAAGGCACTGTGCAGCAAGGAGCTGCTTCAGCTTGGCTGCTTGACTCTGTGGGATTATCACTCCTCTTCTACTGCAGGGAGGAAGAGAGCACAAACTCTGGAGGTCACGGTGCCCATTCTGCTGCATCCAGGCACAGCGCGTATGTGAGATGAGGATGAGCAAGAAGGAAGTGAGGGTATCAGATGAGAACTTGGGTGCGTTTCTTGGACATAGTTGGAGAGGAATTACCATCTGTAGTCCAAAGCCTCTCTACTTCCTTCATGCCCTATTTTGTCCCCCTACTCCTCGCCAAAGAGGTTGCCATTATTAGGATCCTTGTCATCTGAGGTTAAAATAAGACCAGTTCAAAGTGAGGAAACGTTATGGGCAGGCAGCCTGGCCCCTGCTTGTTCCTGGAGCCATGCACAGCCTGAGTTCTCCAGGCAGAGTGGCTCTCCTAGAACATCCAGTCCCTTCTGCTGCCTCCACAAGCCTTCCTCAGCTGCCCTAGATGCTGCTCTACCCCTTTCCTCCAAGAAGGGAACCGCTTCTCCCCCAGCCTCCCTGACAGTTCATCCCAGTGTCCCCAGAGCCCTCTCTGGCAGGAAGCTTGAAGTGCCTGATCACTCTCTTTCTGGTTTGCAGTTCAGCCTCACACCCTCTCACTCTGCCGTCTCTGCACTTTGAGGACAGCTGCTCCCTGCTGACCTATGCAACCCATGTAGTTAGTGGCCTCTGAATGGAAAGATGATTGGAAAGAGGCAGAATGGGAGCACACATCAATCTTGCTGGTTTGACAAGTGACATTCTTACAGGCAGATTCCTGCAGCGATGATGCTAGGAGAAAGAAACCTGATGCTTTGAAATGCCATTGCTCTGAGAATGTGTATAAAGCTGTATGGATATACAACAATGCACACAAACTCCTACCCTGGCCTTTTCCTATGCACATGGTCACATTCCACAAGTGTCACCGATACCTTCTCTCCTCGAGGGAGGTCAGAGCATGGGATAAATTGCCATTCTAAAATTGCTGATTTTAGCCCTCGTTTGAATGGGCTACATGCCGTGGGGTCCAGTGGCCAAGGAAAACAACTGAGGTCTCCCCAAGCACAGGATAAGCCTGATTCAGAAGCCATGGAGGGCAAGGGGAATTCTTCGCTGGTGCAAAATTTCAATCGAACAGATGATGCTTTAAATCTGTGAGCCTTCTTTTGTGGGTCCTTAGATCCTGGGAAGGAAATGAGTGACAGTCATGATCGGGGACACCTTGCTGCCCCGCTTTACCCGTCCGTATTTGCTCAGGGCAATGTAGGTCCCTTGGTACAAGTCTGACTCGTAGGCATTGTAATTGTTGGGCAGGAGGGTTTCTCTGAACTTGCATTCTTCTTGGAAGCTGGGCTGTGGAAGACATGGGCAAACAGCAGAGACTGGGTTACAAATGAGGAGTGCTGCAGATGCCAGCTGGGCCGCAGAGAGTAGGCCCCTCTGCCAGGTGCCCTTCCCTTCTCTTTGTGAGACAACCACCGTGAGGTCTGAGCATCCTGGGTGAACAGAATGGTGAAAGGTTAGGATGGGAAGAGGCTGCAGGCTCTCATGGTTTCCTCTCACCTTCCCTCCTTTACGATAAGGAAACCAAGGCCCAGGGACACAGGGGATGGTCTGTGCCACATGGGGTAGAGCTGAGGCTCTACCACTCAGGTGTCCTGACTTCCAGAGTAGTTTCTACTAAGTCCCTAGATGGTAACTTATTCCATTCAAAGAACAGACCAGGAAATGACACAAGCTGTTTTCTCAAGTCCACTCTGAGAGGGAGTCTACTGGAGCAGGGATGAGAGCTCAGGGTGCTATTTCGTGACTTTTCTACTTCCTAATTGTGTGACCTTGGGCAGGTTCCTCCCCTTGCAGCCTCAGTTCTCTTTTCTGCAGACTGTGTGTGGTGGGGGAAGAAGGAGAGAGGCGGTTGGTGGAGGGGGAGGAGACACAAGTGATCTCTTAAGCCCTTTCCAGCACTGCCTGTCTCTTTGTTTCTGCTTGTGGTTCCTCAGTCTGTCTTTCCTGGTTTAAGTCTCAAGTTTTCTATCCCTCAAAAAGGCCCATTCTCAGTTTTGACTTTGAGTCTAGAAGAGGTCTGGTACCTCCTAGACCAGGGGTCCCCGACCCCCAGGCTGCAGACCCATACCAGTCAGCGGCCCATACCCGTGCGGGACCTGGGCTGTACAGCAGGAGGTGAGCGGTGGGTGAGCGAAGCTTCATTTGTTTTCCAGCCACTCCCTATTGCCTGCAAGACCACCTGAGCTCCACCTCCTGTCAGATCAGCAGTGGCATTAGATTCTCATAGGAGCAAGAACCCTGTTGTGAACTTTGCATGTGAGGGATCTGGGTTGCCTGCTCCTTCTGAGAATCTAACTAATGCCTGATGATCTGAGGTGGAACAGTTTCATCCCCAAACCGTCCCCCCATGTCCCCATCACTCACCCTGTCCATGGAAATAGTCTTCCATGAAACTGGTCCCTGGTGCCAAAAAGGCTGGGGACTGCTGTCCAAGACAATCATAGTTCTCCAGGGACATGCAGGAACAGAAATGGTGAGGAGCAGGAATTTTTATGGGGAAAAGGACCTGGTTCCCAATGTGACAGGTGAGGCCAAGGAGCCTGGGACCAACAAAAAAATGGCCCTTTCCATGCTAATTTTGTAGAGTGTGTGTGGACCACCTGTTCAGAACATGAACGCTGGACTTCCTGTCACATGAACACTGGACTTCCTGTCACATGAACGCTGGACTTCCTGTCTCGCATGCACAGATTCATTCCCAGTACATCACCCCAAGTCCTCCTCTTTCCTCTGCAACCTGCCTGGGTGGCTGCCCTAAGGGAGTATGCGGGGATTTCCTGCTCTTGTGGGGAAGCAGCTGGGTCGGGGCTAGAAGAACAGAGAGCGAGGTGGGAGCCAGAGACCCGGGATCTACTCTTGAAAAGAAATATAGAATGAGAAATGGATGGAGGATAACTTCTGACTCCTTCTTGCTTGAGTATAAAAAAAAACCCGCTCGATGGCTACTGGGCTGTGCCAGAGGTGTCCTCTGACCTTCTGTAAAGGAATCGTACTGCTAGTGTCCCATCTTGCTGGCAGTGTAGCTGGACGAGAACCTCTTGCTGTTCTGAAGGGCTGGTTAGTAGCTTGCTCCTCAGGGCCCCAAGACTCCCAGAGCCCTTTCAGTGGACCTCTCTGGCAACATTTAGAACAGCCATACTTTCTTTCCCAATAGACTCCAAGATCCCTGAGATGAGGACTGTGTCTTGCTTGGTACATGATGCTGAGTGGATGGTGGTTTAATAGCGACAACATGGCTGGTTTCAGTGGCTCACACCTGTAATCCAGTACTTTGGGAGGCCAAGGCAGGAGGATCACTTGAGCCCAGGAGTTTGAGAGGAACCTAGGCAACATAGCAAGACCTTGTCTCTACAAAAGCTTAAAAAAAAAAAAAAGGCAGGTATGATGGCGCATGCCTGTAGTCCCAGCTACTCTGGAGGCTGAGGTGGGAGAACCGCTTGAGGTCGAGGCTGCAGTGAGCCATGATTGCTCCGCCGCACTCCAGCCTGGGTGACAGAGTGAGGCCCTGTCTCAAGAATAAATAAATAAGTAAATAAGGACAGCACAGAAACATAAGGAGACCCCTGCATGGGTGGCTCTTTCAATGTGATGTGAGCGTGGGTGAGGGGACAGCCTTGCCTATGGGAACACGGTGAAACTGCCCTCATATGTTTTCCCCATCTTCTTCTCTCATGCTTGCAGCTTATTTACAAAGCACTTTCACTGATGTTAACTTGCTTGAGATAAATGTGAAGGCGTTCACTAGCCATGTCAACAGGTTAATGCCACACCGGGGGGTGGGTTTTTCATAAGCTTTCCTGTTTTCCTCGTTAGGATGCTCAGTGAATATTTGTGGAATGGATGAATGAAGGGATGTCTTAAAGGTAAAAAGGATGAACTAATCAATGTAGGTCAAGAACATATTTGTGCCACAGCTTTAAGGTTAGACTGATGACAATAGCCTCTTAGCTACGTGAGCCTGGGGAAATCATTTAACCTCTAAAGCTTCAATTCCCTCATCTGTGAAGTAAGAACAGTAAGAAAAATTGTGTCATAGAACTGGAGTAAGCATTAATTGAAATTATGCATGGAAAGTCCTGGGAACAATGCTTGCTATACAGTAGAATTAAAAACAAATTAGTAGTACTAGTATTCTTCTCCAAGTAAATAATGAACTACTTTACATTAAAAGCCTCGAAAGACTGCCTTACCCTGGATCACCAGTCCCATAAGACTTGCTGGGGGTTACTGGACAATTTAGCTTTTAAGCTCTGCGGTTTTTGATGGAGTGCCTGGGAGACAGTAAGCTTGCATGGAAGAGCAGGAAGCCAGAGGAAGGGCAGAGGCTGACGCTGGCTCTGAACCAAGACCCCTCATTAGGAGCCTCTCTGGACCCTGGTTTCCTGCCCTGTGCACAGGACTTCAGTCGTTGGTGGGCAAGCTTGGGAGCAGCAGCACCAGGAAAAATTCAGCTCAGAACTGATTGAAACATTCCAAGTAAAGCTACACTAATGAGAAGTCCAGTACAGGTCAATGAACAACATAGAGTCCAGCAGTAGATCCCAACACATACATGGATGTAAAATGAAATTAATCTGAAATGAATATAAAGTAAAAGTGTTATTTTAAATCACTAGAGAAAACATGGTGTTGGAACAACTGAATGGTATTTTATTATAATGATAATAAAGTTTGATGTGTATGACTTTATCCCTTACATCAAAATAAATTCCAAAGGGAGTAAAGATTCAAATGTAAAAAAAAAAGAACCATTAAAATCCAGAAAAAGTTTTTTTTAATAAACTCAGAATCAGGAACATCTTTCTAATCAGGACAAAAAAAATTAAAACCATTTTTAAAAAGTAATAAATTGTCTTCTACTTGAAAAATATTACCTTAAAAGAAGAACAGAAATGGTAAACTGGATGAAAATACATACAATACACATATGTCAAAGAATACATTTTGTTACTATATTCAGAACCCTAAACTCACTGGAGAATGAACAGCATTTATAAAACAGAAAATTCCCAGGAAAAGAACTATCAATGGCATTTGAGCAGAAGAGAATATGCCTAATAAGAGAAATGTAAGTTATAACTGTGAGATCCCATTTTTAGTGGCCAGATTTCAAAGAGAAAAGCGTTTGACACTATGCTCTCATTAGTGAGGGCACAGAAACTAGGAATTCTCATTTAATGTCCTCTGATGTGTATACTGTTATAATCTCTATAAAGAGCAATTTGGCAGCATCTACCAGAATAAAGGATGAATATAGCAACTGATCAGCAATTCCACTCCTAGAAATTTATCTTACTGATATATTCCCACACACGCACAAAAGTTACTACAGCATTAAATAACAAAAGACCAAAAACAATGTATCTATTAAGAGAGGAGTAGCTGAGGTGGCTCATGCCTGTAATCCCAGCACTTTGGGAGGCCAAGGTGGGTGGATCACGAGGTCAGGAGATTGAGACCATCCTGGTCAACATGGTGAAACCGCATCTCTACCAAAATACAAAAAATTAGCTGGGCATGGTGGTGCATGCCTGTAGTCCCAGCTACTTGGGAGGCTAAGGCAGGGGAATCTCTTGGACCGGGGAGGTGGAGATTGCAGTGGGCCAAGACCGCACTCCAGCCTGGTGACAGAGCGAGACTCTATCTCAAAAAAAAAAAAAAAAAAAAAAAAAAAGAGGAGTAACTAACTCAATTATGGTAGATCCACATGATGGAATTCTATAAGCCTTGAAAAGATAAGAAGCCTCTCTGTAATGACATGAAATGGCCTCAAAGATACATTGCTAAGTGAAGACACAAGGTTTGAAAAAGTGTTGGCATAGTACGCTCTTGTTTGTGTGATTTTTTAAAAAAGATGATACCGGTGCGTGCACGTGTGCGTTAGCTATTTCTGGAACGATATACTGGAATGAAACACTGGTAACTGGGGCTGCCTCTAGGGAGGAACTCAGTGGCTTCAAGACAATGGTGGGAGTGAGACTTTCCATAGAATATTCTTTGATACTTTTTTCTCCTTAAAACATGTTCCTGTGTTACCTAGTCAAGTACGTAAATTATTTAAAGTGGGAAGGGAATTTAGGGTAGCAAATGGGCCAGGAAACGAAGCGAGAAAACATTTTGATCAGAAACTGGTGGTCTCCTTCTTGTTGGGTCACGGCCCCTCTCCACCCACCAGCCTCCCCCCTGTTCTAACTTTGTATGTCCCTGGAGAGTAACCCGCCCAGTCAGTTCCAGAGAATTTATTTCTGATCTGGATGGTGGTTAAGGGAGAGGTTTCGTGTGTTGTTTGCAAGCTCTAGTGAGGAAATGAAATCTTGAGGTGGAGGAAGGGGAAGTGGGAGGAACTGAGTGACTTGGACAAGAAACTCTCAAGCCATTGCCCACTTCCCCGTGCCTAGAATGTGCCCATTTGAGAACCCAGCCTCTCCTAAACATCTGGATCTCCTAAAACATGATTGTTTAAGCATGCATGACCATGGATGCGTAGATTGTACTTTGCTTCTCTGGTCATTCGATTTTGGATCATTCAAATCCACTCCCCCTCAACATACACACTTTTTTTTTTTCTGTTTCTATTTTTTTTTCAAGTTTACTACTTTTTTTTCTTTCCATTCTGCCCTTTTCTCTAGCCTGTCTCATATCCCTGGCCTTCCCCAGAATCCTGTACAAAACTAAAGTGAAAAAAGACAACTAGTAGAGGAAGCTTGTGTTAGAAGCCCTAACCTTCCCCTTGCTGCTCTCTCTCCTCCGCCCTCAGCACCCACATCTGTGGGGTTTGGAAGGCCAGGAGGCCTGTGGCATGAAGGAGAGATAGTGCATTTTTTCTGAATGCTTCAGGCTGATGGGATTTTCCCGATGCCCAGAGTGATGCTCAAGACCCAGCCCCTTAATTCATCTTCATCAGAGCCCTGAGCTTTGAGTTCTCATGGCTTGGGAATGTTGGCCCCTCAGCTCTGGTGAAGAACGCACTCGAGCCAAGTGAACGCCATGTTCATAAAAGCAGCTACTGTATATGATTACTTGAATAAATGAAAATCATTCCACTGGGTCACATTTCCTGGGCCTGCCAGGCTCAAGCCCCAGCATGAAAATATCTTCAATTTGATGTAGGTCTATTCAGACTTATGTGCATTTGGCACTCACTATGGAGAAGGGCATTTCTCAGAGGAGCAAGCATATCCATGGGGTAGAGGTGCCTCCAAAGTGTGAGGTGGACAAGACAGCCACCCTCTCGCCTTTAGAGCTAAGTCACTTGGACCAACGAGGATCTAATCCTGCTTTTAAACATCTTCACCCTGTGACCGCTGGGGCCATTTGTCCCTGTTCCTCCTGGCAGTGTGTGTTGGATGGAGAAGGATGGGGTGGAAGGATGTGGGCAAGAAGGAAAAATAAACCAATTCTTTGTCCTAAGACTTTCTTCTGTAGCCCCTGACTGCTTCTTTTCCTGTCTTTAGCTGAAATATCATCAGCTCTGAAGATGCCTGCATTTTCCAACCCTTTTTCCTAGCACACAATTGAACTGTTGATTTAGGAATGTTGGAAAGTGTTTTCATCAGGTGTTTCATTCTTCTCACTCCAGTGCAGCTCTTTGTAGCAGGCGGGGATTTGTATGCAGAGCCTCAGGCCCTGCATAAGGGCATGCACCTCCCGCTGCTCTCCAGCCCCATCTCCCAGCACTTCCTCATGGTGGGTGTCCTTCATCCCATTCCCTCAGGAGTGCTGTTTTCTGCTACAGTGGCAGCTGAGCCAAGGCAAGGCTGGTCCTCCCAGCCTTGTAATGCCCCAGATAATAATGTAATGCCCCAGATAATAATGCAATGCCCCAGATAATAATGCCCCAATGTAATGCCCCAGATAATAATCAAAGGTCTCTGGAGGAAATCAATTTTGTCCTTTGCACATTGTCATACTGTTGACGAAAAGCATGTAAATGCGGCTCTTCTTAGTAAAACTGAAATCACTTGAAAGCACGACCGAATTGCTGGTATCTTTTTACTAGTATATATTTTTCTCAACCAAAGGATTCTAATAGAACCACTGTCAGGTGGAGATCCTTGATATTTTGTTTTCTGAATTTCAAAGGGGACCAAGGGGGCTAGAATTCACTGATTTCTGCCTCATCCTCAGAGAGCAGAGATCCAGGCCCAGAGAAGTTCAGTGACGTTGCCCAAAGTAAGACGAGTAGCTGGAGGGTAGGTTGGCCAGGAACTGGAACTCGGGTCGCGGAGCCCTGAGACGGGGCTGCACACAGCTGTGGCTGGACGTGTGACCCTGGAGACCGGGTGTCCGCAGCTGCACAGGGAGGATGAAGATCAAATGCACCTCCTAGGGGTGCTGTGAGATCATGCTCGTGAAGCCCTCTGCAGCCTGTGAATCCGAGCACAAGCAGTAGGCTAGTGCTCAGGGCAGGGCAGCTGTTTATATTGTCTAAAGGGGGGCCTGGCAAACTGCCCTGAGCCTCCACACCCCTCTTTCCAGGAGACAGACATGTGTGAAGCCACTTCTAGCCAGGTTTCCTTGGCCCTTGTTCTCTGCCCACGAGTCGTTGCCTTGTCCCCCTCACCAACACCTCAGCCCCAGCCCAGTTTCCCTCCCCCACCCATGAGAAATCCCATGAACTGGCAGTAGCAGCTGAGCCTGGGAGATGAGGCAGCTCCGGGGGCTTAAAAGGAAATAGTGTGAATGAAATCATCACCCAGCAGGAGTCTTCCTGGCTCCGGGGATCAGTTGGCAATTGTTTTTTTAGACTGTGATAACGGCCTCTGAGGGGCGGAGAGGGAGGGGTAGAAGTTGCTCAGGAGCATCTGGTCCTGAGCCACACAAAACGTCAGGTGCCCCAGGCTTGGGGCACAGCTGTCCAGCCCCACTCTCTGTGTGCAGGCCCGGCTGGCCCTGAGGTCCAGGGAGGAGAATCTCCCTCCCTGGAGAAGATGCTCTTTGGCCAAATGCTACTGAGGGTGAAGGTAGGAGGGGTGGGAGGGTGGAGGTGAAGGGCGCCGGGTCTTTTCCCAGAAGTCTTCCTTTCTCCTGGACTCTGCTTGTTTAGTAAGCCCAGCAGTTCATCAACCTGCCTAACCCCCTTTGAAGTCATCAGCCAGTAACGGTGCTGCAGAGTGAGGGCTGGGGGTGGGGTGGTGGGTTTCAGGCATTAGGAGTCAGCCTCCTTTCCTTTTTGCTATTCTGAATGCTCTTCCCCGCTTTGTGGCGCTTTCTCTGATGGTTAAATCGTATATTCCCTTCCCGAGCCTTTCCCAGCTTCTCCTTCCAGGGCCAAGAGATTGAAAGTGGGAAGTGGGTAAATTTCCTCTATATTTGTGCATTTTCTCCTCCCCACAATTAAATTCCTTTCTGGGTAGGAAGAAAAAAGTAATAAATGGTTTGTTGATAAAGGCGACAAGGAGAAAGAAGAGTTTATGAAATTTGTGCTTTCTCCCAGGAGATTTACTTGCTAAAACGTCCCTTGCTTGCATGGAGTCCCACAGCCAACAGCCTAAATTCCCGGCTCTCCCGACCCTATGGGCTTCCGGGCATTATGCAGGCTGGGAAGAAGGGGTTCTTTGGGATGCCCCACCCTACAGAGGGGAAACCTGCTCCATCAAAACCTGGGTTGGTCCCAGGCCTCTTCCTGTCCTCGCCATCACTTTCCCAGAGAGCGGTAACAAGGATATGTCTCTTCTGTCTCATCTCACTCGCCCTCCAGCTTTCAGGTTCAGTGTAACATGGGGAGTGGGTGGTCCCCTGCCCTCCAGAGGCCATGTAGCCTGCTGACCCCCAAGCCTGCCTGTTCCTCAGAAACACCTGGCAAATTTAAAATACAAAAACAAATGGATTTCCAGGCCCACACGCCAGCTCTGCTGAATAAGAATCTCCTAGGTAGGTACCTGGAAATCCATACTTTTAATAAGTTTCCAAGGTGACAGAGATGCAAACTGTCCACAGACCCGTGTGGGAGACCCACTGATTGTAGTGCATGCCGTATGTCCACATAAACCAACCCAGACTGAGAGATGTTAGCACTAAAGATTATGGGGTGGAGGCCACCTGGTGAACCCGTTCTTGTATTTCATAGACCTCCTCTGTTGGGACAGCTCCCCTGGGACCCAGTGCCAGTCCTGGATCTATTTCTTCACATCCCAGTCCTCAGTTTATCCTCCAAGGGGCAGTAGATCAGCTCTCCACACCCTCCCCATAAATAACTTTGATATTTTTTGAGGCCTGCTCTGAGGTCTTCCTTTTTAGCTTGCTTATTTCTGTCAAAGGAACTCTCCATTTCTTCAGCCTCATCGGGATGTTTGCCCCGCCATATTTTGGAATAAGCCAAATGATGGGCCGAGGGCTGCAGGAAAGAGTAGGTCAGTGAGAGCAGAGGTTTTCGTCAATGTGCTTAGAAGCTGGTTGCATTAACCCAAGTGCCAGCATTGGCACTCCCAGAGGTGACCTATGGGGGTGGGGATGGGAATGGGTGGGACTGGTACCAGCCTAAAGTGTATAACGGGTAGGCTGCTTCTCTAGCGTACGTGATCGGAGACCAGAGGATTGAAAACCCTAGTGCAGAATCTCAGCACACTGATGAGGATGAAAATAGCCTCCCATTCCACTCCTCCTGCTGCGCACGAGGCTGGGGCATCTTGCAGGGCGCGTGTCATGGAGCAGCGCACCCAGGCAGAGAGACAGACTTGCTCTCGGGGCCTCGCCAGTGCAGGGAATCACACCTGCTCACAAGCCTGGATGCCAGAATGTGGGTTTCCCTCTGGCCCACGGGCTCCCTGAGCTGTGGTTTCCGTTTAAGCACACGGGCTCCGGCCGGCAGGTGGGAACAGAAGAAGCACGGGCCAGGGCAGAGGACAATCACCCGTGAGGCTGAAGAAGCACAAGCTGCAAGGCCCCTCCCTTTCACAGGCTCCTCTCACAGCCTTTCCTTTCCCATTTAGATAGTCACTTCTCTACTCAGGACTTCATATTATTTTCTTCAACTGTGTAAGCATCAAGCCTTGTAAACCTGGCACTTCCCCGGCCTGGTGAACTCACCGTTGCGTACAATCTTCCTTTACTGTTCATGGCAACGAAGAGGGCACTTCTCACTCCAAAGAGACTCACCACGCCTCGCTCCACAGTGGAAATTTCCAGCAGGCCTGACAAGGAAAGGGGGGCCACATTACCTAAGGCTTGTGCAAATCAGAGTGGGAACTTGAGCCGACAAGGGCATCTCAGTCCATCCCCCTTCTCCTAGAAAGCCAGACTCTCCATTGCCCCATCCATGATCCCTCTAACTCTAGGAGACCCTGGCTGCTGGACTCATCGAGTGCTGCCATTGTGCTGTTAGAAATCCAGTTCTGCAAGGGAAGGTTCTGATAGCAGAGTTAGGGGCTGCAGTGACCACTTAGCTATCTGTTTAAGATGAGCTTTGAATCTGGGCTTTCAGTGACATAATTACTTGAGGTCCTTGACTTGAGTAAAAAAATAAATTCTGATTCTTCTTCTTCTTCTTAATGTGTACTCTACATGTTTCAACAAATCTCAACCCACTTAATCTTGAAAACACAGCAGCCACACCATAGCTGATGGCTTTCTTGGATCCTGCAGCCCCCATCCTTTCTTGGATAGGAGACTAACCATACAGCAAGCTGGCAGCTTGCAGGCAGCTTGCAGGATAAGAACCTGGGGACAGAGGGAGCCGCTGAAATAAAAAGAAGGATGTGCTTCAGTTGGACATTTTGCAATTGAATTTCCCTTCCTTCTCCAAGAAAGAAGCTGAATAAAAATGAGCTTGTGTCAAATTTGATCCAAGTATACTAACTGATTCTCCCTACCCAGGCCTTGGGGGCTTCCCAGACTAATGGTTCCTAATGGTCTTACAAGGCATCAGATGGGCCAGTAATGCTGAAATAGTTAGTGCCACTGAGGATCTAACCAAGGCGATGGCAAAGAACACCAGGATGCTTGGACCGCAGTATATTGAGCTTGCACCCAGGCAGGGTCACGTGGAATCATCTAAGTGGTGAGCAGCATTTCTGCCCCCTTTATCGTGCATCCTGTCCGCTAGAGCAGGGCCCCTTCACCTTTTAGCCCTGCATGAGCCCAAACCCCCAAGCGTCCCGACTGGCTGCAGCTGGCACTCACTGTAGGGGTTCTCCTCGTGGGTCCCGCTGATCCGGCCGTCGGGGAGCACCTGGAGGTGAAAGCCGATGCCCACGTTGCAGTAGAGCCTCCGCTGCCGCTTGATCCCCACCAAATAGCCACTTTCCCAGTTCACCCCGGCAATCTCTCCAGCTAGCCCGGCGCGAGACCTGGACAGCAGGGTGCCCCAGCCCCTCGAGTCCAGCAGCGTGTTGTTGGCACGGGTGCCTGCAGGCGAGGGCACCACCATGCCCACTAGGATGCCTAGGAAGACGAGAGCCCACAGCGTGCCCTGCAGACGTCCTGCTCCCCGGGACATAGTGATGAACAGTTTCTGTCCCAGGGCCATCCACCTTGCCTCTCAGGCACGTGGTCAGAATTAATGGCCCTAAAAATACCGCCCTTCTTGTTTTTCTCCCTCCGGCATGGCGGCAGGGGCTTATTTTTGGAAGGCAGATGAAGGCTGCTGACATGAAACCAAAGCCTCCATCGGGCACTCGGGTTGAGAGCAGAGGGACCCAGGCTGAGCCGCGGCCGGTAGAGACCATGGCTCGGGGACGCTCTCTAGCTCGCCCGCTTGCTCCGTCCCTAGTTGATGATATTTGATTTGACCTATCTTTATAGTTGCTTCAGCAGCCCGGCCCTCCCCTCCACCCATCATCGCCCTGACGTCAACCCGCCCAGCTCACTTATCCAGGGCTGTAACATTAACCTGCTCTTGGGCCTGGCTGCCTCCCCAGACCCCCATCACCCTCCACACTCCCCAGGGGTTCTGGGAGCCACTGTCATTCCAACTATGAGGCAGGAATGAAGTGAGCAGGGAGCATCTCTGGGGGAGGGGGGAGCTGGCTGGGGGCCCAGGGAAAGAGAGAGGCGAGAGGCCACCCAGGACCCATATTGGGCAGAAGTTCTTTGCCTGGCAGCGCTGGCTTCCTTATTTAGAGGGCAATAGGTAGAGGCAGGGATGGGAAAAGGCTTGTGGTAGTGATGACCGTAGCCTCAAGTCACCCTTGAGATCTTTTCATGGAAACAGCTCATGGTGGAGGGGAACACTGAAAGGCCAAACCCTTTCAGCAGGAGGGCACAGACATTCTCAGGGGGTGGGGATGGGGGTTGTTCAAGGAGCTTTAAGATTGTGGAGGGAAGGAGGGCAAGGGCAAGGTTTGCCTGCTCACTGTCCTGGTCCCGACATTCACCTGGGGTGGAAGTTGTGTCTGGCCTTTGACACAGCCCCCTGGCCATTCTCCCTGGATTTATCCCTGGCATGTGACTGATATTATTCCCATTTCACAGATGAGGAAGTTGAGGCTTAGAGAGGATAAATGACCTGCCCGAGTTACCATAGCTAATAAGTAGCAAAGCCAGAACTTCTAAGGTGTGCCTGAGTCTAAAGCCTGTGCATGTCTAATGCTTGCAGTAGAAGTTGGCTGGCCCATAGAGTCTGTTTAGCTCCTTAAATGCCAATAGCACATCACAGAGTTATTTCAGTAGCATAAAATGATTTATTTCTTAAAAAAAACTTGAGTGTCTTTGATGTACATGAGAACTTCTATATTTGCAGATAACTTTTGCTGGGCTGATATTACACTCAGAAACTAGTAAAAATATTTCTGCCAGGAAGTTATTCCTACACTGATTTATCTTATTCCCATATTACTTTTAAATAGATTACATGTCTAACTGAAGTGAGAAAAAAAATGTAAAGCTACCAGAAAACTCACTGCACAAATTTCTATACAATATAAGACAGAACTATTAATACGTCTCTGAGGGTGAATAAGTTAACAAGGGTCGCTGGGGAATTGAATTAACTTGAGTTAAAAATCCTGTTTCTTGTACTTCAATCCAGGCCTTAATCTGTTGGTGAGACATTAGCACTGATTTTGCCGGGATTGGAGAGAGTATGTGTGGGGTGATGACAGTGGCATACAGATGGATTTGAGTGTCCTGAGCAGTAGAGCTGGTCCCAGCAGGCAGCTCCCTTAGCCACACTCTACACCCACATTGCAGGCTGCAGGCAGCCTGGAAAAGCTCCTGGGGTGAGTTCCATGGCCCAAGGACTCTACTGAGGCACCACCGCCTTCCCTCTGATTCTAAACCTTCTGCTGTGCCCTGGGTCCCAGCCTCTGGTCTGTGGCTTCTACCTGCCTTCTCTCTGCCCTTCTGCCTCGTTCACTGGGTTCGATGCTTTGGTTCAAATTTCTGTCAAGCCATGTGTTTAGTGTTGCCCTAGACATGCCTTCTGAAATCCTGTGAAGCCCAGATGTCTGTCTTTACCCTCAGCTGGTAAACTGAATGGGGAGGGACATAGGCACCACTTGTTCCTACTGTCACCACGGCCCCCTGACTTCCCCATTGGCTTCCTCTCCCTTCCACTGCCGTTGTCCCATACCCAATCTCATCATCACCAGCACTGCCATTTCCCATGAGGAAAGATGATGCCTTATAGGCTCAGATTGAGTCTACTATGTAGGCCTTTGTTGGAAAACTGTTTTTAAAAATCCTTCTGCAAAGTAAAAGGTTCATGAATAATCCGAAGACAAAGTTGTCAACAAAAAGAACTTCACTTTGGATTTCCAGCTGGGTTTCATATAGTTAAGCTTTCATGGATGCAAGAGCAGTGGGGACACTTTCTCAGTGATGTTGTTTGGAATCTTGTGTTAATTATGCTGGTGGTCCTCACTTAGGGAAGAGACAGTCCAGAAACATGTTGGATGGTAAGGAGAAGTCAGTCTGAAGTTAACACTTGCCTTGGATAATCGGAGAGGTGCTCACCAGCAGAGCTCAGAATCTCTGTGGAATTTCTTGGAACCCATCCACTTTGGGACTGCCTTAGGAGAGAGATTAAACTATAACAAGGTCCATGTCATATACCAATAAAAATGGTAACGCTCCTTAGATTCATCTCTTCCTGGATTCCTCTCTGTGCAGAGGTTCTGGTTGATGTCTCATAAAGCAATGGGCTTTGGAATGGGGACACCTGGATTTGAATCTCAACTCCACCATTTAGTAGCTGTGTGACCTTAGGAAAGTTCTGGACCTCTCTGAGCTTATTTTGTCATCTGCAAAATGATATCATTACTTCCTAAGGTTGTTACAGTGACTAGCAATAATACATACAACTGGCCAGTGCAGAGCGCAGTATAGCTATTTCCCAGAAATTTCCCTGAAACACATTGAAAATCTCTCACCCAATTAAAGAGGACAAACCCAAAGTGAGAAAGACCATCTCTCATCTCACGGTGTGGGAGAGACACGTGGGCTTCCAGTTCTTCATTGCCATCCGCCACAGCATATGTTGTGATGGCTGCTAACATATGCAGAAGCAGGCAGCCCAGATTCCTCAAATGTTCTGAAAACCAGTGAGAGCCTTGGTGTCGTCCCCTGTTAAATTTAAAACTTAAGTAATTCATGCTATTAAAAAGCCTGGGTCTTATTTTTATCGGGTGATGCGATGAGGCCCTGTTCTGAATGTACCTCCCCTGCCTGTCTCTATAGCAACTTTACTGTGCTCATATAGCCATATATTTTTCCTGAAGGCTAATTAGGTTGACAACTGCTAGGTCTTCTTGGCTTACCAGATTTGCACTTGACCCTTCTCTTGGGGCTTAGGGACCCCTATGGATGTGAAGTGATAGAGAAAAGAGTAACAGGTGGAAGAGGCCTCTCTCCATGGACCCCTCTTGCAAATAGTTGGCCAACAGCCTTTGGGGATTGTCAATCACTCTCGCTGGATGAGCCAAGATCCAGTGGAGGTGAGTGGGAAAATACGTTAATGTCTATCTCCTCCCACAACAGGGTCCTTGTCCCCAAGGGGGATACCACAAAATACAGATTTGTCAGATTTGGCAATGCTTAGCCACACCAACCTTCCGCATCATCTGCATGGCAGAACTCCCTCCGTCACATCAGGTGGTTGCTCTCTGTGACTGCTGTGTGTTACATAATCAGGATCAAATGCCTGATGGGTGACCAAAAGGGAAAGCACATAAAACTCAGATGAGCCTCATCCACGTAGATTGTGAAAAGCTGTGCTTACTTGTACTTTTTACATTTGGTTTTGAAAAACTAGCATTTGCCTTTTTCTATAGATAATTTGGAAAATGTGGAAAATGATAAGGTGGAAAACAAAATAGCTGTTTGTGCTTAGTGTCTTTGTCTCTTTTGTCTCAAAGTCTGTCTTTGTGTGAGCTTGGCACAGCGGCCTTGAAGCCTCCCTGTATCTCCTCCCCATCTTGCTCAGACAGGCAGCTCTGCACCTATCCCTGGTTTTTTTAGTGGTAGAGATTGCTCACAGGATTTAATCGGCATGAGATGGACATGTGTAGAGATGAGGATCGAGGAAGGATTCCTGCCCTAGGCCTGAGCAAAGAGGGACATTTGCAGCTCATAAACTTGCTACATGAGGGAGAATTCAAGAGAAACAGTTTCAACTGATCAACAGTGTCCAGGTTGGACTTCCGCAAAGACAAGGCAGCCATTATCTTGCTAGCTATTCCCTGGGGAAACCTAAACTTTGTACTTTCCTAGTAGAACTCAACTTTTCCCAGGCCTCACCCACTTACACAGTGGGAGCCATTAACAGTTATAATCCACATTTCCCTAGTTCTTGCTTCTTCCAACTCATGTGGAACTTCACCCCACTACAAACCACCCCCAAGATATTTCTGCAGTTTCAGAGCATGTCTCACATATGTTCACGAGCATGTGACTGCTTCTGCCTGGGCACATTGCCAGGCACCTGCGTGGATCTCCCTGTTCTCCAGCCTTTCCACCTCCTGCTGGGCAGCCCGGGGGTGTTCCCTTTCTCACTATAGCTCAGCACCTGAAGCCCTCAAGGAGCCAGAACTGCTTTATGTTCTGTTTCAAAGCCAGGAAGAATACCTTAGTCCCCGTCTTCATGTTATACCTATTAAGGAAATACCTGGCCAGTACTACTCATGCCCTGGCAATCTGCTGATTTGAAGTTCTTTTCAGACTCCTTGCCCTGCAAAGGACTCAGTCTTGTTATGGGTTAAGCTGATCAGGTGGGATTCCCATTTCCTTCCATGTGGATTATTTTTCTGGAGGCCCCTCAACCCCTCAGACAAATACACTTCTGCTGGGGCCGGCCTATCTGCATTGTCTATATGTGTCTGAATCCTGGCTTGAGTTCAGACTGGAGACCCTGCCCCACTCCCAGAGACCCCTACAATGGGGAGGGAAGGAGCCCCTGAACACGCAGCTTTGTGGTCTGGTTGGTCACCAAGTATTTGCAGAGTTTTCTGGGAGAAAGATTCTCCTCTCCACACTAGCAGTCATCTTCTTGCGTTAAAGTGCTTCTTGATCTATCCCTTCAATCTGAGCCCCATGTGGCTGTGTCTCTCAGCATGACTTCCTATCTCCTAGCGCTGTCTTTCTTCTCTGTCTCACTCATGCTCTTCCCTTCCCCCTCCTTACTATGCTCCAGCCATAGATGCAAGTCTAGAGGCTCAGCCAACTGCCAAGAAAGCAGCGCCTCAGGGCTGGCTGACCACCACGGCCACACATCTCAGCTGAATCTGCAAAGGGGCAGAGGAGTCAGATAACTTTCTGGAACTTCGGAACCTAAGGGATTTTGGCTCCGCTCAGAGTTTTGCGGTTTCTCAGATTTGCCTCTCATGATCATCGTCTAATAATACCTGCTGCATGCTGAGGCGGGCATGCACCCTGCCAGCCACCATGCAAAGTTATGTAAAAGACTCAGCCCTTAGTGGCAGGCTCCCCAGTGTGACACAAAAAGGCCCTCCCTGTCCTGACCTCTCCCGGCCTCTCCAGCTCCATCCCCTGCCTCTCCCTCTCTGGGAATTTTTGCTTCAGCAACCTCAAATGGCCTGTTGTTCCCAGGCATACTGTGTGCTGTTTCTGCCTCTTGTTTTTGCTCAAAGTGTCCTCCCTTTGCCTGGTGAATTGCTTCCCTTTTAAAGAGTCAGCTTAAATGTCACCTCTGGAAGTAATCCCTGACAACCTTCCACCTGTCTCTAAACTGGATTCAGTGGCCTGTTCCCCTCCCTGCTTTCCCTGCCTCATTGATATTTCACGTGATTATGTTTGTCACTGCCCTTACTGGGTTTATAACACTCTGACAACCCTGCCTCATTGATATTTCGCATGATTATCTCTGTCACTGCCCTTACTGGGTTTATAACACTCTGACAAGGTGCTGACTTTGATAGTGAAATCCTTAAGGCACCAATGGCGTCTTACCTGTCTCTGTATCTTCAGAACGGAGCACCGTGCCCGCCATGCAATACAGTTTATGAAATGTTTGAATAAGTGTTGTTGAATTAAAGGCTTTAAATCCATGGATTTCACTAGACGCGTTATTCTCAAACAAGGGCCAGCCCTCTGTAGAGGAGTGATCAGAATTTTGGTAGGAGTGGGATATTAATTTGAAAAAAGCACTTTCAATATAATGATTTGCATTTTGTCATTTAAAATAGTTACATTGAAGAATTCTGCTTTCACTATGATGGAGAAACTTGTATTGCACTTGCACTCCCGTAATAAACAAGAAGAAAATGGGACAAATGAAACAGCAGTTTTTAAACATTGGATAACAGGAAGCACAGGACTCTGACCCCTGAAAAAAAGGAAACAAATAAGATGGACCCCATGATCGCATCTTCTTTCTGCCTGGAGGCACTCTCCAGATCTCAGAGCAGGAAAGGAGAACCTACACAGAGTGCAGTGGTGACCGTGAGTGGAGGGTTCAGAGACTGAAGTTTGGCGAGGCTAAGGCAGTCACAATTTGCAAAGCAGAGGAAGCTGCGTAGAGAAAGGGCTGCAGAAATCGGTATATAGGTTTGCTCTTGTGTTTGTTGCTGAAAGCAAAGCCACACAAGTACGGATGAAACTCCATGAAATTAGGAAAAGCACTGCCAGAAAGCAGTGAGGTGAGCAATCCTGAGTGCTCACACGGGGCAGCTTTGTTCAGACCAGCCAGGTGGAGAGGACTAGATGTTCTCAGCGGAGAGTATTCAGTACAGACCCCAGAAGGGTCCTGTCTTGGTAATAGGGATAAATAGGCTCTGCAGGAACTGGATTTATTCTTTTGCCCCAAATAACGAGAACATCGCAAAAACACATCAAAGAACAGTTTTCAAGACATTAGACACCAGGCAACAAAGAACAGTGATTCTTGAGAAATGAGAAGCTGAGATGAATCCTACACTTCTACCAGCTGACTGATTTAAGAGAGATTTCAGGCATGATGCAGGGAGAAGAAACCTTGTTGGATCCTGGAAAACACCTTGAATTGAGGAGATGAAGCTGACTGAGAAAGACTAAGGCAAAGAGGGCTTTCAGGGAAGAGTACCAGAGAAGAGAGAGCTGCACAAAAAAAGAAGCTAGAGATGCATTGAGGGACCCCCCTCAAGTGGTCACAGAGTACTGATTAGCACATGTGTACACTACCTGAGGCTGGAGAAGGAACTAGGGAAAAAGATTAGAGGGAGCAGTATCTGGAGCTCGTACAAGACTGGAAACAGTACCTGTTCCCACCAGCCAGGCTAGAAAATATCCTCATTCCTGGGGTGTTGGGTTGAGTCTTGCCTCGCTAGTGGGGAATAATTATCCTCAGACCAAATGCTGCTCTGATCCCACCTAACAAATACTATAAGCAAACACAAAAAGGATCAATCTGTTTTCAAGTATATTAAATGCACTCTAGGAAAAAATTCAAGAATATTTATAGAACATCAGGCCGGGTGCAGTGGCTAAGGCCTGTAATCCCAGCACTTTGGGAGGCTCAAGGCAGGCAGATCACAAGGCCAGGAGTTCAGGACCAGCCTGACCAACATGGTGAAACCCCACCTCTACTAAAAATACACAAATTAGCCTGGCGTGGTAACGTATGCCATAATCCCAGCTACTCAGGAGGTTGAGGCAGGAGAATTGTTTAAACCCGGGAGGCGGAGGTTGCAGTGATCTGAGATCATGCCACTGCACTCCAGCCTGGGTGACAGAGTGAGACTCCATCTAAAAAAAGAAAAAGAAAAAGAAAAGGAAATAGAAATAAAATACATACAGCCCTGAACAGGGCAAAATTTTTATATTAAATTGACATATAGTAAAAAATGCCAAGTCATGCAGAGAGGTAGGATAATATGAGTCATAATGAGGAGAATAATAATAAAGTTGAAACCAACCTGGAATTAACACAGATGTTAGAATTAGCAGACAGAGACATTAAAACGGTTATCATAACTGTATTTAATATGTTCAAAAAGTTAAAGAGAAGAAATGTTAAGTAGAGACATGGAAGATGTAAAAAAGATCCAAATTAAACTTCTGAAGATAAAAAGTACAATGCTTGAGATGAAAAATACACTGGACAGGTTTAATGACAGGTTGGACATTACAGTAGAAAGCATTAGTGAAAGTGAAAACATAACCATAGAAACTTTTCAACATGAATCACAGAGAAAAAAATAATCTAAAAAATGAACAGAACAGACTTCTGGGTTATGGTCCGGTATATAAGTAGCTTGAAAGTTGTCATTTGATCCTAACAACAAGTAAAAGCCCAAACACACTAAAAAATAATCAACACTTTTTCTCAAATTTGTTAGAGAGATGATGTCATATGAGCTGTTGCTTGAAATACTGGAGAGACAGACAGGTGAATACAAAGAATCACAACTTGCTGGAGCAGACACCCAGGAGCTGAAACCTCCATGGAAACCAGAGCTGGGGCAGAGAAACCTGAGCTGTAATTGTTCAATTGTTGGAGGCTCAGTGAACAATACTGAGTGATAAAAACTCCATTGGAGGGTGGTTGGGGGCGGTACACTTTTGTGACTTTTGCCTCCAGAAGCTCTACTAGGTTCTCATGGTGGATATCAGAGAAATCTAGATCAAAAACACTGTAAGAGAAATGAAGAATGCCTTTGATGGGCTCATTAGTAGACTGGACGTAGCTGAGGAAAGAATCTCTGAACTTGAGGATTGACAATTGAAACTTAAAAGCAAAGGGAAGAATGAAAAAAACAGAACAGAATATCCAAGAACTCTGGGGCTACAGAAGATGTAACATATGCACAATGGGAAAGAAATAGAACCAATATTTGCAGCAATAATGACCGAGAATTTCCCCAAGTTGATGTCAGAAGCCAAACCACAGATATAGAAAGTTCAGAGAACACCAAGCCAAATAAATGGCAAAAACTACATGTAGGAAATTATATTCAAATTTCAGAAAACTGAAGATAAAAAAAAATCTTGAAAGGAGCCAGAGGAAAAAACACCTTACTTACAGAGCAGTATTGGGGCATACCCTGAAGTATGGTGCCTTGGCATGCTGATTACTTTGAACTGAAGGTTGGAAAGGTCTCAGGAGGAAGGTCTTTCTGACTTTCTTCTGCATTCCTATCTCCTGCCCCTCCACAAAGTGAGTCATAGGAACCAGAAAGAATCCAGCTGGGCAGGGTGGCTCACGCCTGTAATCCTAGCACTTTGGGAGGCCAAGGCGGGCAGATCAGCTGAGGTTGGGAATTCAAGACCAGCCTGACCAATATGGTGAAACCCTATCTCTACTAAAAATACAAAAATTAGCCGGGCTGTGGTGGTGCATGCCTGTAATCCCAGCTACTCAGGAGGCTGAGGCAGGAGAATTGCTTGAACCTGGGAGGCAGAGGTTGCAGTGAGCCGAGATAGTGCCCCTGCACTCCAGCCTGGGTGACAAAGGGAGACCCTATCCCGCACTCCCTATCCCCTACCAGGAAAAAGAATCCTTCTTCCCCAAGGTGAGTCATAGAAACTAGAACCCCTCTCCCCCAAAGCAAGAGATAAAAATGAGGAGGGTCACTCTCTCCCTTTTCTCTTCTCCCTTGAAGACCCTCATTCCAGAGAGGTCCTGCTCCATTCCTAGGAGGAAGGAAAGCTACACAGAGAGGCCAAGAAAAATCTGAACAGACAGGCATTGCCGCATTTCCCCTTTTCACTCTATCACCGTTAGATCACACCTTTTAGTCCAGTTCCATTTCTACTTGGCTGTCCATTCTTCATTGCACATAAGCACAAAAACAAAGTTTCTCCTGAGTCCTTGTGTCTTCATTTCTGAAGTCTTAATTTTTCTTTCATTTTTAAAGGATAATTTCACAGGGTACAGAACTCTAGTTTGGTGGATTTTTCTCTCAACACTTTAAATATTTCACTCCACTCTTATTTGCATGTTTTTTGAGGATGCCAGATATAATTCTTATCTCTGCTCCTGTGGGAACGAATAGATGTGATACCTTTCCTCACAAATCACAAGGTTCATGGCCAATGAGAAAAAAATGATTAATAGCAACAATGTATTCAATTATGTATGTTTATGTATGTATAAGATAATTATGTATACTTATGTAGAAATGAAATGAATAATTATACTATTATACAGTAAATGGGAGGGAAAAATTAGAAATGTTTTATTATAAGGTACTTACACTATCTGTGAAGTTGTATTGTGCTATTTAAAAGTGAACTTGGCCGGGTGTGGTGGCTCACGCCTGTAATCCCAGCACTTTGGGAGGATGAGGCAGGCAGATCACTTAAGGTCAGGAAGTTTGAGACCAGCCTGGCCAACATGGTGAAACCCCGTCTCTACTAAAAATACAAAAATTAGCCGGGTGTGGTGGTGCATGCCTGTAATCCCAGCTACTTAGGAGGCTGAGGCAGGAGAATTGCTTGAACCTGGGAGGTGGAGGTTGCAGTGAGCCGAGATGGTGCCACTGCACTACAGCCTGGGTGACGCAGTGAGACGCCATCTCAAAAAAAAAAAAAAAACCACAAAAAAAGTGAACTTGAGGATAGGCATGATGACTCACACCTGTAATTCTAGCACTTTGGGAGGCTGAGGTAAGAGGACTGCTTGAGGCCAGGAGTTTGAAACCAGCCTAGTCAACATAGTGAGACCTCATCAGTATTAAAAAAAAGAAAAAAAGAAAAAGTTAAATAAATAAACAAAGAAAAGCAAAAAGTAAAAGTGGGCTTGAATTTATTGTCAATGCATATTGCCAACACTAGTGCAACCACTGGAAAAAAAGTAAAAAAAAAAATAGTTGATATGCTAAGAAAGGAGAGAAAAGAGAATTATATAAAATATTCAATTAAAACTAAAAAAGGCATAAAAAGAGCAGACAACAAAAATAGGAACAAATACCAAGGACAATGAATAGAAATAAAGGTACAAACATGAGAGATATTAATTCAAATATATCAATAATCACTCTAAACTTCAATAGTCTAAATATACTAATTAAAAAACAAAGATTGCCAGAGTGGATCCAAAAACAAGACCCAACTACATGTTGTCTACAAGAAATCCACTTTAAATACAAAAACATATATAGATTAAAAGTACAGGAGTGGAGAAAGAAATACTCATTAACACTAATCAAAATAAAATGGGAGTAGCTATATTATTTCAGACAGTGCAGACTTCAGAGCAAGAAAACTTATCAGAGATAAAGCAGGACATTATAGAATGATGAAGGTGTCAATACTCTAAGAAGACATAGCAATTCTTAATAAATGAATCCACTATTATAGGTAGTGACTTCAGCACCCCTCTATCAGAAATAGACAGTTCTAGCAGGCAGAAAATCAGTAAGGGCATAGTTGAACTCAACAGCAACATCAATCACCTGAATATAATTTACATCTATAGACGACTCCATCTAACAACAGCAAATTTCACGTTATTCTCAAACATACGTGGGATATTCACCAAGTTAGACTAAATTCTGGGCCATAAAACACACCTGAAAAAATGTGAAAGAACAGAAATAAAATAATGTCTGCTCTCAGACTGTAATGGAATTAAACTAGAAATCAATAACAGAACTATAGATGGAAAATCCCCAAATAATTGGAGACTAAACAATGCACTTCCAAATAACACATGGGCCAAAGAAAAAATTTCAAGATAAATGTAAAAATACTTTGAACTAAATAAAAATGAAAAGACAACTTACTGAAATTTGTGGGATTCAGTGAAAGCAGTGCTTTAGGGAAATTTACAGAATTGAATGCATGTATTTGAAAGGAAGAAATATCTAAAAATCAATAATCTAGGATTATTGATTTCACCTTAGGAAACTAGAAAAAGAATAGAAAATAAAATCCAAATAAAGAGCAAAAAATAATAAAAATTACAGTAGAAATTAATGAAATTGAAAAGAGAAAATCAATAGAGAAAACCAACAAAATCAAAAGCTGATTTTTGGAATGGGTTGATAAAATATATAAGCCTTTTGCCAAGCTAACTAAGAAGAAAAGAGAAAAGACACAAATTCCTAATGTAAGAAATGAAAGAGGGCACATCACTACAAGTTCCAAGGGCATTAAAAGGATAATAAAGGAAAATTATGAACAACTCTATGCTCACAAATTTGACAACTTAGGTAAAATTAATCAAGTCCTTAGAAGACACAGTCTGCTAAAACTAAAACAAAAAAAAAAAATAGACAACCTAAATAGGCCTATCTCTACTAAAAGAAATTGAATTAATAACTAATAATCTTCTAAAACAGCACTAGGCCCTTACAGATTTATCTGGTGAATTCTCCCAAACACTTCAGAAAGAAATTATACCAATTCACTACAAACTCTTCCAGAAGATAAAAAGAGGGAATCTTTTTTAATTCATTCTATGAGGCCCACATTACTCTAAACCAAATCCAGACAAGGACATTCAAGAAAAGAAAATCACATACTAACATCTCTCATGAAAATCGATGCAAAAATTCTCAGTGAAATATTAGCAAATTGAATTCCATTAATTTATAAAAAGAATTTTACACCAGAACCAAATGCAGTTTATCTGAGGTATGCAAGTCTGTTGCAACATTCAAAAATCAATTAGTGTAATCCATCATATTAATAGGCTAACAAAGAAAAATTACATAATTATATCATTAAATGCAGAAAAAAGCATTTGACAAAATCCAACATCTATCCACAATAAAGAAAACTCTTAGTTTACTAGAAATGGAGGAGAACTTTCTCAACTTAATAAAGAACATTTACAAATGCCCAAGAGTTTACATCATACTTAATGGTGAGAAACTAGACGCTTTCCCACTACTGTCAGAAATAAGGCAAGGATGTCTCCTTTAACCACTGCTTTTCAATTCATACTGGAAGTTCTAGCTCATGCGATAAAACAAGAAAAGAAAAGGTATACAGATTGGGTAGGAAGAAAGAAAACCGTCTTTGTTTGCAGATAATATTATTGTCTGTGGAGAAAAACTTTAAAAAATCAAAAAGTCTCCTAGAACTAACAAGCAGTAATAACAGTTACAGGATACAAGGTTAATGTACAAAAGTTCATCACTTTCCTATATGTCAGCAATGAACAAGTGGAATTTGAAATTAAAAACACATTATCGACTAGGGCGGTGGCTCACGTCTGTAATCCCAGCACTCTGGGAGGCCGAGGCGGGCAGATCATCTGAGGTCAGGAGTTTGAGACCAGTCTGGCCAACATGGTGAAACCCCGTCTCTACTAAAAATACAAAAAAACTTAGCCGGTCGTGTTGGTGGACACCTGTGATCCCAGCTACTCGGGATGCTGAGGCAGGAGAATTGCTTGAACCTGGGAGGCAGAGGTTGCAGTGAGCCAAGATCGCGCCATTGCACTCCAGCCTGGGTGACAAAGCAAAACTCTGTCTCGAAAAAAAAAAGTATTTACATTGGCACCCCTAAAGTGGAAATACTTAGATATAAACATAACAAAATATGCATAAGAGCTTTATGAGGAAAACTACAAAACTCTAATGAAAGGTATCAAAAAATAACAAATGGAGAGACATTTGATATTCATGGATAGGAAGACTCAATATTATCAAAATGTCCATTCTTCTCAACCTGATCTGTAGATTGAATGCAATATCAATTAAAATCCCAGTAAATTGTTTTATAGATATCAGCAAATTTATTCTAAAGTTTATATGGAAAAGCAAAAGACCCAGAATAGCCGACAAAATATTGAAGGAGAAGAACAAAGTCGGAGAATAGACAGGACATCAAGACTCACTATAAAGCTATAGTAATTGAGACAGTGTGGTACTGGTGAAAGAAGAGACAAACAGATCAACGGAATAGAATAGAGAGCTCAAAAATAGACTGACATAAAGATAGTCAATCGCTTTTGACAAAGGAGCAAAGGCAATATAATGGAGAAAAGGCAATCCTTTCAACAAATGGTGCTAGAATACTTGGACATCCATGTGGAGAAAAATGAATCTAAACAGACCTTATACTTTTCACAAAACTTTACTCAAGATGGATCATAGATCTATATGTAAAATGCAAAACTATGAAACTCCTAGAGTATAACATAGGAGAAAGCCAATATGATTTTGGATATGGCAGTGACTCTTTAGATGCAACAGGAAAGGCACAATCCGTGAAAGAAATAATTGATAAGCTAGACTTCATTAAATTAAAAACTTCAGCTCTGTGAAAGACAATGTCAAGAGAATGAGAAGACAAGCCACAGACTGAAAATACTCGCGAAAGACACATCTAACAAAGGACTGTTATCCAAAGTACACAAAGAAATCTTAATACTTAACAATAAGAAAATGAACAACCTGGATGAGAAATGTACCAAAGACCTTAACAGATACCCCACCAAAGAAGATATACAGATGGCAAGTTAGTATATGAACAGATGTTCAACATCATATGTCATTAGGGAATTGTAAATTAAAGCAATGAGCCATCCCTACATACCTATTAGCATGGCAAAAATCCAAAATACCACACAAAATGCCGGTGAGGATGTGGAATAATAGCAACACTCATCCATTGCTGGTAGAAATGCATAATGGTATAGCTACTTTGGAATATTGTTTGTAAGTTTCTAAAAAGAACAAAACATATTCTCACCAGCAATCACACTCCTTAGTATTAACCCAAATGAGGTGAAAACTTAATGTCCACACAAAACTTGCATGTGAAAGTCCATACCAGCTTTATTCATAATTGTTAAGACTTGGAAGCAATCAATATGCTCTTTAATAGGTAAATAAGGCTGGGTGCGGTGGCTAACGCGTGTGATCCCAGCATTTTGGGAGGCCGAGGCAGGTGGATCACGAGGTCAGGATTCGAGACCAGCCTGGCCAATATGGTGAAACCCCATCTCTACTAAAAATACAAAAATAAGCTGGGCATGGTGGTGCATGCCTGTAGTCCCAGCTGCTCAGGAGGCTGAAGCAGGAGAATCGCTTGAACTCGGGAGACGGAGGTTGCAGTGAGCCGAGATCACACCACTGCACTTCAGCCTGGGTGAAAAAGTGAGACTCCAGCTCTAAAAAAAAAAAAAAAAAAAGTTAAATAGATGAATAAACTGTAGTACATCCAGACAATGGGATGTAAACAAACAAGCAAACAACAACAACAACAAAGAGCTATCAATCTATGAAAAGACACAGAGGAAACTTAAACACATATCACTATATCACTAAGTGTAAAAACATAATCTGAAAAGGCCACTCCTGTATGATTCCAACTATATGACATTCTGGAAAAGGCAAAACTATAAAGACAGTAAAAAGATTAGTAGTTGCTAGGGGTTGTGGGGTGGGAAGGATGAATAGGTAGAGAACACAGGATTTTTAGGGCAGTGAAACTATTTGGTATGATACGAAAACAGTGGATACATGTCATTACACATTTTTCAAAAGCCATAAAGTGTACACTACCAGGAGTGAACTCTTACGTAAGTTATGGACTTTGGATGATAATGACATGTAAAAGGAGGTTCATCAATTGTAACAGAAATACAACTGTGATGCAGGATGATGATAGCGAGGGAGGTTGTATGTATGTAGGAACAGGTGATATATGGGAACTGTACTGTGACCCTAAAACTGCTCCGAAAAAAACTAACATTTCTGTTGAAGAGAGCATCATTTAAGCAACCTAATATATGTGTAATGGGAGTCTCTAATACAGGGGAAGGGATGGAAAAAATATTTGAAGAAATGCTGGCTCAAATATCCCAAATTTGAGGAAAACCATAAAGTCACGGATCAAGTAGAGGAAACATAAAGAAAACTATGAGGTGTGGGCCGGGCGCGGTGGCTCATGCCTGTAATCCTAGCAGTGTGGGAGGCTGAGGCGGGCGGATCACGAGGTCAGGAGATCGAGACCACAGTGAAACCCCGTCTCTACTAAAAATACAAAGAATTAGCCGGGCATGGTGGTGGGCGCCTGTAGTCCCAGCTACTCGGGAGCTTGAGGCAGGAGAATGGCATGAACCCAGGAGGCGGAGCTTGTGAGCCGAGATGGCGCCACTGCACTCCAGCCTGGGCAACAGAGCCAGACTCCGTCTCAAAAAAAAAAAAAAAAAAAGAAAACCAAGAGGTGTAACATAATCCAATTGCTGAAAAACTGGATAAAAAAATCTTTAAAAAGTTTCACTTTTCTTTTTTGTATATATTTATTTTTATTTTATATATAATTGATACATAATTATATATGTTTGTGGGGTACAATGTGATGTTTCAGTACACGTACACATTTACATAATGATCAAGGCAGGGTAGTTAGCATGTCTATTGCCTCGAAGCTTTATCATTTCATTGTGGTGATAACTTTCAAGATCCTCTTTTCTAGCTATTTTGAAATTTACTCTACATTGTTATTGGCTATAGTCACCACGCTATGTAATTGAACATCCCAACTTATTTTTCCTAGCTGTAACTTTATACCCATTGACCAGCCTTTCCTTGTTTGCACTCCCTCTCCTAACCTCTAACAGCCACTATCCTATTCTGCACTTCTATGAGACCAAGTCTTAGATTTCACATGTGAGTGAGATCATACTGTGTTTGTCTTTCTGTGCCTGGCTTATTTCACTTAACGTAATGTCATCCAGGTTCATCCATGTTGCTTCAAATGACAGGATTTCATTATTTTACATAGCTCAATCGTATTCTATTGTATATATATACAATGTTTTCTTACAAAAAAATCTTAAAGCATTTGGGAGGCCGAGGCGGGTGGATGACGAGGTCAAGAGATGGAGACCATCTTGGCCAACATGGTGAAACCCCGTCTCTACTAAAAACATAAAAATTCGCTGGGTGTGGTGGCACGCACCTGTAGTCCCAGCTACTTGGGAGGCTGAGGCAGGAGAATCACTTGAACCTGGGAGGCAGAGGTTGCAGTGAGCCGAGATCGTGTCACTGCACTCCAGCCTGGCGACAGAGCGAGACTCCATCTTGCAAAAAAAAAAAAAAAAAAAAAAAAGAATCTTAAAGCAACCAAAGGGAAAAACAAAGTTGAGGATGACCATACATTTTTGTAGGATATATTGAGAGCAAGAAGACAGGGACCAACATCGTTAAAATACTGCAAGAAAACAGTCAATCTAGAATTCTATGCCTAACAAAATATATTTTAAAAAGGCAAAATGATGACATTTGCGGCCAGTAAGAGTTAAATATTAAAGTGAGTCCTTTAGGA
The DNA here is from genome assembly GCF_000001405.40 of Homo sapiens. Lineage (NCBI taxonomy): Eukaryota > Metazoa > Chordata > Mammalia > Primates > Hominidae > Homo > Homo sapiens. The sequence continues at coordinate 4,462,703 of NC_000012.12, forward strand.
AGAAGAAAAATGATGCCAGATAGAAATGCAGACTACATAAAGGAATGAAAAGCACCCAAAATGGTAAATATGTTGGCAAATATATAAGATTTTTTAAAAAGTCATTTAAGTATATTTAAGACATAATTGATTAAACACAAATAATAACAATGTAGCGTAGAGTTTATAATACATGTAGAAATAGAATTTATGACAATAGCAGAAAGTTCAGGAAGAGACAAATGTTATAAAGTTCTTATGTTATACAGGAAGTAATAGAATGACACTTGAAGGTGGACTGTGATGTTAAAAATGTGCTATAAACTGTAAAGCAACTATTAAAAGAATAACAGACTTACAGTTAATAAGTCAACAAAAATGGGATGTTTAAAAGTACTCAGTTAACTCAAAGAAAAGCAGAAAAAGAAGAAAAAGGGAACAGAGATAAGACAAATAGAAAAATAGTGATGTTAGATTTAAACTCAGTCATACCAATAATCACATTAAATACAAATAGTACAAATATGTCAATTAACAGCTGAGATTGGCATATTAGATAAAACAGAATGATGATGTATGTTGCCTAGAACAAAGCCATTGTAAATATAAAGATACAAATATCTCAAAAATAAATCAAGAGACAGCTTGAGTGTCTAAAAGCTGGAGTGCCAAAATAGATTTCAAAGCAAAGAATGCTATAAGCAACAAAGAAGGTGATTTCATAATGGAAAAGGGGTCAAATAATAGAAGTGAGCATAACGATCATAACTATTTATGCACCTGATAGTAGAATTTTAGAAAACATGACGCAAAACTGATATAATTACAGAAAGAAATAGACAAATCCACAACTACAGTCAGAGATTTCAATACTCTGTCTCAATAAGTCATAGAACACGTAAACTGAAAATTAGTAGGGATGGAGGTTATCAACAAATCTTATCTAATATGAATTTCAAGAGCTCTCCATCCAGTAATAGCAGAATACTCATTATTTTTAAGGGCACATGGTACATTTACCCAAGTAGATCATGGCTTCACTGGTAAATTTTACCAAACATTTAAGGAAAAAATAATATCTGTTCTACACGAACTCTTCCAGAAAATTGATGAAGAGGATACTTCTCAATTAAACCAGCATTTTTACCACACCCAGATAAAAACGTTAGAATTAAAATAATAACAGCAAACAACAGCAATTATAGCCCAATATCTTTCATGAACATAGATGCAAACTTTTTTTTTTTTTTTGAGACGGAGTCTTGCTCTGTTGCCCAGGCTAGAGTGCAAGTGGCAGAATCTTGCCTCACTGCAAGCTCCACCTCCTGGGTTCACGCCATTCTCCTGCCTCAGCCTCCCGAGTAGCTGGGACTACAGGCGCCCGCCACCATGCCCAGCTAATTTTTTTGCGTGTGTATTTTTAGTAGAGACGGGGTTTCACCATGTTAGCCAGGATGGTCTCGATCTCCTGACCTCATGATCTGCCTGCCTCGGCCTCCCAAAGTGCTAGGATTACAGGCGTGAGCCACTGCATCCGGCCAGATGCAAACATTCTTAATACAATTTTAGCAAATCAGTTACAACAATATATAAAAGGATAACATATCATAACTTCATGGGATTTTTCCCAAAAATGCAATCTTAGTTTAACATTCAAAAACCAATGTAATTCACCATTTAACAAACAAAAAAAGGTTATGATAATCTCAATGTACACAGAAAAAGCATTTGACAGAATTAATATCCATTCCTAATGAAAACTCTCAGAAAATCAAGAACAAACTGGAAATGCCTAAGCTTGGTAAAGGGCATCTGTGAAAAACCTATTCTAACATTATACTTAATGGTTTAAGATTAAATACTTTCACCCTAATATTGGAAACAAGTCAAACATATTTGCTGTCATTACTTCTATTTGACATTATACTAAAGGTTCTAACCAGTGCAATTAGGCAAGAAAAAGAAGTAAAAGTCTTCTATATTGGAGAGAAAGAAGAAAAACTGTATTTGCAGAGAATATGATTCTCTGGAGAGAAAGTCCCAAGGAGTTAACAACAACAACAACAACACCACCACAAAAAAGTTGGTAGTATAACGAACAGCCTACAAGTGAAATTAAGAAAATAATTCTATTCACAATAGCAGCAAAAAAAATGTAATACTTAGGAATAAATTCAGCCAAAGACATTCAAAACTTACACACTGAAAACTACAAAGGATTGCTGAGAGAAATGTTAAAAGATCTAAATAAATGCATAGTCATTTGTGATGGTTAATTTTGTGTCAACTTTGTTGGGTTACGGAGCGCAGCTATTAGGTCAAACATTATTCTGGATGTCCCTGCGAGGCTGTTTTTAGATAAGTTTACCATTTAAATGGGTAAACTTTGAATAAAGCATGCTCTCCTCCATAATGTGAGTGAGCCTCACCCAGTCAGTGGAAGGCCAGAATAGAACAAAAGGACTGACCTCCCCTGAGCAAGAAGGGATTCTGCAGCAGGTGGTCTTCAGATTAAACCTCTACCTCTACATGTACAAAACCAACTACGTATACAAGACCGTATACAAAAATCAACTCAAAATGGATTCAAGACTTAAACGTAAAACCCAGAACTATGAAATTACTATAAGAAAACATAGGGGAATTACTTCACAAATTGGGTTGGGTAAGGAGTCTTTAAATAAGACCTCAAAAGCACAAGTAACAAAAGCAAAAATGGACAAATGAGACTATATCCAACTAAAAAGCTTTTCCAAAGCAAAAACAAAAATAAAAAAAAAAACAGAGTTGAGACAACCTACAGAATGAGAGAAGGTATTTGCAAAGTATACATCTGTCAAGGATTAATATCCAGAATAGATAAGGAATTCAAAGAACTCAACAGCAAAACAACAACAACAACAACAAAGCAAAGCAAAACAAAAAAAGTCTGATTTTAAAATGGGCAAAAGACCTTAATAGACATTTCTTAAAAGAAGACACACCAATGGCCAACAGGCATATGAAGAAATGCTCAACATCACTAATCATCAGGGAAATGCAAATCAAAACTACCGTGAGCCACCATCTCACTCCAGTTAGAATAGCTGTTGTAAAAAAGATGAAAGAAAACAAGTGTTAGTGAGGATGTGGAGAAAAGGGAACACTTACACATTGTTGGTGGAATTGTAAACTAGTACAGCCATTATGAAAAACAGCATGGAGTTTCCTAAAAATATTAAAAGTAGAACTACCATATTATGCAGCAATCCTACTACAAAGTGTAAGTCCAAAGGAAATGAAATCAGTATGCCAAAGAGATATCTGCACTCTCATGTTTATTGCACCACTATTTACAATAGCCAAGATATGAAGATACGGAATCAATGTAAGTGTCCATCAACAGATAAATGGAGAAAGAAATATATATATATATATATACGCACACACAATGAAATACTATTCAGCTATAAAAAGAATGAAATCCTGTCATTCATGACAACATGGATGGACGTGGAAGACACCATGTGAAGTAAAATGAACCAGACATAGAAAGACAAATACTGCATTATCTCACTTATATATGGAATCTAAAAACATAAGAGTTGATATTATAGAAGCAGAGAGTATAACAGTGGTTACCAGAGACTGGGAAGGGGAAGGGGAAGAAGCAGATGAGGAGAGGTTGGTCAATGGGAGCAAAGTCACCACTGATGGGAGGAATAAGTTCTGGTGTTCTATTGTATGGTGGGGTGATTATGGCTAATAGTAAAATACTGTATATCGCAAAATAGCTAGAAGAGAGACTTTTGAATGTTCTCACCACAAAGAAATGATAAATGCATGAGGTGATAGATGAGGTGTCATTAGAGAAATACAAATAAAAACTACAATAAGATATCCTTTCACACCCACTAGAAAGGCTCTATAATAAAAAACATAGACAATAACAAGGGTTTGTGAGATTGTGGAAAAGAAAAAACTGAAACCCCCATATACTGCTGGAGAGAAGGTAAAATGACACACCCTTGAAGAATAGCTTAGTGGCTCCTCAAAAAGCTAAGTGTAAATTTACAGTATGATCCAGCATTTCCACTCCTAGATATCTACCCAAAATAGATAAAAACATGTATCCACACAAAGGTTTATATAGGAATGGTCACAGCAACATTATTCATGGTAACTCCAAAGTGGAAACAATAAAATGCCTGGTGAATGAATGAACAAAATGTGCTCTATCCTTATGGGGAATACTATTTGGCAATAAATGGTACAAAATACTAATGCATGCTATACAATGGAAAAACTTTAAAAGCTTTATGCTAAATTAAAGAAGCCAGGCCCCCAAAATCACATATCATATGATTCTATTATATAAAATATCCCTAAAAGGCAAATCTATAGAGACAGAAAGTAAATTAGTGGTTGCCAGAGACTACAGGTGAAAAAGGGTGGTTACTCCAGATGAACATGAGGGATCTTTTGGGGATGATGAAATGTTTTAAAATTGAATTGTGGTGATGGTTGCACAAGTGTAAATTTACTGAAACTCTTGGAATTTTATATTTGAAACAAGTAAATTTTATAATATGCAAATTATACTTCAATCAAGCTGTCTAAAAACACAGGAGAGCTTTTTATCGAGATTGACAATTTGACTCTAAAATGTATAGGAAGTGGAAATGTCCAAAAATAGTGAAAACAATTTTGAAAGGGAAGGACAAAGTCGGAAAACTTATGTGAAGATTTCTATAAAGCTGCAGAAATCAAGAGGGCGTGATACTGTTGCAAGACAGATGTATAGATCAATGCAGCTGAATAGAGTCCAGGCAGAGATTCACACATGCATAGACAACCACTTTCAGCAAAAACAAAAAGGTAATTCAATAAATGATGCTGGAACAATCCACAGGTGGGGTAGACAGAATGATGCTCACCGATCCCCCCCCCCAAGATGTCCATGTTCTAATCCCTAGAACATGAGGATGTTACCTTATATGAAAAAATAGGATGTCGCATGTATGATCAAATGAAGGACTTTCAGATGGGGAGATTATCCTGGATTATTCAGGTGAGCCCAATCTAAGTATGAGAGTCCTTAAACATGGGAGAAACAAGGAGGAAAGAGAGGAAGATGTGACTACAAGAGGAAGGCACAGAGGAATGCAGTGTTTCTGCCTCTGAAGATGGAGAAAAGAGGACATGAGCCAAGGAGTAGAATATGGGTGGCATCTAGCAGCTGGAAAGGCAAAGAAATGGAGATTATCTTCTAGAGTATCCAGAAAAGAATATTTATGACTTTGGTTAGGAGACGGTTACTTAGGTACTATACTAAAAGCAGGATCTATAAAAGAAAATAATTTTAAATTAGATGTGTCTTTTGAAGACCAGAAGTTTTTTTAAATTAATATTTATTTATTTATTTATTTTTGGAGACAGAGTCTCACTCTGCTGCCCAGGCTTGAGTGCACTGGCACCATCTCAACTCACTGCAGCCTTCATCTCCCAGGTTCAAGCGATTCTCATGCCTCAGCCACCCCTGTAGCTGGGACTACAGGTGCGTGTCGCCATGCCCAGCTAATTTTTGTATTTTAGGTAGAGATGGAGTTTCACCATGTCGGCCAGGCTCGTATTGAACTTATGGCCTCAAGTGATCCACCTGCCTCAACCTCCCAAAGTACTGGGGTTACAGGCATGAGCCACCACGCTCGGCCAGAAGTTTTTAATTTTGATAAAATTAATGTTGTTAAGAAAATAAAAAAACAAGCCACAACCTGGGAGAAAATATTTGCAGTACATATATGTGAGAAAGGACTGATGTTCAGAATATATAAAGAACTCTTGCAGCTCCATAATATGACACAACTCAATTGAGCAAAAGATTCGAGCAGACCCTCCATAAGAGAAATATAAAAATGGTCAATTAGCACATGAAAAGATGCTTAACAGCATTTTGCCTGGAAAAGGCAAATCGATACCACAATGAGATGCTATTTCATATCCACTAGAATAGCTAAAATTAAAAGATATGAGAATGCCAAGTATGGATGAGGATGAGGAGCAACTTGGAGCTCTCAAACACTGCTGGTGGGAATGTAAAATGGTACAACCTCTTGGCAGTTCTTATAAAGCTTCAAGTATACTTACTATACAGCTCAACAATTTCATGCTAGGCCTTTGCCCGAGACATTCATTTCATACAAAAACTGTAAACTTGTACATGAAAATTAACAGCAGATATATACATAATTGCTCTGAACCAGAAACAACTCACATGTACATCAACCAGAGAACGATTGACAAAATGTGGTACATCCATACAATGGACAACTGCTGAACAATAACACTGTTATATGCAGTAACATGTAGGCATCTCAAAACCATTTGCTGGGCCCAAGCTACACAAGAGAGTTCAGACTTTATGATTCAATTTCTTAAGAAATAAAATGCTAGAATAGGAAAAAAAAAAACAACCCAAAAAACCCAATACTGACAGAAGGCAGATTAGTGGTGCAGAGCCAGGAGTGGTGGGAATTGAATGCAAAGGGGCATATGGGAACATTTTGGGGTGATGGAAATAATCTGTATCTTGACTGTTGTGATGGTTGCACATTTTTCAAAATGTGTTAAATAGTATACTTAAATGACTATATTTTATTCTATGTAAATTATATTTTTAAAAAGTTGATTAAAATATGATTTTGAAATTTCAAATAACAAAGGAAGGTCAGACAATATTTATTCTATATAATTAGAAGCACTGACTGAAGATATTTGAGAAACACAGGGGCACATAGTCTCTAAGGTTACATCGGCTCTGATACGCCATGACTTCAGGAAAGAGGCTGAAAGCCTAGGAAAACAGGTTTAGGCTTGACATGAGGAAGAAATCCCAGCAATAAACATAGAACAACTGATTTTGGAGGAGGGAGCTTGGTGGTTATACTATGCTAACTTTTTATCCTATATAGGAATGCCTGTTATAGACTCTTTTATTAGGTTATTGTGGAGATCTACTTGAAGCCATCACTCGGCAAAGCAAATCCATTATTGGATTATACTAATTGTTAAAAAAATTATTAATAGGATTAAACTGGGAATCTTTTTCTCCTGGTAACTTTTACCCCTGGATCTTAGTCATCCAATTTTGAATTTTACTGTTATGAGAAAAAGTCATTTGGGGGATGTCTCTCCTGGAATTCACTTCAAGGACAGGAGAGATGAGCTGCCCATCTACATGGCAGTCAGAGAGTGACGGAGGCAGTTCCCAATAAAAAAACCCCCATTGGGCTCGCATAGTTCCTGTTACCAGTTAGAGGCTCAGGGATTGTCCTCCAAATAGCTTGGCCTCAACTTTTTACATTTCTTATAATTCTGTACTTAGACCAAAAGGCTCTGTCACATATGCAGGGAGTCCATGCTAACTTACTACAGTGAAAGGGAATCTTGGTGGTTAGCTATGTTCCCCGGATGTGCTAGAAGGGACACAAACATCAGATGGAGGCTGGACTTGGTTATCTTTAAGATCCTCTGATTCTAGGGAAGTTACAAGTGTACTGTTTCAGATTACTGAATTCAGCCTCATGTTCATATATTGGGTTTCTGTGGCAAGACTGTTAGCTGGCTATCCCACAGAGATTCCTTTCTTTTTTCTGCTTTGACAAGCAACTTCGTAAGCATGAAATGTGGGCTGTGGCAACCATCTTGTGATGAAGAGGGAAAAGCCAAGAAAACTGCAGAAAGATTTAATAAGAACCTGTTATCAAGCTGCTGAATTTACCAACCCTGAATCCTCCCACCTTTAGATTCTTTTTTAAGTGAACAAACACCATCACTTAAGCAACATTAAGTTGGGTCTTTTTTTGTTGTTTCCTTTCTTCCAGTACATTCTAACTAATACAAATTCCTAAGCCATCCTAATAGACAGATGCTGTACTGAGAGCTACATCTTTTAGCTCTCTTTGATATTATGGTGCTAGGTATACAGCTTCCAAGATGGGCCCCAATGATCCTTACCTACTGGTATTTCCATCCTTTGTTAGCCTCCTTCACACTGAATCAGGGATGGGTTTTGTGACCATAGATTATGGCGGAAGTGATGGTGTGTGACTTCCGAAGCTTGTTGATGAAGGACATTGAAGCTTCTACTTGTTCTCTTGAATTGCTTCCCTGTGGGAAGCTAGCCACCATGTTGAGAGGACACTCAAGCAACCTGTGGAGAGGCCCATGTGGAGAAGAACTGAGGCGTCTCACCATAGCCAGTCCCAGCTTGTCAGGCACGTGAAGGAGGCCCTGCAGCTCAATCAAGCCTGTAGATGACTGCAGTCTGGCTGACCTCTGATTCTGCCTTATGAGAAACCATGAGCCAGGCCACCTGGCCAAGCCATTCTGAAATTCCCGACCCATAGAAACTATTAGAGATAATAAATATTTATTTTTAAGTCACTAACTTTGGGTAAAATTGTTACATAGAAATAGATAATTAATACAGGTAGCAAGTTCTGTTATCTTAGGACCCACGTTTTATTCCTCAGTTCTTAGTCACAACTGTTTTCCTTACAATTACTCAAAGCCCTACTTGAGGCTTTCCTAAATTTATCCAAAAAATTACTCACACTAGGATTTTTACTCTTTGTGTACCTAGGCCATAGATCCAGATGCGTCAGGGCGTCCCTGTTCTGAAAACAGCTAAAGTTACTGACCGCCTCTTCCTCTTCTTCCTTTCTGTCTCCATCCTTCCTGATTCTGCAGTTACTCTAACAGTTGCAAGATTTTTCAGAACTAGGTCCTTGCAATCACTCAGAGCAGGAGTCAGAAAATTACAGTCTGTCGGCCAAGTGGGACCTTCTTCCTGTTTTGGTAAATAAAGTTTTATTGCACCATAGCCATGTTTATTTGTTTACATATTGTCTATGTCTGCTTTTGCAGTACAATGGCAAAGTTGAGTGGTGGTAACAGAAACCATATGGCTCACAAAACTTAAGTCTGCACCACCAGAGTTAGCGTTTCTAATATTTCATATTGTGTACCAGCCTACCTGGGGCTTCTGTGGCAAAACTCCTGGGGAGAACTGGGCACAACATATCTCCATGTGGCAGCATTCACCTTCACAATCTGGGGAGTCTGTCATTCCAGGTTCTCATTTTCTGGCCCACAATAACCATCGGTGTATCACAACTCACCCCACTTCAGTTTTTCTGCTTTGTTCATACTAGAGTTCTCACTCCACATGTGAAGTTGTGGGATGGAGGCATCCCTTCCTTCCTTTCTTTCCTCTCTCTTTCTTCCTTCCTTCTCCCCAAAAAGGATGGGCAAGATGGCAAAATCATTTGAATTCATTACTGATGAATTGAGAAACAGTGCAAGGAGATGGGAAAATTTTGGCTGTGGGACACACACATGCACACACACACACACACAAAACCAGAGCTGGGCGAGTTTGGCATGGAGATGCCATCCCTTGACACATAATCACAGAGCACTTCTCAGCTCTGACCCTTCAAAGAGGAAGAGGAACAAGGGTAATTCCAGCTATTACAGGTTCTTGGGCACCAAATGAAGTACTCTGTTGTAAATTGCATATAATCAGAGAGGAAGACTTTCATTTCTCTGTGGTTATGAATGGGACTTTTCCTTCCTCTTGTCTAGGAGGAAAGGAACTGGTTTAGATCAGTCTGGGGGAGTTTCCTTTGACGGAGATGACCAGAACTCTCTCTGGATCCTAACAGGGTTCCTGTCCTATATTGAGAACATGTGTCATGGAAATTCTTATGTCTCTTTTATTATACCAAAATCTCCCTTCTCCTTACCACACAATTTCTGTCCTTAGGACCAAGTACATAAACTACAAGATGGTGGAAACTTTCAGATGGTTGGAAGTGATGGATACAGATTATAGGGTCCTGCTCATTCTATAACGTTTTTGCAACTCTATCCACATAGTCCGTGTCCTCTGGGAGCTCTCCGTTTTGTAGGGGAGACAATTATTTGTAGGAAAATACAGAGTTACAGAGGTCTGACCCTCAAGAAGCACAGAAGGGAATATATTTCACATACTGCATATATTTTTTTTTTCTGTGCAAAGGCAGGCTGGACAAGTTTCTGCTATTTTATGCTTTTAGAGGGGACCCTTCCAGGAGTGACTGGTGATGTTCTACAGGTGATGACAGTGGCATTTGGAGATTGTTGTGCCCCTACTGGTCCAACTTCTATACCAGGACTGTCTCGCAACACATTTTCTCTTAGCCTCACACTGAGTAGGATACTAAGAGTGGAGTGGTAGATCCACTCTCACTGGGGACACAGTCTTCTGGAATAAAGACAAAGAATTGCATACACAAAACCATTAGAAAACCAGACAGAAGAAAACAGATTTCTGAACTGTTCAGAACAGAGTGTTCCTAACTGAAGGAAGAGGACAACATGGCCTAGAAGTTGGAGAAGACAGAGCTGAGCTAGTGGGGGTGGGGTGAGCAGAGAGGAAGGGGCAGGGCTAGGACAGCAGTCTCCCCCATCCCACAGACTGAAGCCATTTAATCCCCCCGACCTAGTTCTTACCTCCACCCTCCGTTTTATCTTCCCATTATGAATTTTTTCCATTTAGCATTTAGCACTATTTTTTATGTATCATTCTGAGCTTATCATCTATCTACATTAGTTGATCTCTCTCAGTTTCATCAGCTTGTTTTTGCCACTATCTTCTAGCTCTATTATATTTTCATTGTGTGATATATTTACTTCTCACTCTATTATATTTTCATTGTGTGATATATTTACTTCTCAATCTTGTTATTTCATATCTATTTCCCTATGTATTCTCTGTCAAATAATGTATTTCTCTATCCCTATTTATGATCATCTCTTTTTACTTTCCTGTCCTTTCTCTATTATGTCTAAATGGTTATCTGCCTTAAGTCTTTCATTCTAAGAAATTAAACTGTTTCCATTTGCAGATGACACAATCTCATATATAGAAAACCCTAAAAGCTCCACCAAAAAACTTAGGACTAACAAATGATTTAGAAAAGTTGTGGGATACAAAATCAAGATAAAAAAGCAGTAGCATTTCTACACACTAATATCAAAAAAGGGAATCAAGAAAACAATTTTATTTACAATAATATCAAAAAATGTGTATAATGTAAACAATTAAATACTTAGACATAAATTTAATCAAACAGGTGAAAGATCTGTACACTGAAAACTATAAAATATTGATGAAAGAAATTTAAGAAGACATGAATAAATGAAAAGATATCCTGTGTTCATGGATTGGAAGAATTAATATTGTTAAAATGTCCATACTACCCATAGTGATCTGAGACTCAATGCAATCCCTATCAAAATTCCAGTGGCATTCCCCATAGAAATATCAAAAAAGAGTTCTAAAACTTACATGGAAGCACAAAAGACCCTTATCACCAAAAGACCTCAATCACCACTTTTGATTGAGCACAAGGAACAAAGCTGGAGGAATCACACTGCTTGAACTCAAAATCTACTATAAAGCCATAGTAATGAAAAATGCTTGGTACTGCTACAAAGATAGACATTATAGACCCATGGAACAGAACAGAGAGCCCAGAAATAAGTCCATGGATTTACGATGAACCTATCTTCCACAAAGGTGCCAAGAACATACAACCCAGAAAGGACAGTCTATTCACAAAATGCTGTGGGGAAAACTTAATATCCACATGCAAAAGAATGAAATTGAACCCCTATCTCACCCCATATATAAAAATCAACTTGAAATGGATTAAATGCTTAAATGTAAGACCCAAAAATCTTCTTGACATTGGCCTAGCAAAGATTTTATGGATATGACCCCAAAAGCACAGGCAACAGAAACAAAAATAGAAAAATGGGCTTTCATCAAACTAAAAGTTTACATGCAGCACAGGAAACAATCAACAGAATAAAGAAAAAATCCACAGAATGGGAGAAAATATTTGGGGATCATACACCTGATAGGTAGTATGCAAAATATACAGTGAACTCAAACAACTAGATAACAAGAACACAAGTAATCTAATTTAAAAAGGACTTGAGTAGCTTTTTCTAAAAGAAAAAAAAGACATAAGACATATAAATGGCCGAGTAGATGAAAAAAATGCTCAACATCAGTAATCATCAGAAATGACATGAGAAATGTCATCAGAAATGACATCAGAAATTGACAATGAGATGTCACCCGACACCTGTTAGGATGTCTATTATGTATCAGAAAGATAGGATAACAAATGTTGGTGAAGATGTGGAGAAAAGAGAATCCTTGTACACAATAAAATGCAAGGAATATAAGAATATATACTCCCATATTCACAATGGAATACTATTCAGCCATAACATAGAATTGTGAGGAATATAGGAATATATATTCCTGTATTCACCATGGAATACTATTCAGCCTTAAAATAGACAGCAGTCCTTCCATTTGCAACAACATGGATGAAACTGGAGGACATTATGCTGAGTGAAATAAGCAAAGCACCGAAAGGCAAATACTGCATGATGTCATTCATATGTGGAACCTTAACAAGTCGAACTCATAGAAGCAGGGAGTAGAATGGTGGTTACCGAGGGCTGGATGAAGGGGAAGAATTAGGTAGATGTTGGAGAAATTAGGGGGGGAATTAGGCCGATGTTCAATTAGACAGAAGGAATAAGTTCAGGAGGTCTACTGTACAACATGGTGGCTACAGTTAATGAAAACATCTTGCATACTTGCAATAGCTAACAGAGTCAATTTTAAATGTTCTTATGACAAAAAAGTAAGTATATGAGGTAATAAATATGTTAATTAGCTTGATTTAGCATTTCCACCATGTATACATCTATCAAAACATTTGTAAGCCATAAATAGTATAATTTTTGTCAATAACAATTAATTTTTAAAAGTCTTGCATCCTTAATATTCCCTCTATTTTTCAGGTTTTTCTCTTCATTACTCGTAAATCTTTTCCTACTCTTGTTTCCACCCAATAGTCCTTACAGGACAACACTCCACCACCCTGTGCCAATGATTTATTTTTCTCTGATTTATTAATAGTAACAAGCAAACCCTTATATAGCTCTCCTTATATGACAGGCAGTGTTATAAGTATTTCATGTATGTTCATTCATTTAGTCCTCAGAACAAGATCATTGATTCTCATTATCCCCATTTCAAGGAAACCCAGATAGAAGTTCAGTGACATGCCCAAGGTCAAGGCTCAATTCCAGATAGTCAAGCACCAGAATCTGTTCTATTAACCACTGTGACATACAACCAGTTTGGGGGAATCTCTGCTCTCTCAGCTTCAGCTTCCACTGCTCCCAAATAGTCCCCTTTCTCCTCTCCCCAAATATAATCCCAACACTGAGTTCAGAATTCCTAAAACAGAAGTCAGGAGAGGATTTTAGATTAGCTTCCAGTACTGCTTAGGCTAGGGAACACAAACGTCTGGCCGTGCTCTTGGCATGAGTGAGGAAAAATACAAGGAGAAAAAGATACAGATTATTATTTCAATAAATTATCCCACTTCATGGATGAGGTGAGAATATCATGGAAAGGAGGTGGCACTGTGACCGATTCTGGCCCGGGTCCCCAAGCCTCTGAGTCTGTTAGCTTGCTTCCATGTCCAATTCTATATCACACATAATCATTCCTGCTCTTGTAGCTAGGGTAATCTGCTTGAAAAACAATTTTATCCCATGAACTCTCTGTTCAGAAATATTCAGAAAGATGTTATCTGTTCTGGAATTAGATCATGGTGATGGTTACATAACTTTGTGAATATACTAAAAACCACTGAATTTTACACTTTAAAAGGATGGGTTTGATGGTGTGAATTAAAGCCTAATTTTGAAAAAGAGGAAAGGTATTTTATCATCTCCCCCTTTGGAGTTAAATTCTGGATCTTCAAGATCCACAATATGATCCTTCATTATCTCTCCAGTCTAATTTCATCTCCCACTATTCAGCTGTCCTTTCCACTCTCCACACCCAGTCCTCCTCCACATCTCTGGTCATGTCGTTTCTCTTAACTAAAATCCTTTTCTCCTCCGCTCATCTCTATCTCATACTTTCCTCAAGATCAGTTCGAGCCCTACTTTTCTGAAAACTAGTCTTTGTTAATTTCTTCGGACTCTAAACACTGTTTGCTTTTATAGTATTCCAGCTTTGGCATAAATTTTAGTATAACGACAGTTCCTTGAATGAAGAGACCCTTCTTTTTCATCTCTATAACTCAGCATCCTGCACAGTGCCTGGTACTGAGTATACACTTTGAAAAGTGAATGTATAAACTGCATTTTTACTAATTTCTAAATGGTTCATATGTGCTTGTCTTGTTTCTTCAACTTGACTGTAAGGTGCTGCAGAAAGGGTCTACATCTCTATTTGAGATTTAGCACAAGTTCAGAACAGGACATATGGTTGACCCCTGAGTGAGTTAGACCCTTCAGCTGCTTAATTACCTGATGTCTTGGCAGACAGAGTTGTGCCTTTGACATTTTATTGGTGGTGCACTGAAAAGGGAGGACACTGAACTGGCGGAGAGAGTCCCCAGGATGCCTGGCTGAATGGTGGTTGCTCCACCCTTAACCACAAATGGTTCATTGTCCACCACTTTTGGCATTTGTAACAGTATTTGGAAAGAGATGTAGCAATTTCCCCCCCAGGGCTTATTTTTAAAGTCAGTGGCTGAGAGTGCTTGTCGGAAGTGGGGTCAGACAGAGCTGAGGGCTCTGAGCTGCCTGGTGGATGGGATGGGTGCTGCCCAAGAAGAGATATAGTGGTTGGTCCTTAATTTTGGACCTCTACTGCCCTGGGAGAAAAGTCCAGGCCAAAGGAAAGGGATGACTTACCCAAAACAGATCACAGCTTCCATGGAGATACAACTACACTGTCAGCCAGTGTTTTGCCAACCCTAAAGTTTTAAGACTAGGGCTGGGTCAGCCCGAGGGCTAGTGGGCTTCTACTCACTCAATGGGAAATGTAAGTTTTATTGAGGGCGCTATGTGCCTGGTAGTAGTACTCTGCTAGGCACTAGAGATTAAAGTGTAGACATGGCAGTTTCTGCCCTTGAAAAGATTATAGACAAATAGGGAAAGCCAGACAAATGAAAAGATAAATATATTAGTGTGGTAAGTGCAACAATGGTGGTAGAGGGATAAAGGCTCTTTAATTCCTTAAAGAAGTGGCATCCAAATTGAGGCCTGGTGGTGAATTGAAGGTAACCAGATCAAGGAGGGAGATATTTCAGAGAGTAGATTATGCAGTACTCAAGAAATGAAAGAAAATGTCATCTACACAGATCTGGAGGTAGTTCAGTTGTGTAAAGCAGGGGATCATCATATAATAGCCCATGAGCCAAATCCAGCAAGCCATCTGTTTTTGTGATTAAAGTTTTATTTAAACACAATCCCACTCAGCCATTTGCATATTATCTATGGCTGCTGTTGCACTACAGCCACAGAACTGAGTAGTTGCAATGGACAACACATGGTCCTCAAATCCTAAAATAGTTACTATGCTGGTCTAGAGAATATTGCTTGGGGGAAGGAGTTGGAGAGGTAATCAGGAGACAGACCAAAGAGTTCACTCTTTATTTTAAAAGCAACATAGGAGCAACTGACATGTTTGAAGCAGGAACACAGCATGATAATATTTGAATTTTAGATAATTATGGTGAGATTAAGAAAGAAGAAGAGGCAAAACTGGAGTTGGAGAAACCAGTTTGAAAGATGGCATATAGGCAAGAAATAATGGCACCAATTATTTCTTCAATTATGAAGGCACCAATGGGATGGAAATAAATGAACAGATTTGAAAGATGAGGATTTGGTGATCAGCTGTGGGACTGTGTGAGAGGGATGGTACTTCAGGCAAACTTTCCATTTGGAATTTTTCTAAGATGAGAAAGAAGCAGTAGTGACCCAATAGCTCAATGATACTATTAGACTTCTCTCATTTACATGAATGTTTCAGTCTTTCTTGTCTCACAATATTGTTTTTCCCCAGTCTACTTAGACTCAATATTACCACTTCAGTGGAATGTAGAAACCTTGTCACCATATAGGTTTCCATTTATGTTCTAGGTGTTCTTTGCATAAATATCTTGAAAATCTCATTAGATAATGTTATAATTTTTGCTTTCAATAATCAAACATACTTTAAAGAACCCAAGAGGAAAATATTGTATTTACTCAGGCATTTACCGTTTCTATTCCTTTTCCTTCATTCCTCATGTTCCAATTTTTATCCTGAAAGTCATTTTCCTTTTGTCTGAAGAAATTCCTCTAGCAATACTTCCTTTAGCAGGTTCGCTGGCAACAAATTCTCTTAGTTTTTCTTTCTTGGAGAATGTCTTTATTTCCCCTTCATTCCTGAAGAATTTTTGTACTGGATATAGAATTCTAGATTGACAGTCTTTTAGCGCTTTAAAATTGTTCCACCTCCTTCTGGCTTCCACAAGTTTAGATGAGAAATCTGCAGTCGTTCAAATTGGTGTTTCCTTATGAGTAATGCATTGGGTTTCTCTGGCTGCTTTCAAGATTATTTTCTTTGTCTTTAGTTTTCAGTATTTTGATTATTCACTAAATTTGGAGAAATTTCAGCCAATATTTCTTCAAATATATGTTTTCTCATCACTACATCTTTTCTCTTCTTTTGGGACTCCAATGTCATGAATTTAGAACTTTTTGTTTTTCCCATTCAGCCCATGAGGCTCAGATCATTTTTTCATTTTTTTTCCTCTGTGTATTCAACGTGGAAATTTTTTATTGATCTATTTCCAAGTTCACTGGCCATTGACTCTTCTCTTTGTCATCTTGATTGTGTTTCTGTTCCTATCCAGTGAGTGTTTTTTTTAATTTTGGAGATTATATTTTTTATCTCTAAAATTTCCATTTGGTTCTTCTTTAGATCTATTTCTTTGCTAAGAATTTCTATTGTTTTACACATTTCAAATGAATTTTAAAAGGGCTTTTATAATGGCTGTTTTAAAGTCTTTGTATTATAATCCCAACATCTGCCATCTCAGAATTACTGTCTATTGATTGTTTTTTCAGAGTTGAGATTTTTTCTGATTCTTTGTAAGGCAAGTAATTTTAGTTTGTATTCAGGTCATTTTTACTATTGTTATGAGACTCTAGGTTTTCAGTCCTATGGAGAATGTTGATATTTTTCTCTAGCAGACAATCAACCAGTCTGTTTCAGGCCACACATTCAGACCGACCTCTTGTGGGTTATGGTTTCAATGTCATTCCCATTTTCAAAGACTTTGCAGTGTTATCTGAATTTGTCTTGCATGTGTGTCACTCAGTAGACAGTCTAAAACCTGGGTGTAGTCTAAGCTCTCAAAAGCTTTGGTATGAAGTTTAGAATTAGATTCATGCTGGCACATCTCTAGTGTAAGCCCAGGAGTTCATAAACAACTCTATGGGTTGGCTTTCAAACTCTCCCTTTCTATAATTTTCCTTGTATTTACCTTGTGTCTCCCATTTTCAGCTTTCTAGACAGAAATCCAGGGCTTTAGTTTCCCACACTCAGTTGTGTTCATCCTGTAACTCCTGCTTTTTGGTTTTGTTTGTGTTTTGTTTTGTTTCCTCAGCCTGGGAAAGCATCTTCCTCTACTCTTTATCTGGCTAATTGCTACCGATTTTTCAGGTCTTAGTTTAAATATAATTTCCTCCTAAAAGCTTTGTCTTATTTGCATATCCATTATATTCCCCTTGTTATTTTCTCACAGGACCCATAATAATCTATAATTTCATATATAGTTGTTCATTGATTTTAATGTCTCTTCTGCTCGACAGAGGATGAGATTATCTGTCTTATTCAGTATTATGCAATGTTTCCAGTATCTAAAACAATGCATGGTACACAAAAGATGCTCAATAAATATTCATTTAATGCATAATTATATTCTTCCTTTCGTCCATGCATCCAACTTTCCATGCTCTGCCTCATCCCCCAAAAAATATGAAGATTGTCACATTCAAATATGAACCTACTCTCAACGATCAAAGTAAACTATATCGTTTTGTAACTTGATAATTTGTAAAGCATTCTTATTTTTTTCTTGTGTGGCTTTATGAATTAGAGAGAGGAAAATGTATTAATCATACTTTATGGGCAAATTAACTGAGATTCAAAGAGATAAAATAATTTGTCCTAGTCACAGCTAGTAATGAAAGTGATGGGTAGGGCTTAAATGACAGGTTAGTTGGTTACAAAATTTTAAATTGGCAGTTATTTTCTCTTAATGCTTATTATTTTCTGGTGCTTATTGTTGCTGTTGAAAATTTGTAGTCTTTAAAATTGTCATGCAAATCTCTCTTTATTTGATTCTTAAAAATTTTTTTAGAGACTTTTAAGATTTACCTTTGTTTTAGGTGTTCTGCAATTTTACCACAAAGGGTCTAGCTGTAGATTTATTTTTCTTTTTCTGCTTAGATGTCAACCTGCTTCCTGAATCTGAAGATTCATGTCCATCAATGTTGGGAAAGTTTTAGTCATGTTTTGTTACTGTCTTCTACCTGTTTCTGTCTACACCCCTAATAAAATTGGATGCTTACCTCACAATATTCAAAAGTGAATCTCAAATGGATTAAAGGCCCAAATAAGAAAAAGCAAAGTGTTAAAACTCACAGGAGAAAATATATGAGTATTTAGCTACGATACTAGGGGTAAGAAACAGTATCTCAAGTGAGATATAAGAAGTTTAAACCATAAAGGAAAAGATTGATATGTCACATCAAAATTTAAGACCTCTGCGAAAATAAAACATAATAAAAAGTAAAACAACAAACCACAGCCTGGGAAAAGAAAAGAGGTTTTCAAGAATACCTAATAAAAGTTTAATATTTGGGGCCGGGCGTGGTGGCTCAAGCCTGTAATCCTAGCACTTTGGGAGGCTGAGGTGGGTGGGTCATGAGGTCAGGAGTTCAAGACCAGCCTGGCCAACATGGTGAAAACCTGTCTCTACTAAAAATACAAAAAATAGCTGGGCGTGGTGGCGAGTACCTATAATCCAAGCTACTTGGGAGGCTGAGGCAGGAGAATCGTTTGAACCCAAGAAGGGGAGGCTGCAGTGAGCCAAGATCACACCATTGCACTCCAGCCTGGTTAACAGCGTGAGATTCCATCTCAAAAAAAAAGTTTAATATTTGGAATATAGAAAGAATGTCTGCAAATTCAATAAGGAAAGGGAAAACAATGGAAGAGAAGAAAATGGACAAAGGATTCAAACAGACAACTCATGAAAAGGGAAATCCACGCAGGGAGTGGTGGCTCACGCCTGTAATCCCAGCACTTTGGGAGGCTGAGGAGGGCGGATTACCTGAGGTCAGGAGTTCAAGACCAGCCTGGTCAACATGGCGAAACCCCGTCTCTACTAAAAATACAAAAATTAGCTGGGCGTGGTGGTGCACACCTGCAATCCCAGCTACTCGGGAAGCTGAGGCACGAGAATCACTTGAACCTGGGAGATGGAGGTTGCAGTGAGCCAAGACTGTGCCACTACACTCCAGCCTGGGTGACAGAGCAAGACTCTGTCAAAAAAAAAAAAAAAAAAAAGAAAGAAAGAAAAAAGAAAAGCGAAATCCAAATGACCAACAAATGTGCCATGCTGCTCAACATCGCCACTAACCAGGGAAATGCAAAATAAAACAGTAACGAGATACTATTTTATACTTATCAGAATGGTAAGAATTAAAATTTCCAAAAATTTCTGCCCAGTCTATATGAAGAAAAAGGAGTGTTCACACATGCCATTAGAAGGAAAATTTGGTACAACTATGGAGTTAAATTTGGAATTTCTTAAATTTTAAGATGTCGATAATCCAGAAACTCTTTTCAGAGATATAAACCATGGAAAAACTGTAACATATGTACACAATGATACATGTACAAGAATGTAGTTGCTGTGGCACAGTATGAAGTGACACAAAAGTGAAAGCAACCTCACTGTCAATAAATAGGAGAATGAGTAAATACATAAATTGGACTATAGGCATATAATTCAGTCTTCAAATATACTACAGCCAAAATTAGTAAAGTAGCTATATGTATATTAGCGTGATTAAATCCCAAAAGCATGATATTGGATTCTTAAAAATGCAAATGTTGAATGATCTGTAGAAGATAAAGCTTTCAGTACAATACTATATACATCTTATGGCTACACTCTGTGGATATGCATTAAAACTATAAATTAACCTGTAAGAATGAATAACAACAAAGTCAAGATAGCGGTTACTGCCAAGGAGAGACTATGACACATTGAAGACAAAAATATTCCCAGTTCTTCTCCTCATCCTGTGTTCATGCTCTTTTCAATGTGACTTTTTAGCACTTCTCATCAAAATAAGGAGTCTATTACCCCACCTCTTGAGTCTGGGATGGCTGTGTGACCAGATTTAATCGACGACAGAATGTAGTGGAAGTGATGGTGTGTCAATCCTCTTTTCCAGCTCTACTACCACTATGTAAACACGTCTGGGCTAGCCTCACGGAGGATGGCTCACAGTGAAGAAAAGTCCAGCTGTGCCAGCAGAGGTCATTTATACCAGCCTACAGCCAGCCAACCCCCAAACATGTGACAACGCCTAGCCCAGATAATCAGAGTGGCCTACTCGACCCACCACTGACCAAAGACTCAAAAATGAGCCCAGGCGAGACCAGAACTGCTGAGGTGACCACCCGTAGAATCATAAAGAATAAATGCTTATTGTTTCAGCCACTAAGTTTTGGAGTGGTTTGTTCCTCAGAAGTAGCTGATACAAGGAGAGGCTAAAGCTACAGGAGCAAAAGAGAACCTGCATCTGTGATCTTTTATGTGATAAAAAAGACAGCCCTAAAGCAAAGGTGGCAAAATTTTAAGCTTGAACAAAAACAAGTAGTAGGTACATGGTTATTTGTTATAATTTCTCTAACTTCTTTTTATCTTTGAAGTATTTCACGATAAAAGGAAATTCAGATAGCAGAGTCAATGTGCTACACTAGCCAAGACAGCCAAGATGATTTTTAAAAAGAAAAAGTATTTATCCTAGTGCCCCTCCCCCATCCCCATCACCACACACATAAAGTAGACTAAGTAGATTAGTGATTTCTGAGTTCTGATCCTCTTCTCTCATCCCAGGACATCTCCTCTACACCTTCCTAGCATCTAATCCTCTTGCCTCAGTTGCTCATCTGCAAGACAGCAAACACATGATCAGCTTGCTGACAAGAGAGTCCTAAGAGTTGAACCAGGAAAGCATTACAGGGGCAAGTTGTTCATTCAGCTGCTATGTGGGTAGGAGACTTTAAATTCCATAAGTACTTCATACTATTGTTATTTCTAAAATCTAGATTCACTTCATATAAAAAATATGATAGTCCTTCCTGCTCTACTCAAATACAGGGTTAGTCACCTACCCTGTGACTTCCTCCTGACATTCAGATCCTTTGTATCTGAAGTTGTTGCCATTGCTGGCACAGGTGGCATTCTTCCCATCTGCCAGGAGGATTTGTGCTTCACCTGTTGAGAATAATGAGGGTTCAGAGGATACTCACTCAGTGCCAGAGAAAGGCAGGGATAAGCAGTCTGCTTTCAAGAGGCTCAACATCTCTCTTGGCCCAACGTATGCTAATGTTTCTATTTTGACTTCCATAGCACTCTGTGTATGCTTTTTTCTGCACTGACTGTATACCTCTAGTATATGCTAGCTGGTACTGTGGTTACTGTGTGTTTTCCTACCAACTCAATTGGGCTGTAAGCTTCTTGAGGACACGGTGTCTTAAGTGACTTAGCATCCCTTCTATCTAGTGAAAGGAAGAAAGGGAAGAAGGAGAAAGGTCAGACAGGAAGAAAGGAAGGAGGAGACAGGAAGGAATGAAGGAAGGAAGGATAATAGCAGCAAATATTTATAGGATGACTATATGCCAGGTAATGTGCCCTTCTTATGCAATCCTTCCAACCACTCAATGAGGTAGATACTATTATTAATTTTCCCTAGCTTACAGATGAGGAAACATGCTTAACGGGATTAGGTAATATGCCCGATGTAACAAGCCACAGCAAATAAACTGAGGAGTCAGCATTTGAATCAGGCTTAACTTTAGAGACTATGTTCCTGATCTCTGATGTTATATTGTTGCTCAGAGTAGAGACTTTTGAGCACAGATGAGCTGATACCAGGAAATGAGAATTTATTATAAAGAAAGAAAAGGAGAGAAGGCTAGGGAGAAAGGAGGAGACATGCATCAGTACATTCTCCTCCTGCAGATGTCACACCTAACGTATGACAGATGACAGTACAGTTTCTGCTTAATTCCTGAACATGTCAAGAAAGGATCTGTTTGCTTCTTTGGTAACGTGTTCCAGGTTTCATTCTCTATGCACCAAAAATATCTACGAATAGCTCTTGCACCCTCTTGCCGGTGAGAGAAGACACATACAGTCGACTCTCACAGTTCACAGTAGTTATGTTCGATAAAGATGCTGTGAACCCTGAATTAGTGAATACTAAATCATTGCTCCCAAGGGAGACAGAGAGTTAAATTCCTGCAAGGCTCTGACCACAACAGTCTCATCAGCCCATCAAGATATAATCTTGTTTTATGTGTGCTACTGTTGAAAGACACCTTATTTAATACCCATCACTGATTCATTATCATTGAACTTTTGACCAACAGCACTACATTGCCTACCTGGACAGAGCTTATCTAGACATGCGTTGTCTTCATCAGGGACATCACAACCTTCTTGCACTTGGGAACACCAGATAGCACTTGAGCACTACACTTGGACCATTTTGAACAACAAAATCACCACAAAGCAATGGAAAAAAAAACATGGTGCTAAACAGACCCATGAAAGGGACATTTATTTGCACTATGAAAGCTAAAATAAGGCAGCAGAGCATCACCTTGCTCCATCTGAGCTGGGAACATATGTGTTGGGCGACTCAAACATTTTGGTGCTCTGAACATGTCCACAGATAACCTGAAAGTGCTGCCAAAGGCCCTGCTTTTTATTCTATTGGCCAGTTACAACATCTACGTGACTTTGGGGTGATGAATCTATTGTCTTTGTAAATGACTGTATGCTTTTGTAAATGTCTTTAACAATTTCGGAGTTACAAATAAATTTTAGTGAATAGGTGATTGCATAAATATGGTATCTTCAACTAATGAGGATTGACTGTATATAGTATGAAGTTCAGCCAGCCTTAGATTTGGATATATGAGAAAGCCTCATATGTCTTCGATTTGGACATATCCAGAACCATTTTCCTGTAGGAAAACAGGAAATGAACCGCAAGAGAGAACTGAAGTATATGGTAATTTTATCTGTGTATATTTAAATAGGACATTATAAGCACATATTGGTCCTGCAGGCACCTCAGGAGGTTACTCCTCCTTTCCCCTGCTTTAGCTGAAATTTTATTTTAGTTATTAGAGATCATCAGCATCACAGATTACAGAAAAGCCCGCCAAGTCTTCTGTCTTTACAAGTCCCATTGCCTTTGTATAACCTTCTAGGGGCTGAATCTTGCTTGCACTATGCCTTTGTGTATAGAAGAAACTCAGTAAACACTGGCTGTTTATTGAACGAGATTCTCAGGGTCAATCTGCTATTTATGTTTTCTTGATCTCTGCCGTCCCTTTGTAACATATTCTCATGTAAATATTTCTGCCCAAGGTTGTGGTTCCCAGCTTGGGGTTCCTGGAATTAGTGATCCTTTAAGATATTGAGCTATAAAGAATCTCTCAAAAAATACATTTCACTTGGATGATGTCCCACAGGTTAAGTCAAACACCAAGGCTTTGTTTTTGCAAGTTTGCCTGGAATTACACAATGATAATTCTATGCATTTTATGTGGTAATACTAGGCATGAGAATGCACAGTGATAATTGTAGGTGATAATACTATGTACCATTTGCTAATCAGAAGCTTCTCTCCAGACATACCTGTCTTTGATTTAGTAAAAAAGATTGCTCAAATAATTCCAATTGTTTATGTTCTCAAAACATTTCGGGCAAAGATGTGATGGATAATGAAAGATTCTTGAACAAAGGATAGAAAATCACTGATTTAAAAGGTCCTGAAAACATGGTACTTTTTCCAAATAGGTGTTGTATTCTTTTTGCTTCACATTTATGATTTTTATACTTCTATTACTCCTACTGAGCAAATCAGTCCCACTTCATATAAATGGAAAAACTTAAGTCACAGAAAAGCAGCCATTTTCACCTAGAAACTGAAAAATAGAAAATAAAAAGAAACTGAAAAATAGGCCTGAGGCTCGTCTCTAACTTTAGTGGGTTCTTTCTACAGTTCTGTGAATTCTCCCTTAGAGCCTCTAGAAAAGAAATGTTTCTGTGATTTCATCTTTCTTTTGTGAAACATGTTTTCTTCTTGTGAGAATTAGCCAGGATCCAACTGAAGTAACACAAATGATGGTGTGTACTGTGCCAATAAGAGATCTGCCAACTCCCAGGCAAGCTCAGTTTCTTCCCGCTGAAATTCTTTTTCATGCATTTCTTCCATTCTGGTCACACTGTCATGCTGAGAAACAGCTGGTGCCACACTTCTAGATCAATGGCTTTGCTTGTGTGGTGCTTCGAGAGCAGAAATGGGGGAAGGGGGGGAAAGAGCAGCACAGAATGGAGACCTCAGGTTCAGTGCCTCTGCCTGATTTCCAAAGCACACTCTTAAGGCCTTGAGGGCCATTTAGGAATATGTAACTGTTTATACAAATAGAAAACTTCTAACTCACAATCCTCACCAATGTCAATGTTTGTGCTAATCTCCCCATCCTCAAAGACTCTCGTGGTCAGCTCCTCTCAACTTACTGGCCATTTACCACTGCCTCCATTCTGCTTCTGCTCCTATCTGCGCCTTACTCAGTTGTCCCTTGGTATCTGCAGGAGACTGGTTCCAGACCCCCTGCCAATATCAATATCCCTGGATGCTCCAGTCTCATATAAAGTGGTGTAGTAATTGCATACAACCTACACACAGCCTCCCATATACTTAATCCGTCTATACATTACTTATACCAAATACAATGTAAATGCCATGTAAACAGATGTTATATTGTATTTTTAAAATTTTTATTGTATTTTTTTTCAGAATATTTTCCATCCACAGTTGGTTGAACAGAGTGCCATCTGTACCTAGAATGCTGTCTCAGCCCAAGGTACCTTCTTCACATCATTCATGAAGTGCTTTAAACCACTCCCCCTCAAGAAGCCCTTTAGAACACTCAGAAAAAGATCCTCATCTCATAATTCTTGGTCCAAATACAAAACTCCAGACTCCTCAATTACTGCATCACTAAAATTCCCACCATTTCAGTGCATATAATTAGCTTTTTAAGTTATATATTTATTATTAGCTTGGTGTTTGTGTGTTTCCATCAGTGGTAACACCATAAACATGATTCTTCCAATTTTACTACTTCTGTAACACAGTTGCATGTGGAAAACGGACATTCGATAAATTTATCCTGACTTCACATGCCAAATAGTACCTTTACACAGCCCTCAGTTAAAGCCACCAGTTTATAAGTAACTTAGTGGAATAGCCTAGAGGTGACAAAGGAAGAGTTGGGCAGCAGCATTCAACAAACATCCGTGAATGAAACTTTGCTCCTCCATTCCGATATCTGGGCTGCACTGATCTACCACTCTCCTGGTTTCTGCCTCTGTCTTCCCTGCTTTGCATTAGAATCAGTCTCAGTGATTAACAGTGGTGCCTGAAAGACAATTTCTCCAAGAGAACTGTATAGGCTCTAAGGGCAAAACACCTGCCTTCTTGGCAGAATCGCCAGGCTCCCTGACAAATAATTTGGAGAGTTTTAGTGTCTAATGGACATACTGCTGGAGTGGGTGTTCTTAGGGTTGTCTTTAGTGTTGTTACCTGGACAAACCTTTCCCTCGAGTAGAAAATTAAGACACATTCTGTTATAGGAAAGCACTCTGCTTGCCAACAGTTTCTATAATAGTTATTACACTGAGGCATATTAATGAAGGGCGTTTTGTTTCTTGTCATCAAGACATGCCATCTTATGACACCAAATGCCCTCCATTTCATTCTTGTGGCCAGTTACAATATCCACATAACTTGGAATTGATGAAACTATTGCTTTTCTAAACACCTGTGTGCTTTTGTAAATGCCTTTGTTTAATGGAGTTACTACTTATAGCATTTAAATATGTTATAGATGGGACAAATATATGATATGTAGCACCTGAGAAAGTAGTACCATAAGGAAAAACAATGGAAAAGGAGGGGAAACAGAGAAGCAGAAATGGGGATACATTTATCCGCAAAAAAATGCAAGAGGTAGAGGAATGGTTAAGCAAGCTGAGAACGCAGGGAGGACAGAAATGTAGAAATGATCTTCCTTGTGTGATTGTCACAATGTTGATGAGCACTAAAATACTGCCAGGTGCTGGTTTAGACTAACTTGACATCAAGCTTGCAAAAAAGAACACTATTTCCCAGTCCATGAAATGTTATTAATATGCAAGTGCAAGGGCACAGCGGGAGGATGAGAGAGAGGGAAAAAATCCAAAACGTCTTCTGACTCTAACTTGTACATCCTTAGGAGTAGATTAAAAAGAGATTCTGAAACAGGAGAATTTAAAAGAACAAGCACATTTGTCTTATACATTTGTGTTTCTATAAAAAGATTTTCACAGGAAATTTGTACTTGCAATGTATATTTCAGTGCTTTTACATTTTGTTTTGGCAAAGAAAGTAAAAGGAAAATTTTGTTTGTATGTTTAATTAAGGATTGCACCTGAGACGAGTCAAGCCTCTTGAAAAAGTCAAATGCCTCCATGTAAATATAATCAAGTTTCCTTTCCCAAGTGTCCATGTGTGATAAATAAAAAGTTTTAGATTACTAATATTCACAGGTAACACAGAGAAGAAAAAAAGAGAAATTCATAAAGAGACTTTAAGTGTTTAAGTTAGGGGTTGATCACCAGTTTGTGCAGTATATAAATTTTTGGAATGGTTTCACACACATGTATCTTGATTTGTGGATTGAGCTGCAAGTTCTCTTTCTGGGCATCTTTTGCTTGACAGATTCCCAGCATAGCACAAGTTCCTGGAGAGTTTAACAATCATCTTCTGCCAGCATGTCAATCTATAAGGGTTTAGTGCTTGGATGTCAGAGTGAGTGTTGATGATACTCGGAAGATCTGGGGAAGCATGTTACTAAGTTGATAAAACATTTCTTCAGAAATACTCTGTAAGACGAAAAAATAATAATTGCACTTGTTAAATCATCATTGATTTTAAAAATAATTTTAGAAGTATTTTAAAATATGGACCTAGTTCTACTAGGAATATGTGAGTGCAGTAGGTGAAAATTATCTTTCATGGCCGATGTAACTGCATGGCCATGGACAAGGGCTGGTTTTCCGGCTCCATCTTCTGAGAACTTATGTCATTTCTGTCAAATAATACGTTTGAGTAATAGAAAAACCTCTAGATAACACTAGTGTAATCAGTAATAAAAAACCACTAATTTTGCTAAGTTCTTCACAGAATACAGAATCATTATCTGCTAATGTCCTTATTTAAGAACCCTTTATAATCTATATAATACAAATGTGGAGAAAAACAAAGGAATGATGAGTCAAGTTTTGTTCAGGGGTTAAGTAACAAATCCCTTGAGTGGTAGATGCTAATATCTTTGACAATACACTAAGTGCCTTTATCACATCCAAATACTTCTCTCCTTAAAAAACAGAAAGCGATTAGCCTTTTGTGTTGTTTTTGGGATTTTAGGGCAGGATGCCTAGCTGTATCTGTGAGAAATCTAATAAAAGAGATTAAATTGGGGTGAGATCTATTCAGATAACATACCTGTGGTACTAGAAATTGCACTGTCCTAGAAATTCCTCCATCCCATGAAGCCATTTCCATCATGAAACCTAAAATAGAAAAACAGATGTTGCTGCATGACAAGTTCTGGCCTTCAAACCTACCAGTCACTTACTGAAATTAACTGAATTTTCACTGTGGGGCTTCATGTCTTGACTTTTTAGGTAGCCATTTGCTCGTAGGATAGGCTACACCTAAAGGACAGATAAATGTTTGCAATTCCTAATTCTTCATGCCAGAGAGGTTTAACAGAGTTTTGTCAACATGCTCTTATTTATGATTTCTCAAATCAAATTTAGTCTCCATACAATGAAGCCAAGATAGTTTATTAAAAGTTAATAAATATGTGGCTCTATTTTTTTTCTTTTTAAGAGAATAAAGGTAATAGCAAGCTGGCAGCAGAACAAAATGTAAATAATGTCCAAATAGCCTTGTATTTCAAAGGGGCTGGAGACTTATTTTGTGACTAGAAAAATAAAACTAAAAAAGTCTATTATGAAATATTTGCTTGCTAAACTATCTAACTGAGGCACTAGATTACAGGGGTATCTTTCACATTCTCTCTTCTGGGTTGCTCTACTTTCAATGTTTGGGAGGAAATACAGGTGGTGGTTGTCAGAGAGAAGATTATGCTCACCTTTGACACACTTGAACACAAGTTCCGCTCTCCTTAAGCACCAGGGTATAGTCATTTCCTAAAAACAGAAACAAAACATAAGATATGTTTTTGATAGAACTTTGTATAAAAAATAAAGTCAGATCTTTATCTATAGTGTTGACTATCCATGTTGTGAACAGATTTAGGTAACTGTTTGCTAATCCCAACTGGATTTCCTCTAGTTTTTAGGCATGCAGCTTCTTCCAGCTGTTAGACTATACTTGTGGAATACAAACTAATTTAGTTAGCCCCCTAAATACAGTTAAAAAATATATATATCCTTAATTTTTCTGGATAATTCTAAAGACAAATATAAATGACATAGGAACTCTACCTACTACTCTCAATGTTAGCATGAATAATTCTATTGCACTGTATATTTGCATAAGCAATAAAATGTTTTTACTGTATAATACATTATTACAAATGAGTGGAAATAAACAAATGCCCCATCCCAGCCACCTAACAAAACAAATGCATTCATTTTTCTATGTTACTTTCTAATCTTCAGTCAAATATGGACGTAAGTGTCACTGTTAGTCTATAACCAAAACACTGATAATCTTCCACAGTATGATTAGCGCGTATGCCATTTAAAAATCTGTCCCCCTTCACAAACACCAGAATTGTTTTTCCCTAAATCTTCATAATTATAACTATAAAACATGTAGATTATTTCACTATTGTGATTCTCAAACTTTGCGGGTCTCAGGATCTTTTGCACTCTTAAATATTAGCCTGGTGCAACAGTGCACATTTGTAGTCCCAGCTACTTGAGAGGTTGAAGCAGGAGGATTGCTTGAGTCCAAGAGTTCAAGTCCACCTGGGCAACAGAGTGAGACCCTTGCTCTAAAAAAATTTTTTTTTAAATCACTGAGGATTCCAATGAGCTTTTCTTTATGTAGATTATATCTCTTGATATTTATTGCATTCAGAATTAAAACTAAGAAAACATTAATTTAAAAATAATAAACCCATTCATGTTAATATAAATAACATTTTAATGAAAAATAACTATTTTCTAAAACAAAAAAAATTTTAGTAAGTGTAATAATGTTTTAAATTTCTGCAAATCTCATTAAGGCCTAGCCTAACAGAAGATATCTGGATTCTGATATCTGTCTCTGCATTCAATCTGTTATATTATCACACAGCACGTAGCTTCTGAAAAACTCACTGGACACCCGTGCAAGAATAAGAATAAAAAGGCAAATAATGTCTTCCTTACCAACTACTCAGTCTTTCATCTTTTGTAAGTAGGCTTCCATCCCATCACTCAACTGAAAATTCTTTACGTGACATCATCAATGATTATTAATTACCAAACCTTTTCTCAGTCTTATTCTAATTGCCGTTTACCTATTGTTGTAATTCACATACCTTAGGACCACTCCTTTTCTTCATGACATTTCCCCCCCTCTGCCCTGGGGCTGATATAGCATCAAATTATTCCAGTTCTTCACCTATCTCTGAAGGTCTTTGTGACCTCAAGGCTAGTTACCACTATGGCTTCCTATCTAGTGTCCTGAATTCTAGTGTTTCCCCTCTAAACCACTAATTTTGGCTATTTTAAGTACATTTCTGATCATATTATACTCCTGTTTTAAGAACTTACAATTGCTTCCTACTGTCTCACACATAATATGTAAGCCTTTCTTTTACTATTTAAGGCTACATACTTTAAAGCCAAAGCTACTTTAAGCTTCTGTGACTTTTAAATTTTTAAAAATGAAGGTTTCATTCAAGTATATCTGCTCACATTTGCCTAAACATGGTCTGCAATGCCTGTCACCCACCTCCCTCCATTTTTCCTCAATCTGTTTCTTCTACCTACAATGCCCTTCTCGGTAATTCCATCTATTGAACCTGATCTTCATTTTTCAATGTCCAGCTTAATTGCCATCTCCTCCATACAGTATTTCCTATTTTTCCAGCTACAAATATGTCTCCATTTTCTGAACTCCCAAAGTACTTTACTGTTCTTTTATCTCAATGCTCACATTTTTATCCTGTCGTTTTTGGGGAGGAGGGCAGAGGAATGGGCAGAAGAATGGGATTTATTCTTTCTCTTCTTGATTAAGTTGTGTGCTCTCTGAAGGTAGAAGCCACTTTTTATTCACCCTTATTACCTTTACAATGCCTTCTATAATACTGAGCAATACACATGCTCAAAAACATAGGTTGAGTGAATTAGCTTTTATCCATGGACATTTAAAAAGAATGTGACTTTCTCTGTAGCCAGAAATAGGGTTTAATAGGAAGCTACTTTTAAATTTGTGTCCAAGACACTTTGTTTTAAGATTGATTAAAGAAAGGTCTAGTTTTTTAGTTGGCTAAAAAGTAAAGAATCCTCTTGGGTTAGGTTCTGGAAGCTTCTAAAAATTCACTAGAATTTTCTGATATTCCACTTTAAGTTATAACACTTTGGCTTCAAAGTTCACAGAAAGAAGAGTATTTCCTTCTAACTGCAAAGGCTGCTACAAAAGAGCTACAGTGGTCTTATGGAGTACACACATGCATGGAGGGACAAGTGTTTGGTTTTTTTGTATTACTTCCTCCTAGTGAAAAGATGATGTACAGAGAGAACGAGGTGACTAAGAAATGTCTACAGCTGGCCGGGAGTGGTGGCTCACACCTGTAATCCCAGCACTTTGGGAGGCCGAGGCAGGCGGATCATCTGAGGTCAGAAGTTCGAGACCAGCCTGGCCAACGTGGTGAAACCCCGTCTCTACTAAAAATACAAAAATTAGCTGGGCATGATGGTGGGCGCCTGTAATCCCAGCTACTTGGGAGGATGAGGCAGGAGAATTGCTTGAACCTGCAAGACGGAGGTTGCAGTGAGCTGAGATCACGCCACTGTACTCCAGCCTGGGTAACAGAGCAGGACTCCGTCTCAAAAAATAAATAAATAAATAAATGTCTACCGCTACGGAGCAATGCTGATGGCTCTAAAAACTACAATAATAATGTCTTATGTTTACATGGAACTTTACAATATAAATAATCTAACAAAAATAACCTTTATAAATTTAAAAAAAAAAGATGCTCAGAGAGGTACAGCGAATTGCTTATGTGACAGCCTGAGGCTTGAATTTTCATTTTCTTAATAGCATCTTTTGATGAGCTAAAGTTTTGAATTTTAAAATATAATTTATTACGTTCGTCTTTTATGGCTTATGCCTTTGTGGCCTAACAAATTTTAACCTGCTTAACCTGATGTCATCAGGATTTTCTTTTATGTTTTCCTCTAGAAGCATTATAATATTAGCTCTTTTGTTTAGGTCTGATCCATTTTAAATTAATTTTTATATATGATATAATGTAAGGGTTACGATTGTCTTTTCTATACGAATACCCAGTTGTTTCAACAACACTGAAAAGATTATCCTTTCTCCCACTGCATTGCCTTGGCATCTTTGCTGGAGATCAAATGACCATATATGTATGGATTTATGTCTGGATGCTTTATTCTGTTTTCTGATCCACAGTCTATTCTTTTGCCAATATCACATTGCACTGATTACTGTAACTTCATAGCAGGTTCTGAAATTAGTTAGTGTAAGTTCTTTAACTTTGTTCTTTTTCAAAATTGTTTTGGCTGTTTCAGGTCCTGTGCATTTCCATATACATTTTAGAATTAGCTTGTCAAAATCTCAAAATTACCTTATAAGAATTCCAATTGAGATTTAAATCTATAGATCAATTTTAGAACTATTATCTTGACAATATTGAGTGTTCCAATCCATGAGTACGGGATATATTTCCATTTATTTAGGTCTTTTAAAATATCTCTCAGCAATGTTTTATAGTTGCCAGATCACTTTTCATAACATCTTTTTACTTGAAGGCATTTCAAGCTTGTCTTCAGTTCTTTAAACACAGTAATCAACTATTGTATGGTCTGTGTTTTATAATTCCAGTGCTTCAAGTCTTTGTGCATCTGTTTTTATGTTCAGTTGTTTCTGCTGATTCTCATTCACGGCATCTAATTTCATTAAGGACCTACTTATTCACTTACGTTAAACATTTTATTCAAGAACCCACATGTAGGAATAAATACTATTGTATAACTATTTGTATCATCTTAAAATATTACTCTAAAACCAATCATTTTTTGAAATACTATGATAGTAATCAGAATCAAGGAATTAGTACTATTTATACTGTTTTAATGAAGCACTCATTTTTAAATATAAAAAAGCATTTTCTGACAGTAACTTTTCTTATAATCCAGAATTTACTGACATCTATGATTAGCCTTGAATTATTTCAGGCTAAGGTCAAGTCTAAGCACCACTAGTCACAGGAGGACAACTAATGTGAA
The DNA here is from genome assembly GCF_000001405.40 of Homo sapiens. Taxonomy (NCBI): domain Eukaryota; kingdom Metazoa; phylum Chordata; class Mammalia; order Primates; family Hominidae; genus Homo; species Homo sapiens. Next base: position 4,495,522 of record NC_000012.12, read on the forward strand.
CTGTAAGCATAGAGCTTATTGAAGGGCTAGTTTTGAATACCCACAAATAGAATACATATTATTCCAATGCATTAAAATTAGGATACTAATGGTAATAATGAAAGATTGTAACGCAAGTTAAAATAGGGATGGGTTAAATGGTATGACCAAAAGTAGGTAGGGGAAGAGTAATGAAGTTCGTTGTCCCACTTGTCCAAAGGTCATCACGTTTTCCTCATTAATACCCTGCTTTCTTGCTTTGTGTATATGTGTGATTAATAGCATGGTCTAGAGCAAGTATTTGTGATACAAATTAAGAACTTCACACTTTTCAGAATTTGGTATGAATTAATGACAAAATTTCATCAATGCTATTTAGAGAATATACCAAAATACCAATTTGTGACAGGACCCTAGCAAATCTTTGAAGTGACGGACATATTTTAAAAATAAATTTAATTCTCAGATGATATAAACTCTCATATTCAGTATACTTTAACTTAATGCCACTTAGCAGCGTATGACTCTAAGAGGAAACTAGACAGCTACCTGTATATGCATGTGCACGCACACAAACACACACACACATACGTCTGAGTTGTTTTCAAATCTTCCATGTGCCTCCATAGAGACTCCACCGTTAGCTTAAGATAGATGCTTGCAAGGTTTTTTAATCCTGTCCTTTTGTCTCTGATTAAAACCAGCACCTAAAAAGAATGGCTTTGGGTACTTAGAAAAAGTAAACTGTGAGCTTTAGAATTCAATAAGGTCATGAGAAGAATGACTTATTCAATGTCACCATGAGTTGTGGTCAGCAGTTTCACAAGGAGCTCACTTCTGGAAACAAATCTTAGTATATATGATATAATAGATGGTATAGACAACATAGTGGGCCAGGTAACAGTACAGAAAGTTTTTGATCATAAGTTCTAAATAATGGAAAAGTGACTAAATCTTAGTAACATGCCTGTGAGAATGCACTGTTAGAGAAATCCAATGAAGCTGGAAGGATCAGGTGAAACACTATAGACTTTATAACTGGCCAAAAATTGGGCCCTACTGTCACACTTTAGATGACATGTGCAAAGAAGATTCTAAACCTATGAAAATGAAATTGAAATCTCAGTTCTGACTATAACTGAGACAACGCCTTCTATCTAAAGCTCACTGTTACTCAACTTGAATCCTCTCATTAGGGTAAGGCTGAACTGCAGAGTTAGCCAGTATGTTCTTTTGAAGTCTTCACTGTATGTCTTGGAATTCAGATATAAGAATTATTATCTGAGTTTATGCTCCAATGGGGAATATCCAAGATTATTCTTTACTTCTCAAGTATGTGCCTCTGAGGTACTTGAAACACTTGTGTTAATAAGTTTCACAGTCCTTAGCAGAAGATGAGAAATAGTTTGGCTTTATTTCTTATTTTTCGCATTCAATATAACAGCATAGGTACAACCACTTTGAAAAACTATTTGGCATATCTACCAAAGCTAAACATAAATATACCCTGAGACCTAACAATTCTATCCCTAAGTATTTTGACAAGCTAATTCTCAACAGAAATGTCAAAAGATGTCTGTTGGAATGTTCATAGCAATACTACTCATAACAATAAAAATCTGGAGAAACTACCCAAATGTCCACAAATAGTAGAATGTATAAATAACTGTGGTCTAGTCACACAATAATATATAACAATAACAATGAACAATCTATAACCATGCACAATATTATGGATAGATCTCACAAACATAATATTGAACGAAAGAAGCCAGATATAAGATAAACAGCAAAAGCAAGCCCAACTAATCCATAATTTTTGAGATGAAAACAGTGGCTACCCTTGAGGAGGGAGTGTGGTTTAACTGACTAAAAGGGAGGTGGCTGCTGGGTGCTGGTCATGTTCCATTTCATCATCTGCATATATGTTATATATGGGTGTTCAGTCTATGAAAAGTTGAGCTGCGTACCTATGTGTACCTTTCTATACGTGTGTTATACTCCAATAAAGAAGTTAAAAACAAACAACAAAATCTTCATTAGTAACCAACAGTTACAAAACTAAATAATTTGGTAAGCCCCAAATTATTCAACAAGTTAACAGCAAAAATAAAAGGAAGTTGAGAATTCAGTATTCTTGGCTTGCAGCTCCTCATTCCATAAGACTGACTCCAATAAGACAGTATCTTCAGATCACAAAGATCTATTGAGATAAAACTGATACGTCTTTCTTCTTGCTGATAGGTTATTTTTCCTTTATTCTTTTTAAACTGCAATTAATTTCTATAGCTCTTTTATCTGACATAGGACATGGGCTGTTTCAGTCATCTTCATTTTCTTGCACACACTAAAACATGGTAACTGAGTGTCTAACAATTCTGTTAGAAGAGGAAAATGACACCTGAAAATGCTTCGGGATGCTTGCACCAAAGCTAAAACAATATTACCTCTATATCCTGTGTAGTGTTGTCTGAGTTTATAGAGTAAACTTCTTGACCTGAATGGATGTTTAAATACAACAAATGGGAGAATCATAGCTCAATATACTTTTGTGAATTAAATTGGACACTTTGGAAACAAACTTAATGTTCTGCAGCTGGCCTTCCCAATTTAAAACATGTAACTTTTGTAACATTGTGGGAGAGGGAATGCTAGTAGTATCAGATGTCTGGAAGAAAATCTGAACTTAGTGACTTTTGGAAACACTGTTTTTGAGGCTGTTTCCCACCTACATATAACCATTTTTATAAACTGGCTAACCAGGAGTCCAGCTGCAGGAATGTTTGGATGAATTTCTTGTGGTAGGAATTCATCATAAACTTTGTTACTCCCCAAAGACCCTTTTATAGATAGACTAGTTAGTGATGATGATTTAACAATAGCTAAAAATTCCTGATGGAACTAAAACTTTATAAAGCTACAGTAGGGAAAAAAATGTTTGTCCATCTCTCTTGATACCATATTAGGTATGACTGAGGCTACAGAAGTGAATGGAATGAGAAATTAGTAAGTCTGATGAAGCTTTCATAGGATAGTACCAGGATTCTCCTAATCAAAACAACAACGTGCCTGGTAAAACTATACCAGCATAGATTATAAATGGGAAATCACTGAAAATCACCCTGTCTCGGAAGGACAAGAATTATTTTTTTGTGTTTATATAGCAGCAGGCCCCAACCTTTTTGGCACCAGGAACCAGTTTCACGGAAGTCAATTTTTCCACAGACTGGAGTTGGGGGTGAGGGTGGGGATAGCAGGGATGGTTTCAGGATGAAACTGTTCCACCTCAGATCATCAGGCATTAGATTCTCAAAAGGAGCACGCAACCTAGCTCCCTCGCACACGCAGTTCACAATAGGGTTCACGCTCCTATGACAGTCTAATGTGGCTGCTGATCTGACAGGAGGCAGAGCTCAGGCAGTAATGCTTGCCCTTCAATGCTCACCTCCTGCTGTGTGGCAGGTTCTTGGCCTGGCAGTTTGGGAGCCCTGTTATACAGGATATGAAATTTAAAATGAGGCCCCTGTAATATAATGAATCTAAGTAGGGACTTAGTCTAAAAAGTAAAACATAAAATCTTTTACACTGTCCTTTACAATATAGCATTTTTCTTTTGGTAAATAGCTATTTATAATCAATAATCAAACTTCTTTCCTGACAATCACAATCTCTGCTTCCCAGTCAGTGATTTATTTAAGAGATACAGTTTCACCATGTTGCTCAGGCTGGTCTTGAACTCTGGGCTAAAACAATCTTCCTGCCTCAGTCCTGGGAGTAGCTGGGACTACAGGTGCCAACTCTGCTTTTTAAAAAATGCCTCCTCAAAATAAGCAGGCACAGAGTTGCTGATAGTAGCCCTTCATCACCAAGTTGAGCACTGGCTCTCCTATGACTTGTCTGGACCTGTTTGGCTTGAGGCTCATTTGTTTCTCCAGACTATGTAAAGCTGAATTTTAGTCTTTATATTATTTCTACAATGTATGCCTTCTAACCAGTTTCTATGTGGGTGAAGGAAGAAAGAGGAAAACCATTCATGGAAAAAGACTGTTAAAAATTAAATTATAGTCCGTAACAAAATGGAAGAATGATCATGCTACATCCTAATTGCAGAACTGTATTAGCTAAAAGGAACCCTTGAGACAAATGTTAAACTAAGGCTGGCTTCTTCCTGTCATCTAGCATCTCTTCCCAATACCTATTAATGCAAACTCAGAAAATGCAGACTAATTTTCATGGCAGCCTAAGCCAAATCTATGTGTATGTAAATCTAATGCTACTTAAGCCAAAAAGAAGAAAGAGGGGTAAGAAGAGGGGGTAGGGGAGAAGGAAGACAGGGAAGAGGAGGAAAAAAAGGAGGAGAAAGAGGTGTAGGGGCACATGCCTTATCCAAAGCTAAGTATTATTTGGATTTTCTAGTTTATTTACTATAGGACAATGCTATAGCTCTCTGAACATAAATGGTTAAGGATTATTCACCAATTTGTATTATATTTCACTCGATTCTACTAACCAGATCGGAGATGCAAAAATCCATTAGTTTAAAAAAATGTAAAGTGGATTATTATATAATATTGGGGGTTAAATCAATATTATGATTATGTAAATCATAAAATTACAGGATTTTTCTATCTGCTTACCTCTGACATATCATGTACCAGCAAGAGAGGAATGCTTATTGTTGTGATGTCATGGGTACAGCAAACTTTGAGTATATTTCGGAGTCCCATAATGGCAGGATCACGAGCAGTGATGTTTCCCGATTTCACATGGTCATCCACACAGAGATGGAAAGCAACATGGATTTCTGAGAGATTAGAATGCCGTGTAATATAAAATTCCCCTGTGAACAATAAATACAATCATGATTACCAAATGCCTAAGTAAGTCACATTCATCAATGGGCTTTATAAGTAAGTGTAATGGGCAATCAATGTGTTGAACTAGTAGGGGTGTATCCCAAACATTTACTGGATTCAGGAAGCAACTGTGATTACTGCTCTTCAATTCTCAGAGAGAAGGTAATGAAAATAAGAGACAATAGCCAATTATGCAATAGGTTCATAAATTGGTATGAAGTGACCACCAAGTAGTAAATAAATCAAATGAGTACTCATCTTTATTTTGATGTACATGCCCAAGATGTCAAATTAATTAATTAATTAATTAATTTTGACATGGAGTCTTACTCTGTCACCAAGCTGGAGTGCAGTGGCACCATCTTGGCTCACTGCAACCTCCGACTCCCTGGTTCAAGCAATTCTCCTGCCTCAGCCTCTCGAGTAGCTGGGATTACAGGCATGTGCCATCATGCCCAGCTAATTTTTGTATTTTTAGTAGAGATGGGGTTTCACCATGTTGGCTAGGATGGCCTCCATCTCCTGACCTCATGATCCGCCCGCCTTGGCCTCCCAAAGTGCTGGGATTACAGGCGTGGGCCACCGTGCCCAGCCTAAAATGTCAAATTTAACATGTAAAAAAGGTTACTTGTTTTTTACGTGCCCTAAATCTGCTGTTCCTCATCTCAACTTATGAGACCAATCTGTCCAGTTAGTTGCCCAGGACACAAAGATAGGTGTCCTTAATTCCTTTGCTTTCCCTCAATGCCTATCACCCCATCCACAATCCAATCTACCACCAACTATTTTCAGTTCTATCTCCAGAACAGCCCACATCTGAGTATTCCACTTTCATTGGTGTCACCCCAGTTCATGCTACTGTAATTTCTCACCTAGGTTTTTGTAACATTCTCTTAATCGATCTCCTTACTCCCTACTTGTCCACCTACATACCAATTCTTCATGCAGTTATGACTTAAATATATATCATATTATATCTCTCCCCTACTTAAAATCCCTACTCTTTATCGTGGTCTAGAACAAGGGTCCCTCATGGACTGGCACCGTCCATCACCTGTTAGGAACCGGGCTGCATAGTGGGAGGTGAGCAGCCAGCAAGCAAGTGAAGCTTCATCTGTATTTACAGCCGCTCCTCACTGCTCACATTACTGCCTGAGTTCCGCCTCCTGTCAGATCAGTGGCAGCATTAGATTCTCACAGGAGCACGAACCCTATTGTGAACTGTGCATGCGAGGGATCTAGGTTGCGTGCTCCTTATGAGATTCTAATGCCTGATGATCTGTCACTGTCTCCCATCACCCCTAGATGGGATCATCCAGTTGCAGGAAAACAAGCTCAGGGCTCCCACTGATTCTATATTACAGTGACTTGTGTAATTATTTCATTAAATATTGAAATGTAATAATAATAGAAATAAAGTACACAATAAATGTAATGCACTTCAATCATCCTCAAACCTCCCCAACCCCCGGTCTGTGGAAAACTGTCTTCCATGAAACTGGTCCCTGGTGCTGGTGCCAAAAACGTTGGGGACCACTAGTCTAGAAGGCCAAGATGACTTGGACCCTGCGTCTCTCTCCAACATCATCTTGTCTCACTCTTTCCTCACTCCAGTTACATATGCTTTTGTTTAGTTCTTCAAACATGCAGAGCTTGTTTCCAATTCAGGGCTGCTGCCTGGAGGACTCTTCTCCAAGATTCTCACAGGGCTGACTTCTTTTCATCAATCACATCTCAGATCAAAAGTCACCTCCTCAGAAAGGTCTTCCTTGACTATCCTATGTACTAGTGGTCTCCTCCACCCTTTACTCTTTCACCTTATTCGGTTTTATTTTCTTCTTAGCACTGAAATTCTTTTATGTACATATTATGTTAAAGAGACCACTGTGTACATGCCATAATTATAGGGATTTTATTTTGTTAAATGTTCTATCTTTAGCAAGTAGAACAGCACCTGGCACGTAGAAGGTACTCGATAAGTATTTGTTGAATGAATGAGTATTTAAGGCTGAACGCTGGAGCAGTCTTTCTCAAACATTAAAATCCATGCTTCCTACCATCACTCTTTTTTCTGTGTAGCTCTACAAGCCAAGAAAAATCTCATCAGCTTGTATTTTCTGTAGTTCCTATCAATATAAAGAAATAAAATAGAAAACATAGAAAGGATATGTTCTTACCAATACATACACCTCACTGGAAATTCTGATAAGTCCTTCTAGGAAAGGTCTGCGTATCTCTACTCTTCCACTCTTAACCTTTGCCCTCACAAATTCTGCTCGCCCTTGCAGCAACATCATTATCTTAGGATCTACTTATAAACATACAGTATACTTAAAATACTTAATATACTTTAGCCCTATGGTTAACATTTCTAGTTGCCGCTGTGCATCAGCTGTATCCACAGATGCCTCTGACAGGTCCCAGGCAAAGGTCTTTTTATTTTTTATTTTAACTTGAACAAGATAAAGGAATTAGATAAACAGAGAAGGAAATTAAAGAAAGGACAGCAACAGATATATCACAATAAACTGGATAAAGTGACAGTAAAAAAGAAAATTCGTGAGGAATAGTGTAGTTATAATTTTCTAGGAAGGCAACAAAAGACACAGACTGCTTATCAGAAACTCAGTGAACTATATGATAAGACAATATCCTTCTGGCCCAGTGAAGTGTATTACCTTCTAAACCGCTACTGATAATTCAGATGATGGAAGTCATAGCTTGAGATATGGGCCATGATCCAGGAGTGTAGCAGGATGACTTAGTGAACAAGTCAGGTGCTCCTAATCCCCAAATTGGCACTGCTTTCTTTGACCTTAAATGACTTGTTTCTTGGCCTAATTTTACCCATTAATAAAATGGGGGCCATGGGGCTGGCAGTAGTAATCAAATTAATATGATATAGTAGAAAAAGGACCAGATTGGATGTTAAGAAGATGTGATTTCTAGCACATTGGCTGAGTGATCTTGGGCAAATCAATTCAACTTATTGATCCTCTGTTACTTAGTGTATGAGATGGGAAAAATAATGCTGATTGCTTTCCTTACAAGGTTATTATGAGAATTAGATGACATAAACTGTAAATACTTAGATCATTATTAAGTAAACTATGACTGGCTTACAAGTATATAAATAAAACTGTTTTTCTTTGCAATTTAAAAATTAAATTAATTTTTGATTTAGATTTTTTTCATCTACTGTAAACATCCTGGTTGTGTAGGTATACTTTAAATGGAAATTAAGATGCTATTATCTCTAACTGAATACTTTAATATTCCTTTTCTATCTCAGACTTATGATACATCCTCCTGATTTGGTTGTAATACAGAGATAAAGTATACAAATAAGAGAGTCCTTGTTATGTTCTGTGATACAAACACTACTAAGGGTCATCAGAGTGAATTCAATCAGAAACAGGACTGAGAGACTGAACTTCCAGTTGTTAAACAACCTATAGGCTTTTTCCAAAAAAGACTAAGGAAACACATATAGCAACAAAGAGTTATGTTTAAAAAAAAACAGATATTAGTTCTTCCAGAGTAGTAATAAGATTGGCAAATTTTAAGAAAGCCACAAAATCTGGATGATTTAAATTGTGGATCCATGAAGAGAAATACAATAGATCCTTCACTGAAGGTATTTTTAGATGAAGAGGAGGATGGTCTCCTGTTCCACACAGTGGAGGAAACAGCATGTGGTGATGCTAACATTATCCACTAAGATGGGATAACTGAAGGTGGGAGGAAATTTCGAGGCTGATGGCCACAGGCTAACAGACGGGGCCTGACAAGATGAATACCAGCAATGGGTACAATATTGGCTTAGGTTAAATGTAATGTGTTCCCACTGAGTGACGGCGGTTTCGTGTGTAGGTTAATGTGATCTACATGTCAAAGATCTGGGGAAGAAAATGTGAGAAAATTACCTTAAAGGAGAATAAAAAACCATCAAGAGATGGCTATTTCTGAAACTGTAAAATGTACCATTTAGTTAAAAAATTGTATAAAGTGTACAAATAGTCCTTGTTATGTTCTGTGATACAAACACTAAGGGTCATCAGAGTGAATTCAATCAGAAAGAGGATTGAGAGACTGAATTTTCAGTTGTTAAACAACATATTCAAGAATAATAAAGGAGAAAAATGGAAAGCAGAAAAACGTAAGAGGAAATGAAAATAAAATAAATGAGATGATCCATTTTCTTTATATTTAAGTTCAACTGTTTATATCTCTGTGCACTACTGTTCATATATCACTTGATTTTAGCTATAAGGCTGAGAAGTGTATAGTTTATATTTCAGAGTAAAACTAATTTTTTGGTTTATTTCTCAAGAAGCTAAGAAATAGTGTATAAGAGAAAATTTGCAATAGCAAACAATGATAAAACTTATGCAACTTCTTGAGCAATTTTTCTTTTATGGATCTAGAAAAAAGTGAGTACTAGTATAATATTAATAATTTTTAGGCCGGGCATGGTGGCTCACGCTTGTAATCCCAGTACTTTGGGAGGCTGAAGCAGGTGGATCACTTGAGGTCAGGAGTTCAAGACCAGCCCGGCCAACATGGTGAAATACCATCTCTACAAAAAATACAAAAAAAGTAGCCGGGTACGGTGGCGTGGGCCTGTAGTCCCAGCTACTCAGGAGGCTGAGGCAGGAGAATCGCTTGAACCCGGGTGGCAGAGGTTGCAGTGAACTGAGATCGCACCACTGTGCTCCAGCCTGGGCGACAGAACGAGGCTTCGTCTCAAAACAAACCAACAAAATAATTAAGTTTAACACTGGAAAACGTCTGTGAAAGTGTATTATATAGGTACAAAGTGTTGTTTCAAAGTGATATAATGACATATACTAAAATCATAGATTTAAAACATAAATTCCTATGGTGTGCATTATAAAACATCTTTTGGTATAAGAAAACAGTAATTTAAAATAAAAAGAAATACTTACCAGGTAAAACATTTAAATAGTTCCTCTCAGCATTCTTAGTCTTATCATCATTTCCTCCATTTTGGTTTCCAGAATCTATTCATAAGACAATGCAATATGAAAGAACATAACAACATATGAGAATATGTTACTATGACTGCTCCCAAAAGAATCACAACAACAGCAAAAATTCACTAAGGGCATCTATGTGCCAGGCATTCTGCTATATGCTTTACATGGATGATGTCATTTAATTCTTACAAAACCTCTATAACCACAGCCCTGGGAGGTAAGTCCTACTACTATGTCCATTTTATGTATGAGGAGACAGAGGCTTGGATGGGTTAACTAACTTAACCAAGCATGCACAGATAAGTAGTGGAGCCAGGTCTTTAATTCACATACTCAGATTATAAGTCCTATGGTATTACCCATATTAGACATGCCAGTATCCTATTTTTCATCTGGGAGGTTCAGGGCACCAAGTTAACCACATATAAAATAACTTCATTAGATAGTTGTGGTGTGGCCATCTTTATTTTTAGAATCTGAGTCACTGTTGTTGATATAACTTGTTCAGGGCTACAAATAAATGGCTAGTGGGACCAGGAATCACTGTATATTCACCCCATTCCTAAAATTTATTTCTTACCTGACGCTATATACAATTATAACAGATAGGTGAAACTGTTTCAAATGAAACAGCTTTTTTTTCAGATATTTAACAGTTTTTCTTCTTTTTTGAAGGCACGCTATTTCTTAGAAGAATAAATAAAATAAACATTATGATTGAATATACATTATAAAGACTGAATGCAAATTATTTTACATATATATTTTAATAAAAGAGACATCTAAAGTTTATAAGAATTCCATCAGAACTCACAAATGCAAACTGAATATTAGCCTTCAAAGTAGCTATCTTTAAGAGATTGCATATTTATTCCAATTAAAAACTATTTTGGAATCTATTTTGGAATGGCCTTTAGCATCAGAAAATCACATGAAAACAGACCTTCAAACAAGTAAACAGCAAATATCAAAATATTATAGTTTTAAAAGAGATCTGAATAAAAGTAACAATATTTTTATCCAGTGACTTTGATAAATTGATTTATAACACTGTACTTTGTAAATGCACATATTTTATAAATCAAGAGTCAGAGAGATAGAAGGCTTTGATGCTAGAATCCATATTTAATGAATTATCGTTTCTAATATAGAGCCATGTGATTTGATAGGCTTTGAATAGATGTCTAATCGTAGCATAGATTATAAGGAACAATAAAGAAGGACTCTAATCTTGTTCACATGGAGTATGAACAAATAGAATCTCTGTTAAGTAAACGAGAGAGAACAGTTCATAGTCCATTTCCCTTTCCATGTTTTCATGGCAATACCTTGTTTAGTAATAGTAAGAAGATGGCTAGTTTTATTTTTTTTAAATGTATATAAATGTGTATAAACATTTTTGGCTTTTTATCATGGACCACAGAAATATGAAGATGTTAATATAACAACCATAGTAAGAAAAATAATGGAATGTCTTAGAATAAACAAGTAATTGCATATCAGGATGTAAACATGCAGAACACACATGTAGGCGTGCACAGAAAAAGATGGAGAAGGTATTTTCACAAAGTCCTTCTATAACAACATGCAGCTTTAAGAAAGTCTTTTATAAACCTACTTGCATCACTGACTCACTGAAACCACAAAGTAGTTGCTTGAACAAGAACAAAATAAAATCATGATATACACGCACTGCCTTAGCCGTATGTGGTTTAAAAACTTCCTGTCATTGACTGCACACTTTCTATCTCTCATAAATATACTTAGAATCCTCCTCCTCCTTCCACACCTGTCATGATCTCAATCTTCATGCTTTTAGTCACTACTAAGAATAAGGTTAAAATGTTTCTGATCACATTATTGCTAGTTTGTACGAGAAGAAGGAAGCTATTTTTACGTAATATGGATATGAGTTCTTTTTGCGAGGGTTGATAAAAGTAATAACAATTGGTAGAAGAATAAGAGGGTATACCGAGATTTTCTGAAAGGTTTTGTTAGGATATACTTCTATAGGGATTTTCTAATACTCAGCTGGCTCTGTTATATATAACACATATTGCCACAGCAAAACCTCCCTTTAGTGGGAATATAAACTGGTAGAAATACTATACAGAGTAATCGCCAATACTACGGAAAATTATAAACGTATGTGTCCTTTAACCCAGGAATTATCTTTAGGAATCTCTTCTGTAGATATGCTTACTGCTCACACACATGCACAATTATTCATATGCAAGGTTATTTACAATTAGTAGTCATTACTACTTATAGTAACAAAAAATAAGCAATAGATCAAATGTCTATTAGGAGGAGACTGATTAATAACAGGATATCCTGCAACAGACTACTATGCAACAGCATAAAAGTATGAGGATGGTCTTTATGGACTGATACGAAATGACCTCCAAGATAAATTACTCAGTGAAAAAGGCAGAGTACAGAATAGTGTTATGTAGAAAGCTGCCATTTATGTAAAAAAGGAAAATAAGTACACACATACACTTGCTTACACATACATAAACATCTGTCTGGAAGGTACATGTGAGATAGCACTGGGTACCTCTGAAGAGGGAAACTGGATGGCTGGGAACAGAGTTAGGGACACTTTCACTGTATGCTCTTTTGTACAGTTTGAATTGTGAATTTTGAGAGTGTTTTACCTATTTAAAAAATGATTAAAAACATATAAACTATTTTTTACAAGTTTATTGAATAGATAAAGAAACTGCAGTGAACCCTAGTCAAGTTATGCTAGTCAAGTTATGACTAGATAGCCACATTCTAGCTACGGGAGAAAGGAAAGAATTCTGTAATTTCTGGGAGAGAGGAAGATGGGAGATGGGAACAAAGACCCTTCAGAAAGGTCTTCCTTATATCAAGCAAAGATATAATATCTCTCTGCTACTGTACAACAGAAAATATATGCACCTAAAATACTACAATGGTTTCTTTAAACACAGCAGGTGCAAACAAAGAAAAGAAAGAAAAAAGCATTCAAAAGTACCAAACACAGATTTAAAGGTACAAACAGCCCCAATTTTAAAGCTTACCACATTTTATTTCCTGGGCACCAATATCAGGTTTTTATAAGAAATAATTAAATACTTGCCAGGTGCAGTGGCTCATGCCTGTAATCCCAGCACTTTGGGAGGCCAAGGTGGGCAGATCACATGAGGCCAGGAGTTTGAGAACAGTCTGGCCAACATGGCAAAACCCCGTCTCTATTAAAAATACAAAAATTAGCCAGGCACGGTGGTACACATCTGTAATCCCAGCTACTCAGGAGGCTGAGGCACGAGAATTGCTTGAGCCCAAGAGGCAGAGGTTGCAGGGACTGAGATCGTGCCACTGCATTCCAGCCTAGATGACAGAGTGAGACTCTGTCTCAAAAAAAAAAAGGAGAAATAATAAAATACTGTGTATGCATTCAAGCCAGACAAGAGGATGTTTGTGATTTTACATCTATGATACATGAAATATAAGAAAAACACAACTTAAAAAATATTTGAAATGACTATTACCCTAATATTTAGGTCCTGGGGGGAGGAGCCAAGATGGCCAAATAGGAACAGCTCCGGTCTACAGCTCCCAGCATGAGCGACGCAGAAGACGGGTGATTTCTGCATTTCCATCTGAGGTACCGGGTTCATCTCACTAGGGAGTGCCAGACAGTGGGCGCAGGTCAGTGGGTGCGCGAGCCGAAGCAGGGCGAGGCATTGCCTCACTTGGGAAGCGCAAGGGGTCAGGGAGTTCCCTTTCTGAGTCAAAGAAAGGGGTGACGGACGCACCTGGAAAATCGAGTCACTCCCACCCGAATATTGCGTTTTTCAGACCCGCTTAAAAAACGGCGCACCACGAGATTATATCCCACACCTGGCTCGGAGGGTCCTACGCCCACGGAGTCTCGCTGATTGCTAGCACAGCAGTCTGAGATCCAACTGCAAGGCGGCAGCGAGGCTGGGGGAGGGGCGCCCGCCATTGCCCGGGCTTGATTAGGTAAACAAAGCAGCCGGGAAGCTCCAACTGGGCAGAGCCCACCACAGCTCAAGGAGGCCTGCCTGCCTCTGTAGGCTCCACCTCTGGGGGCAGGGCACAGACAAACAAAAAGACAGCAGCAACCTCTGCAGACTTAAATGTCCCTGTCTGACAGCTTTGAAGAGAGCACTGGTTCTCCCAGCACGCGGCTGGAGATCTGAGAACGGGCAGACTGCCTCCTCAAGTGGGTCCCTGACCCCTGACCCCCGAGCAGCCTAACTGGGAGGCACCCCCCGGCAGGGGTACACTGACACCTCACACGGCAGGGTATTCCAACACATCTGCAGCTGAGGGTCCTGTCTGTTAGAAGGAAAACTAACAAACAGAAAGGACATCCACACCAAAAACCCATCTGTACATCACCATCATCAAAGACCAAAAGTAGATAAAACCACAAAGATGGGGAAAAAACAGAACAGAAAAACTGGAAACTCTAAAACGCAGAGCGTCTCTCCTCCTCCAAAGGAACGCAGTTCCTCACCAGCAATGGAACAAAGCTGGATGGAGAATGACTTTGACGAGCTGAGAGAAGGCTTCAGACGATCAAATTACTCTGAGCTACGGGAGGACATTCAAACCAAAGGCAAAGAAGTTGAAAACTTTGAAAAAAATTTAGAAGAATGTATAACTAGAATAACCAATACAGAGAAGTGCTTAAAGGAGCTGATGGAGCTGAAAACCAAGGCTCGAGATCTACGTGAAGAATGCAGAAGCCTCAGGAGCCGATGCGATCAACTGGAAGAAAGGGTATCAGCAATGGAAGATGAAATGAATGAAATGAAGCAAGAAGGGAAGTTTAGAGAAAAAAGAATAAAAAGAAATGAGCAAAGCCTCCAAGAAATATGAGACTATGTGAAAAGACCAAATCTATGTCTGATTGGTGTACCTGAAAGTGATGGGGAGAATGGAACCAAGTTGGAAAACACTCTGCAGGATATTATCCAGGAGAACTTCCCCAATCTAGCAAGGCAGGCCAACGTTCAGATTCAGGAAATACAGAGAACGCCACAAAGATACTCCTCGAGAAGAGCAACTCCAAGACACATAATTGTCAGATTCACCAAAGTTGAAATGAAGGAAAAAATGTTAAGGGCAGCCAGAGAGAAAGGTCGGGTTACCCTCAAAGGGAAGCCCATCAGACTAACAGCAGATCTCTCGGCAGAAACCCTACAAGCCAGAAGAGAGTGGGGGCCAATATTCAACATTCTTAAAGAAAAGAATCTTCAACCCAGAATTTCATATCCAGCCAAACTAAGCTTCGTAAGTGAAGGAGAAATAAAATACTTTACAGACAAGCAAATGCTGAGAGATTTTGTCACCACCAGGCCTGCCCTAAAAGAGCTCCTGAAGGAAGCGCTAAACATGGAAAGGAACAACCGGTACCAGCCGCTGCAAAATCATGCCAAAATGTAAAGACCATCAAGACTAGGAAGAAACTGCATCAACTAACGAGCAAAATCACCAGCTAACATCATAATGACAGGATCAAATTCACACATAACAATATTAACTTTAAATGGACTAAATTCTCCAATTAAAAGACACAGACTGGCAAATTGGATAAAGAGTCAAGACCCATCAGTGTGCTGTATTCAGGAAACCCATCTCAGGTGCAGAGACACACATAGGCTCAAAATAAAAGGATGGAGGAAGATCTACCAAGCAAATGGAAAACAAAAAAAGGCAGGGGTTGCAATCCTAGTCTCTGATAAAACAGACTTTAAACCAACAAAGATCAAAAGAGACAAAGAAGGCCATTACATAATGGTAAAGGGATCAATTCAACAAGAAGAGCTAACTATCCTAAATATATATGCACTCAATACAGGAGCACCCAGATTCATAAAGCAAGTCCTGAGTGACCTACAAAGAGACTTAGACTCCCACACATTAATAATGGGAGACTTTAACACCCCACTGTCAACATTAGACAGATCAACGAGACAGAAAGTCAACAAGGATACGCAGGAACTGAACTCAGCTCTGCACCAAGTGGACCTAATAGACATCTACAGAACTCTCCACCCCAAATCAACAGAATATACATTTTTTTAGCACCACACCACACCTATTCCAAAATTGACCACATAGTTGGAAGTAAAGCTCTCCTCAGCAAATGTAAAAGAACAGAAATTATAACAAACTATCTCTCAGACCACAGTGCAATCAAACTAGAACTCAGGATTAAGAATCTCACTCAAAGCCGCTCAACTACATGGAAACTGAACAACCTGCTCCTGAATGACTACTGGGTACATAACAAAATGAAGGCAGAAATAAAAATGTTCTTTGAAACCAACGAGAACAAAGACACAACATACCAGAATCTCTGGGACGCATTCAAAGCAGTGTGTAGAGGGAAATTTATAGCACTAAATGCCCACAAGAGAAAGCAGGAAAGATCCAAAATTGACAACCTAACATCACAATTAAAAGAACTAGAAAAGCAAGAGCAAACACATTCAAAAGCTAGCAGAAGGCAAGAAATAACTAAAATCAGAGCAGAACTGAAGGAAATAGAGACACAAAAAACCCTTCAAAAAATCAATGAATCCAGGAGCTGGTTTTTTGAAAGGATCAACAAAATTGATAGACCGCTAGCAAGACTAATAAAGAAAAAAAGAGAGAAGAATCAAATAGACACAATAAAAAATGATAAATGGGATATCACCACCGATCCCACAGAAATACAAACTACCATCAGAGAATACTACAAACACCTCTACGCAAATAAACTAGAAAATCTAGAAGAAATGGATAAATTCCTCGACACATACACTCTCCCAAGACTAAACCAGGAAGAAGTTGAATCTCTGAATAGACCAATAACAGGATCTGAAATTGTGGCAATAATCAATAGCTTACCAACCAAAAAGAGTCCAGGACCAGATGGATTCACAGCCGAATTCTACCAGAGGTACAAGGAGGAACTGGTACCATTCCTTCTGAAACTATTCCAATCAATAGGAAAAGAGGGAATCCTCCCTAACTCATTTTATGAGGCCAGCATCATTCTGATACCAAAGCCAGGCAGAGACACAACCAAAAAAGCAAATTTTAGACCAATATCCTTGATGAACATTGATGCAAAAATCCTCAATAAAATACTGGCAAAACGAATCCAGCAGCACATCAAAAAGCTTATCCACCATGATCAAGTGGGCTTCATCCCTGGGATGCAAGGCTGATTCAATATACGCAAATCAATAAATGTAATCCAGCATATAAACAAAGCCAAAGACAAAAACCACATGATTATCTCAATAGATGCAGAAAAAGCCTTTGACAAAATTCAACAACCCTTCATGCTAAAAACTCTCAATAAATTAGGTATTGATGGGACGTATTTCAAAATAATAAGAGCTATCTATGACAAACCCACAGCCAATATCATACTGAATGGGCAAAAACTGGAAGCATTCCCTTTGAAAACTGGCACAAGACAGGGATGCCCTCTCTCACCACTCCTATTCAACATAGTGTTGGAAGTTCTGGCCAGGGCAATTAGGCAGGAGAAGGAAATAAAGGGTATTCAATTAGGAAAAGAGGAAGTCAAATTGTCCCTGTTTGCAGATGACATGATTGTATATCTAGAAAACCCCATTGTCTCAGCCCAAAATCTCCTTAAGCTGATAAGCAACTTCAGCAAAGTCTCAGGATACAAAATCAATGTACAAAAATCACAAGCATTCTTATACACCAACAACAGACAAACAGAGAGCCAAATCATGAGTGAACTCCCATTCACAATTGCTTCAAAGAGAATAAAATACCTAGGAATCCAACTTACAAGGGATGTGAAGGACCTCTTCAAGGAGAACTACAAACCACTGCTCAAGGAAATAAAAGAGGATACAAACAAATGGAAGAACATTCCATGCTCATGGGTAGGAAGAATCAATATCGTGAAAATGGCCATACTGCCCAAGGTAATTTACAGATTCAGTGCCATCCGCATCACAAGCTACCAATGACTTTCTTCACAGAATTGGAAAAAACTACTTTAAAGTTCATATGGAACCAAAAAAGAGCCCGCATCGCCAAGTCAATCCTAAGCCAAAAGAACAAAGCTGGAGGCATCACACTACCTGACTTCAAACTATACTACAAGGCTACAGTAACCAAAACAGCATGGTACTGGTACCAAAACAGAGATATAGATCAATGGAACAGAACAGAGCCCTCAGAAATAACGCCACATATCTACAATTATCTGATCTTTGACAAACCTGAGAAAAACAAGCAATGGGGAAAGGATTCCCTACTTAATAAATGGTGCTGGGAAAACTGGCTAGCCATATGTAGAAAGCTGAAACTGGATCCCGTCCTTACACCTTATATAAAAATCAATTCAAGATGGATTAAAGATTTAAACGTTAGACCTAAAACCATAAAAACCCTAGAAAAAAACCTAGGCATTACCATTCAGGACATAGGCATGGGCAAGGACTTCATGTCCAAAACACCAAAAGCAATGGCAACAAAAGCCAAAATTGACAAATGGGATCTAATTAAACCAAAGAGCTTCTGCACAGCAAAAGAAACTACCATCAGAGTGAACAGGCAACCTACAAAATGGGAGAAAATTTTCACAACCTACTCATCTGACAAAGGGCTAATATCCAGAATCTACAATGAACTCAAACAAATTTACAAGAAAAAAACAAACAACCCCATCAAAAAGTGGGCAAAGGACATGAACAGACACTTCTCAAAAGAAGACATTTATGCAGCCAAAAAACACATGAAAAAATGCTCATCATTACTGGCCATCAGAGAAATGCAAATCAAAACCACAATGAGATACCATCTCACACCAGTTAAAATGGCAATCATTAAAAAGTCAGGAAACAACAGGTGCTGGAGAGGATGTGGAGAAATAGGAACACTTTTACACTGTTGGTGGGACTGTAAACTAGTTCAACCACTGTGGAAGTCAGTGTGGCGATTCCTCAGGTATCTAGAACTTAGAAATACCATTTGACCCAGCCATCCCATTACTGGGTATATACCCAAAGGACTATAAATCATGCTGCTATAAAGACACATGCACACGTATGTTTACTGCGGCATTATTCACAATACGAAGACTTGGAACCAACCCAAATGTCCAACAGTGATAGACTAGATTAAGAAAATGTGGCACATATACACCATGGAATACTATGCAGCCATAAAAAATGATGAGTTCATGTCCTTTGTAGGGACATGGATGAAATTGGAAATCATCATTCTCAGTAAACTATCGCAAGAACAAAAAACCAAACACCGCATATTCTCACTCATAGGTGGGAATTGAACAATGAGATCACATGGACACAGGAAGGGGAATATCACACTCTGGGGACTGTGGTGGGGTGGGGGGAGGGATAGCATTGGGAGATATACCTAATGCTAGATGACGAGTTAGTGGGTGCAGCGTGCCAGCATGGCACATGTATACATATGTAACTAACCTGCACAATGTGCACATGTACCCTAAAACTTAAAGTATAATAAAATAAAATAAAATAAAAAATATTTAGGTCCTAACTAAACAAACCTATGGTACCAATTTAATTTACAAAGAAACCAATATACTTAATGCTAGATGACGAGTTAGTGGGTGCAGCACACCAGCATGGCACATGTATACATATGTAACTAACCTACACATTGTGCACATGTACCCTAAAACTTAAAGTATAATAATAAATAAATAAAGAATAAAATAAACTTTCATTTTTCAATTAAAAAACAGCTGAATTACTCTGCGATTTGAGCCAGAAATTTTTCTTTTACCTGCCTTCCCTTAATCCTCTTCCTATGTGTAGATAGAAAGCTTCTGAAGAAAGATGCCATTAACTTTTTCAATAGCTTTAAAAACCATTTCCAGGATGGAGGTTTCTTAAAAAATTAAAAACAGAACTATCTTATGATCCGGCAACTCCACTTTAGTGTATATATCCGAAGGAAATGAAATTAGTTTCTTAAAGACTTCATTTTGGCATTAGTCACAATAATCAAGATACTAAAAACACACCTAAATGTACACACATACACAAACAGACACACAAAGGAATATTATTCAGCCTTAAACAAGAAAATCCTGCCATTTGTAACAACATGGATTGACCTGGAGGACACTAAGCATCCTGGAGGATGCTAAGTGAAGTAAGCCAGACACAGAAAAACAAATATTATATCATCTCACTTATACATGGAACCTAAAATAGTTGAACTCACACTGATAGAGTAGAAGGTGCTTACCAGGGCTGGGGCGGGGGGAAATGGGGAGATTTTGGTCAAGGGGTACAAAGTTTCAGCCACACAGATGGTTAGTTCTGGAAATCTAATGTATGACAATGTGATTATATTTAACAATATTCTAGTGTATACTTGAAATTCATTAAGAGGACAGATCTTAAGTGTTCTCACCACGGACACAGAAAAGTGGTAACTATCTGAGGTAATAAATATGCTAATTCGTTTGAAGTAATTATTTTACAATATCTGTGTACATTGAATCGTCAAATTGTATACCTCAAATATATACAATCTTTAATTATCAAATACATCTCAATAAATTAAAAAATTTTTTCCTGTAAATTTCCTAAATAGAAAGAATGTTATGTTATGGATAAATATAGAAAAAGCAGTCATTCAAGGATACAGTGATTTTTTTTTAAAAGAACCAAAAATAATTCATTTAACTGACTTCATGCTACTTAAGACAGTCAAAGATATGACATAAAAAGGTGTGTATTTTGTGCTACCTTTTAGTCTACGTTTCCAATCCCCTCTGTAGTAATAATTACGTCCACTTTAAAGATATAGAACTTGGATCAAAAGATCACCAACTTTCCACTGAGTGCCTACTTCAAGTATAACTATAGTACTGAAATTTAACAATAGTTTTCACTCAGAACCTTGAAGAAAATCATCCTCTTAAAAAAGAAAATTAGGCACAGAGTCCAAGCTTCTGAAGATCTGGGTATATATCCAAAGGAATAGAAATCATTCTATATAAAGATACATGCACACGCATGGTCTTCGCAGTACTATTCACAATAGCAAAGACGTGGAATCAACCTGAATGCCCATCAATGATAGACTGGATAAAGAAAATGTGGCACATATACATCATGGAATACATGGTATAAAAGGGAATGAGATCATATCCTTTGCAGGGACATGGATGGAGCTGGAAACCATTATCCTCAGCAAACTAATGCAGGAACAGAAGACCAAACACCACATGCTCTCACTTATAAATGGGAGCTGAATGATCAGAACACACGGACGCATTGTGGGGAACAACACACACTCGGGCTTGTTAGGAGAAGGGAAGAACATCAGGAAGAATAGGTAATAGACGATGGGCTTAATACCTAGGCGATGGGTTGATCTGTGCAGCAAACCGCCATGGCACACGTTTACCTATGTAACAAACCTGCGCATCCTGTACATGCACCCTGGAACTTAAAGTAAAAGTTGAAGGAAAAAAAACCCCAAAAAACCAAAAATACATTTTGATGTTCTTTCTAAATAGAAAAAACTTAAAAAAATCTTAATTTTGTTTTTAATTTCCTATCTTCCACCAACATAATTTTCTATATGATCTTAATACTGATCCACATACTATTACAGTGATTATAGACAGAATATAATAAAAGTGAGTTTTACCCACCAAGTGATTCTTTCAATTTACTCCTGCGCTGGGTTCTAGCATAAAGTACCACCTGTTGGACAACTTCTAATTGCTCTTCAATTCGGGGGAAATGGAAGTCAGTGCATTCTTGGCAAACTGTGGCAAAATCTAAGGGACCCAAAACATTTACAAACTTCTAAATGCGAACTATCAAATATTTAGTATTTACTTACAATGAGATTTAGTAGAAAAAGAAAATAATACTTATTTTTCTTAATAAGATTTCTTATACTTGTCTTTTAAATAATTATGCCTTAAGTTAGGGCACAGCAATTTTGTTTTGATTAGAGACTTAACCTCTCTAACACTCAAAAGAGTTAATTATATTGACATTTCTTTGTTAATGTAATTCCAGGTCTTCTTTAAATAATACTTTCATCATAATCCACCCCAAAAGGTGCTACAAAATATAAGAAGGTTCTTATATTTATGAGGGGAAATAAATTCTATTTAAGCTTCTTTCAAAAACAAGTATACGTTTCATATATTTTATATATTCTACATTTTATATATTTACAAATTTAGAAATAATCATAAAAAGTGAATTGTACTAAGAGGGAAGGTAGAATTTTACCTAGCAAATTTAAGAGGTAGGTTATTAAAATATATATATATATATATATATAGACAGAGAGAGAGAGAGAGAGAGAGAGAGAGACAAATGGATGAGCTAAAAATCACCAAGCCAGAATTTGCTTCTAAACTGAAAACATGTGATTGCTCTTTTTGTTTTACCTCGTAATGAGAATTCTATAAAAACATTATTTATAATAGCATTTTAAGAAAAATAAATATGAAGCACTCTATCGATGCTACAGTTTGAAATAAAATAACTATGGCTGGGTATGTTTGTTTGGTCTACTTGGATGTCAAGGTGATTAAAATTTTTTTTCATTTTCCCTGTAATTCCTTTCTTTGTAAGAATGGTGTTACAGGATGAAATTTAACAAAATAAATGTGTATGATGTTAACTTACCTCTTTTAATACCACTATATGAATTAATTCGATTATCTACTAGTAAAACCAGGCCACAGAGAGATGTAGAATAAAGTGACAGAGCTGTTTGGAGCCGATGAAGTTTCACACCACTTCGATGATTTCTTTTATGCTTACAGAAGTCCAGCATATCTGCTCTCAGCAATCTCAAATTATGCATGGTCTTCAACTGGGCTCCTGGGGGTAGGCAATAGTCCAGGAAAGATACTTAAGCAGCTACAGAAAGTCCAGTATAACAAGATGCAAATCTCTATGGCAAGAATCCAGATAAATCTGTACCACAAAATAATTAAAAATGGGCCTTGCAACTTCCCATTTTAATGACTTTTTCAGTTTAATCTATCTGCAAAAAACATTATATAAATATACAAAACTTAAAGCCAATAAAATATAGTCTTTCTTAAAGTAAAACATAATTTGGAATTAAAAATAACATAGGTACACTCTACTCACATGTTAGGAATTTTTCTCTTACAGCATATAAAAAAAGTTGCAGCGGTCAGGCACGGTGACTCATGCCTGTAATCCTAGCACTTTGGGAGGCCAAGGTGGGTGGATTGCTTGAGCCCAGGGGTTCAAGACCAGCCTGGGCAACATAGCGAAACCTTTTCTCTATTATTTTAAAAAAATAATAATTAAAAAATAGTTTCAGAAGTTACAATAAATTATAACTGCAAAAAAATTAACACACTTACCTAAGTGAATGGTAAAACTTTCTTCTAACTTTCTCTGTTCCTCATAAATCCTTCCAATTGCTTCTACAGATTCTCTGAACTGACTTGGCTGAACTTTAATTTCCTCACTAAAAGTAATAAAATTATTGATATACTTTTATGTTTGTCAAAAACTTTTCTTAAAGGAAAGCTTTATAATGAGAGAAAACTGAACAGCTGAAAGTCTTGCTTAATTTTTTCCTAAACTCATCCTTAATCCATGGTGACAAGTAAGACAGGTAAGCACCAACAGGTTCTAAAATTCCCACTTGTTCTTTCATTTCCTCACAATAAATAAAGCAGATTATTATTTTCAATCATTATAATGTCAATTAATATATTGCCATTTAACACTTTTAGCAGCCTAAGAGAATGATTAAATGAAGCGATTAACTTATTACTTTAAAATCACATTGTATTTTAAAATATATAATACATCCTATACCAGGGCTAGCCCTAGGCAAAATCAGAAAATAGATGAAGTGATAGCAATAAAAATTTAAAGTCAAATAAAGTAGATAATAAAAAAGATGAAGTTCATTTTGATGTATACACACCCTTTACTTTTACCATTTCTTGTTTGTTTTCTTTTTTACCTCCAACATTCTCCTCCCACTAAACTGCCTTTCTTTTTGCTCTCCTCTTTATAGTTCCTGAGAAGACTTCCACAAAAGAGCAATAACCGTATCACCGTTCAATTCCAACAGTGGTATATGCTGAGGATGATACAAGTCTGTACGAGTCATCCATTTCCCTGACTAAATTTTTGGGGCTAATCCCAACAGCCCCATTAGACTCAATGACTGACTTCATTAGTAAATACGGTAAATTTAAATCTAGCCAGATAATCTACAGCAGGGGACCCCAATTCCCCGTACAGGCCTGTTAGGAACCGGGCCGCACAGCAGGAAGTGAGCAGCAGGCGAGTGAGCATTACCACCTGAGCTCCACCTCCCATCCGCTCAGCGGCAGCATTAGGTTCTCATAGGAGCGTGAACTGTATTGTGAACTGCGCATGCAAGCGATCGAGGTTGTGTGCTCCTTGTGGAACAGTTTCATCCCCAAACCCTCTCCAGCTCTCCTGGAAAAAACTGTCTTCTGTGAAACTGGTCCTCGGTGCCAAAAAGGCTCAGAGGACTGCTGATCTACAAAATCATACTTTTCTGGAGTCCATCAAAGATTTGTGATCATAAGGCAACCTAGTAAACTGAATTCCAAACCGTGACATATACCTCCAAGGACAGACAGGACACATAAGGAGTTTCATCTTTGTTACAGCATAGCTGAAATAGGATGCTGTCATACAAGGGGGTAAAAAGAAAGCAGCTAAAATTTTAACAGATTCTTGAAGGCCAAGTGGGCTAGCATATCAAGTTAGAATAGGTCGGAGCCACAGGCACATGAACTTGCAAACTCTTTTCCACTGGCCTCCATCAGGTATTTCCAGAAAACACTGAGGGCAGGAGACAAGAGAGCCTTCTCAAGGGCACAGGCAGAAATGCTGAGAATCAAGATACACGAGGCTTGACCAAACCGGGAGTGGACAAAGACAACAAAGATGGAGAAGAGTTGAACAAAGTGACCTTCCGGACCCCCAACTATGAGCCTAGATTCAAGTAACAAGTAACAAGCCTACTGCTGGGAGGCAGAGCAAAAGTATGGAGGCAGACTCCACTCTGCAGCTCTGGCATGCGAAGGCTGCTGAAAGCAAGGGATGGAGCAGAGAGACAGAGAAAAATCCTCCTGGACCCCCAAGTGCCGTTCTAAGCACAAAGTAGCACCAGTAGAAAATGAAGCCGGTGGTACATTGAAGGTACTGACAGACACGAAACCAAGCTGGGATAAAAGTGGGGTAAAAGACTACACATTGGGTACAGTGTACATTGCTCGGGTGATGGATGCACCAAAATCTTAGAATCACCACTCAAGAACTTATTTGTGTAACCAAACACCACCTATTCCCCAAAAACCTACTGAAATAAAAAAATTAAAAGTTTTTTAAAAATAAAGCCATAAAGTCTACAAATTATATGAAAGCAAGATCTCTAACAAACTTGCCATGCATTTTCAGATTTCTCCAAGCATTGTTCCAGTGAATAAGCTAATAAATAAAGTCTAACGCAAAGGGGAAAAAAAAGGAAACCAAACCTACCTCAACTGCTGATAAGATGTACACAACCTTCACATTAATATTGTTCATTTCTGGACATAAATACTATTAACCTCAGTCTCTTCTAATACCCACAATATCCAGTAATCAGTTAAAAAAAAGAAAAGAAGAAAAATAGGCTGGGTGCGGTGGCTCATGCCTGTAATCCCAGCACTTTGGGAGGCCGAGGTGGGCGAATCACGAGATCAGGAGTTCAAGACCAGCCTGGCCAACATGGTGAAACACTGTCTCTACTAAAAATACAAAAATTAGCCAGGTGTGGTGGCATACGCCTGTAATCCCAGCTACTTAGGAGGCTGAGGCAGGAGAATTGCTTGAACGCAGGAGGTGGAGGTTGCAATGAGCCAAGATCGCGGCATTGTAGGCATTGTACTCCAGCCTGGGAGACAGAGAAAGACTCTGTCTCGGGGCCGGGGAGGAGAAGAAAAAAGAAGAGACAACCAGAAAAGCAAGAAAAAAACCCAACCCACTGTCGAGATAAAGCAATCAACAGAAACAGATTTAGAAAGGATCCAGATATTGGGACGAAAAGAAAGGGACTTTCAAAAAACTATAACCAACATGTTAAAAGATCTAGTGGAAAGGTAGACAACACACAAGGAATTTTAGCAAAGAGCGAAAACAATTGGAAATTCTAGAAATCAAAACATCGTATCAGACCGATGACCACAGATCAACTCATTTTACAATGCCCCCATTAACCTGACACCAAAACCAAATGAAGACGTTGTAAGAAAAACAAACAAACAAACAAACTATAGACCAACATACATGCATAAATATATAGGTTGGTGGATATATGTCATATACATATATCTGTGTGAAACAATATATATCATGACCTATATGTGAAACCTAAAACAATAAAACTTCTAGAAGAAAAAACACAGGATAAAATCTTTGTGATCTTCCATTAGGCAAAGGTATCTTAGGCAAGATAGAAACCATTTAAAAATAGATAAATTGGCAGAGCACAGAGGATTTTTGAGTAACAAAACTACTCTGTATGGTACTATAATAGCAGATACACGTCCTATACATTTGTCCAAACTGACAGAATATACAATGGCAAGAGTGAGCCCTAAAATAAACTATGGACTTTGAATGATTATGATGTCAATATATGTTCTTGATCATAACAAAGGTACCATCTTGCTGGGGGATGCTGATAATGGGGAAGACTATGCATTTGTAGGTCAGGCGGTAAATCTTAGTACCTTCCTCTCAGTTTTGCTGTGAACCTAAAACTACTTTGAAGAAATAAAGTCTTTAACTGATAAACTGCACTTAACTAAAATGAAAAACTTCACTCTCTGACTGACACTATTAAGAAAATGAAACGACAAGCCACAGAGTGGGAGAAAGTATTTGTAAAATACATTATTTGATGATGGACTTGTATCCAGAATATATAAAGAACTCTCACAACTCAATAAGAAGACACATTTTTCCAGCACATGAAAAAATGTTAACATAATTAGGCATCAGGGAAATGCAAAGTAAAATTACGAGCTATCACTGCAAAACTTACTAGAATGTCTAAATAGCAATATTGAGTGCTGATGAAGATATGGAACACCTGGAACCCTCATACATTGGTGGTGGGAACGCAAAATTGTACAGTCACTTTGGAAAATAGTCTGGCAGTTTCTTCTGAAGTTAAATGTACACTTACCATATGACCAAGCAATCCCATTCCTAGGGGAGAGGGATTGCATATTTATGAAAGAGAAATCAAAACACATGTCTACACAAGACCTGTTCATGAAAGTTTACAACAGCTTTATAATTGCTAAAATCTGGAAATATCCAACATGTCCATCACTGAGTAAATGGATAAACAAATGGATGATAGAATAGTACTGAGTAATAAAAAGAACCACTAATAAACACAACAACTCCAATGAGTCTCAAAAGTATTATGCCACATGAAAGAAGCAAGATACAAATTGCTACATACAGTTTGATTCCATTTATGTTACATTCTAGAAAAATCAAACTACAATGAAATAAAACTACCAAAAAGGGAAATTCTGTATTTTGATTGTGGTGATGATTTTATGACTAAGTTTGTCAAAATTCATCAAACTGTACACCTAAAAGAGAAGAATTTTAACTTTATGTAATTTATTCCTCAACTGACCTGACTTTAAAGAAAAATAAAGCAAAAATAAATTTTAAAATACCACTTTTATCAATCACATATAAGGGTTCCATATATAGTTGTGTTGAAAAGAGATCTCTCCTGCCCAAAGAAACATCTATCAAAAAGAAAAGCAAAGTAACAAAGTCACAATAAAAACATTATTTCCTAGGAATACTTGATTTTTAAAAGCAGCATCAGCTACAGGCCAATATTTACACAAATGAAATTGATTCTACACTTTTACACTGTTGGTGGGACTGTAAACTAGTTCAACCATTGTGGAAGACAGTGTGGCTATTCCTCAAGGATCTAGAACTAGAAATACCATTTGACCCGGCCATCCCATTACTGGGTATATACCCAAAGGATTATAAATCATGTGCTATAAAGACACATGCACATGTACGTTTATTGCGGCACTATTCACCATAGCAAAGACTTGGAACCAACCCAAATGTCCATCAATGATAGACTGGATTAAGAAAATGTGGCACATATACACCATGGAATACTACGCAGCCATAAAAAAGGATGAGTTCATGTCCTTTGTAGGGATATGGATGAAGCTGGAAACCATCATTCTCAGCCAACTATCACAAGGACAAAAAACCAAACACCGCATGTTCTCACTCATAGGTGAGAATTGAACAATGAGAACACTTGGACACAGGGCGGGGAACATCACACACCAGGACCCGTCGTGGGGTTGGGGGAGGGGGAAGGGATAGCATTAGGAGATACACCTAATGTAAATGACAAGTTAATGGGTGCAGCACACCAACATGGTGCATGTATACATATGTAACAAACCTGCACGTTGTGCACATGTACCCTAGAACTTAAAGTATAATAAAAAAATTTAAAAAAAAAGAAATTGATTCTAAAGATTGAATTTCTGAAACTCTAGCAGCAAAGTAAGAGATAACTTTTTTTTTTTTAAGAGTTTCTCACTCTTGTTACCCAGGCTGGAGTGCAGTAGCATGATCATAAAGGGATAACTTTCACAGCAAAGGGCTTTCACAGCTTCCTTAAATCAGTGGCTTTCAATGTTTCTGACTACAATATACAGTATATATTTTACATTTTGGCTCAATATACACATTCATTTATAGAAAGCTTCACATATGATGCACCCTGATTTTTTTCCTATTGTTATTTTTAAAAGGCTCGTTGGAAAATAAGGGATGTAGAATGGTTCATAGCAGGCTGCAACGAACAGTTTGGGGAAAACAGTAAGGCAAATGAAAAACTGTAATATTTAGATAAGAGATGATAGAGATGTCAGGTAAAGACTTTAACAATAACCTATCCATCTGTCCATCCATTCATCCCATAAATTTTTACTGAGCATGTCTTATGTGCTAGTGTCAAGAGCTAAACACTTGGCAAGGAACTGGGTACACAACGAAAAAAAAAAAAGACATGAGACTGACATTATACAAATAAAATGCTATTTAAAAATATTTATAGCATACACTGGCATATGCTGGAAATAGGATTATTATACCGTACTCAGTATATTTCCAACTGAATATACTTTAGGATTTGAAAAATATTAATTCTCAAACATAACAGATACATAGCCAGGAAATAACATAGGTATGGTCAAGCTCTAAGGGAATATGTGAAATACAATTTATCTAGGCCAAGAGATGCCATACAAGTTATAATTTATGAGAAATCCTCCATGCTATTTCTGTACCTTCTACATGCTTCTGTTACTGCACATACCACTCTATGCAGTATTATTTTATTTATAGATCAGTCTCTCTTTCTAGAATATAAGCTCCATATAGGCAGGGGTTTTTTTTGTTTGTTTTTCTGCTTAGAGAGTGTTTGGCATTCAACCAATGTTTACTGCATGGAGTGGAAACTAAAGAAATAAAGATAGTATTTAAGTATTTAGGTGTATGTATCTAGAACATAAAACTAAAGTTCTATTTCAAACTAACCAATAACCATTGCCCCCCAAATAATCCACATAAAGCCTATAATGCAAAAGGTGGTAAAAGCACAGCATAAAATTGTCTTGAACTTTCACTAGCAAATTAAAAAGACATACAGCTAAAAGGTTTAACTTTGTAGTAAATATAAACATTACTAACAATGGACTACTATATGAATAAGAACAATACATAGTTAATACCTAAGGGAGCTGTTGTTGGGGTTTTTTAGGTCTTGGTGAAGTTTTATTACCCATTCTTGATACTCTTGTTTTTGGATGGCAGTTGATTGTTTTAATTCATTCGACCATTTATTTTCTAGGTCCTAAAAGAAACAGTATACCAACTGGTTAATTTTTTTAACAAAAACAAACAAACAAAAAAACAAAAGAAAATGCAACTGCATACCTAAAAGTCACTGTATTTCACTTACTTG
Organism: Homo sapiens; assembly: GCF_000001405.40. NCBI lineage: Eukaryota > Metazoa > Chordata > Mammalia > Primates > Hominidae > Homo > Homo sapiens. The sequence goes on from NC_000012.12 coordinate 4,525,487, forward strand.
CTGGGATTCAAAATGCTGAGCAGCCAGTGAATTTACATCTTGATCTGTCAGTGATTTTCCCAATTCCTGCATGACTTTTTCCATTTCAATACCTTGTCTAAAACACAAATAAACAAATCAGGGATATTCATCAAACTTTCAAGGTATATGATCCTTCAGATTCATCAAACAATCTCTATAAAGTGAAAATAAAAAATTTATTTTATAGAAATGTGTCCAGGAATGAGAATTGTAACTGGAAAGTACTTTAGAATCCTTGGAAATGGAGACTAGCCAATAACGATGATAGTGTCATATAATATCAACATCATTTGTGCAGCTAAATTTTCATCTAAATGTATTGCACAGACGAATGCAGTCAAAATCTAAGTTACCTTTCAATTACCATGGCTAATGTTAAAAACTCTGGACCCCTTTTCACCTGCAAATTTCCTCAAAGAAGAGGCTCTGCAATTTCAGCTTAAATGGATTTTCTATTTGTATATGAACTAAAGTGACTTCAACCTCTGAAAGTTAGTTTACATTATATCCAGAAGCAGACAATTAGATCCTGAGTCAAATTACTATTAAGTCATAAAATTTACAGAGAGACGTAAAATACAGTCTGAAGATGTTAGTCACACCTTCTGCATTTATCCAAAGAAATAATGTGCAAAAATTAAAAATGGTTTTTCCTACAGGAAAAATTAACCAATGGTGTTAGAAGTACAGATAATGGTTATTTATGAGGGAAAGGGTAAAGGACTAGAAGGGCATGAAAGAGGACTCTGTAATGCTGGAAATATTCTATTTCTTGATCTGGGCAATGGTTACATGGTCGTGCTTAATTTGTGAAAGTTTAATGAGCTGTACACCCACAGTTTGTTGCCTTTTCTGTGTGTATGTTATATTTTAATAAATAAGTTCACTTAAAAAATTGAAATTAAAGATTATCTTCTAATACAAATGTATGCAAAAAGTTTGTTCTAAAACAAATTTCTAACAAACTGGGAAAGAACAAAACACAGATATAAACTAAGAGGATTTTATCATCCTAGTTAATTCAGGTAAATTGCTCTTAAGAGTGAATTTTTGGCCAGGCGCGATGGCTCATGCCTGTACTCCCAGCACTTTGGGAGGCCGAGGTGGGCGGATCACCTGAGGTCAGGAGTTCAAGACCAGCCTGGCCAACGTGATGAAACTCCATCTCTACTAAAAATGCAAAAATTAGCTGGGCATGGTAGCGGGCGCCTGTAATCCCAGCTACTTGGGAGGCTGAGGTAGGAGAATTGCTTGAACCCAGGAGACTGAGGTTGCAGTGAGCTGAGATCGTGTCACTGTACTTCAGCCTGGGCAACAGAGCAAGACTCCATCTCAAAAAAAAAAAAAGGGTGAATTTATACTTATTTATAACACTGATTAAGATATATATATATGATAAATTAAATTCAAGCAAGTTACACATATATACATTTCTATATATACCTTCTGGTAGTAAATATTCAATATCACTTAAATCCCACTTAGTTCTAAGGCAGATGACTCCATTAACTTTTAATAACTATTATGGGTCAAATGAAAATTATGCTTGCAAGTGAGATTCTTATTTAGAAACAGAAATAACTGCTAACCATTTATAAATACAAACAGATATAAATATATATTACTATTTTACATTACACATGTTCCCTCTAGTGGATAAAAGGTATCATTGCCATTTTTAAAGTTTAAAGAAATATCTAGAATCTGGTTTGCTTAAAAAAAGAGCACATCTCTTGTGAAGAAAAAGACAGACAGAAATTCAACAAATAAAATTTCATGAACATTTATTTCATCCTAAATATGTCCAAAAGGCAACTAGCTAATCATATAGTTGATGATACAATATATTTTTTCTATGATTAAGATAGAAGAAAATTTTATTACGTCTCAGATGAAATACTAAATATAGCCTGGCTCAGTATGTGAGATGTGACAACTCTGGCAACCTATATATTATCTTGAAGATACTTTAAGAAAAAAAATCATTATAACTTGTATTATTGATGCTGTGCCGAGAAACTGTCTTTTAAAGATGTACAATGGCATTAAAATGAAATAAGAAAATGTGTCACTTCTGCTCATGAAATGGATAAATAAATTAAGCACCAAAATTTCGGGTCAACCTCCACAGACACTAGTGAATTTCAACTTACCTTAAGTCATACTGTTCACCTTTGCAATAAATATTACCTACCAGAGGAATACAGCTTATTTTTCTTTTTCAAGCTAGCGGTTTGGACAGGTTAAAAATAAATTACAAAACTTTTAAAACTAGATGAATTCAAGTATTATTTATATGTTTAGAAAGAAAAAAGAAGGCCAAACCCCATCAAGAAATATGGCCAAATATGATTTCAAACAATAAAATAAGTCAAAACAAACCTCTACTAAAAAACTATTCCATGAAAAAAAAAAGTATGAATACCAGTAAATGCAGGTAATTAGCACGTTAATTGAACTTCCCAAAAGATGAAGAATCATGTAGAACACAAATCTTCAGATTTAGAATAAGGAAGCATTATAGACTATTAATGGCTAGATATATAGTTTTCTAGGGGGTAGAGGCAGCAAACTATGCTGCAAGTTAGAGTCACTCAACAGCTCAATGAAAGTACTAGGAATGGAAGTATAGGGAGCCAAAATGGGAATTTATCAATATACCCAAAGAGGCAGAATGAGTATAGTCACAGAAAACCTGACGGCTAATAACAGATTCAGGATGACTTGAAGGTTATATTATTTGAAGGCCTAGGAGGAAAAATCAAACAAATGAAGTTCAACAGAAAGTAATTAATTAGTATTAGGTAATTCTACTTTTACGTATTTTTAAAAACCTAATTCTATATTTTGTTCTTCTTTTTAAACTATATTCACAATTTTATGGGCTACATAATAAAGAACTAGAAAAAAATTTTGTCTTCCCCAGGGAAATATGTTTCAACTATATACCTAGTGGCAACCACTCACTGCAGGTATCTCATCAAAAAGGAATAAACTGCCCCAATACAGCTGGTCAACAAACCAAACCTATAAACAGTGACAAATATCTCAAAACAGCATGTTCTTTTTGACAAAGAGATCATTCTAATATTTTACAAAGTATGAGAATAAGTGGTCCAGAGGAGTACAATTGTTATGAAAATTTACAAATCTATGCAATATAATAAATATGCTAATTTAGTACACAGAAGAGAGTATCCCTCAGGAACAATTATTAAATACATTTCCTTATTATTTTTCTGTACTTAAAATTTTCTTAACCATGACAATGCTCCAAAGATTATTCTCATCTTGCTAGCCTTACTGTATTCTAATGGGAAGCTAATGAGAACCAGGAACAAACCAGCACATCTTTTTAAATTTACTCCTTTGGGACTATTAAATCAGTTACACACACACACACACACACACACACACACACACACACACACAAACAAAAGTGATTTAGTCCTAATATACTCTCACAATCAAAGCAACACTAAAACTATTATCTTAATGGCATATACACCCAATGTCTTAAATAAGTGTTTTTAAGATAATAAATATTATTAGATTCTGCTAAATTACAATGGATTATCTAGAAGGACACATCCTGAATTCCTATCACAATTTATATAGAGTTACTAGAAAGCAGTCAGGGAAGCCACTTATTACTTTAAAATAAATAATGCTAGAAGTTTTTTACATACTCTGAAGAAAAGATAAATAATAAAAGCATTGTTTGTATACTGTGTTAAGTAATCCATACAGCAGGAATTCAAATCTAATTACAATTTCTTGGAACAATACTAGTGTTATTATTTTTTTCTAAGGTACTTGAGCGTACAAAATGAACTGAAAGAGCCATGGTCATAGTTAGAGCAGGGCAATACAGAGGTTCTGAATAGGGAGACAGAATGGTACAGTGGTTAACAGTTCTGAAGTCAGGTTTCCTGGTTTCAAATTCCAGCATGCCCTTGGACAAGTTACTTATTTAAGCAAAAACTTCTTCATCTGTAAAATGGAAATAATAGTAGGGTTATGGTAAAGATCAAATGAGATAGGGCATCCAAAGCAGTTTGCACAGTGCCTGGAACAAAACAAACCTTCAACAGAAGTAATCTATTCCTCTTATTAGAGATAAGAATATATAAGGCCCACCAGTATCATTTACTTAGTTAAACCACTCAGAAGGTATATAAACCTATGAGGACCCTCCCAGTTGTAGTTACACATTTAAACATACAAGAAAATTAATTTCTAATATTGAAGTTTTTTTTTCTATCTTATCCTTTTTGTAAAAAATAAAAACAAGTTGTTCTGCAGGCCATCTATTTGACAACGTAACATTTAATTCTGATAATGCAAGAAATTTGAAATACCTCTCTCGTAATTTTTTCAGCTCCACATCTCTTTCACCAATCAGTTCTGAGATACTAACAAAGTAATTATGTTCCAAATTTAAGAGAGTTTCAGAGGCAGGAGAATGAATTAAGTCATGGTACACATCTGCAAAATCTTCATCCCAGCTGGGTTCTTCAGGCCTTGCATGCTCTAACGTGGTCTACAAGATAATATACAGACAATCTTAAATCATGATCTAGTATTTTTATTTAACACACTACTAGAAAAGTATGTATGATTCCATTTTTGCACTTCAATGACAGAAAGACCCTCTTATATATATATGTGTGTGTAAATATATGTGTGTGTATTATACAGGATTGTCTAAGCACAGAAAAAAAAAATGTGGAGAGATACAGACTAAGTTCTTAATATAAGTTACCCGGAAGCAGAAATGAGAAGGAGGTACTAATGTGGAGGAAGGGATAGGAAGTGTCCACAATAAAAGCTTATGCTGTGACCTCATTTCTGTGAAATCACACACACACAGATGATCAACAAAATGCTAATGGTGGCTATTTCAGGACAGTGGGATTTCTGATAGCCTTTATTTATATTCTAACATACTGTATGGTAAAATAACTTGCATGCATTAGTTACATAATCAGAGAAAACTTTTCATTATTAAAAAAATACTGTTAAAGTAGGTTACATATTTAGAAAATAAGGTGACCTATGTGGTCACCTGCGAATGAAAGCCAAATTCATGCATACCTATATCAAGATAAATGTGTAATTATGCATTTAGTTTGACCTTTTCTAGTGTTACATTTTCTTTTTAAAATATCAGCAGGCTTTTAAGGATATAAAAATGGTAGCTATTAAAATGATGAAGGGACTGAGTAAACGCTGATAGACAAGAAAAGCAGAAACAGGGAGAAACAAAATGGGAATGCCCTCAGCACACACGAATACATCCAGGGAGGTACAGATGCCTATCCCAAGGGCTGCCTCCTCAACTCATCGGAGGAAACTGATACACTGAGAAGTCAAAGATCATATGACTTAATGGCATTAAGTGGAAATAAAACAAAGATTTTGATGTTTTTTCCATTATAGATCTTTGCAAAAGATACCTGTAAAAAAAAAAACTAAATTCTTCCCTTTTCTTACCCACGAAAATATTAAAAACTGGAATTTATAATATGACTTAAGAGTAATAATTTACCTTAAAACAAACAAACACATCACATAAACAGCTATCTTGAACTCAGTCAGTCAACAGGAAAACTTTTCTAATTTGTTCTCTTTCACTTCAATCAGTTGCCACATCAAAAGGCAGGAGACTAGCTGAACCTAGAACTACGATTTCATCTACTCTATGCCTCTGAAACTCCAAAACTGTTCTGATAACTGTTCATCTTTAGACGTGCGACTGCTGTAGGAATTATAACCAGCCTATGGGACTTAACTTCTGTTTAAAATTCACTTCAGGGCAAAGTTGAAATTTTGTAGGGAGGAGCTACTGTAAGACTGTAGGGATGTGCTTGGCCACACACAACACCAGATGTTCAGTAGCCCCACTACCAGATCATCTAACTACAAAAATCTGCAGCATTAATTTTAAACTCAGCCTAGGGGAAGCTTTATGAATAGGTAGAAGATACCTACGTGAGAAGAACTAAGCATAGGTTTTTCCTTGACCTAATTTACGCCACTCCCTCAGGACAGATGCTACTAGAAAGGGGACTGGGACGGCTGAGAGGAATGGGGCACTGAGGAAGTGACTGCAGAGAGAAAGCGATTCAATGTCCAGGCCATTATTTCTCCACCTCCACTTTCAGGCATAACGCCTGACTTCTTTGAGGTTCAAACCATTCAGCACCCCTTATCTTTCATGGCCATCATTATCTAACAACCTACCTGTCTGTCACTCACCCTCATTCCTGTAAAGCTTTGGCACCAAGTTCAAAGAATTCCTCTCTGCCCCACATCCTGCCATCAACCTGGGTTACTTGGATATCCATGTGGAAACCCATCCAAGGCACTGCCTTCTTACTTTCCCGAACTCTACAATCTTTACTGTGGAGTCCCAATTAGGGAAAAGGAATCAGGCTGGCAGGACCAGGGGAAAGCAAAAAGAGAAAGCAGATAAGCTATAAGTCTGCCTTTCCTCATGGTCCAGACCAAGCTTGTCCAACCTGTGGCACAGGATGGCTTTGAATGCCGCCCAACACAAATTCATAAATTGTGAATTTTTTTTTTTTTTTTTTTTTAGCTCATCAGCTATCCCTCATGTTAATGTATTTTATGTGTGGCCGAAGACAATTCTTCTTCCAGTGTGGCCCAGGGAAGCCAAAAGATTGGACACCCCTGGTCCAGGCCACGTAGCCCTCCTGCACTCACCTTTCACCAGACACCTGCAAGATAGCTGCAAGACTGCAGCTCACTGCAGTCTTGGGGTTATCAGTACTGCACACAGCACTGTACAGCATACAGCATAAACGCTGTCCTATAAAATCTCCAGCAAGCCTTTGTTTCCTTGAAGTCAGCTTCTCTTCTGTTGGCCTGCCCATTGCCTCCTCGCAACATATTTTCCTACTTTCTCTAATAAACCTACCTTTCTTTATCTACAACTGTCTTGGTAAATTCTTTTACCCCTGTACCACCAGCCCAGATAGTCATCGTTTACCTGCAACATTTACTAGTTCTCCACACCACCTCAGCCATCCATTTAGTATCCTCACCAGAAACTCAGTCCGTCAGTATTCAAACATTCTAGTCTCTGACTACAACCTCCACCCAAGATTTCTCGCTCAATAATCCCCAGGTAATTGATATTTAACCTCATCAGGACCTCCACTTCATAAGTTTCTCAATGTTTTCATTTTTTTTTAAATCAGCCATCAACTGCCACTTAGCTTCACTTCTTTCCCTATGTAGCTTACATTTTGTGATCTAGCATTCAACCACTGTCTTGCCGATATCCTCAACTCCCTTGACTGATGTACCTTATATTACCCACCTAACAAAACCCTCATCTTATTCCTCTTCTCTATGCCTGCAGTCGGGCTTTAGAGAGCTGTAGCAGAAAAATCACAAAACTCTATAAAGTTTATGGTGACAAACTGGTGCCACTCTTAATCTTGGCCTCAATGATGCCTGGCAATCCTATCATTCGCTGCTCGGTTTTCTCCTTAAATATCCAACAATCTTTTTATACCTACTGCCTCATCTAAACAAATAACCTGTCTTTCCTTAAAGTTGAAACACTCAGAAGAGAATATTCTCAACTTCCTGCTACCAAATTAATAAAATTATCTGAATTTATATCCAACCTTTCCTGCTTCTCTTTGGCTGTAAGTGGAGAAGCATCTGTCTTCCCAGTTATGATTAATTCTCCATTTGAGTTCTGGATTCTATCCCTTCTAGTCCTAAACTTTGCCGCCTTAAAAAACAAACAAACAAACCTCTGACCTTGTGTTCCCATTTAGCCAGTGCCCCATCCTTCACCTCTTTATATTCGAACTTCTTCAGTTAGTATACTAATTCTTCCTATTTCCACACTCCCACATGCTTAGAGTCAGTGAAATCTCATTTCCACCACCACCAACTTACCGAAACTGATCTTGCCACAGACAAGATTACTTGATAAATACAATGGATATTTTTGAGTCTTTTCTTTGCCTCTTATACTTGATGTCATCTTGGCATTCTCTCATAGTTTAATTTGCAGTGCTCTTTCTTAGTAAATAAAATCATTTGTGATATACCTAATGGCATCTTAGACTTTATGAAACAGGGTATATTATTTAAATAGAAAATGATATGATGTGACTACACAACAATAATGAAGATAAGTTTATAAAAGTAAACCAAAGGTTACATGAATGCTGTTGCTGATTTAGGGTTGCCAGATAAAACACAGAACACTCACTTAAATTAGAATTTCAGATAAATAGTGAACAATTTTTTTTAGTATAAATATGTTCCATGTAATATGTTGATATACTAAAAAATATTCATTTATCTGAAATTCTAACTTAACTGGGTGTCCTATATTTTTAATTACTAAATCTGGAGACCCTGTGCTGGTGAGATATATGCAAGTAGCCTCTTGTTTTACAAAGGTATTACATAAATAGCATTTTGTCTTATGTGCTCACCCTGATATAGGAAGCACAGAAGCAGCAACATATACATTATAGAATATTGTATGTGGAGAAAAAGGATCTTATAACGATTTCAGGATTACCACAGCATTTTAAAAATTTTCACCAAAATCCAGAATATCCTTGAAATTTACAATCTGACCTATTTTCTTACCTCAGCATAAGCTTTGGCCCATGTACTCGCCAGCTGATGTAAATCTACTTCACCTGATTTCACAGCTGCCAGGGATGCTTCAGCATCTCTATCATAATCGCTGAGGGATTCTTCTTCTATAAACTGAGTCAGAGCTTCTTTTAAGTCTGTTACAGGGACATCAAACACCATCGTCAGCAAAATCCAGGTATAAATAGGGAACATTTTACTTGGCTGAGAATTCCAATGTGAAATCTTATTGTTAAATTTTTATTTTTTATTTAGAGATGGGGTCTCTCTCTCTGTTACACAGGCTGGAGTGCAGTGGCATGATCACAGTTCACTGCAGCCCTGAATTCCCGGACTCCAGTGATCCTCCCACCTCAGCCTCCCGAGTAGCTGGGACCACAGGTGCATGCCACCATGCATGGCTAATTTTTGTATTTTTGGTAAAGATAGGTCTCACCATGTTGCCCAGGCTGGTCTTGAACTCGTCAGCTCAAGTGATTCACCTGCCTTAGCCTCCCAAAGTGCTGGGATTACAGGTGTGAGCCACCTTGCCCAGACATGAAATTTTATTTTATCAAGCTGATACTCTTAATAGAATCTCCAACTAAAATGAAATCAGCTTAGGGGATCATTTAACTAATTTCATGATTATTTTCCTTTACTATTACAGGCTATTGCATAGAGAAAGGTCAAAAGTCTTAACTCTTACGTATTCCCTTGATACTAATAAAGTAATGTTACTTTCTTAAGCCTGATATTTCAGTTTGAAGCCAAGTGGGTATAAGGACATAAAGAAAATGCTACAGATTTTGAAGGTCTGAACATTACTGTATTTACATTAAAAAGAGTTTTCCATGTAACTTTAAAGGGTACATTGTTACATCCTTTGAAAGAGAAGTTAAATGACTAGCTTATTAACACATTTAACTTAGATGACTGACCGATTTCAGTTTTACAGACACCACTTAGAGAATGATATAACGGAAGAGCACTGAGAGAGAAGTTAGGACACCTGTGTTCTGGCTTTGGCTCTATTATTATCACTATGTTCGCGACTTTAGACTGTGGTTCACAATCTTAAGTGTGCATTAGAAACCCCTGGAGGCCTTATTTAAACAGACTGCCACATGCTACCCTAGTTTCTGATTCAGCAGAAATGGGATGCAGCCCGAGAATTTGCATGTCTAACAAGCTTGCAGGTGATGCTGTTGCTGCTAAATGATTAGAAACCATATTTCAAGAACCACTGCCTAGGGTAAATAATTTAACCTCTTTATGTTCCAGTTTCCTTGTTTGTACAATGTGATTGGGCTATAAAGTTTCTAGGTTCTCTTATAACTCTAACCTGTGATCTAACATATTCTGAATTTTAAATTTTTCCTAGACTGTGAGATAGAGCACAGACCTTTAAAAATGGTTTAATACATCTAACTTTATAAAACTAATTTAGGTAAGCAAAGACTATTCAAAAATTAGTACACTTTCTGTTCTATGGCATCTCAGAAATTAATGACCAGATTATTAAAAGGGCAACCAATTTAGCACTATAATTCTATTAGCACAATTAGCGATAGCTAAACTGCCTTATAACTTCACCCAACTAAATTCAGAAGAGCTCCTCTAATTCCAAACTTTGTAGCTAATTTTTCATTATAAAATCTAATTTTTATATTTTATAAACAACTACCACTTATAGGAAAAAACACTCAATAAAAGAAAGCTCTGGAGAAATGTTTTTATTCTTGGAATCAGTTCCTATGTTATGGCTGTTTCCAAAGCTTCTTAGGTTTATGCTTTCTAATATGAAACTTCCAATGACAGACTATTGAAACTAATAAAGTGGTGTTACTTAAAAAAAAAAACAGTCCTCACCTTTTTCTATAAAGCACGGTAAACTGTGCAGCAGCATCAGACGTCCATGCAAATGACTGGCATTCTCTTGAACAGGAAATTTGAGTGGCACTCTCAGTTCTAAGCACTGACTTCCTACTTTAAATTTATATACAAATTCTCTCTCTCTATTGCAGAATCTTTCTCTGTTTTTCTTCATATTCTTTGACAGGATTTCTACAGAACTAACAAAAAAGCAGTAGGTTATAAGTCCATAAAGAAATTATGTTTCATTATTGCTGTCCCATTTCTAAGAAAACATTCCACCATTCAAGAGATTTTGTCTATGAGCCAATTATTCTAGTTTTTCCCAAGTGTTTATCCCTGTACTTCCATCTTCATGATGAAAACAAAGTGCTTCTTTAAAAAAAAAAAAAAAGACACTTTGTTTTAAACTTGATTTAAGAAAAAAAATTATGGCCATAAAGTACTTTATATTCCAAGGCAGGGTTCTCAATAATAGGGAAGGACCATGGAGAGAAGAGCAGAGAGAATTCTTAGGGAGAGTTCATGGGTGGGGAAATACAAAGCTTAAGAAACCGTTGGTAAAAAGAAAGTCAAAGAAGCAGATCAGGGACCAAGGAGTGATCCTGGAGAACTTAGAGGTTGTGGTCATGAGATCCGACTGGGGGAAGGGGAGTAAGAAAGTGTTAGAAAGATTTCCATGTGGGAAGAAGATACACAGAAAAGAGAGAGTACAGGACCTCCACTTCCGGCCCACACCCCAAAGGCAAACTAGACACTACTAAGGAAGAAGAAAATCTAGTTAAAGGCAGTAAGAATCAACATCAATTAAAGATTTATTTATTCATCAGCCTTGTAACTGGACTTCCTATGGCTAGGCTTTCTCCCATCAAATCAGTTCTTACATTATTTTCTACACTGAAGTTATAGTAATCTTCCTTTTTAAAAAAGGAATATACTTATCTGATCATGTTGTTCATCCGCTTAAAAACTTTCTATGACATTCCATTGCTCTCAGGATAAAATGCAAACTCTTTATCCCAGTTTACAACACCCCTGCTTATATTTCCACTCTTCTCTCAGAAACTGCACCTCTCCTTCCTAATACACAAATTCACAAATTTTATTTTCCAGCCATTCTGAACTTCTGTCAACACCAAACTTCTCCTTCCATGCCGAATCTTTTTGAATGCCTTTTCCTTTGCCTAGAGCACTCTTACTGATCTTAATTTCATTGGATAACAATTGCTAATTCTTCAGGTCTCAGTTAAGCCTCTAGGAAGACTTATCCAACTCCCTAAAACTGGATTGGGTCCCGACAGGCTCTCATATTAGCCTAGACTTATTTGAATCATGGCACTTATCACGCTCTATTTCTTACTCTTGGCTAGAAAACAGTCTTCTTGAAGTGGAAGGAATACTGTCTTGTATTCCATGTATTAGGCAGGATGTTGCGAATGGCAAGAACTAATAAATAATTGTTGGATTGTATGGCGTTTTTATTTTATGGTGCTCACTGGAAAAATAAAGAACAAAAAATTATTCATACGGTTATTTAAAAAGATATCACCTGAAATATAAAAAAAACTCAAAGGACTTTTGTACATGTCGTGGGGCGGGGCTAAGTTGAATTATCCAGACTATATTTTCAAATCTGTATGTAGGCTATACACAAAAATCTTCGTCTATTTCACCATAATGCAAAGAGATAGGGTATTTGTTTTACTCAGAAAGAATTAAAATTAAACGTAAAGCAATACAAATTTTTATAATGTTAGAAAACTACCAAAACTACATAAAGGTATATTCTATGATGTAGAAATTTCATTCCTAAGTATATATCCAAATACACACACACGCATATGTTCGCTAAAGTACACCCAGAAGAATGCTCATATAAGTTTTATTTATAATACCCCAAACTGGAAACAACCAAAATGCGTATTAGTAGGAGAATAGTAAACTTGTTTATTTTATGAGATAAATACTACACAGCAATAAAAAAGAATCAACCACTGATAAATGCAAAAATATGAATGAATCAGGAATGTTGAAAAAAAAAAGAGAAGGCAGACACAAAAGCTCTGGTTCAACATTTAGACTTGTGTTTCAAGAAACTGATAACTTTAGTTCTTTCTCCTCTCGCTCTTTTTTTAGACTAATGGTCTATCCTGAAGCCTGGGTTCAGTTTTAGCAACCGTGAAATCCAGGAAGGTTTCCCATAAGAAAATGGGATGGAAGGTCTGGACCGAACACACACAGCCAACAGAGCGGAGGCTCTGAGGCTCACATTAATCAGGGAAAAGGAAGACAGACGGTCGAGCTGAGAAACTTCAGCCGGGTGAGGGGACTAATCCCTCTGTAACGGTTGTCAGTCTGAAAGGGCATCCTCACTCGGTTCTGGGCTCACCTCGTCTAGTTCCGAAGTCCTGGGCAGTCCGCTCACTCGAGCTGTCAGCGCGTCCTGCACTGGGAAACCAGCTGACTTGCCGACATACTTTTTCCACACCGCGGATCCGCGAACGTAGATTCGCCACATCCTTTTCTATTTCCTGGCATCTTGTAGAAAATTTCTCAGTCCAAGTGCCCCTATGTCCCAACCTGTTTCAATTTAACAATTTGAAAGGTGCAATAAGGTGTATTTCTATTGTTATTCTGTATTTCAGAGACAGGGCAAATCCGCCGTTGTGACGAAAGTGCAGGGACAAAGCACAAACTCGGCTCTGGTGGACCGGATACGGAAAAGCGGTGCCTTGGGGAGGGCGGGAGCAAATTCGCTTTCCCCACAGCGCGTGCGCCGCCGCAAGCATGGCTGGTGATGATTGGACGACTGGTAACAGGGGGCGGAGGGCTCCGAAGTCTGGTTTTGGGCGGGAATTGAAACCGCCGCTGAAGCCAACAAGAATTTGAGAACTGTAAATACCAAGCCTTGAAAGGGACCATGGTGCGGCCTGTGAGGTGGGTAGTTCCTGACATTCGTCGGGGGTGGGAGGAAAACTAAGGGAAAAGACATGAGACTAAGGGGAAAGGATCGAGTAAGACCGGAGGGCAGCGATGGTGGGGTTAGGATGGACGGTTATCAAGAACCCAGTCTCCAGTGAGAGCCACCCGTTGCTCAGAAGTATCCTAGCATCGTAGCTTTTTCCTTCTCTTTGCCTCCCTTCACAACCGTCGCCGTTTCTTTTACCAAGACCTTGTTAGCGTTTGAACAGCGCTTTACATTTCACCGAGCGCCCAATTATGTGTTATTTTATTTGTTTATCACTGTAGTTATTTGATATAGAAAGAGTAAGCATTCCTGTTGTATTGATTTAACATTTCTACGTATAGAGGGTAAGTTATCTGAGTCATACAGCCCAGTAAGTGGCAGGGCAATACTCAAACCTAAGTCATCTCACTCAAGATCCTCTGTGCTTTCCATCGTGGTATTAGAAACGATTCTTCTATTTACACAGTTGAGTGCCATGGAAGCCTATAGTTAGCCATTCATTTAATAAAGTTATTGAATATATTCACTTCTTTAGTGTACGAGGTGCTGGAGGTTACATTCCAGTGGGAGGTGAGGTTAGGGGGCCGAAAATAAGCCTCGAAATATGAGAGTGCGAAAGAGGAAAGCACTACTTTAAATATAGTAGTTAATATGTGACTCTGAGGCGATAATGCATGCACTGAGTCATGAATCAGGGTAGAGGGAATAGGAGCCAAGGCCCCATACTTGACCATATTTTAGGGACAGTCTAATGCTATAGGATTAACAAGCAGTGGGGAGAATCGTAGGGGGATTAGGCCAGAGAAATAGGCAGGTGCCAGAACAGATAGGGTCTTGTAAGTCTTAGAAAGGAGTTTAGGTTTTATTTTAAGTCAATGGGAAGTCAGTGGAGGGTTTTAAGTAGGGGAGAGGAATCTAAGTTTGCTTTTATAAAGGTCACTGGCTGTTGGTGGAGAATAAATGATGGATAGGGTGACCAGAACGGGAGCAGGAAAATCAGGTATTATATCATTGGAGAGCGGTTTGGGATAGGGTATTATTAGTGGGCATGGAATGGAACAGATGAATTTGGGATGTATTTCGGAGGCACTGTGGACAGAACTTGCTGATGAAGTAGATGTACAGGTAAGGGAAAGAAAGAATCAGAGATGACTCCACAATAGTTTTGGTCTGAGCTACAGGATGGATGATCTTTGTATTAAGATAGGGAAGACTAGGAAAAGGAAGGTTAGGAGGTGTGAGGGATCAAGATTTCTGTTTCGAACATGCTGAATTTGAAATGGGTTTTAAGCATCCAGGCAGTGGAGTCATAATCCCTTTGTAAGGAACAGCAGTTGTTAAAGTATGGTCTACAGACCTCTGTGGGTCCCTGGAAACTTCTCTAGAGGTCTATGAGGTCAAAACTCCTTTCATAACAATACTAAGATATGATTTGCCTTTTTCGCTGCTTTGTCATTTGCACTGCAGTGACCCCGATAAAACTGCTGGCACCTCAGAACAATTAAGGCAGTGGCACTAAATTGTACTACTAGTCTTTGCAATGTTTACTGCCATACTCTTAAAAGTAAAAAAAAAAAAAAAAATCATTTCAGTTAAGAATATGCTTGATGAAGTAGTGGAAATTATTATATTCATCATAGCTTAACCCTTAAGTATACTAATTAAAAATAGGCTATTGATTTTATTTTACTATTATTCAAGTTCAGAATTTATAAAGGGGTTTTCACATTTTATTCAGCTCTAACTTCTTTAACTCTGAAGAGTAAGAGAGTAATATGAGTGCACTTTTTAATAGTTTGCGTGAGGAAACAGGAAGTACACATAAAGCACTTCTGTATACTGATGCGTGATAGTTATCTCAAGGAAAAGCACTTGTGAGATTGTCTGAGTTGTGAGCTGAGCTTACTACCTCTTTTTCATAGAACATTCTTTTTACTTGAAAGAACAACCAGCTGACAAATTAGGTTATTCACATTTAGCCATTTGACAAAAATATAGAAATAAAAACTAGAAAAACATTTTATTTAGTGCCTAGAGGAGGGAGGAAAAAATTATTTTTTTCACTTTGAATATCATTTTCTTCTAATGCCCTCTGAAGTAGTACAAGTTGAGCATCCCAAATTTGAAATGCTCCAAAATTTGAAACTTTTGCAGTACCTACATGGCACTCAAAGGAAATGTTCATTGGAGCACTTCAGATTTTAGATTTTCAGATTTGGGATGCTCAGCTGGTAAGTATATAATGCAGATATTCCAAAATCTGAAAAAATCCAAAATTCAAAACATTTCTGGTTCCAAGCATTTCAGATAAGGGATACTCATCTCAGGTGGTAGGAACAAGGTCACTCACCATTTTTAAGTGTCCGTTGCATAAAAATGTTATTTGGTATGGTGGAGAGATTGAAAAGAAAGTAGCTTTTAGTGTCAAGAAATTTATAATCTAGTAAGGAAGATAGAATGCACACACAAAACAGAAGAACACGTACAACGGGAACTTACAAATGCCCAACAGCAATTAAACAGTATAGCAATTATAAATGTTAATTATGTAGATTATTCTTTGTAAGTTACCTGAATTTTTTTCCTTTATCATATAATTGAAAAGCCAACAATACCCAGGTATATCAGGTATAGTTGTAACTATTTTAGCTAATGATAAATCCCCGCGGTAAAATGCAAATCATGTTTTAGAGTTAAATATTCTTACTTGAACCCAAACACATTTTCATTTATTGAAACACATTTCATTTAACACATTTTTATTTATTTCGTTTATTCATTATTTATTAATAAATGAATAATATTAAATAAATAAATAATATTCATTAATAGCCTTAAGTAATAGTGGTGAGAAATTGACATTTGTGTTAATGAAAAAATTCTGTTTTGGTCATAGACATAAGAAACCAGTCAATTACTCACAGTTTGACCACTCTGACAGTGATGGTAAGTAAAGCTTCTTATTTTTGTTCTAAAGATTTGGAAACTCATTTCCTCGGAATTTATATGACATATATAGCTCAAACACTGACTAAATTGCCCAAATGCATATGAGGTAGGTCTGGAAAGATAGTTTTCTAATCATTTGGGATAATTATGCTGATAATTATACTGATAAAAATTATGTTAGTAGGTGATAAATGAACAGGCCAGGTGAAAAGTCTCTTTAGATCTAAACTACTCTAAAGTCCATAGTTGCAACATAGAGGTTTGTCTCCTATTCCATCCCTGAAGAAGGAAAACACTGTCTTTTTGAGATACAAAGATGTTACAGCATATTATATAAAATCCCTATTAATTGTACTATAAAACAAGACCTTGAAGAAAGGTTAGGCTTATGTTATGCCTTTTAAGCATTAGTCATATGTTTACTTGACTCTGCTATGATTGAAAAGTTTGAGGAACATTGCATTAGATTATGTTATATGTTGAAGTGGATTTAATATTTCTTTCTTAGACCACTAGAGTTTTCTGTAAGTCAAATATTTAGTAAGTCTTCGGTTTGAAGGAATCTGTTTTTGCCTTGAGCACAGCCTTAACTGTATCTACCACTTGGGAAAAAGAGTGTAGAGTATAACATCTAGCTTTTTTTTTTTTTTTGTCATCAGTCTGTCATCAGATACTTATAAATTGCCAGGTGTGTAGTAGTAGGTGGGGGGAGTCCTAAGTTATCTTATTTTTACATGGGGAAGCATATAAGAGACAACAAGTATTAGTGCTTGCTGAGTATGTGATGAAGACTGCATAGACCCTGAAAGTATGCATATATGTGTTGTATACATGTGGAAAAGCCACAGCAGTAGTTTTACGTTGACAGTCAAGAGTAGAACTACAACAGTTCAGAGGATTGGTAAGACAGAAAAACCTGTGAGAAACAGTAATGGACTGGAAAAGAACATCCTTTTGCAAGAAAATAAGAAGTTACTTTGGTAGGATCTTAGGAAGATCATTATGGTAATGGAAAGAGAAAATACTACTATTGTAAAAATCCTCAAATAGGAGCTACTTTCTCTTCCCCCCATAATGCTTATTTCCTCTAGCATGGTTAATGTACTAGGAATAGGTAATGGGCTTTTTTTTCTCTTTTTTTTGAGACGGAGTCTCACTCTTGCACCTAGGCTAGAGTGCAACAGCGCGATCTTGGCTCACTGCAACCTCTGCCTCCCAGGTTCAAGCGATTCTCCCACCTCACCTCCTGAGTAGCTGGGATTATAGGTGTCCGCCACCATGCCTGGCTAATTTTTGTATTTTTTAGTAGAGACAGGGTTTCACCACTTTGGCCAGGCTGGTCTTGAACTCGTGACTTCAGGTGATCTGCCCGCCTTGGCCTCCCAAAGTGCTGGGATTACAAGTGTGAGCCACTGTGCCTGGCCCAAGTAATGGGCTTTGAAAAAAGATATTTGGCTACATTGTGAAGTTCCCATAAAAATAATTTATTTCCACTTTTCAATGTGATTAAATTCTACCAATTTTTCTAATGGTTTTACAGGTTTTTAATCATTTTTTCTTTGACACTTATATGCTGTCTTAATTGCTTTTGCAGTTTTTAGTGAATTGGTTTTTGATAGACTGATATTTTTAAATATAAAGGGCACAAAAACAAAAGTCGAAATAGATAAATGAGAGTAAAGATAAACAAAATACTAACAATGATTTTTAAATTGTGGAAATTAAACAATTTGCCTAGCCTATAAAAACTTGAACACACATGGTAATGATTTTCATTTATGAAGAAAATAATATTTTTCTTTTGGTTTTAATTCACACATGAATAGATGATTTTGTTTCTGCAACTGTACCTTTAAACAAGAAATCCAGAACAGCACCAAAGGAGTTAAAACAAGATAAACCAAAACCTAACTTGAACAATCTCCGGAAAGAAGAAATCCCAGTACAAGAGAAAACCCCTAAAAAAAGGTGAGAGGTAAGACATGCAGTAAATATATGACATTAGATGTGTTAATTTTAAAGAGACACAGATTCGAACCCTTGATTTAAATTAGAACTTGGGCAGAGTCATAGGTCTTATTTTACTAGGTGCAGTCAGAAAACAGGACGTACTATTTTTTTCTGGCTTTCTGACTTAAAGAAATTCACAAACATTCAAGGAAGTATCATTAAATATTAAGACAATAATGATTGTAGAATTCAGAAGTTATGACTGGTTTTGACAGGACCCAGCACTTATCTCTGAATTCCTCAAATCATACGAGACTACTTTGTTAAAAATGACATTAGATGACTTAAGATGATTAAGACACAAGATGACTTAATATGAGGACAGTTTTTAAAATATAAAACCATGTATTTTCTTGCAGAAAAAGATGTCTTCTCCCCATGTTGTTAAGATTTATCCAGCAGTGAGAAGTTCCCATAGTTTCTAGACTAACCGTGGAATTCCATTAGATAGTATCAAGAGGCAGAAAGGAGTGAAGGAAGTCCTTAGAGACCCAAAACTTGCAGTATGGAGAAGAGATGGGCGGAAGGGGAATATTAACAAATGGAACATGGCATATATAATGTTTTACTGCCACAAGTTTCTCTATGAAAAGTGAGTTAGCCTGGAGAAACTTACCTCATGTCATGCTCTTTTTTGCTTTTCTTTTTTTTGGTTTTTGTTTGTGAGTTTCTTGTATTACATTTTAAATATATAGAAAAAGGAACCCACACGTGGGAGAAAATATTTGTAAATCAGATAACTGATAAGGGACTGTATCCAGAGTATACACAGAACTCGTAAAACTCAACAGTAAAAAGACTAACAACACAATTTAAAATGTGCAAAAGATTTCAATAGACTTTCTCCAGAGAAGATAAACAAATAACCAATAAACACATGAAAAGATGCTCAATATCATTAGCTGTGAGGGCAATGCAAATCAAAATCAGAATGAGATAATACTTCACACCCACTAGATGACTTAATACAAAAGACAAGGAATGTGGAGAAATTTGAACCCTCATATATTGCTGGTGGGAAAGTAAAATGGTGCAGCTAAATTGGAAAATGGTTTAGCAGTTCCTCAAAATGTTAAACAGAGTTATTACATGACCCAGCCTATGTATGTATCCAAGAGAAATGAAAACATATGCCCACACAAAAACCCATACATGAATGTTCACAGCAACATTATTCATAATAGCTAAAAAAAAATGGAGGCAATCTAAATGTCTATCTGCTAATGAATGGATAAGTAAAATGTGGTTTCCACAAAATGGAATATTTTTCAGCCATAGAAAGAAATGACAACTGATAACTGATATATACTGCAATATGGATGAACCTTGGAAACATCATTCTGAGTGAAAGAAGCCAGATATACAGGTCACATATTACATGATTTCATTTGCATGAAATGTCCAGAATAGGCAAATCCATAGAAACGGAAAGCAGATTAATGGTTGCTAGGAGGGGAGAGGGGTAAACAGGAAGTGAATGCTAATGGGTATGGGGTTTCTTTTTGGGGTAATAAAGATGTTCTGAAATTAGGTAGTGTTGGTGGTTTTACAGCTCTGTGAATGTACTAAAAACTGCTGAATTGTTTACTTTAAAAGGTAAACTTTATGATATGTGAATTATATCTTAAGAAAACTGTTATTCTAAAAAAATAAATTCTTTAAGGTACATCTCAGTGCTTCTTCCTTTATGTAACTTTTCCTTATCTGTCTTTGACGTTTTCTTCCTCTTATACTCCATAGCACTTTTGAGCAGCTTGAATAGGACTTTATAGTCTGCCTTTTATAGGATAATTATTAGCATGTCTTGTTTCCCCACCCTCCTCCTTTAATTGCAGACTCCCTGAAGGTACTTTTAGTATTCCAGCTAGTGCAGTGCCTTGTACAAAGTAAGTGCTTGGTAAAATATTTGTTAAAGTCTGGATTGGGAGGAAGAGATGTAAAAAAATGATAATAATTTTAATTTAATGTAAGAGCTATAAAATCTGCTAAAGGGGAGTGGGTGAGGTCAAGGAAGAGTTTTAAGTGGAAGTGATGTTTGAACCAAGTCTGTTTTGGGTTGAGTAGGGTGTTTCCCACCTGGACACAGCTGGTAGTAAGGTGACACATTACAATGAAAGGGAACAGTCATTGCAAAGAGGCACATGGTCCTCCTATTTCAAACCTCTTATTCTGTATGTAACATGATACTGTGACATTTTAGGAGTCTTATCTTATCATCAAAGGTCTATTAATGATGATTGTTTAAAAACATTTTTGCGAAGTTAGCAACTCTTGAATAGTAATTTGGAGAAATCTCAAACTTTGCTCTTTAGTTGAGATTGATATTTTGAAGAACTCATTATTACTTGTGTATCTATTTTAGGATGGCTTTAGATGACAAGCTCTACCAGAGAGACTTAGAAGTTGCACTAGCTTTATCAGTGAAGGAACTTCCAACAGTCACCACTAATGTGCAGAACTCTCAAGATAAAAGTAACTTTATTTTCTGTATATTTAGCTTTAAAACCTTCTTAATGCTTTTGTGATTATTTGTTTGGGTGGGCCTTCACAGAGGAAACAGGTAAAATGTGAATACTTTGCACTATAAATAGACCCATTTGCAGAGAATACGATTGGATTTAGTTCTTAATTCAGCTGCCTAAATCTCATACAAACAGACATACATCTCTGCTTAACACCCAGAATAAGCTTGAGGGCACGGACTGTGAGCCTCAGTGTTCGAATTATATGTTGTTGTACAGTGAACATTTAATTTCTTCATCAAATGATTTGATCTGTACAGTCCTAACAATCCATCTCCATTTTTTCCAGATCAGTTAAACATACCCTAATTATGGTAATTTTTATTACTTACAAAGGTCAAAGGTATTAATTTGGTTAGCAAGTTCAGTAGACTTAAGAGAATGGCTTTTGGATTTCTCTGTTGATTTTCTCCTTTGATTTTTCTGGCAATATATTAATATTCTAGAGAGGCAGAAATCATTATTCCTGAAAAAGATACTCTACTGCTAAAATGCTTTTTGGCTTAAAGTTTTTATGTTGGGGGATATTTTAGCTTATTATCTTATTTAGGGGTATACATGGAGCTTTTTTCTTTGTTTCTTAAATCAGTACTGCCTCCTTATTTATTTATTTATTTGAGACAGGGTCTCTCTCTGTCATCCAGGCAGGAATACAGTGGCATGATCATGGCTCAATACAACCTTGACCTCCTAGGCTCAAGCAGTCCTCCTGCCTCAGCCTCCTGAGTAGCCGGGACTACAGGCATGTGCCGCCATGCCTGGCTAATTTTTTATTTTGTAGAGAGGGGTCTCACTATGTTGCGCATGCTGCCCTCAAACTCCCAGCCTCAAGCAATCCTCCTGCCTCAGCCTCCCAAAGTGCTGGGATTACAGGCGAGAGCCACCTTATCTGGCTGCCTCCTCTTTAAAAAGAAATGAAAGTTTGATTAGGAAGACTTTTAGTAACCAAGAATCAAAGAAACATCAAAAGAGAATTATCATGAATTACATTTAAAATGGAGGCACTGAAATTCATCTCTCTCTTTTAAGACATTGTAGAATGTATAAGGGGAGTTCCTTAGAAGTATTAATATTATACCATTTCTTATTAAATAATGCACCTTATAGCATTGGAATTTAATAGTACCAATTATTATGTCTTAAAGTCCTCTTAGAATGCTTTGGGTCATTTTAAGGTTATTATAACGATTGGAGAGTTCTTAACGTTAGTAAAAGCATGGATTTGCCTACACAGAATTGATAGTTTATTGACCATTTCCTGTATATTAGGCACAATAATAAGCAATTCCTATGTGAGATCCACATTTGGTCTTCTGTAATACCACTGGGTAAGACACTATTTTTATCTCCACATTATAGATGAGGAAATTCAGTCTTAGGATAAGCAACTTGCCCATGGTCATATAGCCAGTTTACATGGTAGAGCCTGAATTTAAACATGTTAGATTTCAGAGCCCAGACTTCTAACCATATGTTAACCTCTCTGAATAAAATTATTGTGCCAGTTGGAGTTTGGGATCATTTATTTATATCTAAATGCTATTACATTTTAGTACTAATTTTCCTATATCTAGACATTGATTAAGATATATCTGAATTTTCTTTCTTATTCCTTATATTTAGGCATTGAAAAACATGGCAGTAGTAAAATAGAAACAATGAATAAGTCTCCTCATATCTCTAATTGCAGTGTAGCCAGTGATTATTTAGGTAAGTTTTTTATATTAATAATTTTTCTCATCAACAATGCTGTTTCTCTGACTTTTGTTTAAATTGCTGAAATTGTGGCTAGAAGCAAGTTCTTTAAATTTGTCAAGACTCTCTTGATGTCATGGCCTTTATTTCTTTGTGTTTTAGTCTCATTCTGTCGTACTGCAGACACACATTCTTCCCTGAAGGGTCATAACTACCCGTGGCTTCTAGTTGGAGCAACTGACCTTTGAAGAAAGGGGCTGCATATTCCCAATTCTAGTTTGAAAATTTTGGGGGAAAGATTATCTCTGTTTGGGTCTTGGATTTATCCCTAAAACTAGAGGTGTTCCCAGGGCACTGATGTACCATGGTTGACCCAGATTGGGCTAATAGTCTATTACTGGAAGCATGGGAGGGATGAACCTGGGCAAATAAAAACAATAGCTGTAATAGAGTCTGGTCTGCAGTTCTTGAAATATCAGTTGTCACAGAAAGTTTTCCATTGATTTTTATGCCTCTCCTGAAGATTTGGATAAGATTACTGTGGAAGATGATGTTGGTGGTGTTCAAGGGAAAAGAAAAGCAGCATCTAAAGCTGCAGCACAGCAGAGGAAGATTCTTCTGGAAGGCAGTGATGGTGATAGTGCTAATGACACTGAACCAGACTTTGCACCTGGTAGGTTTTATTCTACTTCGAAATTAATTCTATGGGAATTCAGTCAAAAAAGTTCTTGGAAGCTATTAATTGTGCAAAGCACTGTGTTAAACCTTTGGGGTGTGCAAACTTCAGGGACACACAGAACAGTTCAATTCAGTGATAGCATTTGGGGAAAAAGTTTTTTCTACGAGTTAACCTTTAAGCTATGCCTTGAAAAATGAGTAGCGTTTCAACAAACTAAAGGTGTAAAGTAGCATTTCTGACTAACAGAAAGGCATTACCTGTGGAATAGACAAATGCTCTATTTGTCTCTAACTGAGGCTTGCTGGGATGAACATGGAAGAGGCTCGAGAGGGAGGCTGGTACTAATCAGGGAGGGTCTCAGACCCACTGGAAGAAGTGTAGGCTTTTTTTTCCTGGAGGTAGTAGAAATCCATGAATTATTCTGAGGCAGAAGTGATATGAAATCTATATTTTATTATGATGGTTTTTAGACTCATTTAGAAATTGGGCAAATGGAAAGTGTAGTGACCTTGACAGAACATTATAACATATTAATTAAAAATTTAAATTCATAAATTCATAAATGTAGGCCAAATCAAGATACCATATTTTAGATTTTGATATACTATCAACAAACAATAACAGATTTGCTCATCGTCACTTATTCGACTAATATTTGAATGCTTTTTATGTGCATTATATTCTAGATACTAGGGATACAATAGTGAAAAAAACAAACAGCTCCTGTCCTTCTGGAACAACGGAAATACATGAAAAAAGACTGTTTTGCATTTGTTTTACTTTGGGAGGGCCTGGGAGACAGGAAAATGCAAAGACACTCTTTGAGCGCCAATGTGATGCTTAAAGGAAATACTCATTTGAGCATTTTGGATTTCTGGAATTGGAATGCCCAACTGGTATAATGCAGATGTTCCAAAACCCAAAGAAAATCTGAACCCTGAAACATGTCTGGTCCCAAGCACCTCAGATAAGGGATACTCAGCCTATACTATATGATCTAGCAATCCACTTCTGAGTATGTATCCAAAACGATTGAAAGCAGGATCTCAGGGAGACATTTGCATACCCGTGTTCATAGCAGCATTATTCATAATAGCCAAGAAGTGGAAGCAGCCCCAAAGTGACATTTCAGTTTTCCCCCTGCATTCGCTTGTCCTGGATGAGAATAGAAAGGACCATGTGTGACCTTCATTAGGGAAAGAAAAGAGAAAATTGCAGAGAAGATAAGTCTTTTCTCTAACAGTTCCCAAAATCCGTAACTGAAGTGTTTGGGCCTTCCAGATTTTCCTCTATGGGATGCGAATGACTTGGAATTTTGGGAATTCCAACTCCCCATCTCTAATTTTATTTAAATTGCTTTCTCAATTGACTGACGAAGATTAGTTGGACCCCATTTCTGAACAAGCTTGTTACACAGAAATGTTGCCAGGGCCTACTGTTTATCCTCTTGAGCCAAGAAGAGAATCCTTCAGACTTCTAAGTTACTGAACACATGCAGTATCAGAACTATTGGATACACAGAAAGTTTTGTTGTAGATAATATATTTGGAAAGTTTGGAGAAAGTTCCTCTACCCCTTGCCTTCTTTGAGCGGAGAGCTTCTTAGGATTGCTTGAATTTGCAGGCTGCATTTCTAACAGCCCTCATGGGACCTGCTGGCCTTTCTGGGCTGATTCTCTATAGCACGGGAACCGTTATGTGAACATGTGAGTTGATTATCTTTAACATTGTGTGTGGGAACAATGATAGAATAAGGACATTGCAATTTGAAGATCATAATGACATTGTTTTTTGTTTTTGTTTCGTTTTGTTTTTTGAGATGGAATCTCGCTCTGTCGCCCAGGCGGGAGTGTAGTGGCACGATCTTGGCTGACCATGGCCTCCGCCTCACAGGTTCAAGCAATTCTTGTGTCTCAGCCTCCCAAGTAGCTGGGACTACAGGCATGCGCCACCATGCCTAACTAATTTCTGTATTTTTAGTAGAGATGGAGTTTCAGCATGTTGGCCAGGGTGGTCTTGAACTCCTGACCTCATGTGATCCACCTGCTTTGGCCTACCAAAGTGTTGGGATTACAGAGGTGAACCACTGTGCCCAGCCCATAAATGACATTGTTGATTTAGGTAAAGGTCATCAATGGAAGGTTGATAAGGATCTTTACAATGTTGAATTCAGGCTGGCATCACCTGAACCACCTAAGAGAGGGACAACCACACATTATATGATTTCTGATGTGATGTAATATGAAGTACAAAGAATATACTTATGAAGTATATTCTTGCCGTCCCTCCTCCCCCCACCACCAAAAAAAGCGAGCCTGAATCCACTCAAGCCTTGAGAGCAGAATTCCAGCTCACATAAAATGCAAGAATATGGCCGGGCACAGTGGCTCACACCTGTAATCCCAGCACTTTGGGAGGCTGAGGTGGGTGGATCAGTTGAAGTCAGGAGTTCGAGACCAGCCTGGCCAACATGGTGAAACCCCTTCTCTACTAAAACACAAAAATTAGCTGGGCGTGGTGTTGTGTGCCTGTAATCCCAGCTACTTGGGAGGCTGAAGCAGGAGAATTGCTTGAACCTGGGAGACAGAGGTTGCAGTGAGCCAGGATTGTGCCACTGCACTCCAGCCTGGGCGACAGAGTGAGGCTCCATCTCAAAAAAAAAAAAAAAAAGCAAGATTAAGTTAAATGACACCATGAGCTAGAAAACAGACAAATCCAGAATTTAGGACATTCTACAGGACAATTGACTCAACTGCTTCAGCAAGTCAGACACAAGGGAGGACAGGGAGAAGATACTGCTCTATATTAAAAGAGATTAATATAGACTGAATAGAAGATGATACCAAGAAACTAGTGTTGGTATTGCTAGATGTAATAATGGCATTGTTGTATGAGAAAATGCTTATGTTTTTTAGAGATACATTCTGAAGTATGTAGGAATGTAATGATGTGATGCCTTGATTTTATTTTAATATACTACAAAAGGGAATAGAAGAAGAAGAGCGAGATAGATGAAACAAATGGAGCAAAATGTTGATAATTGTTGAATCTGAGTGGTGGTTTATTACTGTCTACTGTGGTATAGGTTTGAAAATTTTATATGATTGTATTTTACATATAATATTTCTTATAGATAGGTAGATATTAGTATGTGGGGACAATAGTGGTTATCTCTGAGTGGTGAGATTACAGAGTAGATTTTCTTTAATAAAGTTTTGTATGGTCTGTATTTTCTACAATCAGCATGTACTGTTTATTTTTCATTTTATTTGTACATTTTTTGATTTAAGCATTTTCTGCAATAAGCATGTCCATAATATTAAAAATGTAAAAAAGTTTTATATTAATATAGGACTAACCCTATTTACACTTAGTTTTCAGAGTTTATCTACAAGGCATGGTTTTCTGATCCTAACCCCCTCAAAAAATAGAAAGATCATTGCTTAACTATCAGGTTAGGAAATGCTTTTTTCTAGAGCAGCTGTAGCACTTTCAAAATTAGATCACTGGCTTATATTTTGCCACGAAGTGCAGAAAAGCATTTTTGAGAAATAAAGGTTTGTCCCAAATGAAATCAGCTCTAGGATTATCTGCTAAGATTGTTGTGTATGGTTATCTCAATTCTCATTTGGTCTGTTCCAGAATGTTGAAGTTTATGTGATTAAGGGAAGGCTCACTATTACCATAAATGTCACTGTTTTGAAAGACTAGCTATTGTCATACCCTACCATTCTTTTCAAAAGTCACTGAGTTAAAATGGTAAAATCTGAAGTAAAGATTACTGATGGGAAATTTATAGTGATGGTGGTAATAGCAAACAATTTTATTTTGCTCAGTATATTGCAGATGTTATTCTAAATGCATTATATATATATTAACTCATTTAATCCACGCAACAACCCTTTGATGGAGGTTTACAGTTATCCCCATTTTCTAGGTGAGGAAACTGAGGCTCAGTGAAGTTAGTGACCTGTCTGAGGATGCAAACCCAGGCACCCACAATGGCAACCACTGCAGTGTTCTGCTACTGGAAACAGTGCAGCACAAAGGTGCATAAGAATCT
The DNA here is from genome assembly GCF_000001405.40 of Homo sapiens. Lineage (NCBI taxonomy): Eukaryota > Metazoa > Chordata > Mammalia > Primates > Hominidae > Homo > Homo sapiens. The sequence continues at coordinate 4,552,905 of NC_000012.12, forward strand.
GAAAGCTGTGGATAAAGTTAAGGCAACAGAATCCTCACTTTTTAGAGCAAAGATGAACTATATAATCTTCTGTTTTAGGTGAAGATTCTGAGGATGATTCTGATTTTTGTGAGAGTGAGGATAATGACGAAGACTTCTCTATGAGAAAAAGTAAAGTTAAAGAAATTAAAAAGAAAGAAGTGAAGGTAAAATCCCCAGTAGAAAAGAAAGAGAAGAAATCTAAATCCAAATGTAATGCTTTGGGTAAGCTTGGTCCAAAACACTTAATTTTATAAAGGAAATGTATGTGGTTTGTTTGCCGTATTTTTCTTATTTTTGCCTTTGTTCTCTTTAACATTTTCCTAACGTCCATTTCTTGTTAAAATATGTAAAAGGAAGGTGGGGTGGGGAAGGGAGAAAAGCGGACAAGAATGCTGACTCCACTACGTATGCTAGCACTTACTGTATATGACCTCACTTTGGTACTCATGGCTGCCGTCTGTGGTTAGCTGTTGTCACCTGCATTCTACAGTGAAAAACTGAGTGTCAGAGAGGTTAAATAATTTGTTGGAAATCTTACATCTAATAGGTGAAGGGCTAGAATTTGAACCCATGTTTGTCCATTCAGAGTCTAAGCTGTATCTTGGACCATATTTTCTCCAGACAAAACAAGGAAGTTTGCATAATTCTAATTTTTTGCTTTTGTGCTTTACTTAGTCTGATTTGAGAGCTCTTTTGCCACATGTTTAGGGCCCTTTTTTTTTTTTTATTTCCCCAAAACAAATTCCATTAGAAACTACTTTTATGATAAAACGTTTAAAATTTATGGTGACTCGAACATGGAATACCTGTTTCTTGTGTAAAAGAAGTTAGGATATTTTTGAGTTCATAGTATATGATAGGTTATTGCAAAATATAACTGTCATTAACTGAGTTTGTTTTATTTCTTGATAATCATTTTTATGTCTTGGTTTATTTAATATATATGCTATTGATATTAAAAGTTCCATTATTTAGTCTTTCCATTTATTCATAGGAGCTGCTGTCACCTTCAGTAGCCTGTTGCTGAGTACTTACTAAGAATTAAATGAGAATTAAGTACTGATTGAGTTATATTCTTCTCTCTCCTGTATTTTGAATTAATGAGGTTTTTTAATTAGAGTGTTTTTTTTTTAATTGATGACTTCATCTGGGTTCCAGAAATTCTGAGTATCAGAAGTCGAAAGTGGTTCTCACTGGGCTAAAATCAAGTAGTCAGCAAAACTGTGGTCCTTTGTGGAGGCTCTAGGAGACAAACCACGTTCTTGTCTTTTCTAGCTCCTTGAGGGTGCATTTCTTGGCTTGTGGCCCCTTCCACCTTCAGAGAGCAATGGCAGGGACTTTCTCACATCATGTTACTCGACTCTGACTTTCTTCCTGCTCACGTTTACTTATAAGGACCCTGTGATTACATTGGGCCCCTCCAGATAATTCAGTGTAATTTCCCCATCTAAGATTCTTAATTACATCTGCAAAGTCCCTTTGCCATGTAAGGTAACATATTCACATGTTCTGGCAATGACGATGTAGACATCTGAGGAGCCAGTATTCTGCCTACTACAAGCTATAATAGGAAAAAGTTATTAACACCATGAATATATTTTGTATTTTCTTTAGATGTTTGTTTATGCTTCTTCACCAAGACACACTAATAACTAAAAATAAAACTTCAGTTCCCAAGTTGGAGTTTACCATTTAAAATCTTTTCTCTATCCCTTGGAGCAAGTTGCTTCACAACTGAGATTTAATATATAATATTAGAAATGAAATTTAACCATTAAGTGATAGGACTAGGAATTAGGAAAAATGGATTATATTTTTAGTCCTACTAGTAATGTATTGGGTAAACTTTGCGAATTGTGTCTAGCACATGTTATAATTTTCCCTTGATAGAAAAAATGTTGAGAGCTATGCTGTCCAATATGGTAACCTCTAGCCATGTGTGGCTATATTACATTTGAATTAATTAAAATTAAGTAAAATTTAAAAATCAGTTCCTCAGTTTTGCAAGCCACATTTCAAGTGCACAGTAACTGTATATGGCTAGCGGCTACCATATTGGACAGCACAAAACACAAAACATTTCTATAATCACAGAAAGTTCCATCAGACAGTGCTGATCTAGAGGATGCAGATGTTAACATTAGGAAGAGTATACGGTGAAAATGTTCATGTTTATATGTGTTGAAATACCCCTAGGTATCTCAAAACAAGCACTGTCTGAAAGTGAACTTAATGCCACCTCTCCTCCCTCCCCACCACCAAAAAAATAAATAAATAGAACCAAAACATACTTCCAGGCTTGTGTTTATTCTCTAGATAAATGGCACCATCAAAGTGTGCCCATGACAGGAACCTGCAAGTCATGGATTATTTCTTCATCTCCATTGCTGCCTCCCACCTATTTTTGCCAAAACATATCTAATGTGCTGTTTTCCTTCTATTCTCCACCTTAGCAGGCCCCCATTTCCTCTTACCTGATTACCATAATAACCTTCTAAGTAGCCTACTTCTCCTACACTACCACCAGAAAGATGTTTTTAAAATACAAATCACTCCTGAGAAAAATATGTGCATGACTGTGACTAGCCAGACTCTTGTACATGGTCTGCAAAGCTCTTCATAAGTGATCTACACCCAGTGTCTATCTCTCACATTTCCTACCCTTGAGATTTCTGCTCCAGCCGTACACTGAACCAGTCAGTACTACTGATTCTGGAACTTGGTGCATCCTCCATCTTTGCACACTGTACTCCCTCTGCCTGGAAAGCTTCTCTCAATTCACCTTTACTCTTCAATCTTGATTTGGTTCAGACCATCCTCACTCACCTCCTTCTAACTTTAAAACACATACCCCCAGATTGCAGTTTCCTTTTCTACTTGGCATACCTTTAGAGTCTGCCATATCCCTTACCACACTGCATTTTACACATCTTTACTTTCCTGTTCTTCCCACTGAAGTCTAGTGACTAAACCTTAAAGTCCTTGGGAGCAGGAGCCATGTTTCTAACCCTAGAGCCTGACACATAATCTCACTGACACATACTCACGAGACACTATTGTGTAATGGTTAGTTACAAGGATGGGATTTTGGAGGAAAATCTGGTTTCTAAGCTTAGATGCTTACTAGCTGTCAGACTACAGGCAGATTGCTTAACGTCTCTGTTTCCTTCTCTGAGAGTGGGGATAGTAATATCTGTATTGGAGTTGTTGTAAAGAGTTAGAGGTAATGTGTGTGATATGCCTACCACACTGCCTGGCATATTAATGCTCATAAAAGATGGCTATTCTTAGGCTCTCAATAAATGTTTGTTGATTAATAAGTTTATTTTTTATATGATTATGTAACTTTATAATTTTTACACATATATGCTAGACTTACTTTTTCTTCCTGCATGACAAACATTTTTACGTATATTTTTCAAATAAGTGACTTCGGTGGACTCTGCTCCAGCTGCCGTCAAATCAGAATCTCAGTCCTTGCCAAAAAAGGTTTCTCTGTCTTCAGATACCACTAGGAAACCATTAGAAATACGCAGTCCTTCAGCTGAAAGCAAGAAACCTAAATGGGTCCCACCAGGTATGGCATATTTATCATCAAGGACAGGAGCTTGGAAAATTATCACTGGTAAATTTTTTTCCTAGTTACAAACATCATGTGTGAGCATTTCCCCATATTATTACATATTCTTCAAAACCAAAGTTCCTGGTTGCTGCATATATTCATTTATTTAACCATTCCTTATTATTGGACATCCAGGTTTATTATTTTTTCAGTGCTATAAATAAGATTGCAATAAGTGCAAATGTCCTTATTTTAGAAATCTCTGGGCATATTACTGATTATTTTCCTAGGATAAAATTTCTAGTAGGAAAATTACAGTGTTAAAGGGTGTAAACATTTGAGATTCCTGAAGTATGTATTTCTGGCAGCAAATCTTTTGCTCAGGACCTGCTGACCTCCACAGTCTGACTGAAGCCTTGGGATCTATATGTGGCAATTCTAGCATTTAACAAATGCCCTAGCAAACTCAACCTCTTGCTTTCACAAATTTCACTTCTCTGTTTTCTTTTGCTCCACAGCCAAGTCTCATGGATCCTTCAAGAATTCTTTGACCTTCACCCTTCTTGACATTACTAAAACCCTAATCCAGGCCCAAATTGTTGCTGCCTTTCCTAACCAGTCCTGTCTTTACTTTCTGTCATCCACCTGCATGAACCGTCCACTTCAGTGAAATTGAAACACTTTTTGTCTCTCAAACATGTTGTATGTATGCCTCTCTCAGGGCCTCTCTTAATCCTCCTCTGCCTGGTGTGTCTTTCTTCATGTGTCCCCTCTCCTTGCCTGAGCCCTTCCAATTCTACTCCTGTTTTTCTTTTGAGGGGCCTCTCTTGATTGGTCCACAGTGCTCACTCCCCTGCTGACTACTATTCATAGATTTAGGCGTGAGCTGTGAGGCTGCATGATTACTTAACTTACAGAGTCTTCATTTCATCATGTGAAATATTGGGAACAACTGTAATCTTTAAAGTCCATTCTGGTTTACAACTTCTAAGATTTTTAATGAGGACTTAAAAACTTTTTGGAGAAGGAAAGGAGGGAAGATTAATTACTTGATGTCATATCATTCAAAGAGTAATACTTAGTATATTTCTAAAAATAATTAATGCTTCCCCAATGAAGGAAATTTAAATGGAGTGATATAACTATAGAAATTTAAAAGTAGCATAATTAAAAAAATACAAGGAAACAGTGGAATGATGGATAAAGAGTTAATGTCATCAAGCACAAAGTGCTTATCAAGTCAGCATGTGACAGTCAGGCAAGTGATGTAAACGAGTGAATTGGGCCCATGCAGTAGACTTGCGTGGGTAGGAATTTTGTTGGACTCAGGAGCGCGTACCCTTTTGAAGGAAGCAGCTGCTACTCAGCTCCATCGTATTGTTTCCATGCAAGATTATGGGCTTGGTATTTCTAGATCTGATTGCTGTTTTCAAGAGAAGCCAGAAATCCAGATTTTAATATGAAATCTGCTAATTTTTGTAAGTTGATTTTTTTTGTTGTTGTTGTTAGCACCATGTGAACCAAAACAATATATCTGAGAGCTAGATTTGGCCCTCAGATTGCCAGTTTGTTACCTATCTTATACAACTGGAGAAGACCACCAAGACCCCAAAAGTAAAATTAGCCAGAGGCATAAATATAACAGTGTCCCCAAGAACTATTAATACAACAAGAAAATATGAAGAGTTTCAGTCTCACTGGTAATTAAGGAAGTGTAAATTAAAATAAAATACTATTTTATACCTTTCAAACTAGAAAACAATAAAGCAGTATAGTCTGAGTTATAGGGTAGCAGGTATAATTATTTATTTTAAATTTATAATACTGTTGTGTAGGCGAGCAACTACAGTCACCATCAACTGTGAACATTCATGTGGATAATTTTGAAATAGATGGAAATAATTGCGACATTAGGATAATAGTATAATGAAACTAGTATAAATAAATAACAATATTTGCCATTTTTAAAGGTATTTAATAATTGAAAAATAGACTCTTCAAGGACTACTTGTAAAAATTGCAGGACCTTAAAAATGCATTTGCTTTTTCTATTACTTTAGAAATTATAATTATATGCATTTTTGTATGCCTTTACAACTAGCATTATTTGTTCCCAGCCTTCCTTTTTCAGCTTTCATGGTGAGGTTTTAGTGTCATTACCTTGGCTTCTGGGATGTTTGGAAATAGGCAATACTGTATTAATTTCTGCTCTTTAGAACATTCTGTTCTTTTGATCTAGTTTATTGCTTGATAGACACTGGAAAGCAGAATAATGCTTAACTACCTTTTTTTTGCTGCTTATTTTATAAATTAATCTTTGTTAAGAGATTTCTGACATCATCAGCATCACATCATATGTTTCCTTTCAGCGGCATCTGGAGGTAGCAGAAGTAGCAGCAGCCCACTGGTGGTAGTGTCTGTGAAGTCTCCCAATCAGAGTCTCCGCCTTGGCTTGTCCAGATTAGCACGAGTTAAACCTTTGCATCCAAATGCCACTAGCACCTGAGTGTGGTACAGGAGGAATGTTTGGTTGGGAGAATCACAGCTTTACAAGGGTGTTTATATTTGATTTGTGTTTATATTTGAGGCAGGTATTGTAATATAAAGGAATCCATTACCATGTCCTATAAATGACCTCTAGCCATTTTATGATTATGTTCTCTGTAAAACTCTTCAAGACTTCAATGAGAAGTTTGTTTATAAGAATTATCTTCTCATACCTTTCCTTGTGAAGAGCGTATTCTGTTTTTCTATCAGTTCGACATGAAGTCCACATCACATGCTGTTCTTTTCTAGTTACATGATGTGCCTTTCTAGCTTTGTCTAGTTTATAGCACCTTAACTTTAACTGTTCAGTTTTATCTGGCAGAGGAAAACATTCTTATTTCTTTCAGAAGACATTTCTGAAATCTTATAAGCTACTTAAGCTACGTTGTCAGTTTTATCGCAAAGATGTTTTGTATTTTAGCCAAATCTTTTTATAGTACAAACTTAGAATTATTTTACACACTAAAATGGTTGCAGTTTTATGGCATATGTCTCCGATTTAGATGGTTATTCTCTAGAAAATAGTATTTAAAGACATTTTATGAAATCTTCATTGTCAAAACCTTTAATAAAAGTGGAAATATTTTGAAATGCCCTTTTTCTTGATACCACTCATCCACGTGTTCCTGATTGTCCACATTTCATGATAAAATGAGAGCTCCGCAGAGAATGTTAGCCTTTCTGTTGTAAATGTAATCTTCAAGTAGTCACTTTTTGTTAAGTTCTTTAGAAAGTAGTTGTCAAGTACTTAGTCATCCCTATTATGATATGAGATAGTACAGCTTTTCAGGAAGCTTAGATCTGAATTTACTTTGAAAAACAATTGTAATGAATATTTTATATTTACATTGAGAATTTCAACTAGCTTCTGATCAATTTTTAATAAAAAATTTTCAAATCATGTTAGCTGTTAAAAAATGTATAATAACTCAGTTTTTCTTGGTTTATGGAAATATCTATATTAATGTGAAAATAATTAATTTAGAATTGTGATTAAAGTGAGCATTTGTCTATTGCTGTTGTACACTTCTTTTATCTAACGTATATTTTTATAGTGTCATATACCAGCCCCCTAACCTGCCCCACCTGTCCCCTTTTTAAAAACATATTTTCCAGTTACATAGCACTGAGGTACTCTATTTGGTGTAGATCAACAATAAACATAAGAGCCTACTGTATATTAGGTACTGATATAATTGATTAATCATCTGGCACCAGCTCAATAACCTGTTTTTGCCGTGTTCTTTATAGTTTATCAGGGGATTTGAAAATTACCTCAAAGTATGTTAAAACCAGCCTGGCTGAAAGCACTGATACCTTTATGTTGCCAAACCCAGTGTACAATTTTCTCACCTAATCTTATACACCCTATTCATTATACTCTGATGAAAACATTTGATTTCCTTGGCTCATGTGACACATTTCTTTGTCATTTCTTCCCATCTCCATGCCTACTCTTCATTATTTTGCAGCTTTCTAATCTGTTGTGTCACCTTTACCTACTTGTCTTACCAGTTTCATGTTCTATGCAAACTCCAGGGGTCACTTATGTGACAGTGACTGCCAAGTCAGGGTCTGTACCCTATACCATGCTCTTGACAACAGAACCTGTGGATGGTCCACTGACAATTTGATGTAGCAGATCAGTTGTTAAATTCAACGTCTCCTCCTACCCCTGACATCTCTCCTGTGTTTTCTGTTGGTAAATGAATGGCACCACCATCACTGCAGGTGCCAAAGGTGTCATCCTGGGATTGAGTCTTCTCTCGACTTTCACATCCAGTCACCAAGTCTTACTCCATTTCCTAAATTTCTCAAAACTACTCTTCCATGTGCTCTCCCTTACTCTGAAACATCATCACTCACTATTTCTAACAGGCATCCTTGCCTTGATTCTTAACCTACTCGGGCCTACTTCCATTGTTATTGCCACAGAGGGTTTTATAAAATAAAGTCAGCATGAACACCCCTCTGCAGTCTGCACATACACACCTTACCCTGGTCGAGTTCATAGCCTACTTGGTGTCTGACTCCCCCTTTCCTGCTGCTTCAACCTTGTCTCTGCCCACGTGCAACTTTGATCCCTGCCCCACTAAACTGGGTGCTGGCACAATGGTACCAAGCTTTTCTATGGCTCTGGCCTTCAGAATAGGACTTGCCTCCTTTACGTAGACAACTACTGCCTGTCCTTGAAGACTCAGATTCAACTCAGCTCTTTCAGAAAGCTTCATTTGAATGTCTTTTCTGCCTGGACCAGACTGTGCACCTCCAGGTCAACCTACTGCCACTCAATTACAAATTTCCCTTTTCATGCTTTCTACAATCTGGTGCAGAGTAAGCACTCAAAAAGTGTTCAGCTGATATATGGATTTTACCCAGAACTTTTGCTATGTACTTACTTTTTTTCTTTTTCTTTTTCTTTTTTTCTTTTTTTTTTTTTTTTTTGAGATGCAGTCTCGTTCTGTCGCCAGGCTGGAGTGCAGTGGCGCGATCTCGGCTCACTGCAACCTCCGCCTCCCGGGTTCCAGCGATTCTCCTGCCTCAGCCTCCCAAGTAGCTGGGACTACAGGCACGCACCACCACGCCCCGCTTATTTTTGTATTTTTAGTAGAGACGGGGTTTCACCATGTTGGCCAGGATGGTCTTGATCTCTTGGCCTCGTGATCCACCCGCCTTGGCCTCTCAAAGTGCTGGGATTACAGAAAAAAATGTCTAAATAGAGACAGGGGCGGGGGGGTCTCACTACTTTGAGCAGTTTGGTCTCGAACTCCAGACCTCAAGTGGTCTGCCTAGGCCTCCCAAAGTGCTGGGATTGCAGGTGTAAAACCACCGCGCCCGGCCAGAACTTCTGTGATGTAATTCTGATAACCACATGCTTCGCTTGAAGAAGGGGAGAGAGTAGGGATAATTTCATGTGTCCGGTCTGGGCAACCAACTTTAAGTTCTTTATGCTGGGATTTTGTTCAATTCTTGCCCTATACTTTAAAGAACTGGGGCAAGAGAATGCGAGTAGGAGGACGAGGAGTATGTTCTTCAGGCTGCTACTCTGCAAGGTGGTTTGGGACCACAGCCTGAGAAAGCCCTTCCAGCTCTGGAGTCATAAAAAGGGCGGGAGCCGTTTCTATAGCGACGGGAGGAGGGCGTGGCCGTCCCTTGCCCTCTGCCGGGCTCTCACAGCCTCCCGCAGCGGCGGGCGGTCAGCGCCGGCCTCATGCAGCTCCTCCCGCCGCCTATCCGCACCGGAACAAAGTAAGGGCCGCGGAGGCTCGTACTTCACGAGCAGTCAGGCGCGAGTACGAGGCAGGCGACGAAGCTTCTGGTCGACGGGGTCGTGGGGGGAGAATGAAAAGCGTGCAGAATGCAAGAGCTGACCGGGGAATGTGGGTCAGAGAGAGGCGGGCTGTGGTGCGCGGACAAGAAAATACAGTTGTAGTTTTTGCAGCAGCTGCATCCCCGGAATCCGACGTCAGTATACTTCCATGTTAAGATGCTGTCGCATCGGCGACTCCAGCTGAGTGCAGGACAGGGAGCGAGGGGTTCTGAGGAACTCAGCAGACCTATCCTGGAACTGTGCTTCCAGCCCTCACTGGGACGCCAGACTTTCTTCCTCCCTTTCTTTCTCTTCTTTACTGCATGTCCTCTTGGTAGTCGTAAGTGGGTCCACGACCACACGCCTCGCGTGGATGAGGCTCTGGCAGGCATTACTCATGTTCCCACCCAGCCCATATGCCCGGGCACCTCTGTGCTCAACCAGGGCCCAGCCCCTGACACAAAAGCGCGCGAAGGTGTGTGTAGATCACACACCCAGAGCTGCCACTCAGGAAATTCCCAATATTAGCAAATCTTTCCTTAAAAAAGAGATGAACAATGCACAATTTGAGGGTTTTTAAAGGCTATTCTGTGACATTTGCTGCATTTGAAATGTCCAGCAGCCCCTCAAAGCTTAGGAAAACCGTGACCCCTCTGACATGTCTTAAGCAACGGACAGCATCACCAATATTAATTCAAGCTTCACTGTCCAGGCTTAAGTGGAGACTCGGCAAAAGCAGGAGGCCATTTAGTGGAAAAGTTCAAACCGTGGAAACAACAAATGAAAATGTCCTTTGTCTTGCTTGAGCGATTTGATCACCTACATGTGGTCGGTATGTAAAACCTAGGAGTTCGAAGAAATTCTTCAAACATGCACTCTACCTTATTGTTTCTGTTACTTAAATCTGTTGTTTCTCTTGTTTGTTTTGGTCCTTATGGAGAAAGCAGAGGTAAATCGGAAGGGACTCTCTAGCAATATGCCAGCCACTCTTCCCTGACTTTGCCCTCTCCAACTCCACATATTGTTGCCTGCAACTTGGCTAGAATGCATAGTCCTCAAGCGTGTGGAGGACCCAGTGCTGGGATTTAGTGGTTTTAGCTGACTCTAAGCCCATCGTGAGTGTGTTGTGATGGCTCCCCAAAGAGCAAATGCTGGTGGAGGCTGCATTCATAGAAATGCAATGACCACATCAAAGAATATGGTCGTGCTGCCTGACTTAGCAATGAGTAGAACATAATCCAGACTCTAGAAACTGTAGCTACTTTGAGATCACAAAGAACTGGAAAATAGGAACAACCACAAGGCAGGCTCTCTCTGTCAGGCCTGGGTGTGCCATCACATGAAGAGAGGTTTGAAAAAACTTCACAGAATGCCTGGAGATGAGGAGATGCAAGGGAGAGAAAGCTTTTTTCTACTCAACTTTTGAACATTCAAGAACTCTTGAGTAGAAAAGAGATAGATTTGTTCCTTGGTACTCTGCAGAGGATAGCAAGGATCAGTGGAGGAAATTTTGCTCAATATAGTTTATTCTTCCAAGAAATATCAAGTACCAACCCTATGTAAATTAACAGTTGAGTGTGAAATGGGTTGCCTAGAAAAACAGTGCACTCTGTCATAGAAATATTCCAGCATAGACAGAGTGATTGCCAGGAATACCATAGAAAGAGGATTCTTCCCCAGGGTGGGAAAATGGATGACATGGTCTCCAAAACCTCTTCTAGCTCTTTAGAGTCTGGGAGTCAGTGAACCCTCAAGAGTCTCAGGGATATATGCAGAGGGTCCAAGGAATTCTCTGGCAGAAATGAGTGTGACTTAAAATACATTTAGATAGAAGAAATAAGACCTAGTGTTTAATAAATCAGTAGAATGACAATAGTAAACAATAATCTATTGTATATTTCAAAATAGCTAGTAGAGAATAATTTGAAGCCCTGACTTGATTATATATTATATAAATATAAATATACATCTATTATATATCAATTAAAAAATGAATGTAACTTAAGTTCATTAAAAACATTATCACCTGTTCACAGAATGCAAACGGAATCCCTGCAAACCCTGCACTGCCATACTTTCTGCCCCAAAGACAGCCCCCAGGGCATAAAGATCAAGCTACTGGCAATTGCAGTAGAAATCCTAAAATCATAACAGGTAAATCTCAAAAGACTTGTTTCCTTTCTGGATATTGAAGTACTCTATACACAGATGATGTGTATATATTAATATAAAATACTATGCAGTGCAGTAAGGCTGGCACCTCTGTGGATCTGCCTTAACCTTGAGTCTTCGAACTCCTTGAAAACAAGGCTTCTGTTTTATTTATCTTTGAATCCTCCATGCTTAGCCCAGTAGCTGGCACACAGTTGATGCTCTGGAATTTTTTGATGAATTAATCTATTTTAGATTTCTCTTCCCTCAGCAAATTTGTACCAAGTTTTCAACAGACAAGTCACTGTCCTTACCCCAAAAGGAATTTTTTAAAAATGCAGGATCACCATCTATGTCTCCAAAAGACTAACAATCAATATGAGACAAAAAATATATGCACCTAAGATAATTAAATGACACTAAAGCTCTTGACCAAGTGAAAAAATGGTTTCTTAGGCAAACACACGATTGAACGCTCGAGGAAAGAGAGGAAGGGGAAGGAGAACTCCGATCTGCATGTAAGATGAAATGAGAATGGCCAAACTTTTGGTTTCAGTTCTCAAAGGAACATTCACTCTAGCTCTGAGCTGAGTTTATTAGTTATCTTCAATCCTTCATGTAACAAGATACAAACGAAATATAAAAAGCAGTTTAATTCTTTTCCACATAGCTCACCACATATTTTGAGGATAAAAAGGTAGCATTTGCAAAGCTTTGAGCAAGGGTTAAGTTGTACTGTTGGAAGCCAGAGTTCATGCATAAAAAAAGAAAGGCACAAAATAGTCTTTAATAATCACAGAATTATCCAAGGGATGGCAAAGTTGGAATAAGTCACAAGAGATTTTTTTTTCAGTCTGTCAGTATTTTTGTAGAATTAAAGAAATTTAGACCCCAAAGGGACTTTAGAAGTCACCTGCTCCAGTCTCCAGTCTCATTATTTTGCAGATGAGGAAATAGCACAGAGAGGACAAATGGCTCATTCAAAATCATGGCACTGTGTGTTAGGTGGCATTGTGACGAGGCTCCATGATTCCTCAGCGTTTCCTTCAGTGTTTGCTCCTTCTCTGCCTCCAGCGCTGTCAGAGCTGAACAGAGGAAAGGGCTCCAGCTGTTTGGAAGATTTCACATTTACTTTTTTTTTTTTTTTTAAGATGGAGTCTTGCTCTGTTGCCCAGGCTGGAGTGCAGTGGTGCAATCTCCGCTCACTGCAACCTCTGCCTTCCGGATTCAGGAGATTCTCCTGCCTCATCCTCCCGAGTAGCTGGGATTACAGGCGTGAGGCACCACACACAGCTAACTTCTTTTGTATTTTTAGTAGAGATGGAGTTTCACCATGTTGGCCAGGCTGGTCTTGAATTCCTGACCTCAGATGATCCACCCGCCACGGCCTCCCAAAGTGCTGGGATTACAGGCGTGAGCCACCATGCCCATCCCACATGTACTTTCATAGTCTCCTACATCTCTGTGAAGTAAAGGAAGGCAACACTCGATACAGAGTCTTGGCAGGAAAAATTTTTGTGTTCATTTTTGCCCAATGTTGCGATTTTACAAATCCCATGTCCAGTTGATGGCCACAATTCTACCTGTTCTGTCTCCCAAATCTTTCCCAAGTTCATACTTCTATCCCCACTGTCAGTGCCTTGGTTGAGGCTCTCATTCACTCTTATCTAGACACCCAAAATGCCTTCCTAGTTCCTCCAAATCGTGCTTCGTGATATTGCCAGAGAAATGGTACCAGAATACAAATCTGATCTTCAGCCCAGGTTTAGCATAGCCACGCAGGCTCCAAGACTCTAACTTGGACTACGTGCCCCTTTACAACCTAATCTACCTCCCTGGCCCTCCATCGGCAATGTCCAAGGACAGTGCTCAAAATTTCTGGAAAAAACAATGTTCTTTCATATTTATGTTCTTTGTGTGTCCTCCTCCATCTGCCCTTGACACTCCTGCCTGCTCTGCTCATTCTTCAGAGATGGTTCTACCCTGCTCAAGCGTGAAGGCTTCCTCAGCTCCTCCAGCTGACTTAGTCAACACCTGGAAACATGCTCTGGGAGCTGGTTGCAGAAGGCTGTATTAATACATCGATCACATGCATTGTCATGATCTACTTTCTTCTATGTACCTCCTTTCCTGGATAAGGAGTTTTCTTTGAGGGCAGAGACCATGTCTGGTTTATCAGTGAAATTGTCTCAGCAAATGTTTATAGAAAGAAAGGAAGAGAAGGAAGAAGTGAAACTATGATCTTAAGCAGAGAAGTTACTGGTAATTTTTGTTTGCTTTTGTGCAGGATTTTTTCATATTGTCTGTATGTGTGTGTATGTTAAAGTTAATGTTCCTACTTACCTCCCCCAGCCCTACTGAGAAGAGGTCACTATTACAGTTCATTTCTTCTAGATCTTTCAATATGCCTGTATAAAGACATGCAAGCATTTTGTTTTCTGTTAAATAAATATAGAATTATATTACACACATGTTCTACTGTTTTTGCTCAATACATTATGGGCACATATAAAGATCTATCTTATTTTTTAAATGGCTGCATTATATTTCATAAAACATATGTGTGCCATGAATTGTTAACTTCCCATTATGGACAAGTTCTGATTTTTCAATAGTTATACTGCAAGAAATGTTAGCATGACTTTTCTTTAATCCTCTGAATACTTTCAAAGTTGTGGTGCCATCATCATTTATATGGTGTCTGCAAGAGCCTGCCAGTGGAGTGATTTGCAGAAGCTGTCATAATATTTGCATTGGTTCCTGTTCTGCCCTTGTTTCTTGTATTCTTGATTCCTCTGGCTCTTGGCTAAAGCTAGAAGCCGAAAAGGGACTTGCAAAGGACACAGAGCAAGCGGTTTCAGCTGTACTCTGCTAATGTAACAGGGAATGTAAGTGTCCTGAGACCCCTCTGAGACTCACCTTCCACTTATAGAAATTACTGCTTACACTAGATTCCATAAATGTGTGCAAGGTTTTTTTTGTCTTGCAGTAAGTCAATTATTAATAGAACTGTGCTGTGAATGAAGAAGATGCAAACATGGCCAAATGAGAGTTAGAGGAAGTGTTTCTACCAATTGTTCCCCTTTTCTTTTTCTATAGGCATTAAACTATCTAAGTAGCCCATGAATACGCCCATCCTGTAAGGGGATATTATGTTTGTGGCAAAAGCATGAGGTTTACTTTCCAGTTAAGTAGGGGAAATGGTTTTTTTCCCCTTTGGTTGTCTAAACTGCTAATCACCTGATTATCTCTTCCTCCTTCCCTGGCTTCTGTCTGACCTCCTGACCTCATGTGACCATCAGAAGGGAAGCAAGGGAGAAGCAGGGACCCTGCTCCTGCTTTTAGGCCTGTTGCCTTCTTTTCTTCAAACCTGCCTGCTTTCTTCTGTCCCTGAGTGTGTGGGCCATTACTTAGATTTGACTCCTCCTGCCAATTTATTTTTTACTTTCCCTCATGCAGGACTCAAATGGATGCTAAAAAGCCAAGGAAATGTGATTTGACTCCCTTCCTGGTTTTGAAAGCAAGAAAGAAACAAAAGTTCACCTCTGCGAAGGTAAAGATCCTTGAATTTTCACTGGGGAAGAGAGGTATCATTGCGAGGTCCTAGGGACTCAGGACCCAGTGCTGATGGTTGTGCCCCAAGCACCTCTGGGTACAGCGCAAAGGCAAAGGTGTGGAGGATCATGCTGATTGGCAGGGCCAAATCTGGGTGGGTGTGGAGGGAAAATCAGCAGAAGGGCAAGGCCTTAATCTAACAGGTAAGCTGTATTCCAGAAGGCCCTGGGTGAGTGCATCCATGGTATCTTTTATTCTGCTGTATATATGTGAGATCCTACTGGAAGTTACCTGGAATAGTTGAAGAACGTTTCCAGAAAAGATCTGCTTTTTTTCTTTTTTTTTTTTCTTTGAGACGGAGTTTCACTCTTGTTGCCCAGGCTGGAGTGAAATGGTGCAATCTCAGCTCACTGCAACCTCCACCTCCTGGGTTCAAGCGATTCTCCTGCCTCAGCCTCCCAAGTAGCTGGGATTACAAGCATGCACCACCACGGCTGGCTAATTTTTGTATTTTTAGAGGAGATGGGGTTTCTTCATGTTGATCAGGCTGGTCTCGAACTCCCGACCTCAAGTGATCTGCCCGCCTCGGCCTCCCAAAGGGCTGGGATTACAGGCGTGAGCCACCACGCCTGGCCAAGACCTACTTTTTTTCTAATACAGACATGGTGTCTTTCCTTTCACTCTGCCTCAAAAACTAGTAAAATGCCACTGCACTGAAGTTAAAATTGTGATGGGATGACTTTGTGATAACCATCTATGGGATCAACTTCCAAATCAGGTGTATTTTAAAAATCTAACACCACTCAGTTTGAATTTCTTAGTTTGTTCAAAAGATCATATTGTTTGGGGTCTTTGTCCTGAAAGTTTCACAGCAAACTTCAGCCCAAAGCATTCAGGTTTGACTTCTGAATCCTGCCTGCATCACTGTTTGGCAGAACTGGAGTTCAGCAGCCTAACCCAAGGCCTAGCAAAAATCGTCCTCCTATAAATCACATATATTTACTTAAAATTATGACTTTAGGTTTCCTCTTCCAAGCGCTGTTCCTGATTTAACTCTAGTGTTGTCCCCCTTGGGATTATAACTCATACAAATGGACCCTAATACAAAGTCCTTTGCTCCACCCCACTACCCGTGCCACTACCACGTATAACAAAACACGTTTATTTTGCAATTTATAGGTGCAATTTTTAATACCTAAAACAAACTTATTTTGATAAAATAAAAATTACTGTAAAATATTTGAAATAATAAATCTCCAGCAAAACATGCTAATATAATAAAGATGGCATTCTTTTCAAATGTTAAACTATGATGCAAACAGAACAGTATTGGTTATGATTTTATTTTAGCAAAATCATCATGAGGTTTGCAACTTGCACTTTTTTAAGCTACTTGAGCACACATTTATTGAGTGCCGAGGTGACTCACACATGCGCCTTAGCAGCAAGTGCTATTATTATCCCCAATTTTACAGAGGGGGAAATTAATATACAAGCAAGGCCAATTAGCCCAGGGTCATAATGCCAGTGAGTGGAGGACGGAATTCAAACCCATATTCTTTTTCAATTGTTATTTAAAAAAAATTTGAAAGTAGAGACAGGGTCTCGCTATGTTGCCCAGGCTGGTCTCAAACTCCTGGGCTCCAGCAATCCTCCCACTTCAGCCTTCCAAACTGCTGGGATTACAGGTGTGAGCCACCACACCCGACCAAATCCGTATTCTTAACCACTCTCTTCCACGCCTCTCTGTTGCATGAGGATAGCTCTGTTAAGGGTTGTTCCGTAAAGTTCCTTATACATTTTGATTAATTTCAAAGAAAGCAAACTCTGTTGCAGTTACGATGACGGGAATTGTCAAAAATAAAATAAGTCCGGGGCATGAGGATTCACACCTGTAATCTTAGCACTTTGGGAGGCTGAGGTAGGAGGATCACTTGAGCCTGGGAGTTTGAGACCAGCCTGGGTAACATAGCAAGACCCTGTCGCTATAAATAATAATAATAATAATAATAATAATAATAATAATAATGATAATAACAAATTAGCTGGGTGTGGTAGTGCACGCCTGTAGTCCCAGCTACTTGGGAGCCTGAGGTAGTAGGATCGCTTGAGCCCAGGAGGTTGAGGCTGCAGTGAGCCGTGCTTGCGCCACTGCATCCAGCCTGGTCAACAGAAGAAAACCCTGTCTCAAAATAAATAAAATTTAAAAAAAAAGTCACATTCAAAATTGATTTGATTATGTCGTATTTTATAGTAATTACTGGCAAATTCACAATGACATTTAAAAATACTCTTGAAACTTAAAACTACTGTGTTTGTATTGCTAGTTGTTCTGATGGGTCTTAAATAAATGTCTTTTCAACGTCGATTGGCTTTCCTCAATGGACTTCTCATCCAGTTGAATTTAATAGGTTTAAGTAAGGAAATGCAAACAACTCAGTAACTGGCTTCTGCACGTGAAGTATTGGGTTTCAGTGGACAGTTGTGATACTAATTGGAGAAAGAAAATGAATTGTATGACTTATAATCCCTTCATCTAAAAAAACACTTAAGAAGAGGGAGCTGTGGATCTCACCATGTCTACTGCCCCAAGCAGGTGTTGAGAGGACAACTTATTTAAATAAATTAATAATTATTTATGTTTTTCACAATATTTAAAATTATAGATTATAAGTGTGATATAACAATCAAGTATTCACATATTTTAATTTGGATTTTGGTAACATTTCAGCCAAGGGAAAGTTTAAAATGTGATTTCACTGGGCTTTAAGACAATAGTGTGGCGCTCTCTCTAGTAATCTGGAGTTCTTTTCAGAATGCCCTATTCATTTGGCTAACACAGGGTAAAACCTTGATGCCAGTGGAGCTTCCCTGTCCTTTCTGCTTAGCTGGCAAGGATCAGAGGACTCTCAGGAAAATGCTGTGTGTTGTATTTGTCGTAACTGCCGGCAGGGGAAACAGAGGCCCTTTGGTCCTCAGTCATCTCAAGCAGTAGGCTGGAGGACATCTGGCTTTTCTGCATCTCAGCATTGCCTCAGCTGGTTTCTGGGACTCGAGGAGCTAGCTGAGCTCCAGGATCACAGCTTAGGCTATGCCAGGAAGAGAAC
This sequence comes from Homo sapiens, assembly GCF_000001405.40. NCBI lineage: Eukaryota > Metazoa > Chordata > Mammalia > Primates > Hominidae > Homo > Homo sapiens. The sequence continues at coordinate 4,571,158 of NC_000012.12, forward strand.
CTGGGAGAGAGTCCTAGGGAGGGAAGCTGTTAATTTAGGATATTACATTACGATCTCCCCGACAACTACAAGATGCTACAAAGCACATCCAGAATCATACTGAAGACACATTTCTATTTCAGCACCAGAAGCACAGCTACTTTTTCTCTGTTAATTTCTTAGATCCTTTCAATCATTCATTTGCTGAATGCCACCTCCTTAGAGAGGCGTTCCTTCCCCACCATTTCTAATTACACATCTGTTTGTTTACTTGTTTATTGTCTGTCTTGCCCTCCAGAACTGTGCTGTCCAATATGGTGGCCCTTGGCATGTATCCTACTGGGGGTGTGCTGTGAGTGTCAGATACACACCAGAGTCCAAAGACTCGGTGTGAAAACAATAAATGTAAAATGATGTATTAGTAATTTTTATAGTTGGGTTTATATTTTGTCGTATTTTATTGTATTTTATTTTATTTATATCGTATTGTAGTTTATATTTTATCGTATGCCAATTAATACCTCAATAAAGTTGTAAAATAATTTTATATGTTTATATGTTAAAATAGTATTTTGAATATAATGTGTTAAATAAAACATATTATTAAAATTAATTTCATCTATTTCTTTTTACCTCTTTAATGTGGCTACCAGAAAATTTAAAATTATACTCATGACTCACATAATGTTTCTATTGGACAGTGCTGCTCTAGAATGGACACTGCACAATGGCAAAGGTTTTACTGGACTGGCTCAGTGCCAACTCCCCAGAACTTAGGTCAGTGCCTCCCACAGACTAGCACTTGATGTGTGCTTGTGGAATAAAAACTAGGAGTGTGTTTATTCATTTATTTCCTCTACAAGTATGTGCTGTCTACTCATCTCAGACATTGTTCTAGGGACTAGGGATGCAGTGGAGAACAAAACAGGCCGTAAAACTCTCATAAAGCTTAAAATTGGGATTCTTTGTAGGAAGACCAGATGTTTTGACTAAATGCTGAGAATGGTAATGACTCACCTTCATTTTCACTGGCAGTTAAAGAGTTGGAACTGAATAGACCAGTGGTTTCTTAGCCTGGGTTGTATATTGGGAACACCCAGGGAAGTTTTAAAGACTACTGAAATCAGAATCTTTAGGGGTCATGGACTTTTTTTTGTTTGTTTGTGACAGAGTCTGGCTCTGTCGCCCAGGCTGGAGTGCAGTGGCGCGATCTTGGCTCACTGCAAGCTCCACCTCCCGGGTTCACGCCATTCTCCTGCCTCAGCCTCCGGAGTAGCTGGGACTACAGGCGCCCGCCACCACACCTGGCTAATTTTTGTTGTTGTTGTTGTTGTATTTTTAGTAGAGACGGAGTTTCACCATGTTAGCCAGGATGGTCTCGATCTCCTGACCTCGTGATCCATCCGCCTTGGCCTCCCAAAGTACTGGGATTACAGGCGTGAGCCACCGTGCCTGGCCTATGGACATGTTTTAAAAAGTTCTTTTCTATCATGTGGGGACAGGTGTCCATTTCATCACCAGGTGTGAGACCTCAGGTCATTAAATCTCTGACATTTTGCTGTTTGTGAAACTGGAATAATTATTCCTACATCCCCTGATTGCAGGGGTATTAAGGGAGGTAAGAGAATGTGAGCTCTCCGGCTGGCACATGTTGGAAGCCCGATAAGTATTGGTTGCTTTTATCTTCCCTCTGTCTCTCCATTTAACAGAAAGGGGCTTCCTGCAAGAGACGGGCTTATCAGTGAGTGTCACACAGTGGAAGAGGATATCCGACGGTCATTCATTGTCTCATTTCCATGTCTCATCAGCACTTCCTATACGAAAAGCAGGAACAAAACAAAATCCTGATCCGACCATTTGGTGTTGGGCAAAGGAATGGAAATCAGTTCAAGCTGAAGAGACAGCAAACAGCAGAGATGTGAATTGCTAGTTCTGTCTAGGTTTTTAGGTTGGCACACTATTATTTATGGTAATGCATTCACCTGTTAAATGCAAATGGAAGACTCGAACTAGAAGAACTTGTAATGATCATTGCAAGTTAACATTAAAACGTTTAAAATATAATCGTAAGCAGCCAATCTAGAATCAGTGGCTCAATGAAGATAGGCATTTACTTCTATATAATGTCTACATTTGGAATGGATTTGGGGTCCTGAAGGAGAGTTTTACATAGTTTTCCCCATTCTTTCCTAGGGCCCCACTCTTTCTGAGATCTACATGGTAAGTACCAGTTCCTTTGTTCTGCGTGTTCATTGGTGCTTTAATTTCCAATCAAAGAAAGGAGAACAAAGATTTGAAATTACCTTTGGTTTCTGTCAAAGGAATGTGAAGTGAGCAGGAATTGGCGGGTGGGGGCATGTCTCTGAGTACAAGAATTAATCAGAGCAATAGTCACTTCTATTGAAAGCTTCTTCAGGCCATGACAAATAGAGTATCAGTTCGACGTTGAAGGTGGGGATAAGGAGATATTCGGAATGCAATCCCTGCCCTCCCGGTGTGTGTTATAGCAGTGTTTGTTTGCTTCTTTCAACAGTGTTGAGGGGGTCATTACCTCCATTTTACAGAGGAGGAAACTGAGATCCAAAGAGATTTATGTAGCCAGGCACCTGAAGTCATTCTGGGAATAAAAGCTGAAATCAGGATTCAGATTTTATTCTGTAATTCATGAATGCTTTTCAAGAAATAATTTTTATTATTGTGTTGAGTATATATAAAATAATATTAAAGAAATATGTGTAAGGTATAAAGAATGATACAATGATCACCCTTGTGTGTACCCAACACAAGGTTTTAAGAAAGCAGTCCCAGGCCCCGCGCAGTGGCTCACGCCTGTAATTCCAGCACTTTGGGAGGCCAAGGCGGGTGGATCACAAGGTCAGGAGATGGAGACCATCCTGGCTAACACGGTGAAACCGCATCTCTACTAAAAATACAAAAAATTAGCCGTGCGTGGTGGCGGGTGCCTGTAATCCCAGCTGCTCGGGAGGCTGAGGCAGGAGAATTGCTTGAACCTGGGAGGCGGAGGTTGCAGTGCGCCGAGATCGCGCCACTGCACCCTGGCCTGGGCGACAGAGCGAGACTCCATCTTAAAAAAAAAAAAAAAAAAAAAAAGGAAAGAAAGCAGTCCCATGTGTGTCCCTCCCCATGGTATCTCGTCCTGTTCATTGTCCCGTCTGAGATAACTACTCTCTTGAGTTTTACATCTATTATTCCACTAATTTTCTTTATCTGTTTCTAAACCTTCTAAACTATGTATTGGCTCATTTTGCATGTTTTTTAAAAATATATATGGAATCATACTGTTGAGTGTTCTTCTGCAGACTGCTTTTTATGCTCAGTGCGAAGCCAGCGTACATTGGTATAACATTTGGCCGCTTTCACTGGGATTGATTAGGCCTCTGCTGATTGATCATTACCTGTGCCCCGAGTCTTTAAATACTATGAATATCACCTCTGTTCTAGGAACACTGGTTCTCAATTAACTTAACTACCATGTTTCATTATACGGGAACACTACATTTTTTATCAGTTTTACAATTAATGGACATTTTGTTTTTTCTTGTGCGTTTGCTATTTATTTTTTATTGAAAAGTTTTTTTTAGACACAGTCTTGCTTTGTCACCCAGGTTGGAGCGCAGTGGTGCGATCTCGGCTCACTGCAGCCTCCGCCTCCCCAGTTCAAGTGATTCTTGTGCCTCAGCCTCCCCAGTAGCTGGGATTACAGGTGCACGCCACCATGCCCAACTAATTTGTGTATTTTTAGTAGAAATGGGGTTTCACCTTGTTGGCCAGACTGGTCTCTCAAACTCCTGACCTCGAGTGATCCACCAGCCTCGGCATCCCAAAGTGCAGGGATCATAGGCGTGAGCCAATGTGCCCGGCCATGTTTGCTATTGAAAATGATGCTGCTATGAGCATTCTTGTGCACGTTTCTTAGTGTGTCTGTATAGGCATTTCTAAGATGTATTCCCAGGAGGGGAACCGCTGGGTAACAGGATATGTGAATGCTTGACGTTACCAGATAATGACAAACTGTTTTCCAAAACATTGGTGCAAATGTACCTTGTCACCAGTAGTGTGCACACATTTCAGTCTTCCACATACTTTTTATTACCTGATATTGTGTGACTTTTTAGCTTGCCAATTTACTAACAATAACTTACTGTGTGTGTGTGTGTGTGTGTGTTTTCGAAACGGAGTCTCGCTCTATTGCCCAGGCTGGAGTGCAGTGGTGCGATCTCGGCTCACTGCAACCTCTGCCTCTCGGGATCAAGCAATTTTCCTGCCTCAGCCTCTTGAGTAGTTGGGACTACAGATGCATGCCGCCACTACCAGCTAATTTTTTTGTACTTTTAGTAGAGACGGGGTTTCACTATGTTGGCCAGGATGGTCTTGATCTCCTGACCTCGTGATCCACCCGCCCCGACCTCCCAAAGTGCTGGGATTACAGGCATGAGCCACCGTGCCCAGCCAATTTATTGTATTTTAATGTGCATTTTGATGATGACTGTTAATGAGATTGAACCGTTTTTAATGTATTTATTGGCTATTTGTGTTTCCTCTTCTTTGAAATACTTGGTCATGCCTTTATTGTTTAAGAATTTTTCTGTTGTGCTGTTTGTCCTTTTTTATTGATTTACAGAATATTTTACATATTCTGTCTACTCATCCTTTGTCAGTTGTATGTGCTGCAAACAGCTTCTCCTAGTTGTTGGCTTGTCTGTTTTTTATTTATTTAATTTTTAAAGAGCAGTTTTAGGTTCCCAGAAAAATTGAGCAGAGAAGTACACTTTCCATATAACCCATTCCTCTTTACAGTTTCTCCTATTATTGACATTTTACATTCATGTATAGTTGGCACAATTGATGAACGAAGATTGATACATTATTATTAGCTGATGTTCATAGTTTACATTAGAGTTCCTCCTTTGTGTTGTACATTCTAGGAGTCTGACAAAGGCATAATGTCATTTGTCTACTATTATAGGATGATACCGGATAGTTTCACTGACCTAAAAATACCCCATTGTCCATCTATTCATCCTTTCCCCCCAACAACAAAACCCCTGGCAACCACTCTTTATACTGTCTCCTTAGTTTTGCCTTTTCTAGAATATTGTATAGTTGGAATCATGCAGTATATTGCCTTCTCAGATGGCTTTTTTCATTTAGCAGTAATGTCCTCCATGTCTTTTCATGGCTTGAGAGCTTATTTCCTTTTATCAGTGAATAATACTGCACTGTATGGGTGTACCAGTTTGCTTATCCATTCACTGACTGAAGGACAATTTGGTTGTTTCCAATTTTTTAGCAGTTATAAATAAATCTGCTATAAGCATTCATGTGCAGGTTTTTATGTGGACATACATTTTTTTAGTTCATTTGGGTGAACCAAGGAGCATGATTGCTGGATTGTATGTTAAGGCTATATTTAGCTTCATAAGAAACTGCTACACTGTCTTCCAAACAAGCTGTACCATTCTGCCTTCCCACCAACAATGAATAAGAATTCTTGTTATGCCACCTCCTTGCCAGCATTTGGTGTTGTCAAAATGCGGTTTTGGACGTTCTAGTAGGTGTGTAGTGGCATCTCATTGTTTTAATTTGCAATTGCCTAATAACATAATATTGAGCATCTTTTCATATGCATATTTGACATCTATATATCTTATTTGGAGAGCTGGTGTTTATTCAGATATTTTGCTAATTTTTAATTGGATTGCTTTCTTATTGTTGAATTTTAAGAGTACTTTGTATACTTAGACACAATCCCTTCTCAGATATGTGTTTTGCACATATTTTCTACCAGTCTATGGTTTCTCTTTTCGTTTTCTTAACAAAGTCTTTTGCAAAGAAGTTTTAATTTTAATGAAGCCCAGCGTATCCATTTTTTTCCGTCATGATCGTGCTTTTTTATTGTAGTTAAAAAGTCATTACTGAACTGAAGGTCACCTAGATTTTCTTCTATGTCACCTTCTAGAAGTTTTATAGTTTCGTGATTTCTATTTAGGTCTATGAGCCATTTTGAGTTAATCTTTGTGGAAGGTATAAATTCTGTGTCTAGATTAATTTTTTTTTGTGGATGTCCAATTGTGCCAGCACTGTTTTTGTTTGTTTTTAATAAGTCTTGCTACATTTCCCAGGCTGGTCTCAAACTCATGACCTCAAGTGATCCTCTGGCCTCAGCCTCCTTGAGTAATTGGGACTACAGGTGTGCACCACCATGCTGGGCTTAGTACTATTTGTTGAAGAGATGCCTTTCTCCATTGAATTGATTTTGCTCCTTTGTCAATGATCAGTTGACTATGTTTGTGTGGGTCTATTTATGGGGCCTCTATTTGTTCCATTGAACTATTTGTCTGTTCTTTCTTCAGTGCCACACTGTCTTGATCGCTGTAGCTTTATAGTAAGTCTTGAGGTTGGGTCATCAGTCCTCTAACTTTGCTGTTCTTTGGTTTTGTGTTGGCTATTCTAGGTCTTTTCATTTTCCACATGAATTTTAGAATCAGTTTGTTGATGTCCATAAAATAACTTGCTAGGATTCTGATTGGGATTGTGTTGAATCTACAGATTAAGTTGGGAAGAACTAATATCTTCATGATATTTAGTCTTCCTATCATGAACATGGAAAATATCTCAATTTATTTAGATCCTCTTTGATTTCTTCAACCAGAGTTTTGTAGTTTTTCTCAGATAGATCTCATACACATTTTGTCATATTTATAGTTAAGTATTTCAGTTTCTTGGGAGTGTTAATGTAAATGGTATTGCACTTTTAATTTCAAATTCCAATGGTTCATTTCTGTATATAAGAGAGCAATTGACTTTTGTGTATTAATGTCTTTTATCCTGCAGCTTTTATACAATCTTGGGTTTTCTTTTTACTTTCTTTATGTTGTTTTTAGATAAACAGAAGTAATTAATTAAAAGCAGGTAAATTTATGGTATGCACTTTTTGTCTTAATAAATCATTCCCTACTCTGAAGTTATACAGGTATTGCCTTCTAAAAGTTTTATAATTTTGCCTTTCATCAGTTCTGAAAAATACTTCTAGCCATTTTGTCATTATCTCTTTCATACTCTTTCTTTTCTTCTGAAACTCAAATTAAATGTATGTTAAACCTTGTTTTATCCTCTACGTCTATAATCTCTGACCAGATTTTTTATCTCTTTGAAGAAATTGCTGGTTAATTTCTTCAAACCTGTCTTTTCCAGTTCATTCATACTCCCTCTGGCTATGTATAATATGTTATTAAGCCCATTCATTTGGTTTTTAATTTCAACTGTTATATTTTTTAGTTTTGAAAATTCTAATTTGTTCATTTTTAAATCTGTTCTGTTATTTGCATGGAGTCTTACACTTTACTCACATTTTTAGGCTCTTTAATTTCTTTAAGCAAGTTATGCGTAGTTAATTTATAAGTTTTACCTGATAATTCCAATACTTGGATATTATATTTGGAAATATAACTATTTGGAAATATTGGGGGTGATCTGATTCTGGTGTTTATAGTTTTTGCTAATTCTCACCCACAGCACCTTGTTGTCTTGTATCTTTTAACTTTTTACTAGTCTTGTTTTGTGGAAAAGCCTGAGTCTGAGAGAGTATGAATGGTTTGCCAAGGCCACACAGCCAGCGAGTGGCAGCATAGGAATGCCAGTCAAAATCTGTCTGACTCTGAGGTCTGTGTACTTTTCTCTATCCTGTGAGGCCTAATGACCCTTGACTGATGAACTCTTTTACAAATCATCCCATACGTGATTATTGAGAGCCAAGCATTGTTTTTGGTGCTGGGATACAAAAATAGACATGCACATCTCCTTCTTTCACAGTCTAGTGTGACATAAACTGCAAATGGGCCGGGTGCAGTGGCTCATGCCTGTAATTCCAGCACTTTGGGAGGCCGAGGTGGGTGGATCATGAGGTGAAGAGATTGAGACCATCCTGGCCAACATGGTGAAACCCCGTCTCTACTAAAAATACAAAAATTAGCTGAGCGTGGTGGCGTGCCCTGTAGTCCCAGCTACTTGAGAGGCTGAGGCAGGAGAATCATTTGAACCTGGGAGGCGGAGGTTGCAGTGAGCCGAGATTGTACCACTGCACTCCAGCCTGGTGACAGAGCGAGATGCCGTCTCAAAATGATAATAATAATCATGATAATAATAATGATAAATAAATAAAAATAAAAAATAAAACACACAATGGCCAAGTGACACTGAGGCATGGGAGTGCTCTCATGCAGGTAGAAACAGTTCTCTGAGAGTCTAGACAAAGTTTTCTTAAGCCATTGGCTAATGCCCAGCGTACCATTTCATGCTTCACTGACATGCCGGTCACTTTAGTACTGTCACATGGCATGAGTTACAGGGCTCTTTATTCATATTTTCATCTAAATGAATCACTCCCCCTGGAGTTAAGCAAGGAGGCTGCATGTGGACTGGAGGGAGGGCATTTCAGGCAGAAGAAATAACATATACAAAAGCATGCAAAGGCATTCTATCTAAATCGATAGAAATAGAGCCTTAGAAATTATCTACTCAAACCCTCCTACATGATGCATAAATCCACTTTATATTATAGGAAATTTAGTGTCTAATTTATAGAATAAATGCTTGCTTTCTGAATGTCTCTATTGTCAGCTGAATTCAGGCACTATCAGAATAAAAGCATGATCTTACTTTTAATTAGCGACCTTTGGAGGGGAAGTTCTTTATAATCCCTTGTCACCCGGTTTCCTGGCAGAACACAAAGAGGTCAGAGGAGATCACTGGGTGGCAGCATGAGACAGTAAAATGACGCTAGAGGGCTTACGTTCTAGACGGGCTTGCTGCTGTTAATTGTGTTATCTTGGACAAGTCACTTGGATAATGTTTGCCTCCCTTTCTCCATCTGTAAAATGAGGGCATTATACTACACATGCCCTAAGGTCACATTCATTATCATGATTTACCAAGGTGCATTTAACAGAAGTCCAGAAAACAAAGTATCTCCCCAAGGCCCTGCACTGAATGCATTAGAAATTGACTCCAGCTATCTGGACCCCCAGGCTCTTGCCCTTCCTCAAGGATGGCAGGGCCTCCTCTTTCCACCTCTACTAGGGACAGAGCTGGTGGGTAGGACCCCAGGGAGGCTACTACATCAACGAGATGAAAATCTGGTCCTCCCAAGAGGCTGGCCACGTTCGTCCCACTAATGGGTCTCAGGGGTGCAGCTGTGGCTGTTGGTGTGATTTGGAGGCGGCTCCTCCCCATCTAGGCATCCTGGGCTCCCTCATGCACAGCAAAGGGACTTAAAGGGCAGACCCTTAGCTTCAAATGGCAGTGGGAGAGATGCTGTGATTTGTTCAAGGTCTGTAGCAGCCAGGGTAGCTTAATCCCTTAGCTGGGGACCCTTAGGAGCCCAGCCACCTCCCTCCCTCCCAGTTCTTTGTGATGCTCTGCTGAGCCTAATTGTCTAACTAGTTGCATTCTGCAGAAAATCCCCAAAGAGTTTGTTTCTTTCTCCTGGTCACACCCCCTCCCTGCATGAATGCATTTATTTTTAACTCCTGGTAGTTCTGGCCTCTGGGAAGGGATGACAGAGCCTGTAAGGAAGAAGTTGTGAGCTGATATCACAGAAGCTGAGCTTCATTTGCCCATCCAACCACCAGGCACTTAGGGATTTTTTTTTTTTTAAATGGGAAACAGGAAGAGACAAGGAGGAGTCAGCTGAGAAAACAGGAAAATCGCCTGTGAAGTATGACTGAGGCGGGATGGTGTGATGGAGGTGTGCCTTTCCGAAAAGGCTGGGTGGCCTGAGGCCTGCAGAGAGTCCAGTTGCTATCTTCCCTGAACAGTCCAGGTGAGGACATCCAGCGTTCGGTCCAAGGTAATAAGATGAGCCAGTGCTTCTAGAGTTCTGCTCTAACTAGCCCTAAATAGGGACCAGTCCTATTATCCTTTGGGTCTTGGTGTGAGAGGGCAGGACATAATACTCCCCTGTGGTCCTTGGGTAAACTGAGCTTGATACCCAAGGTGAGAGAGCCTGTGCTTGCTGGGGGTCAGGGCCTGACATGATGAGAATACAGAATAGAGGGGAAGGCAGAGCACCTAGGGACAAGACACTGAAGTGGGACATGGGACTGGGAATTCCACCCCTCAGGGTACCTCTTTCATCCACTCTGACACAGAGATTACATAGTCAGGTCAGTGCGGTTTGTAATGGGAACAGGCTTCTGCCAGACAGGTTCTTCTTTCCTACCATGAACCATCTCTTGTTTCCTTTGAGTAGCAATTCATTTATTTGGAAGAAAGCGCTTCCTTTTCCAGGCATTCTCTTTGAAATTGCAGCTGCCTTTGAGAGGGGGCATGAGCAGAGAAGATTCTCTTGTGTGAATTCGCTGATTAGAGGCTTTCCTTCCAAAAGAAGGGCCGGGGAGCATGGGAGCACTTTCCTGGTGGGAATAGAAGCCACTAAGAACGAGGAATGAGGCTAGAACAGGGCAAGGATGGACTGACCACCAGGAGAGGGAAGGACTGAAGTCAAAGCTCAGTTGTCTCCCTGGACAGCCTAGAGTTGTCTCAGATCTTTCAGGACAAGTGCTGGGTCCTGAAACATCCTGCTCCCTCCCTGCCTCTCTCCTGTCCTTCCCTCTCACCTTCTTTTCCTCCTCCTTTAGCAAATATTTAAGTGCCTACTACAGGTTGAGCATCTCTTATCCGAAATTCTTGGGACCAAAAGTGTTTTGAGTTTCAGATTTTTTTAGATTTAAGCATATTTGCATATACATAATGAGATATTTTGGGGATGGGACCCAATTCTAAACACAAAATTCATTTATGTTGCATATACACTTTATGCATGTGGCCTGAGGCACCTTTATACAGTATTTTAAATAACTTTGTGCATGAAACAAAGTTTGTGCACGTGAGTGGTGTCATTGTCGGCACTCAAAAGTGGAGCATTTCAGGCTAGGGATGCTCTATCTGTAATGCTTATCATGTTAGGCTTTGAGATAAGACCCAGGTCTTTTATTAAAGAGTCTTGGCCAGGAGCAGTGGCTCACGCCTGTAATCCCAGCACTCTGGGAGGCTGAGGTGGGAGGTTTCACCTGAGGTCGGGAGTTCGAGACCAGCCTGACCAACATAGAGAAACCCCATCTCTACTAAAAATACAAAATTAGCCAGGCGTGGTGGCGCGTGCCTGTAATCCCAGCTACTCGGGAGGCTGAGGCTGGAGAATCGCTTGAACCTGGGAGGCGGAGGTTGCGGTGAGCCGAGATGGCGCCACTGCACTCCAGCAATAAGAGCGAAACTCCATCTCAAATAAAATGAAATGAAATGAGATGAAATGAAATAAAATAAAATAAAAAAGAGTCTTATATACCAGAAGAAGAAACCAGTAAAACAACCTTGTCTAACAAGCCTTTGCAGGTGCTGTAATAGAGTACAGAGCACAGGGTAGCGAGTGGCTTACAAATATTAATACAAGAGGGAGTGGTCACAGAGGCTTCCTGGAGAAAGTGCTGCTATGGCTGGGGCCCAAATGCGGGTGAACGATGGGGACATGGACTGGATGACATGGCGGTGGGGTGGGTGATGGGAGAACATTCCGAGCAGAAACAGAGCAGGAGTGAAAGTGCTGAGATGTGGAACAGTGCGGTGTTTGAAAATGGCAAGACTTGCAGTGGCAGGAGCCAAAAGGCAGGGGTAGGGCCATGACAAGGGTTGAGGCTGGGGGCGCTTTGTGAGCCAGGACTTCTGCTCCCTGGTAAGTTGCTAGGAGATGGAGGCAACTTACTAATGTGATCAGATGCTCATGTTTAATTTCTGAGGCCACTCAGGAGGAAGGGTAGAGGATGGGATGGAATGCGGAGAGGCAGGAAAACTGCTTAGGAGACCATTGCAATAGGTGCCTGAACTAGGGATGTGGTGGGCAAAGAATGGTGAAGGGGTATCTTTATTCTCACATAATTATGCCACTCACAGTAAGAAATCGTAACAATTTGAAGTTTGAAAAAGAGACAGAGTCTTGCTCCATGACCGAGGCTAGAGTGCAGTGGCACCATCTCAGCTCACTGCAACCTCCACCTCCCAGGTTCAAGCAATTCTCATTCCTCAGCTTCTACCCCTGCCTTTTGGCTCCTGCCATTGCAAGTCTTGCCATTTTCAAACATGGCACTGTTCTACATCTCAGCACTTTTGCTCCTGCTCTGTTTCTGCTTGGAATGTTCTCCCATCACCCACCCCAACGCCATGTGACCCAGTCCACGTCCCCATCGTTCACCCGCATTTGGGCCTCAGCCATAGCAGCACTTTTTCCAGGAAGCCTCTGTGACCATTCCCTCTTGTATTAATATTTGTAAGCCACTCGCTACCCCGTGCTCTGTACTTCAGTCACAGCACCTTTGCTGAGACTACAGGCGCCTGCCACCACGCCCGACTAATTTTTGTGTTTTTAGTAGAGACAGGGTTTCACCATGTTTGCCAGGCTGGTCTGCAACTCCCGACCTCAGGTGGTCCACCTGCCTCGGCCTCCCAAAGTGCTGGGATTACAGGTGTCAGCCACTGCGCCCAGCCTTGACTCTCACTTTTGAAAGTGAGATGGTTGTCAGCTTGTGTTCAGTAATATGAATTTGCAATTGAGGCACTTCCCTGTGACATCATACAAAGAAGTAGTGTCAGGGAAGATGACACTTAGTGAAATTCTACTCCCTCCTGAGACACGCAGCAAATCCAAGATTGGCTCTGGAGCTGGTCCCAGCTCACTTTACGTTCTTGTAATGATGGCATGGACACTGACACGCAGGGCAGGTTCTGTGGGACCGCCCCGCCCGATGACCCAGCCAGTGGGACTGGTCTTGAAGTTCCAGGGCTGGCACATTGTGGAAAGCCTAATGTTTGTTGCCATGGAATTTCCTGGGGGAAGATGAGAAAAATTTGTAAAAAGTTAGAAAGGATACATAAACATCAATGACACAAAGAAAAACAAAAGTTCAGAGGTGGGAGAGACTAGTTCCAAAAGAGGGGATTATATTAGAATGTGGCTCCCAAATCTGCCTGCACAGAACTCACTTGGGGAAGCTTAAAATACAGGTTTCTGGGCTCTACTGCTAGGGAGGCTGGACTGTGTGATCTGTGCTTGGCACACTGCTCGGTAGGCACATAGATATGTTCAGTAAATGCGTTAAGAATGAATGCATCTCCAAGGTCCACTGCAACTCAGTGATTCTGTGCATCCTTCCGGCTTGCGGAAGCAGGAGGCAGGTGTTGCCGGAAGAATCTTTGAGGCAAGAAGAAGAGCAGGATCACAGGACTGAGTAACTGGAAGGAACAGTTTGGCACCTTTGTAGTTATTTTGCATAAATGCCAGGTGCAGAGTAGGGGGCAGGGTGAGTAAACTGGTTTCAAGTTTCCCCCTTCCTTTTCTAATCAGCCTTTTTTTTTTTTTTTTTTTTTGAGGCAGAGTCTTGCTCTGTCGCCCAGGCTGGAGTACACTGGTGCGATCTTGGCTCACTGCAAGCTCTGCCTCCTGGGTTCATGCCATTCTCCTGCCTCAGCCTCCCGAGTAGCTGGGACTACAGGCGCCCACCACCACGCCCGGCTAATTTTTTGTGTTTTTAGTAGAGACGGGGTTTCATTATGTTAGCCAGGATGGTCTTGATCTCCTGACCTCGTGATCCACCCACCTCGGCCTCCCAAAGTGCTGGGATTACAGGCGTGAGCCACCGCGCCTGGCCTCTAATCAGCTTTTAAGCTGAACTCAGTTTCTATTGGAGAAGGGTGAGCTAGCTGAAACATGAGGATGGAGTTTGCTTTTTTTTTCTTCTGAGAAAACAAAAGAAGTGTGAGAACCCAAGTGCTTAGCTAGCTCAAAACACAGACTCACAAGACGGCAGAGGAGGGGCCCTGGGTCAGGACTTGAGACTGGAGCACCCCTCACCCGCCATCAGCCTGCCTGTGGCATGTCACCGCAGTGTTCAGATCCTATGGGTTTATCTCTTAGTGATGACAAGCACAGCGGGAGACCCCAGGGAATCCCGACTCAAGTGTGGGCCTACGTGTGAATCTTAGTGGCCTCAGCCTACTTGTGAGCCCAGCATCTCCTGTCCCTTCTCTTGATTCCCACAATTGCTGTTTCCATAGACTGAAGCTCTCCCAGCGTAGTTTCCTTGATGCCTCCTTCTAGAGCCTATTCCACTCTCTCAAGGGTCTCATGGAGAGAGTGCTGCTGCACTTATTATTGCCTTCTCCTCCCTTGCATTGCATGGAACCATTTATAGTTATCTGCTGTAATATCTTTTGCTTTTAAACAATGGTATACTATGCAGCCATAAAAAATGATGAGTTCATGTCCTTTGTAGGGACATGGATGAAGCTGGAAACCATCATTCTCAGCAAACTATCACAAGGACAAAAAACCAAACACCGCATGTTCTCACTCACAGGTGGGAATTGAACAATGAGAACACATGGACACAGGAAGGGGAACATCACACACCGGGGACTGTTGTGGGGTGGGGGGAGCGGGGAGGGATAACATTAGGAGATATACCTAATGTAAATGATGAGTTAATGGGTGCAGCACACCAACATGGCAAATGTATACATATGTAACAAACCTGCACGTTGTGCACATGTACCCTAAAACTTAAAGTATAATAATAATTTTTCAAAATGGTATTTTTAATGATAAAAGCAGTACATATTCATACAAAAAGTTTGGAAGATAAAGAAACTTCATAATTTAGTTCTGGCTGTTTAGAAGTCTTCTGAGAGCTGTGATGGTCACAAAAACGAGAACTGAAAAGAGCTTTAGCTGGGGGCATGATGGTTCACGCCTGTAATCCCAACACTGGGAGGCCAAGGCAGGAGGATTGCTTGAGCTCAGGAGTTTGAGACCAGCCTGGGAAAACAGCAAGATCCTGTCTCTACCAAAAATAAAAATAAAAATAAAAATTAGCTGGGCTTGGTGGCATGCACCTGTAGTCCCAGCTACTTGGGAGGCTGAGGTGGGAGGATTGCTTGAGGCTGGGAGGTTGAGGCTGCAGCCTGGGTAACAGGGCAAGACACCTTCTCTAGAAACAAGAAAAGAGCCTCGTTGGCTTTCACTGATGCCCTTTCTTCTGATCTCCTGTCCCCTCTAGAGGCAGGGCCCAGGTCTTAGACTGCACAGGAAGCACCCCCCTGCTCTGGACCCCTGTGAATAAAATCTTTTGTTACATAGGAGATTCTAGATTTAGATACAGAGCTCAGGACTACTAAGGAGATTCCTGTTTTATTGGCTTAGATATAACAATGTCATGAAAGCTCACTTTCTTCAAAAAAAATCCTGTCTTGCAGCTGTGAATACGGGAGAGCACACCCGCTTCCTTTTGCCTCCCAGCG
Organism: Homo sapiens; assembly: GCF_000001405.40. NCBI lineage: Eukaryota > Metazoa > Chordata > Mammalia > Primates > Hominidae > Homo > Homo sapiens. The sequence continues at coordinate 4,586,503 of NC_000012.12, forward strand.
ATCCCTTGGTCGAATTAAGTGTTTTTATGGGGCACTGTGTGCCTCTTGGGGAAGCTGCTGAAAGACAGCCAACAATCAGCAAGTTCATAAACTTGTGTGACCTGTGGGTATTTGAGAATGGAGTACAAGTGTGCAGAGATGTAGAGGCCACCAGTCCTCGGGGTCACTTGGTCACCTGGGGCTGCTAAACTCCTGGGCTGCGTACACACACACACACACACACACACACAGACACACACACACACCCCTTTGCTCTGTCAGCTAAGCTCTGAGTCCATGGTTTTCCTGTTCATGGGAAATGAGCAAAGATCGCTCTCTCCATTTTGCAAATAAGGAAAATGAACTCTAGCAGACAACTTTGGCATGTGCAAAGCACTTTACACATATTAACTCCCTTAATCCTCACAGTGTTTTGAGGTTGGTACTAATATTATCACCACATTACATGAAGATAGGCTAATAACTTGCCCAGGTTCAAACAATCAGTAGTGGAACCAGGAATCAAAATGAAAGAGTGTGATTTTAGAGTCCATACCCATGAGCATTATTTTATCACATTGCTGCTGATGGGGTCTTTCTGAAATACTGCTTTGCACATGTAACTGCCAGCTATACAAATTGTTAGTGGTTCACTGTTGCCCACGGGATAAAGACCAAGCGTCTTAGTCTTTCAGTGCTTTCCATGCCCTGTGGTCAACCCCCTGTTCCTGCTTACCCAGCATGAGCAGGGAAGAGCCCTGGAGCGTGCCTGGGTGGTGTTGTTTCACTGAGCAAGCATGCTCTCTACCCGTCCTCTCGGTTAAAGCCCAGACCAAGCCTCACCCATTCAGAAGAGCGCCCCCTCTACCACCATCCTCCTGGGCCGATTGCATTCACAGTGATCTTTTCCTTCTTTGTTGATACTCACTGTTCATGCCCTTTGTTTCGTATTTAGTTTGGGCTGTATTCTGTTAATGTACCTTTCATTTATCTGTCCAGTCTCCCTACCGCATCCTCAATGTCAGCCTGTTATTGACGATGCTAATGAATATTCATCCCCACAAACCTACTTGATGAGAAATTGAGACTCTGAGATTTGCAATTGCAATATTTGCTCAGATACCATTTTCCATTCAATAGTGGAATCCTAAATGTAGCACATTAGCGAATTAACGTGGTCTGAGACCATGCCCCATGTTCTATGCAACCCTCTCTCCCTCAGACTACCTCCCTATTGCAGGAGGTCAAGATTGACTGTCCCAAATAGTCCTCATCATTACTGTGCTGTGCAGGACTTAGCTGTGCTGGATGATATTAAGTGTTGTACCCAGTTGTTATTTCAGTGTGGCCAAATGTTTACAGAAGTGGGTCTGATACCAGCTGTGTGTCAGCTTTGGATAAACATCCTTCAACTCCATAGGGGAGGTCTGGAAGAAGGAGGAACCCTGGTTTGGCTTCAAAGACCAGAACTTCGATTCAAGCTCTAGCCTGTTGTTTGCTAAACTTCAGTCATTTGAGGGCCAGCTTTACAGTTTTTGCCATGCCTACGCCTACATAGTCCTCACACTCTGTTTTGTTTTATTATTGTTTTTTGTAGAGACAAGGTCTCTATCTGTTGCTCAGGCTGGAGTGCAGTGGCACGATCATAGCTCACTGTAACCTGGAAATCTTGGCCTCAAGTGATCGTCCCACCTCAGCCTCTCAAAGCACTGGGATTACAGGTGTGAGACACCATGCCTGGCCTTACTTTTTTTTTTAACTTAAATTTTAATCTCATCCTACATAATAACAACCACAACGTTACAAGTTCAATGTGCTTGTTACAGTTTTTCAAATGGATATTACAGTAAATCCATACCCATTAGATAGCTCTTTATCTGCGTACTGTACACATTACGTCCTCTTCCTCTGCGGGGTGCTTGCCGCCCTCTGGGACACACTGCTCTAGTATTTTGGTCTTCTTCTCCTCACCCTTCTAGGCGTGAAGTCTCTTCTGATCAGGGCACTGGTGTCCAGGCTGGGTGCCTGTGTTCCACTGGGTGGGTTCCACTATGCCACCTTCAGAGCCACACTCAGGGCGAAAAGACTTCCAGGCAAGGCAATGGCCATTTTCTTTTCTAAAGAGCAAGAGCAGCTCAGCTGTTACTCCTTACCGTAAGCAGGGTCTCTAGTTAAGATTTTGTTGGAAGAAAAGGCCATATTGATTTTTTTTAAAGCATGAAAACCATAGGCCAAGCCCATCCAGGATGAACACTTTGGGAAAGATCATTTGTTTGGATAATCATCCATTCATACATTCATTGAGTACTTATTGGAGCCTCTCTTGGCTCTTCCCAGCTAAGGATTCAGGAGAGCTGGCCTCAAGCATAGTTTGTTTATTGTAATGTAACAAAAATATACAGTGTGGGATAAAGCCATGCCAAGCATTGTTCCTATTTTCTTCCACTTGATCCAGGTTGGAAGTAAACTTTCGGTTCAGATCCAGAAGCCACCTTCCAATATCAAGAACTCCAGAATGACCCAAGTCTTTCATAAGGTAGGGAGTGATGGTCAGCTCCTTTTCTCTAGGAGAGAATGAGGAGAGGTGGGTGGCCAGGGTAGCTTTGAACAGACAGTTTTGGCCAATTTATCATAAAATGTATCATAACATGATGACAGCACTCTATCCACGTCACCACACCCCATCTCCACATCACCACGCCCCATCTCCTCCACATGATTTTTAAAAATGTTTTTATTTTAATTTTTGTGGGTATATAGTAGGTACATATATTTATGGGATACATGAGATGTTTTGATGTAGATATGCAATGTGTAATAATCACATCATGGAAAATGGGGTATTTGTCCCCTCAGGCATTTATCCTTTGTGTTACATACAATAAAATACAATTAAATTACTATTGATTATAGTCACCCTGTTGTGCTATCAAACATGAGGTCTTATTCAGTGTACGTTTTTGTACCCATTAACCATCCCCACCTCTCCCCTGACCACTACCCTTCCCAGCCTCTGATAACCATCCTTTTAATCTCTGTCTCCCTTAATTAAATTGTTTGGATTTTTAGATCCCATAAATAAGTGAGAACATGTGATATTTCTCTTTCTGTGCCTGGCTTATTTCACTTAGCATAATGATCTCTAGTTCTATCCATATTCTTGCAAATGACAGGTTCTCATCCTTTTTTATGACTGAATAGTATTCCATTGTGTTTAAGTATCACATTTTCTTTATTCATTCATCTGTTGATGGACACTTAGGTTGTTTCCAAATTTTAGCTCTTCTGACCTCTCTCCTGATTAATCAGTCAATCAGTCAGTGCAGGAGGCAGGGATCCAAGTGAGTAGGTCAAGTCAATAATGTAGTCATAGAGGAAATTGAAGCTTATGTTGCACTGAGGAAGATTTGTGTGATATAACAGGAAGAACTTCCCTGCGTTAGGGTGGTAAGATATTGGAGTAATAATAATAATGGCCAGCACTTACAGAATACTCTCTATATATTGACTCATTTACCTCACAAAAGCCTTATGAGGTAGGCCCCATTTTTGTTCCCATGGTAGTGATGAAATAATTGAGGTTTCGAGAAAGAGTCAGTGTGAGCTGTTGAAAGCCTGCAGCTAGTAAGTAGTAGAGCAGGGACTCAAACCCAGAGCCCATGTGTTTGTTGACTCTGCTGCTCTGGAATCTGCATTTCTTGCCAAGAACTTTAAGAATAGGTTTAGGTCCAGATTGGGGTTAGGCTCATTCTTGTTGGGGAATTGGGAAGGGAGGCTGGAAGAAATGACCCCTGGAGACGTTTTCTTGCCTAAGGCTTTTGTAACACATGCAATTTCTCCTTCTACAGAACACCAGTGTTACTTCACTCCCCTTTGTGGACACCAAGGGGAAGAAGAATACGGTAAGCTTCCCACACATTAGCAAGAAAGTCCTGCTGAAGTCATCCCTGCTGTATCAGGTGAGTGCAGACGGACTGGACCCTGAGAAGGCAGGTGAAAGACCTGGTTTTAGTCCAAAGCCAGTTTTAGAAAGGCCCAGGATAGTGGGGAAAAGCACAGTAGCTGCTGAAGAGGTGGGTTCTAGTCCTGTTCTCATTCTTTACAATGACTATAAGCTTGAGCAAATAAGTCCTTGACCTTTTCTTAGCTACAAAATGGGCCCTCTCTAGAGCTGTCAGGAGGATTCATTGAGGAAAAATGAAGTGCTGGTACATAAAAGGTGGAACCATACAAAATATTAGTTTCCTCCCATGTCCTCCTACTTCTTTTGTGTAGGGACCAAATAAGATAATAGGTGCGAAGGTGCCAACTGAAAGAGGCGTCACACACACATAAGTCCATGTGCTCCTGGGCAAGTCACTTTGTCTTGTTGGGAGCTCACCTTCTTAAGAGCAGCAGTGAAAAACTGTTCCCATCTCTTCCCATAGTGAGATGTTGCTGGGGTTGTCAGCAGCATACGGTAAGGTACAGGGGTCTCCCCAGGAATAGTGTCAGTCAGACAGATGCTTCCTTTGGGAGAGAGGTAGGGAGAACCTTCTGTCTCTTAATCGCTGTTTTCTCCCTGGAGAGGTAGGTAAAGAGCCTGGCTGAAGGTGGGTGTCTTTGGTTAAATAAATGGTTTATGGCCCCCAGGAGAGTCCTAAGTAGTTATTTATTGCAAACCTCTTTTCCTGGACAGGAGAATCAAGCTCACAATCAGATGCCGGCCTCAGAGCTCAAGGCTTCAGAAATACCTTTCCACCCTAGCATTAAAACCCAGGATCCCAAGGCAGAGGAGAAGTCACCAAAGAAGCAAAAGGTGACTCTGACAGCGGCAGGTATGCCTTTGGGGCAGTAGCAGGGTGGGGAGGTGCTTATGGAAGGTCGGGGTGTTAAGAGCTAAGCTGCGCTGGAGTGAGCTAAGCTGCCAGGTGTCAGAGTAGTCAAAGAAGGCAGCCAGCCAAGAGGAAAGTAGAAGTTAAGCGTTGAACCTCTGACTGTGGTAGTATAAGCAAGAGGCTGAATAGGAGGCTGAATTTCCCCCAAGGAGTGGCTCTGGGCAAGGGCGGGATGTACCAATGCAGACAGAAGGAAGTGTCTCATTTGCCTAAGGAGCCCAGACACAAGGCTCCTGTCATTTTATGGACCCAGGGGCCAGCGGGAAGGCACTGAGAGAGTGGAAGAGCCAGGAGTGGAAAGGTACTGAATACTGAGAGCAGAGCAAAGGGTGCTGAAGCTTGCTCCTTCCTCTTGATAAGGAGGTGTTGGAGAGGAGCCTCTGTAGGGGGATCTTGATTAGAAATGCAGACATGTAGAAGAGCATGGCCAGCCAGGGGTCTCAGTCCTTGGCTGTAGCTTCCTCCAGAGATTGCAATGCATTGGCTGTGCACCAGCTCTGGTGCAGGGAGGGCAGCTTTGCCCGTGAGGCTTGCCAGGTGAAGCCTTTGTGGATTGCCTTGTGGTCAGGCCTGAAAGATTACACATGGGTTTTTGGCCAGTAGCTAGACTTTTAATGGGATTCAGAGACTCATAACCTATTAGGATGCAAAGGAAGAGAGCCCAAATCCACCGAGCATCCACTATGTGTGCCATCATCAGACACTTTACAGCTCTTCTACCACAGCTTAGAAACTGAAATTGGTGCTTGTTGTTCTTAAACAACTCCGGGAACTATGCATGAAGAGGTCATTTCAGTCCTGAGCTAGTTCTGCCTTCACAGAGCTGCCATCTGCCCCCCTGCTATCTTATGCCTTGGCTCTGTCCTCTGGGCAAAGAACATGCCTTATTCAGCTTATACTTGACTGCCCTTCACATATATGAAAACAGAAGTCTTGTTCCCTATAAGTCTTTTTCTTTTTCCTTGCAGTTCCCTCTCTAGTGCTTCAGCAGTTTGTCAAATAATATGGTGCCCCCTATCCTAATCCTAGTTTCTTTTCTCTGAGAATGCTCTAGTTCATCAGTTACTGTGAATTTTACCCCTGACCACGCACGAGAGCGCCAATGTGATCTGGCTGGTGTAGGGAAGTCCTAACTCATAATCTCTTCTTGCAATCTGAGGTCCTTCCTGATCCAGCTGCAGATTTGAGCGTGAAGCCTCCTGGGCCTTTAATGTTGCCTTTATGTTACCTGTCTGGCCCTGCAGACATTACAGTTCTCAAAGCCTCTCAAGACGGACTAATTATAGCTTAATTCCACGTTAACTTGGGCAACTTGCCACCTAAACTATATACTATTGTCGACACTAATTTGACTCCTGGAATTTTTACCTGCGCTGCTCTAACCCCCAGGTGTTTGGGAACTGAGCTCTCTGTTCCCCTGTCCTTGTGTTCCTTTCTCGATTTGTTGAAATAAATACAAGACCTTGACATTTATTCTTGTCATACTTCCATCTTGTGAGATGCCAGATGCAGGGTCCTCAGTGAGCCACCCAGCTGGGGAACAGGCTGATGGCTCGTGACCTGGAAGGGATGCCATCGTCTGCATCCGGGGCAAATCCCATGCTGCCTCAACTGAACTCACAATTGTAGTGTTTTTCACACAGAGGCCCTAAAGCTTTTTAAGAACCAGCTGTCTCCATATGAACAAAGTGAAATCCTGGGCTACGCGGAGCTGTGGTTCCTGGGTCTTGAAGCCAAGAAGCTCGACACGGCTCCTGAGAAATTTAGCAAGACGAGTTTTGATGATGAGCATGGCTTCTATCTGAAGGTGATGGGGGTGGGGGCCATGGGAACCTGCAGGGGCCCAGGGACAAGAGGTAGTCTAGAAAGGAAAAAAGCAACGGTATTTTGTAGTATTTGGGGCTGATACGTTGGAGACTAGATATCCTGAAGTATTCTGGTAGTGCCAAACCAAGGAAATACCATGTTTGAAAATGGGGAAGCATGCAATTTAGTATGCAAAATACTCTACTAATGGAAGACTAATTTTCCCCCAAGCATAGTTGGGGTAGCCGGTTTGCATCCTGGGTGAGCTCCCACAGGCTCCTTCCCTGCATAGCCCACTGGAAAAGGCCAGACTGAAATAAGGAGCAGTTTTCCCAACATTCCCTTTTTTGTCTCTTCAATACAAGCCCATACATGGACTCTTTTCTATTTTATAGTAGATGTCACTTCCCCCACAGACAAAAAAGCTTTTGTCACTGTAGACCCTGGTGCATAGAGCTTAATTTCATTCTGTTTTTTAAAAAACAATCCCAGCAGCTCCTCTTCCTCCCCCTCTTCTGACTGTAGCCCTTGGCTTCCCCAGGACAGTGCCTCTTCCCAGCCTTAAGGTGAAAGCTGAGCAGTGATTCCCAGGGCTGAGCATGTTGGGATGTGTGCTGCTTAGTCCACTAGGCTGTGGGCTGTCAGGAATTTCCTCTTCGGAACATTTCATTGCAACTTGGATTTAAGATACAGGATGAGTCTGATGGCTCATAGAAGAGGCAGATTTTATTAACAGCATTTAGGGCTGTGTTTGTCTAGCATTACTGTGAACACAAACCACTTGGAGGAGCTCGTTAAAATGCAGGTTCTTATCCAGCAGGTCTGGGGCTGGGGCCTAAGCTTCCAGGTGATGCCTGTGCTGTTGATGCTTGGACCACACTTTGAGAAGCAAGGATTTCGTTTCTGTCACACAGCTGCCTTCTAGAGCCCGGGTTTTCAATATTTTCGGTCAAGCATCCCTTTGGGAGCCTGATAAAAGCTATAGGTCCTCATCTCAGAAAAGACAACCTGCGCATACATAAAATTATAGGGGGTTAGTGGATCTTTGGTTAGGAATCTCCAATATAAATATGTATATATGTTTTTTGAGATGGAGTTGCCCAGGCTGGAGTGCAGTGGTGTGATCACGGCTCACTGCAACCTCCACCTCCTGGGTTCAGGTGATTCTCTTGCTTCAGCCTCCAGAGTAGCAGGGATTACAGGCGCCCGCCACCACGCCTGGCTGATTTTTGTATTTTTAGTAGAGGCAGGGTTAAACCGTGTTGGCCAGGCTGGCCTCAAACTCCTGACCTCAGGCGATCCATCCGTCTTGGCCTCCCAAAAGGCTGGGATCACAGGTGTGAGCCACTGCGCCTGGCTGGGAATCTCCAGTATAAATCTTAACTCTGATTCAGCTAGACCTCCTCAACCCCTCCCTCCCTGCTCCCTCCTCTGCTCCACCCTAGCTGAGCCTAGGGTCTCTGGGGAATTCCCTAAGGGTGTCAGTACTACTTTTAAGTTAATTCATTGGAACTCAGTTCTTCAGTCTCAAATCTTAGAAAAGCCTTTTTTTTTTTTGGTGAGGGCGTTGTGGGGAAGAAAGGGACAATGTGTGTTCTCCGTAAGCTCAGAATCACCATCCTTATTGCATTCCAGTACACACACAAATACATACTGCACACAGCCAAATTCCCAAGCAAGCAACATAGCTGCATTCTCACTTAATTTTGTCAGCAAATGTTAATTGAATGCCTATGTATTGATAATCTGTCATAAAGTTGGGCATCTACTAGACTCTGGAAATATAAAGGAAGCTATCATAAATGAATACAAAATGGTTTTTGCTTCAAGTAACCATAATCAATGTCAAAGTTGACTTGCGAACGAACAATTATGACACAAAGTGGTAGCATGCAGAAGGCAAGCACAAATGCTAAGAAAACACATATGTAATTTTATAGCAACATGTGTGTGGATCCTGTCCCTGTCCTTTTCCCATACATTCTCATGACAGACCCTTACAAGTAGACTAACCTACATGCATAGATCAGGAAAGTTGTACGTGTTCAAATTCAGTCTTGATTCCTCCTGTATGAACAGACCCCTGGCACACATTCTCAAACACATCCTCAGGACTTGTGCACAAACACTTAATCCTTCACCTCTCCCAAACTCATGAGTGTAACACTAGAAATTAGAGACCCACAGAGCTTGAGGACCTTAGAGATAATCTCATCCAGCATCTTCAGTTCACAGACAATAGCACTGCAGCTCAGAATGGATAAATTGCTTGTCTAAAGCTGAAGTATTTTTAATAGAAAATTTCCTGTGGTTTTGATTAACCCCCTGCTCCCTAGTTTCCAGCATAGGGAGAGACATGGGTGATTCTGGCTCTTGAAATATTTCTCTTCACCAAGAAAGGTCCAAGTTCTGTACTGCTAACTCCAGGATAGGATTAAATCCCAGTAAGCCCAAAGGAGAACCAAATTTGGCCAGGAAGAGGCAGAGAGGAGACCTAACGCCTTCTCTAATTGATAGAGACACATCAGGGGTCAGAAATAAAACTTCCCCCAAACCAGAGATGCTGCTTAACTTCAAGACTCATAAAATGTCCAAACTGAAAGGGACTTTCAGGGCCGCTTTTTCCAACCCTCTTACTTTATAGGTCCTAAAACATGCAGAAAACTAGAGGACTAGAACTAGAACTACAATACTGGGACTAGATCCCAAGTTTCCTAAAACCATCCAATGTCCTTTGTGCTGCTTGACATGGATCAAGCCTGTGGGACTTTCCCTGGCACCACATGGGTGGCCCAGAATCCAGGCAACAAGCTCCTCATCATAGTCGCAATGAGATGAGGGCGAGAGTCGCACAAGTGCCCAGTGTAGTTAGAAAATTCCTCCAGGAGTGAGCCATAATCTGGGGATGGGAATGCCAGGGCCATGTACCAGGAAGGCCTGGGAGCCCATGGCTTTGCTCTTCACCTCCGGCCTGGCTTCCACAGGTCCTGCATGATCACATTGCCTACCGCTATGAAGTTCTGGAGACAATCGGGAAGGGGTCCTTTGGACAGGTGGCCAAGTGCTTGGATCACAAAAACAATGAGCTGGTGGCCCTGAAAATCATCAGGAACAAGAAGAGGTGTGGCTTGGGGATGACATAGGCCACAGAGGAGGGACTGCGTGACTGTGGCCCCTGCAGAATGCCAGCCCTTCCTGACTGTGCCTCTCCCTCCAATCTTCCCTTTTGTCTTCCCTTTTCTCTTTCTACCCGTCTGATTCCATGAGGGGGCAAAGAGGAGGTGAGAGTGTGGTATTTTTAGTGCTTCCTGCCACTAGACAGTCTTGTTGGGGTCATGGGGAGGGGCTGACTGCTGCAGCGGGACCTGACACTGATGTTTCTATCCCCATTTCCCACCCTGCCGGCCACTCCCAATCACCTTAGGTTTCACCAGCAGGCCCTGATGGAGCTGAAGATCCTGGAAGCTCTCAGAAAGAAGGACAAAGACAACACCTACAATGTGGTGCATATGAAGGACTTTTTCTACTTTCGCAATCACTTCTGCATCACCTTTGAGCTCCTGGGGTCAGCTGCCTTTTCTTCTTAACTCATTTTCTCTGGAAAAGTTACCTAAGTGATAGTTTTTGAGGTCAGAACACTAGATTTCTCTGGATGTGAATATTTAGTAACTAGAATGGACATGACAGTCACTCAGTTATCCAGAATGCCCAGGAGCAAGGAGGTTGGGATGAAAGCAGGCCATCTTGGTATGCCTGTCACCTGCCAGCATACCCATGATGTACTTCCCTGGTGCTGGGTACTGAGCCAGGTGACATGACCAAAACAAGGCCTCTTTCCTTAAGAGCTAAACTGAAATAGTCAAAAAGGACATTTCTTTGTTTGCAGTCATTTTCCCCACTCATTGGCTTTCTGGCCTGGTCGTGCAGAGGCTGAAACCCAAAGGAACAGGCAGCTGGCTGCTCAGAGTGGGAAATGGGTTTTGATTTTGAGTAAATAAGGACAAGAGCAGATATTTTTGGTAAGAGAGCAGAGCCTGACTTCAATAGATTGGCGTGGCCTGGCTGAATATTGGAGCTGACAAGGCATGCTACTTTGATTATTTTTCTCTCTGGGAAGACCATCTGATGCAATTTATATAAAACTAGAAACCCCGAATGCATTTAGCAAAGGAGAATAATCAGGGGTGAGCTCTCAGAGTGTTACTGGATTTAGCGAGCTGGTAGCTCACTGCCCCCATGACACCATTGCTGACGATGAAATTCTAGGAACCAGCTACATTTGAATTAGCAGGTAAGGTGACACTCTCCTCACCATTTCTGGTTATTACAAAGCGTGGTCGAGTCTCTGATATGCAGAGGTAAATTATCTTCTCTGTGGCCAAATGGACAGCTCGGTCTGCCTTTCTTGGCCATGAATCACAGTGCACAGTTAGAATGTCATTGTGCTTAAAAGAGCTCTGGGAGGTCAGAGGGCCAGGGCTGTGCAGGGGGAGTCCAAAGCCCAGAGAGATGAGGGAGTTGCCCAGGTGACTAGTCAGGATGGGGCCAGAGCCAAGACTCACATCTCCATTGCAGCCCTCAAGAATGAATGGTGGCCGGGCATGGTGGCTCATGCCTGTAATCCCAGCACTTTGGGAGGCCGAGGTGGGTGGATCACTTGAGGTCAGGAGTACCAGACCAGCCTGGCCAACGTGGTGAAACCCCATCTCTACTAAAAACACATCTCTACTAAAAACCCCATCTCTACTAAAAATAGCCGGGCGTGGTGGTGCGTGCCTGTAATCCCAGCTACTTGAGAGGCTGAGGCAGGAGAATCACTTAAATGTGGGAGGCAGAGGTTGCAGTGAGCTGAGATTGTGCCACTGCACTCCAGCCTGGTCAACAGAGCAAGACTCTGTCTCAAACAAACAAAAAAAGAATGAATGGCTCTGGCTGGGTATGGTGACTCACACCTGTAATCTCAGCATTTTCGGAGGCCAAGTTGGGAGGTCACTTGAGTCCGAAAGTTTGAGACCAGCCTGGACAACAGAGCAAGACCCCATCTCTAAAAAAACATTAAGAATGAGTGGCTTGCTAAATACTACCAAAGCTAGATGATCTTAGAAATGGAAGATGAGGAGGAACCAGCAGAAGTTTGCTGCAGAGCCATTTTGGAGTCATGCTCTTTCCCTTCTCTCCCCATCTCACAGCTTGCACAGAGGTTGCAACTGGCAGCTCACAAATAAATGTTTCTTTGTCAATGCATTGTATTAATATTAGTTTCTAACATTCGTAAGTCTGTAGACTTCATATAATATAGTAGGCTTCTGCCACCCTAGAGAATTTAAGATTCTCTGGCAAAAGCGAGCTTTCATTTCTCAAAGGAGCAGTTAGGTGGGACCAAACAGCCACACTTTGGGTGGAGCAGGGGCTCCCTTTGGCCTCAGCCCCCATCTGCCCACTCTCTTGTTCCTTACTTGTCAGGAACCTCATGTCCTTAGACAGCCCTTATTAGGCCTGGGCAGGAGTGGCTGCTTGTTTGAGTGACTGGTGGGCTTCCTGGTTCCCTCCCAAGGGCCTGAGGAACTATGACTATTTCAGAAGTTTGGGCCAACCTCTTAACCCGCCTGCATAACAAAGTGCTTCAGTGGCCTTGTCACATCAGAAATGAGGGGACATCTGAGAGTCTGACACAGTTTCACCCTGCGCCCACCACGATTCAGTGGGAAAGCTGAGTCTATAAGGGCATGAAAGCCTTGCCTCCTGGCCTGAGGCTTGCCTGCTACTAGACGGAAACCAGGTGATACAAGATTGTTTGCAGGTTCAAACTCAGCCTTATATGTTTTTTTACACCCATATGCATCACTTTTCCCCTCTTTTCCAGAATCAACTTGTATGAGTTGATGAAGAATAACAACTTTCAAGGCTTCAGTCTGTCCATAGTTCGGCGCTTCACTCTCTCTGTTTTGAAGTGCTTGCAGATGCTTTCGGTAGAGAAAATCATTCACTGTGATCTCAAGCCCGTGAGTACCATCTCCGTCCTGCCATGGACACACTCTGGAAATACCCATTCTATTCCCCAGGCCGTGTAACAATCACAAACTCCAATCAAATAATTGCCTTTGACTTTTTTTTTTTTTTTTTTTTTTGGTGCTCTACTGTCATGGCAGTATATCAAGGGAGGGCATTTCGTGGGAATGTCGAACAAATTCAGTCAATGGCATTTCTAAGGCCGTGCAAGCAAGGCCTAGAACCAGGTGCCAAAGAAGATAAAAACAAAGTCACTATCTTCAGGAGTTGCAGAATCAATAGGGGGAAAGTGACAAATATATGCAAAAGAAACTGTGCAAAGCAGTGACTATGAGGTCTGAATGAGAAACGCCGACCACAAGTCAAATGGAAAGTCAGAGCGGAGGATGATGGGATTTTGGAGAGGATGTGGGAGGATGCCCATGGAGGTGGTCATATTTGAACTGGGCCCTGAAGGATGAGGAGCATTTAGGTAAGTAGAGGGCCTAGGGCCGCATTACTGTAGCTTGACATATGTCTTTTCTTCTCTCTAGGAAAATATAGTGCTATACCAAAAGGGCCAAGCCTCTGTTAAAGTCATTGACTTTGGATCAAGCTGTTATGAACACCAGAAAGGTGAGCCCCATGTCAGTCCCATCATCTGAGTTTTCCTATTGCAATTTCTCTCCCTTCACATACAAGGTCACCTGCCTTCTAGGCTGCGCTCAGCTGTCACCACTACCAGTATGATTTTGAACAAGGTGCTTCGCTTCTCTGAGCCCAAGTTGCCTCATCTACAATTTGAGAAAGTTGTATCCAAATACTAGAAGGGTGCTTTCAAGCTCTCATATTCTGTAGATATGGAATTATCCTAGAACAGTGAGCCCCAAAACTAACTAACTGTGTATCTGAATTGCTTTGGGGCTCTGAAAAATTGTAGTTTGTTCCTAATTCAAATTTCTGGGAAGTAGCTAGAAGTCTGCGCTTCAGAAACCACAGTCATTCTGAAGTTTGGAATTCACTGCCCCAGATCCTCTAGGTTTTATTCTTTTTCAAGCTAGGATCCAAAAAAGTAGCTCTGGAGTACATTTTCACAGCGTTTACTGAACTTTATTTAATATTGTGTTCTTTCGGCTTCTATCAGGTTCGCTATAGAGAACACGTACCATTCAACAGACATTTGTGATCTGTTTTGTGTCAGTCACTGTCCTGGGTACCAGGAACAATTAGTGAACATTCCCTGTCCTCAGGTTGCTTACTATCTAATGTAAGAGACAGAAAGATAAAAATAATATGGTGAATACAATGATTAGAGATATACACAGGCTGTGTTAAAGATATACAACACAGGGACTTTGGGACCAGCTTTTAAGGTGGCAAGGGCTGTCAGAGGAAGCTTCCTGAGGCTGAAGACGGGACTACTAGATGGATGTTTCCAAATATTTGGTGGATCAATTTTTTTTCAGGGAAACACATATACAAGTTTATTAATAAAGAATATAATAAAAGACACAGATGAAGAGATACACAAGGCAAAGTATTGAGAAGGGGTGTGAAGCTTCCATGCCCTCTTGGGGGCACGCCACCCTCCCAACACCACGTTTCCCATACCCTGGAAGCTCTCTGAATCCTGCAGCTTGGGGATTTTTATGAAGGCGTCATCACATAGTCATTGAAGTTATTAACTCAATCTCTAGCCCCTTCCCCCTTCCTAGAAGAAAGGAGTTAGAACTGAAAGTTCCAAGTTTCTAATCATGGCTTAGTCTTTCTGGCAACCAGCCCCTATTCAGGAGCCCACCAAGAGTCATCTCATTAGAACAAAGAGAGTCCTATCACCTAAGAAGTTCCAAAGGATTAGGAGCTCTGTGTCAGAAGCCAGGATAAAAGGTCAATTATTAGAACAAGAGATACATGTAGAACCCCTATCACTCAAGAAATTAAAAAGGTTTTAGGAGCTCTGTTCCAAAAACTAGGGGTAAAGTCCTATATCTATTTCTTATTGTGTCTCACACATGCTCATATACAAGCATGTATATTATTAGTTTGAAGAAAAAAATAAGTCAATGCACCACATACAGTGTTAGCCATTCACTCTCACACACTGTTGGAGGAACTGTGAATTCATATTATCTTTTGGGAGGATACTTTTGCATCTGTAACCAAACATTTCACTCTAAACCTTCAAAAATTATAAATTCCCCTCTGAAGAACCTCTCCTACAGATTACAGATGTTCTCATAGAATGTACATCTTCACTACTGCACTGTTAGCTAGCACAACATTGGAACCAACCTAAACATCTACAAATGAAGAAGGGTTTAATAAATTAACGCTGTAATACCACGCAGCTATTTGAAAAGAGAGATTTAAATGTAATGGCCTAGACAGATGTCCATGATGAAGTAAGTGGAAAAAAAACTGAATAATGAAACTTTTGACATGTAAATGTATAAATATAAAGAAGATATAAAAGGATTTGCACCACACTGTTAAAAGTGGTTATCACTGGAGATGAGCCTGGAAGAGCTTAGGGTTGAATTTTCAACTTTTACTTTACATATATATCTTTTTTTTAGTAAGGATATGGATGATTTTCAAAATTTTCTCTTGGATTTTCAATTTTTAAAATTTTTTTAAATTAAATAATTTGGTGTCTTTAATTTGCTAAAGATTTACATAAGATTTCCATATGTCTAGTCTTAAGTGAGACCAGTCTGTAGGGTTTGTGTGTGTGTGTGTGTGTGTGTGTGTGTGTGTGTATCTTTGTCCTGTTTGAATACCAAAGTTGCATCTTGAAAAAATGAATTGATCATTTTCTATTTTCTGTTCCTTCAAAGTCTGAACAAAATAGGAATCATTTTATTTTCACAAGGCCTCTTAGAACCTAATTGGAAAGTTATCTGCATGTTGCATCTTTCTCAAGGGTAGTTCTTGAACCACTTTTCTACTTCTTTCATAGGCTGATATCCAGACTCCCTTTTGTAATTAAGTTCAGCTTTCATATCTGTATGAACTTATTTTTCAGAAAAGTTTTACTTACTCTGCTGTTCATGTCTTCAATCTGCTTTGCTTGCTGAATTCTCCTCATTTCTAAGACCTGCTCTCTTTTCTTTTGCAACCATGCTTTAAATACTATGCCATTCTCCCTCTTTTTTTCTTCCTCTTCTTCTATTTTCTGTTGCTCTTCCTCTCTTTTCAGCTTTTCTCTCTTTTGTTCTCGTTTTGTAGTTCTTTCTGTCAAGGGGAAAGACAGTATGTTGAGGTCACTGATGAGATATGTGCAGACTGTCCTGATTAGATTTCCCATTCCCTTTACTTCGATCTGAGATGGCAGCAGAGCTTGGACAAGTCTTGCGGTTGAGTGGTGGGATATAAGCCAACTTATAAGTGGAGGGATATAAGCCAACGGCTCTCCTGTTGATGAGTGAGTGACAACATCAATCTTTGCTGCAGAATCTTCTTTCTTGATGCCACTGACACAGGAGTTGGAAGATCTGGGTAACACCTGCTGAGGGTCATTTTCTGTACTATTTGCATTATTAATGGGAGGCAAATACCCCTGACTCTTCAATGTCTTGTAAATTCAGAAGTTCAAATTTTCCATCTCTCTCTACCAGTATTGTCCTATCCTTGTTTATTTCACAGCTTCCATTAATAAGTGACAGGAGCATATTTTCTTGTCCCAAATCATTGGAAATACATCACTGTGACAGTTTCCCAAATATATTTCTTTCATTTTCAAAATAACTTTTGTAAGTATTAGTGTCTTTTAGTGGAGGAACTTCCAGATCAACTAATTTGTCCTTGAGCTTAAATTTTCACTCCCTTTTATCATTCACGGGTTCTTGATTCTATAGAAGCTTGTTAGCTTGTACAATTTTCTCCATAATGTATCACCTTACTTCCTCATCCTCTTCCTCCTCCAAGTCTTTCTGGCTTTCTAGTTTGGACTCCTGGAAAGAGTTTTCACTATCTGAATCTGATATGGGATCCAAAGGTTGAATACTCGGTACCGAAATGAAGTCATTTCTTCTTGGTGAGACCTCATCCTGCAAAGATTTGTCAGGATCAGAAAGCTGTTTGCTGTGTTCTATTACTGTTTCATTCTCTTTTAAGTCTTGGTTAATATTCTCTTCCTTCTCACAAGCCATCTCTATTATGCTGGCATCACTTTTTTCATTTTCATTAGTTAACCCCTCCAGGTCCTTTTCAGATTCATCTTTGTATTCTTCACTTTCTTTTGAATCAGTCTCTTTATTTTCATTCATTTTCCTCTCTCCCACCATTAATATTTCTACTCCACACCGTCCTTCCCTTCTCTCCCTCTGTTTCCCTCCTGTCTGTGTAAAATGCGGCGGCTGGGGTCACAGAGACGGCCAGGGGAGTTCTCCTCTCCTCCGCTTTCTAAGCTCTTCACATCGAGGCAAGGGAGACCCTGGCACCTGCCTCCGCAGCAGCCAGGACCACACTGCCATGGCAACAGCATGCCTCTGTGTCCTCCATCTGGGCCTCTCTGGCAGATCAATTTTTGAGGACATAAAACCTTTGTGTCTTTATGTATGAATCCTATAAGAAATTCCAGCTAAAAAGTAATGCTTCCCACAAAGAACTTGTATGTTTTCCCTTCTCAGATGTTGAAAGCTGTGTAACTTTTCAGTTTTCATTTATCTTGGCTGCCAAGATGCTCGGAACTGAATTCGTAATTATTTTATCCTTGGTTTCTAGCAGTCATTTCCCCCTTTGCATATTTTCTGACATCTTTTTTATCTTTATTTTAACTGTGAGGCAGTATCTAATATTGATGCTAGAATTAAACTGCCTACTCTCAAATCCCAGCTCTGTCACTTATAGCTGAGTAACCTTGACATTTTAACCTCTGTATGCCTCAGTTTTCTCTTCTTTAAATTGGAGGCAATAATACTACTTGCTTCACAGAATTAATGTAAGGGTTGAAAGGGCTTATCTATAAAAGTACTTGGAATCGTGCCTGGCACATACTAAACATAATGTAAATACCATTAAATCCATGTTCTAAAATACTCTGTGCATGTGTACTTTGCAAAGTACCACAAACACATTTGGGAAGCAGGCAGGATATAAACATTATTTTTATTAAATCTCTATTTTGTTTTAAATCACAGAATTATGTTCTGACAATAACCAATTTAAACAACAGAAAAGTGGTTACAGAATCCCTGCCCCTCCCCAGGTAACCAGAAACCCCAGTTATGCGGAAATAACTACCGTGTTCCATTTCTTCGACTTCAGTCTGTTCATCCTCACCTGTTGAGAATTTTCTTTCTATACAATAAGTGCACATGCTATATTGAATACAGACTTTGCATGCTCCCTTTCTAACTTGATATGCTCCCTTTCTAACTTGATAACTCTCTTGCCAAGTCACAAGACTCAGAAGCTGTCTACCCCAAATCAATCTGACAGTTTGAAAACTTAGTCTTATATTTGTCTTATGTTTTGTTTGTTTGTTATAAACTTGGCTCACTTAGATTCACTTTCCTACGACAGTGCCCACGTTGGAGTTCGTTATCAATAAAGCAGGGACAGTCACACCTCCTTTATAATCAGGTTGCTGGCGGATTTGATGCTGTGATGGTGTAATGGGAGTTCTAAGTGCTGGCCAGCTGCACTTCCCTTTCACTGCCAGCGGGGGCGCAGTCTAACTGAGAAGTTGTCCTGGGGGAGAGCGTTCTGGAGGGTAAGAAGTTTGTCCCACGAGGTTTCTCTTACTTTGCCTCCGCAGTATACACGTACATCCAAAGCCGGTTCTACCGATCCCCAGAAGTGATCCTGGGCCACCCCTACGACGTGGCCATTGACATGTGGAGCCTGGGCTGCATCACGGCGGAGTTGTACACGGGCTACCCCCTGTTCCCCGGGGAGAATGAGGTGGAGCAGCTGGCCTGCATCATGGAGGTACGCGGAGGGCTGGCGGTCGGCTCCCACGGAGACCGTGGGCTTGGCCCTCAGACACGGGGCTGCACCAGACTCGCCCAGGACCATGGCCTGCATACCTTGTTGTTGTTGTTGTTGTTGAGTATTCCCTAAAAGGAGTTTTGAAATTGTGTACTCCCTTGTACTTGTCAAGTCGACATCTAACGTTTTATCATAAATTTAAATAGTTGCAGAGGATGTCATTTCCATCATATTGTAAATAGTGACATTTTAAAATAAAATTACACCGCTCTTTCAAAAATATCCAAAAGAATGCAAAACCAGACGGACATGACACCCATTAAAATCTATCTGATAGTATGTGAACAGGTTCTTAAGAGTTGTGCCATGATTTTACTTTGTTCTTTTTTCCCTTTTGTTTCTACTCTTTTTTCTACTTCCTCTATGGAATTTTATTCTAATTTAATATACGTTTATGTTTAGAAACTTCTATCAATCATTATAGCTTTAAAAATTTCCTGATACCGTAAGCCTCATGTGTAAAAATTTCTTTCTGGTAAGTTACCATTAAAATATATCTGGTGTGCAAATTTTGATAATTATTGAAAATAAAATGTGAAATCTTATTGGGCATACAGCTCTTAGAAAAATGAATAGAGCTGGGTTTTTTTTTTTTTTTTTTTTTTTTTTCCAAATTAATGCCTATACCCATAGGTGAATAATGCTTCTTGCTAGAATGCCCGGGCTCGGGATCAATGTGATTCCAATTGCTTGGTGGTGTAGATGTGAACCCAGTGAGGAAGCCTGTTCTAATTAATGTCGTCTAATTCGGTGACTCCTTTTGAGTTCTGTGTAAGAATCAAATGGTGATCTGTCATCTAAAATTATGTTTACCAGCCTGTCAGCTGACAACCCGATTAAAATGTTGAAAACAAAGAATTGGAAATTATTTGACTTCAAAGTATGTGTATTGTTCAGGCATTAGTCATTCATTATGGGAAATGACAGTTTTCTGGGAAAACTATCTCCTAATAGCAAGGCTTGACCAAGACTCATGATATGATTATTAATTATATCTATTATGCTTTCACTTGAAAGCCATCTTGTTTTGGAAATAAATTAGACAAAATAGAAAAATAACTTTAAAAATTTTAAATTTTACATTTTAGGATTTTCCCAGTGAACAAAGATATTTTGTGTGCAAACACCAAGCTAGCTGGCTGGCTGGCTATCTATCTATCTATCTATCTATCTATCTATGTATCTGTATCTATCTATCTTTGCCAAATTTCTATTTTCCAGATTGTCTCAAAGTTACAGAGAAACACATATAGCCTTGAGAATGACTAAACATAGATAATTTCATTTCATGATCGAAACTAATAATAAAATATTAAAATAACTTAGGTAAAAATAGCTGTGGTGGAATGAACACTGGCCTGCGAGTCATTAAACCTGGGGTCTTAGTCCTGGCTCTGTCTTTTTGACTAGGCATTTCCCAGCTCTGGACTATAAAATGAGGGGAGCAGAGAAGATGGCTTCTAAGGTTGATAATGAATGATTTTATAAAGCATCCCCAGACCACTCCTGCTTCCAATACCAAAGAGAACGGGGCCTATGTTTCAAATTTCCTACAGCCCCAGAACTGACTCAGCTTCCTCTTGACCTCAGTGTCAAAGGGTCTGAGGAACAGAAGAGCAGGATAATGGATGGATTATGGGTGGGAACCGAGCAGCAAGGGCAGGTGACCCACACTGTAATTTCCTTATCTCTGTGTGCCCCTCTAAGTTGCAGTAGGAAAAGATGAACAAGTAGGTGCTACACTTTTCTTTTCAAGAAGGTATTTTGTCTTATAATTGTCTGATGCTCATCCGGTGATTTTCATCTTTTCTTCTCCCTTTCCAGTGCTCCATGGTGGGATATATCATTCTTTAATTCTGACATGGCAGCATGTGTACTAGTTTATTTGCTTTGACAATGACATCTGGCTGCTATCAAGGGTGGTGGCCCACCCCTAGTTGGTGCTGATGTTTGTGTAGAATAACATGGCCAGTGTTGATTCTTAGGATATGAAACCAGCCCTGGATTAGGAGTTAAAAGGCCCAGGCTCTGGGTTTGCTCTGCTACTGACCAGATGTTATTACTTAATGCTTTGAATCCTTATCTGTAGAAGGCAAAGCTTGGCCAAAGTACGCTCCACCCCTCAGCCTTTGAATCTGTGCTCCCACAAAGAATGAACCAATTGAATTATCCTTATTAAGGTGCTGGGTCTGCCGCCAGCCGGCTTCATTCAGACAGCCTCCAGGAGACAGACATTCTTTGGTAAGTCCTAGTGTGTCTCATGAGGTGTCACAGGCCTTGAAGACACCTGCCATACCTTAAGGCTCATTTCATTCTTTTCCCCTGGCCACATACCAAAGGGCTGTGATTAAGAGCGTCTTTCAGAGAAGTAAAAGATAATGAGCAGGGGAATCGGATAGCATGTTGGAGATGGGATGGGGGAGTCACAGTGGGAACAGGGTCTTGACAGTAAAAATGCTCAGGAGGAGGAGAATAGCCAGGTCCCTGCTCAGAAGAGCTATCAGCAAATATTGCAACCTCAAAATATTGTAACTGCATCCTCTCCCGGAAGTTCTCCCCACTCTCCCAAGCAACTTGCCCTCTCACACTATGCACTGTGCAGGGAAATCAAAGAGCAGAAGCTTCATTTCAAGAATAGTGGAAAATTCCATTGCTGCATTATTGTTTCCCCTGCTAAAATTCTTCTTATCCTCCAGACCTTACTGTGCCAGGTTCATTGCCAATGGTTAAGCAAGGACTTAGTTTTGCTTTGATGTGTTGTGGCTGGTAGTTATGTACGTGTCATCTGTCTGATTGTTGGGAGTAAACTTCGTCCACAGTCCAGGCTGCCCCTCTCCTCATAATTCCCAGAATTCTGGATTTTTATGATCCTCCGCCTTTCTATTTAAGTGGTCCTATACAAGATGGAAGGATGGGTCGACAAGGTATCAACTGAGGCAGGGCTTTCAACGTACACGCACCAAAAAGATGCAGCAAATCTCATACCTAAAATCCCTTTAAAGAACCACAGGAAGCTAAGAGTCCCAGATAGAAACAGCCAGAGTGGGCTGAAGGTCAGCAAAGTGGAGCAAAGCCAAATAGGAGGAAAAGGGAACTCCACAGACAGGGACTCCATGCTACCTGGAGTGACATTTCTGACCAGCCATTGTTGTCAGGTCGGTTCATGGACTCCCTCTGACCACACAATCCCAGACATTCCTGGCCCTCCCACCTCTGATTTTCAACTGCGAGCAGCTTCTGAATATGTATGCAAATCACACAATTTCTGTTCACAACTTGCTCCATCAGTAGGAAGGTCCAAAACACTCTCGTGGGGAGATCCTTTAGGATAAAAGGGTTTGGGTCATGCTGGTCAGTATGAACTGATTCAGCCATGTGGGGGTTATAATTTGTCTATTTCTGTACCATTTGGTAAAAAGCCACAGCCCTGAGCCCTGCTACAACTGCAGGCTCCCTGGCCCTCTCCCAGGACTCCTTAAACTCTCCATGATCCAAAAACCTAAAAGCTGAAGGCCAAGCAAGCAGAAGTTCTCTATGATCCTACTCCAGTGCCAGGGCTGTCTTCCATTCTGATTAGTTGGTTCCATGCCATTCATTCCAATGGTTAATTCTTTTAAACATCATCTGGTAATCATGGCTGGAGCTTTGGAGACCTTGCCTCTGAGCAGGGCAGTGTCCTGGTTGCCATAGAATGGTGACCACACATTAACCGAGCAATCTGGCGGTAGGCAAAGGATCTGGCTGGCTCCCCAGTATAATTTACACATGGAGCACGCGAACTGGTCTTTGGATCCCAAATATACTTTTTCTACCCACAACTTAATAATTCAGCCTTTTGGATTAGGCAGAGTCACTGTGGGAAGACATATCTTGAGCCTGTAACTCTGAACTCATGAGATAGCATCTAGGTGGGGACTAGCAGGAAGGGAACACAGAGCACCTTCGTAGGAACGTACTAAAGACATAGGCATGTCTACTTCATAGAGTTCCTTATTTCTACCATCAGCACTAGGCTTTAGGATGGTGATGGGGTTTTGGCAGCAATATCCATGTCTTCACTTCCTGTGAAAGAAGGAATGTTGCTGAGAACTGCATCTTCGTCAGTGTTTTCCAAACTCTATCCAAATGTAAGAATCATTTGGGGACTTGGCAAAAAAGCGAATTCCTGTGATTCTCTTCTATAAGCTATGCTATGGGAAGATTGCGATAGGACCCAGGATTCGACGTTTTTAATGACGGCTCCTTGTGATTCTTATGACAAAATAAGTTTGGGAAACACGGTTGTCCACTTCAGTTCTTGACTGTTCCTTTCCCAGGTTTGGGCTGCCAACTGCTCCTCTGCCCCGGGCGACTCCTAGTTAATACCCCTAATTAGCAGCAAAATGGTGTTGTCTCAAGGCTGGTAAGATATTATACTTAGGTGGCCCAGGTGGCTCAGGTAGTAAGAAGGGGATGGAGGGAATGACTGATGAGGGCCAGAGTGAGAAAAAACAATTACATGATCATGACTTTAGGAGCTTTGTTATTGATAAGACTGTGAGCTTGATTCTTCTTTGGTCATTGGTAAAAAGGACAATGTAGGATGAAGTGGGAGGGCTAAGGCCATGATCCAAAAGGAAATGGATATTTGTACAATTTCACAGGACCTTGTCACTTAACATTTACTTTACCATTGTCATTATTATCATTAGCATTATTATTTTATCTTGGTTGGTGTTAAGCCATTTAAATTATTTCTTTGATTTGGAGAGGAGGCAGTGGGAAGGAAGTTCAGAACATACTGAATAGTAGGAAAAAATCAATTTTTAAAGTAAATTGCATTCCTTGGGTAATCTACACATGGTTATTTCAAACTGAGTGTGTGTGTGTGTGTTTATTGGGGTGTGGCATGAGGCGAGTGTGTAAGACAGAGAGCAAAAGAGCTACAGAGGCCACTCTAAGCAGCAGCATCATGTGACCACTAAAGATTTACACCTGAAACTAAATACAGAATGTTCTATCTCTACAGATTCCAAAGGTTTTCCTAAAAATATAACCAACAACAGGGGGAAAAAAAGATACCCAGATTCCAAGGACCTCACGATGGTGCTGAAAACCTATGACACCAGCTTCCTGGACTTTCTCAGAAGGTGTTTGGTGTGAGTTTGTTGGGACATCTCTGCTTCTGGGTTTCCTCTTAAATGCTGTACTTTGACACACGTTTGCTGGTGAAAGACTAAGGCTGGGAGATAGTTATAAAAGTAACAAGAAATGCTAACAATAGAGCTTTAAAGTCTACAAATTGCTTCCACATCTGTTGTTTCATCAGACATCTCTCCCTACTGTGTGGTTGTCAGGGCAGATGATTTGCTCTGTTTTGCACGTATGGAGGTTGGGGTTCAAAGAGATTAAGTGACCTGCCCTGGAATACACAGCGTATGGTAGAGTTTGTCATCTTCCTGGCCTCAAACTGCCTGGCAGTGAGATTGTTTGCCAGTCCTAAATGTCTTCTGCTCTGTGAGCTGAAGCCAACCCCCTGACTGCTTGTTGTAATGATTTGCATACACATCCAGTGTAAACTGGTTTCAGGGCCTGTCCCCCTCCCCCTAGGATTTAGTACCCAAATCGTCTTATATTAGGGAATTAGGGGGAAGGTGAGCTGTAAACCATTTATTATGTACAACTTTTTATAATCTATATGCATATTTTGAATCTTAGAAATTAGATCTGTACTTAAGTCGTAGTACCCAGCACAGCACCCAGTTTAAAAGGTGTTTAGAAAACGTTAGCTATTCTTATTATTTTACGACTATTAAAGAGGTAAATCTATCTCCACAGAGTGGCAAGTAGATTATCCATGTGATACTTGGCAAGTCATCACTTTTTTCTGGGCCTCAGTGTTCTTTCCTATAAAATACGGTATTCCTAAGCTCCCTTCCAGTTCTATCAGTCCTATAATTTAGTATTTTTAGAAGACCATATCATTACAGTCTCTTATTCTTCCAGTTGGATGGAGTGATGTTATCAAAATACTCTTCTGGCATCTGTGCTCTCTGGAATTTCAGTACTAGCTCAGAGGGTGAACCATGAGGTAATGATGAAAGTATTCCCATCGTAGGGGGTCATGCTATTCACTCATCAGAATAATCAAGGTAGGGAAGGATCCTGTACCCCATCTTTACCCCTACCTTAACAAATGACAGAAACCAACTGCTGAGACAGATGGGTTATCCAGAAACCTCAACCATCCAGAACACAGCTCAGCACCAAGGAAGGCATTATTTTCTTCTTTAGTGCAAAGGACTGATTACTCATAACTTGCAAGAGGCAGTCAGGCTGATGGGGACTGTTATCTTATATATATATATTGCTAATTAGAAAATCTTTGAGACTAAAAGTTTTGAGCCAAGTTCAATAGGCATAAATGTAAAGCCCCGTGTCTAGACTTTGTAGGCGAACTCCAGAAGTCCAGGAAAGGAGAGATGTTGTTTAACAGCAATTCATTTGACACAGAAATGAGAGTTTGAGCTGTTTTAGGACCTTAATGAGTCTAGAATGTTAATACTGTCTCCCTGCAGTTATAGAAGCTATTCCCACCATGATGGACACCAGTTAGACAACTGCTAAAATATCCTTATTTCAGAAGGTGGTCAGATGGTGAAAACCATATCATATGATCATTAGTTAGTAGCGATGTAAATATTTTCAGATGGTTGAAGGACTGAACCATAAAATTAGGATAGTTATTTTGTGTGATGGTAATGTGTTGATGAATTAGGACCTGGGTAAAAGTTACTGGGAAGCAAACCAGTTTTGGCACAATAAAAGTCAAGAACTTTTAAAGAATCGGAGTTTTTTCAGAATTGGAATAGATGGTTCTGTGAGTTAGTATCTTGTCACTGAAATTACTCAAGAATTGCAGGGTGATTCCATGATGGTAGTTCAGTCAATGTATTCTGCTACTGTATTACAAGTTTGATTGGATTATATCCAAGTCCCCTTGCAAATCTTAATATTCTAGAATTCTGTAAATCTCCTTGCAATATTTTTGAAGCCCCAATTCTGTAGTCTGGAAATTGAAATCTTTGTTTTAATATTCTTAGCTTACCAAACCCTAAATCCTATTGATTAAGCTTTTGTAAAATAATATTTCTTATAAGGAAATTTCTAGGAATGCTGGAAGACTTGGACTGTAATATATATTCCCTGGCTTGTTATACACATCTTCTAAAAAGATTATTTCCATTAGTTGTTTCCAGGTACTTTTAAGTTATATGCCATAATCTCTGTTCTATGATTATATATCTTTGAGATATCAACATAGCTTAAATAAAAATCTTTATTGGGTTTTAAAAATGTTTTAATATATTAAAAGGAAATAAAACAATAACCCATGTGGGGCTTTGTTGGGGTGCAGATGGGAACCTTCTCTTCGCATGACCCCGGACCAGGCCCTCAAGCATGCTTGGATTCATCAGTCTCGGAACCTCAAGCCACAGCCCAGGCCCCAGACCCTGAGGAAATCCAATTCCTTTTTCCCCTCTGAGACAAGGAAGGACAAGGTTCAAGGCTGTCATCACTCGAGCAGAAAAGGTACAGCCTGTCAAATAACCAGTCCTAGTCCCACAGTCCGGGAATTAATATTCTAGAATTCTGTAAATCTCCTTGTGATATTTTTGAAGCCCCAGTTCTGTAGTCTGGAAATTAAAATCTTTGTTTTTAATATTCTGTTTAATATGCTGTTTAAGCATTTCTGAAGGATTTGCATGTCAATTTCTCTAACCTCAACCTGGGATAATTCTTGTGGCTACATCATGACTAGCCTGCCATTTCTTACCTTTGGGATTTTCCTTTTCAGGGAAATTTGGCATTAGCCTGGATCTTTTTTGCCCCTTATTAGGATTTTCCATTTTTCTCCTATAATCAATTTCCTTTCTCCTCCTCCCTTTTTCATTAACTGCGTCCACCCCTTTATGCCCTATAATTACCTTTAGAATTTCTGTCAGTGCCAGATTATGGCATTATGCAAATTTTTATATGCAATATAGCCTAGTGGTTAGGTACATGGTCACAAGAGTCAGGTTACCTGGGGATTAAATTCTGGTTCTACCACTTATCAGGTGTGGACTTAACCTCTCTGTAGCTCAGTATCTCCATTTATGAGAATGAGAATAAAGCCTGTTCTCCAGGGTCGCTGAAATGATCAGACGAATTAGTAAATGTACAGTGCTTAGAATAATGCCCGGCACATTGGAGGTGCTTTACAAATGAACTGTTTTTATATCATCACGGTCATCGTTTCCACTAAGTGATGTACAACCTAAAGGACAATTAACATATAATCCACATTTGAATCTTGTTCCCTTCTGTCTTCTCTCTCCTTTAGCAGATGAGATCACCAAAGAGACTACAGAGAAAACAAAAGATAGCCCCACGAAGCATGTTCAGCATTCAGGTGATCAGCAGGACTGTCTCCAGCACGGAGCTGACACTGTTCAGCTGCCTCAACTGGTAGACGCTCCCAAGAAGTCAGAGGCAGCTGTCGGGGCGGAGGTGTCCATGACCTCCCCAGGACAGAGCAAAAACTTCTCCCTCAAGAACACAAACGTTTTACCCCCTATTGTATGACCTTTGCTGAGGGTATGTCCTGCTCCTTTCCACCAGTGATTTGTATTAAGACAGCACTTATATTGTACAATACTTCAGACTGTTTTTTTTAAATACATAAAACTTTATGTTAAAAAACTCTATTAACATGGCCAATTGGCATGACTCCTCTTATGAGGGATGGGGGAGGATGTCCTTGCACTTAAACTCATTCCATATGCATCTGTGTGTGTAGAGGGGGCGGGTAGTTTTGAACTCTCAGTGTTACAGCATCATTAATGGAACTCCAAACAAAAGAAATTTTTTTTCTTCTTGCCCATGACTGCCAACCTATGTCAGGATTTTTGTTTGAAAATGATAGAAGCTGAATTCAAAAGCAGTTTAAACAACGGAAGACACTTATTGACTTACATAATTGGGGCATCAGAAAAGGTAGATGTAGTTTCAGGCGCAGCAGGATCCAGGAATTCAAATGAGGTTGTAGGGCTCAGACTCCCTCTTCATCTATTAGCCTTGCTTCTCACTATGGTTAACTTCATCCTGATGTCAGGCCCTGCTCAGAAGTTAACCGCCAACATCCAGTCAAAAAGATACAGGCTTCCTTGCTAACAGGGAGTCTCCAAAATGATTGTGACACAGAAATTGTGACTGGGATACTGGGATGCTTGGCCAGTCTGGGCCCCAAGCCCACAGTGATGGTGAAGGCACTGTGACTGATGCTTCTCTAGACTAGAGCAAGGGATGGAAGGTTTCCCAAAGGAAGGGAAGCTAAGTAAACAAGCAGGACATGTTCACTCATCTACCATACGCCAAATCTAAGTATGTCTTCTTACTTCCCTTTCTAATCCTCATCTACACAAATACATAATTTTTATGTGGTTGTCATAGGACAGATAGAATTTTACGTGAAACTTAAGATCATAACATCAGAAACAACATAGAGTATATAAAAATAGTTTTCTTTTTTGCTTGCCATTTGGAATAACCTCCCCCCAGTACAGTTTTCATTTTAATTGTTGCATAATATTTTATGAAGGGGGACACCAGGTCATTGAAGCAATGGATTTGGATGTAATCTCCCAGGAAAAATCTTGAGTTAGAATAGCAGAGGGTTGAGAGAAAGTCCCAGGAAAGACAAATATATAAGGAGTTGCCAGAGTTGAGGAGGTCCTCCAAGAGACCCAGAGATACAGAAAGAAAATTAGAAGCCAATGGAGAAGTTTCTAGACAGAAAGAGGAGTCAAGATAGAAAATTCCACAGAAAATCCAGGGTAAGAACAGAAAATATTTCTTAAGTGGGGTGATATGGACATTAAGTCAGAGCAGTGTTAGAACAGGTAACTTATCCCAGTTTCTATAGCCAGAAAGCCACAAAACCAGCAATAGAACTCAGATCCTTGGGAACATTCTTGAAACGATCTTCAACCATGGATGAAGTTGGAGGTGGACACTGTTCTGCAGCTCTACAGAGAATAAGAAGCCAGGTCTTCAACATTGTAATCAGGATGATTTTGATTGAATAATTCAAAAGTATCTTCTGATTTTCATGGTTATAAAAGGTTAAAATGAATTCTTGATAAACTGTGGCTTATTTTAAGAGAATAGTTTAAATAAGGAAGCTGCAAATTGTGACACAGACAGGGGACAGGCTGAGTGACCTTCAGCAGGGCCTCTCAGTCCAGCTCTGTTGTACCTCTACCATTCATCTGGTTATTTTTTTCACTCCTGGGATTTCTTTACCTGATTGTCCCATTGGATCCCAAGGAAACAAAACATGTGGAGCCCTTTAATTGTAATTTTTTAATTTTACGTCCTTGCTTGCATGGACAGGAAAATCTGCAAAATCCAGTGGCTAGCACAAGATGACATGTCTTTG
Source organism: Homo sapiens (assembly GCF_000001405.40). Taxonomy (NCBI): domain Eukaryota; kingdom Metazoa; phylum Chordata; class Mammalia; order Primates; family Hominidae; genus Homo; species Homo sapiens. Next base: position 4,615,609 of record NC_000012.12, read on the forward strand.
ATGAGAGTGGTGTGAAGATAATGTTAGGGCTCTGTGAGGATATAGAGGGGGAGATGTGGAAGTGAGAAAGAAGGGCGGGGATAAGGGCCGGCCCCACTGCCAGAAGAGGGGAAAGCAGTGGGGTTGCCGATTACAGGTTCACCATCAGCCAGTCCAGCAGCTGCAGCGGTGTGACATTCCCCACCGCCTCATTCAGCTGGCGCTCCTTCTCATAGCGCAGCACCGACTGCAGAACCTCGCCCACACTGCATCCTTTGTCCACAGCAGCAGCTGAGAGCTGAAGTAGCTGTGAAAGGAAAGAAAACACCAGTGGTGAGGCACAGCATCTCATGGCAGGCCAGATGGAGCCTGCCAAGGCTGGAGCAGAGAGGCCAGGCAGACCTTGGGAAACTGCAACACAGACTTTAAAGTTTGCTGGCCTGTTTAACAGAAGGAGGTTGGTGACTTCATTCTTAGTTTAAAGAAGAGATGTTAACACCCACCTGCCCATGATCTTGCTCTCTAAGAATTCTAAGGTTCTAAGCTCACCCTAATATCATAAAAGTCTCCATCATTGTCCTAAGACCAACAGGGCAGGATGGAAAATGTCCAGTGGACAAATGTGGATGCTGCTTTCCATGCCCCATAGACCACAGAATCCTAAAATGTTAGAGCAAAAAGGCACCTCAGAGATCAATTCAACCCTCATGAAAATGTTTCCCAGAGAAGTACAGAGATTTGTCAGAATTAACTGCTAGTAATTAGCAGAACCAAAATTCATTGCAGGTATTGGAGCCTATCTTTAGCTCTTTTTCCAAGTACAAAATGAGAAAGTTAAGCAACCATTCTAATATAAATACAACGCTGTCATTTATCTGGAATCCTAAGGGCAACAAACTCTCTCAAGTAATCAGATTTTTATTTTGTTCATTTTGCTCTTGACTTTTTACAACAAAGGGCAGGCAAATAAACACACCAAATATTGAGAGCCTCTTCAGAAAGAGAAATATCCATGTGAGAAACTGAAACAGAAGAACCAAATGGAAATTTTAGAACTAAAACTTACCTACAAAATATAAAATAAAAACCTGTCAGATGGGCTAAATAGCAGAATGTAAATGAGAGAGGAAAGTCAGTAAACTTGAAGGTAGATCAATAAAAATTATCCATGCTGAACAACATATGAAATTGATTAAACTTATTTCAAAAAACATTTAAAAAATAAACAGAGCCCAAGGACTTGTGGGCAATACCAAAAACTTTAACATTTATGTTATTAGAATACCAAAGAAGAGAAAAGCGATGATGCAAAACATATCTGAAGAAATAATAGATGAGAGTATTCCTAATTTGCCAAAAAGTTTTAAACCTATACATTCAAAAAGCTCAGGGTACCTAAAATAAAATAAACCCAAACCCAAACCCAAAGAAATTAACTCCAAGACCTACCATAACTAAATCACTGAAAATTAAAGAAAAAGAAAAAAATCTTAAAAGCATCCAGAGAAAACCATTTATAGGGGAACTGCAAGTCAAATGACAGCCAATTTCTCATCAGAAACCATAGAGGACAGAAGAAAGTGTCACGTCTTTTAACTGCTAAGAGAAAAAAACTTGCCAAATTAGAATTCTATATCCAGCAGAAATTATAACTCAAGAATGAAAGTCAAGTAAAGACATTGTCAGATTAAATAAAACTGAGAGAATTCATTGCCAGAAAATGTGTTCTAAAAGAATTGCTAAAGGAAGTTCTTCAGAGAGAAGGACGATGATATCAGAAGGAAACTGGGAACATTAAGAATGAATGAAGAGCAACACAAACAGTAAAACTCTCAGTATAAATAGTAGGCTATCCTCTTCAGTTCTTTAAAATATATTTTAAGGGCCGGGAGCAGTGGCTCACGCCTGTAATCCCAGTACTTTGGGAGGCTGAGGCAGGAAGATCACCTGAAGTCAGGAGTTTGAGACCAGCCTGGCCAATATGGCAAAACCCCATCTCTACTAAAAATACGAAAATAACTGGGTGTCATGGCACGTGCCTGTAATCCCAGCTACTCGAGAGGCGGAGGCAAGAGAATTGCTTGAACCCAGGAGGCTGAGGTTGCAATGAGCCGAGATCACGCCACTGCACTCCAGCCTGAGCAACAGAGTGAGATTCTGTCTCAAAAAAAAAAAAAAAAAGTGTTTTAAGGTTGAAAGCAAAAGTAACATTGAGGGCTTTTTCAAAGTATGTAGATTAAATACATAAAGCAACTCAACTATAAAGGGAGAAGGATAAAGGAACCTTATATGGTAGTAATATTTCTACCTTCCAGCTTAAGTGGTAAACTATTGATGCTACATGGATTCTGAGAAGTTGGTATGTACATTGTAATCCCTAGATTAACCACTAAAAAAACTACACACAAAGATATAGTCAAAAATGCAATAGATAAATTAAAATGGAATACTAAAACATGTTCAAATAGTCCAAGAGAAGGCAGCAAAGGGAAAACAGGAAGAAAAAAGAGAAGCAACAAATAATAAAATGGTAAACTTCAAACATATCCATAAATTGGGCTAAGCATAAATGATTAACATATCTAAACATCAAATGTCAGAATGGACAAAAAATATAACCCAAGTGTATGCTGCCTACCAAAAACCTCACTTCAAATATAATAAGTTAAAATTATAAGAAAAGATGTACCATGAAAATGCCAATCAAAAGAAGACTTGAATCTAACATTTATGGTCAATAGGATTTTTTAATAAAGGAGATGGATAATTCAGAGGGGCCAGATTCCCAGTGGTCTTTTCAACGAATGGTGCCAAGATAAGCTTCATATCTATATGCAAGATATTGAATTTGGACTCCTACCTCACACAAATTAACTCAAAGTAGATCATAGACCTAAACATAAGAGCTAAAATTATCAAGCATGTAGGCAAAAACAAGGAGAAAATCTTCATGGCCTTGCATAGGTCAAGGTTTCTAGTTCTCAGCACTCCTGGCCTTCTGGGTTTGTTGTGGGGCTATTTTGCTCATTGCATGTTGTTTACCAGTATCCTTGGCCTCTACCTGTTTGACTCCAGTGGTAACCCCTTTCTCTGTTGTGACAGCCAAATACGTCTCCAGACATTGCCAAATGTCCCCTGGGGGGCAAAATTGCTCCTGGTTGAGAACCACTGGGTAGGCAAACATTTGTTATGACACTAAAATCACAAGACATAAAAGTAAAACGTGATAAATCGGCTGTCATCTAGTTAGACTTCATTTTGCTCTTCAAAAGACTCCATTAAATAAAAAGATAAGCCACAAACTGAGAGAAAATATTTGCAAAAATATATCAGATAAAGGACTTGTATCCAGAATACATAAAAGAGCTCTTATAATTCTAATCAAGAAGAAAACAATCCAACCAAATTATGGGTGAAAGGATTGCATAGGTATCTCACTAAAGAATATATATGAATGGCTAATGAGCACATAACGGAATAACGTGCTCAATATTTCTCATCATTTTAATGTATGTAGGCCAAATGAAATGCACAATGAGATACCACTATAATTATTACAACAAATGAAAGAATAATATTGACCAGGATGTGGAGAAACTGAAACCTGTGCAAATTACTGGTGAAAATGTAAAATGCTACAACCACTTCAGGAAATAGTTTGGCAATTTCTTAAGAAATTACACTTAACCGGTCAGGCATGGTGGCTCATGCCTGTTTTCCTGGCACTTTGGGAGGCTGAGGTGTTCAGATCACTTGAGCCCTGGAGCTTGAGACCAGCCTGGGCAACATGACAAGACCCCATCTCTAAAACAAAATACAATTAACTGGGCATGGTGGGGGATGCCTGTAGTCCCAGCTACTCGGGAGGCTGAGGTGGGAGGATCGCTTAAGCCTAGGGAGTTTGAGGCTGCAGTGACTATGATTATGCCACTGCACTCCAGCCTGGGCAAGAGAGGGAGACCCTGTCTCAAAAACAACAACAACAACAAAAAAACATAAGAAAAAAGGAAAGAAAATAAATTAGATTTATTGAATTACACTTATTGTAACATGCTGCATTACATTAATGCTCCTCATTATCTGCCCAAGAGAAATGAAAACATATAACCACACAGACTTGTATGTGAATGCTCATAGTCGCATTACTCATAATAGCAAAAATGGAAACCATCTAAATATCTATTATCTGATAGATGGACAAACAAAATGTAGTATATCTACATAATGAGGTACTATTCAGCAATAAAAAGAAATAAACTACTGATACATGCTACAACACAGATGAACCACAAAAACCTTACACTAAGTGTAAAGAGCCTGATGTAAAAGACCACATACTTTATGGCTCCATTGCATAAAATGTCAAGGAAAGGCAAATTTATAATGATGGAAAGGTTAATGGTTGCCCATGGATAGGGGATGAAAACTGGGAAATGTAAACATGAATAGCCTATAAAATTCTGAGGCAGAGAAATAAAGAGTCTCCAGTCCTATCGGATATTCAAAAATATTATAGAATTACAGTAATTAAAATAGATGCTATTGGTACAAGAGTAGATGGACAATTCAATGGCACAGAATAGAAAGTTTAGAAAAAGAATAGGAAAAAAATAAGAGATTGTGGCCAGACGCGGTGGCTCACGCCTGTAATCCCAGCACTTTGGGAGGCCGAGGCAGGTGAATCATGAGGTCAGGAGTTCAAGACCAGCCTGGCCAAGATGGTGAAACCCCGTCTCTACTAAAAGTACAAAAATTACAGTGCACCTGTAATCCCAGCTACTTGGGAGGCTGAGACAGGAGAATCGCTTGAACCTGGGGGGCGGAGGTTGCAGTGAGCCACGATCGTGCCACTACACTCCAGCCTGGGTGACAGAGCGAGACTGTCTCAAAAAAAAAAAAAAAAAAAAAGAGAGATTGTAACCCTACTTCATACCTTATATAAAAATGAATTCAAAATGTATTAAAGTCTTAAATATATTTTAAAAATCATAAAAGTACAGTCATACACTGCATAATGATGTTTCAGTGAACCACAGACTGTACATATGATGGTGGTTCCATATGCTTATACTGGACCTGAAAAACTCCTATTTTCTAGTGATATCATAGTTATCGTAACAGAGCACAACACATTACTCACTTGTTTGGGGGGATGCTGCTGTAAACAAACCTACCGTGCTGCCAGTTATATAAAAGTCTAGCACACACTATTACATATAGTGGATAGTACTTCATAATGATAATAAATGACTACATTACTGATTTCTGTATCACTGTACTATACTTTTGGTATTATTTTAGTCTACTCCTTCTACTTATTAAAAAAATTAATTGTAAAACAGCCTCAGGCAGGTCCTTCAGGACAAAGGCATTGTCATCATAGGACATAATAGCTCCATGAGTGTTACTTACCCTGAAGACCTTCTAATGGGAGAACATGCAGAGGTGGAAGGCAATGGTATTGATGATCCTGACCCTGTGTGGGCCTAGGTCAATATGTGTGTTTGTATCTTCATTTTTAATAAAAAATAAAAAAATTAAATAGAAAAAAGCTTATAAAAAAGAATATAAAGAAAATATTTTTGTATAACTGTACAACGTGTTTTAAGCTGTTATTACAAAAGAGCCAAAAAGTTAAAAAAAATCAAAACTTTGTAACATAAAAATGTTACAGTAAGCTGCTAATTTATTATTGAAGAAAGAAAAATATTTTAAAATATTTATTGTAGCCTAAATATACAGTTTTTATGAAGTCTACAGTAGTGAACAGTAATGTCCTAGGCCTTCGCATTCACTCACCACTCAGTCACTCACTCATCCAGAGCAACTTCTAGTCCTGTGAGCTCCATTCATGGTAAGTGACCTATACAGATGTACCATTTTTTATCTTTCAAACCATATTTTTACTGTACCTTTTCTATATTTAGATATGTTTAGATCCACACATACTGTGGTGTTATAATTGCTTACAGTATTCAGTACAGTAACATGCTGTATATAAGTGTGTAGCCTAGGAGCAATAGGCTATACAATATAAGCTAGATATGTAGTAGGCTATACCAGCTAGGTTTGTGTAAGTACCGTCTATTATGTTCACACAATGAGGAAATCGCTTAATGACACACTTCTCAGAGCATATCCCCATGACTAAGCAATGCATGAGTGGACTAGAAAAAAACATGGGAAAGTTTTGCTAATATCGTAAAGTGGAGAATGTTTTCCAAAATATAACATAAAACCCAGCAAAAATAAAAGAAAAATGTCTCATATTTGATGACATTTGTATGGCAGAAACAAACTACAACAACAACAACAACAAAACACCAATCAAAGGACCAATGGCAAAGGAAACATTTGTATTTAATATCATAAAGGTTGATTCCTTGTAATATATAAAACTCTTATAGATCAATAAGAAAAAGGCCTACAATGCAATAAGAAAATGGGCAGAACATAAAAAGAATACCTAGGAATACAGCTAACTAGGGAGGTGAAAATCTCTACAATGAGAATTACAAAACACTGCTCGAAGAAATCGGAAATGACACAAACAAATGGAAAAATATTCCATTCTCATGGATAGAAAGAGTCAATATTGTTAAAATGGTCATATTGCCCAAAGCAACTTAAATGTTCAATGCTATTCCTATTAAACTACCAATGAAATTCTTCATAGAACTAGAAAAAACTATTTTAAAATTCATATGGAACCAAAAAAGAGCCTGCCAACAGCCAAGGCACTCCTAGGTGAAAAGAACAAAGCTAGAGGCATCACATTACTCAACTTCAAACTATACTCCAGGACCACAGTAACCAAAACAGCATGGTACTGGTACAAAAACAGACATACAGACCAATGGAACAGAATAGAGAGCCCAAAAATAAGGCCACACAGCTACAACCATCTGATCTTTGACAAAGCTGACAAAAACAAGCAATGGGGAAGGATTCCCTAATTCAATAGGTGCTGGGATAACTGGCTAGCCATATACAGAAGATTGAAACTGGACCCCTTCCTTACACCATATACAAAAATCAACTCAACATGGATTAAAGAGTTAAATGTAAGATTAAAAACTGTAAAAACCCTAGAAGAACACCTAGACAATACCATTCTGGACATAGGAACCGGCAAAGATTTCATGATGAATACACCAAAAGCAACTGCAACAAGAGCAAAGCTTGACAAATGGGATCTAATTAAATTTAAGAGCTTCTGCACATCAATAGAAACTATTAATAGAGTAAACAGACAACCTACATAATGGAAGGAAATATTTGCAAACTATGCATCTGACAAAGGTCTAATGTTCAGCTATAAGGAACTGAAACAAATTTGCAAGAAAAAAACAACCCCATTAAAAAGTGGGCAAAGGACACAAACAGACTCTTTGCAAAAGAAGACATACGTGTGGCCAACAAGCATATAAAAACAAGCTTAATATCACTGGTCACTAGATAAACGCAAATCCAAACCATAATGAGATACCATCTCACACCAGTTAGAATGGCTATTATTAAAAGTAATGGCAAGGATGTGGAGAAAAGGCAACACTTATACACTGTTGGTGGGAGTGTAAATTAGCTCAACCATTGTCAAAAGCAGTGTGGCAATTCCTCAAAGAGCTAAAAACAGAACTACTGTTCAACCCAGCAATCCCATTACTGGGTGTATATCCAAAGGAATATAAATTGTTTTACCATAAAGACACATGCACGTGGATGTTCACTGCAACACTATTCACAATAACAAAGACATGGAGATAACCTAAGTGCCCATCAATGGCAGATGGGATAAAGAAAATGTGGTACATATACACCATGGAATATTATGCAGTCATAAAAAAGAACACAGCCATTTCCTTTGCAGGAACATGGATGCAGTTGGAGGCCATTGCCATTGGCAAATTAACTCAGGAACAGAAAATGAAATGCAGCGTGTTATCAGAAGTGGGAGTTAAATGATGAGAACACATGGACACAAAGAGGGAACAACAGACACTTGAGGGTGAAGGGTGGGAGGAAGAAGACACTCAGAAAAAAATAACTATTGGGTCAGTACTAGGCTTAGTACCTGGGTGACAAAATAAGCTGTACAACAAACCCGTGTGACATGAGTTTACCTATATAACAAACAAGCACATATACCCCTGAACCTAAAATAAGTTAAAAAAAGAAAAATGGGCAGAAGTTATGACAAATTAATCCACAGAAGAGGAAATTCAAATGGTCTTATATGCAAAGATACTCACCCTTATTCCTAATAAGACAAAAAGTAAAGCAACTTAGCAAATTAAAAATTTTAGCATGCACTGTTGGTTAAAGTGTGAGGAAATAGTCCTCTTACACTGTTTTAATAGGTGTGTTAATTGGTACAAGCTCTATGGAAGGCAATTTGGAAACATGTATCAAATTACACAAATAATATTCTCAGTGACCTTGAAGTTCCTTTCCTAGGTGTATAGCACATGTGAATACATTTGAATCTGTGCAAAATTATGTATATTCAAGGATATTCAGTGTAGCATTGCTTACAGTGCAGAATAGTGGCAACTGAAATATCCATACATAAGGGAGGGGTTAAATATATAAAACATATATAAAACATATATGATATATGAAATGGCTTCATATATTATAAAATATATAAAGCCATTAAAAAGAATGTGGCAACTCTATATGTTGCAGAAGAGGATATATATATAAAAAATAATAATTTGTGACTTTACGTGTGTGTGTGTGTGTGTGTGTGTGTGTGTGTGTGTGTGTGTGTGTGTATTGCTGGAAGGATAAATAAGAAATTGATCCAAACAATTTTTTTCTCCAGGGAAGGCAATGGGATGGAGCACACAAATGAGAAAACAACCCTTAATTTTCACCATGCATCCTTTTGTACTTTTGAATTTTGAACTATGCACACATATTATTTATTCAAAAATAAATACAAATGTATTTAAAGACATCGGGCTCACAGACATCCCAGTGACAGCAGGTTCAATCACCTGAATCAGTATGAGAATATTTGCATACATTAATCTCTTTTCAAAAAGTCATTTTTAGGTAGTTTCTTTGGTGTCTATGTCATCCCTGTTCTTAAAAATATACTAATATTCAGTGCGTCTATTTATTAGTTGAAGTTTGAACATGCTGCTTCTCATTCCTTCTACTCTTAGAGGGAGTCAATAAAATAGATGACTGGCTTTATCTTTAGAGTAGACAAAGGTGTGTGTGTGTGTGTATATAAAAGTGGGGGACTGCAAGTCTATTGTCCTATTTTAGATACATGTTTCAATTTAAAATAATCTAAAACAACACATTCCAATACAAAAAAAGTCTAAAGCCAGAATGTATTATGTATGTTATATATGAGGGGTTTGATTTCAAAGATGGCTACAAAAGGCTTTCTCACACATTACACACCTGAAAGCTATGCTTACTTTTAGATTTTTTTCATCAGTTTAAATTTTCTTCAGCATATAGCCTCCCACTCCCCACCTCTACTAATTGCTATATACTGTAAAATAGTTGTCTGTTTCACGGATTGGAAACCCTGCGTGGAGACAGAGCTTGCCAACGACCCTTAGGAATAGATCTAATATTGGAAGTTCACACTGTCTTCTAGCCTAACTTGAATGTGCACACAACTCACCTGGGTATTTTGCTAAGATGAAGATTCTGATTCAGTAGGTCTGGAGGGAAGTGTGAGATTCTGCACTTCTAAAAAGCTCCCAGGTGATGCCAATGTTGTAGGTCCACAGACTACACTTTAAGTAGCACGTGTAGTCTTTTTAAGACCAAAGTCAAAGACCATACAGTTTCTTGTTTAGGCTTGATATAGCCTAATCTGGATGCTCTGTAATCGTGTGTTTTCCCAGTCATCAGATAAATATAGCGACCCAGTTGCAAGCGTTGCTAATACCATGTAAATACCACTTAATTAAGCAGAGAAAGCCTGTTTTTCCTTATCTTCTGATTCCTATGATGATGAAATTTTCTAAATAATTCTAGCCTCTTGTGCCACCCTTTGCTACTTAATGATTAACAGCAGTTGGTCCACTTTTCTCAATCAAGAGGAGACAATCAAAAGCACTGAGGAAGAGAAAATGAGAGAGAGAGAGAGAGAGAGAGAGCAAGCGAGCGAGAAGGCAGAGAGGAGAGAGAAGAGAAGGTTGTAGGGATGGTCTTTTTAATTCCCGCACTTCAGTGTGAAGCATCTGGGGTAAGTGTGCGTGTTCTCCAGACTCAAACCCTCCCTTTGGCGCGCAGTTCTGATGCTTACTGGGCACCTTGGGTGGAGGACAAGAACTTATCAGGCACGTTTACCTTTATCAGTAATAACAGTGATAAGTTGATTTCCCATCTACCTTATGCTTTAGTCTTACTTGTCAACTGATTCAGAGCTTAGGGTAGGGGGAAGAGGGGTGTTATCCACTGAATCCTTTCAAATCCCCAACGCCACCTAGACAACCAGCTAAGACAGTAATGGCATGTTTGAAAAGGTCATAAATTCAGACTCTGCCTCTTCCCTAACACATCCCAGGGCTACTTTCCAGCTTCATCTCATCCTTTGAGCAATGCTGTCCTATCCAAAACTCAGCCTAGAGCCCAGACCTTAATCTGATTCTTTCACTAGGTCTCTTGGAGGTTCCTCATCTGTACACTCCTACTCCTAAACGCAGAAAACAGAAACATATCATTTATCCCCCTGTTCCCCTTTGATACGCCTTGGATTGGGCAAAATCTAATTTTACTTTATCCATTATCTCTGCCAGGAGGCATGATCTTCAAATCCCACTGTTCCCATTTTACCTTCTCTGTGGCTATCTTCCCATTCAGAAAGAAACCAGAACTTAAAGCCCTAGTTAAATCTTAATAAAGCTTCCAAATTCCTCTGCCTTTGTTTCTTACCTTCTCCTGGATCCCTTCATCATCACCAGCAAAATACAAAATAGGGACATTGAGCTCAGAGGCAGCTACCCATTGAAGGACGGCTTGGAGTTGCTTGTTCTGAACTGTGTCCGTTAGGTTGTGATTGCTGACAATCACCGTGGGTGCTGCACACCCTTCAGGGGGCTGTCCTGATGTGCCTCTCATTTCATTATGGATAGCTTGATAGGCATTCTGCAGGACAGCTTCTGCTGACCCTGTGCCCTTGGCTGGTAAGCACTCATATAAACTATCTGGGAAGGCCGAAGTTAGCCTACTGGCATCTCCAGACTTGTCATCTCCCAGCTCTGCCAACGAAGCATCACAGGACTTAGCAATGATGACACACAGCTTCATCACTGAGTTCATCAGATGTTCTACCATCTGCCCACTCATGTGGCCATCTATCTGGCTGACAGCCATCTTGGTCAGCCCAGAAAGGGCACCAGGGGTCTCATCATCCTCATATAGCCTGGGGGGAGAAGACGCCAACGGTCTTTCACACAACTTCCTATCTTCCTTAACTGGCTGTTCCGGCACCTTGGGTTCAGGGCTCTGGTCACGCTTGAAAATGGTCTCACTAAGTAAGTTCCGGATGAAATTAAAGAAAACACTCCTTAGGTCCTTCTTTTCTGCTTGTTCTTGGTCACCTACAATGGGAGCAGACTTAAGGCAAGATTCATCGGGAGCTACAGGAGGTTCATTGGCAGGAAAGTTGGTGGTGCCAGCAGCTTCAACGAAGCTCCGTGCATCCCTTCTTCCTCCCTGGGCCAGGTGATATTGAATCAGAAGCAGGGCAGACACGATCAGGTCCTCGGCCCAGGAGTCTGAATCATACATAAAATTCTCAGGTTTCTCTGGAGGATATGGAGGAAGGCTGAGGTTGCCAATATCTTCAGGGTACTCAAAGGAAATGTCTGATGCAGGCTTACGCTGTGTGTTGGGAGCTTCAAATGCTGCATGCTGGAAACCTAGAGATTTACATTCTTTCTGCTGAGTTTTATGCCACAAGGTAAGCCCCTCTTTGATAATGTGCTCACCCAGAGTTTTCGCACAAGTCTCCTCCTCTGATTTGGGTTCAGAATACATTTTTTCTCTCAATTTAGTTTCAGATTTCATGGCAAAGTTCACATTTCGGTTTTTAGGATCACCCATTCCTTTCATGGAGATGAGGGAATAACTCTCAGCCTTGTCTTGGGCTTTCCTGACATGCTCAGGGACTTTCTTGGCAAACATTACATTGTACAGCTTCCTTAGCATGGCATCCATGATATCTGTGGCCTTTTGGCTTCCATGAGAGAAGACAGTTCTTTTCACAGCCGAGACAAACTGTGTGTCAGTCATGAGGGTCCCTGTGACGCTGTGGAGATTCCTCAAGAAGGAGTCGATGAGATCCGAGACCACCTCTTTTGCATGCTTGAGCAGAACCTTCTTCAGTAGGATGGTGGCAATGGTTGTGTCTTTCACTTGGATCTTCAGTGTCTTCATGATGGAGACCATCATATCAGATACCACACTGTTAGCATAGGTCATGATCCCTTCACTAACAGAAGCCGTAAAGTCATCAGGCCTTTCCTGCCCTCGAAACCTCTTTCTCTCCCGAGGAAAGAACCTTCCACCCTCTCTGGCATAATCTCCATTACGAGATTCAAACACTTCCTTATAGAAGAAAGACTTCTTAGAAGGAGGCTTGTCATCTGGACCCTGTCTTTCTTTGGTGCTCTCCTTGATCTTCAAAGTGGACTTGTATTTCAAATTTGGGGGACTTTGTGATGATCCCGAGACTCTGTCTCCAGAGCCAGGAGCCTTGTCTGGGGCAGCATTCCTGGAACATGCAGAGACGGTCTCATTCACAAGCTCTGATGCTATCTTACTGAGGCTTTTGGTGGGTGTGGGTTCATTCCCCATGTACAATGACTGATAGACACATTTGTTTTCAGAGCCATCGATCTTCTCATTGATCTCTTTGCGGGCCATGGCTATGACTAGATTCGTGAGGCGGTTAGCATAGAAGGAAACTTCATCTACTGAACTCCCGTTGCCAAGTTGGGCCCTGGGGCCCTGGCAAGGAATCTCTTTGTGAGTCATCTCAAAATGCAATCTTTCTGGAGTGCCCTTGGTGGTGGTGTTGTAATAGTCTACAGAGAAACCTTTGTGTGGGTCTCCTGAGTTGGACGTTTCCCCACCAAATGATTCTCCGGGTTTGAACCGAACATCTTGGAACTCTGCTGTACTCTTCTCCAGGTCTCTGCGGAGCCAGCTGAGCACTCTGACAGGATCCGTGGAGGTGTCCTTAAAAATAGACAAGGATTCATCTGACTATAACAAAGTAAAGATATGGGATATTCAAGACAACCTCAAAGTTCAGTTACAAATGTCATCAGCCCTCTCAAGCTTGCTCCATCTTGGCAATAAAAGTAACCATTTATTAAGTACTCACTGTGTATCAGACATTGTTCCAAGTATTTAAAGTCTATTATCTCATTTAATTATTTCTCATACTAAACCTGAGATTTAGCTCTCTTATTATCTTCTTTTTACAGAGGAGGAAATTGAAGAAGTGAGAGGTTAAGTCTGTAACTTACTTGAAATAATACAGCTAACCATTGATGGAGCAGAAATTCCAGCCCTGGCAGTCTGACTCCACAGCCCATGCTCTCAGCTAGTATACTATGTTGCTTCTAATGACATATATCTTTAAGATTGGATAGTCTGCCAAGGATAATGACTTCCAGCTCCATCCATGTCCCTGTAAAGGACGTGATATCATTCTTTTTTTATGGCTGCATAGTATTCCATGGTGTATACATACCACATTTTCCTTACCCAGTTGATCATTGATGGGCATTTATGTTGATTCATGAACAGAAAACCAAATACCACATGTTCATACTTATAAGTGGGAGCTAAATGATGAGAACACATGGACACATAGAGGGGAACAACACACACTGGGGCCTTTTGGAGAGTGGAGGTAGGGAGGAGGGAGAGGACAAGGAAAAATAACTAATGGGTACTAGGCTTAATACCTGGGTGATTAAATAATCTGTACAACTACTCCCATGACACACGTTTACCTATGTAACAAACCTGCACATGTACCCCTGAACTTAAAATAAAAGTTAAAAAACAGATCTGACAGTCATCAGCTAGATAGAAGAGTTAGCAGTTGAACTGAATCAGATTTTTTCTTGTTTTAATATTAATTGCTATTTTCTATGGTTTACCTGTTTTTATTTCGATCTTATTACAAGTATAGTTTCCAAAAAAATGAGAAAATTCAGGGAAAATTGTGGATAATTAATCACTTTGCCAGGCTGCACAAACACTATCTGGATATGTTAAATGGCTTCCAATGGACTGACATCATTTAACAATCCGATTTATAATTCAGGAGTTAATATGTATTGGCAATTTATTAGATTCTTTGATGGACGCTAGCTGTGATAAGCATATGAACATGTTTATATGTTTGTAAATTGTACAATCTGCATGTGGGAAAAACTCTGAAACACAGGATAAAATAACATAATATATATGAAAGTCTCCTATTTATTATCAAATGTAAAGAATCACTGTAATTATTGGAGTTCATATGTCTATCTGGGAATGACCACAGATATTACCCACCTTTAAAGAACAATTCGGTATTTTTATTACCAAGTGTCATATAGTTACTAGTTACTATTTGTGAAGTACTCGTAATGTTTGCCAGGCTCTGTGCTAAATGCTTTATAGGCACTATTTTGTTTAATCCTCATATTCGCCTAGTAAGATAGGTTTTACTCTTCCAGTTTCACAGGTAAGAAAACAGAGACTTAGAGAAGTTAAATAGTTTGCCAGGCATCTCACAGCTAGTCCATGGTGGAGTTTCGTATTCAGATGCAATTCTGATTCTAAAATCTGGGCGCTCCACGTCTACAATATCCTGCTGTGCTTTGATTACTTGGAAAGAAAAGAAAAGAAAAGAAAAGCAGTTGTGCTAGTTGTCTGCAGGACTGGTTTAAGTGGCTTGTTATCATGTCGGAGTTAAGATCCATTGTGCTTGGTTCAAAATTCTCCCAAATGGTTCTCCTAATTAGAATAATAGCTACTTTATGGGATATTTTGTGCTTTAGTGGAAAATCACACATCATCTATAGCATACCCTTCCACATTATCTGATTCTCATTCCCTTGGAGCTATTTTACAACTCTGTTAACTATAGACAACTGACATCAATGCAATATAATTCTTGTCTAGACACCTATAAGGGGAGGGTCGACTGACTGCCTCTTCCACTGTAGAGAAGGTCAGTTTGCCTCCAATGGCACGTTCACTTCAATATTTCCAAGCTATATGTGTCTTTTGAACCTCACCAGTTCCTTGTTAATGAGTTAAATAAAATCTTTAACAGATATTCATTTTTATATATGTATGGGAGTCATTATTTTGCCCTTCTTTGAAAATTATCTTTTAATGGTTTTGGAAGTCTTCCACCAAGATGCCCAATAGATCCATCTAATGGAGATAAATGTCCTCATGAAACAGGTGCACTAGGTGTGTCTTTTCTCAGCCTCCAGAGTAGCAATAGAAGTTTGCAGACATTCGGTTTTTCTAGTTTTAATTTTCCTCTCTACTAATTTTGTTTTTGGTTCTCACTTCGGTTTGTTTATGGCCAATTGGTGGCAGCAATGATTGGAAATTTGATTTTATGTCTGACCATTTGGTAATCTCTTTTATGGATTAATGATTTATAGAGTTATATTCTCTGCTGGGTGTGAGGCAACAGAAAATCTGTTCTGACAGCATTTTTTGTCCATCTTAAGCTCACCAACTAAGACGTTTGTGCTCACATGGAAGGAGAAGTGCTCCTTGATGTCCGGACAGGTGAGTTTTATGTTTATGGTTTATTTTTGCCACAAAGTGGGGCTGAAAGTTTAGAATTGAAGCTATAAACTGTCTCTATCAGTGTCTGTATCACTATGTGTCTGTAATTCAAAAAATGTTAGATGTAAGCAGCAATGTCTTCCCCCAGAGAGTATTAATGTGTTATACTATGAAGTCTCTTAAAGGAAGTTTATTCTGATTGGTGCATGCTCACACACACACACGCACACAAACACACACGTAAATTACATATTCTTGTATCCCCAGAAAATAAGGAAATCAAGCTCCTAATACTTAAAATACTCAAAGGGAATGCTAAGAAAACAAAGTATTTTTACAGAACCTAACTCAGAAACATTTTAGAAACCCAAATTCACATAAATTAGGTAAATCTTTGGCAAATAATACTAGTTTAATAATTTTGGTTTAATAAAAACAGCTATACCTTTTCTTATTTATCAGTGTTAGATATTATACAATTGTATGCTTTTATTTTACTTTGATATGCTTTTCATAAACTCATACAGGTTTACAGATCCAAAAAAGCCACATTACTTCTATTTAATGTTTAAGATTATGAAAAATGTAAATTTGCATTTAACCAAGTTGAATAATCATTCTGACAAACTTTATTTCAACAGTTATTATGTTTTATAGTATGTCAGCCTAATGATAAGTTTCCAACATCTTTATATAACTGAAAACACTGGAGTGGTATTACATTGAGTTAATGCATATTCACTGGATATGTAAATCATTTCTAAGTAAGATGGAACACTGAGACATTGATGGCTAAGCGTAAAGTATATATGCTTTTGCTTATTATTTTTATCACTTATAAAGAGGCTACCTCTTTAAATCTGTTAATGAGTCTGTTCATCTTCTCCACTTAGAGAGGTGGTATAAGGGGTGTATGTGACTGTAGGAAGTCGTCGTCATGTGTAGTCGTGAGTTCTACTCATCTGCGTTTCAGCTGGTGTGTGATGTTCCCAATTATATACCCCTCACCCTAGTTTTTTTGTGATATAGAAAGAGTGTATATTCTTTCATAATCATAACTGTTAACTTTGGGTTAGCAGTTATGATTAATATTAATGGTTGAGACTATAATTAGGAACAAGAGTTTCAGAGAAGTCTAAGTGTATACCTGCTTGTTTTCCTAGGGACTGCAGGTGAAACCTGGTGGAGAGTGTTTCTTAGGCTTGACTTCCTAATCTCAGGACAGTAAATAACAGAGGGCTTTTTGTTTGTTTGTTTTTGTTTTTGTTTTTGTTTTGATACAGAGTCTTGCTCTGTCACCCAGGCTGGAGTGCAGTCGTGCGATCTCAGCTCACTGCAAGCTCTGCCTCCCGAGTTCATGACATTCTCCAGCCTCAGCCTCCCGAGTAGCTGGGACTACAGGTGCCCGCCATCACGCCCGGCTAATTTTTTATATTTTTAGTAGAGATGGGGTTTCACCATGTTAGCCAGGATGGTCTCGATCTCCTGACCTCGTGATCCGCCTGCCTCGGCCTCCCAAAGTGCTGGGATTACAGGCGTGAGCCACCATGCCCGGCCCCCTTTGCCCACTTTTTAATGGGGTTTTTGAAAATGATAATATATTACTACCTAGTTATTTACGAATAAGCACATTAACTTGCAAATAGGTGTGTTTCCATACTATTGAGCTGTAACAGTACAGGAAAGCCTTACTATAGTGCAGCTGTGGAGTTTATTCTTTTACCCTTTTCAATTAAAAAAAAAAAAAACAAAAAACCCAAACCTGTTGGGTGCAGTTGCCTGCAGTCCCATCACTTTGGGAGGCTGAGGAGGGCAGATCTCACTTGAGCTCAGGAGTTTGAGACCAGCCTGGGCAACATGGCGAAAATCCATCTCTACAAAAAATATATTTTAAAAGATAAATAAAATTTAAAAAAATAAAAATAAAAAACCAAACCTACAGCGTAGAATAGAGATTTACAATGGAGTCCACAGAATTGTGTTAAGTTGCTGTGTTTATGGGTTTTTAATGTCTATATATTTTTAAACCTAAAACGTGTGTGCCTTATGTCTATTACTCCCCTCTATCCACAGGGATTTTGCAAAAGGGGTTAATCCAACTGTAGTGACTGAAAGACTAAGTACCCACATTCATTTCTTATCAATGCAGTCTATAACCAAACATCCATCTCTTCAAACCCCCTTGCCCTCTTGCAACCTTCCTCTTCTTACACAACTATAGTATTCTGAGCAATTAGGGAAGGAAGATGCCAAATTATCTCAGTATTTCTGAATCCTGGGGCAAGTTTTCATGTCCATGAAGGAGAATATAAGAAGAGGTCATGGGTTTTATTTTCTCTGCTCAGCATCTTTTGCTTCAGTAGTTTTAAGTCAGCTATCTACCTTCCTGTTCTATTTCTCTTCTCCACCTTTGTCTCAATTAAACATACCTTATAAAATTTTCTCTGACCACCTCCCATTTTGAAATGATCAATTCTTTAAACACCTATAGCAATTATTGTCTAGAAAATACATTTGACAAATAATCATGAACTGTTTTTCATTAGTCCAACAGTTATTCAGAGATTTCAAGTGACATATCTATATTCTTTTTTTTTTTTTTTTGCTTTTTATACCACTTTATTCAAACCTGAGCACCTCAATATAAAACTAAACACTGGTGACCCATTTTTCTAATTCTGAATTATTGTAGATGTACAAGTTCTCCTAACAGTCCAACACTTAAACAGATTAAATCATCTCTGACACACATATGGTAGCTCTCATATAAGGAAAATACCTAAAATAGTGCAATATACCGAATTGATCAAAATAAAATGAAGGTTGGAAAACAAGGCTACAAGATTGTTACTAACATATTGCAATACTTTATGTTGCAAATTACGGGTACATTGCTCGTTATGGTTCTAGCCATGGAGGAACAACTGAAGCCCCTTCCTGTCAAAAGGGGAGAGAGAAATCATTGGCTGTTTTAGTAACTGTACATTTTGTATACTTTTAAGCAACTCTTAAATATTACAGAAAAGTAATACATATATGGAGACTATAATGCAGTACCCTATTGACAGTACAGCTGAAGATCGAATTTAAAATAATCAAGTTTAAATATACACAATTGCTAGTGCATTGACTACATTGTGTCACAAGCGAACAAAAGTCCCCTCCCTGCACCAAACAACAAAACCTATGTAATGGCCAGCAGTGATTAATTAGATATCACAGACACCTGGTTTATTTCATTTTTGTTAAAGAACTCACATGTTTGAAAGGAACACTATCTATTAAGATGCATTTATTAGTTCTCAAATTCCTAAAACAAGATGGGATTGCATTTGATTTTTTTTTTTACCCCATTAAAAAAAAACACACACACACAGGACTGGCTATAATTTAGATGCCATTAACGCTCTTTCCAGCCCCCACCTTTTATATGTGGGATTATTTTCTTGTGGTTCATTTATTAAAATATGGAATGTTCATTTAAAATACTGATACCAGGAGAAATGA
The DNA here is from genome assembly GCF_000001405.40 of Homo sapiens. Classification (NCBI taxonomy): domain Eukaryota; kingdom Metazoa; phylum Chordata; class Mammalia; order Primates; family Hominidae; genus Homo; species Homo sapiens. The sequence continues at coordinate 4,634,890 of NC_000012.12, forward strand.
ACATTTGCCTGAATACTATGGCTAAGCATAAATAACTTTAGAATCTCCTTCTACAAAAAGAATGTTTTTTGAAAAGCCCAAATTAGTAAATTCTATTTTTTTTTCCACAGGTGACTACTGCACCAGTGTGGAGAAATGGGCTGGTTAACTGTGTGGGTCCAGATAGTCATTTGTCTATATTGCTAGCGATGAGAAATTATTCCCCCTAACCTTCCAATGAAACAAGTATACACACAGTTCTCATTTTTCCCTATTGCTGAAACATTAGTAAGAGGGACCCATGCATGTTATTAAAAATTAAGTTCAAAACACTTAAAATAATTCTGCATTAGAAACTTGACTCTATCATAAGTCTCTTTTGGAAGTCATACTGGGCTGGTTAAATGGTCCAATTCCATTGTTATTAACATTTAAGAAGCAGAAGACTATTCTAGCTAGTGCAAACTGGAGGTTGAGTTACTACAACACTGACTCCTGTTTGGTTGTGTGGGTTCAGTAAGGGCTACTCCTCTTTTTCTGGCAGAATTTGCTTCTGGATTTTGTGGTTCATTCTTTGGCAATTTTTTAGCTATTGCCACGAACATTTCATTTACATTCACTGATGTTTAGCTGATGTCTTCATGAATAATAAACTATTGTCATCTGCATAGGACTGTGCTTCCTGGAAATCTACTGCTCTTTTATTTGCTAGGTCAGCCTTGTTTCCTGATAAAGCTATTACAATATCAGGACATGCTTGCCTCTGAAGTTCTTTAACCCAATTTTTTGCTCTTGCAAAGGACTCCTCATTTGTGGTATCATATACAGCTATGGCTGCTTGTGCTCCTCTGTAGTACATTGGTGCTAGGCTACGGTATCATTCTTGACCAGCTGTATCCTGTATTTCAAACTATACTGTAGTGTCATCAAGACACACATTTTGGGTTAGAAAATCAGCTGAATCTGTAAAACCACTTTAATTTATCCAAAACGTCTATTTTCTGGCTAAGAACCACCACTCTTAGATCTCTCCATTTTTTCTTCACTTCCATCACCAACACTAGCAGTTGGTTTTCTTTTTGGGCCCATATTTCACAAAGAAACAGCTTTTATCACTTTGAGAGTTACCCCAATGGTACTCTCTTGAAATTCATGAAATGGGCCTTTCACAAAACGAAGCACTAGGCTTGATTTGCCAACAGCAGACTCTCCCAGAAATACTGGCATATTGAACTGGCATATTTTATTTCCAGTATTTGAGCCATAGGGTCTTGCTTGCGCCTCGATTAGCCATGTTCACATTTGAAATAAGTCCCTAATTTCAGACTCTTCAATGAACTTCCAGAATTCAAGCGGTCAATTTTCTTCTTTCTGGAGGTAAAGAAACCTCAGACGCGGCAAGCGGAGCTGTGGGCTGAAGCCCCAGGCATGGCCCGTAGGACGAGAGTGTGTCTATGGCGGTGGTGGTGGCCGTGGCATCTGCTCTTTGGGCTGCTACCCTCACCGACATTTCTACTTTGATATGTGTACTTTTTATTTTCCAAAATGAATGATAAGGTTCAGAGGGGCAGTAACTGTTATATACCTTTTTGTTTCTCACTTAGTAAAAAATCACTAAGTTCATTTGATTTAACATTGAAACTGATCTGCCTTTTGTTTCTCCAAATGAAAGGGCAGAAGTAAATCAAAGATCTAGTTGAAGCAGTTTTGGTTGGCCCTTACTCTATAGTAATTGAATATTTATTATCTTTATGTCTAATGTCTTATGTAGATTTGTTAATATTTTCTTTTTAAAACTTTATATAGATCGACCAGATTTGGACAAATAGAAGAAGATGGGTCATTTGCATTTGATTACATGCAAATAAATGTTTGATAAATGTTAACTTTTTTTTTATTTTGAGACAAGGTCTCACTGTTGCCCAGGCTGGAGCTCAGTGGCATGGTCACAGCTCACTACGACCTCAAACTCCTGGGCTCAAGTGATTCTCCTGCCTCAGCCTCTCAAGTTGCTGTGACTACAGACGTGTGCAACCACTCTGGCTAATTCTTTTTTTAGTAAAGACAGAGTTTTGCCGTGTTGCCTGGGCTGGTCTCCAACTCCTGGGCTCAAGCAATCCTCCCACCTTGGCCTCCCAAGGTGTTAGGATTACAGGTGTGAGCCACTGTGCCCAGTCTGATAAATGATGTAATAGGATAGAGTCTATTAATAATAGTGATTCCATTAGATTATGAGATCCTTAAAAGGAGAGAATTCTAATTTATTTTTATATCTCTGACCCTGACAGTCAGGACAGTGTCTGTGCCAGTTATTGACTTACTGTCTCTCACTCCAAATCCACCCTTCTTTGCCTTGCTTTGTGATACCAGAGCTAAACCCTAAACATTTCTCCTTTGCGGTTGGCATTGTCGACAGAGGGTACTGGGGGACACTGCATGGTCAGAGCAGGAGGAAAGGGCTTCCCTCTGGCAAGTTTCCTATGGCAGCCACATTCTCTCCAAAGAGATGGGAAGCAGCTTTGGTTGAGGGAGAGCGAGCTCTTGTGAGTATTTACTTAGTTTCTTCCTTGTTTATGTAATTCTCAGCCTGGGGGTAGTAGCTGCTTTCTGCATTTGTTATTTCTGGGATTCCTAGAGTCCTCTTTTATGCCTTTTAGTAGTTAACTACGTTTTATTAATAAATAATTTTTAAATGTTAAGTTACTGGTACGGTTTCTATCTTCTGACTAGACCCTGACGATACATTGCCTGATATTAAGTAAGCATTTAATACATGTTTGTTGAATGATGAAGGCAGGATGACAATGTTACTTAGATGAGAGTTTATAGTTCTGAGAATTTTAAGGCATCCTACACTTTAGAAAATATTTTCTATAAGCCTTGGAGACATTTATCTCCAATTCCTCTCTGTTTGAAAATTAAAATTTTATAGCTGTAATATACAGCTGACATATACATATATATTTATATATACATACATGATATATGTTATACAGCTTATATGTACATACATATTTCATTAGTTATAGCATATTAAATACCATAGGATGGGAATTTTTTCCAGAAAACTATAAATGGGAATGTTTTGTTCTATAAGGGCTGATTTCCCACCTGCCTCAAGAATCCCACCTTGAAAAATAAGAGGTTGGTGGTATGGTGGAGAGAATAAGGCTACTCTTAATGACAGCCCCCATATTCTTAACCTAGTGTTTATCAAGAGGTTGACCCTTACCATTTTCCAGTCCTGGGCTTGGTTGTCTCCAGGAGAATAGACATCAACTTTGCATACTCCATTTTGGCTTTGTAACCAGTCAACCTTTTCTGACATCTGGAAGCAGGGGAAAAAAATGAGAAAGGGTCATCACAAGGGCAGATTTTATGAAAGTAAGAAGAAATGTGGTAAAGGGCTAAAGCACGGGAAAGATGAACAATGCCTTCAATAGAGACCTTCCCCAACAGCCACTTCAGAACCACTCCACCCTGAATAGCTTCATCCTCAGCTCTCAATGGAAGGAATATTTCTTAAACATATTTGTAACTCTAAGGAAGAAGCTGGTGCCTGGTATCTGCGACAGGTGCTTAACACATCTTTGTTAAATGAATGAACCTAGGCAGCCATGTCCCGCCCCTTTATGTCCTTGCTTGACGACCCTCCCCCTGCACTCACAGGATTTTCAGTAGACACTCAAAACTCAAGGTGACCAAAATAGAATTAATTTACTGCTCCTTTGTCTGTTCTTGCCCCACCAACTTAGCTTTTAAGTAATTGTTTCATTTTTAATTAATTTCTAAAGCTGTTACTTACTCATACCAGCAGTAAGTCTGGTAGCTCTTTCTTAAGACCAATCCCTCCTCATTAGCCAAGGATCCTGGGGGAATTCTCAGCCTCTATGGTTCAGCTAAATTTCTGAGTATCAGTCAGGACAAAAGAGATGTCATGTGCGCCATTCAAAAGGCCTTTGTCTATGGACGCAGTGATTTCCTTGTTGATGTGAATTCGTTCACAACCTTCCCAATACTTTGCTCTATTCCCTAATCTCAGTAATGGCACCACCATTTACCTGGTCTTCTAAGCCAGAAAACTGAGATTCATTTTAATTGTCTTCTTCCACCCCAAGCTTCCCTCTAGCTACTATTTCTCTCTTTTTCCATTTGCAGTCATTTTTCTTAAACATATTGCTTATACCTGCTGCTTTCATTGATTCTCCTTGCAAATGAGTATTATATGTACATACCTATTATATGTACTCCTTTGGGCTTTGGCCTTAGTCTCACACACTTTCCACAACACCGAATCTTACTTGCTAGTCTTTGAAAACATGGCCAACTCTCATGATGACTGAGAGTTATCCACTGATCATCTAAAAGTATGAGAACCTTCTCTTTGCCCTCTTTTTCTATGCCAGACTTCCATTCCCAGGCTTTCACACTGAAGTTTCCCTTCTTATATTCTTTGCTCAGCTCACCCCTCCTTCCCTCTTCATCCCTTAGGCTCGGTTGGCGTTAAAAAATTTTTTTCTTTTGGGGGGTGCAGTAATATTTAATTTAATTTAATTTTTTCTTTTTTAAAATTATACTTTTAAGTTCTAGGGCACATGTGCACAACGTGCAGGTTTGTTACATATGTATACGTGTGCTGTCTTGGTTTGCTGCCCCCATTAGCTCATCATTTACATTAGGTATTTCTCCTAATGCTGTCCCTCCCCCATCCCCCCACCCCACAACAGGCCCCGGTGTGTGATGTTCCCCGCCCTGTGTCTAAGTGTTCTCATTGTTCAATTCCCACCTATGAGTGAGAACATGCAGTGTTTGGTTTTCTGTCCTTGCGATAGTTTGCTCAGAATGATGGTTTCCAGCTTCATCCCTGTCACTACAAAGGACATGAACTCATCTTTTTTTATGGCTGCATAGTATTCCATGATGGATATGTGCCACATTTTCTTGTCTTTTTTTTTTTTTTTTTTTTGAGACAGAGTCTCGCTCTTTCGCCCAGGCCGAACTGCAGTGGCACCATCTCGGCTCACTGCAAGCTCCGCCTCCTGGGTTCACGCCATTCTCCTGCCTCAGCCTCCCAAGTAGCTGGGACTACAGGCACCTGCCACAACGCCCAGCTAATTTTTTGTATTTTTAGTAGAGACGGGGTTTCACCGTGTTAGCCAGGATGGTCTTGATCTCCTGACCTCGTGATCCACCCGCCTCGGCCTCCCAAAGTGCTGGGATTACAGGCATGAGCCACCGTGCCCAGCCTATGTGCCACATTTTCTTAATCCAGTCTATCATTGATGGACATTTGGGTTGGTGGCGTTAAAAAATTTAAAAACAAACAAAAAAAACTCTGCTCAGATCTATACTTCTCAATTATCAAGGTGGAATAAGATAGCCCATTTCTCCTCCCCAATGCCTCAGACATCTTTATGAAATAGAATATCTCTGTGCTTTGATTCCAACAAAATACTTGTTTAAAATACTGTTATAATCAAGCTCAACAGCTTATCCTAATTTTTTATAGTGAAATTGTGTTTTATGAAGAATTGCTTGAAATAAGTGAAGCAGTATTAAGGCATGAACATCTGGTTAACTGGAAATATTTGTTTTAAAGGACTTTGGACTGTGGTGAGGGTAGACGTCCTTCCTCAAAATAAAACCAACACAGATTAAAGAAAGATTAAATACATCATTGAAACTTATATAAGTGGATATGTCATTTTTGTTATACAGGGTGTTTTAGATAATCATTACAAAGAAAATACAAGATCTTTTAAGAGCTACTTATTCTTTGCTCCTACAAGGATTTGTACTCATTTTCACACAGGAATCACTAACTCAGATTACTGAGCTAAGGAAGCAGTTTATTTTAATCTTCCAGGCACTCAAATACAATGGATTCCTTAGGTAAACAATGAGTTCTCCATCCTAATTAGACATGAGCATCACCAAGAGAACTGTGTAAAGATACTGAATCCAAGTTACTACCCCCCGAAAATCTTATTTCAATGGTTTTGGGTTGGGGAAACTTAGGCATTCTTAACATTCTTAAATGCTCCCTGAGTGATTCTAAAACACATCAAGAATTGAGAATTCCTAGACCAGGGCTTATCTGGACAGACTCTGTGAAAAAGACTGGGTAGGTCCAGAAAGATAATTATTTACCCATTTCTTTAAAAATTTTCTCTGAGACAGATTTTCTAACTTCCTTTTTTTTTTTTTTTTTTTTTTTTTTTGGTGACAAAGTCTCACTCTGTTGGCCAGGTTGGAGTGTACAGGCGCGATCTCGGCTCACTGCAACATCTGCCTCCCAGGATGCTCACCGCAACCTCCGCCTTCCCAGGGAGTATCTAATTCCTTTAGATATTCCAGCCCTGCTAACATCCTGGAAGCTGTGAAGTTTTCCCATGGCCAATGGCCAATAGAAGGATTGGATTAAAATGTTCCTCAAAAATGTTCATGTGATGATTACCTGCCTCAGCCTCCCAAGTAGTTGGGACTACACCAGGCGCTCCACATCTGGCTAATTTTTGTATTTTTAGTAGGGACAGGGTTTCACCATGTTGGCCAGGCTGGTCTCGAACTCCTGACCTCAAGTGATCCGCCAGCCTTGGCCTGCAGGTGTGGGCCACTGCACCCGGCCAGATTTCCTAATTTTCTTTGGTATCTTATGTTAATGTTTTGTTATCTTAACAAGGAAGTTGTTAATGCCTTGAAGTTAAACTCTATAATGTCCTCTGCATAAACATACACACATAGAAATGTTCTTATGCTTGCATCGTTACTATAAAGAAAACAATGAATGCTACTATTATTTGGCCAAAGAATTGGAAGACTTGGAAGCAGTTTGTCCTAGATTATTGATAGTACAAGTGAGAGCCAGAAACACAATCTCTTAATCTTCTGTGTATATTTCATCCAAATGAGTTACTCCTAGTAGAAAATTGTGACAAAATCAATAGGATCTATTGCTTTATTCAAGCTATATAAAATTAAAATGCTGACAATTATGTACAAAAAGTACAGAAATTATGTGATCACTTACTCTTACAGAGGATAGGTTCTGAGATATGAGGAAAGCTCTTGATTAATTTATTGTTGTCTTCACTATCCCTCAGTTTACCCCCCTCCTGCCATGTAATATAAGGAATCTGCAATGGAAAGACACAGATAAAAATGACTAATTTTACAGATGGAACGTATTGCTCTTATTACCCAATAATGTTTTTGACTTATTATTTTTCACATGTGCATTTAAGTAATGAGCTCAAAATGACATTCAAATTTCATGAGCACACATCTTATTCTTGATGCAGTCTAGCAGTTCCAAGATGACAAAAAGGTTGCACTTTTGGGCCAATGATTTCTTAAATGACTATTGTTATTCCTCACTTTCAAATCATTGCTATACAGTCTTTTTAAACAACGAAGACCCTAAAAATTTTTAGCTTAATTTTAAATTTGCTTGAATAGGAAGTTGGAAGAAAAATAGCTGGAATGAAGAATAAGCACCCTGAATTTATGGAACTCAAAACACTTTGCAAGCATCTTTGAGGACTTGAGAGAAATACACACCCTCAAGTTATAAAGGGAGTTCATAGATATCTTCCAGATTAATTAACTTCCTTGTTTTAGTTCTACTAAGACATTTCAGTGGAAGACATTAGGGCACTGTACTCTCTTCTTGAATATCCACCCAGCCCCCCAGTAATGGCTCTCTAAATTCTACCCTTACTTTTTAGCCCAGGTCAAGGGCTACCCCATCCATGAAATATTTTCTAGATACCTAATGAATGTGATTGCTCCCTCATTGAAGTTTCCATCATATTTTGTTTCAATGTGTACATTCTATCTAGTAGTTTAATTGCTCCCATGTATTTCATTTTCTTTACTGGATGACTTCATAAGGGGAGAGGCATTTTCCTATTCATCTTGGTATGCCTTATAGTAGCTAGTATCTTAAAATTGGAGCTCAATAATTATCTGCTGGAAGAATGAATATGCACCACCTGCCCATTTTCAGATAGTTCATTTTTCCTTTTGGATTGGAGAATCCAAGGACAAAAAAACAGACGGCTTGCTCAAATTTACTATGGCGGTTACTATGGCGGTAATCCATATATTCAAGACGCCTTGAAGCTTGACTCCTTTGGGAGATACGTTCACCGCACAGACTTACTCAGTGATTTACTAACAGACCTTCCTATTCCACTAGTACAAATAAATCAACATCTTAAAAGTGCTTTTGTATTTTTTTCATGAAAGCATAACTACTAGTCAAATATATTCAGCAAACACTTCACTTAAATATATTCTAATGTTTTAATTCTATTTTCTAGGTCCTATGAGTGGGTTTAGCTGCATCATGAAGCTTGTTTTGGACTTTTAAAACTTCCTGTCTGTCCTAGATGACAGCATCTATAAAGAGGTACTTTAAAACTTATTAATGATAATGACATTCAGATTTCTAAATCAATGTTTCTCATAATAAAAGTGGAAAAGAAGGAAGATCTAAAGAGTTTAATGAAGTCAGTGAATGGATTCATAAATTGCTATAAGTTTAAAAGCTGGTAAATAATATCCTGGAGTTAGGGTAGAAAAAAAAAAGAGAAAATGATACTTTGTGTTATCTATTAAAGATAAATGGACCTCAGAAACCATGTTTTCTAATACTCTCAGCTTATAGATTAGGATATTGAGGCTCAGAAAGGAAATACTAGAATCAGCAGATATATTCCTTTAGATATTCCAGCCCTGATAACATTCTGGCAGCTGTGAAATTTTCCCATGGCAAGTAGAAGGATTGGACTAAAATGTTTCTCAAAAATGTCAATGTGATGATTACTTCAAGTTGAGGAGGAGTGCAAACCTGAATGCCAGTCATGAAAGGCATAAGCAACATAGGGGCTTGGTTATGGTCGTTATATCCTAGACCATAGCTCTATCTCAAGGCAGTTTTCTCCTGTATCCATTTTAAGTGAGAGGCTCCTGTTTACCCAAGGTTCCTAAACTCATGTAAAAACTCAGATTGCAGAAGCGAAAGCATAAGCAAAGTTCTTGCAGGGTTGCTAAGTACTTGATCGAGTTTTGAGGTTCATTCAACCAGGTTTTATTACTAGTTTTGAGAGGGAACAGTATGTTTCTCATATCCGTTTTCTTTTACTGCCTTCCTTTCTGTAAGTGCCTGCTACATCGTAGAAGCTCAATAAACTTGGTTGCTGATTAAATAAGAATTTCAATCGATTTTCTTTAAATAAAGATTTGTGTGTGTGTGTGTCTCAATGGCACCATTCATTGTTAAGCTTTCCGGTGGAAAGTCTTTATTTTTACCTTCCCTAAGTAAGAGCTTCTTCTTCTAGTCCCTGTTAGTATAGATACTTTCACCACATAGCTATAGATATCCTGCCCTTTCCCAGTTCTGTTGTCTAACCAAGACTTCAGAAATAACAGTGAGAAGATAAAAGTGTATGAGAATTGGACTCGGGGTTATACCAGTTCTATTTTGCTCTTGGGGCACTGGAAAGAAAATAAATTTAGGAATGGCCACACAATGACTAGGAAAAGTCAGTAGGTAGTCAAGCTTCTACTCTATCAAATGGGGAAGCAGGAAGTAAGGCCCCTCATGTCTCCAAAAGGATAGCTGAGGAGATCTTGTCAAATCTGTAACCAAATCACAATGTCAGCAGCAAAGATGGTAGGTTTGACTTTAAAGCTGCTGAAGGAGAGGTTCACTTATTTCCAGAGGACTCACAGGTAAAATTAAAATTGGCTGAGCAGGCCAGGCATGGCGACTCACACCTGTAATCCCATTACTTTGGGAGGCCGAAGTGGAGGGGATCACTTGAGGTCAGGAGTTTGAGACCAGCCTGGCCAACATGGCGAAAACCTGTCTCTACTAGAAATACAAAAAATTAGCCAGGTGAGATGGTGGATGCCTGTAATCTCAGCTACTCGGGAGTCTGAGGCAGAGGAATCACTTGAATCCAGGAGGTGGAGGTTGCAGTGAGCCGAGATTGCAGCACTGCACTCCAGTTGGGCAACAGAGTGAGACTCCATCTCAAACAAAAAAAAAATCAGCTGGACAGAAGAACAACGCTAGGTTGAACATAACAATTTTCCTATCACTTGTCATTGAATTCTCCCTTCCAACCACAGAGGATCAGAAAATGGGCTGTTTTATCAGTCCAGTAAGATTACCTACCTCTGTAGTACTGGAATAGTGAACCACGGAAGACTCCAGAATATACTTTTAAAGTCAATGAAGATGCTGGGATGTTCTTGCTCAGCTCAAGATCTTGTTTCTTCCTGTGGCCTTCCATGTACCTCCCCCTTGCTGGGACTGGAGAGTGACATCAGAATCACAATTGGTGATATCACTGTCTCTATAGCAACAGTAGTGAGGCTACCAGAAAATGAATGGTCAACAGGACAAAGAGGAGGGGTGAAGATATACTCCAAGGGGCTGATGTTTAGTTTAGAAGGACTGGGCTTTATTCTGATTAATTCTCTCTTTAGAGCAGTGGTCCCCAAACTTTTTCACACCAGGGACCAGTTTTGTGAAAGACAATTTTTCCACGGATGGGAGTGGGGTGGGAGTATGGTTTCTGGATGATTCAAGCACATTACATTTGTTGTGCACTCTATTTCTACTATTATGCCATAATATAGAATCAGTGGGAGTCCTGTCTTCCTGCAACTAGATGGTCTCATCTGGGGATGGTGGGAGACAGCGACAGATCATCAGGCACTAGATTCTCATAAGGAGTGCACAACGTACACTTTCCACAATAGGGTTCAAGCTCCTATGAGAATCTAATGCCACCACTGATCTGACAGGAGGTGGAGCTCAGCTTTGCTCACTTGCTCACCATTTACCTGCTGTGTGGCCAGGTTCTAAAAGACCATGGACTGGTACCGGTCCATGGCCTGAGGGTTGGGGACCTCTGCTTTAGAGTGTTTAATATAGGTGGGGGAATACGGGAAGGGGACATTTTGCCAATGGATTCCACTTAAAGCAGCAGAGTAAGTATTATGTATTAACAAATCTAGAGGACGGCAGAGGAGAATGAGAAATAAAAGAATTGAGGGTCTAAATTTTATGCATATCCCATGGAATCACTTCATTTTGTCAGATCCAGCCAGGACTCTTTTTATTTATAAGCATCTTGCCTTCTGTAAAAAAATTATTTTTAGGATATTTTGCCTAAACTGACCATCTCTGGGTTATAATTTGTCTTAGATCTTCAGAGATACAATAACCCTATTTTATCATTTGCAATGCCTGACCTGAGAAACTGTAGTGGGAAAAATCACACCAAGAGGCATTTGGTTAGCTACTCTTTCTATGCTTTATTACTACATTCTCTGAAAATGTTACCTCAGCTACTCTGTAATTAATGATTAAATATAGGACTAGTATATAGTTTCCATGGAGCAAAAAGAAATTCCAAGCATGGCCACGAGATAATGATGAAAATTGCAACAGATTCAAAAGCGGCTGGTTTATCACAGGGTTCCTTCAAAAAAGTTATTTATCGCTGGGCACAGTGGCTCACGTCTGTAATGCCAGCACTTTGGGAGGCTGAGGCAGGCGGATCACTAGAGGTCAGGAGTTCAGGACCAGCCTGGCCAACATGGCAGAACCCTGTCTCTACTAAAAATACAAAAAATTAGCCAGGCATGGTGGTACACGCTTGTAATGCCAGCTACTCGGGAGACTGAGGCAGGAGAATTGCTTGAACCTGGGAGGCGGAAGTTGCAGTGAGCAGAGATAGCACCATTGCACTCCAGCCTGGGTGACAGAGTGAGACTTGAAAAAAAAAAAAGTTATTTATCCATTGATGATCTTTTATATTGTCTCAAGAGCTTTTGTATTCTTTTCACAGAAAGTGCACCTACTAGTCAAATTATATTTGTCAAAATATCTCAGTTTCTTTTTTCTTTTTTTTGAGACAGAGTCTCAACTCTCGCCCAGGCTGGAGTACAGTGGCACGATCTCGGCTCACTGCAACCTCCGCTTCCCAGGTTCAAGTGATTCTTGTGCCTCAGTCTCCCGAGTAACTGGGATTACAGGTGCACACCACCACACACGGCTAATTTTTGTATTTTTAGTAGAGGCTGGGTTTCACTATGTTGGCCAAGCTGGTCTCGAACTCCTGACCTCAAGTGATCCGCCTGCCTCGACCTCCCAAAGTGCTGGGATTACAGGCATGAGCCACCGCACCTGGCCTCTTCGTCTTTGAAATAATGGGGCTTGCTGAGCTCCTAAAATCTCTTCCAGCTCTAACATTCTATGATTTTGATACTTCAGTGGTATTTGAATAGTACTGCATGGACCTACATATAGCACTTTACGGGTGACAAAGCATCTTTGCATCCATTACGCCACCCGATTCTCATAATAACCTTTTGAGGTACCAGGGTAGGTTTTATTTACCCTGTTAGACAAGTGTAGAAACTTGTCCAGGTCACAGCTAACGAATGACAAAACTGGGGATGGGATCTAGTATTCTAGGTGTTAAAAATCGGTGTTCTTTCAGTTGGGCACAGTGACTCATGCCTGTAATCCCAGCACTTTTGGAGGCCAAGGTGAGAGGAGGTCTTGAGCCCAGGAATTTGAGACAAGCCTGGGCAATACAGTAAGACCCCATCTCTGAAAAAAAAAAAAGTCAGTGTTCTTTTAATTACACCATGCAACCTTGAAACTAGAACTGAGAACATGAGGCAGTGTTTAACTTAGAGATTTTAAATTATATAATTGGCAGTGTTATACAGGAGTAAGCAGGTTGCTGATGACAGTCAGGATCTGTTGATCCGAACAAGGAAAGTATGTTAGTATCCATATTGGTCCCAAAATCAAGTATTAGCAAATTGTGTTAAGTGAACATAGGATAAGGCCAAGAAATATGACAGTGTAGCGTTACTACTAAGCTTCTCCGATGAAATTCAAGGTTTTTTTCTCTCTTCCAATTCAATTTGTTAGGCGACACTTCAGTAAACAGTAGGGGCAAGATAGAGTGGAAACAGCCAAGATTTCAAGCCTAGTAATAAGCAACTTCTACATCCCTACTCATCACAGGCCTTTTTGTCTATCCCAGAAACACATACTTTTCCTGAAAAAACAAAGCACTGGAAGGATTACCAAGTCTAGAAAGAACCCGCCCTCCCCAAACTAGGTGGTTTTCTGATAAGCCTAAGGTATGTTTCACAGGATCACTGGTTGCCATCTCCTACCCAGCAATCTGGAGAGGTTGACCAGAATAAAGTATTTTAAAATCCAAGCGCTTAGTCTAACCTGGAATTTCCTCAGTTTCTAGATGGCTCTTTGTAGAACAATGCAGATTCTCAAAGGTGACCACAGTTAAAGAAAAAATTACAAGCCATTGCGCTAGAGAGAGCCATCTGCAGTTTCTCCTTAGACAGATGTTCAGATGGCACACATGGCCACTAAATTTGCATAATATTTCAGGAAGTTCACAGATTTCCCGAAGCCCACTCATGAATCACACTTCTGGTTAAGAACTCCTAGATTCATATGCTAGTTGGTGATAAGTGCTTTGGTATATAAACTTAAACCAAAAATTGGTGGAATAATTACCACCTTGGATAGGATGGTCAGAGAAGTTTTATCCGAAGAGGTCACTTTTGAGCAGAGACTTGAGCTGGTGCAGACACCTGAGTGTGCATTCCAGGAAACGCGAACAGCAGGCGCAAGGGTCCCTATGAGAGAATGTGCTTGGCGGGCTCGACGCACATTTATTTACTTGGGACACACCCTATTTTGGTTTCTCTTCTCCACTTTTCCCCTCGTTCTTGTCCCCCCTTTTCTCTCTCCTGGGCCCTGGATCTCCTGAGCGCGGAGGGCTACGCCTCCTTCTTCCTCCGGACTCACCAGGGCTGCCAGCTTAGCTTACATTTTCAGGGAACAGGAAACTGAGAGTCAGGAAAGGTGAGCTCTTCTACCTCGGGTCTTGCCATTTTGCATGTCCTGAGTCAGTCACTGGTTAACTCTGAACTTCAGGTTCCTCGGCAATTAGAGATTATAAATAGCCTATACAGCCTATTCCAGATCTGAGATTCCAACAGCCAAAGTCTTTTCACTTCCTTTCTTCCCCCTCTCCTTCACTTTCCCAGCTTTCTTCTTAACCAACAATCTACCCGAAACCGTCGTTTCTTGGTTAGCGCTTGCGCAGACAGGCGAGAAAGGTAAGTTTTGACCCAGCTTAGCAGCCGTAGTCAGCCGGGAGTGCTGTCGTGGGGGATTGTGGGAAAAGATGGCGGCTGCCGCACAATCCCGGGTTGTCCGGGTCCTGTCAATGTCACGTAAGTGTTACCGGGAACGGCGGCCCCTGGTCGGGATTCCGAGACGGGGATTTAAGGTTTTGGAAGTGGCACCGTGCTGCAGCGGTCACGCCAACTTCCTAGGCACACTCTGGTTTCTCTAGGTTTGGAGCTGCCTCAGTCTGGTTTCTCCTTTCGCTTTCCGCTTCCCCGGCTCACATATTCAATTGTGCACCACCTTGGGAGGGGACAAAAGATCTTAAGCAGCTGTAAGCGAAGAGGAGAATGCGGGGGACACGTTAGGGATCGAGAGAATCAGAATTCTGATATGGTTGTAAGGGTTTAGGGTTATGAGAAATATTTGTATGGGGCGGGGGGAGAAATGTGTAAGGGAGGGAAAAAAGGCTAGTGGCGAGAGGTTTTCTTAGATTGATTTTATGACCTTGTGCAAACCCTTAATGGGTCTCAATTCATATGAGCACAATGGAAATGATAATATTACAATACCAGGGAGTCTCTGATAAGATTAAATGAGCTAATATTTGTAAAAGCATCCTTTTACCCAAAAGCGTCTCTACGGATGTAGAATGTGTTCGGCAAAGTGCGTTGGGGTCTGGGGGAGAGAGTGATGTTTGAGGAGAGAAGAATCAGGAGCTTGGTGGAAAGGAAAGTGAAGAATGAAGGCTATGTTAGAATTTGTTAGCATTATTTAGTTTCTCTTCTGTTCTGATTGGATCTGCTCCCACTCCTCAAACTGAAAACATACATTTGTCCTTCCACTCACTAAAAAGCAAGGAAATTAGAAATACGGTTACACTTCATCATTGTCCTTTCACCCTCTACTCTTCCACAAACATATTCCAATCAAACCCCCAAAGTTGTATTTTTCTTAGTGTATTTTAGTCGTTACAGAATATCATTTGCTTTCAAAATTGGCTCATGTCAGAATCACTCGTAAAGCTTTATAAAAATTAGAAATGAGGACTGAGTGTAGAGCTATTGAGTCAGAATTTGTGAGATTAGCTCCTTGCACCTTAAATTTTTAAAAGCACCACAGATAGGCTTGATGTTCAGCCTGAGGCAAGAATTAGGAGTGTTTAGAGGATCCTTTTTTTTTTGTTTTCCATCTTGGGTAGAACTCCTGCATACCACTGGGAAGGTGGTGGTGCACATCACTTATAGTGGATGGTTTTGTAGTCACAATGTCTTTGCAAAGACATTTGCTGGTTCTTGTTAAACTATTACAATTGTATGACGTAATGTAGATTGTGAATGGTAATCACTATTTATTGAGTACCTGCTATCTGCAATCTCCAGTTCTAGGTATTTTTATTAATTTTCCTCTTTTAACTTACTTTCCTCTGACTGACACCATAGCTTGTGTTCTTAACCACTCTGCGTTATTGTCTGGTAAAGTAAGTTTTTGAGTAAATTCTGTAGAGGCAAGTCTAGTATGTAACATAATCCACACACTATAGGACAGAACTGTGTAAGACAACTATATATAGTTAAGTGTGGCAAGACTATTAAGTATCACAGGAAATCATAAAAGGGAAAGATTAGTATCATTTGAGGTACTGAGGGATGATTGGAAGACCAGTGGAGAATTGTAGTGCTCCCACTGGTCTCTTTAGGGCTGTTATGATCTGGAAAGTCCTCTGGCAAAGACAAGTGGGTGAGAATGGAGTCATGAGGTATTCAAGAGGCAGTGAAATGACTACCTGAATATCTGGGATAGTGGAAAAGGAGGTTGAATGTGTTAGATGGGATCAGACAATGGAGACCTTTGAAAGCCAAGCAGAGTTTAGATCGGTAGTCTCCAAAGGGAGTTGTGCAAGAGGACCTAATAAGTTGTGGAAATATAAATTAGAACTCCTAAAAATTGCTTTCTATAGTAATAATAGCTAACACTTATGTAGTTTAAACTGTATGCCACACACTATTCTAAGTAATGTATGATTTATAATGTGTATATCATATTGGTACTACATAGAACGTGCATATAATTTTTTAAATAAATACTTAAAAAAATTAATGCAGTGTGCAAGCAAATATGTCTGGACTATTGGTTTGGGTATTGCAGTAGGAAACTAATGTAGGTTTTTAAGCAGAGAAATATAATGAATATATAATTAATAAAGAATATCATTCTTCTAATAGTACTCATAATAAATGGAAGAAAGTGGAGAGGCTGGAACCAAAGAGAGTAATAATTTATATTTATTGAGCACCTAGTATTTGCAAGGCACTGTGACAGATGCTTGCCCATATGTTATTCTCATTAACCCTTTAAACTGTGAGCTTCATGAAGCCAGGGTTTTGTATTTTACTGTGATAGTCACAGTTTCTAGAATAATTCTTGGCCCATAATTATTAAAAAAAAACAATAGCCATGTGAGGTTAGTGTGACATTACCTTCTGAGAAATTTCAAAGTAATAAAAGCAACTATTATTCATAGAATGCTTAATGTGCTCTAGGTAATGTGCTACGTGGTTTATGTATGTTTAATCCTCTTAACAGTCCTTTGAGGTATTAATTCCTCAACTCAAGTAATTCTTCCCAGTTCATTGACTCTGCCATCTTTTGCCTGTCTTATCCTATGTCCTCATTTCCTTACTCTTCACTCTTATCATTCCCTTTTATGCATCCTCAACTCCCCAGCCCAACTCCCATTGTCGTAAAAAACATTGACCCTGATTAAACAAAACTTTCCACGTAATTTGCTGCCTGCCACTGAGCAATGGAGAACGGGGCTAGGGAAAACTTCAGACTAACTGGCCTTATTTTAAATTCATGAATACAAATCTCAAGTAGATTTTCAGTGCTACATTTTTCTAGGAAATTTGGTTTCCTTGTCTCCATAATCATTACTTAACATAGCGAGTTTCCTAAAACCTCTAACATGTGCTTTTGTCTCATTCTCAGCTTTACAGAGAAATCAAAGGAATCAGATGAGAACAGTCATTTTCCCACCATAAACTCTAATAGTTGATATGTGATAATTCTTTGCCTTTTCTCTTGTTACAGTGGGTGAGCTCCTTCTGTTCCAATCTGTGGCCAGTTCCTTCACTTTGCATTCAATCTTATCCTCTCTCAACTATTCATTCCCTTTCCTGAATCAGTAATTTTCTACCTCTACCATGGAAATCATGTCATTTCCATCAGCACATAAATGTTAACTCATATTTAAAACAAACAAACAAACCTATTCCTGTCCTTGTTTTCTCTAGTTCCATTTCTCCTTTTTCAGAAGGATTGTGTATACTCCTCATCTACTTCCTTGCCTCACAGCCTCTCTTGTTTGCTCCAGTCTGGCTTTCAGTCCCACTAATCCAATAAAATTGCTCTTATTTATGCCACCTACAGCCACATCCTCCAGCTTCTGTGGTCCTCTGTCCTCTTCCTACTTCACTTTCAGCATTTGGTAAAGTTAACCATTCTCTCCTTGAAACAGTTTCTTATTTTGGGTTTTTAGATTCTGTTTCCTTCTGAGTTTTTCTCCTACCTCATGGGACTGCTTTTTAATCTCCTTTACTAGTGCTTTGGGCTAGTCACTAACCTTATCCATAAAGTGGTGATAAAGATAGCATTAAAAAAGATAATACCTATGCAGCACTTAGAATAATGCTGGACACCTGCCAAGAGCTCTGTAAAGGTAGCTGTTAATATGATGTTATTATTTTGTTATTATGATGTGTGGTCCATGATGTTTACTTTTAATTTCTGTCACTATCAGTGAGCTAGGCTATTTCTCCAATTCAATACTTTTGGATAGGGAAGAACAATGACCTTTGGGCAGAATGCCACCTGAAAGTCATCCCTAGAAACAAACACAGATTTTCTAAAGAAAGTCCTGTTTGTGTCTTTCACCTCTCCCAAGTGTACAAAGCACGAATGCTAAGCTCCGAAGTTTGTTGATTGGAGCAGAAGTGCGTTAGCACTTTAAACCTTTTTGTTTCTACTTACATGAAAGTTGAGCAGCTAACTCTAAAATTCTATTCTAAGGAGTTAGCAATAACTTGAAAACTGGAATGTATCCAAAAGAGATTCTCATTCCTGCCATATGAAGAATATTTGACAGGACAGGGAATGTTTAACCTGGAGAAGAAAATATTTAGTGGGGCTATAATTGCTACACTTAATTGTAGAAGAGGGATTAGACTTGTTCTTTGTCATTCTGGAGGAACACAGGGATAAAAACTTCTGGGAAGCAGTCACTGATTCCCCTTGTGGTAGAACTTTCTTTCTGTTAGAATGGCTCAAAGCAGAATGGGCAGCTACAGGAAGTAGTGAGTTTCCCAACTCCACAGGTGTTCAGGCAAAAGCCAGATGATTTCTTTGCACACATGCTGTAGAGAAGATGTAAGCATTGGTACATGAACTTTGAGGGTTCATTCTAGTACCAAGAACCTCAGTCAATGAAAAAGAAATGGTGGAATGTTTGACAAGTCTCTTGCTGTTAAACTTTCTAAAAGTCAGAATATCTTTTCTCAAGCACTTCACTCCTTTTATCATTATTTGTGATGTTCTTCAGTGGTTTTATAGTAAGTCTGAACTATTGAACTGCATTCTTTTTTTTTTTTTTTAATGTTCTGTACTAATAATCATCTGCTTCCGACCAGTATCATCAACCTTATTTTTCATTAGTCACCAGTTTCAGATTCTGTTCCAGGAGAGTCTTTTGCTGTTGCCCTGTGCTGTAGGCTTATTCATTCTACCTCTGCATTGTGATGTGTTCCTCATGGGATTCTGTCCTTTCTTTTTTTTTTCCTCTTTTAAGACCTTTCTCAAAACATTTTATCCAGGAATACTTCCTCATGGTAATGTGATTTATTGCTCATTTATTACATATTCTCAGTTCCTTTTACCGTATAGGCTTATGCTTTCCTACTTTGTGACTGTTTAATATGTTTTTTAAAAAATGTGACTTATCTTCTTAGGTAAGTTACATTGTATAGGGTAGGGAGTATATTTCCTCATGTCCTCTGGATTCTGTGTCGTAGTAGTTTGTGTTTATTATTGCCCTTGATACTTAAATTGCTAAAGTACTGATTGCAAAATAATGTTACAAGTTTTTAGAGAAAGGAGCTATTTGTGTTGACAGTTTTAAAAATATTAATATTTGCCATGCTTGTATACTTTGGGGTTTTGTTTAAGGTTCTGCCATTACTGCAATAGCCACATCTGTGTGTCACGGCCCACCCTGTCGCCAGCTTCATCATGCCCTCATGCCTCATGGGAAAGGTGGACGTTCCTCAGTCAGTGGGATTGTGGCCACTGTGTTTGGAGCAACAGGATTCCTGGGGCGATATGTTGTCAACCACCTTGGTAAGTAAAGTTCCTTAAGTTCATATGCTCCATTGCCATTGATCAGGATTGCCTGATGAGAAGCATGAGCTATGTTTCTCTTCATTTTAACAGTATTATGAATTACTCCTGTCTTGGATGTATGTAATTTTTATTTGTTGTGACATGAAGAGCACACTCATGCTCCTATATAGGAATTATTAGGATAGGAATAAGGGACTCTGAAAAGCTATGGCATCTTTAGCATGGCAAAATATTCTTTTTGTCAAATATAATATCAATTCACATACCATACTAGAATTTAAATATTTACCAAGTCACAATTGTATAATATATCCACATTATGTTAATGTTGATCCTTTTTTCAATCCATTCTCTTTTAGGACGCATGGGGTCACAGGTAATCATACCCTATCGGTGTGATAAATATGACATCATGCACCTTCGTCCCATGGGTGACCTGGGCCAGCTTCTGTTTCTGGTAAGGGCCTTTATGACTGAATGAAGTTGACAAATATAAATTACTAAGGTCATTTTTAGGAGTGATAGGCAGTATAATAAAGCAGTAATTTCTTCCCAGAATGGACCAAAGGCATCCTCTGTTCCCAGGTCATTCTTTCAGCTAGGTTCCGGCATCTCCTTTGTCATGCAAGCTCTAGATTGGCAGTTGGCAAACTTTTTCTTTGAAGGGACAGAGAGTAAATACTTCTGGCTTTGCAGGTCGTAGAGTCTTTGTCATAATTACTCAGCTCTGCCCTTGTAACTGGAAGTAGCCATAGACAATATGTACACAAATGGGCATGGCTGCATTTCAGTAAAATTTTATTTACAAAATGAGGCTGCAGGCTGAATTTGGCCTATGGACTATAGTTTATCAATCCCTGCTCTAGACCTGTGCTGTCCAGTGTGGTAGCCACTGGCCACATGTGGCTACTGAGCACATGAAATGTGGCTAGTCTGAATTGAGATATGCTGTACGTATAAAATATACACTAGATTTCAAAGACTCAGTATGAAGAAAACAATATACGATTCATCATTAACAATTTTTTATATTTGTTACATATTAAAATAATATTTTGGATATATTAGGTTAAATAAAATGTATTATTAAAATGAATTTTACTTGTTTCTTTTTTACCTATGTGCCTCATGTTATATTTCTATTGAATAGTGCTCTATAAACATAAAAAAATCACAAATAGGGTGTTTTATAACTTGGTTGTTTAGTATAGATTTAACTTAGAACAGTCCTTTCTGAGCATTCCCTTTGTCGTCCTTTAATCTACAGGTTCTTTAGGGCAGTAGTTGCCAATGCGGTGAGGCAGGGGAAAGAGGGTAGAGGAGGGCCATTAAGGGAGTGATTAATGGAACTCTTTGATTGTCACAGTGATTGGGGAGCTGTCCTGGTTATTAGGTACAGGCACAGGGATGCTAAATATCCTACGGAGCACAGGACAGTCTCTTTCCACAAAGAGTTGTGCTGCCCCAAATGCCTGCAGCCAAGCTATTGATTGCGATACTGTCTGGGCCTTGATGCTTAAATCTACTGATCTTATAGCTGACTTCCTACTTGTGTTGTCCTGTAAGGAATGGAGTTATACATTTTCCCTTTTAAAAAATACTTGCTAAACTTTCTTACTATCTCTGGTAATATTCATACAGATTATTTGTAATCCCTTTAAATTTTGATTTATTTTCATTTCATTTTCACATTTTCATTTATTCTTGACTCAGTGTTCACAAGCTAAGTATAATACTTGTATCAGAAATTTCTTATTTCCAAAATGTTTTTCTTCTCCAAAATCTTACTATTAAGTATATTCTTGGTATTAAAGTTACAGAATCTTAGCTTATTCCTAGTTCTTTGTCCCTCAAGTTTGTTGGTCACCTTGTCAGAGCCTCAAAATTGAAGTATTTAAAAAGTGATAGGTGAAAACTTTTGAACCATTGGAATTAAACCAAATGACATCTATTCCATTATTTCTGCAGAGATTTATTTCCTGAATGTCTAGCATTGACCTGTGCTCTGAGCACGTTTGGATGACCAAGACCACAGGGAACTCAGAGACTTGTATGTTTAGTGTTTGTTTATGTGTTTATTTTCGAGAAGGACTATTTGGGGTGTGAGGTGCTGATTTCCCCGCTTTAGTCTTTGTTTGCATCTGCTGTCTGAATGTCCACTTGGTTTGCCCACCTGACTGTGTGCCCTTGGGCCTTAGCCCTGAAAATTTGGTTTCCTTTTATTACATCACTCACTGCTGTAGATTTTATGTATATTTCACTTAATCGTCATAATAACCTCGTGAGGTAAGTTGTGTTTTCTAATTTTACATGGGGTTTGAAGAGATAATTTGTACAAAGTTAGTATATGGCAAACTGGGATTTGCATTCCTGTCTGTTTGACTCCAAAGCCACTGTTTAGACTGTGTCTTTTAACCCACTTTCTATCATCAGTCCTAACTGGTTCTTCCTGCTGGGGCTTCATCTTTTTGTTCTTGAATCTGATTTTATAGTTTGTTTTCTCTTTCCTAAATTAAACAGACATCCTAGTTCTCTCTCTTTCTCTTTCATCCCCACTTTCTTTCTCTTTTCCCTTCTTGCTCTGTCTCCTTCCTATTGCACTGACTCATGCATGTGCACTTATTATTTGGTGCTAAGAAATTCTTATTACTTGTTATCTTCCATTGAAATGCTTATAGAAACCTGCCCTTGGCTCACCCTGAAGTTTTAGGTAGTTCTCTTTGACTCTTGTTTTTATGTTGTTAATGGAGAAATTACTAGATCTGGGGTTATAAAAGAGGAAAGAATTAAAAAGAAATAAGAAAATAGTCATGAATGGCCCCAACTAACACTAGTCTTTAAAAGACACTCTTCCTATCTTCAGTCTGTAAGTGGTTGCTGTCAAGAAGGGAAAGTCTATCTCCCTAATGATCCTTGCTTCTTTGTCTGTATTTCAGGATTGGAGACTTGGTTTCCTGGGTTTCTTTTCAAACTTAGTAAGGAGTAGTTGGGTGGACAAAAACTAATATGCTCCATTAAAAATCAATAGCCTCCTTTTTAGCTCTGTCATTTGATTACCTGAGTAAAGTGTACTGTTACCTGTTTGTCTCGGAAAGAGTGAGGGAATCAGCAGGGAGTCTGAGATGTCATTTCTGTTGTAATAAATGGAGCTTGGATGAAATGGCACTATATTATGACTACAGCAGATGGCCCATTTTGAAACTTGCATTGAGGAGGCTGCAGAAGTGTTGAGTGCTGAGGTATACCCCTATGTTTTCATCCGATTGCTTTCTGCTATTATAGGAATGGGACGCGAGAGATAAAGATTCTATCCGACGAGTAGTACAACACAGCAATGTGGTCATCAATCTTATTGGACGAGACTGGGAAACCAAGTAAGTCTTTGACTCTTGTTTCTTCTTTGCTTAAGTCTTTCTTAGGGTTTAATGGACCTTCGCTGGGCACCTTTTATGTGCCAGCTATCACAGTGACATTTTCAATTAGTGAATAAGGGTTGGTTGAACAACCACTTGCATACCCAGTGACACCCCTGAGGAGATGTAGCTGACATTAAGTCTGGTATAAGTCAGCAGTGTGATATACTGCCCATAAAAAGCCAGTAGGTGGTATTGGTGTGGCTGCTGTTGGTCCTGTACTTGGATCAGTCCCTATGGGATGGGGTTAAGAAATAGGATTTTGCCTGTTCTGCTGTTTAGCAAGCTGAACTTTGGTTTTTCTTGTGTAGACAGTGTTCTAGATGTCTTTTCTGCATTGTTAATTGGAGGTGGCGTGAGGACTAATTTGAACAGTTCTTTGTATGGATTGTTTATTAACAAATAATGTTTCAATCCTATAGTCCACAACACTTTGTTTACACCTCTTTTTATAGTGTTAAAATTTGACTTAGTTTTTTAATATGTGTCTTCTCATCAAATATTTTATAAATTCTTTGATGACTTGGGGGTCTTATTCAACTTTTTATCCCCCCTAATGATTAACATAGTGTATTGTACAGAGTAAACATTTAGTTAACGTTACCGAATGAAATTGTTGACTGACTTGTTTTTAGTTTCTTTTTTTTCCCTTGCGGGAAACAAAGTCCCGGGGTAAGAAGTGATTCCTAACACTTCAGCAGCCAGTACGGCCAGGTTTCTTTAAAGGGCCTCAGCCTCAGGATTCCCTGATAATGCAGAACATGAAGTATACTGGATTTCTAACTTAAAGTAGTCCTTAAATTGTGTAGAGTAATGACAGCAGAGCTGTCAACTTTTTTAAAAAAATAATTTTAGCTTAAAAAAATTAAAAATTTTTTTTCTTTTTTTAGAAATAGAGACAGGGTTTTACTGTTTTGTGCAGGCTGGTCTTGAACTCCTGGGCTCAAATGATTCACCCGCCTTGGCCTCCCAAAGTGCTGGGATTACAGGCATGAGCCACCACACCTGGCCAAATTTAGCTTTAAGTTAAATCATTGCTGTTTAAAAGTTTAAGTAGTGTGAATTTCAGTACTGTTATGAAAACCATCTTATCACGTAAAGCTTTGAGATCCTGTGTGTGGAGTTCTTAACCAATCCTTTTATTTTTTATCTTCCAGAAACTTTGATTTTGAGGATGTTTTTGTGAAGATTCCCCAAGCAATTGCTCAACTGTCCAAGGAAGCTGGAGTTGAAAAATTCATTCATGTTTCACATCTGAATGCGAATATTAAAAGCTCTTCTAGATATTTGAGAAATAAGGTAAGTAACAAATTGATCTGGGAAGTGGTTCACAGAGCCAGAGTTTCTTGGGCCATTTGAAACATGATTTCAGTGAGAAGGGTTTATCACAGACATATGTAGAATTAAAAGGTTTTCTGATTCCCTGCATCCAGAACTAGGGGTGTGTGTGATGTTTTGACGTTTTGATTGATTGCCTTCTGTTTGCAGGGAACTGTGCTATGGGGCTTCGGAGTTGGCTAGACCATGTTACTGTTGGCATTCAGATACTTAAAGTTTCTTTGGGGCATCATTGAATTATACAGAAACCATCACAGATTTCTGCCAAAGGAATCATACCTGTGTCATCTACCATGGTTAAAGGACCATCTTTCTTTCTCACCCCTTGCACTGCAGTGGTTTTGTGCCACTCTTAAAGGGGCAATGTGAAGGCTCAGAATGACAGGGATTAATATTTGCCAGGGAAGATGCCTATTCACACAGTGCTTATGCTCCTTTTACTCCCAGAAATGCCATACCTAGAGACTGACCACTGTAGTTTGGAGTCAGTCTGTAGCCTAAGTGAAACGTGTTCATTATCAGGGACGCAGAAGGGATATCAGTGTCTGGCCGTGCGCTTAACATTTGGATTCTGCCATATGGAAGCCTGTTTGGAGTCATACTGATAAGGACAAGAGAGTTCCTTGATAATGGTTCCAAGTTTTTGACTCACCACATTAGTTTACTGGATAAACTATTCATTAAGCACCTACTGTGTGTCACATATTGTGTTAAGCACTGTGGCTACGGTAGTAAATAGAGAGAAAATAAGAGAGAGAATGCTTGTGCCTGCCTCTGCCCAAACATTCATAAAATCATCAGAATTTCATGACTGGAAGGGAATGGGAGGTGTCAATGGTGAGGAAGAGAGAAGAGTCAAAGATGTCCAGCCCTCTGGCTGAAGCCACTGGGTAGATGATAGTACTGTTGAATAAGATGGGAAATGCTTGGGAGGGACTAGGCTGTAGGGCAGTGAGTCTTAGCCTTAGTTGCACATTAAAACCACTGAGGGAGCTTTTAAAAATTCTGATGCCTAGGCTGCGCTCCAGACCAATTAAAACAATTTCTGGGGTTGCAACTTCAGCACCAGTATTTTTTAACTCTGTCTAGGTAATTCTGAGTGCAGCAAAGATTGAGGAGCACTATTTTACTTGAGAGAATGGAAGATGATTGAGTTTTGGACTCACGTTTCAGGTGCATTTCAGATGTGTGTCAATCTTCCAAGTAACTGGTATATAGGGTTTCTGATCCTGGAGGTCAGAAGAGAGGTCTGGGTTGGAGACAGAAATGTGGGAGTTACCAGCATTTGTTGTTAATTTAAGTGATGAGAGAGGATAAGATGGCTGAAGATTGAGAAGGTAGTTTCAGATTGGGCCCAGAACATACCAATGGTTAGTAATCTGGTAGAGAAGGAGGCACCTGCAGAAACCCAAACCAATCAAACAGAAAGACTAAGCAGGACATGATAAGGCGGAAGGGAAACCAGGAGAGTACAGTGCTAGGGAAGCCATGGCCAGACAGTCTCACAGGAGGAAGTGAATACTTATGAATGCCATTGAGAAGTCAAGCAAATGTTAACTGTAAAGTCTCCTTGGATCTACTGACATGGAGGTCATTGGTGATCTTATCAAGAATAGATTGAGTGCAGTGGTTGGAGCAGAATCCAGAATGCGGGTGCGTGAAGAGTGAGTTGGAACTGAGGAAGTGGGAATGGTAAGGGTAGGTACATTTTCAGGTAGCTTGACTGGCAAGAGGAAGATGAAAGACTGAGAGGATAGAAGCTGGAGGGGGATGTGGAGTTGGTATGTTTTTTTTTAAGGTAGAGGATCTACATTGTTTACATGCTGGTAGGGAGATGCTGGTAAAAAGAGTGAGGCTGAGGATGTGGAAGAGAGAGTAAATTGGACAGGTTCCTGAAAAAGTGAAAGGACATGAGCTCTAAAGCATTGAAAGTGGCACTGTTCCTCCCATCAGGTAAGAGAGGAGGAGAAAATTGTGCTTTATATACCGGGGTTTGTAGATTTAGTGGTGAGAACTTGAGGTGGTTTTTCCTCTACTGTCTTACATTTTCTCTTTTATTAGAAGGCAGAGTCATTTACTGGAAGGAAGAGAAAAGAAAGGGATGTCTGAAATTTGAATACAGTAGAAAATGTTTCAAATTGTCTCATGGGAAAGTAAGTTAATTAGAGGAAAACACGGTTTTTGGGAAATGTTGAGGGCCTGGTTAAAATTGGAGGCATGAATTTATAGTGGTACCAATTCATGGTTTTTATTGATTTATTTTCCTGCCAGCTGCTCAAGACAGTGGGAGTGCATGGCCCAAGGGAGGCCAATGGAGTTCTTCTAGGATTAGAATTTTGCCTGGTGGCTAGAGTAAAGGACAAAGGGACAAGGTAGTTTACAATATTGGCAAGAGAGTGATGAGAAGATGGTCTATGGAACCTAATCTGGAATTCAGAGGGAAGGACAGGAACAGTCGGAAGAGTTGATACAGGGGAAGCAGAATCAGTGCACTAGAGTTCTTGAGAAGGTTGAGAAACAGGTATCCCAGGAGCAGATGAACAAAGAACAAGCAGGCTGGAAATTGTAGGAAATGGACATCCAAGAGCAGGATGTCTTCATTTAATACCTCAGAAGAAGAGCAATTCCAGATGTTGATACAGTAGGTGGTGTAACCAAGTTAAGAGTGGTAGAGGTGGAAGGAAGAGGAGGTCGTTGGAGTTGAGCAGCTCAAGAACCTGAGAAGTCCAAGCCCACTTGGACATCATGTCACCTCCAGTGGTGGTGGAAGTAGAAAGGAAGACTGAATTAGGTGCTGATATCTTCATCGAACAAGAAGACTTGCCTAGGAGGCTAGTAGATGATAACAAGTAAGGATGGTACAGCAATTGAGATTAGGAGGATTAGTGACTCTATCCCCAACCTCCTTTGGATATGTAGGTACTGGTGACACTTCCATTATTGCAGCCTGCTGCCACCATACTGTCCTTTTTCTAACAGGCTGCTAGATGGTTGACACAAACCAGAGAATCTGTAAATAGAAGGAAAAATGGAGGCTGAAGAAATTCTACTTTGATTTTTCTCCTTCTTCAATGTAAGCTTCCCTTAAAATAAAAAAATTGGAAGAGACCCAACCCAATCTGTAAGGTGCAGGACATTTTTGTGGATTATATTTTTTAAAAGTTCTGTGTAACTGAGTTTTATGAATTACATGATTACCTTTATCTGGAGGAAAATATCGCCTTTGAAATACAAGTCATGTCTTAATAGTGGAAAGAATGGATGCTTTATTCACTTGTCTCTAAACTCAAAACAGGTTTGTTTGGTTATTGTTTAGGCTGTTGGAGAGAAAGTAGTGAGAGATGCATTTCCGGAAGCCATTATCGTAAAGCCGTCGGACATCTTTGGAAGAGAGGATAGATTCCTTAATTCTTTTGCAAGTACGTATTCTTTCTTAATGGTAGAAGAGAGGGATACTGATTAACCAAGTTGAAGCTGCTCAAGCTAACAGTTTTCTCTGATTGACAGACTAAGGATATATTTTTTCTTTCCCAGTTGCCTTTTCCTCCCCTAAGTTTATATTTTCATAGTCAATGTAGTCTTTGTTATATTCCATATCAAAAGAAGCAACTTAGATTAATGGAAAGAGCATGAACTTGGGAGTCAGAGACTTGAGTTTAAGTCTTGGCCCAGCTAACTCTGTGACCTTGGCAAATATTCGAATATCACATGGAATAGTTTCTCTATCCTAAAATCCCCTGTGTTATATGTATTGATTCTTACCCTCCTACCCACCCCTAACCCCAGACAACCACTGATCTTTTTATTGTCTCTATAGTTTTGCCTTTTCCAGGATATTACATATATGGTTAGAATCATTGCAGTATGTAGCCTTTTTAGGTGGACTTCTTTCACTTAGCAATATGCATTTAAGGTTCTTTCATTTCTTTTCATAGCTTGATAGCTCATTTCTTTATATAGCTAAATAGTATTCCATTGTGTATATTCCATTGTATTGGATATTGGTTTATCCAATTTAGATGTTTCTATCTTGTTTTTCCCCCTGTTGCTTGTGTCCACCTAACATCTGTAATAATTTCTACTTAAAAAAAATTGTGGCAAAATATACATAGTATAAAATTTCCCATCTGCTATGGGCTAAATTGCGCCCCCTCATAATTCGTATGTTGAAGCCTTAACACCATTGTGAATTTATTTGGAGTTAGGACTTTTGGAGGAAATTGAGGTTAAATGAGGCCATAAGGGTGAGGTCGTAATTCAGTAGGATTGGTGACCTTATAAGAAGAGGCAAAAAGAGAGATCTCTCTCTCCCTGTGTGCACATACTGAGGAAAGGCCATATGTGAGGACACAGCAAGAAATCTGCTGTCTACAAGCCAGGAAGAGAGCCCTTATCAGGAACCAAACTGGCTGGCACTTTGATCTTGAATTTGCCAGCCTCCAGAACTGTGAGAAAATACATTTTTATTGTACAAGCCACCCAGTCTATGGTATTTTGTTATGGTAGCCTGAGCAGACCAAAATAGATTTTGGTACCAAGAAGTGGGGTGCTGCTGTAGCAAATACCTAAAAATGTGAACGTGCCTTTGGAACTATGTAAAGGTAGAGGCTAGAAGAGTTTTGAGGTACCTGGTAGAAATATGGACGTTAAGGGTGATTTTTGTAAGGTCTCAGATGGAAATGAGTAAGATGTCATTGGAAACTGGAGGAAAGGTGATCCATATAATAAAATGGCAAAGAAATTGGCTGATCTGTGTGTGTTCTAGTGGAAGGTAGAACTTGTGAGTGATGAAATTGTTTATTCAGCTGAGAAGATTTCTAAGTACAAAGTATTGAAGAAATGCCTTGGTTCCTCCCGACTGCTTACAACAGAATAGAAAAAGAGAGAAAGAGGAAATGAAGAAGGACTTGTTAAGCAAAAAGGAACCGGAACCTGAAGATTTGGAAAATTCTCAGCTTATCCATATTGCAAAAAATGAGAAAGCTTGTTTTGAAGAGAACACTAAGAGTGTGGCTGAACAACCATTTGATGAAGAGATTGTGGATGCGACTCACCAACTAACAAGCTATCTTGGCAGAAGCCAGGAATAGAGATGAGATTACATCAGCAAAGTCACCACCAGTTTGAACTAGAAGGGGCAGAATGAAAGAAGCCTGTCTGACTTCTGATATCCTACAGGACCAGACCACAGAGCTATTTGGCTGTGAATTTGAGCTATTCTTCAAGAAAAGGGAAGAATGACCCCAAAAGGGGTTCAGAGATGTTTAGAACTATCTCTTTGGTTTCAAAGGATGGGGCCATTGCCTCAGTTTAAACACCACATGGCCTTTGTCAGAGGCCTTGGAGGTGGGACCACCCAGAGTCTTGGAGGTACAGCTGCCTGATCCTTGGGGCTACAGCCCCCTGGAACCTTTGAGGTGTTGACCCTCTGCCCAGGAGAGCTATTGGGGTGGGGCTGCTGCCCCAGTAGGTCCTAGAAGTTAGAACTACCGCTTCAGTGGGTCCTGAAGGTGAGACCACCACCTCTGTGAATCTAGAAGGCAATGCATCTAGGCAAAGAAGATTATTGATTTTTAGTAGCCACCCTAATAGGTGGTGTTTCATTGTGTGTGTGTTTTTATTAGATTCTAAAATCTAATAGAATTTACCTTGCTAAGTTTTGGACTTACTTGGGAGTTGTTACCCTTTCTTTCTTACGTCTTCCTTTTAGAATAGGAATGTCTATCTTATGCCTGTCTCACGGCTGTATTTTGGAAGCACATAACTTGTCTGGTTTCACATGTTCATAGTTAGGAATTTTGCCTCAGGATGACCCACACCTTGAGTCTTACCTATATCTGATTTAGATAATATTTGGATGCGACTTTGGAGTTTAGAGTCTTGAGACTAAGACAAGATTAAGACCCTTTTAACTATTTGTAAGAGTACAGTTCAGTAGTATTAAGATATTTACATTGTTGTACAACCAATCCCCAGAACTTTTTCATCTTGTAAAACTGAAATTCTGTACCCCTTAAACAACTCTCTGTTCCCTCCTTCCCCCCAGCCCCTGGCAACTACCATTCTGC
Source organism: Homo sapiens (assembly GCF_000001405.40). Taxonomy (NCBI): domain Eukaryota; kingdom Metazoa; phylum Chordata; class Mammalia; order Primates; family Hominidae; genus Homo; species Homo sapiens. The sequence continues at coordinate 4,665,285 of NC_000012.12, forward strand.
TTTTGGTTTCTATGAATTTGACCACCTCATATAAGTGGAATCATACAGTATTTGTCTTTTCGTAGCTGGCTTATTTGACTTAGCATAATATGCTCAAGGTGCATTCCTGTTGTACCACGTGATGTGATTTCCTTCCTACTGAAGGCTGAATAATATTCTGTGATATGTCTATACCACATTTTGTTTAATAAGCCATCCATCAATGGATACTTGGATTTCTTCCCACTTTTGGCTATTGTGAATAATGCTGCAATGACCATGGATGTACGAAATATCCCTGATTTCAGTTATTTGGTGTATGTACTGAGAAGTGGAATTCTGTAGCATATGGTATATCTATTTTTACTTTTTCGACAAGCCACCATAGTGTATTCCACAGTGGCTGCACCATTTTACATTGCCACCAACAGTGCACAAGGTTTCCACTTTCTCCAGATCTTTGTCAATATTTGTTATTTTCTGTTTTTTTTTTTTTTTATAATAGCCATCCTAATAGTTCTAAGGTGGTATTTCATTGTGTGTGGTTTTTTTGTTTTTGTTTTTGAGATTGGGTCTTGCTCTGTCACCTAGGCAGTGATACAATCACAGCTCACTGCAGCCTTGAACTCCTGGGCTCAGGGGATCCTCTTGCCTCAGTTTCCTACATAGGTGGGACTAGAGGTGTGTACCACCACACCTGGCTTAAAAAATATATATATTTTTGTAGAGACAGGTCTTGCTCTCTTGCCCGGGCTGGACTCAAACTCCTGGCCTCAAGCAGTCTTTTTGCCCCAGCCTCCCAAAGTTCTAGGATTATAGGCATGGGCCACCACGCCTGGCAACAATGTGGTTTTGATTTATGTTTTCCTAATGATTAGTGATGTTGAGCATCTTTTCATGTGCTTTTTGGCTACTTTATTATTTGGAGAAATGTCTGTTCATGTCCTTGGCTAATTTTTAAAATTGGGTTGTTTATTTTTTGTTATTGAGTTGTAGGAGTTTTTTTATTTATTCAGAACATTAAATACTTATCAGATATGTGATTTGTAAAATTTTCTCTCATTTTTTAGTTTGTCTCTTCACTCTGTTAATTGTGTTCTTTGATGCACAGAAGTTTTAATTTTGATGTAGTCAGGCTTATCTATTTTTACTTTTGTTGCCTGTGCTTTTAGTATTGTATCTAAGGAGTCGTTGCCAAGTCCAATGCCATGAAGCTTTCTCCTTTTGTTTTTGTCTAAGAGTTTTAGAGTTTTAGCTCTTAGGTTTAGGTCTTTGATCCATTTTGACTTAGTTTTTGTATATGGTATGAGGTAAGGGTCCAATTTTATTCTTTTGCATGTGGTTATCCAGTATGTTGAAAAGATTATCTTTCCCCATTGAATGGTCTTGGTGCTTTTGTCAGAAATCATTTGACCATATATGCAAGAGTTATTTTTCTCTATTCCATTGCTCTGTATGTTTTTCTTTACGCCACTGTTTTGATCACTACACTGTTTTGATTACTGTGCCTTTGTAGTAAGTTTTGAAATCAGAAAGTGTGTGAGACTTCCAAAAATTTGTTCTTTTTCAAGATTGTTTTGGCTATTTAAAGGAATCCCTTTAAATGTCATATGAATTTTAGGATGGAGTTTTCTATATTTTTGCAAAAATAAAAAGCCATTGGGATTTTGATAGGGATTGCATTAAATCTGAGATTGCTTTGGGTAGAATTGACATATGTCTTAGTCCATTTTGGGGTACAACAAACGTTGAGTAATTTATAAAGAAGAGAAATTTATTTCCAACAGTTCTGGAGGCTGGGAATCTCAAGATCCAGGTGCTGTCATCTGGTGAGGGCCTTCTTGCTGTGTGCTCACATGGTGGAAGGTGGAAGGGTGAAAGGGACAAATGCTATGTCCCCACATGGCAGAAGAGGAGAAGAGCAAGCTAGCTGAATGCTTCATGAAGCCTCCTTTATGAGGGCCTTAATCCTATTCATGAGGGAGCACCCTCATGGCCTAATTATCTCTTAGTTCCTATCACATTGGCAACATCTGAACTTTGGAGGGAACATATTTAAACCATAGCAACATCCTAACAATATTAAGTCTTCCATTCCATGAACTTGGGATGCCTTTCCATTTAATTGTGCCTTTAATTTCTTTCAGCAATGTTTTGTGGTTTTCAGCATATGTGTCTTTTGCCACTTTGATAAAGTTTATTTTTAAGTATTTTATTCTTTATTGTACTATTGTGAATAATTTCTACTCTTTTTTTTTTTTTTTTTGAGACAGAGTCGCACTCTGACACCCAGGCTGGAGTGCGGTGGCGTGATCTCGGCTCACTGCAACCTCTGCCTCCCAGGTTCAAGCGATTCTCTGGCCTCAGCCTCCCAAGTAGCTGGGACTACAGGTGTGTGCCACCACGCCCAGCTAATTTTTGTATTTTTAGTAGAGATGGGGTTTCACCACATTGGCCAGGCTGGTCTCAAACTCCTGACCTTGTGATCCGCCCATCTTGGCCTCCCAAAGTGCTGGGATTACAGGCATGAGCCACTGTGCCCGGCCTAATTTCTACTCTTAAATGGTTTAAAAAAAAAAGAAAAACAAACAAACAAAACAAAAAAAACTTTTTTAACCTAACATTTAAACTACTTGGGATTTGTTTTAGTTTATGGTGAGAACTAAGACATTATCTCACCTTTTTTTCAAATAGCAGAATAATTGTGCCAGCACCATATATCAACTAATATTTCCATCAGGCCCTTTTTCTGGGTTATCTGTGCTGTATCACTCATCTGTTGATACAGCAGCAGAACTCATCTAGATATTAACTAGATAGACAGCTCATCTGCCATATCAACAGATGAGTATCATAAGGAGGAAGAGTTCCATGTTTCTCCTTAGAATGGGTGCAGCTAGAGTCCAGTCTTGGTCGTAGCGATGCATTTAGCATTGCAGAGCAGACTAGTTGTCTAGACATTTGACCTCTTTTCTTTGCTCTTCATGGTTTTAAACATTTGGCCTTTTTATTTTCCGAGTTTATTATCTGAAAAACTAATGACTGCCTTTTGTAAGTGCATTCACTTCCTCAGAGTCAGCTACATTCATTATATTATTTCTATTATGCACAATAATTATGTTAATCTTAAGACTGTTGGATCTTACAGCAATTTAAGCCTTCTCAGTATAGTTCTCATTCTTTCTTCCGCTAGGTATGCATCGGTTTGGTCCTATACCCCTTGGTTCCTTGGGCTGGAAGACAGTTAAACAACCAGTATATGTAAGTACTTGGATGAAGGGGGTCAGAAAGGGATTTTTGATGAATTCAGATTTGAGTGATCAAGTTTCTGGTTTTGTCCTAATTTAGTAACTCTGTCATTTTCTTTGTCAACTTGTGTCAGCTAGCTGCCTCTTAGTTTACTTAAGAGGTACATGCCTTCTCTGTGTCTTCACTTGTTCATTTAAGAAAAAGTTATTGAACTCATAATGTGCTAGACACATCATACATGTCACATGTCACTAGGGAAATAAAGATATTAACTAGATAGACACAAATTGCTGTTCTCAAATTGCTTTCAGTCTGAGGCAGATAAATAAAGCAGTTATTGTACAACGTGATGAGTGCTATGATAAGGAGAGGGTTTTATGTAATTACATCAGAAGGGCACCTAATCTAGACTTGGGCATTTCAAAAGGAAGGGCATTTAGGGTAAAACCTTAAAGATGACTAAAGGTAAGCCTGATGAAAGGAGTTGGGGAAGAGTATTGCATGCAGAGGGAACAGTATATACAGGGGCCCAGAGGTGAAAGAGCATGTTGGATTCCATGTTAGATTGAACCAAGTTTTCTCAGTAGTGGCACTATTGACATTTTGAGCCAGATAATTCTTCGTTATGGGGGTTGTTAAAGGGTGTTGGGCAGCATTCCTGGCTTCTAGCCACTAGACGCCAGTCACACCACCCTTCAGTTGTGACAACTGAAAATGACTCTAGACAGTTGTCAAATGTCCCCTGGGGGCCAAAATCACTATTACTATTACTGTTTTTGAAAATCAAAATGGTAGAATATTAGCAATTCCATGTGGTTAAGCCTAATAGCTTGTGATGGTTAATAAGAGAGTTGGGAATGGTAAGAGATGAGCTTGGCAAGTTGTGGGCAAAAGCAAATCAGAGGGGCCTCAAGCTATCTGAAGGTAAGTGCATTCCTACTACAGAAAATACTTGGATGAGCCTTGGATTATGCGTACTTGGAAAATACTTGGATAGCGGTGATTATTTGAGCTCTTGAGAAGGCTCATTCTTTTAAGAAGCTTTCTGGGAATAGATAATGCCATTATTTTAACTTCACATTTTCTTTGTTGAGATCAGTGTGGCCTTCCTCCTTTCTCCTTCCTTCCTTCCTTCCTTTTTCTCTTCTTTCCTTTCTTTCTATCTCTCCATCTCCCATTCTGTCTCTTTTTCAACAATTACTTAGACATATATTATAATTTCTTACAGGTCGTAGATGTATCCAAAGGAATTGTTAATGCAGTTAAGGATCCTGATGCCAATGGGAAATCCTTTGCTTTCGTTGGGTAAGTGCTTAGAGTTTGAATTTTAAATTGTGCTATTATAATGAAGGAATCAATATCTAAATTAGTTACTAACAGATTTATTTGTTGCACTTTTACAATATCAAAATCTCCTCATTGCTTGCATTAAATCAGAATTTGAGGGAACCTGGAATCTACTTTAATGAATGATTCTTCTGTTACCAAGGTCTGAGAACCACTGCCCTAGACTATTACATATACTTAGTCCAGTGACCCTTAGGGATGGTTTTGTACTACTCCAGTGATGTTTTTAATATATAAAAGGATATTGCTGTAAATTCTAAAACACAAACAAAACACTTTTAGGGAGTAAGTATGGTTATAAAACCACATTAATTTTGATGGAGTATCACAATGCCTCCAGAGGCTGAAAAACGGGTGGTTTATAGCACAATTACTAGTGCTGTGCGAGATTGATTATTTCTTTTATGCTCTTTGCTAAAATTTGCTTTCAGAAAAAAGGGGTACAGTTAAGCTATGTGGCTTACCTGAAATTACTAAATCATGTGACAGCTAAGCTTAGGAATTTTTTTGCTGAATTAACTAAAAGTCAAAAACTAAGACTTCATTTGCCAAGTTGAGAGGTATCAAATTCACCTGGTAAGTGGTTCATAACCCTGTGATTCTGTGAAGCAAACTAGTGACACTTGACATCTATGAAAGTTAAGGATCTGGCTCAGTAATTAAGGGATAGCCTAATTCATAAGAAATGTTTGCCTCTAGAGGAAAATGACACTGTTCTCTTTAAGCCAAGAGGCATAGAATATACTCCCAGAATTCTGAATCTATACATTGTTATGTTCCACTATTATTATTTAATACATAATTTTTTTCAGTGTGAAAGTCTTGGTTTTCCATGTCAACTAGCAGCTGCAAAATATATTTCTCCTTTTCAGTTCCCAGTTTGGTACATTAGCATGCAATCAGTTATATAGTCTAGATAAGAATTACAATTCAATATATTCAATACAGGTTTCATAAAATACTACACAAAAGACATTAGTTCCAGTGAAGAGGTACATGGACTAGGATTTCAGGGAATAAATGAGCGGAAATGGCTTTGTGAACTTTACTTGCTCTAGCTCTGGATGAGTTGCACATTTTCCTTTTTACCTTTGCCCAGCCATTATCCTTTTGTCTGGGCTCCAGTAAGTCATTCTTGTTTGGCGTAACGATGGGAAAAATAATACTAGACATTGCAGTGTAGATATTTTTCCTCTTGAAATTGTAGATAGGTATCTACACATTTCTCATCTCTTCAGCCCCAGGAAAAAACTTTGCTTCTTTCTCTGATATTTTGAGGCTAAGGCAGTGGCATAAGACTATAATTTTCCTCCTAGGTTTTTTGTAATTATGAATTATATTATGTTGGTCCATTCTATTTGCCATTCATTCATAAAATACCTATTGATACACACTCATACAACATTACACACAACTGTGATGATGAATAAACACATTCAGCAAAATCACGATGTATAAGATCAGCATAGAAAAATCAATATATACTAGTAAATGAACAATGTGAAAATAAAATTAAGAAAAGAATTTTATTCACAGCAGCATAAAAAATAATAGAATATTTAAGTATAAATTTAACAATTAAATTTATTATATTATACCTAATAAGTAATGACATACCATGTTCATGGATTGAATGAGTCAGTATGATTAAAATGATAATTTCCTTCAAATTGATTGACAAATTCAACTTAATTCTATCGAAATTCCAACAGACTTTTTTGCAGAAGTTGATAAATTGATTCTAAATTTATATGGTAATGCAAAGACCCACAATAGACAAAACCATTAAGTTTCATAATTTCAAAACCTAATAGCTATAATTATCAAGATAGTATGGTACTGACATAAGAATTGACGTATAGATGAATTAACCAGAATTGATAGTTCAGAAATAAATCTTTATGGACAATTGATTTTTGAAAAAGGTGCTATGGCATTTCAAAGGGGAAAGGATAGTCTTTTCAACAAATGGTTTTGGGATATCCACATTAAAAAAAAGATGAACTTCGACTCCTACCTTGCTCTGTACATGAAAAAATTAAAATAATTCAGAGACTTCAGTGTAAGAGTTATAAAACAAGGATTGGTGGCAAGATGGCTGAATAGGAACAGCTGCAGTCTGCAGCTGCCAGCAAGATTGACACAGAAGGCGAGTGATTTCTGCATTTCCAACTGAGGTGCCTGGTTCATCTCATTGGGACTGGTTGGACGGTGGGTGCAGCCCAAGGAGGGTGAGCCAAAACAGGGTGGGGTGTCGCTTCACCCGGGAAGCATAAGGGGTCGGGGAACTCCCTCTCCTAGCCAAGGGAAGCCATTAGGGACTGTACCATGCACTCTGGCCCAGATACTGCGCTTTTCCCATGGTCTTTGCAATCCGCAGACCAGGAGATTCACTAAGGTGCCCATGCCACCAGGGCCCTGGTTTTCCAGCACCAAACTGGGCAGCCGTTTGGGCAGACACTGGGCTAGCCGCAGGAGTTTTTTTTCCATATCCCAGTGGCACCTGGAACGCCAGTGAGACAGAACCTTTCACTCCCCTGGAAAGTGGGCTGAAGCCAGGGAGCCAAGTGATCTGGCTCAGCGGGTCCCACCCCCACAGAGCCCAGCAAGCTAAGATCTACTGGCTTGAAATTCTCGCTCCTAGCTCAGCAGTCTGAGTTCAACCTGGGACGTATGAGCTTGGGAGGGAGGGGCGTCCACCATTGCTGAGATTTGAGTAGGTGGTTTTCCCCTCACAGTAAACAAAGCCACCAGGAAGTTCAAACTGGGCAGAGCCCACTGCAGCTCAGGAAGACACTGTGGCCAGACTGCCTCTCCAGATTCCCTCCTCTCTGGGCCAGGCATCTCTGAAAAAAAGGCAGTAGCCCAAGTCAGGGACTTATAGATAAAACCCCCACCATCCTGGGACAGAGCATCTGGGGGAAGGGGCAGTTGGGGGTGCAGCTTCAGCAGACTTTTAACATCCCTGCCTGGCAGCTCTGAAGAAAGCAGCAGATCTCCCAGCACAGCATTTGAGCTCTGATAAGGGACAGACTGCCTCCTCAAGTGGATCCCTGCCCCCGTGTATCCTGACTGGGAGATACATCCCTGTAGGGGCCAACAGACACCTCATACAAGGGAGATCTGGTTGGCATCTGGCAGGTGCCCCTCTGGGACGAAGCTTCCAGAGGAAGGAACAGGCAACAATCTTTGCTGTTCTGCAGCCTCTGCTAGTGATACCCAGGCAAACAGGGTCTGGTGTGGACCTCCAGCAGACCTGCAGCAGAGGGGCCTGTTAGAAGGAAAACTAACAAACAGAAAAGAATAGTATCAACATCAACAAAAAGGACGTCCACTCAGAGACCCCAGCCGAAGGTCACTGACTTCAAAGACCAAAGGTAGATAAATCCATGAAGATGGGGAGAAACTAGGGCAGAAAGGCTGAAAATTCCAAAAACCAGAAAGCCTCTTTTCCTCCAAAGGATTACAACTCCTTGCCAGCAAGGAAACAAAACTGGATGGAGAATGAGTTTGACGATTTGACAGAAGTAGGCATGTTCTAACCCAATGCAAGGAAGCTAAGAACCTTGAGAAAAGGTTAGATGAATTGCTAACTAGAATAACCAGTTTAGAGAACAACATAAATGACCTGATGGAGCTGAAAAACACAGCACGAGAACTTTGTGAAGCATACACAAGTATCAATAGCCGAATCGATCAGGTGGAAGAAAGCATATCAGAGATTGAAGATTAACTCAACGAAATAAAGTGAAAAGACAAGATAAGAGACAAAAGAGTGAAAAGAAATGAACAAAACTTCCAAGAAATATGGGCCTGTGTGAAAAGACCAAATCTACATTTGGTTGGTGTAACTGAAAGTGATGGGGAGAATGGAACCAGGAGCCAAGTTGGAAAACTCCAGGAGAACTTCCCCAACTAGCAAGGCAGGCCAACATTCAAATTCAGGAAATACAGAGAACACCACAAAGATACTCCTCGAGAAGAGCAACCACAAGACACATAATTGTCACATTCACCAAGGCTGAAATGAAGGAAAAAATATTAAGGGCAGCCAGAGAAAAAGGTCAGGTTACCCACAAAGGGAAGCCCATCAGACTAACAGTGGATCTCTCAGCAGAAACCCTACAAGCCAGAAGAGAATGGGGGCCAACATTCAACATTCTTAAAGAAAAGAATTTTCAACCTAGAATTTCACATCTGGCCAAACTAAGCTTCATAAGTGAAGGAGAAATAAAATCCTTTACAGACAAGCAAATGCTGAGAGATTGCATCACCACCAGGCCTGCCTTACAAGAGCTCCTGAAGGAAGCACTAAACATGGAAAGGATCAACTGATACCAGCCACTGCAAAAACATACCAAATTCTTAAGACCATTGACGCTATGAAGAAACTGCATCAACTAACGGGCAAAATAACCAGCTAGCATCATAATGGCAGGATCAAATTCACACATAACAATATTAACCTTAAATGGCTTCCTTGCATTGGCTAAATGCTCCAATTAAAAGACACAGACTGGCAAATTGGAGAAAGGGTCAAGACTCATCAGTTTGCTGTATTCAGGAGACCCATTTCACATGCAAAGACACACATAGGCTCAAAATAAAGGGATGGAGGAATATTTACCAAGCAAATGGAAAGCAAAAAAAGGCAGGAGTTGCAATCCTACTCTGATAAAACAGACTTTAAACCAACAAAGATCAAAAGAGACAAGGGCATTACATAATGGTAAAGGGATCAATGCAACAAGAAGAGCTAACTATCCTGAATATATATGCTCCCAATACAGGAGCACCCAGATTCAAAAAGCAAGTTCTTGGAGACCTACAAAGAGACTTAGACTCCCACACAATAATAGTGGGAGACTTTAACACCCCACTGTCAATATTAGAAAGATCAACGAGACAGAAAATTAACAAGGATATCCAGGACTTGAACTCAGCTCTGGACCAAGTGGACCTAATAGACGTCTACAGAACTCTCCACCCCAAATCAACAGAATATAATTTCTTCTCAGCACCACATTGCACTTCTTCTAAAATTGACCACATAATTGAAAGTAAAACAGTTCTCAGCAAATGCGAAAGAACAGAAATCATAACAGTCTCTCAGACCACAGGACAATCAAATTAGAACTCAGGATTAAGAAACTCACTCAAAACTGCACAACTACATGGAAACTGAACAACCTGCTCCTGAATGACTACGGGCTAAATAATGAAATGAAGGCAGAAATAAAGATGTTCTTTGAAACCGATGAGAACAAAGACACAACATTCCAGAATCTCTGGAGCACATTTAAAACAGTGTGTAGAGGGAAATTTATAGCACTAAATGCCCACAAGAGAAAGCAGGAATGATCTAAAATTGACACTCTAACATCACATTTAAAAGAACTAGAGAAGCAGGAACAAACAAATTTAAAAGCTAGCAGAAGGCAAGAAATAGCTAAGATCAGAGCAGAACCGAAGGAGATAGAGACAGGAAAAACCCTTCAAAAAATCAATGAATCCAGGAGCTGGTTTTTTTCAACAACATAGATAGACTGCTAGCCAGACTAATAAAGAAGAAAAGAGAGAAGAATCAAATAGATGCAATAAAAAATGATAAAGGGGATATCACCACTGATCCCACAGAAATACTAAGTACCATCAGAGAATACTATAAACACCTCTATACCAGTAAACTAGAAAATCTAGAAGAAATGGATAGGTTCCTGGACACATACCCCCTCCCAAGACTAAACCAGGAAGAAATTGAATCCCTTAATAGACCTATAACAAGTTCTGAAATTGAGGCAGCAATTAATAGCTTATCAACCAAAAAAAGTCCAGGACCAGATGGATTCACAGCTGAATTATTCCAGAGGTACAAAGAGGAGCTGGTACCATTCCTTCTGAAACTATTCCAATCAATAGAAAAAGAGGGAATCCTCCCTAATTCATTTTATGAGGCCAGCATCATCCTAATACCAAAACCTGGCAGAGACAGCAAAAAAAGAAAATTTCAGGCCAATGTCCCTGATGAACATTGAATCGAAAATCCTCAATAAAATCCAGCAGCACATCAAAAAACTTATCCAGCACGATAAAGTTGGCTTCATCCGGGGATAAAAGGCTGGTTCAACATATGCAAATCAATAAATGTAATCCATCACATAAACAGAACCAATGACAAAAACTACATGAATATTTCAATAGATGCAGAAGGCCTTCGACAAAATTCAACAGCCCTTCATGCTAAGAACCCTCAATAAACTAGGTGTTGATGGAATATATCTCAAAATAATAAGAGCTATTTATGACAAACCCACAGCCAATATCATACTGATTGGGCGAAAACTGGAAGCATTCCCTTTGAAAATCGGCACAAGACAAGGATGCCCTCTGTCACCACTCGTGTTCAACGTAGTGTTGGAAGTTCTGGCTGGGACAATTAGGCAAGAGAAAGAAATAAAGGGTATTCAATTAGGAAAAGAGGAAGTCAAATTGTCTCTGTTTGCAGATGACATGATTGTATATTTAGAAAACTCCATTGTCTCAGCCCCAAATCTCCTTAGCTGGTAAGCAACTTCAGCAAAGTATCAGGATACAAAATCAATGTGCAAAAATCACAAGCATTCCCATACACCAATAACAGACAAACCATGAGTGAACCAAATCATGAGTGAACTTTCATTCACAATTGCTACAAAGAGAATAAAATATCTAGGAATCCAACTTAACAAGGGATGTGAAGGACCTATTCAAGGAGAACTACCAACCACTGCTCAAGTAAATAAGAGAGGACACAAACAAACAAATGGAAAAACATTCCATGATCATGGATAGAAAGAATCAATACAATGAAAATGGCCATATTGCCCAAAGTAATTTGTAGATTCAGTGCTATCCCCATCAAACTTCCATTGACTTTCTTCACAGAATTGGAAAAATACTACTTTAAATTTCATATGGAACCAAAAAAGAGCCCACATAGCCAAGACAATCCTAAGCAAAAAGAACAAAGCTGGAGGCATCATGCTACCTGACTTCAAACTATACTACAAGGCTACAGTAACCAAAACAGCACGGTACTGGTACCAAAACAGGTATATAGACCAATGGGACAGAACAGAGGGCTCAGAAATAATGCCACACATTTACAACCATCTGATCTTTGACAAATCTGACAAAAACAAGCAATGAGGAAATGATTCTCCGTTTAATAAATGGTGTTGGGAAAACTGGCTAGCCATATGCAGAAAGCTGAAACTGGATCCTTTCCTTACACCTGATACAAAAATTAACTCAAGATGGATTAAAGACTTAAACGTAAGACCTAAAACCATAAAAACCTTAGAAGAAAAGCTAGGCAATACCATTCAGGACATAGGCATGGGCAAAGACTTCGTAATTAAAACACCAAAAGCAATGGCAACAAAAGCCAAAATAGACAAATGGGATCTAATTAATCTAAAGAGCTTCTGCACAGCAAAAGAAACTATCATCAGAGTGAACAGGCAACCTACAGAATGGGAGAAAATTTTTGCAATCTATCCTTCTGAAAAAGGGCTAATATCCAGAATCTACAAAGAACTTAAACAGATTTACAAGAAAAAAACTTCATCAAAAAGTGAGCGAAAGATATGAGCAGACACTTCTCAAAAGAAGACATTTATGCAGCTCAACAAACATATGAAAAAAGCTCATCGTCACTGGTCATTAGAGAAGTGCAAATCAAAACCACAGTGAGATACCATCTCATGCCAGTTAGGATGGCAATCATTAAAATGTCAGGAAACAACAGATGCTGGAGAGGATGTGGAGAAATAGTGACGCTTTTCCACTGTTGGTGGAAGTGTAAACCATTGTGGAAGACAGTGTGGCAATTCCTCAAGGATCTCGAAGTAGAAATACCATTTGACCCAGTAATCCCATTACTGAGTATATATACCCAAAGGATTATAAATTATTCTAGTATAAAGCCACATGCACACGTATGTTTATTACGGCACTGTTCACAATAGCAAAGACTTGGAACCAACCCAGATGCCCATCAATGATAGACTGGATTAAGAAAATGTGCCACATATACACCATGGAATACTATGCAGCCAGTATACAGAAAAGGATGAGTTCATGTCCTTTGCAGGGACATGGATGAAGCTGGAAACCATCATTCTCAGCAAACTAACACAAGAACAGAAAACCAAACACCATATGTTCTCACTTATAAGTGGGAGTTGAACACATGGAAACAGGGAGGTGAACATCACACACTGGGGCCTGCTGGAGGTGGGAGGCTAGAGGAGGGATAGCATTAGGAGAAATACCTAATGTAGATGGCAGGTTGATGGGTGCAGCAAACCACCATGGCACATGTATACCTATGTAACAAACCTGTACGTTCTGCACATGTACCCCAGAAGTTAAAGTATAATTAAAAAAAAAATTTCAATTGGTAAAAATGTAAAAAAATAAATAAAAGAGTTATAAAACTATAATAATTTTGGAAGGAAAATAGAAAATCTTCTAGACCTTGGATTCTAGAAGATTTTTACCTATGGCATCAAAAGCCTATTTCATAAAATAAAAAATAAATGGATACATTAGACTTCACCAAAATTAAAGCTCTTGTGTTTCAAAAGACACCATTAAGAAAATGAAAAAACAAGTCACAGATTGGGGGAAAATATTTGTTAATTACATATCTGATAGAGGACTACTATCTAGAATATACAAAGAAATCTTAGAACTCAATGAGAAGATGATCCATTTTTTAATATGAGCAAAAGACATGAATAGGCATATCAGCCCAGCAGATGTACTTAATCACTAAAAAACATATGAAAAGATGCTCCATATCATTAGTCATTACAGAAAATGCAAATCAAAACCATTATGAGATACCAGTTCACAGAGAGAAAATAACAAATGTTGAGGAAGACATGGAGTAATGAGAACCTTCATACATTGCTGGTAGGGGTGTAAAATTGTATAGCCACTTTAGAAAACAGTTTGGCATCTTCTTAAAAAGTTAGCATAAATTTACCATATGGCCTATCAATTTTACTCCTAGATATTTACCCAAAAGAAATGAAAATGTGTCTACACAAAGATTTGCACTTGAATTTTCATAGCAGCGTTATCATAAATGCTAAAAATTGGAAACATCCCACATATTCATTAACTGATGAAAGGAGAAATAAAATATAGTAGCATTCTCATATAATAGAAGTTCAACAATAAAAGGAATGAAATATTGACATGTTACATGTGTGAACCTCAAAAACATGGTAAATGAAAGAAGCTAGATACAGAAGATCACATGTTGTGTGATTCCGTTTATATGAAGTATCTATAAAAGGCAAATGTAAGTAGATTAGTGATTGCCTGAGCCTGGGAGTAAAATCCAGGATTAAATGGCTGTGGAGGATCTTACTAGAGTAAGGAAAAATATTCTAAAACTGGATTATGGTAATGATTGTACAACTTGGTAAATGTATGAAAAATCATTGAATTATATGCTTAAAATGGATGAATTTTAATGTATGTAAATTATACCACAATAGTGAATAGCATGGGTAAGATTTCTGCCTTTGTGGAGCTTATAGATTAGTGATGAGATGCATAAGTAATAATTAAGCAAAATAATTAAAATAAATGACCGAAAAGGAAAGTCCAGTTAATTGGAAAGAAAACCAGAAGGAGGAAGTTGGCAACTATATTGGATGCTGCCAGGAGGTTGAGTGAGTGACAGCATAGAGATTCATGGTCACCTTAATGACCTCATTTGAACATTAGGCAAAGGGCAGATTGGATTGCAGTGAGATTTGAATGGCAGGATAGGAAGTGGAGGCAACAGTTAGGTAACTATTTGGAGAAGTTTCCCTGTAAAAGGGAGCAAAGGAAACGGGTAAAGAGAAGGCTATGAAACATGAATGTCTTGTCAAGGGAGGTACCACCCTGGATTTGGAAGATGGTACATCTTGTTTATAAATTGGTAAGAATGGTCCAGGAAAGAGATGTCACTTCATGACTCAGGAGATGAGGCCGACAGAAAAGGAGCAAAGTCCTTCAGGAATTGAGAGGAGTTGGATACAGAGTGCAAATGAGGGTTTGACCTTTGTAAAAGGCAAACATTTCTTCAACTTTAACAAGGAAAAGAATTCAAGGATATATGCAGATGCAGGTAGGTTTGGCTGTGGGAATGTTAGGAGTATCTTTTCTTGTTGGAATGTGAGGTTAGCTAAAAGGCAGGATGGAGTGGGTCAGAAAAGTGTGTGGAAAATTTGAGGACAGAAGATAGAAAGTATGCCCTGGGAGAACAGGAAAGAGCATTTCCTAGGAGAACATGTGGGATTGCCAAGCAGAACTGAGTGTTCCATTGGAAATTACTGATAAAAAAATAAGGTGAAGTCAATCAGTTCAATTGTATTTCGTCTACAGTTTTGTCCTTCTGGGGTTTCAGGCTCAGAGAAGGCACATGTTTGGGTCAACCAGAGTGAGTTTTGCTTAGCAAGTATAGTGGGTAGGGGCCTGGGAGACAAGATTTTGCTGAGGATATTTGCAGAGGAATAACTGTGATGCTGAGCCTTGAAATCTAAGCTGGGAGGATGCGGGCTTCAATGTACCTTTGGCTGTGAGGAAGGGCACTTAAACTAGTGTTCCGGTTGCACTTGATGGAACACAAAGTGCTTCAGAACAGCTGAAAAGGAAACCTATTATGTAGAGTTAGTTAACCCATGATACCAGTTTTGTTTGTCATCGTAAAAATTCAAGTTGCTCTTGGCGTAGCATGTATTATATGTCCTGTAATGATCCTTACAAATCCCTCTGGAATTTGAAGAACCCTGCTAAGGCCTTTGTCTGATATTTCTCCTGGCTGATAGTTTCATGTTTTTTAGTAAAGTATGTCAGAATAATGAGGTTCTCACTGAATTACCTTCACTCAGCTCTTGGTTGTCACAGATTTACTGTCATGAAGCATGCAAATGAATTAGGAAATGGGTAAAGAAATATTAAAATGCATTATAAGCACTGATACTTATTAATGCTAGGTTAAAATCGTACAGAACTATTCAGATTAATGGAATAGAGCGGAACGTTCAGAAACAGTCCCATTATATGTAAGGATATAGTATGTGATAAGGGTGACATTTCAGTATAGGGAAAGAGGCAGTACAGTAAATGATTCTGTAAGTAGCATTGAAGCAATTGGCTTACATCTTGGGAAAAATATAATTACATGTTTACCTTATATAATGTACAAAAATACGTCACAGAAGGAACTTTATAGTAAAAAAAAAATCTTTTTTATAAGGTTTAGACAAAATATGTAGAAATTTATGTCACTGCAGAGGAATTTTCTAACTATGAATCCAAGCCATAAAGAAAATCAGTAGTTTTGGTTAAATTAAACAGTTAAAATTTTATGTGCACAAAACACTGTAAATAACACTAAAAGTTAAAATACAAACAATAAAAGGTATTTCCAACAATATCACTAAAATATAGAGAATTCTTACAAATTATTTTTATAGACAGGGACTCCAGGAGGAAAGAAAAGATAGATGTATAAATGACCAAAAATTCGTGAAGAAATGATCTCTCATATTAAAGACATAATAATTAAAACATGAGATACCTTTTTTTTTTTAACCTAGCAGATTGGCAAAAATTTTATTTTCTTATGACAACTCATTTCGGGTGGAGGGGGCATTCTTATATATAATTACATATATATAATTATAATTTATATAATTATCTAAAATGTTATATACTTAACATTTTATATAAATTGATAGAACCATTTTGAAAAGCAGTTTAGAAGTATTCAATAAAAGCCTTAAAATTTTAAAGTCTACATTGACCCAGTTCCACTTCTACAAATATATTCTAAATGCGTAATCATGGATAAGTACAAATATTTATTACAAGAATGTTCATTAAAACATTATAAAAGAAAAAAATTTTAATAGCATAAATATCTCAAAACTGGCAATTGATAAAATAATTGTGATTACATGCAGTGTAATATGTTGTCATGAAACATGCAATAAAATAATGATGTGGAAAGACGATTATGATGTAATGTTAAATGAAAAAGACATTACGGAATAGAATGGATTGTGTATTTATTAAAAGCAGAATAATGTATATATGTAAGGGGATGAGAAGGATATAGATCAAATATATTAACTATCTTTCATAATGGGATTATGGGTGATTTTTCTTTGTGCTATTCTGTATCTACTACAGTGCATATATGTTTCCTTTTTTATAAGGAAAATGTTATTTTGTTATAAAGGAAACTTTGTGAGAAGCGTGTAATTGAAAGAACTGTGTATTGTCTTTTTATAGTCCCAGTCGGTACCTCCTTTTCCACCTGGTGAAGTACATCTTTGCTGTGGCTCACAGATTGTTCCTCCCATTCCCCTTGCCGCTTTTTGCCTATCGGTAAGTAGAGTGCTCCTTTTGTGTGACTTCTGAAAAAGCCAGCTCCACACACTTGTTCCTAATGTTCTCCCTTAGGGTTATAGGGTGTGTGAAGGGCTGGTCTCCAGATCTCCTAGTGTTATGACATTAGCATAGAGAAGAAGCAGAAATAGATTAGTGTTGGTTAAAAAAAAATATATTGGAACATTAAATCTTCCCAATTCCCAAAAGTGAATCTTCCCACTTCCCAAAAGTGAAGATGCAGTTCTTCACTTTCTCCAATTTAAAACCATCGAGTTTAATTTTGGAGAAATATCTTGCTAGGCACATATGTAAGGGGCAGTCAGGTTCCCCTGTGTTTCATGTCGCTCATTATTAAATCAACCTGATCATGCTATTGGGGAAAGGAGTCAGGCTAATTCAGACTTGGATTTGTGGTTGCCTTCTCTTCTTTCCCTGCTTCTTAGTTTACTTCTTCTCTTTGTGGGTTAAATATCTTTGACTTGGCTGGGAGTGGTGGCTCATGCCTATAATCCCAGTACTTTGGGAGGCCAAGGAGGGCAGATTGCTTGAGCCCAGGAGTTTGAGACCAGCCTGGGCAATATAGCGAAGCCCCATCTCTACAAAACATACCAAATTAGCTGGATGTGGTGGCATCTGCCTGTAGTCCCACCTACTGGGGTGGAGGTGGGGTGATGCAAGAGAATTGCTTGAGCTTGGGAGTTCAAGGCTTCCAGTGAGCTGAGATTGTGCCACTGCACTCCAGCCTAGGTGACTGCTACTGCGCACAGTGGTGCACACCTATAGTCCCAGCTACTTGGGAGGCTGAGGTGGGAGGATCACTTGAGTTCAGGAGTTTGAATCCAGCCTGGACAACATAGTGAGACCCTGTCTCTGGAACAAAAAAAAAAAAAAGAAAGAAAAGAAAAACCTACTGCCCTGAGGTAACTGTTGATGGGAGCTCCTTTCTCGTCCTAGGTTTTATATTGTCCTGATTTGAACCAAATAAAATAAAATCTTGAACTTACCATGTCACACCCTAGTGGTCTGGTTAAGGAGACTGTCACATCCATTGTGCCACAAACTGATCTTCATTTGGGTTTTCATCCATTCATTCAACAAATGTTTATTGAATGCCTACTATGTCTTAGATAATGTACTAGGTACTCAGAAGGTTACAACAAACACTCAAAAATCTTATGGTCAGAATGTTACAACAAAAACTCAAAAATCTTATGGTCTAACAGGGGTACCAGAAAAATAGACCACTAGAATGCAGGGTGATAACGATATTTATTGAGTGTTACACCTTTCAGACTATTCACTTTGTCTCCTTTAATACTCAGTTATCTATAAAGTAAGTAAGGAGAGTATGTGGAGTGAGTGGAAGAGGAGGCCACAGAGTAAGAGAAACTTACAAGAAGGCCAAAAAGTGATCAGGCATTTAAGTGGGAAATGAGAGTTTGGAATTCTAGATACCAAAGGGAATGGAGTGTTTTCAGGAGAGAATCGATGTTTTAAGAAGGGGAACATTGCTGTTCATTCACATGTATCTCAAGCCCCTAGAACAATGCCTGGTACACATTAGGCACTCTGTTAATATTGGTAGAATGAAGTCTTACAGAAAAGTCAAATAAGATAAAGGACCAAAAAATGTCTACAAATGACCATTGTGACCGTGGCTTCAGTGCCGTGAAAGGGATATAAGCCAGATTGCAGTGAGGCACTTTCATGGTTGTATATAAAATTGAGTTAGAGTTGGCTTATGTATGCCCATGACATGGCCCACTGAGGACACTAGAATAGAGACCTGAAGTGATCTGTTAGCATAGAATGAGGGCACAGAGAGTTAGAGGTTTGTAATGAGTGTTTTTATTAAGCTATGTTAGCCCAATAAATTATTTTTTTCTGCCGTTGAGGAATCTGAGGCTTTATATGTTGCTGGAGAAATTCCAGCCAGCTTCCTTTTTCATTTATTTATACTATGCATTAGAATGTTGTTTTTCAAGCCTTTAAACGGCTGTGGAACCCTGTGCTCACTGAAGTTTTACGTCAAGTCCTGCTGGGTAAATCCAATAAAAGAGCTGGTCTGGTTGCAGTGATGGGTGATACTCAACGCATGTACTCCCAAACCCTTGGCCCCCCAGGACTCTGTGGGGCCCCAGCAAATTCCTAGTGTTCCTCAGATGCTAGTTGAAAACCCACTGCTACTGGGCACAGTGGTGTACACCTGTAGTCCCAGCTACTTGGGAGGCTGAAGTGGGAGGATCACTTGAGCCTGGGAGTGTGAGTCCGGCCTGGACAACATAGTGAGACCCTGTCTGTGGAACAAAAACAAGGAAAGAAAAGAAAAAGTCACTGCCCTGAGGTAACTGATGATGGGAGCTCAAGTGGCACGTAAGGAGCCCTTCAATTTTCATTAGCAGTGAAGAGATGGCAGTAATGAAGATAGGTGGCCTTTTCCGTTTTGGGTTTTATATTGTCGTCCTGATTTGAACCGTAGATTTTAGCCTTCTCCTTGCTTTTGGATTTTTTTTTTTTTCCTCAAGGGCCCCAGCTTTCAGGGGTTACGTTGTATATTTTACACACCATTCAGCTTGCCCTGCTTCTGTAAAGGCAGCATATTTGAATATCTGAGGTTTAGATTAAATTGAATTTCACAGACTTGATTAAATACTGGAGTTTTTCTGTTTGCTTTGTTGTTTGTTGGTTTTATTTCATTTTAAGTTTAAGATCTGTTGTTTCTTTGGAGGAGAACAAAGTGTACCAGCAGTTACAGCAGCCGACTGGGTTGGCTTGAGAGGAGATGGACCAAAAAGCAGAGGTAGCCTCACAGGTCGAGGTGGTTATTTTCTTAAAAAAAAAAAATCAGTTCAGACTGCTCTACAGCGGTCTGTCTTCCTGCAGTTCTCATAGGCTAGCTTACATCTTGGGCAGAGAGATGCTTATCACATGTGCTATATGTATTTCTCTTTCCAGATGGGTAGCAAGAGTCTTTGAAATAAGCCCATTTGAGCCCTGGATAACAAGGGATAAAGTGGAGCGGGTGAGTACATGTGTGGAAAGCGTCTGCCTGGGCAGATGATGAGGCGTTAGACTTATTTTGCTTTGCCTGCTTGCTTGTTTCCCGGCCCTTGTCTGTTTGCTGTTCTTGCTGTCTGCAGTCAGCCCCTCTACTAGCGCTGAAGCTCATCCACCTGCCCTGCTCCAGGGGGCGGCTCCTCCCTACTTTCTGTCCGTCATTATCAGTGTTTCTTTCTCTGCTTGATCACTCCTGTCAACACACAAAATTGCCTAATAGCTCCCCTGCCAAAGCCTCTCTTCCTCCCATCACTCTTCCAGCTACTTTCCTGTTGTGTCCCTTCACATCCTAACTCCTCCTAACTTCCTCCTAACGTCCTGAAGAAACTGTTGACAGTTTCTTCCTTCTTTCTTTAACCTACTCCAGTCAGGCTTTTATTCCCATTTCTCCCCTAAAATTGCTCTTTTCAAGGTTATCCACAATCTCCAGTCTCCTTGCTGCCACATCCAATGGTCAGTTCTCAGACCTCATGTCATGTGCCTGTGCATTTGCTTCTAGGGAGGATGCAAAATAAAATAAAAATACTATACCAATACCACATCTACCTTGGAAGACCTATGGACCATATATTGGCAAGAAGTAGCCAAATTGTCCCCTGAATGCTGCCTGAAAGCTAAAGTGTAGAGAAGATGAGAAAGTAGTGCTTAGGGAACATGTGGAAGTGGGCAACTCACATACTTTCTTCAGACATGGTCTATGAAAGATCAGGCAGGATCGCTGGTTGTCAGACACTTCAGTTTATCTTACACTAAAGTGTCTCTTACGTTTATACTTGAGAAAGTGTTGATACAGTGGCCTGAGTAGGTTTTGGATTTGGTTTGCAGACTGGCTTACAGCCCTCTGGTAAAAGAATTGCAGACTTTCAGGTGGGTAGGATGAGGGATTGCTGCTGCTCTAGGTGCAAATGGATTCTATTTATGTGGTTTTGAATAATAATCTGGGATGTTTGCAAACTTTACAGTTCATTATCTTTCCCTATAAACAAGATGGGTTTGGTTTTCTAGCTCTACAGTGAGCATTAGTCAACCAGGTTGAGTACAGCTGGAGCAAAAAAAGTTACTTGTTTTTTTTTTTTTTTAATGGGCAAGGAACAAATGTTGTGTTATCTCCTAAATTCAAAGTTAAAACTGAGTCAGAACGCCCGTGCTCAGAAAACAGGGGCGTGAGAGGACTGAGGAATGGACCAGCTCTGCTTAAGCCCTGATTTTATTCCTAAACCCTCCTGTTCAGCCTCCCCTGGCAAGTGTGGTGACTTGTGCTTCCCTGCCCTAGATTTATTTCTGTTGAAATCTGTATATAGAATGGCTCATGTAGTGCCAACATCCTGTGCTCGCGGCTGCCACTGGGGACCTCGATCTGATACTTGGTGATCTCGCCCTCTTTTGTCTTAAGCCCTCTTTGTGTGTTCTGCTTTTATAGTGATTTGCATGAATCGAAAATTGCCACATATTCTTTGAAAGCAATTAAGTCTCAATAATAGGACTCATGCCAGCTTGAATGTTTAAGTGCCTGCTAGGATAGCACTTTGTTCTCAGCCAGTTTTCAGCATTGTCTGTGGTCCTTTGTTTATCCAAAGATGCACATCACAGACATGAAATTGCCTCACCTGCCTGGCTTAGAAGACCTTGGTATTCAGGCAACACCACTGGAACTCAAGGCCATTGAGGTGCTGCGGCGTCATCGCACTTACCGCTGGCTGTCTGCTGAAATTGAGGATGTGAAGCCGGCCAAGACCGTCAACATTTAGTGCCTCCTGAGCAGCTCTTGGTTTTGGCGTCTTTTGGGTCGGCCCATGTGGTTTGAGCACCCAGCCAGGCGGTCTCTTTAGAGGATCCTGTACACAGTTCCACTATTAAAACATTTCAGGTTGAATTCTGCAGTATTTTCTTCCTTGATTTACAAAATGAGAAATGTAGTCACTTAGAACTTGAGCATGATTTTTGTTAAACATATTTAATAATGATATATATACTATTTATTCTCTGAAATGCCAGAGAGTTTGAATTTTCCTATGACAAACCACTTCTAGCATACGTTCTAGAAGACAAGGACCCTTTTTAATGTCAAAGTATTGTAAAGACCCCAAGTGATATGTGATTGTTTTTTAATTTCCATTAAATGAGAGAGCATACAGTATCCCCTAACCTGAATGTGTTTACACTGAAGGTGTTTTTAAAATTTATTTTAATAATGTCCATATGCCTTTTAAAAATAGTAGTACATATATAGAAAAACATTGTCCATAGATTCTCAAACCCCTTGCAGTAATTCCACAGTCTTCTTGGATCTGAGCTATCTGAGGCCAGCCCGATGCCCTTAGTACCACATCTGGATTATTTCAGACACATAGGTGGAGATAGATTCTCTTCACATGCAAAGGAGATGCTTCAGCTTCTATGCCAGCAGTGCCAGCACTTAGGAATTATGACCTTCTAATGAAGTTCTTAAAATTGCAGCCAAGACCCAGATGAACATTTGGTTTAGTGTTGGCAAATCCCACCAGTACAGTGTGATTTAAAACTCCCACAATTTGTGGTGAAGCCAACATACCACCATCCTAGGTGACCCAGGGTTGGTCATTGTGTTTCACTGGACTTCAGCCTCCTGATCTATATTTGGGACAGGGATGTCAGTAAAAACGCTGTTTGATGAGGGAATGCCCGTCTCCTTACAGAGAGAAAGGTATATCAGTGTTGAAGGTAAGTTCTCCACCTGCCCTTTCTGCCTGCATCAGAATCTTTTTATCCCAAAACGGTCAACAGTGAGCTACTCCAAGTGTGGTCCATAGATCACCAGCATTGGGATCATCTTGGGGCTTGTTAGAAATGCAGAACCCGGGCTGGGCACAGTGGCTCACACCTGTAATCCCAACGCTTTTGAGTTGCTGTGGTGGGACGGTCGCTTGAGGCCAGGAGTTTGAGACCAGCCTAGGCAATATGGCAAGACCTTGTCTCTACAGAAAAATTTCAAAAAGTTAGTAGGGCATGGTGGCACGCACCTGTAGTCTCAGTTATTCGGGAGGCTAAGGTATGATGATTGCTTGAGCCTGGGAGTTCAAGGTTACAGTGAGCTATGATAGTGCCACTGCACTTCAGCTTGGACTGAAGATCCTGTCTCAGAAAAAAAAAAAAAAAAAGGCAGAATCCTAGGTTTTGTCCTGTCCCAGGCGTGTTGAATCAGAATCTGCATTTTAGCAAGGTCTCCAGGAGATTTGTATGCACATTACAGTATGAGAAGCACTGCCATACAGAAGAGCTGTATCAGAGTTCAGTGTGATCCCTGTTATTAATCCAGGTTGCTGACCCCACCCCAGACCTACTGAATCAGAGTCTCAGGAAGGAGGGCCCAGGAATTTTAGTTTTATTAAACATTCTAGTTTATTCTCCTGTACACTAGTATGTCAGAATCAGCGTACTAGGGAAAGGAACACAAACCCAACTTCACGTTTTTTCTTCAGATGCTGTCTGTTATTTTGGATGACACCCCTCCTGGCCATAAGCCAGCCATTAGGCACAGAGATGGGTGGATTTAATTTGAAAAGGAACTATAATTCTATAATGCACAGTGTCCTCTCTTAGAATATCTACACTTTCTTTCCTTTTTTTGATTCTTAAAAAAAAACTTATTGATACATAATAGATGTAAATATTGTCAGGGTATATGTGGTAATTTGATATATTCATATAATCAATCAGTGTAATTGGGATATCCATCACCTTAAACATTTACCTTTATGCTAGTAACATTCAAATTACTCTCTTCTAGCTATTTTGAAATGTACAGTAGATTAGTATTAACTCTAGTTACCCTACTGATCTATTGAACACCAGGTCTTACTTCTTCTGTCTTAACTGTAATTATCTTCATTTTCTAGCAATGCTATTTCTCATCTCTAACTTGTATCATCTCAGGATGCTGTATATTTCTTTTATTTTTTATTTTTTATTTTTTTATTTTTATTGATCATTCTTGGGTGTTTCTCGCAGAGGGGGATTTGGCAGGGTCATAGGACAATAGTGGAGGGAAGGTCAGCAGATAAACAAGTGAACAAAGGTCTCTGGTTTTCCTAGGCAGAGGACCCTGCGGCCTTCCGCAGTGTTTGTGTCCCTGGGTACTTGAGATTAGGGAGTGGTGATGACTCTTAACGAGCATGCTGCCTTCAAGCATCTGTTTAACAAAGTACATCTTGCACCGCCCTTAATCCATTTAACCCTGAGTGGACACAGCACATGTTTCAGAGAGCACAGGGTTGGGGGTAAGATCATAGATCAACAGCATCCCAAGGCAGAAGAATTTTTCTTAGTACAGAACAAAGTGAAGTCTCCCATGTCTACTTCTTTCTACACAGACACAGCAACAATGTGATTTCTCTATCTTTTCCCCACATTTCCCCCTTTTCTATTCCGCAAAACCACCATCGTCATCATGGCCCGTTCTCAATGAGCTGTTGGGTACACCTCCCAGACGTGGTGGTGGCCGGGCAGAGGGGCTCCTCACTTCCCAGTAGGGGCGGCCGGGCAGAAGCGCCCCCCACCTCCCGGACTGGTCGGCTGGCTGGGCGGAGGCGCCCCCCACACAAACACTGAAGCCGTAGCATTGACTAAGGAAACAATTTTACCATCCTAAGCTAGTGGATGTCACCCTCTCAGTGTATGGAGGTTGCATATGACAAGTAACTGGGAGCTGGGCATAAGATCTAGGACACTCATATCCAGGGTGATTCTCTTCATAAGGAGGCATGGGCTGAGTCTCCATTTATAGGGGCTGTCCCCATAGAGACTTCAAGCCACACCTTTCTAGGGATTCAGGTTGCACATTACCTGATTCTCACAGTTGATTTGAGCCTGCAAGACTGTAAACCCATCCCATTATCATGTTTTCTTCCTCATTTACCTACATTTATCATTAAACCTTTGTGATTCAGCAAATCTGTTTACCTTCTGATTCTACTTTAAATTCCGTTCATGTTCTTCCTTGGCCCTCCTGTGTATTTCCCACAGCTTTGCTAGGCCTTAAGATCATCTCACATTCTTCATCCTAATGACAAAAATAAGTTCTATGGGCTGGGCGCGGTGGCTCTTGCCTGTAATCCCAGCACTTTGGGAGGCTGATGGGGGTGGATCATGAGGTTAGGAGTTCAAGACCAGCCTGGCCAATATGGTGAAACCCCGTCTCTACTAAAAAATACAAAAAATCAGCCAGGCATGGTGGGGCCCACCTGTATATAGTCCCAGCCCAGGAGGGAGACTGAGGCAGGAGAATCACTGAAACCTGGGAGGCAGAGGTTGCAGTGAGCTGAGATCACACCACTGCACTCCAGCCTGGGAGACAGAGGGAGACTCTGTCTAAAATAAATAATAATAATAATAATAATAAAGGTACATGATGGAAGCATATATGGGAATATATGCAAAGATCTCTGAGAAGATAAAGAAAGGTCTCTGGAAGGATTAGCAAAAACTCCATAGAAAACGGATTTTTAAAGCTGCATCTTGATGTTAACCTGCTGAAATGTGTGTGTTGGACCGGGGTGAGGAGGAAGCAGTCATTCATGCTGTGGAAGAGAACAGCATGAGCAATTGCAGTGGGGCATGAATGAGTGGGTGGTTATGAGTGGGAGGCAGAGTCCGTGAGTTGGGAGGGGCACAAGCGAGTTTAACCTTTACCTTGGAGGTGATGCAGAGCAGTTGAGTTCCATACAGATTTGGCTTCGAATATGAGTTCCACTACTTCTTAGTTGTGAGATTGGACAAGTCACTTGACCTCTCTTTGTCAGCCTCAGTTTTCTTGTTTATAAAATGGGGGTGATAGTAATAACTACATGATGGGATAGTGATGAGGAATTAAATGAGATCATGCATGTAAAATGCTGAGCCCTGCACATAATAAGAACTAAGTAAATGTGAGCCATTATCATTTAAGTAGGGAATATCATGCCCATCTGAGTCCATACATTTGTTTCCTGACTTAATAAAATAGCTGCCGTTCCTGAGAAGGAGGGATTCCTATTTCCCAAATGCTGGAAACAGGGACTTATAGAAGGTAAATTGCCCCATTAGTAAGTAGCTGAATTGGTTTTCCAACCTGGATCTTTCTGGCTACAAAACTGATGCCTTGTTCCAGAAAGGATTTAAGGATGCTCAGGAGGAAGACATTCCCAGAGTTACACTCTAGAAGGTCTTGGAGTGAATGGGAGGTATAGTGGAATGGAGGGCGTATTTGAAGAAACCCTTCCTGTGAAGGAAAATCCAAGAGAATGAAGTAAGGAGAGACTTAAACTTGAAAAGATTCTTGTGAGAGAAGGAAAGGGGCTATTTACAATAGAGAAGAGACTAGAAGAAAGTCTGAACTCACCTCCCTGGAAGCAGAGGGTGGTGGGGTTTTTGAGGGCTGTGTGAGAGTGTAGAAGTACTGAGAACAAGAAGCCATGTGGATCCTGTGAGGGCCAGGATGGGGGGGGGGGTCATGGGTCATCTGTGTTTGCTGATTGGCTTTATCCAAAGGAAGAGTAAACATCTCATCCTTATGACAGGAAGTAGTCCTGCAGCTTGGAGCAAGGTGCCCACCAAAGTTAGGCACATCCCACAGCAAGTGGGAGAAAGGAGTGCTATCTCCTTTTGAGGTTACATTTCAGAGAATGGTTCCCCTGGGTCCTTGAGAAAGACAGTCCTGGGTTGTAAAACTGGCAAGAGGCTGAGGGAAGATGTATGTCTCAAAGGGGAACTCAAATAATTTATAATTTTAAGTTTTCTGATGCTCTAAGGGAAGTCAGGTGCCTAATATTGGTGATGTGGTTTGGATGTCCCCACCCAAATCTCATGTTGCAATGTAATCTCCAGTGTTGGAGTTGGGGCCTAGTGGGAGGCGATTAGATCATGGAGTAGATTTATCATGAATGATTTAGTACCATTCTCTTGGTACAATCCTCAAGATAGTGAGTTCTTACAAGATCTGGTCATTTAAAAGTGTGAGGCAACTCTCCTCACCCCTTGTTCCTACTCCTACCATGTGAGGTGCTTGCTCCCTTTTCACCTACTGCCATGACTGGAAGCTTCCTGAAGCCTCCCCAGAAGCAGATGCCTATGTGACGCTTCCTGTACAGCCTGCAGAACCATGAGCCAATTAAACCTCTTTTCTTTATACATTACCTAGACTCAGATATTTCTTTATAGCAATACAAGAATGGCCTAATCGTGTTAGGAAGAAGCCTGTCTGAAGTGCAGTCAGGCTGAGGGGAGCATGAAGGCCATCTTGATGGGGGAAATCTTTTAGTACCCTAATGCGAGCAGATGATGATGTTGTTGGCAGAGAGGGAGGGTATAACTTGTGGTGCCTAGCCCTAGAGGGAATGGAAGGGCCAGAATCCAGAGCATAGGTGGGATTGTGTGGGCTGACAAGTAATAGTATATGATAGCATAGTATATGATAGCAGTAGTATACGATAGCATGTGTGTGAGTCCATTTTGTATTGCCATAAAGGAGTACCTGAAGCTGGGTAATTAATAAAGAAAAGGGGTTTATTTGGCTCACTGTTCTGTAGGCTGTACAAGCATGGCACTAACATCTGCTTGGCATGAGCCACCACACCCGGCCAGAATTTTATTTTTAGTGACTAGGCTTTCCTTTAAAACCTCTGTACTAGGCCGGGTGCAGTGGCTCGCGCCTGTAATCCCAGCACTTTGGGAGGCTGAGGTGGGAGGATCACTTGAGCCCAGGAGTTTGAGACCAGCCTGGGCAACAGAGTGAAACCCCATCTCTTTAAAAAAATAAAGCACTTGAAGCAGAACTTTTTATCTGTCATAATCACTGCTATGTCCACAGCACCTAAAACAGTCCCAGACATCTGTTGAATAAATGAATGAATGAGGTGGGAAGTCTTTCTTTACACTTAGATGAAAACTCCATCGGACCCCAAATTGTTCTGGTCTTGTTCAGGTAATAATTTTAATTCTATAATAAAATCTCAAGTTATAATAGGCTCAATTTGATAATTAGGATGCCCAGTGTTGTGTAATAATTAAAGCGTTAAATTTCCTCTCTGCCCCACAGCTGGGATCCAAGAAGACCCTGTGGCTGGCTACTCTTCTGTATTTTCATTTATCTCCACCCCCAGTTTACCAGCAGTGGTTATCCTCTCTCCAAGACTGGGCCAGGGGTGAGAAGGGCAGTCTTACCAGGCAAGGGTCTTTGCTGACAGATGTCTGGGCCTTCTTGACAGCAGGTGTTTAAAGCTGAATCTGGTTCTACTTTCAGGAGAGTGATGGTTTGAGATGGTAACTGAAGTTGTAGAAGTAGATGTTGAGGATGAAGTATCATATTAATAAAACATTGCCCATTAACACCTTAGCACAAATTAAAACTAGCTATACCTCACTGATAAGGACCTGAATGGCTAAATAATGATGAATGATTTATGGATGTAGCGGGGAACTGGGTGGAAGCAGTAGTAAGAAATTTGAATTAAGGAATCGTAAGGGAATCGAGATTATCTAGTTTCCCCTCGACATTTTATAACTGAATAAACAATAAAAAACAAGAGAAGTGACAGCTTTATAGCATCTGATTGGGGAAAAACACATCTTTTCTGGGGCTAGACAGTCCATAAATAGGACTTGGAAATGGAAGTGTAGGGGGAGATCCCATTGTACTTCAGTGGAAAACTATGCATTGTCTGGAATCTAGACTCTGGACAAAGACCCTTCCTTCCTGGCTGTTTGATTTTGATTCTATGGGAGCTATCTTGCAACTCTGTAAGCTGTAGGTAACTGATAGCAGAGCAAAATAATTCTTGTCTATAGACGTGTACATTGTGTCTTAGCGTAGATTCACCCGACCTCCTTCCCCAGTTTTGCTTCTATTAGCACATTTATTTCAGTAATTTTGATCTTTGGATTCTCCTTGGACATTCCTCACTGAAAAATGAAATAAAATTTTTGGCATGTGCTCTTCTTTTGCATCTGTTTGAGAGCTGCAATTTTTACCTTCGTTTCAAAATTATCCTTTAACCAAAGGGACGGTGGTGAACTAGGCAGGCGGAGCTGCCCACTCCAGGTGGTTGTTACCAGGGGAGGGCGCTGGCCAGTGTTGCCAGATCTCCACTTTTTCAAGGGAAGCTGAAAAATCTCATTTTTGTCAATATGTGAAACTTCTTTATGTTTCAATATTGGCAACTAATTGAAAAAAAAAAAAAAAGTGTGCCTAAGAAAACTCACCTGTGGTGGGATCTGTTCCATTGGCCACCTTGTTGGGTCAGGGAAACAGGACATCTGGATCTAAGAAGTGCTGTATGCTGACCTGAAGTGGACCAAGTACTCCTCGTGTATTTTCTCATTCTCACCACAGCCTTGTGAGGTAGATATTGTCATGCCATTTTACAGGACAGCCACACATATGCCAAGTGCCAGAGAGTAAATGGCAACAGCAGGACCAGACCCAGATTTAC
The DNA here is from genome assembly GCF_000001405.40 of Homo sapiens. Taxonomy (NCBI): domain Eukaryota; kingdom Metazoa; phylum Chordata; class Mammalia; order Primates; family Hominidae; genus Homo; species Homo sapiens. The sequence continues at coordinate 4,694,804 of NC_000012.12, forward strand.
TGTCCAGTGCAGTTTTGCTGAGAGCGGTGAGAAGTGGAGGAGGCATCTAAAGGGCTTGCTTTACAATGTTGCCTGGAGCCAGTCCACATCTGAGCCATGGGAGGTCACAAGAAATGTGAGTTGGGAGATCCTTTAACGGAGTGGGATGGGTGGATTTACAAAGAAGCTTCCATAACCCGCCACGTTCTCCAAGTAACCTTGGGTGTGAGCTCCATTTGGCTTTTTTTTTTTCAAAGCAGGCTTTTTAAAGGCAAAATGGGGAACAAGGAGTGAGCTGATACAAAGTTGTTTGTCAGGAATTCTCATTGGTTTATAGAAATAACATTGGTTAGTGATTGGCTATGCATTGTTGAATTACAGGGTATGAGCTACTTGTGTTAGTCAGTCTAGAGTCCATACAGCAGGCAGCTTCAAGAGGTGATTACTTAGCTCAAGGTGGGTGAGTGGGACATGACTGCTGTCTCATTTCAAGGGCCCTCTGAGCCAGGTAATTTAGAGGAGGCTCACATTCCTCAGATAAAAGTTTCTTTTCTTTCTCATCCAAATGACTTTTATCAGTGATTACTAGGTTTTGAAGCCTAATACTTAGATTCTTTCTCTAGGAGAGTCTGAATCTAATGGTTGTAAACCAAAATAAAAACAAAACCATGAGGCCGGGCATGGTGGCTCATGCCTGTAATCCCAGCACTTTGGGAGGCCAAGGTGGGCAGATCACCTGAGGTCAGGAGTTTGAGACCAGCCTGACCCACACGGAGAAACCCCATCTCTACTAAAAGTACAAAATTAGCCGGGCTTGGTGGCGCATGCCTATAATCCCAGCTACTTGGGAAGGCTGAGGCAGGAGAATCACTTGAACCTGGGAGGTGGAGGTTGGGGTGAGCAGAGATTGCGCCATTGCACTCCAGCCTGGGCAACAAGATCAAAACTCTGTCTCAAAAAAAAAAAAAAAAAAAACCACCACGAATAAATTATTAGGAAAGCTGGTGGAATCAGAGGGTGGACAAAAAACAGAGCTTCCACACTCTTGAGCTTCCTTAATATGTTTCATGACATGAAGCATTCCTTCCTTTATCTAAAAAATTGTTGACCTCCTGCCAAATATATCCTTACAGGTAAGGAGAAGTTGGTAGATTTACCTATAGTTGCATAGCTGATATGTGGCAAAACATCAAAGTCCAGAGCTCTAAACGGTATGTCTTGTGGTGCTCATAATTATATGCTCTGAAATAAAAAAGAAGACTATATTACATGCTAATCACTGATAAATCTTTCTGCGATGCCGGTTCAATTGCCTTCATTGATTATCGCAGAATTTCCTATTTGATTCACTTTGGTGAACTCTCATGACATTTTAGATGTTGTGTTAGGTGTTGGGGATTCCAAGCTAATTAAGAAATTGACACTACTCCAGAGAAGACCTCCTAATTGGTCTCTTTACCTTGATCTCTACTCATTCTGACTCTCATCATTGTCTGAATTTTCTCCTTAACATAAGAGCTTGAATTTTTATTTCCTTATTTAAATTTGCTAAATGATTCTCTCATAATGAAGTAAAAACTCCTGAGCAGGGCCAGAGTTGGAATGAGGATCAGAAAGGGAATTTAGTTCAATAGGGATAATGATGTTCATTTTAGACATGTGGACTTGTGATTCTGGGGAATCAGAGAGGAGGGGTTTCAAAGTTCACAGCTGGCATTGTGGCTAAAGTTAGTTCTGAAGGTACAGATTTGGAGACCATCAATGCTGAGTCCAAGGGGAAAGAAGAGCCCTTGAAATGGGATACAAGTAGAGATATGCTGAGGATGTTGGAGAATAATCTAGAAACTCTCAGGGCTCCAGGGTCTTGGCATGGCCACCTCATATCCTTTCTGCATGAGGCCACTTGGTTCCTTTGCTTTTGAAGAAAATGGCAAAATTAATACAAATGCTCCCCTGACTTACAATGGGGTTATGTCCCAGTAAATCCATCAGAAATTGAAAATATTGTAAGTTGAGAATGCACTTAATATACTTAGCCTACAGAACATAATTGCTTGGCCTAGTCTACCTTAAACATGCTCAGAACACTTACATTAGCCTACTGTTGGGCAAAATTACCAGCACAAAGCCTGTTTTATCATAAAGTGTTAAACATCTCGTGTAATTCATTGAATACTGCACTGAAAGTGAACACCAGAATGGTTGTATGGGTACTCAAAGTACAGCTTCTACTGAATGCGTATTGCTTTTGCACCATTGTAAATTGTGAACAATTGTGAGTCAAATCATATAGTAAGTTCAGGACCATCTGTACTGCATCAAGGTCCCCAGGACCTGAACACAAGTGGTATAAATTATTCCCACTCCTGGATAAAAATTTGTTCCAGGAAAGCAGGTAAATTAGCATGATATAAATCTTCAAATTACTTTTGCCCAGTTTGGAGATGATGATCCAGCATGGTGTGACCAACAGTGTTTTCTCATCAACACCATAAGTAATTCTGCAAAGGACATGCTGTACACTTTGCCCAGATTTGTGATTATTTCCTCAAGAAATGGAATTACTGGGCTAAAGGGAGTTAACATCTTTAAGGTTCTAGTTAACCACTGAGAAACTGGCCTCAAGAAAGATTGGATAATGTATATACCTGCCAATTAAAGCCCATCATTGCTACTGCTAAATATATTCCTTTAAATTTTTTTCTATTTAATAGGGTGTAAAGGGCATTTTATTTTTTATTCAATATGCCTTACTTTGATCATGAATTATTAACTTTCTTATGTTTATTGGTCATTATACTTCTTATAAAGATTATTTGCATATTTTCTTATTGAGATGATCATCTTTCTTTAACTGGCATGTGACATTTTACATAGCAAGACTATTAATCCTATGACATATTGAATGTGGAAAAATTTAGACTGCTTTCACACCACAACAATCAACACATAAGACCTCTGTGATTAAATTTGTGTGTGTGTGTGTGTGTGTGTGTGTGTGTGTGTGTGTGTGTGTGTGTCGGGGTTGGGGACATTCTGCGGTGGACACCAGCTGGGTGTCCTTCAATTTAATTCTGACACCATCCACCTGAGATAGCGTAAGATCCCACAGATTGAGGACTCAGTCCCATAAGACTGCCCCCCACTTCCAATGTCCATCCCAAGCCCTAAGTTTTTCTATCTGTGCTCCTGACCGATTGGCTACAAATCGAGGATCCCACGACCTTCTCCATGAGTTCGTTTAATTTGCTAGAGCAGCTCAAAGAACTCAGGGAAACACTTTTACCAGTTTATTATAAAAGAAACTACAAAGGATACAGATGGAGATGCATAGGGTAAGGTATGGGGGAAGAGATGCGCAGTGTCCATGCTGTCTCTGGATGTGCCGCCCTCCAGGAACCTCCACATGTTCAGCAATCCAATATGAAAAGAAAATAAAATCTCAGGCCGGGTGCAGTGACTCACACCTGTGATCCTGGCACTTTGGGAGGCCGAGGCGGGCAGATCACGAGGTCATGAGATCGAGATCATCCTGGCTAACACGGTGAAACCCCGTCTCTACTAAAAATACAAAAAAATTAGCCGGGCGTGGTGGCGGGTACCTGTAGTCCCAGCTACTCGGGAGGCTGAGGCAGGAGAACGGCATGAATTTGGGAGGCGGAGCTTGCATTGACCCAAGATCACGCCACTGCACTCCAGCCTGAGCAACAGAGCGAGACTCCATCTCAAAAGAAAAAAAAAAAAAAGAAAAGAAAATCTCAGGACCCCAATTCCCTATGCAAAAAGGAAAAAAGCTAAAACCTGATTGTGCAAAAACTGTCTTTCCTTTTGTTCCTAAGCAGATAGCTACAGATAAAATGTTAAATATCTCCACAGGTAGCTACTCTGTGTTCACCTTAAGTGCCGATTGACTGAATGTGAGACAAACACATAATTGACTATTCCGCTACCTGTACCGTTTCTCTTACAACATGTGGATTCAGTAATGTGATCATACCTTCCCTCTTTCCTCTTCAGCCTGCTTTTCTCCTTTAAATATTGAAGGCTTCAAAATCGTCTTTGGAAAAAGGCATGGACCACAGATTGTTTCTGTGGATTTGTGTTCCTTTTTTCTGGGCACGTCCTTACCTTTGGCAAAATAAACTTCTAAATGGATTGAGACCTGTCTCAGATACATTTTGGTTTACGCCAGAAAACTCTCTGAACCATGTCTTTTCGCATTTTTATAGGGACTTCATTACATAGGCATGATTGATTAAGTCATTGGCCGTTAGTTATCAGTTTAACCTTAAACCCCTTTTCCTTCGTCGGCGATCAAGGGATGGGGCTAAAACTCTAACCCTCTAATCCTACTTGGTGTTTTCAGTGACCAGCCCCCAGCCTGAAGCCACTCAGGGGATGCCAACCCTCAGTCAACTCATGAGCACACAAAAAGACATCACTTTGTGCCAGGTGCAGTGGCTCATGCCTGCAATCCCAGCACTTTAGGAGGCCGAGGTAGGCAGATTGCTTGAGCTCAGGAGTTCAAGACCAGCTTGGGCAACATAGCAAAACTCCGTCTCTACTAAAAATTACGTGGGCATGCTGGTGTGTGCCTGTAGTCCCAGCTACTTGGGAGGCTGAGAGGGAGGAGGTTGCAGTGAGCCGAGATCATGTCACTGCACTTCAACCTGGGTGACAGAGCCAGACCTTGTCTCAAAAACAAACAAACACAAAAAAAACATCGCTTTGAAGATTCTGAGGATTTTAGGAGTTATAGGCCAGGAAATAAATCCAAAGACCACATATTAATATATATTTTACAATATCACACTTTTGTTACACTTTTTTTCTAGGTGATTACTTGATTTTTAATATATAGAAGTTTACATTTTTATCTATTGAGATCTATTAAAGATGTATCTATTAAAGATTTTCATTTGTGGATTCTTCCAGTATTCTTCTCTTTTCCAATATCAAGTTAATACTTACTCATATTTTCTTTTTTTTAAATGTTTAACTCTAAAACATCTGAATTTTATTTCAGGACAGAGTATATAGTGAATCTGTGATTTCCTTTCCTTTTTCTGTTGCTTACCAAATAACCTTTTCTTTAGTCAATAATGCATGATACCATCTATGTCATAGGAGAAAGGTTAAATGCATGAATTCTGGAACCAGCCTGCCTGGTTTTAAATCCTAACTTCAACAACTGCTGGATTGGTGATCTTGGGCAAGTTTTTCTTAACCCCTCTGTGCCTCAGTTTGCTTATCTGTAAAATGGTTTTAATAGTGTCTACTCACACGATGGTCGTGAGAATTGAATGAAATAATGTATCTAGAGCACTTTGAAGCATGCCTGAAACATGACTAAATGCCACATATATGTTGGCTATTGTTATGTACCTAATTTTGTCACTATTTAGGTCTGGTTTGGAGCTCTACTGTTTCACAGACTACTTTGTGTCAAGTTGAATTCTATTTTAATTATTGTAGCTTTATAGTGTTTTTAATGTCCAGTGTTGTATACCTAAAGTCTACCTTGGTACCTGATGGATCAAGATCTTGGATGAAATGAGAAGTCATAGAATTGGGCTCAGAAAGGAAGAACACATTTTCTTCAAGAAAACATTTTGGAGAATCAACAGTTTGCTGTATTGTTTCATTTGTTTATTAATTATTTTATTCAGCATTTATTAAGACACTCCTATGTGTTGAACTCTGTTAGGTTATGCAAAGCAGAGATGAAGGAGATACTTTAAGGAGCAAAAGTCTAGTGGGGAAGACATGTACATTAACGGATAAATTAAAACAGCTCTGTGGAGCTTTTACAGAGATACAAGCCACATGGGAACGCAGGGAGCACTTCACTGGCTGAATAGGGAGTTAGGAAAAGCATCACGGGGAAGCTGACGTGTAAGCTGGATCTCACAGGATAGGAGTTTGGCACACCATGAAGCGAGAGAAAAGGGGAAGGACATTCTAGGCAGGAGGAACAAAGACACAGCGCTATGAAGAAACTTGGCTGGTCAAGTAGCGGGGGTCAGGCATGTACACGTACAGCACGTTAAGAGGCTTGGACCTCATCCAGCTGGAAATAGGAGCCACGAAAGGGCTTGAAGCAAAGCAGTGAAAGCAGATTTGTGCTTTGGGAAGGGCTCTCTGATTGTACCACATAAAGGGAGTCAGAAGGGGGCGGAGCTGGAGGCGGGAGACTGGCTGGGCCTGGGGAAGTCATTCAAGCAAGATGTGAAAAGTGGATAGAAAGATGTGGGTCAGTCTGAGGGATGTTTAGAAAGTTGAATGCGTGCTTCCGGTGATAAAGTGGATGTGGAAGATGAAGAATCACGGATGCTTCCGAAGTTCTTGGCTTGGGAACCTCGCTGGCTGGTGGTACCATTGACCAAGGCGTGGAACACTGGAAAAGAAGCAGATTTACAAGGGGAAGAAGATAAAATCAAAACTTTGAGGGTACCTGTGGAACATGGAAATATTCAAAAAGCAGAAAGGTATTTGACTAATAAGTTTGAAAAAGGCAAACCTAATTAGTGACCAAAGAATGCAAATTTAAATGACAATAAGGGATTTTTTTTCCCATGTAGCACATTAGTTAATAAACATTTTGAACGTTAGCCTTAGTGCTCTGCTGACTCCTTGTTCTCCTTCTGACCCTTACATCATCCCCACTGCATCCGTATGGAGTCCTTAGAGCTTCTCAGAGCATGATGGGAAAAACCACTGGCTTAGAGCACTAGGGATAAAAAGCCAAGCTCCTTGGAAAGGTAGAACTAGTCTTAGTTACTGGCAGCAGAGTTTCCTAATGGCAAACTGCCCAGGAAAGGGAAGGATGGCCAGAAAGCCTTCATCTGCAGCTGTGTTGGGGTGGGAGAAGGAACACTGGGAAGGAGGGTCAGGCTCTGTCCCAGGATCCGCCTCAGCCCTGAAGCAGAGAGCCTTTAGCAGAGCCGCTCCACCAGTTTGGAGGGTCACACCATCACTTGTCTGAATAAATCAGCTACATTCGCAATCAAGCCAAGATACCAACTCTGTACATATACACACACGCCTAACAAATATGCACGATGGGCTGTTTCTTACTTTGGCTATCGTCCTGAGAAGGTGTGAGAAAATGTATATGTTAAAGCCTCAGAGGCATGGATGGGAGTCTATTCCCAGAGAGATAGAAGTATGACAAAACCTCAAAATAAGTTTTTGAACACATTTCTCTCCCTGCCTCCCAAATGAGCTCATTGTGGCAACATTAGGAATGTCTAACAGAAGTCACAGCAATAGCAACAGCTGCCGCAGAAGCATCCACAGCCCAGGCTGCCTCCAGCCCTTCACAGAAATAGCAATCTTCACTCACTCCACCACCACCACCACCACCACCACCACCACCACCACCACCACCACCACCACCACCACCACCACCACCACCACCGCACATGCATGGAGCCCCTTGTTATCTGTGGATGCTGCTCTCACAATTCCTCTTCCTGCCCTGATGATGTACACCATCCCAGCATTGGATGAAACTGGAGTCCTATCTGGGCTATCCCTGGTCCAAAGTCTATAGCTAAGAGCTCAGGGTTCCAAGGAAGGAGAAAGAGAAGGCAAACACCAGGAAATTGTTTCATTTATTTAGCAGCCTCTCCGGCTCTCTCGCACTTCTTCAGTGATTTCAGAAAAGGAATTTTTTTTTTTCTGGAGTTTCTCATTGCCTTTATTTTTCTCATTCTGAAAAGACACATGCTTTAATTGTATCATTAGAATCTTCTATTTTGTTAATTATGCAATCTTATTAATATTCATATAAAAGTCTTTATTATTTAGGAGAGGAATAGCTGGATGATAGTGTAGGTCTATGCTTAACTTTATGAATGACTGTTCTGGAAACACCAGTTAAGCCATGTTGATTATGTTGTTCAGATCTTCTATATCATCACTGTGGTAGACAGAATTCTAAGATGGGCCTTATGATCCCCACTCCCTGATGTTACTCTCATGATTATATTATGTTATATGGCAAAATAGGATTTTGCAGATACAATTAAGATTACTAAGTTGACCTTAAGATAAGTAGATTGTCTGAGTAGACTTGCTACATTCGTATGAGCCCTTTAAAAGCAAATAGTTTTCTCTGACTAGTAGCTGAAGAGGAAGTCAGAGGGGCCCTGAGCATGAGGAGGATGTAATGTACAGTTGCAGGCTTTGATGAGGGAGGGGGCCAGGTGGCAAGGAATGCAGGTAGCTTCTAGGAGCTGAGAGCAGCCCTGGCTGACAACCAGCAAGGAACTGGGGACCTCAGTTCTATAACTGCAAGGAACTACATTCTGCCAACAACCTGAATGACGTTGTAAGCAAATTCTTCCCCGGGACTACAGATAAAACCCCAGGCCAGCTGACACCTTGATTCTGGCCTCCATAAACATTCAGCAGAGAACCCAGCTGAGACTGCCCAGACTTCTGACATTCAAAACTGTGTTGTTTTAAGCCACCAACTGTGTGATGATTTGTTACTCAGCAATAGGAAACTAATAAATATACTTACTTTTTGTTCTATTTTTTTGTTTGTTATTCTCTACATAATTGTAGATATGTATATTTAACTTTAGTTCTGTCAGTTTTTGCTTTATGTATTTTGATGATCTGTTATGTGGTTGTTGACTGAAATGAAGGCTGTTGAGACAGAAGTTATTTTATTTATTTTATTTTTTATTTTTAATAGAGATGGGGTCTCACTATGTCGTCCAGGCGGATCTCAAACCCGTGGGCTCAAGCAATCTTCCTGCCCCAGCCTCCCAAAGTGCTGGGATTACAGGCATGGGCCACTGTGCCCAGCCAGCAGAAATAATTTGATAAAGGTTTATTGGAAGCCAAATGTAAGGACTGACTTGGGAAAACACACCAACAAAGTTACACATGTTCTGGAGTCTGTTACAAATTGGAAGGCTTTTATAGAAAAGTTTAGGAGCAGGGAGGGGGACTCCTTATACCAAACTTGTCCTTTTTCATTGGAGGGTTCAATACAAAGATTGCAATCATTGAATACACATTACAACATACAGGTTAAAATGTCTACATGCAAGACCATCAGTAAAACTTCATGATTCAGCAATAAATCAGCATCCTTTTCAATGCCAGTAGGTTATGTATCAATCATTGCATCAATAATTTGAGGAACTCATAGTAAGATTCTTTATTCAAGGACAGAATGTCACCATAAGACCTTCCCAAGGTCAGTTACTTTGAAAGACTGTTGGCCGAGCGTGGTGGCTCACGCCTGTAATCCCAGCACTTTGCGAGGCCGAGGAGGGCAGATCATGAGGTCAGGAGTTCGAGACCAGCCTGGCCAATATGGTGAAACCCCATCTCTACTAAGAATACAAAAATTAGCTGGGCGTGGTGGCGCGCACCTGTAGTCCCAGCTACTCGGGAGGCTGAGGCAGAAGAATCACTTGAACCCGGGAGGTGGAGGTTGCAGTGAGCTGATTGTGCCATTGCACTCCAGCCTGGGTGAGAGAGGGAGATTCCATCTGAAAAAAAAAAAAAAAGAGAGAGACTCTTTTAAGTAAATTGTCAAATGTGGCCTGAAGGTTATCAAGGTATGTATACATTTAAGATTTTTATGTCCTATTGACTAATTGGTCCTTTTATTATTATAAAAATTACTTCTTTATCTCTGATAATACTCCTTGTTTGAAGTCTTTCTTGTCTGATATTAATATAACCACACCAATTTTCTTACCCTTAGTGAGTTGTTTTTTTTTTTTTTTTTTTTTTGGTATTTCTTTTTCAAATCTTTTACTTTTGACACACTTGTGTCTTATATTTAAGATGAGTCTCTTGGTGAGGATCAAAGAACTACCTATTGGGTACCATGCTTATTATCTGGGTGACAAAATAATCCGCACTCCAAACCCCTGTGACATGCAATTTACCCATATTACAAACCTGCACATGCACCCTTGAACCTGAAATGAAAGTTGGAAAGAAAAGATAAAATTAAAAAAAGTCTATTGTAAGCAGAATATAGTTGAGCCTTGCCTTTTTATCTAATGTAGCCCAGGGGTGAGCAAACGTTTTCTGTGGCAGACCAGATAGTAAATATTTTCGGCTTCGTGGGTCAGAAGGACTCTGTCACAACTACTCATTCATTTATGTATTCCAACAAAATTTTATTTTCCAAAACAGATTGGATGTATAATTTCTGGTTCAACATGTAAGAAGCTTAAGGGTCATCACTCTATCCTAACAATCAGTAAAAAGCTGAACAGGCCAGGTGCGGTGGCTCACGCCTGTAATCCCAGCACTTTGGGAGGCAGAGGTGGGCAGATCACGAGGTCAGGAGTTCGAGACCAGCCTGGGCAACATGGCAAAACCCCATCTCTACTAAAAATTCAAAAATTAGCCTGGTGTGGTGGTGGGCGCCTGTAATCCCAGCTACTCGGGAGGCTGAGGCAGGAGAAGCACTTGAACCCGGGAGGCAGAGGTTGCAGTGAGCCAAGATCGTGCCACTGCACTCCAGCATGGGCGACATGAGCAAGTCTCCATCTCAAAAAAAAAAAAAAAAAAAAAAAAAAACTGAACAAACTGGAAACTGAAAATCAACAGCTCTTCTTAGATCTCTCAGAAATTTGAGGCCACAGGGCAAACCACTGCCCCAAAATGGGAGAGACAGGCAGGTACAGAGGATCACAACTTATCAGAATAGAAACCCACAAGCAGAAAACTATGAGGGGGCCTGTGCTGGGATAGGAAATTGCTAGAGACTCAGTGTGGACAAGTCTGAGAGTTAAAATCTCCAGGGCTGTCAGGTATTAGGGGGCCACTTACACTTTTATGAGTTTTACCTCCAGGAGCTGAACCAGGTTCTCACAGTGAATCTCAAACATCCCCTTAGGCTCTGGCCGGAGTGGGAGAAAAGTAGACATTTTGAAGTAAGCTAGACCACTCTATTCTTCTTAACAAGCCTGAGCCTAACCTGACCCAGGAGTTTTGTCAGACCTGGGGGGAGAGAGATATCCAACTCCAGCCACCTCTAGTCATCCTGTCCCACCTATGGGGTAAAATAAAATTAAATTTAAAAAGGCAAAAAACACAGTTTGAGGTGAGAAGGCAAACATTAGCACCAGACTGAGGTATGGCAAGGATGTTGAAATTTTCAGACTAGGAATTTAAAATAACTATGATTAATATGGTAATTTCACTAATGATCAAAGTAGACAGCATGCAAAAATAGATGACTAATATATAAACAGAGAGATCAAAATTCTAAGAAAGAATAAAAAGATATGCTATAGATCAAAAACACTGTTACAGAAATGAATAATGCCTTTGAGGGGGTTATTAGTAGACTGGACTTGGATGAGAAAAAAACCTGAGCTTCAGGATATATCAATAGAAACTTCTATAACTAAAAGACAAAGAGAAAAAGATTTAAAAAAAGAACAGAATATTCAAAAACTGTGGGACAATTATAAAAGGCGTAATGTATGTGTAATGAACATACCAGAATGAGAATAAAGAGAGAATGGAATAGAAGAAATGCCTGAAGCAATAATAACTTGGAATATCCCCAAATTAATGTCAGACACCAAACCACAGATTCAGGATACTCAGAGAGTACAAAGCAGGAAAAGAGCCAAAATCTACACCTAGGTATTTCATACTTAATCTCCAGAAAATCAAAGATAAAGAAAAAATATTGAAACAAGCCAGGAGGATTAAAAAAGACCTTATTTATAGAAGGGCAAACATAAGAATTACATTTGACTTCACCTCAGAGGCCATGGAGGCAAGAAGAGAGTGAAGTGAAATATTTAATGTGTTGAGAGAAAAAAAAAAAAACCCATCTGCCTAGAATTCTGTATTTTGTGAAACTGTCCTTCAAAAGTAAAGGAGAAATAAATACTTTCTCAGACAAACAAAAATTAAGGGAGTATTTTGATAACGGGGGCATGATAAAGAGGTCGATACTTTAGGAAGATGTAACAATGCTTACTGTATATGCACCTAATAACACAGCATCAAATATGTGAGACAAAAACTGAAAGAACTGAAAGAGGACACAGATGTATTCACTGTTATAGTTGGAGACTTCTGCATCACTCTATCAGTAATAGATTCAGCAGGCAATCAGTCAGGACATAAGTTGAACTCAATAATACCATCAACCAACTGAATGTAGTTGACATGTATAGAACACTTCATCCGAGAACAGAAGATACAGATTCTTTTCAAGCTCACATGGAACATTCACCAAGGTAGACCACATTCTGGACAATAAAACCCGCCTTAACAAGTTTGAAAGAATAGAAATCATATAATATACGCTCTCAGACCACAATAAAATTAAGCTAGAAGGGTATCTGCAAAATCTAAAAACGTGGAGATTAAACAAAACACTTCCAAATAACGCAAAGGTCAAAAAAGAGATCTCAAGATAAATTTTAAAATGCTTTGAACTAAATGAAAATGAAAATACAACGTCAACATTTATGAAATGCAGTGAAAGCAATGTTTAAAGGAAAATTTATAGTATAGAATGTGTATACCAAAAAAGAAGATCTAAAATCAGTAATCTGAGCTTAACTAGAAAAAGAAGAGCAAATTAAGTCCAAAGCAAGCAGAAGAAAAGAAATGATAAAAATTAGAAAAGAAATCAATGAAATTGAAAACAAGGTATCAAGAGGAAAAACAGTGAACCCAAAGCTGATTCTTTGAAAAGATCGATTAAGTCAATAAGCCTCTAGTGAGAACAAACAAACAAAACAAACAAAAAGAGACAGGATACAAATTACTAAAATCAGAAATGAAAGAAGGGACATCCTTTACAGATACACGGACATTAAAAAAAAAAGAAATAAAGAAATACTTTATTTCTAGGAATAACTAGCCCACAAATTTGACAATCTAGATAAAATGGACCAACATTTTTGATTATTTGTTTTGTTTTTTTAATACAAACAACAATGAGCTTTCAATGACCAAGTTTTTGAAAAACAATCTGCAAAAACATACAAGAAGAAACAGACAATCTGAATAAGCCTATATCTATTTAAGAAATGGAATCCATAATCAATATTCTTCCAAAATAGAAAGCACAAGGCTCAGATCAATTTGCTGGTGAATTCTACCAAAAATTAAAGGAAGAAATTATGCTAATTCTCCATAGTCTCTTTCAGAAGACAGAAGCAGACGAAATACTTCCTAGCTCATTATTTGCAGCTAGCATTACTTTAATACCAAAATCAGACAAAGACTTTATAAGAAAAGTACAGACCAATATCTCTCATGAGCATAAATGCAAAAATTCTCAGCAAAATGTTAGGATATTGAAGCCAACAATGTAAGAAGAGAATTAAACACTACAACCAAACGGGATTTATTCCCGGTATGCAAGGCTGGCTCAACGTTAGGAAATCAGTAATATAATCCATACATCAACTGGTTAAAGCAGAAAAATCACATGATCATATTGATAGATACAGAAAGAGCATTTGACAAAATTCCAACACTCATTCATGATAAAAGCACTTACCAAACTGTGATTAGAGGGGAACTTCCTCAACTTAATAAAGAACGTCTCCAAAAAACTACAGCTAACATTATACCTACTGGCGAGAAACTAGGTTTTCAATTGAGATCAGAAACAAGAAAAGGATGTCTCCTCTCACCACTTCTTTTTAACTTTGTACTGGAAGTAAAGCAATAAAAAAGAGCAAGAAATAAAAGGAGCACAGGAAAGGAGAAATAAAATTGTCTTTGCTCACAGATGGTATAGCTGTCTTTGTAGAAAAATCCCAAAGAACCAACAGAAACCTCTTGGAACTAAGAAGTGATTATACAGTCTGGGGACTGTTGTGGGGTGGGGGGAGGGGGAGGGGGGAGGGGGGAGGGGGGACGGATAGCATTAGGAGATATCCCTAATGCTAAATGACGAGTTAATGGGTGCAGCACACCAGCATGGCACATGTATACATATGTAACTAACCTGCACATTGTGCACATGTACCCTAAAACTTAAAGTATAATAATAATAATAAAAAAAGTCAAACAAAAAACACAATTTTTCCCTAACGTTCTCTAATCCAATTGGACTTTTACAGTACTCTTAAAAATAATAAAATAGAATTTAAAAAAATGATTATAGCAAGTTTGTAGGATACAAGGTTAATATACAAAACTCAACCACTTTCCTATATATCAGCAATGAACAATTGGAATTTGAAATCATAACACCATTTATGTTATCATACCCCAAGAAAGAAATACTTAGGTATAAATCCAGTGAAATACATACAAGATTTATGTGAGGGAAACTACAACCTCTGATGAGACAAATCAAAGAACAACTAAACAAATGGAGAGATATTTTAAGTTAATGGATAGGAAGATTCAGTACTGTCAAGATTTGCATTCTTTCCAACTTGATCTATAGATTTAATGCAATCCCAATAAAAATCCCAGCAATTTATTTTGTGAATATCGAGAAATTAATTCTAAAGTTTATATGGAGAAGCAAAAGATCCAGACTAGCTAACACAATACTTAAGGAGAAAAAAAAATGGAAGGGCTCAGACTACCTGAATTCCAGACTCCGTTTTTTTTTTTTTTTTTTTTTTTTGAGACGGAGTCTTGCCCTGTCGCCCAGGCTGGAGTGCAATGGTGCAATCTCAGCTCACTGCAGCCTCCGCCCCACAAGTTCAAGCAATTCTCTTGCATCAGCCTCCCCAGTAACTGGGATTACAAGTATGTGCAACCACACCCAGCTAAATTTTTTTGTATTTTTTTAAGTAGAGACAGGGTTTCTCCATGTTGGCCAGGCTGGGCTTGAACTCCTGACCTTAAGTGATCCACCCACCTCAGCCTCCCAAAGTGCTGGAATTATAGGCGTGAGCCACCATGCCTGGCCTTCAGACTTCTTATAAAGCTACAATGATCAAGGCAGTGTGGTATTGACAAAAGAAGAGACAAATAGGTAAATGGAACAGAATAGAAACACTTTTCCTTTACTTGCCTGAAATTCCAAAGTATCTTTCCCTAAGTGCTTCTTCCAATTTTTGTATAAACTGATTAGTTCTACCTTGAATTATTTAACGTCTCACTAGAATGCCTCAATGAAATGGAAACTGGGCTGTTGGCTGGCAGGTGGCAGCTGGTAGGTAAGGCAGTGCTTCAAATCATTATCCATCAGATAACATATGAAGAACTGAGGCTTATGAAAGTGAATTACATGGACACGTATGGGCTGTATAAAAATTGTATCTACTCTAAAGTAGTTCTGATGCTAGTGGCCAAGTCTTCCTTGCTAGGTCATTAATGAAACCCATAAGCAGGCATGGTAAACAACAACAACAGCAACAGCAACAGCAAGACAAATAATCCAGACCCCATATTTTAGTTCTGGTCCCAGTTATCTTCTGTTGCCTTGTTCTGCAATCTATATTGGCCTGTTTTCCAGGATAATCTTTTTCCTTGGGTCAATTCCCTTTTTCAAAAATCAGTACTGTGGGATGATTCATTAATTACAAAGAATTCTGTCACTCTGCCATTGCTCAAAGTTAAATATTTAGCAACAATATTGACTACACCATTGGTTCTTCCTCTTTATACTTTACATGCAGCTGCATTATGTATTATCATGCTGTCCAATTCTGCGGTATGATTATTTTTCCTCTGTTGGTATGGTTGGAGAGATTTGTCAAAGCCTCTTGATTTTTGTGGAAAAGACCATGTTTAAATTGAGTTATGCCTGAAAGCTTTTTTACTCAGGAAACTTACTTATGATTTCTTCCTGGGTCATATTATCTCTTTTTCCCCTCCTGGATGAGCAGTTGGGGTCAAAACACTTACATCTGTGTCATATATAGAGCAGCACAATGATAAATATATAGACAACCAACCCAGGTGATCAGGAAGGACACTAGGAAGTGGATTTATATGAAAAAGGAAAACGACATACAGGCTGTCTGTACTAAGCCCCAAGAAATATGACCTAAAACACTAAAAAGATAAGGATGCAATCTGATCTAGAGTGAATATTATTGAACCTTCTTGTCCTCAGTTTCCTTACCTATGGAATGAAATAATAATTCCTGCATCACAGGGCGATCATGAAGATCAAATGAAATCACATGTGCGATATACCTAACACTGGATGGCCCTTACAAGATGCTTACAAAATATTTATTTCTTTTTTTCCCCTCCATCACATGCTCACAATCTATAAATAAGCTTTTTTTTAGCGATCATTATCAATCTTACTCGTTGTAAAATGAATGAATCTTCTCAAGTTGCACAATTACTTGTCTTTTTTAAATTTTTATTTTTTAGAGATGGGGTCTTGCTATTTTGCCTAGGTTGGTCTTGAACTCCTTCTACCTCAGCTTCCTAAGTAGGTGGGACTATGGGTGACTGCCATCACACCCGGCTCTGTACAGATATTTATAACTGATTTAGTAAGAATACAGCTTAATGTCTTGAGAACATCTTATTCCCAAATAAGAATAGAATGTGCAGAAATTTTAGTGATGAAATATGAAGGAGGAGTTTCTCCCACAAAAGGTCAGAATAATGATCAACAAAAATAATCCTTTCTGAAACGTCTCCTGTCTGACTAGAGGCTTTTGCGGCAAGGGAGAGAAAAGAAAGGCATTATTAATGGTCGAATCACCATTTTTTCCCTAATAGGATTTAAGACAACATAAACATAAAATTTTCCATTGTTATTGAATGTTCCATTGTTATGTTTAATTCCAGTACACTTCTACTCTCACAACTATATTCATTTCCTCTGAGGAAATTTTCTACCCTGTCCTTGATGTCTTTCCAGTGCTTGAGACTCAAATTTCCATTTGCTTACAGGACACATCTGATCTTCAGAGGCCTTCCGATGAAACATGTGCCTAGTTGACCTAGGTGTTTCCTCTCGTCTCTCTTCTTCCCCTTTGTTCTCTCCCTCTGTTATGGGCACTACCAAGCACACAGGTGCAAAAGCTGGACCTTCGGTTCCTCCTTCATCACTTCTTTCCCCTCTGTCTGTTTTCAAATGGCTACCACGAATAGTGATTCTACTTTAAAATATCACTAATTTATAAATGGTTTCCGTTATAAAGCTGATAGGACCATGTCAGAATAATAAAAAATAGAAAAAGAAAATTAATTGCCTATAGTCTAACTACCATAAGACGACCATTCTTGCAATTTCAACATATTTCCTTCTAGTCTTTTTAGAAATTGTATTTCTGTTTGGTTTTCTTGTTTTAGTTTTCTTTCCTTTTTCGTCTCTCTTCCCCCAACACCACCTCTTAGCTTTTTGAGCTTTTCCTTACTTTCTGGTACTATGAAATGCTTTGGGTTCATCTTGTATTTTGCCTGCTTCAGATTTTAGAATCAATCATGTTTCCAAAGTTACACTGGTTCCTCGTATTGAAGAATCTGGGCATTGGGTTTTCTTTTACACATGGCTGTAATCACAGTCTTGCATTGAAGTGGGAGTGAGGTTTCCATCTGGTTTCTAAGCTATGCTTATTGCTTGGGCTTAGTCATCTATGGGCACAACTGGCAGGGTGGTAGGGTAGGCAACCAGGAGTCTACTAAGACCTAGGGAGCCTCCTGGGAAAGAAACAAGCTAAGGAAAGGAATCAGGCAGACAAGTGTGGTCAAATACAATGTCCTCATCCCCCGAGCGAAAAGTGATTCTGACTAGGTGTGGCAGGTGACATTTGGATGATCTCTGACTTAACATTTCTGCCATTCTTTGTTGGGTTTGTGTCCTAGGGAGCAAAATGGCTGTCTGTGGGTAAACACTCAAAGTCATTTTCACTACATACTGTAAGATAATGGACTATAAGATACATTGACTTTGCCGCTTATCACCCTCAACTGCGTGGAGCATGAAAAGTAGGGTGAGCTTTTCCAGCTTTGTCATAGACAGTCTCATGGTTTTGAGCACTTCTAAGATGCCCATTCTCTGAGGCAGTAGGGGCCTGGGTATTCCACAGAGGAATGGGCTGTGAGCGGCTGCAGGGTTTGGTGGAGAGACAACTTAGGCAAGACTGCTGAGGAACTTGAGAAAGAAAGCTGTAAGATGCTACCTGGAGCCTTGCTGGGCCCCTTCAGAGACCCCTCTGAGGACCTTGAGAAGTACTTGAGGAGACTTTGCAGAAGCTTGGAATCCTATGTCAGCAGATGTGGTAAGGGTACAATAAATTTGGGCTGTTAGTGGCACTGTGACACTATTTAGGACTCCTGTAAGTCCCCATTTGGAAAGCTCAACAATTTTCTAGCCTTTTTTTGTTCACTTAGCATTTTATTATAAGCTGTTTTCCATGTTGCAATATGGCTTTCAAAATTTTAAAACAAAAACCACAGCAATGAGTGCACAGTGAAAATCAGTGATATTGCACAGTGAAAATTAGTCTCCTCCTACCTCTATCTCTCAGTTCTCCAATCCCCGCCAACTCTAGAGGTAACCACTGTCTTTGTGTTTGCATGCGTGTGTGTGTGTGTGTGTGTGTGTGTGTGTGTGTGTGTGTTTTGAGACAACGTCTGGCTCCAGGCTGGAGTGCAGTGGTTTAATCTCAGCTCACCACAACGTCTACCTCCTGGGCTCAAGCCATCTTCCCACCTCAGCCTCCCAAGTAGCTGGGACTACAGGTGCCCTCCACCTCCTCCCACCCAGCTCATTTTTGTATTTTTTTTTTTTAGAGATGGGTTTTTGTCATGTTGTCTAGGCTAGTCTCGAACTCGTGAGCTCAAGGGATCCACCTATCTCAGCCTCTCAAAGTGCAGGGATTACAGGCATGAACCATCTTGCCTGACTTCGTGTGTGTTTTTAATAAAGACTTTGTAATTTTAGAAAATTACCTAATGTTTATTGAATATGCCAGACAAGTTACAAACGTTATCCCATATCCCATAACAGCTCTTCAAAGAAGAGTATTATTTATCCCCATATTGCACATCAGGTAAATTAGGTTCAGAGACATGAAATAACTTGCCTTAGTTTACCTGGCTAGTAAGTAATAGAATTATTACCTCGCTCTAAAATCTATACTTTTTCCAACAGTATCTCCTTGCTGTCCATAATATTCTAATATTCTGTGGAGTGGAGATGGCATAATTTACTTAACTATTATGCACTGTTAGTTATTTAACTATTCACTTGCGGTTGGAAACTTTAGGTCAGCTTATTATTATTTGCTATTATAAACGAAAATGAGGTAGACAGCTCTTATCATCTTATCACAGTCCCCGCCTCCGCCTCCACGTTCTGACTGCTTTTATCCATTTGATCTTCATTAAAATAATTTGTGGCCGGGAGTGGTAGCTCATGCCTGTAATCCCAGCTATTTGGGAGGTTGAGGCAGGCAGATTGCTTGAGCTCAGGAGCTTGAGACCAGCCTGGGCAATAAAGTGAGATCTCAGCCCTATTTTCTGTTTTTTATTTTTTTTTTGGAGACGGAGTCTTGCTCTGTTGCCCAGGCTGGAGTGCAATGGTGCGATCTTGGCTCACTGCAACCTCTGCCTCTCAGGTCCAAGCAATTCTCCTGCCTCAGCCTCCTGAGTAGCTGGGACAACAGGCATGTGCCCCTATGCCTGGCTAATTTTTTGTATTTTTAGTAGAAATGGGGTATCACCGTGTTAGCCAGTATGGTCTCAGTCTCCTGACCTTGTGATCCGCCCGCCTCAGCCTCCCAAAGTGCTGGGATTACAGGTGTGAACCACCGTGCCTGGCCCCTACTATTTTTAAAATAATAAAAAAAAATTTCTACTTTCTTGTCCCCATAACCTTCCTTACACATGCTCCCTTTGCTGGAGGAACTGACACACACACACATACACACACATGCACACGCTAAATCTTTCAAGATGCCACATCCCTAGGCAGATTGGTCACTTGCCCTTTCATGACCCTTGGTGCAAGTTGGGGCCTCCTACAGGGTGGTAAGCACATTGACTCTAACTGTAAATCAGCCCCTCTCCCATGGATTTGCGGGCGCCCTCGGGTCAGAGTGTAAACCTGTTCATTTAAGGGATTTGTTAAAAGTGCAGGCGTCCGGGTCTCCTAATGACCTACAGAATAGGATCTTTTGGCTTAGAACCTGGACATCTGCATTTTTACCAAGCTACCCAGGTGAATTTTATGAAGTAAACACTGGAAGAACACTGCCCCAGTGTTCTGATCAGTGATTGGATGCATGAGAGGGCACCCAGTGTTCCCAGAAAGAGGGGTCTCGTCAGCGTCTTAGTGGAGAAGGGCAAGTGCACGCGAGACTGCAGAGGAGTATTTGCTGGCCTCTCTAGCTGAGTGAACTTTGACCTATTCTAGACAGCAGTAAACTGGCACCGATTATGGTGCAATGTTTGATCAAATTATTTTATTTATTTTTAATGGATAATTCATGTAATAAGACACAAAATGTAGAATATATTTAAAAAATTACACAGTGAAAGCAGTCTCCTCCCACCTCTAGCCCTCAGTCCTCCAATGCCTGCCGACTCTAGAGGTAGCCACGATTTTTGTGGTGTTTTTAATAAAGACTTTGTAATTTTAGAAAGTGATCTAGTTCAGCAGTCACTTTATACAGGGTAGGAATCTTTTTGTTTTAAAAGAAAACAATTTGGAAATAATTACAGATTCACAAAATTTGCAAGAATTGTACAGAGCAGTTCTGTATACCTCTTACACCCAGTTTTTCCCGATGACTACGATTATATTTATATAACTGTATATATAACTATATAACTGAGCAGTGATTGGATGAATGAGAGGGCACCTAGTATTCCCAGAACGAAGATATCTAACTGCATTTGTAACTATAGTGAAATAGCAAAGAAGCTGATGACACTCCTATATTATATATGTAGTTATGTAACTATAGTGCAATAGCAAAAGCAGAAAATTGACATTGATACTGTGTGTATATAGTTCTATGCAATTTTATCACATGTAGATATTACATGTAGACATGCAAACACTGTCACTCAAGATACTTTAGAACTATGTAATCACCATTGTATATACATAACTTAACACAGTCTACTGGTGTTACCATTTTACCAGTCCACGTGAAATGAAGAAACGTTACCTTATTTAAGTCCCTAATTTGCCCTCCCCCATATATAGTATAATTGTCTTAAATATCTCTTCCATATATTTTCAGACCACAGCAGACAATGTTATGATTTTTGGTTGCCAAACGTAATTTAGAAAACTCAAGAGGAAAAGGAAAGTCTTTTGTATTTACTCAGATTTTAACATTGTTCTTTTGTTTTTCTTGTTCCAAGATTCTTTCTTTTGTCATTTCTTTACTTAGAACAATTTCTGTAGTCATCCTTTTGAGGTAAGTCTGCTGGAAACAAATTCTACTAGTTTTCTTATCTGAAGATGTCTTGATTTCTTCTCCATTCCTGAAGGGTATTTTTGTTGGATACAGGATTCAGGATTGACCATTCTTTTCTTCCAGCACTTGAAAAGTTGTGATACTTTCTTCAGGTCTTCTTGATTTCTGATGAGAACTCTATCATTTGAATTGTTTTTCCCCTATAAGTGTCATTTTTCTCTTGCTACTTTTAAGAATTTTTATTTGTCTTTAGTTTTTAGAAGTTTGATTATAATGCATCTGGGCATCAGATGATCATGAATTTCTTTGAGTTTGTCCTATTTGGGGTTTGCTCAGCATCTTGAATCTGTAGGTTTGTGTCTTTTGCCAACTTTTGGAAATTTCTTTTTTCTTTTCTTTTCTTTTTTTTTTTTTTTGAGACAGAGTTTTGATTTTCTTGCCCAGGTTGGAGTGCAGTGGCGCGATCTCAGCTCATTGCAACCTCCACCTCCTGGGTTCAAGTGATTCCCCTGCTTCAGCCTCCCATAGCTGGGATTACAGGTGTGCACCACCACGGCCAGCTAATTTTTTGTAATTTTAGTAGAGATGGGGTTTCACCATGTTGGTCAGGCTGTGGCCCCACAGTCTCGAACTCCTGACTTTAGGTGATCCACCTGCCTCAGCCTCCCAAAGTGTTGGGATCACAGGCCTGAGCCACCGTGCCCAGCCAGCCCTTATTTCTTTACATTCTTATTTAGCCCCACATTTTGTCTTTTCCTTCTAAGGCTCCGATGACATGAATATTAGATCTGTTGTTGTAATCTCACCGGCCTTTGAGGTTTAATTTTTTTTTAGTCTACTTTCTCTCTGTTTTTCAGATTGAGCATTTTCTATTATTCCATCTTCAAGTTCACTGATTCTTTTCTCTGTCCTTATTCTACAGTTGAGGCCTACCCAGTGATTTTTAAATTTTGTTTATTGTATTTTTCACTTATAAAATTTCCATTTGTTTCTTTTTTATGTCTTCAATTTCTTTCCTGAGATTTCTATATCTTTGCTAAAACATCTGATTTCCTTGCTGTTTCTTCATTCGTTTCAAGCATGTTCATAATCAGTCGTTCAAGCAATGTTACTATGGCTGCTTTTAAATCCTTGTCAGACAATTCCAGCATCTGTGTCATCTTGGTGTTTGTGTCTGCTTTAATTTTTTTTTTTTTTTGAGACACAGTCTCACTCTGTCACCCAGGCTGGAGTGCAATGGCACGATCATGGCTCGCTGCAGCTTCAACCTCCTGGGCTCAGGTGATCCTCCCACCTTAGCATCCTGGGTAGTTTGGGCCACAGGCATGTGCCACCATGCCTGGCTGATTTTTTTAAATTTTTTGTAGAGATGGGGTTTTACCGTGTTGCTCAGGCTGGTCTTGAACTCCTGGGCTCAAGTGATCTGCCTGCCTCAGCCTCCCAAAGTGCTGGGATTACAGGTGTGAGCCACCATGCCATGCCAATTTAAAAAAAAGTTTATTTTTTAGTAGAAACAGGGTCTCAGTATGTTGCCCAAGCTGCTCTCAAACTCCTGGGAATCAAGCCATCCTCCTCCTGCCTCAGCCTCCCAAAGTGCTGTGATTGCAGGCATGAGCCACCATGCCCGGCTGGTGTTGCTGTCTGTTGATAGGCTCTTCCAAGTTGAGATTTTCCTGGTTGTTGATATGACAAGTGATTTTCTATTGCATCTTGGCCATTCTGAATATAACTTTTTGAGACTCTGGATCCTATGTAAATCTGTTTTAGCAGGCCTTTCATACACTGTTCTGGTGGGGAGAGGGAGATTTCATCTCATCGCTGCCAGGTGGGAGAGGAAGCCCAGGTTCCATGCTTGGCCTCCACTGACACCTGGTGGGGAGGGCTGCCTCATTACTGATGGGTGAGGGAGGGAGTTCAGGTTCCCCACTAGCCCTCTGCTGACACCACACTGGCTGAAAAGGGGAGGGCCACTGTTCCTTTACTGATATCATGTGGGGACAATGACAAAAATGCCAGCTCCCCAAGAGACCTTCACTGACACACCCTGGAGGGGAAGGTGGGGGATGCAGGGGCAAACCCTCACAGCTGGGGTGAGGTTGGAAGTCTAGGCTCCCCACGAGGCCTCTGTGGATGTGGTGGGCATGGCACTGCAAGGTTTTCAGTGGCATTTGGCTGGAGTAGGGCAGTTGTTGTCTAAACATCTTCTGTCTTGCTAGGCTTCCCATTTCCTGTTTCTTTGGTTAGAGAAAGCAGCTTTTTCTTGGGGCTTCTATTGTCTCTGCCCATTGCATTTCCAAGTTGTTGACTGCTCCAGCATCCAGCAACTTGGAATCTATTTCCTACAATAGCTAGGATATCTGGAGATCTCTAGTCAGCCTGCCCTGTTCTCTCTACCTTTCAGAGTCTTCTTAGGTTTGTTTTACATATCATGTGTACTTTTTACTTGCCTTGATGGGAAGGAATAGAGAAGATAAATGTAGGTATTTCTTCTTGTCCCAGAAGCAGAAGGGTTATGCTTTTTTGTTTGTTTGTTTTTTGTAGTTGTTGTTGTTGTTGTTTGAGATGGAGTTTTGTTCTTGTTGCCCAGGCTGGAGTGCAGTGGCGCGATCTCGACTCACTGCAACCTCCGCCTCCTGGGTTCAAGCGATTTTCCTGCCTCTGCCTCCCAAGTCGCTCGGATTACAGGTGCCTGCCACCATGCCCAGCTAATTTTGTTATTTTTAGTAGAGATGGCGTTTCACCATGTTGGCCAGGCTGGTCTTGAACTCCTGACCTCAGGTGATCCACCTGCCTCGGCCTCCCAAAGTGCTGGGATTACAGGCGTGAGCCACTGCGCCTGGCTGGATCATGCGTTTCTTATGTTTTGAGTCTAATTTGCAAGTGGGAGGCTGGGAGACATTTTCTATCCCTGCGAAACAGAAGAAGTGATTCCTTTTCATTTTGTTCATTTTCATCCTGTTTTTCCTAAAGCCACATTACTTTCCTTTAATCCACATGTCCGCCTCAGCACATGTCACCATGTGCTGTGTTTGGGACGTAGTAAATAGTCCAAAGAGCCAGGCCGGGGTGGAAGCTGTGATTTTGACGGGATTGACAGTAGACTGAGAACTTTGAACTTTTAGCCTTGGGGAACAATTTTATGTGTTTATTCTACAATGATGATCACTGGTGATTTGTCCAAAACATATTATAAGTGTGAGGTGTGGAGGCAAAGGAGTTACTGGAAGCTGGGGCAGGGCAGAAGCCCAGTGTATGAAGTTGTGCAGAGGACAAGCAAAGGACAGAGACCAGTGAATCGGAGTCATCCCCTGAGGCTCAACCCCGGGCACCGCCTCCAGCTCTTCTCCACCTGCTTCTAGGCAGTGAAGTCCTAGGAACTAGCAAGAAAGTCTGTCCTTAAGTTTGTGGGACAAGCATTTGTTGCACACCTACTATGTCCAAAACCCTGTAGAGTTAGGTAAAAAGACATCTTAGATCCCAGCTCTCCAAAAAAGCAAGGATCTAAGTGTACAGAGACTTCTTGCTTCGTGATTTCTTCTTCATCCTATTTATCCCCTTCTTATACCCACAGGACCAGACCTCACATGCCCTATCAGAGTCTCCCAGGTGGTTTTTCCAGGGAGAGAGAACATTAAACATCAAACAAACATATATAGAGAAAAGCCTCTCACCCAGGCAGCCTGAGCTAGCTGCAGGAGCAAGCATTCTTCTGACTTCTGAGACAGTACAAGGTGTGTCCAGGTGACTTACCTGTCACTGGGCAGCTGCCATGCGCACTCCTCACACCTGACGCTGCTCAGGGAGAAGCCAGGCAGCTATAATAGTGTTCTTGGCCGGAGAACATCTGGCCTAGCAGGCAGGGTGTCATCTATGAAGCTGGGTGGAGAGAAAGCTGTTGGGGAAACCAGCCCCACACCACCCAGCGGATACCCCGAGTCCGGCGGAGACAAAGGAGTTAGAAAGAGACAGAACAAGCGTTTAAAAGGCAGGTCCAGGGGACCAGAGCGTTGGAGGCTTGCTCACGGCCCAGAGCTCTGGGCTCCACCCAATTTATTGGTTTACAAGCTCTTTGTTCTTAGGGCAGATGGGAAGGGGAGGAAGGGATGAGGAAAAGGATTAATCAGTGAGTCATTCGATAAGATGTGTAACAGTGGCGGTTTCTGTGAATTTCCTTGAGCAAAGGCGTGTGTCTAAACTACTTAAGATCTTTAATGACTGAAATGGGTGGGAGTGGGTTTCAGGAGGAGCCAAGATGTTTGATTATACTCCTCTGCTTCAAGGGAGTGTTATCTCCCTGAGCAACCTGTGGAAAGCCGCTGAGCAACCTGTGGAAAGCCGCTGAGCGGTTATCCTCTCGGGGCATAAAGACAAAGAAGGCAATAAGGAGACTTTGCTCCTCAGAGGCCACCCGTGGCTTCCCATGGGTGTCTCACACAGGGGAGACCAACTCAACTGGCACCTAGAACTCTCTTTCCCACAAAAGCTAGGCTGGTTCTGATTCTTAACCTGCTCCAGCAGTGACACACTCAGTCCCACAGGGAGTGGACGACCCCCAGGAAGAAGATGATGTTTTGGAGGAAACTCCCCAAAGCCCTCTTCATTGGGCTGACTCTGGCCATTGCTGTCAATCTCCTTCTGGTATTTTCTAGCAAGGGGACTTTACAAAACCTGTTTACGGGTGGTCTCCACAGGGAGCTTCCTTTACATCTGAATAAACGCTACGGGGCAGTGATAAAGAGACTCTCCCACTTGGAGGTGGAATTGCAGGATCTGAGTAAGTTTACAATGCTAACCTGGAAGGTGTGTGTGTGGGTGTGTGTGTTTGGGGCACTTAGGAAAAAGGGATATGGAAGGAAAAATGGGTGAGAGGTCACATTTTCATCTCAGTCGCTCATTGAAGCATCTGACACTGAATTCTGTGCCTTCAAATGGGAGATGGGTATTGAGAATGAAGTGAGTAGAAGTGGAAATTAGAGCAAGCAGTATGGGGGAGGTGAGCATGTGTGTGTGTATGCGTGTGTGGGCTTGTGCACATGCATTATCATTATATCTACATATGTGCAGGCAACGAGAAGAATAAGAATCCCAAGGGCCATAGACCTGTCCTTAGGCCTATTGAAGGGGTGGGTTGCACCTCCACACCTGTGGGTGTTTCTCGTTAGGTGGAACGAGAGACTTTGGAAGAGAAAAAGACACAGAAACAAAGTATGTAGAGAGAAATAAGGGGGCCCAGGGGACCAGCGTTCAGCATACGGAGGATCCCGCCAGCCTCTGAGTTCCCTTAGTATTTATTGATCATTCTTGGGTGTTTCTCGGAGAGGGGGATGTGTCAGGGTCATAGGATAATAGTGGAGAGAAGGTCAGCAGATAAACACGTGAACAAAGGTCTCTGCATCATAGACAAGGTAAAGAATTAAGTGCTGTGCTTTAGATATGCATACACATAAACATCTCAATGCCTTAAACAGCAGTATTGCTGCCCGCATGTCCCACCTCCAGCCCTAAGGCGGTTTTCTCCTATCTCAGTAGATGGAATATACAATCGGGTTTTACACCGAGACATTCCATTGCCCAGGGACGGGCAGGAGACAGATGCCTTCCTCTTGTCTCAACTGCAGAAAGGCGTTCCTTCCTCTTTTACTAATCCTCCTCAGCACAGACCCTTTACGGGTGTCGGGCTGGGGGACAGTCAGGTCTTTCCCTTCCCACGAGGCCATATTTCAGATGGTCACATGGGGAGAAACCTTGGACAATACCTGGCTTTCCTAGGCAGAGGTCCCTGTGGCCTTCCGCAGTGTTTTGTGTCCCTGGGTACTTGAGATTAGGGAGTGGTGATGACTCTTAACGAGCATGCTGCCTTCAAGCATCTGTTTAACAAAGCACATCTTGCATAGCCCTTAATCCATTTAACCCTGAGTCGACACAGCACATGTTTCAGGGAGCACGGGGTTGGGGGTACGGTTACAGATTAACAGCATCTCAAGGCAGAAGAATTTTTCTTAGTACAGAACAAAATGGAGTCTCCTATGTCTAGTTCTTTCTACACAGACACAGTAACAATCTGATCTCTCTTTCCTTTCCCCACGCCTATGTGTGGTAGGGGCTGTTGAAGAGAGGTGGCAATCTCTGGGGCAAGGGCCTCGCTTCCATTTTGCGGTGTGCTCCTTTCATGAACTAATGAGGGCTTTGTTAGAGGACCTAAGATCGAATCCTGATGTGCCATTGTGGTTGTGTGACTTTGAGCAAGTGCTTCTCTCTCTCAGCCTCAGGTTCCTGGTCTGTAAATGGAGATGATGATAACAATAGTGATAGTTATCAACCTGACCTAATAGGGTTGTGAAGTAGATGCAGAAGGTGATCTATAAACTGCTCTGTGCCAAATTTTAACCTCCTCATTTAAACTTAAGGGTAAGATTTCAACACATTCTGGGGTTTGTTTGTGATTCCGGCTCACCATGGAAGTCTAATGCCTCTGAATTTTATGTGCCTGTGCATCCAACTTCAGCAAGGGAAGCAGCAATTTCCCCCTGCTCCCAGGTAACAGGGATCAAATGCTGGAACCCCATAGGGAGGTGTTTTATGTGTGGGCAGGGATGTGACTGCCCAGGTGTGTGCACATGGGGCTGGAGTTGGGGAAAGTGTCTTTTAAAATGAGAACTGAGCATTGTCAGGGTTCAGGGTGAGGCTGGGAGATGGGTGGAAGGAAAGGCAGGAAGAGAAAAAGGAAGGGAGAGAAGAAATCAGGGAAAGAGCGAGGAGAGTGAGAAGGGAGATGAGAGAGGAGAAAAGAGCTGGGACAGGAAAGGAGCAGAGAAGTGAGGGAGTCCAGGGAGAGAGAGTGAAAGAGTTTGTATGGAGACAAGAAGAAAAGAAGGGAAAGTGTGATGGGAGAGAAGGAGAGAATAAAAGGAGAGAGGAGGAGTCCTAAGGCACCCATAGCACCTTCCACGTCCTCCTTCATAAGACTCATCATATTTTATTATGGTACAGTTTTATGGAAAGCAAGTTTCATAAGTGCTGTTTCCATGAACGTCTCATTCACTACTCATTTCTATTCATACATCGAAATTCCATAGATGAATAAATGAGTGGGTGTGTCTAGGAAAGAGAGAGAAAAAGACAGGCAGACAGGGATGAAGGGAAGAGTGATACGGGGCAAGAGAGTGGATGAAACAGAGGGAAGATCATCAGCTCCACAAGCCCTGGCTTACCTGGGTGGGTCGGACATTGCCCATGCAAATATGCTTGGTGCAGCTTCACCAGGAGGATGCCTGTGTACCTAGGGTGGTGACCCCAGCACCACCCTCACTATTTGGCAGAGCACCCAGACCACACCAGGACTGTCTCACCCATCCCCAAGGCTCATCACACTGGCTCAGCCTCCTCAAGCCGTAAAATGGCAGGAGTTCTACCCAAAGCCCTGCTATTCTTTCCATCAGCTAGGACACAATGTGCCATGAGGAGCCAGCCAGAGCCATCTGGTTTACTCCTCTTTCCTTTTTTGCAAAGATCTTTCTTGTTATTCTTGGTGCTCCCACATTTTATTCGCTCTGAAATGTTGTGATGTCAGAGACTCACTACCACCTGAGTTGAACCTCAAAAAGTCTTCTGGGCCCTGTTTCTAGATCACCAATGCTTTTTTTTTTTTTTTTTTTCCACAGAGCTTCCTATAACTAAAAGCCTGTTTAATTACCCTTCATCCTGTTTGCTCATTGCCTCCAGGATTCCAGGAAGATTTAAAAAAATCAGAAGTCGGCCGGGCGCGGTGGCTCACGCCTGTAATCCTAGCACTTTGGAAGGCCGAGGCGGGTGGATCACGAGGTCAGGAGATCGAGACCATCCTGGCTAACACGGTGAAACCCCGTCTCTAGAAAAATACAAAAAATTAGCTGGGCGTGGTGGCGGGCGCCTGTAGTCCCAGCTACTCGGGAAGCTGAGGCAGGAGAATGGCGTGAATCTGGGAGGTGGAGGTTGCAGTGAGCTGAGATCGTGCCACTGCACTCCAGCCCGGGTGACAGAGCGAGACTCCGTCTCAAAAAAAAAAAAAAAAAAAAAAAAAAATCAGAAGTCAATAAGGATACTTAGTTGAATCATGTAAGCTACCAAGAGCAAATGCAAACAATAATAATTATATCCCTATTGAGGGAGGGATCAATGACTCTAAGCCAGTTTTCTGGAACCTCCCTCAGGGTTCATAAAAGCCCCACTAGGGGAATGTCAATGGATGTGTCTGTTTTGGGGCTTGGAAAGTTTCAGTATAAGTTATGGGGATAACCTAGTGACACTGTATTCATACTACCGGATTGTGCATTTCCTCAAATTGACTTTAGGATGGCCAGGTCCAAACCAGCTCCCACTGATAGCCATGAGTGAAAGAGAAAATCAGATATCCCCCCAAGGAAGAACGCAGAGGAGCTCAGAGGTAGGAAGAACCCAGTACCACCCTGTGGCCCCTGTATGCTTAGGACAGAAAAGTATGAATAACCATAGTGTTCCATCTGGGACACTGTAAACAGTATGCTCTCACTTCTTTTTTCTACCTGAACAAGTATGCATGGTGTTCACATGAGCCTCCTTTGAGAGACCTACCATTTACTTTTTGCCCAAGTTTTTTCGACTATCCTCTTTTTGTCTTAACCACTTGAAGAGGTGATTCTCTTTCTCCTTTTCCTTCTTTTTGGGCCAGTCTTACGTCACTTTACAAACATGTTCTCCTCCCAGTCACAGGACTCCCCTGCTTCCCTCTTGGGGGCTGTATATGGATCTGAAATCCAGCACACACGTTCTGCTTGCCAAGCCATGTGCTGTGGCACGAGATGCATCTACCCGGAGAAAATTCACACGATGGGGCTGTCCCCTCACCAAGCTGCTGACCCTGAGTTGCAATCATTCAGAAAAAAAGGATGCCTTCTTCTAACTTGTAGAAAGATGCTGGACAGGCTACACGTGATCCTGTCAGTCTGGTTGAAGTTTAGTGTGGGCTTAAGGGAGGATTAGTAGAAACAAAGTAGATCCTATGTCAGAGTGCCTTGATCACCATGGTGGGATTTAGTGCTGAAGAATGTCATCATCACTAAACACTAAAATGGTTACTTTTTCTCTCTTTTTGCTGAGTTCACAGATTGAGCTTGAGGGAGTTCAAGGTGCATATGCTAAGATACTCCAGCACAAATCTTACTGGGTGGAAAGGTGAGGTAAATAATAGATGACGTCATGGATCCTGGAGGGCATCTTCTGCATAAAACATCCTCTGCCTGGGTCTATCACTATCTGTTCATTCTTTTGAGTTAAGGCAGTGTTTCCCGAATTAATGTGACAATTAGATTTATATAGACCAATTGTTTAAAATATAGATTCTCAGGCTCTACCCCAGAATTGAGTCAGAATCTTCAGGGGAGGCCTGGGATTCTGTATTTTTAACAAGCTTTTGAAGACATTCTTTTTTTTTTTTTTTTTTTTGAGACGGAGTCTCGCTCTGTTGCCCAGGCTGGAGTGCAGTGGCACAATCTCGGCTCACTGCAACCTCCACCTCCCGGGTTCAAGCAATTCTCCTGCCTCAGCCTCCCGAGTAGCTGAGATTACAGGCATGCACCACCACACCCAGCTAATTTTTGTATTTTTAGTAGAGACAGGGTTTCACCATGTTGGCCAGGCTGGTCTTGAACTCCTAACCTTGTGATCCGCCCACCTCGGCCTCCCAAAGTGCAGGGATTACAGGCGTGAGCCACCACGCCCGGCCTGCTTTTGAAGACATTCTTACGATCACGCAAGTTGGAAATTGCAAGACTAGGACATCTCCAATTTTAAAGTTCCTCGTAAATCAAGCACAGGAGAAGCAAGGGCATAGGTGGATGATGGTGGTAGTGGTTAGGTTAGATTTGCCTTTGTTAGGCACTAATGGTGTAGTAAGTGTTTCTTAAGTTTTACTGTAAAAAGAATTACTCCTTGGTTTTATTAAAAAGCAGGTTCTTGTAATTTCTCCTGTCTGTATTTCCACCCAACTCTCAGATCCTGATTTAGTGGATTTGGAGATTAGCCTGGGTATCTACATTAAAAAAAAAATCACAACTGATTGATTCTGATGTAAGTGGTTCTCAGGCCTCATTCTGAAAAACATTAGCTTATTTTCCATCTGTTTCTCAGATCATAGTCAGTTCTTCGAGGAGCTTTGAAGATGTGGGATGGAGGAGTTTTGATGGGGCTAAAGGGAGAGACGTATCTAGTACATACTTTGCTGGGACAGCCTTGCATGGCTGGATAAGTTCCCTGACATACTACATCCTCTGTGACAAGAGCTTATAAGTTTTAAGATGTAGTGGGTAAACCGTTAGAGGAAATTAGGATGGAAAGGAATACCCAGGTAACTAAGGAGGGGCTGAAATGTTTTCTCTCCCACCCCTGTCCTCTTCATTTGCAGAAGAAAGTATGAAATTAGCTCTGAGGCAACAAGAAAATGTGAACAGCACACTGAAGAGGGCGAAAGATGAAGTACGCCCTCTTCTAAAGGCAATGGAAACCAAGGTGAATGAGACAAAGAAGCACAAAACCCAAATGAAACTCTTCCCACACTCACAGCTTTTCAGGCAATGGGGCGAGGATCTTTCTGAGGCCCAGCAGAAGGCGGCCCAGGACCTCTTCCGGAAGTTTGGTTACAACGCGTACCTCAGCAACCAGCTGCCTCTCAATCGCACCATCCCCGACACGCGAGACTACAGGTGGGATGAACCAGGCTTGGGCTTCTAGGGTCCTCAGTTTGATTTGAGGATGAGCTTTGGGAGCAGTGAACATTGAAGGCTGGGGGAGTGGGGGATTGTTGGGGAAGGGGTTCAGGCTGAGCAAAGTTGTTGTTTTCAATTTATTTTATAATGACAGCTCAGAGAAGATAACCAACTGATCCAAATATTTACAGACCCTTGGGAAAGAACAGAAATGTCAGAGGAGCAGAGGTCCTTTGCAACTCTGATCCAGAGAAACAGAGATATGGTGGGTCTAACTGATAATTTTACAGATGAGGAAACTGAAGCTGAGAAGGGACTTGCGCAAGTCACACCAAAGCCAGTAGCTCTACCTCCTTTCCTAGGACTTTGCTCAAATTCTCTACTTGAATTCCTCTTTGCTGGTAAATCTAATTTGAAGAGCAATCCCTCTCCCTCTCCATCTGTTTCCCTTTGCTATTGTTTTTTTTTTCTCATTCTGTGTCTCCCACCCTCCTTCATAATACTTTTTTAGAAACAGCTTTGTTGAGATGTAATTCACATACCATGCAATTTATCCATTTAAAGTGTGCAATGTAATGTTTTTCAGTATATTCACAGAGTTATTTACTATTCCCACAATCAATTTTAAAACATTTTCATCACTTTAAAAAGAAACGGCTTTAGCAGGCCCTCCACATTTTCCTACAACTTCCTCATCCATAGGCAACCACCACTAATCTACTTTTTATCCCTATGGATTTGTCTGTTCCGGACCTTTTGTATTAATTGAATCAGGTAATATGGGGTCTTTTGTGACTAACATTTTTCACTTATCACAGTGTTTTCAAGTATCATTCACATTATAACACATATCAATACTTCGTTCCTTTTTATTGTTAAATAATATTTCATTGTCTGGATTATACCTACCGCATTTCCTTTATCCATTCATCAGGTGATGAACATTTGGATTGTTCCCACTTTTTGACCATTATGAATAATACTGCTGTGAACATTCATGTATAAGTTTTTGTGTGAACAAATGTCTTCTTTTCTTGTAGGTGTACCCGATGGGTAGAATTGCTGGGCCATATGATAATTCTGTATTTAGCCTTTCAAAGAACTGCCAGGTGGTTTTCCAAAGTGACTCCATCATTTAACATTCCCTCAAGCAGTATATGAGAGTTCTGATTTTTCCACATACTCACTAACATTTGTTATTATTTTTCTTTTTAACTATAGCCATCCTAGTGGGTCTGAAGTGGTATCTCATTGTGATTTTGTTTTAAATTTCCCTGAGGCCTAATAGTGTGGGACATCTTTTCATGTGCTATTGGCCATATGTATGTCTTCTTTGGAGAAATGTCTATTTGGAGACGTTCTTTTAAAAAAAAATTGGCTTATTTTTTTTTTTATTATTGAGTTGCAGAGTACTTTATATATCCTAGATACAAATTCCTATCAGAAATATCACTTGTTAATGATTTCTTTCATTGTGTAGATTGTCTGTTCACTTTCTTGATGGTCGTCTTTGAAACACAAGAGTTTTAAATCTTAATGATGTCCAATTTATCTATTTTCTCCTGGGTTGCTTGTACTTTTGGTGTTATATCTAAGAGACCTTGCTTGGTACAAGGTCGCAAAGGTTTACACCCATGTTTTCTTCTAAGAATTTTATAGTTTCAGTCTTAAATTTAGGTGTTTGGTCCATTTTAGTTTTTGTACATAATGTGACAAGGAGGGTCCAACTTCATTATTTTATGTGTAGCTATTCAGTTATCCTACTACCTTGGTTGAATAGACTACTCTTTCCACATCAGATTGTCCTGCCACCCTTATTGAAATCAATTGGTGATAAATGTAAGGGTTTATTTCTGGATATCAATCCTCTTTCGTTGCTGTATAGGCCTATCCTTATGCCAGGAACACATTGTCTTAACAATTGTAATTTTGTAGTACATTTTGAAATTGAAAATGTGAATCTTCCAACTTTCTTCTTCTTTCTCAAGACTGTTTTGTCTATTCTGGGACCTTGAATTTCCATATGAGTTTTAGGATTAGTTTGTCAATTTCTGCAAAGAAACCAGCAGGATTTTGACAGGGATTTCATTAACTCTGTAGCTCTGCAGATCTGTAGATTTGTGGAGGACTTCATTTAAAAATTAGATCTTCCAATCCACGGCTGTGAGAAATCTTTCCATTTATTTAGGTCTTTAATTTCTTTCAACAATGTTTTGAGTTTTCACAGTATAAGTTTGTTTATGTCTTTTGTTAAATTTATTCCTAGGTATTTGTCTTTTTGATGCTATTGGAAATGTGACTGTTTTTAAAAATATTTTATTTAAATTGGCAAAATTGTATATCTTATCATGTACAATATGATGTTTTGAAATGTATACACATCGTGGAATGGCTAATATATATCTAAATTAACATATGCATTACCTCACAATTATTTTCAGTGAGAATACTTAACATCTAGTCTCTTAGCAATTTTCAAGAATACCACATATTGCTATTGACAATAGTCACCATGTCGTACAATACAACTCTTGAACTTATTCCTCCTATCTAACTGAAATTTGTATCCTTTAACCAACATCTCTCTAACCCCTCTTCGCCCAGCCCCCACCCTGGCTCCTGGTAACCACCTTTCATTCTACTCTCTTTCTGTGAATTCAACTTTTTCAGATTCCACCTGTAAGTGAGATCATGTAGTATTTGTATTTCTGTTCCTTGCTTATTTTACTTAACATAATGTACTCCACATTTATCCATGTTGTCACAAAAGACAGAATTTCCTTCTTTTTTTGTGGCTGAATAGTATTCCATCTATTATGGAATAGTATTCCACTATTATGAATAATGCTCCAATGAAAATGGGAGTGCAGTCTCTCTTCAATATACTAATTCATTTCCTGTGGAGATATACCCAGTATAGGATTGCTAGATCATACAGTAGTTCCATTTTTAGTATTTGAGGAATCTCTATACTGTTTTCTTTATTGGGTGTACTAATTTACATTCCCACTAACTGTGCAATGGTTCTATTTTTTCCACATTATCGTCAATACTTGTTATCTTTTATTTTTTGATAGTAGCCATTCTAACAAGGGTGAGATGATAGTGCAATGTGAGTTTAATTTGCATTTTCCCTGATGGTTAATATATGGAACATTTTTTTCATAAAGCTCTTGGCCATTTATAGTCTTCTTTTGAGAAATGTTTGCTTAGGTCATTTGCTGATTTTTATTTTTCTCGTTATTGAGTTGTTTCTGTTCCTTATATATTTTGGATATTAACTTCTTATTAAATATATGGTTTGCAAATATTTCCTCTCATTCTGTAGGTTGTCTCTTCATTCTTTTGATTTTTTTCCTTGCTGTGTAGAAGATTTTTAGTTTGATGTAATGCTATTTGTCTATTTTTGTTTTTGTTGCCTGTGGCTTTGGGGTCTTATCCAAAAAGTCATTGCCCAAACCAATGTCCTGGAAAATTTTCTCTATTTTCTTTATAGGAGTTTTACAGTTCTGGGTTTTATATTTAAGTCTTTAATCTAGTTTCAGTTGATTTTGTATATGGTGTGAGATAGGGTTCAGTATTACTCTTTTTAAACGTGGGTATTCCGTTTTCCCAAAACCATTTATTGAAGAGGCAGTCCTCTTTCCATTGCGTTTTCTTGACATCTTTGTTGAAAATCAGTTGCTTATAAATGTGTGGATTTATATCTGTGTTCTATATTCTGTTCCACTACTCTATGTCTGTTTTTATGGCAGTATCATGCTGTTTTGATTACCATAGCTTAATATAGTATATTTTGAAGTCATGTAGTGTAATGTCTCCAGCTTTCTTCTTTTGGCTAAAGATTGCTTTGGCTATTCAGGATAATTTATGGTTCCATTTAGAACTTTTAGAGTTGTTTTTTCTATCTGTAAAAAAAGGTCTTTAGAATTTTGTTAGGGATTGAATTCAATCTGTAGATCACTATGGGAGGCATGAACATTTTAACAGTATTAATTCTTCCAACCCCTGAACCTGAGATGATTTTTCTTTTCTTTTTTTTTTTTTTTTGAGACGGAGTCTCTCTCTGTCGCCCAGCAATCTCGGCTCACTGCAAGCTCCACCTCCTGGGTTCATGCCATTCTCCTGCCTCAGCCTCTCCGAGTAGCTGGGACTACAGGCGCCCACCACCACGCCCAGCTAATTTTTTGTATTTTTAGTAGAGACGGGGTTTCACCATGGTCTCTATCTCCTGACCTTGTGATCTGCCTGCCTCGGCCTCCCAAAGTGCTGGGATTACAAGCGTGAGCCACCGCCCCCGGCCTGAGATGATTTTTCATTTATTTGTGTTTCTTTAATTTCATTCACCAGTATTTTAAAGTTTTCTATGTAGATATCTTTCACCTCCTTGGTTAAATGTATTCATAAGTATTAAGTGTTTGTATAGCTATCATATATAGAATTGCTTGATTTCCTTTTTCGACAGTTTGCTGTCAGTGTATAGTAAGGCTACTGATTTTTGTATGTTGATTTTGCAACTTTACTGAATTTGTTTATTAGTTTTAACCATTTGTAGTGGGTTCTTTAGGGCTTTATATATATAGATCATGTCATCTGCAAACAGGGACAATCTACACTTCTTTCCCAATTTTGATGCCTTTTATTTCTTTCTCTTGCCTGATTGCTCTCGCTAGGACTTCTAGAAGCATGTTGAATACAAATGTGAGAGCGAGCATTCTTGTCTTGTTCCTGACCTTAGAGGAAAAGCTCTCAATTTTTCCTCATTGAGTATGATGTTAGCTGTGGGTTTGTCATATGACCTTTATTGTATTGAAGGTACAATTCTTCTATACCTAATTAGTTGAGATTTTTTATCATGAAAAAATGTTGAGTTTTTGTTAAGTGATTTTTCGCATCTATTGAGATGATCATATAGTTTTTGTCCTTCATTCTGTTAATGTGGTTTATTACATATAGAGATTTGTGTATGTTGGACTATCTTTGCATCGCATCCCTGAAATAAATCTCACTTCATCATGCCATGTTGGCCAGGCTAATTAGTCCTGCTGTGAACAGGACCACCTGCACAATTTGCAGAGCCCAGTGCAAAATGAAAATGAGGGACCTTCATTAAAAAATAATTAAGAATTTCAGGATGATAAAAGTAATGAATGAAATCAATAGGGGAGACCTATGTGTGGGGTCCTGTGTGACTGCACAGGTTGCATACCATAAAGCTGGCCCTCCCAATGTAATATATATTCTCACATTGGGATTTTCTAAGGGAAATTATGTGGCTGGCATAATTTGCCTTAGAAAATCCCAATGTAAGAATACATATTTTGTGATTGGTTAAAGCCTGTTTGCATGTATACAAATTAGTTTATGTGTTCCACACGACAGTAGTTTCAGGCAAAATTGTGATATGAATAAAGTTTATCTTTCCAGCTGTAGCACATAGAACTTACCTTATGTCCTTAAGCCATTGTTCTCTCCCATTGCTTGAGATGGTACACTGTGATTCTCCACCGGGAGGAGTGGCTAGAGATCTGTTCCTCTAGATGTCATCCAACCAACAAACACTTTTTCAGTATCTTCTGCTGCACTGTTCAATATGATAGCTACTAGTCACACATGGCTACTTAAATGTAAATTAATTAAAATTATTTGCTTGAGGTGGTACACTGTGATTCTCTGCCGGGAGGAGTGGCTAGAGATCTGTTCCTCTAGATGTCATCCAACCAACAAACACTTTTTCAGTATCTTCTGCTGCACTGTTCAATATGATAGCTACTAGTCACACATGGCTACTTAAATGTAAATTAATTAAAATTATTTGCTTGAGGTGGTACACTGTGATTCTCTGCTGGGAGGAGTGGCTAGAGATCTGTTCCTCTAGATGTCATCCAACCAACAAACACTTTTTCAGTATCTTCTGCTGCACCGTTCAGTATGATAGCTACTAGTCACACATGGCTACTTAAATGTAAATTAATTAAAATTATTTGCTTGAGGTGGTACACTGTGATTCTCTGCTGGGAGGAGTGGCTAGAGATCTGTTCCTCTAGATGTCATCCAACCAACAAACACTTTTTCAGTATCTTCTGCTGCACCGTTCAGTATGATAGCTACTAGTCACACATGGCTACTTAAATGTAAATTAATTAAAATTATTTGCTTGAGGTGGTACACTGTGATTCTCTGCTGGGAGGAGTGGCTAGAGATCTGTTCCTCTAGATGTCATCCAACCAACAAATACTTTTTCAGTATCTTCTGCTGCAATGTTCAATATGATAGCTACTAGTCACATATGGCTACTTAAATGTAAATTAATTAAAATTCAATTAAGCATTTAGGTTTTGGTTACATTAGCCGTATTATAAGTGCTTGATAGGCACATGTGGCTAGTAGCTATCGTTATGTATAGGATAGATATAAAACATTTCGTCATTGCAGAAAATTCTACTGGACAGTGCTGGTCTACACATTCCAGGCCAGGTACTGGTGATGCAGGGAGGAGGGAGAGATTATTCTTTTGGAACCACGGGAGGCACATTTCCTACCTCTTTTGATTGATATACGGTGGGTAAGAAAATGTGGGTACGGATAAGAGAAGTGTCGTGAAAGCATTTCAAATATAGCCAAGAATATGCAAAAGATGCACAGGAAACAGGGCAGAGGAGAGAAAATCTGAAGTCACTGATGTGATTATGTGGATTAGAGGAAAGAGAAGTTCAGCAGAATTTTAATCAGTCTTCCATTTAACATAATCACCTATTCTTACTCACAATTAAATACAGATTTATTGTATAACCATCCCGTACCAGACATTAAGAACTGCCACTAGGCTTTAAAGAATTTAAAGTTCATCTCTGCCAGGCTCCTCTGCCTGTGCTTTAAATATTCATCATCCTCAGGCTTTAGTCCAAGGCTCGTTTCTGCTGGTAGTTAAGGTGATTTTATCCACTTACGAATTCGCCACTTACATGGCAGTGACTCCCGAATCCACAGGACTGTAATCCAGACTGTTCTTCTGAGGCTCCAGGGCCATATATGTAGTGACCTACCAGGGAATTCCATGGGGTGACTCAGAGGCATCTCAGACTCCACATGGCCAAACCTAAGCTGATCCACTTCTTTTTCTCCTCTTATTGCTCCTAGCTCAGTGAATGTTGCCATTGTCTACGTAATAATGACAACAAGAACAAAAATAACCAGCAAAGTGGTAAGAATAGCAGATAACCTTTATGGAGCTTCTTTTACTCTGAGCCCTTATGCACATTACCACATTTGAACCTCATAATAATACTATGATGTGAGGATTACTCCTTCTCCTCCTACTATTACTACCAATACTACTGCTACTAACCACCACCCTCACCGTCTTATAAATAAGGAAAGGAAGAGAAGCACAAAAAGATCATGCAGATAGAAAGTGACAGCTGTGACTCGAGTGAACACAGGTCTTTCTGGAGACTCTGCTCCTACTCTTACTGTACCACCCTCTTACAGCATTGGTATCACTTGGGAGCCTGGAAGAAATTCAGGATCTCAGACCCCGCTCAGACCTACTGATGAGAGGCTGCACTTTAACAAGATCCCCAAGTGATTTGTGTGCGGGTATTGCTAGAATCTGAGAATTTTTTTGTGGTCTAGTATTGCCCCTTCAACTTCCACCTGCCCACCACATTTGAATAATGAATGAGATGAGGAAATCAGATTGAAAGTATCTTCCTTTCGCTTCTTTCTTTCTCCAGGGTTGGCCTTAGGTGAGGTCTTCACACCCTCCCACCTGTATTATGGCGTCCACATGTGGCTGATTACCTTCTGTTGTCCTCATGGCAGCCTGAATGGTTTCTTTAAAATGTTAATTTGGTCATACCAATCCTTTGCTTAAAACCCTTTAGTCCCTCTAGGATGAAGTCCAGTCTTCCTAGCTTCCAATGTCCAGCCCCTCTGGTCTGTCCGTCCTCATATCTCTTGGCACTACTACTAAGCAGGGCAGTTCTCCAAGGAGTGTGTGCTTTTTTGTGTCCCTGGCATTCACCTGCATTTTGGCTTTTGCCTAAAATTCCCTTGCAGTTTCAGAGGGTGCAATTCAAATGCCTGCCAACATACATGTTGTGAGCATTTTGGGTGAGGGCGATGGTGAACGGGTGAACAGTGAGCTACGCTGTGAGTAACTGCAGCAACCCTGGCCCTGGACAGAGCAGGGGCTATCTGCTGGAAAAGTGGTTGCAGTGAGATAAATATTTGCTTTGTCAGAGAGACAAGAAATCTGGATTTGTATGTTGGCAACTACTTGAAGTTTTTAAAAAATGTGTGGATTGAGGCTTCCTTCCAGAATGGCAAAGTGTTGAGTGCAACATTTTCTTTCCCTAGCAAAACAACTATTTGACTGGAGAAAATTATAATTATTTAAATTTTTTTTTACAAACTGTCCTAAGGAAATATGCAAATGGAAAAACATTCTTTCAAGAAAATCTACTAAATATCCTTCAGAACAGCAGGAGTCTGTGGCATTGGAGCCGTGACTTGTTCCCCCTACCCACCGTCAGCACTGTCTTATGGAAACTTCTCAAGGTTATCTGCTCTGGTGGCTGTGGTCAAGAAGTGGGCTCCCTGTCCCTGCAGGTCCTAGCATACATAGGTCCTTGGTATCACCCCAGGAAGGGCAGGCCACCCACATTTCACACCTTCTCCTTCCTCCACTAGGAATGCAAAAGCTCTATGCCTAGTGGAGGTGATTGAGAGAGACAATTGTGACTCCCTTCTTCTACTTTGCCTCTACTCATAGGGTGAAATTTCAACTCCAGGTGCATGAGTCCCAAGAACACGGGGCTCCAGTTGCCCCTTCTCCAACTTGCTGTCAGAGTGGAAGTTCCATACCAGAATGCACAAGCTAGGAAGACCAGGAGCTCCAGGGGGCTGCCACCTCCTTCCCCCCAGCCCACGTCTACCTGTAGAGCAGGGTGTCATTCTAGAAGTGGGCTTCTGTCTCCACCTCCAGCTTCTGTGCAGTGGTGCAGAAGTTCTGTTCGGAGGAAAGGCAGGATGAAAACCTCCCCAGCTGTATTTAAGGGACTGACCTTATTTAGAAGAGAGGATAAAGAATTCCAGCTCAATGATGTTGTCTGAAACAACAGAGATCTTGGTGGAGAAAATTAAAGAGTATGCTCATAGCTCCATAATACTAGTAGCAACAAGCAAAATGGCAGAACAACCAGAAATTTAACAGGAAGAATCAGGGAAAAAGATTGCCAAGAAGAGCCCTCCTTGGATCACACTTATCTCTGGGTCATCTAGAAGTTTGTGTGCAAGCCCCAGGCTGAACCTGCTCAGGAACAGGAAGACTGAAAATCATTTGCCAACCAGAACACAGATCCATCAGCAAACAGCTGAAGCCCCACCAGCACTAGGGGCTTAGGGCCAACCTCTGAACAAATACTGCTTGAACAATAAACTACTCTGACTCAGAGGCAACTACTAGGAAGCCAGGATTAAAAATAAAATCATGCACATCCCTGGTAATCTGGAAGACTATGTGCATACCTAAGGCTGTGCTCTCTCAGGAGTTACCACAGAGAAGAAAATCCAAGCTACCAGTATGTGGGTCAAAACGTAAACTCCCTGAATTGTGATTGCAGCCTCCATGCCACATATATCAAGGAATCTAATCAACCAAGGAGGTTTAAATCCAATCTCTGATGAATAAGTGGCTTATGATGACCCAGAAGCAACCCCTGGGTAGCCAGGCTAAAAGAGAAAAACAAGAAGAGAAAAGAAAAAAAAAAAAAAGATCAAGATCATGAGCATTAAAGGCTGAACACTGCAGGAGAAATAGATTTTGTAGACTCTGCAAATTAGTTTAACTAGGTTACCAATTGAATAAATAAACAACGAAGCAAATTACAATGACATCTACTCCTGGGTTATATACAGAGTTACTAGATGCTTTGTCTAAAATGATAAGTTTTTAATAAGAAATTATGAGACATACAAAGATACAGGAAAGGGTAATAACTCGTGCACAAGAGAAAACAAAGCAACAGACTTTAGAAGGGGCCCAGATATTGGACTTATCTGGTAATGACTTCAAAGACATCATTATAAATATATTCAAAGCACTAAAGTTAGCCATGTCTAAAGCATTAAAGGAAGGTTATAATGACAATGTCTCATCAAATAGAAACTATCAATAAAGACTTATACATTATAAAGAGGTTCCAAATGATCCTTCTAAAACTAAAAAGTACAATAATAAAAATGAAGAGTTCGACTTTCATTTTCTGGTCTGGCTTTTAAGGAGCTTAGAAGTCCCCACTGTATCCTAACAACAAGTAAAAAGCTGAAAAAATGGAAAAATAAACTCTTCTCAGCTCTTTTAGAGAAGTGACATGGCAGGGCAAACTGCTTCCCCCAAAATTGGAGAGACAGACAGGTGGATACAGAGAATCACAACTTTACCAGAGCAGAAACCCTGGGAACCAGTGCTAGGATAGGAAAACCTGAACTGTAAATTGGTGAATTGTGGACAAGTCTGAGAATTAAACACTCCAGGAAGACCCAGTCAGAGAGCTTCTACACCTGTGTACATTTTACCCCCAGGACCTCTACCAGATCCTCACAGTAAATATCAGAGAAAAATCTCCTCCTGCCTCTGGGAGGGAGGAGAGAAGAGGTGAAAAGGAA
Organism: Homo sapiens; assembly: GCF_000001405.40. Taxonomy (NCBI): domain Eukaryota; kingdom Metazoa; phylum Chordata; class Mammalia; order Primates; family Hominidae; genus Homo; species Homo sapiens. Next base: position 4,737,504 of record NC_000012.12, read on the forward strand.
TCATTTTGAAATATGCCAGATTATTCTGTTTTTCTTAACAAGGTCTGCCTGAAAGAGAAACTATTTTACCAGAGCCTAACCTGCTGGAGTTTTGTGATAGCCTAACTGCTGTGGTTTGAATGTTTGTCTTCTCTGAAACTCATGTTAAAATGTATTTGCCATTGCGACAGTATGGGGAGGTGGGACCCTGAAGAGGTGTTTAGGTCGTGAAGGCTCTGCTCTGGTGAATAGGCAAATGCTCTTAGCACGTCATTATCATGAGAGGGGGTTTGTTATCATGGGACTGGGCTCTTGTTCTTTTCATCCTCTCTTTGTTCATTCTGCTGTGTGATACCTTCTGCCATGTTATAATGCAGCATGAAGCCCCTCACCAGAGGCCAGCACCTTGACATTAGACTTACTAGCCTCCAGAACCAGGAGCCAATAAGTTTCTATTCATTATAAGTTACCCAGTCTCAGGTATACTGTTATAGCTGCACAAAATGGACTGACACTAACCTACCTGGGAGAAGGGGAACATTCAACTCTAGCCTGCTTTAGCTTTCTACATGGTGGAATGAAAATACCCAACTTTAGCTCCCTCTATCCTTTTACATGGGGGAAAATATTTACACTTAAATTTATGATCAACTGATTCTTGACAAGGGTGCTAAGACCATGTAATGGGAGAGAGAATAGTCTCTTCAACAAATGGGTGCTGAGACAAGTGGATATCTAGATGCAAAATAATAAAGTTGGATCCCTCATCACACCATACACAAATATTTACACAAAATGGTCATAGATGTAAATATAAGAGATAAAACTATAAAACTCTTAGAAAAAAATGACAGCAAATCTTGGGAGATAGGGGTTGGCAAGAGTTTCTTAGGTATGACACCAAAAGCATAGGTGAAACAAGATTGAAAAGTTGAACTTTATCAAAACTAACTTTGTTTTTCCTGAAATAATACCATCCAGAAAGTGCAAAGACTGCCCATGGAGTGGGAGAAAATATTTGCAAACCATACATCTGATAAGAAGTCTAGAATATATAAAGAATGCTTACAAAACTCAATAATAAAGAAATTAAAAATGGGCAAACATATAGAAAAAACTTTTGGAGCTGATAGATACGTTTATTACCTTGATTATGATATTGTGGGTGCGTGCCTATGTGCAGTTTGTATATATCAACTAAACCCCAAAAAAGCTATAAAAAGGGTAAACCAGTGCCTACCATATGGTAAGCATTTAGTAAATATAGGCTAGTTTGCCACCTGTCTCTGGTGGTGAAGTAGAGGGTGTGTCAAAGGTGACTGGGGTCTGAGAACATGGGAAAAGGGCTGTGGCAATGACAAGAAGAAGGCTGCCAGCAAGGAAACTAATCCGGGTGTAGAAGAGGAACGGGAATTCCTTTTGAAGTATGTTGAATGTTCCAATGGAAACATCTAGCAAAGATTAATAAAAAAAGATTTTATCCCCATAACAGGAGAATTTTGGATAAATGAATATAAAATCTTGCTACTGTGATAAGCCACTAAGAGTTTTGCTTTCCAGTGAGTTTGAGGGGTGGATGAATTGGTCGATATAACATCATACAGAGTGAAAGGAAAGATTGGATAGCAGTGTTGAAGTAATTAAAAAAAAATAATATGTTATAAAAATGGTCTCTTATAGATGTCTTCGGAAGACATATCCTTCCCAACTCCCATCCCTCAGTGTCATTCTCATATTCGTGAATGAAGCTCTGTCCATTATACAACGGGCCATCACCAGTATCATCAACCGGACGCCCTCTCGATTGTTGAAGGAAATCATCTTGGTGGATGATTTCAGCTCAAATGGTGAGCAACGTGATCAAAGAATAATTGTAAAAATGACCACTTATCATCTGTGCTTGGCTGGAAAGAGGTTTTGGCTTAGAGTTTAGGACACCTTGGGTTTCTCATGTAGGGAAAATAAAAAGATCATTTGTTAAGGGTCTATTTGTGCTAGCCACATTTAATCTTCACAAAGTCAAGACAGAGGATAATTATCTCTACATGGATGAGGAAACTGAGACACAAAGAGATCACACAGTGTGCTTAAATTGGGCTGCAACCCAGTGGCAGAGGTGGGAGTTAGGCCAGGAGCGTGTACCTCCAAATCTACCTGTACCTCTTTTTTTTTTTTTCTTTTTCTTTTTCTTTTTTTTTTTGAGATGGAGTCTTGGTCTGTCACTCAGGCTAGAGTGCAGTGGTGGGATCTCGGCTCACTGCAAGCTCTGCCTACTGGGTCCGCGCCATTCTCCTGCCTCAGCCTCCCGAGTAGCTGGGACTACAGGCACCTACCACCTCACCCAGCTTATTTTTTTGTATTTTTTTAGTAGAGACGAGATTTCACCATGTTAGCCATGATGGTCTCGATCTCCTGACCTCGTGATCCGCCCGCCTCGGCCTCTGAAAGTGCTGAGATTACAGGCGTGAGCCACTGTGCCCGGCCACCTGTGCCCCTCTTATGCACCATGAAGAAGCCTGGGGGCTGAAGCAGAGTCTAGAGAAGGACTCCAGATACCAGGAAGGGACTTAGAGTTGCTCCTTATGAGGAACAGATCACTCTCCCTGGGTCATTAAGCCTGGAGAAAAGAGAGATTTGGGTGCTGACTCTTCATAGTGGCAACAGCTCTTGCCCACAGGGTGCCCGTGCCCCGAGTCTAGCCCACCCAAGGAAGAGATGTGGAAGATAACAGACCTGAGTCCTCACTTTCTGAGTTCATAATCCCGGCTTCTCCTTTGTAAGTGTTAGGTCCTTGGGTAACTCAACGTCTTCATATTCTGATTTTCTTGTACACAAAATATGGATGTTGATAATAATAACCATTTTATGAACTATAGTGAGAATTAAATGAGATCATAATGGCAGCTAACATTGCTTGTTCTAAGCACCTTACGTGTGTTAACTTTTTTTTTTTTTTTTGAGATGGAGTTTCAGTCTTATCATCCAGGCTGGAGTGCAGTGGTGGGATCTCAGCGCACTGCAGCCTCCACCTCCCGGGTTCAAGCAATTCTTCTGCCTCAGCCTCCTGAGTACCTGGGATTATAGGAGTATGCCACCACACCCAGCTGATTTTTGTATTTTTAGTAGAGATGGGGTTTCACCATGTTGGCCAAGCTGGCCTTGAACTCCTGATCTCAGATGGTTTGCCTGCCTCGGCCTCTCAAAGTGCTGGGATTACAGGTGTGAGCCACAGTGCCCAGCCATGTTAACTATTTTAATCATTACAACAACCCTATGAGGAAGGAATCACTTTTTGACCCATTGTGTAGATGTGCAAAACTAAGGCATAGACTGATCAAGGAACTTGTTCAACATCCTACAGCTGGTAAGTGACAGAACTGAGATTTGACCATGAACTTCAGAGTCCAGAGCCCTGGTTCTAACCACTGTGTTCCCGTTATAATACATGAATTATGTAACGCATTTTGCACATGGTAGCCTCTCAGCAATTGTTGGCTCTTAGTTTTATTAATTTTGTGCAACAAATAAAAGAGAGTAGAATTAAGTTACAAAAACTTAGAGGTTTGGTCTAGCAGTAAGGAAGAATTTCTTGACTATAAGGGCTATGAAGTGGCAGCTCATTGGAGGCAGAATATGTTCCTTCTCTGAGGATCTTTAAGTACCAGATAGGTTATTGTACCTTCCTGAGAGAGCAAACAAAATGACTGCTTAAACCTTCTTTTTTAGACTTCCACACTAAAAATACTTATATTCATCCTTTGCATACCTTCCTCTTTTTTTATTTCCAATGTAACTAAACAAAAAATAAGAAGGTACAATTTTTAGAGCAAAATTCCGCTGAAAACCAAAGAAAAGAGACTAGTTTCATTCATTTCTGGGCATGGAGACTGGTACTGAATTGCACACCTGGTTTTCTGCCCCAAAAATAGGAGCATGATTAGAAAGACCTCTGCCTTGGACTTCTGAAAACACTCTGGCTCTGCTCCCTGCCTGAGACAACGTCAGGCAAGTCCCCTCACCTCTTTGGGACTCAGGGTCTTCATGAGGCAAAGACAAGAGTTGAGCTGGAATATTGTGAAAGATATCTTTTTCTGTGGAAAAAAAAAAAGTCAATACTATACTCTATGGCCTATACGCTATGTTCCATGGGGTGTAGATAAGACTTAATTCAGGATTTTTTCCTGTGGAACAATGCAATAAAAAAATACAAGATTACAAACACGGGGTAGACACATAAAGAAAAACCAAAGCTTTCTTATTGCTCTAAGCTGCACTCCATTGTAACACATTCCTCTCATTTAGGTCTGAAACCCACGTTTGTTTTTCACAGAGATGATTTGTTTGGATGGTCACAGAAAAGGGGACTGTCAGCCATTCTTTGGTGTTACAGGGACAGGAATTAGAGAGTCTCTGTCATTAACCACGAAAACACCAGCCAAATTGAGCCTACACTGAGCATAACTCAAATATCTGTTTTATGTTAAACAGGAGAATAAATGGAAGTCTCTACCATGTCTACTGAAAGAGAAACTCACTATCCATGTGAATTTGGGGGCAAGTGACTCAACCACTTCTCACCTCAGTTTCTGCATCTGTAACATCAGGGAATAATGGTGCCTACCTGATAGGACCACTTTTGGGATTAAATAATACGTGTAAAGGCCTCAGGAGAGAGCCTGTTCCCATTACATGCTAGCTAGTGTTCTGCTCCTCACCTATCTCAGTGTTATTTGTAGTACTTTTGAAATGCCACAACCTGGTGCCAGAGGTTTGCCTCCTTTCTGTCTTTCCCTAGATGTTAAGCTTTATTCACATCACTCAAATATTTTGAGCTTAAATGTTAAATGTCACTCAAATGTTATGTGAGATGTAAGCTTTTTAAAAATTATATCAAGGTAGGTGGAATGCTGTATTTTCTCCCTAATTTTAGGAAAATTTCACAATCAACAACTACATGTTGAGTTTCTACCATGTGCTAGCCACTGGGCAGGGAGGAGGATGTCAGAGAGTTCAAGTTTCCTTCTTAATTAATGAGGCAAGACACATCTGTGGAAAGATACCTTAATGTGTGAAGAATAACGTGACAAACCGAGTGAACCGTCAGTGAGCAAAAGAAAGCACGGTGTGGGGGTGTGGGGTGTGGTGATCTAAGGAGGGTTCCTGGAGGAGGCAGGCTCGGATTGGGACTTGAAGGCGTCATAGGATTTGAGACAGCAGAGAAAATGAGGGAAGACTGGGAAACTGGGTCGGGGTGGAGAGCTAGGGAGCGCCGAAGGAATGGTGTGAACAAAAGTGAGGAATCCGGAAGCGCCCTGAGCTGACCAGCCTGGGATAGCAGGCTTTGGGGAGGAGACCGGTAGGAGGGCAAAGCTGGGAAGGGAGCATAGGTTGTCTTCAGAAAACCCGTCGAGGCGTCCTTAATCTTTGTGCTATATGATAGGCATTATTTTTCAGGAGGTGACTCAGAATCTATGGCTCATAAAAATTTGGAGTTGGAAGGGTCCTGACTATTTGGTACTTTTCTTGAAATTTTTAATATTTGTTTTTCTAAAAAAGAGACAGTCTCACTCTGTTGCCGAGGCTGGCCTCAATCGCCTGGGCTTAAGCACTGATCTGCCTCAGGCTCCCAAAGTGCTGGGATTACAGGCATGAGCCACCATGCCCACTATGGTACTTTTCTCTAGGTTGAGGAATCAGACACATCCAATGGGAAGTGACACAGGATGATGTAGTGACTGAATTAGAATCTAGATATTCAGGTTCAGTGGCGCCTCCTGTGGATTACTGACTAAAAGTAGTGCCTGGGTAAGTGTACAGACTGGCAACCTTGGCTACCCCAGCTTACTCCCAGAGGAAGCAAACAGCCTTAGACGTACTGGCCCTGCTTAGCACCTTCAATAATTGAGACAATTACTCTTGAGTGCAGCAGATCTAAAATGGGGTAAATTTTACTGCCATAGTCACTTAGGTGTTGATTCCAGGTCTTGATCACTCTAGGTCTCACAAATATGCTCGTCTTTTGAGAGAGGAACTGGCAAGAATCTCGTTCCTTGGCTATGGGGAGAGAGGAGAGGGAGGGAGGACTTGGTAAACCCAACCAGGTACTCACAGAGTTCTTGAGACACGGTGTTCTGGTGGCTAAACACAGCATAGGTTCACATCCAGGGCGTGCCACTTACTAGATATGTGACTTGGAAAAGTTTTTAAAACTCTTTGTGCCTCAGTTTCTTTATCTGTAAAGTGGGGATATTGTAGTGCCTACCACATGAGATACTTTCAGAATTAACTGAATTAATTTTATCAATGAGTAACTCAGAGTCATTTGGTTAGATATTTTGCATACTGCTAAGTGATTTGCCTGCAAGTGGTTTACTTACACGTGAGGAAGTCAGTGGTAGGCTGAGCCCAAGAACAAAGCCATAGACAAGCTTTATTAAAAGAGAGGGAAGAGAGGGAAGAAAACTACCTGTAAACAATCTAGGAATAGTGAATCTTGTTTGCATAATTTTTGGGCTAAATTTACTAGCTAGAAGCTGGCAAAGAGATTAATCTGTGCATTCTGTCCCAGTTGGTCCTTAAGTAGGTCAACTGGGAATATCTAAAACAAAACAATTTTAGTCATTTATGGATTCTCCAGAGTTTTGAGAGTTTAGCTATGAAGATGTTCCAGGCCTTCCTGCAGTGTTTTCCATCAACCTGTGCACCTTAGGCTAGATCTGTCCACTCATTCTCTCAAGAACTTCTCAACGTGAAAAAGCACTTATAACAGTGCCTGACACGTAGTAAGCAGTATTATCATTTTAAGATAGTTTAACTGTCAGGGAAAGGACATTAGGAATGATCACAGTACACCTCAGGTGCAAGGGAGAAGAGAGGCAGGTGCAGGGGAAATACTACTTATTTTCTAGTTGACTCTTAGAATTGCCCATTTTATGCTGGAGGTAGTCCAGCCACTAATATATGATAGTATAAAACTTTTGTATCACGTTGATTGTTGCACTCAGAATTTCTATAGGTGTGCACTTGATTGACAGGAGAACTAAAGGTACACTTGGATGAGAAGATTAAGCTTTACAACCAGAAGTATCCAGGACTACTGAAAATAATACGGCATCCTGAAAGGAAAGGTCTTGCTCAAGCCCGCAACACTGGCTGGGAAGCTGCCACAGCAGACGTGGTCGCCATCTTGGATGCTCACATTGAAGTCAATGTTGGGTGGTAAGGCTCAAAGAGGCTAGTTCTTCTGGAAAGGGCAGAGAGGAGATATTGTGCATGTACTGAACACAAGACAGGATACTGTGGACACAGGGAAAGTCAGCACCAGGCCTTAAATAAAGGGAATCTCCAAAACAGCATGCTTTTATGCAGGGATTTTGCTTGGCTAAGAGAAGTAGCATGGTGGAGAGTATTGACAGTTGGATCATAATGCTGACTTTGCCAAATACTTTGTGAATTTGAGTAAGTCACTTCACTTAACTAGACATTGTGTCTTTAACTGTAAAGATGAGGAGATTAGCCTTTGGTTATTTTAAAGGTTTTTCCCCAGCCATGAAATTACATAATAAAATAAAGAGAACTATGTTCTTTAGAGAATGTGGAGAATCAGACAGGAAAGAAGCATCACTTTGGAAACGGAGAACCAAGAGATAACGTAAATTCAAGGAGTAATATACATACTGAGAATGCTGCTTCACAACGGCCTGGGGGTGTTACCTGGGTACTAATTTCAAACCTGTTCTCGATGCGGGTTGGCTTCTAGCAGCTTCAGCTATCCCGAAAGGTTACAGAGATTCTCTGGACTCTAGAGAGTTCTACTCACAACCCAGTACAGCCTAAATGGAGGAGGTACTCAATGTCAGGGCAAGGTGCTTGGAACAGCTTTATCTGCTCTCCCCTACTGCTTGTCCTCATATCCAAGCTGGGCTTTCTGCACACTCTTGTTCTAGGGCAGAGCCAATCTTGGCTCGGATTCAGGAGGACCGCACTGTGATTGTGTCTCCTGTGTTTGACAACATTCGTTTTGACACCTTCAAACTGGATAAGTATGAACTGGCAGTTGATGGGTTTAACTGGGAACTCTGGTGCCGCTACGATGCACTGCCACAAGCCTGGATTGATCTGCATGATGTCACTGCCCCAGTGAAGTAAGTCTGAGGAGATTCAGGGAACTTGAGTAGCATGTGGGAAGGCAGGAATGAACTGAATGGATTTTGTTTATCTTTGGTGGTAGTAATTGGGGTGACGTGGAAGGAGGGGAGGGGATGAGGTGAAGGACAAGGGATAGAGGGAAAAAACCCCAATAAGTTATCCCAGTTAAGAAATCACAGACACTTTGGGATATTTAGGGACTTTCAGACAAAAATCAAGCAAAACACTTAAAATTTTGGAAAACATTTGGGCCATTTCAAGCTTTAGCAGACTATGAAGTAAGGATACCTAGAAGAAAAAGGTGTAATTTCAATATATTTTGAGAAGGGTTATGATAACGCAGTGGGCGAGGGAAAGCTACATGCACTTAGTCTTGCCTGAGAGTTTAGGGAAGGCCTTCATGATAAGAACAGACTTAGGTAGAGTTCTGAAGCCCAAATAATCATTGAGCATCCCACCCCTCGCCTCCGCTCCTTATGGAGAGATTAGTGACTCTTGCTGTGTGCTCTGTAGGAGTCCTTCAATCATGGGCATCCTGGCTGCTAACAGGCACTTCCTGGGAGAGATCGGGTCTCTGGATGGTGGAATGCTCATCTATGGAGGAGAGAACGTGGAGCTTAGCCTGAGGGTGGGTACATTTCCCTTTTCTTTATGGGACAAAGCAGAAAGGGGAATAATAGAAAGGTAGTAGGACCCCTGGAATCCTAGAACAAGGCTGAATGTCATTGGCTCAAAGGTGGATACATTCTTATGTTTCTAGGCAACTGGGCCAAGGACGGGGGGCAATAGGACTTCTGGAGTGGACACTCCTGGTATAGCCCATATAATCTGGGAGGTGGGGTGGGAAGGGGTCAAGTTGGGATTGAATAGATAGATGTCCCTATTTCACTTGAGGACTCTGGGCATTTTTCAAGCATCTCCTGGGATAAACTTAACCTTGGAGCAGACAATTCTCTAGAAGGCCAAAGACAGCAAAAACAGGAGTGGGCAGCGTGACTAGGGAATGCAGACGTGTGGGCAGCCAGCCTGCTTCTGTACTCACAGCCAGAGCAGCTGACGTGATAGCCTGAGTTTGTGCTGAGATATAGTCTAATCTAAGACAAATAGCCAGGTTTTTATCATTATATAACTGAAATCCTCAAACCCGGCCAGTTACGGTGGCTCACACCTGTAATCCCAGCACTTTGGGAGGCTGAGGCAGGCAGATTGCTTGAGCCCAGGAGTTCAAGGCCAGCCTGGGCAACATGGTGAAACCTTGTATCTATTAAAAAAGAAAGAAAAAGAAACAATAAATCCTCAAACCAGTGCTAGTCCTGACCAACTTCTGTGTGTCTGGAAAAATACTGGCTTCACACTTAAGCAGTGATGCCTCTTGTCTGCCCCTGACAGCTTCCCATGCTTGTTTAGGTTAAATGAACAACCTAAATTTAAAACAAATTAAATTTTAAATTTTTGTGGGTACATTGCAGGTGTATATATTTAGGGCGTGCATGTGATGTTTTGATATAGGCATGCAATGAATAATAATCATGTCATAGAGAATGGGGTATCCATCCCCTCAAGCATTTATCCTTTGTGTTACAAATAATCCAATTATATTCTTTTAGTTATTTTAAAATGCAAAATTAAATTATTATTAACTATAGTCATCCTATTGTGCCATCAAATAGTAGGTCTTATTTGTCTTATTCATTCTTTGTGACTATTATTTTTGTACCCATTAACCATCCCCTCTCCCCCAACTACCCTTCCCGGCCTCTGGTAACCATGCTTCTACTCTCTATGCCCATGAGTTCAATTGTTTTGATTTTTAAATTTCACATGTAAGTGAGAAATACAGTGTTTGTCTTTCTGTGCCTGGCTTATTTCACTTAACATAATGATCTCCAGTTCCATCTATGTTGTTGCAAGTGACGGCCTCATTCTTTTTTTTTATGGCTGAATAATACTCTATTGCATACTACATTTTCTTTATCCATTCATCTGTTGATGGACACTTAGATTGCTTCCATATCTTGACTGTTGTGAACAGTGCTGCAACAAACAAAAGAGTGCAGATATCTCTTTGATTTACTGATTTCCTTTCTTTTGGGTATATACCCAGCAGTGGGATTGCTGGATCATATGGTAGCTCTATTTTTATTTTTTTTCTGAGGAACCTACAAACTGTTCTCCATAGTGGTTGTACTAATCTACATTCCCACCAACAGTGGACGAGGGTTCCCTTTTCTCCACATCCTCTCCAGCATTGTTATTGCCTGTCTTTTGGATATAAGCCATTTTAACTGGAGTGAGATGATATCTCACTGTAGTTTTGATTTGCATTTCTCTGATGATCAGTGATGTTGAGTATCTTTTCACATGCCTCTTTGCCATTTGTATGTCTTCTTTTGGGAAATGTCTATTCGAATCTTTTGCCCATTTTTTGATTGGATTATTAAATTTTTACCTATAGAGTTGTTTAAGCTCCTTGCATATTCTGGTTATTAATCCCTAGTCAGATGGGTAGTTTGCAAATATTTTCTCCCATTTTGTGGGCTGTCTCTTCACCTTGTTGATTGTATCTTTTGCGGTGCAGAAGCTTTTTAACTTGATGTTATTCCATTTGTCAATGTTTGTATTGGTTGCCTGTGCTTGTGGGGTATTGCTGAAGAAATCTTTGCCCAGACCAGTGTCCTAGAGATTTTCCTCATTTTTTTCTTGTAGTGGTTTCATAATTTGAGGTCTCAGATTTAAGTCTTTAATCTATTTTCATTTTATTTTTGTATATGGTGAGAGATGCAGACCTACTTTCATTCTTCTGCATATGAATATCCAGTTTTCCCAGCACCATTTATTGAAGAGACTGTCTTTTCCCCAGTGTGTGTTTTTGGCACCTTTGTCAAAAATGAGTTCACTCTAGGTGTGTGGGTTTGTTTCTGGGTTCTTTATTGTGGTTCACTGGTCTATGTGTCTGTTTTTATGCTCGTACCATGCTGTTTTGGTTACTATAGCTCTGTATTATAATTTGAAGTCAGGTAATGTGATTCCTCCAGTTTTGTTCTTTTTGCTAGGCATGGTTTTGGTTATTCTGGGTCTTTTGCAGTTCCACATAAATTTTAGAATTGTTTTTTCTATTTATGTGAAGAATGGTGTTTTGATAGGGATTGTATTTAATCCGTATATTGCTTTGGGTAGTATGGACATTTTAATAATATTGATTCTTCCAATCCATGAACATGGAATATCTTTCCATTTTTTGGTGTCCTCTTCAATGTTTTTCATCAGGGTTTTATAGTTTTCATTTTAGAGATATTTTTTACTTCTTTGCTTAATTCCTAGGTATTTAATTTTATTTGTGGTGATTGTAAATGGAATTACTTTTAAAGATTTCTTTTCAGATTGTTCACTATTGGCATAGAAATGCTACTGATTTTTGTATGTTGATTGTCCATCCTGCAACTTTACTGAATTTATCAGTTCGAATAGTTTTTTGGTGGAGTCTTTATGTTTTTCCAATATAAGATTATGTCATCTGCAAACAAGGGTAACTTGAACTTCATCCATTCCAACTTGGATGCCTTTATTTATTTCTCTTGTCTAATTGCTCTAGCTAGGACTTCCAGTAGTACACTGAATAACAGTGGTGAAAATGGGCACCTTTGTCATGTTCCAGATCTTAGAGGAAAGGCTTTCAGTTATGTTAAGGTATGTTTCTTCTATACTTAGTTTTTTGAGGGGTTTTAAATCATGAATAGAAGTTGGATTTTATCAAATGCCTTTTCAGCGTCAATTGAAATGATCACATGGTTTTTGTCTTTCATCCTGTTAATATGATGTTTCACATTGATTGATCTGCATATGTTGAACAATCCTTGCATCCCAGGGATAAATCCCACTTGGTCATAATGAATGACCTTTCTAATGTATTGTCAAATTCAGTTTGCTAATATTTTGTTGAGGATTTTTGTGCCAATATTCATCAGAGATATTGGCCTGTAGTTTTCTTTTCTTTTTTTTTTTTAACGTGTCTTTGTCTTGTTTTGGTAGCAGGGTAATACTGGCCTCATAGAATGAGTTTGGAAATGTTCCCTCCTGTATTTTTTGGAAAAATTTAAGTAGGATTGGTACTAGTTTTTCTTTAAATATTCGGTAGAAATCAACAGTGAAACCACTGAGTCCCAGGTTTTCCTTTACTGGGAGACTTTTTATTACAGCTTTGATCTCATTACTTGTTATTGTTCTGTTCAGGTTTGGGATATTTTTCCTGGTTCAATCTTGAACCAAGTTCAATGTGTCTAGGAATTTGTCCATTTCTTCTAGATTTTCCAACTTGTTGGCATACAGTTGCTTATAGGAGCTGTTAGTGTTCCTTTAAATTTATGCAGAATCAGTTGTAATGTCTTTTTCAATTCTATTTATTTAGATATTCTCTCTTTTTTTCTTAGTCTGGATAAAGGTTTGTCAATTTTGTTTAACTTTTCAAAAAACCAACTTTTTGTTTCATTGATTTTTTTGTATTCTTTATTTCAATTTCATTTATTTCTACTCTGATCTTTATTATTTCTTTTTTATTTTTTAACTTTCATTTTAAGTTCAGGGGTACTAGCGCAGGTTTGTTATATCAGTAAACTTGTGTCATGGTGGCTTATTGTACAGATTATTTCATCACCTAGGTATTAAGCCTAGTCTCCGTTAGTTATTTTTCCTGATCTTCTCCCTCCTCCCACCCTCCACCCTCCACCCTCCAAAAGGCCTCAGCGTGAGTTGTTCCCCTCTTTGTGTTCATGTGTTCTCATCATTTAACTTCCACTTAAAAGTGAGAACATGTGGTATTTGGTTTTCTGTTCCTGAGTTAGTTTGCTAAGGATAATGGCCTCCAGCTCCATCCATGTCCTTGCAAAGGACATGATTTCATTTTTTATGGCTGCACGGTATTCCTTGGTGTGTATGTACTACATTTTCATTATCCAGTCTATCATTGATGGGCATTTAGGTTGATTTCATGTCTTTGCTATTGTGAATAGCTCTACAATGAACATACATGTGTATGATTTATAATCCTTTGGGTATATACCCAGTAAAGGGATTGCTGGGTTGAATGGTATCTCTGTCTTTAGATCTTTGAGGAATCAACACACTGCCTTCTACAATGGCTGAACTAATTCACACTCCCATCAACAGTGTACAAGCATTCCTTTTTCTTCACAACCTTGCCAGCATCTGTTATTTTCTTCTTTTTAATAATAACCACCTTACTTCAAACTATACTACAGGGCTACAACAACCAAAACATCATGGTACTAGTACAAAAACGGACACATAGACCAATGGAACAGAATAGAGAACCCAGAAAAAAGACCACACACCTGTAACTATCTGATCTTCAACAAACCTGACAAAAACAAGCAATGGGGAAAGGATTCCCTATTCAATAAATGGTGCTGGGATAACTGGCTAGCCATATGCAGAAGATTGAAACTGGACCTCTTCCTTACACCATATACAAAAATTAACTCAAGATGGATTAAAACTTAAATGTAAAACTCAAAACTATAAAAACCCTGGAAGACAACCTAGGCAGTACCATTCAGGACATAGGGACAGGCAAAGATTTCATGACAAAGATGCCAAAAGCAATAGCAACAAAAGGAAAAATGGACAAATGTGATCTATTAGTTATTTCCTACTACAATTTTGGATTTGGTTTCCTCTTGCTTTTCTAGTTCTTTAAGATGCATCATTAGATTGTTTGAAATTTTTACTGTTTTTGATGTAGGCACTTAGAATAAACATTCCTCTTAGTACTGTTTTTGCTATATTCCATAGGTTTTGGTATGTTGTGTTTCCATTATCATTTGTTTTAAGAAATTTTCCAATTTCCTTCTTAATTTCTTCATTGACTCACTGGTCATTCAGGAGCATATTGTTTAATTTCCATGTGTCTGTATAGTTTCCCAAATTTCTCTTGTTATTGATTTCTAGTTTTATTCCACTGTGGTCAGAGAAGATGCATGCGATTATTTTTATTTTTTGAATGTTTTAAGACTTGTTTGTGACCTAACATATGGTCTGTCCTTGAGAATGATCCATGTGCTGAGGAGAAGTGTATTCCGCAGCCACTGGATGAAATGTCTGTAAATATCTATTAGATACACTTTGTCTATAGTACAGATTAAGTCTGATGTTTCTTTGTTGATTTTCTGTCTGGAAGATCTGTCCAGTGCTGAAAATAGGATGTTAAAGTCTTCTGCTATTACTGTATTGGGGCCTATCTCTCTATTTAGCTCTAATAATATTTGCTTTATATATCTGGATGCTCCAGTGTTGGGTGCATATATATTTAAAATTGTTATAGCCTCTGGCTAAATTGACCCCTTTTTTATTATATAGTGACCTTCTTTGTCTCTTCTTATAGTTTTTGTCTTGAAATCTATTTTGCCTGATATAAATATAGCTACTCGGCTTTGTTTTGGTTTCCATTGGTATGGAATATCTTTTTCCATCCCTTTATTTTTAGTTTATGCGTGTTTTTATAGGTGAAGTATGTTTCTTATAGGCAACAGATCAGTGGGTCTTGTTTTTTCATTCATTTGGCCACTCTATGTCTTGATTGGAGAGTTAAGTCCATTTACATTCAATGTTATTATTGATAAGAAAGGACTTACTTCTGCTATTTTGTTATCTGTTTTCTGATTGTTTTGTGGTCTTTTCTTTCTTGTTTCTTCTCTTTCCTGTCTTCCTCTAGTGAAGGTGATTTTCTCTGTTGATATGATTTAGTTTCTTGCTTTTTATTTTTTTGTGTATCTGTTGTATGTTTTTTGGTTTGGGGTTTTCATGAGGCTTGCAATACTATCTTATCATCCATTATTTTAAGATGATGATGGCTTAACACTATTTGCATAAACAGACAACCAAACAATTGAAAAAAAAAAAAACTAATAAAAACTCTACACCTTGACTTTGTCCCCCCACTTTTTAACTTTTTGTTGTTTCTATTTATATCTTACTGTACTATGTCTTGAAAAGGTTTTGTAGTTATTATTGTTGATCGATTCATTATTTAGACTTTCTATTTAGGATAAGAGTAGTTTATACACCACAGTTACAGTGTTATAATATTCTGTGGTTTTCTGTGTACTGACTATCACCAGTGAATTTTATCCCTATAGATGATTACTTAGGGCTCATTAACATCCTTTTCTTTCTGACTGAAGTACTCCCTTTAGCATTTCTTGTAGGATTGGTCTGGTGTTGATGAAGTCTTTCAGCTTTTGTTTTTGTGGGAAAGTCTTTATTTCTCCTTCATGTCTGAAGGATATTTTCACTGTATATGTTGTTCTAGGGTAAAAGTTTTTTCCTTCAACACTTTACATATGTCATGTCACTCTCTCCTGGCCTGTAAGGTTTCCATGGAAAAGTCTGCTGCCAGAAAGTATGGGAGCTGCATTGTACGTTGTCCTCTTGCTGCTTTTAGCATCCTTTCTTTATCCTTGATCTTTGGGAGTTTGATTATTAAATGCCTTGAGGTAGTTTTCTTTGGGTTAAATCTGCTTAGTGTTCTGTAACATTCTTGTACTTGGACATTGATATCTTTCTCTAGGTTTGGGAAGTTCTGTGTTGTTATCCCTTTGAATAAACTTTCTACCCCTATCTCTTTCTCTACCTCCTCTTTCAGGCCTGTAACTCTTACATTTTTCCTTTTGAGGCTATTTTCTAGATGCTGTAGGCGTGCTTCATTGCTTTGTATTCTTTTTTCTTTTGTCTCCTCTGACTATGTATTTTACAAATAGCCTGTCCTCAAGCTTACTGATTCTCCCTTCTGTTTGACCAATTCTGCTATTAAAAGATACTGGTGCATTCTTCAGTATGCCAGTTGCATTTATCAGCTCCAGAATTTCTGCTTGATTGTTTTTTATTATTTCCATCTCATTGTTAAATTTATCTGATAGAATTCTGAATTCCTTCTCTAATTATCTTGAATTTCTTTGAGTTTCCTCAAAACAGCTATTTTGAATTTTCCATCTGAAAGGTCCCTTGTCTCTGTTTCTCTAGGATTGGTCCCTTCATTCATTTGGTGAGATGATGTTTTCCTGAATTATCTTGATACTTGTAAATGTTCTTCTGTGTCTGAGCATTGAAGAGTTAGTCTACTTATTCTAAGTAAAGACTACTTATTGTAGTCTTTACTGTCTAGGCTTGTTTGTACCCATCCTTCTTGGGAAGGCTTTCCAGATATTCAAAAAGACATGGGTGTTATGGTCTAAGCTGTACCTGCTTTAGGGGGCACCCCAAGCCCAGTAATGCTGTGGTTCTTCCAGACTCATAGAAGTACCACCTTGATGGTCTTGGATAAGATCCGGGAGAATCCTGTGGATTACCAGGCAGAGACCCTTGTTCTCTTCCCTTACGTCTCCCAAACAAATGGAGTCTATCTCTCTTTCTGTTCTGAGCTACCTAAAGCTGGGGGTGGAGTGACACAAGCAACCCCGTGACCACCGCCACTGTGACTGCTCTGGGTCAGACCTGAAGGTAGCACAGAACTGGGTCTCACTCAAGGCCTGCTGTAACCACTCACTGTGTACTTCCTATGTTCCCTTGAGACCCTGGTGCTCTACAATCAGTAGGTGGCAAAGCCAGGACACAGGACACAGGCCTGTGTCCTTCCTTTCGGGGCCGTGTGTTCCTCCAGGTCCCAAGTGGGTCCAGAGGTGCTGTCTGGCAGTCAGACACTAAAGTAAAATACCTTAAAAGTCTACCTCATGTTTTATTATATTGTGACTGAGCTTGACTGAGCTGGCACTCAAACCACAAGACACACTTCTTCCCACTCTTCCCTCCTCTTTCCAAAGTTAGAGGCCAGTGCCACCACAGACCCACAGGGAGTCCTGCCAGACTACCACTCATGTTCCCTTAGGGCCCAAGGACTCTCAAGTTAGCTTATGATGAATGCTGCCTGGCTTAAGACTCACCCATCAGGGAAGTGGGCTCCCTTCTGGCCCAGAGCAGGTCCAGAAATGCCATCTAAGAGTCAAGTCCTGGAATCAGGGACCCCCAAGAGACTGCTTGGTGCTCTACCCACCTGTGGCCGAGCTGGTACCTAAAGCCAGCAAGTCTCAGAGACTTACCCACGGCCCTCAATGTAGTATTGGGTATTGCTGCTAGTTGTTCAGGGTCCCAGGGCTCTTCACCTAGCAGGTGATAAATGCTGCCAGGACTGGGTCCTTCCCTTCAAGGCAGCGAGCTCCCTTCTGGCCCAGGGTGTGTTTAGAAATGTCATCTGGGAGCTAGGGCCTGGACCAGGGACCACACAACTCTGACTGATTTCCTAGCCTGCTGTAACTGAGCTGATATCCAAGATGCAGTCAAAGTCCTCCTCACTTCTCCCTCTCCTCTCCTCAAGTGGAAGGAAGGGGTCTGTTTTGGAGCTGCAAGTTGTACATCCTGGGGTTAGGGATGGGTCATGCCAGTACTGCCTTAGTGGCCCCAATTGATATTTCAGTAGGTTGTGTGACCTGCCTCCCCACCCCCAATCCACTGTCTCTGGGCCCAGTTCAGCACTAGGATTCCCCTAATAGTTGCCTAGACTGCCTTTCAGGCTTACTTAGAGACTCAAAGCACTTTAGCCTGGTGGCAAGGTTTGTGGGAACTCAAGGTCCTACTTCTGGGATCAGTGATTTCCCTCTGGCTGGGGCTGGTTTAAATGCTCCCTCTTTGGGTGGGCATCAGCTGAGTTTGGTTCAGTTTTCCTTTCTGCTCTAACAGGACAGCACTGAGTTGAGTGCCTCACGATTGCTGTGCTCTTCCTCCCCCAACACACAGAAATGCTGTCTACACCATGCTGCAGCTACTGGGGATGGGGGAGGGGTAGCATCAGTGATTCGCTACTGTCCTTTCTACCTCTTCAGTGCCTTTTTCAGCAATATGAAGTTAAAATATGAGTACTGTGAGTGCTTAACTGATTTTTGGTTCTTATGAAGGTGCTTTGCTTGTGTAAATAGTGGTTAAATTTGTATCCTTGTCAGGGGGATGATTGGTGGAGCCTTCTAGTCAACCATCTTGCTCCACCACTTCTCCCAACCTGAATTTTTGTGCTCTATAAGGGAATTCAGGATGCAAACCAAGAAAAATAGAGAAATTACAAGTGCAGATTCAAGATATGTCAGTGTATTGGTTAACTCTTGCCAAAAAATGTCACGCAATAAATCAACCCAAACTCAGTGCCTTAAAGCAGCAATAATCAATTCTCACAGATTTGCAGATCCAGCTGGCTTGGATGGAGTGGCCGTGTTCCACATGTGTTCACTCTGGGGCTCAGGCAAATGTGGGATAGCAGCTACCTAGGACAGAAAGCTCTTCTTACGGTGTGTAAGAGGGCAAATGGGACCATGTGAAGTCTCGTAAGGCCTAGGTTTAGAAGTAGCAAACTATTTCAGAGTAAGTCACATGGCCAACCCTGAAATGGTGTGAAGAATTAGGGCCAATAAATTTCATGAATCAGAATCAATTTAGAAGAGATTTTGTGGATAAAATATCATTTCCACAGTATCTCTTTTACCTTTTTGGTGTAATCTACAGGGCCTCATTAGAAGGGGCTGGCCCGGGGGTTTGTGATTGTTCTTGGTAGTTCATCTTTTTTCATCTTCCAGCCTAAGGCCGAACTCTTAAAAGAGGCAATGGAAAGTAGTCGAAATTACACAGGTGTTGGAGACAGACAGACTTAAGTCAAAATCCTGCTTTGCCTCTTAAGAGTTTTTGTGCAACATACAAGCCCTCTAAGCCATACCTGCTGCATTAAGCACCTAGTATGGTGAGTGACATATGGTTTACACTCAATAAATGTTTAACGGTAAAAATGACAATAATAAGAATGTCAGGGTGGCATTGTAACAAACACTGACCCTGAGTTGTAATGCTGTCTCTGCTAAGTCACTGTGGACTAAGCTTCTATAAGATGACCTTTTTTCCCCCTCCAAGCCCTGAAATTCTGTGCTTGTGACAAGGTGATCTCTGATCCACTGTGGTGTCTGGAGGAACAAAGTAATTTCCCATCTAGAGTTTATTTCATTCCACTGTCTTTAATTTCTTTCTAACTGAAACTGATGACCCCATAGCCATGTACTGTACCCAGTAAGGACCCACTCAGGACTCCACATTTAATGTTAACAAATGAATTTTGAGTCTTTTCTGGGTTATACCTTAAGCCATAATCATTCTTTGGCAGAGAAAACTAACCTTTTTTGGATGGTGGTTGATGTGGTTAGGCTTTGTGTCCGCACTCATATCTCATCTTAAATTATAATCCCCATAATCCCCATGTGTCAAAGGAGAGACCAGGTGGAGGTCATTGGATCATGTCGGGGGGGTTTTCCCCAGGTGGTTCTCCTGATAGTGAGTGAGTTTTCACAAGATCTGATGGTTTTATAAGTGTTTGGTAGTTCCTCCTGCGTTCATTCTCCTTCCTGCTGCCTTGTGAAGAAGGTGCCTTGCTTCCCCTTTGCCTTCTGCCATGATTGTAATTTTCCTGAGGCTTCCCTAGCCATGCTGAATTGTGAGTCAATGAAACCTCTTTCCTATAAGTTACCCAGTCTCAGGCAGTTCTCTATGGCAGTGTGAAAACAGACAAATGCAGTGGTCTGATCAGTTTTCCCATTTGTGAAATGAAGAGAAGCATTTTGTTTAATGTACCTCATAAGAATGATGGTACAGTCACAATGTAATAATGAATTTGATATAATTTTATAAAGATATTAATTAGAATGCTCATTCAGCTTCTCTGACAGAGGCTAAAATAACAGAAGCTTCAACATGATAGAAATTAATTTCTCTTTCCTATAACAGTTTGAACATAAGCAGTTCAGGATTGATATGGCAGCTCTAGGGTGATAGGGGCCAAGACTTTTATTTGGTGGTCCTGCCACACTCAACACCATATTTGTATTCTAGCCAGTAGGAAGATAAAAGGGGGAAAGAGAGAGAGCAAGCTCTTTCTTTTTAAGAGCACTACCTGAAAGTTGTGTATATTATTTCTTTTCACATTCTGTTGGCCATTACCTAGTTACATGGCCACACCTGTGTGCAAAGGAGTCTGGGAAATATAGATTTTAGTTACTGGGTTATGTGCCCAGATGTTTCTTCTATCACTGTAGATATAGAGCAGAATCAGAATAGACACTGGGAGTACAGGTACTGTCTAACACAAAAAATATAAATGCAAAAATAATAACTTTATTTACGGTACTTAGCAAAGTCTTGAGGATGACCCTAGTTACACTGTGGCTAGGTTTTCTTACCTACCAGAGCTTTAGGTGAATTCCCCAATTCTTCAACTTAAGACCCAAAGCCCTCATTATTTCTGAGTTCCTGATGCTTTGTTCTCTCCTTCTGCACCTAGGCTGAGTCTCTCTGTTTTCATTCTCCCAAACACACACAGAACACTGCCATTTCAGTTTCTACAAGACATTCTTTCTTTTAATATTTTGTGATTTTTAAAATGGACTTTGCTTAAAATATAGGGTCATCCTTTTCCTTTTTTTTTGGATCAAGCAGTTCTGCCCATATCCAGCTTCTTGGTTTGTGTGAGACTATTTGCCTTTTAAAACATCTAAGTACTTATTAGGATTTTTCTCCAGTAGCAGATCTTGAACATCAGAGCTGCATGGAGTGCTTTATTCTGACATCTAGTGGCCATGACAGGGATGGTGCTCATCAATGTGTGTAAATGGAGATGATGGGTAGGAAAGGTTAAGAAGGGAGATGATGGGTAGGAAAGAAAAAACAGCATTTGTTGAGCACCTTGTATATTTCACACACTGTGCCAGAACTGAACATGTAACTTCCTGGGCTCACAATGCAGCTCTGTCATTTACTAGCTGGTAAACATGGGCAGGTTACTTAAAGGGAGATACCTGTATGGTGAGGACTAAATTTATGCAAAGTGTTAGGACAGCATATGGCACAAAGTAATATATTATTATCAGCAGAAGCTTAATGTCTCTGTGTGTGTGTGTGTGTGTGTGTGTGTGTGTGAGAGAGAGAGAGAGAGAGAGAGAGAGAGAGAGAGAGAGATGATGGAAGGAATTTGGCAAGTGGGAATAAATTTGGAGAGCAGAGTTTGAAAACTTTTGGGCAAAGCTAATTATGGGCATTACTTCATAAACGGCAATCTTTTTTTTTTTTTCTTTTGAGACAGAGTCTTGCTCTGTTTCCCAGGCTGGCGTGCAGTGGCGCAATCTAGGCTCATTGCAACCTCCACCTCCCAGGTTCAAGTGATTCTCCTGCCTCAGCTCCTGAGTAGCTGGAATTACAGGTGTGCACCACCACACCAGGCTAATTTTTGTATTTGTAGTAGAGACAGGGTTTCACCATGTTGGCCAGGCTGGTCTCAAATTCCTGACCTCAAGTGATCTGCCTGCCTCGGCCTCCCAAATTGCTGGGATTACAGGCATGAACCACCACACCTGGCCTCAGCAATCTTGACTTTTAACTTGAATTTAAGATTTCTTATGATAACAGTTAATTTTTCTCCCTGAATTCACGTGAGTTGAAAACCTCCATCAGCTAGGAAAATTGGAGTAAGGTAATATTTGGATTTTTGAATGTTTGGCTAGAGAGAATAATAATATCTGAGTGCAAGCTGGATGTAACCTCCACATGATTCTGGGGGCCAATGAGGAGAGCCAGAGAAGGATAATGAAAGAAAATGTGCACTTCAGGTTATCTCAGAGGCTGCCATAACTGATTCCTTGTTACATCATTTAATCCCAGTGAAAACCCAAATAGTGGCTGTGCCCTTATAGCAGATGAATAAGTTGAGGGTCAACTTATTCCATCATTGCACACCTGGCAGCTAGAGGCAAAACACTCTAGCTGCCAGGTGTGCAATGATGGAACCAGAATTTGAACATAGGTCAGTCTGATTTCAAAGCCTTGCTTTTTTTTCTTTTTTTTTTAGTCCATTGTTCTGGCAAATAGGGTGCAAAGGAAGGGGAATCTAGGGTTTTAAGAAGTGAAGAAAAGGATGAAAACAATTTGAAAGTCAGATAATGAGACTGACTACTCAGTTGGACACTCTTGATAAGTTAACTGAACCGCCGTGGCCTAAGCTACACACTGTTATCTCAGGTGCTCCCATTGGCATGAGCGTGGTAGGTTGCTAGCCACTGCTATGGGCTAATTACCTTCCAGAAACTGCATCTCACTTAGGCAACCGTGAAGAGAAGACACAGGAGACATCACGTCGATCCAATATGATTAAATAGTCCTATTAGCTACTGAGATGAACATAATATTTTCTAAGCTCAATATTAGAATGTGTGTTTTGATTAGTATGTTTTGTACCCATCAGGATGGTAAAAATGAGTATTTGTAATTGGGTCATAAGGCATTTGGTCAAGTTATGCAAATTAGTTATCTATTGCTGTATAACGATGTTATCACCAGCTTAGTGTTTTAAAGCAAGATGCATTCATTATTTCACAGTTTCTGCGGGTCAGAGGTCCATGCACAGTTTAGCTGGGTCTTCTGTAAGGCTGCCATCAAGGTGTCAGCCAGAGTTGGGTTCTCATCTGGGCTCCACTGGGGAAAGATCTGCTTTCAAGCTCACATTATTGTTGGCAGCATTCAGTTCCTTGAAGTCTTCCAGGCTGAGGAAGCATTCAGTTTTATGCTGGGTATCAGTTGGAAGCCACTCTTAATGTCTTCCCTTTTTATGTGTTAGCTGACAGCATGGCAGCTTCCTTCTTCAAAGCCAACAAAAGAGAGCATCTCTTGGCAAAATGGACCCTCCAATCTTATGCAGTGTATTCATGATCCATGTAATCAAGCACATCCTGCCATCCTTGCCATATTCTGTTGGTTAGAAGCAGGTCACAGGCCCACACTCAAGGGGAGGGGATCAGGCAAGGCTGTAGACACCAGGAGGAGGGATCATGGGGTCACTTTGGCGTCTGTCTGCCACATTGCCCTTTGTCTAGCATGCAGGCAGAGAAGGGGCATGAGGAACTTAGTGCAGTGAGAGTGGCTCAGGGCATGGTGCCTCTCAGGACATGGGCACTTTCCTTGGGGATAAGGGAGCAGAGGCAGCCCCTCCTTTGGTCCATGTAGGAGGACTTCCTGAAAGAAGTATGATTCAGGAGTTGTTTGAATGACAGAAGAGAAGCAGTTCAGTAGACTTCTAAGGAAAGATGATTTAGATAAGAAAGTTAGAGGAGGCAATATAAAGGCAGGAGTGGGAGGACTGAGCTTACATTCTTTAAAAACGGCTCTAAAATGTAGTCTTCTTGTGTCAATAAGCTATGCAATTCATTGGCTGTGAAGCACGGGTGATTTTTTGGTCTTCTTCTGCAGGTGTGGCAGTGTGGAGGGAAGGTCGAGATTTTGCCCTGTTCCCGGATTGCCCACCTAGAGAGACACCACAAGCCCTACGCCTTGGATCTCACCGCTGCCTTGAAGCGCAATGCTCTGCGAGTGGCCGAAATCTGGATGGATGAGCACAAACACATGGTCTACTTGGCCTGGAACATACCTCTCCAGGTGAGTCATGGAATTGAACAGCAGCACGGAAGAATGAAAGAGGAGGAGGTGGCGGTTATGTAATGGGGAGGGATAAAGCAAAAGTGCCATCGCAGCCCTAAAGAATTAGGGTAAGGTCCTGATGGTGTGATAATAATGGCTCTTAACATTTATGTAACAGTACAGTACTGCATTCCGGACCCTTCTATATATTAACTTATTAGCCGTCACAACATATGTAGGGGATAGGTTTTATTTTTATTATTCTAAATTTTACAGATGAGGAAGCTGAGGCACAGAGAGTTGGAAGAAACTTGTTTAAGGTAATGCAGGGAGTAAGATTCAAACCAAGGAAATCTGGCTTCTAAGTTCCATGTTCTTCATCTCTCTTTTATAATGAGAGATATAAACATAGCAGGTATGATGTGGGGTGGTAGGAGAAGGCACTGTAATCTTGTTGGATGCACAAGAATGAGGATAGCATTCTTTTTTAAGTTTTTTTTTTGGTACAGATAGGGTCTTGCTATTTTGCCCAGGCTGGTCTGGAACTCCTGGCCTCCCAAAATGTTGAGTTTAAAAGTGTTAGCCCCTGCACCCAGCCAAGGTTGGCCTTCTGAGCTAAGCCCACATCTTATACACTGGCTGCTTAAGGTCGTGCTGTGCTCTCTCGTGTCCCTGAGCTCTGGCTCCGGGCCAGAGCATGTGGAGCTGTGTTGGCCCACAGGGAGGAGTTATCTCATTGACAAACTCATCCCTCCATCGTAGTGGGTTCTAATGTAGCCCCCAGAAAGACAGGGAGTCAGGATGGTGGGTAACTGTGGATGGACCTAGAAGAGAAAGTCTGGAAGGACTCCTAGGGTCAGGAGCCAGGTTAACACTGGGATCACTAGGTCTGGAGATTGTAAAAATGTGCAGAAATGCCTGAGCCTTCTTTATCATTTAAAGATACCAAAATGCTTCCTTTCCTAATCCAAGCTGCCAATAACCTCTTACAGTTGGATCATTGTTTGAAGAGAGATGGGTAAGAGTTGATTCTGATGTCCCAGTATACCAAGGTATGATAGGAAAACAAGTACCCTCCAGGACATCCCTAGCTTTTTTATTTCCACACAGTCATATTGTGACTGTCCCAAGCTGTACAAAGAATTGTCTGTAAAATACTGAACTGTCAAAGGATGATCTAAATTTTTACATGGGATGATCCACAATGAGCCCCAAAGGAAAATTCTGGGAAGAGGGCAGATACACAAGTGGTTTCTGCTTTTCCTAATTTGCCTCTTTAGTATTATTTTACATTGATTCCCCACAAATATCACTTCTAAAAAAGTCTCTTTTAATCTCCAAATCTTGGTATTAGAGTATTCCTTCCAAAAGCCTTTTCTGGCCATATCATGAGGAGTATGTTGGGTTTTATTGATGTAAATATCATCTCAAAGAGGAGCAATCTGCGTAAGCTTATGAGGAGAAATAAACCTGAGCGGCCCCACTATGCAGGCCTTGAAGGAGCAGAATTTGAAAGAGCAGAATTTTCTAGGGTTTAAGGTTTTTCCACTTTCTCTGGAAATATAAAATATCAAGGTTACTTCACAGGCTATCAGAAAAAGACTCAGTTCCATCATGCGTGGTCCATACCCACTGGTGGAGTGAAGGAGCTGTTAAAAGAAAAACTTCAGCCAAATTAAATTTAAAGGAGTTTAGCTGAGCAATGAATGATTCGCAAATGCGGCAGCACCCAGAATCACAGCAGATTCAGAGACTCCAGCGCAGCCATGTGGTGGAAGAAGATTTATAGACCAAAAAAAAGGGAAGTGACGTACAGACATCGGAAGTGAGGTACAGAAACAGCTGGATTGGTTACAGCTCCGTGTTTGCCTTATTTGAACACTTGAACACTGGACAATGGATGAATGGTTGAAGTATGGCTGCTGGGATTGGCCAAGACCCAGCTATTGTTACAGGTGCATAGTCCTAAGTTAGGGTTTCAATCTTGTCTATCCATTAAGTTGGGTTGCAGTCCGTCCACAAGGACTCACATGCAGAAATATGGAGTCCTTCTCAGGCCATATTTAGTTCGCTTTAACAGAGCTTTCATGAATCAAAGCACAGAAACACTTGGCGTTTTATTTACAGAACTCTGGAATAGATTTTGGAGACGTTTCTTCCAGAATGGCACTCCGGGAAAAACTGAAATGTAAAACTTTTGACTGGTACCTGAAAAATGTTTATCCACTCTTGAAGCCACTCCACACCATCGTGGGCTATGGAAGAGTATGTATTATGAAATTGCACTTTGGATTTTAAATGTTTGACTGTGAAAGACAATGCGGCCTGAATCTCGTGATTGCCTGTCCTGCCCAAGACGCCCTTCCTACCTCAGCTTTCTACTCAGCTCTTCGCCCTCAACCCTCTCAGTTTCCTTTTGTCCCTTGCTCCCCGATCCCCATCTCTTTTCCTTCTCTCTGCTTCTACTCCCCTTGAAAACTATAGCTCTTGCCTGGACTCCCCCCCGCCCCGCCCCCGTTTCTCCAGCAGCTGCAGCGATTGGCCTTGTCCGCCTGAACTCCGCAGAGGCGCCCCTCCCTGTGTGTGTGGTGATGGGCTGAGGTGATGGGTGTTTCCCGGATGTGGGCAGCGCAGCAGCGCCTCCCTTCGGCGCTGGTCTGTTTCCCAGTGCTTAGAAAATGCCTGCCGGGATCCCAGCCCTCTGCTCCTTGTGGCTGGTCGTTCCTGGTGTCCTCGGTGTGTTGGGGAAAATGTAGGCCCTGGGAGGGATGGCGCCTCATTCTCTGTCCTTTCTAACAGTGTTGCCGTGTGTTTTGTCCCCTTCAGATGAAAAACCTATTGGATGAAAATGTCTGCTTGGATCAGGGACCCGTTCCAGGCAACACCCCCATCATGTATTACTGCCATGAATTCAGCTCACAGGTATCTTCCACAATCTTCCTGGCCCTGCCTGGGCAAGTCTGTCGTGGCTCAGCCCCTGGTAACCATTGCTGGGTCTGGACTCCGTGATACGTGATGGGGAGGCAGGAGCGGAGCATCCTGGGTAAGGGTGAAATCCAGACCTGCACTTGTAACTGAGCACGTCTTAGTTTCTTCAGAAAGCCGTGGCAACGTAGTTCCATTTCAGTTACAGGGAGGATAGGTAGAAAAGCTATGCTCTGTCACATTCATTCTGCATGGTGATATTTGCATTGACAATCACCTCTGGTCCCTTCCTTTTCCCCTCCTCCCACTGCTCCCGCCATCTTCTCACTGCTACTGGAAAGCCTGGGAAAGTGGACAGGTGAAGCCACCTGTGCTTCTCCTATAGCGAAGGAAGCAGAGCTAGAGAGGATAGAGGCTGAGCAGACGCTCCTCCAAGGGATGGAAGGGCCCTGGCACCATGTGGAAGGTGCAGTCAGGGGATTTTTTTTTTTTTTTTTTTTTTTTTTTTTTTGAGACAGAGTCTCGATCTGTCGCCCAGGCTGGAGTGCAGTGGCGCGGTCTCAGCTCACTGCAAGCTCTGCCTTCTGGGTTCACGGCATTCTCCTGCCTCAGCCTCCCTAGTAGCTGGGACTACAGGCACCTGCCACCATGCCCGGCTAATTTTTTGTATTTTTTTTTTTTTTAGCAGAGACGGGGTTTCACCATGTTAGCCAGGATGGTCTCGATCTCCTGATCTCGTGATCCGCCCACCTTGGCCTCCCAAAGTGCTGGGATTATAGGCTGGAGCCGCCGCACCTGGCCTGGACATTTTTTTTTTTTTTTAGGGACAATATTCACATCTGTCTTCTTACTTTGCATGCTGCCCTCATAGCAACCTTTTGAGGCATGCACAATAGATATCATTTGCACTTAGTTGAAAAAATGGAGACACATTAATAACCTACTTGTCCAAGCTCACTGAGCAAGATAGTGTCAGACCAGGAATTTGAAAGGTTTTCTGACAACAAACCCATAGCTGAGGCCTGCAGTGACAGATTCTGGAGTTCAGTTTTGTTTTTTCTTCAAAGACAAGCTTCTTCATCCATGTAAGCTATGATTCTGTTGGAACCCTCCTAGGCCTGGCCTTCTCCCTGGATTCAAGGAGAGACTAAGGAGAAGGAAGCAGAGGTTGCTTCATGTTGTCCAGGAAGGTTCAGTGCTCTTGGTGTGACTGGGTGTCTAGGGGCCCCAAGATCATTCTTCCTGCTGTCCCTCGGGCTAGGGTCTCCTGCTGGCTGACAATGCCTATGGTGAGCCCTCTGCTTTTTTTTTTTTTTTTTTTTTTTTAGAATGTCTACTATCACCTAACTGGGGAGCTCTATGTGGGACAACTGATTGCAGAGGCCAGTGCTAGTGATCGCTGCCTGACAGACCCTGGCAAGGCGGAGAAGCCCACCTTAGAACCATGCTCCAAGGCAGCTAAGAATAGACTGCATATATATTGGGATTTTAAACCGGTGAGTTATGTGTTTTTGTTTGTTGGTTTGTTTGTTTTGTTTTGTTTTGTTTTGAGACTGAGTCTTGCTCTGCAGCCCAGGCTAGAGTGCAGTGGCTTCTCAGCTGACTGAGGCTACTGACAGAAAAGAGATTTGGGTTGGCTGTGAGATCTGGAAGGCAGGACATCCAGGGAAATTCTGCCAACCATTCTAACCTACAGTCTGGGTCCATTTCTATGGCCACTATGTCAAGAACACAAAAATTGAAAAGGGAGGTGATCATGTAATTTCTGGTGTGTTACCTAATATTGCAGTCTTGGCTCACTGCAACCTCTGCCTCCCAGGTCCTGGTTCAAGCAATTCTCCTGCCTCAGCCTTCTGAGTAGCTGGGATTACAGGCACATGCCACCATGCCCAGTTAATTTTTGTGTCTTTGGTAGAGACGGGGTTTCACCATGGCTGGTCTTGAATTCCTGACTTCGTGATCCGCCCGACTCAGCCTCCCAAAGCGCTGGGATTACAGGTGTGAGCCACTGTGCCTGGCGAGTTACATGTTTTTTAAATGATAGGTATATGAAAGGTTCAGATTTGATTTGATAGTGTTTTAGGAGAATTACTTCTTGTGGCCCCGTGTAGGGAAAATATTGGAAACAGGGAACTGGTAAGAAACACTGAGTCTCTTGACTAAGGCAGGGTGGTTAAGGAGAAGAAATATTGGAGTCTGTTGTAGCTGAACGGTTGAGAGTTTGGGCACAAGTCCTAGCTCAGTATAGCAATTTCCTTACCCTCTCTGAAGCTCAGTTTCCTCATTATAAAATGATGGAGATGATAATATCTTCTGTATGCGACTTTTGGGAGGATTAAATGAGATAGCGTGTGTAAAGCATTTCACGTGGTGCCTGGAGCAGAAGAGTGTTCAATACGCATTAGCCATTGTGATCCATTTATTATTAATGATTATCAGAGGGTGTGGAATACTATGCTGAAATCTGACAGAGGCTAATGTAGAAGCTCTGCCTTTAACTTCAATATCAAATGACCAAGGACAGGGCGGAGGGAATCTGGCAGAATTCATGTGATGATGACGCGAGGGTCTTGGCTGACAACAGTCTGTGGGGAATTTATAATGGATGGGCTTGCTCCAAAAGCTTCTGCACTCTTGGGCCAATTCATTAGGAAGGGGCAGTACCTCCTGGAGGGAGCTACTGCTCTGTCTCTGACTGTGTCTCTGAATGCGGTACTATGCTTGGTTCAGGTGCCACACGGACAATCTAGTTCAACAGTTTCTAACTTTTCAAAGTTAATGACCCCTTTGAGAATTCATTGCTAGCTATGGAGTCTCTCTCCAGGAAAACATACATATGACCTATGTGCAAGATTTGCTTACAGTTTCAGAGGTTTTTTGCATCCTAGATTAAGCTTCCCTGAACTAGACAATATCAATTAGAAGGAGGAGGGTAATGTCTTCTCAGTCTCTGATGTCTCACTTTAAGCTCCAATTCTATGGAACTACATGTAATTCAGTGAAAATCCAGGTTCCCTCTGACCTTAGGCCTTTCTGCAGGTATTATTCCCTCCCCTCCCGCTTCTTCACCAGGCCAACTACAAAGTGTTCCCCTGGCCTTAGACATCATCTTCCTTGGGAAGCTTTCTGTGACCCCAGAGGAGTCGGTTGGGTGGTTCCTCTAATTGCTCTCAGGGGTGCTTTTGTAGCCCTGGTCTCACCATCTCTTGCAATTGTCTGCTCACTTTTTTCTTTTCATCATTTGGCTGTGAGCTGGAGGCCAGGGCCTGGGGTTTGCTGTTTTTTCTCTAGCATCTGGCACAACCCCTAGAACATGGCAGGCACTCAACAAATGGTTGCAGAGCAAATGGAAGATTGGCAGGCCTGGAGATATTAGCTTGAAAGGCTTGTTAGGCTTATGGATAGAGAAAAGGTGATGCTGTCTTTGTGAGGAAGAGGGAGCAGATTTGTTTAATGTTGCAGGAGGGCGGAACTGAGACCCACAGATAAAGATTAAGGAGGCAGATTTTGACTTAATGTAGGAGCAAGGGGAGGACTTACTAAAGGCCTTACAGCTTCAGGTTTCCTACAGAAGAATAGGCTGCTGAGCATAGTGGTGAGTTCTCTGTCAATGGCAGTCACCAAGCACAGCATGTCTGAGCATCTGGCAGACCTAGGGTGCTAAATATGAGTTTTTGATGGCCTTAATCATATCTTTTTTGTTCGTGTGAAGAAAACTACAACAAGTTACTTTGTTTTAAAAAATTAATATTCATTGTATTCAAGTTATAAATTAAAACATTTAATGAGATAGTGTGTGTAAAGCATTTAGCATGGTACTCGGTGCAAAGGAGTGTTCAAAGAATCATGGTTTTTCTTTAAGCTTTTAAGTTCAGCTTACAAATTTTACTATTTTATCTATAAGCCTAACAAGTTTTGACAATCCCCTTTAAAGAAGATTTTTTAATTTAATAAATTAAATTCCATTAAACATGATGAGCTGTATTTACAAATTTAATATGTTAAATTTCCTTTCTTAAGAACTTCAATTACCTGACTTTAAATTTTTCAATTCTTAAGTTCTCTTAAATGTTTCAGAAGTGTTTATAAAGTCAGTAAAATTTCACCATCGAGTCACCAATTTAATTACTCAAATACACATTTTAAAATTGCTATCACAAGATTAATCTGTAAGATGCCAATTTTCTTAGATACAAGTACTTAAAAATAGTAAATATACACAGAATCTTTGGCAAGTACTATGTATTTGATTCCCTTAATAGCTATACTTTATCCTAAACCTCGTAAGAATTAAAGATACAATGTATTCTAAAGAAATAATATTTTTAGATAAAATTTTATTCTCATTTTTTCATATCTTTTTTTTGTGTTTTTTCTTTTCATGATAACAGCCTACCATTACTAAATAAATAATTATGCATTCCAAACATTTTGAAGGTTGCCTTGCCAAGAAAATTTTGGATGATCGCCTTCTCAGCTGACTGAGGCTACTGACAGAAAAGAGATTTGGGTTGGCTGTGAGATCTGGAAGGCAGAACATCCAGGGAAATTCTGCCAACCATTCTAACATACAGGCTGGGTCCATTTCTATGGCCACTATGTCAAGAACCACAAAAATTGAAAAGGGAGGTGATCGTGTAATTTCTGGTGTGTTACCTAATATTAAGTTAGTGTTGAGTGGGTTCACTCCATCTAATCCTTTTCCATCCATCTTACCTCTTAGGTCTATAATTCTTTCAGATATGAAAAATGATACTTGATTGAATGTTGGGCTCTTCTGGTTCTCACTTTACTTTGTAGACACAACTTACAAATTAATTTACTAAAAAGTTACCAAAGAAATTTTCCAAAATTGAGAGGGAGATGAGACTAGATCATCCCTTCGTTTTCTTTGATTTCATGATTCTGTGTTTTGGGTGTACCAGAGGAGGCTATGACCCTTGTGACTCACAAGAGAGCCAGTGATGGGGTGGGGACCCAGTTCAAGAAGAGAAGGGCTAGTCAGACACATGGACTTTAAGTTGAGGAGCACAGCGTTAAGATAGTGTGCCACTGAAATAAGGGGGCATTTGGAGAAGGTCATCCATCTTCGGGGTGAAGCAACAGCTCACAATACAAAGAGGGTCTCTGTGAGGAGTAGTGAGGAATAGTGAGGAGGAGGAGAGCACTCGTGGTGAGGGGTTGGAAGTTTGGGGAAAGAGGAAGTGGGGAGGGAGTGCTCCCACACACCACTGGTGAGCATGGAGACTGGCACGGCTCCAGAAGCAACTTGCCCACGTGTAGGAAAACCAGACACTCCTCAGAACCCAAACTAACTACAACCCTTTTTAAGGCACTGATTCTTTTTTAGGACAATATCTTTACTTAAAGAATAGTACAGAACATAGGCCAGGATTAATGTAGAAAATATCTTAATACTTATCACAGTGAAACACAAGGAAAAATTAAATGTCCAACAGCAGGGGAGGTTTTGCTCATCTCTTGAACTGAATATTATATAGCCATTCAAATGATGTTCTCAAGAAATCTATTTCAAAAAATTAATAAAATTGGAAAAGATGTATATAGAATGTTAAATTTATATAAAGAAGCAAGATGTAAAGACCACATATACAATATTATCTTGTTATGAGTGCTTTTATATACTTTATATATAAAATATTTTAAAATATATTTTCTATAAATACACTTCTAGTCAATCATCCCCTCCCCTGAAAGCCATCAGCGATCCTGAGGACATGACCTCATGGATGATCTCAGAGGAGCTGCTCCATGCCCGCCTCACCTGCCAGCAGCCCATGTGCCCTGAGCCCTGACCATTTATTTTAAAGTATTTTATATACTTTAAAAATGTTTTCCAAGTTAAAAAAGAAGCATCTATTACTTTTGTAAAAGTGAAAAAGAAACAAAAAGAGAAATCCTTTTAAAAACTCTGACACGCAGCACCCCAAAATAAAAACCAAAATGGCCGGGCACGGTGGCTCACGCCTATAACCCCAGCACTTTGGGAGGCCGAGGCGGGCAGACCATGAACTGAGGTCAGGAGTTTGAGACCAGCCTGGCCAACATGGTGAAATCCTGTCTCTACTAAAAATACAAAAATTAGCTGGTTGTGGTGGTGGGCGCCTGTAATCCCAACCACCTGGGAGGCTGAGGCAGGAGAATTACCTGAACCCGGGAGGCGGAGGTTGCAAGGAGCCAAGATCATGCCACTGCACTCTATCCTGGACAACAGAGCGAGACTGTGTCTCAAAAGAAAAAAAAAAAAACAAAAAACAAACAACAAAAAAAATCAAACCCAAAACAAAAATGTGTAAGATACAGATGAACACAATTTGAAAGAAACTAGAGGATGTGTGGAACACTGTCAAAGCTCATGTCATGTGGAAGTTGAGTGGAAATAGAAAACAGACCACTGACTTTGTCTAAAAGGTCACAATAAATTATTGGTCACAATAATTTATTGTGACCAATAATAAATTATTGTGACCAAGAGTTATTGAATACATATTTGCACCATGCATTGGGTTAAACATTTTCTCATTTAGTTCTTATAAAACATAGTCTTATATGAGAAGTGTGATCACTAGCTCCATCTCACCCATGAAGTAACTGGGGCACTGAGGAGTCCAATTATTTGCTGAGGGCTACACAGTGTAGTAAATGCCCAGCACTCAAACACGGAATCTTAACCACTGTGTGCTATTGCCTCGTTGCTTGGGAATTTGATTCTGAAAGGGAGAGAAACTGAATGTTTGTTGAAAGGGATAGTAGAGTTAAGGTCTGGGTTTATTTTGTCCTTCTAATATCGTGACATTTGGACATGTTTAAAGGCAGTAGAAAAGGAATCTGCAAAGAGGGAGAAATAAAAGATGGATGTTAGGAATAGTGTTTCTCTAGCATCGAGGATGGCTGGGGCTCAGGGAACAGAGGGGGGCTGCTGGCGGGTGAGGCGGGCATGGGGCCGCTCTTTTGAGATCATCTGTGAGGCTGTGTCCTCAGGATCGCTGATGGCTTGCAGGGGACGGGAAGATTGAATAGGAGTGTGGTGTTCTTGACATTTAGTTAAAGTGAGTGCCAGGTGGGGGCTGACAGACGAAGCATGCTGAGGAGGCCTGGAAGAGGAACCCTGAGGAGTAAGCTGAGCCCTGGGGCCAGGCTGCTGTGGGCAGGTTTATGAGCCAGGCCTGCTCAGTTGGCAGACCCTGTCCACAAGCACTCTGTGGTCTGGAAGCAAAGAGAGAGGAGTGGTGGCAGTGGTGGAGGAGAAGTTCCAGAATCTGAAGCGTTGCCCTGAATGGCCAATGCTGGATGGGTGCCCAGAGGAGGAAAGGGTGGTTGGGGCTGGGGGGAGTCCAGGGACAGGCAAATTTTGGGGGGAGCAAGGGCTGTTAGAGGCAGTTTGTGATTGGAAGAGATGAGAGGCAGGGAGGTGATGGTGAGAGAGGAAGCAGAAATTTGGAGATGTTACAGCTGCAGTCAGTCCCACTTGGTGCTCAAGAACTTGGTGGCAGTTTGTCTGAAGGGGAACAGTGAGGTCAGGGTTTTTCACTAGCCATCAGAATGAATGTTATGCACCCTGAGGATGATAGCAGAGTGCAGGGCATAAAAAGGAAAGAGCCTGACCCAGGCAGTAATGTAGATCATGTGAGTCCTGCAAAGGGTGGAGAGGGAACGTGGGAGAGAGAGGGCCGGGAGCAGAGGGCAGGACCAGGAGAGACGGTAGTTTGGACAGATGGCAGGAGTGTCAGTTGCTGAGATATGAAGATAAGGGGGAAGACTTGGAGAGATTAGGTAATTTGCCCAAGCCCACACGGTTCGTATGTGGAAGAGCAAGGATTCAGCCCTGACTTTGTAGCACTAAAGCCTATCATGTTCCCAGTTATAAACCTTAGCGAAGTCCCCTCAATAGGAGAGGCGGGAAGCTGCCTCAGAGGCTGAGATTCCTGACTGTAGCTCCTGCTCCAGGCCCACAACACAGTTTCCCTGAAGAGGGAGAGAAGCACAAGGTGAAGGTGACCCTGATGGGTCTCATGGGGTCAGGGGTGAGGACGTGGAGAGGAGGGCCAAGTTGAGAAGGCCCACGGTTCTCACAGATGCCTTCGTTCCATGGTAGTCAGTACTGACCCAATGCTTCCATCTCAGGAGAGGCTGAGGGCATCACACGAAGCCAGCGCAACATCGCCTGGTTAGTCAGTTTGCCATGGGGCTGGTAGAGGAAGCACGGGGTGATCTCATCCTACATTCTGCTTCCCTTTCTTCCCTGGATGACTTGTGGAGCACTGAGGGGTCCCTCAAGAATGTGGCTGAGCACAGCAGGGAGAGCAGGGCTAGAAGAGATGATGAATTACTGAGGCATTTCAGCACCTTGGCTCTGTCTCTCTTCCCCTCCAGGGAGGAGCTGTCATAAACAGAGATACCAAGCGGTGTCTGGAGATGAAGAAGGATCTTTTGGGTAGCCACGTGCTTGTGCTCCAGACCTGTAGCACGCAAGTGTGGGAAATCCAGCACACTGTCAGAGACTGGGGTCAGACCAACAGCCAGTGATCCTCAGATGGTGCTGGATCTGGGTCATCAATTCTTGCAAGTGGAATGGCTTCTACTCCTAACACTCCCAGCTTCTTTCTCAATGAGAAAGAAAGCATGTGTATGTCTGTTTATGGCGACTTCAGGTGGGGCCTGTGCGTGTGCCGGGGTGTCTCTGTTGGAGAGAGGAGAGGAAGCTCTGATGCCTCGTCCCCAGCTTCCCTGGGAAGGTCGTGATATATATCAAATGCCATTCTTGGAAACTCCTTGAAATAACCAGCATCTTTTGGCTGTTACGTGGGGAGAGAAGGAGGAGGTTGGAAGTTTATCTTTGACTTCTGCCCACGATGTTTAGCCTTCCTTCCCGACAGCTACTGTCGCCATCTGCCCCACACCTCCTCCCCAGCTCATCTGCTTGGGGACTCCCCAGGCTGCCGGGGGCCATTCCACGTGAGAGGCTGGGCCCTCCTCAGGCCGGCAGCATGACACCTCTTCAGGTAGCACTAATTCTCCCTCCTGCCTGGACTGTCCTGAGAGATGCAGAAAATAGATAAGTGACTTTTAAACATTCCTCCATTCATCCTTCCATGGCAGTTTTATTTGGATGATCAGTCTCTCCCACACCAAAGAGATTCTGGAGGCTGAGGGGAGGAGAGAAGGCACCTCGACTCATCACAGCTGTCCAGGGGACAGTGTGTTGAGAAGGGTAAGAAAATCCAGGGCCATCAAAGCCTTTCTCTTAGTAGGTCATAACATTTAATGACTTAATTACCTATTCCCTCCTCCTACTCTTGCAAATTATGGAGAAGATGAGGCTTGAATCAGAGGGGCATCGCTTGTTGTGGGCAAAGAAGAGATTGCAGGCAAAATCTTAAAACCAGGGATTCTACGGCTGCCCACTGGATAAATATTTTCTGCTAGTTGGTGAGTTGGGAAGATATAGCTCAGCCTGCCAATTTTTGGCAAGGTCTTGGAGGCTGGTGGGACCAGGCACCATGGTGGGAGAGGAGGTAGGATGGTCCTGTGCGTGTGGTGTGTTGTGGGATTACCCTTCAAGCATGTGCTCCCAGAACCCCTTCTTCAGAGGGCCACTTTTCTCTCTTAGTCCCGTGTCAGGGCTGCCTGGAAATGATTTGGGGAATCATTAGGTTTTCTTCAGGCCTTAGGCAAGCAGGACAGTGATAATTTGGTACAGAATTTAATCAATTAAAACTTATAAAAATGAACTTTTAAAAGTGTACAGGTTATAGATAGCTTGATTAAAATTTCACTATGAACACTGCCATATCAAGAACTAAAACTACTGCAGATACGATTTTATTATGAAAAAATCAAGGGACAAGATGAATGTTAAGCAAATGTATAACTTCTAGCTTCTGCCTGGCAAATTGAAGGGAAAATGCAGTTCACAGCAAAGTTTCGAAAAAGCATGTACCCAATAGAAAGTTGGATAAAAGACACAATACTTAAACATATGAAAAGATGTTTAACCTCATTCGTAGTTAGAGAAATGCAAATTAAAACTGTATTGAGATACTTTTCACTTAAATTGGTAAAAATTAAAAAGTAAGACAGCACATTCTTTTGGAAGGGCTGTGAGAAACAGGCAATCTTATACATAAGGCAAACTGGGGATATTTAGCAATATCTAAAGAAACTGTATGTACATTTTCTATTTGTGCCAGTAATTCCACCTCTAGAGATTTACCTTAAAAATAAGAAAATACTTAGCACAAAGTGACTCTTTGCAGTATTCATTGTAACTGAGAAATGTTGAAAAAAAAAAAGATGTGGCTGAACATCAGAGAATAATTGAATACCTCCATATAATGGAGTACTATGCAGCTATGATAAAGAACAAAGACTCTTTCTCTGAACTGATATGGGGTGATTTCCAGTATCTTTTGTTAAGCGGGAAAAGAAAAATAGTATCTATACTATGTACCTTTTAGGTAAGAAATAAGAGAAAAATATACCTGCATCTGTTCATTTCTGCAAAGTAAAACATAAGAAGAATAAATAAGAAAATAATGAGATTGGTTACAATAGGTGGTGGTGGTTGGAAATAGGGCAGAAATAATTGGGAATAGGAACGGGATAGAAGGGATGTGGGGAGAGTGACATTTCTCTAACTATATTTTCTATAGTTTTGACTTCTAGAACCGTGTTATGTTTCAAATGCTTAAAATATAAATCTATAAAATCAATAAAGATAGAAACCCAAAATGGAGTATAAACAAAAATAAGTGAACCTAACTATATTTCCATATTGTAAATGAACACATACACACTCACTCATGCACACACACATTGATCACACCTAACATGCAGCACGCAGATCTTGTTTCTAAATATTTTCCAGTGAAAGGAATTACAAGCCTTTGGAGAAATAGCTAATTTTAGGGCTGGGGCTGGGATATCTTTCTATTTTAGAAAGTTATAAACTGCTCAGAAAATTATGGGGACCTGTCACAAACCACAATGGTCAGGTTGAAGGGGCTTCCACTGGCCAAATCTGGGACAATTTGAGTATTAAAATAAATAACGGTAATTTTAATTGAGTGATTGGCGTTAACATCATCAGTTGTCGGACAAACGGATATCATGGGCCTCCTGATATAATGCAAGAAGAACACAATATCACTTCTATGGTTTTCCTGCCAAAATACAGAACCTGAACCTATAATCTTGAGGAGACATCAATCAAACCCAAATTGAGGGACATTCTTCAAAAGAAATGGTCTGTATGCTTCAAAAATATCAACTCATGGAAGACAAGACTGAGGAAGTGTTCCAGATTTAAGGGGACTAACGAGATAACTAAATGTAATGTGTGATCCTGGATTAGATCCTGGACCTGAGGGCTTTTTCCCCCTTTGATTGTAAAGGACAGCAGTAGACAATAGGTGAAAGTTGAAGAAGGTTTGTTGATTAGATAATAGCATTGTATCCTGATTTTGATCATTGTACTCTGGCTATATAAGAGAATGTTCTTTATTTTACAAAATAGTCACTGGATGGAGTTGAGGGGAAGGGACATTATCTCTGAGATTTTATATAGATAGATGATGAAAGGATGGATGGATGGATGGAGCAGTAGACAGATTTGATGGAGGAGTGGATGGATGGAGATAGTTAGATAGATAGATAGATGAAACTGGGAATGATCAAGCAAATGTGGAAAAGTGAATCTGGATGAACAGTAAAGGGTTTGTTTACAAGAATTCTTTGTACTATGTTTGCGACTTTTCTGTACATCTGGAATTGTTTAAAAATAAAAAAAATTAAACAAACTCAACGCCTATCTAGATAGACACTAAAAATCTCTTCCCTTTTAACTGCAATGATAAGCAATAGCAGCTTAATTCAAGTTTGGTGTACTTTATTCTTTGAGGGAAATCTGTGATTCTCTCACACTTACAGTGAGGATACAGAAAGCTGCTTAGGCTCCCCAGCTTCCCAGAGGTCCTGAGCTTCCGCCAGCAGCTCTGTTCTCGAGGGTAGCCTGCTAGTTATGACAAAGAAGGTATTGATTTGCTTCCTTGGCCCTAAAACCACCTATTCATTCCTTGTCCTAAGATGTACATGGAATTATGTGTATCTGGTCACTGTCTACTTCCAGCCTTCATTGGCCAGGACACGTGAAGGTTGTCTCAGCGGCTGTCTTCAGTCCACTCAGGAAGCTGTTCCCTTGGCAACCAAGTTAATTATTTATTGACCCCTCTCTTTCTGATTTTTGGGAACATTGGAGCTCTACTGTAAGTCAGTGTTACCTTGTAAACAACAGTTAATATGACGAGTAAACTAGTCGATGACCCTGGAGTATGAAAGGTCACCAAAACTCCAACAGAGAAGTCTATG
The DNA here is from genome assembly GCF_000001405.40 of Homo sapiens. NCBI lineage: Eukaryota > Metazoa > Chordata > Mammalia > Primates > Hominidae > Homo > Homo sapiens. The sequence goes on from NC_000012.12 coordinate 4,776,438, forward strand.
TTTGATTCTAGGAGTTGGATATCTGGAACTGTGGACCCGTCATTCATTCCCTTTCTTTGGCTCAGAAAGTGAAAATCTCTGGGGCATCTTGCAAATGGCCATTTTCTCCCCATCCCACATTACCTCTCAATTTCCAGATGGCCGTACCCAATTTATCCCCTTATGGGAATAAGCCACACTAGACCAGCCTTAAAGAACCACAGTTTACTGTTACAAAATGCTCCTCTCTTGTTGGCCCTAAAGTAACAGGCTTATTCCTCTTGTCATTCCACCTATCCAAAACTAAAATTACAAGGCAGCTTTGCTTGTTCTTCTCCCTACAATGCCAGACTTCAAACAAATCCCAGGAATGCAGCTTGGATCTATCCTACTCTTTATTGCAGCCTCTGCTTCCCTAGGATTCTGGCACTTTTCCAAAGGGAGCAGGGCCTTGGAGACTCAGGGGTCACTGCCATCATGTGCCTGGTTGTTTCTCTTCTCCAGGCCCTAAACATCACCTACATGAGGCTTGAGCATCCCGATTCTCTCTTCAGAGGGAGCAACTTCCTCATCTGTGTAAGACCTAAAGGGTACAGAGCTGTGAGCCATGCCATAATGCATTGACATTCTAGAATTTTAAAGTTAATCTCTTACAGAGTTCCCTTATTTTACATGTAATACATTTTAACAATAGGAAATGTCCTTTTAGCTAATTTTCTAAATTTAAAGAAATTTGTGAAGTCCTTTTATAAAGATTAAATGAAATAGAGTGAGGTCTGTAATGTCAGGTTGAGTTAATTATCACTAGGATTAAAGGGTAAAATCAACTGCTCATGACTTGAAGTTATAATTTTAACAAACACAATTTTTTCCCACAAACATTTTATGTCTCAAGATTCCAAATCTACCATCTCCTTGGAACTATAAAAACCAAATCTGTCAATATCACCAGAAAGCTCTTTGGCTTCCATAGCAAAAAAAAAAAAAAAACTAGGAAGAAACTCAACTTTGTATAACAAAATAAGAAGTAGGTATAGTTTTAACTTTAACTAATGAAACCAGATATGTCAACATTCCCTAATGTTAGTATTTTCCTTCTCTGTCTTATAAGTCACAAAAGCTAAGTCAGGACTTGTCCTTTCAAAGTAAGTTGTCAACCTTCTTTCACTCTTTGAAGGTTCTTCATTAACTGCTGAGTGAGGCTGGTGGTTCTGCTTCCAGGGCATTTTCTAGCTGAGACTAAATTGATGAAAATGGGCTTGTGCTTTACTGTTGTCACAAGGACTTTGTCCTGGAGCCCCTGAGTCCCAGCTATTCCCCCCTCATCAAGCTCTCTACTCTGCTTTCCAGAGAGCCTGCTTGTGGGCCTTCCTGATGGGTCTGCAGTGGATCTTGACCAGGTTTTCCATATGGGAATCCCTTCCTAGCATTGCTCAGGAAATTCTGCTTTTTCCAAATCCCAAATTCAAAGAAAAATCAGTTGAAAAATGGGGGAAACAGAAAAGAGCTTTATAATTCTCCAGTGAGAATTAAAGTTTTGCAAGCGACATAGAGCTGTTACTGGTTTGATGAAACCATTGATGTCCAATGGAACGCAAGAGCAGAAAACACAGACACAGTCCAAGATTAAGGTTGATATTTTCGAAAACCAGGACAGGAGTGCAAAGAAAAAGAAAAGCAGTCATGATCTAATCAGTTTAACATCCTTATATGTAGCAATAGCCATGTTATAAATGTGTTTGTGATTTGTCTGCTTGTAATGTTGAGTAATTGTTGCAAGTAAAATACATGTTAGTATTTTTTATGCATGGTATATTTTATGCAAATATTCATACAAATCTTATGAAGGATATTGTAAGAAATATCAAGTTTTGGAAGCGAAATATGTTCTTAAACTGGCAGTTTCAACCTGTGAGTCTATCTAGTGCTGCTAGCCTTACTAGGGTACCTGAATGTTACATTATCTGAATATACACAATAATGTTTGCTGGAATGTCCCAGAGTTTGAATATTTGCTACAGACCATAGTTTTTATAAATGTTATTGAACTTAATATTTCTTATTTATGAAATAACTTTTAGATATCCAAAACAATGAGTAAAGAGTATAATTAATTTTAGAAATACTTAAAGAGAAACTTATGATTTGGAGAATTCCTGAAAGTTTTGATTTTTTTACTCCTGAGCCCCAAAGATACTATCTGTTGGGAATTGTTGAAAATCCTACCCTAACATTGCTTAAACCTACCAGGCTGTCTCCTTCAATTTACTGCTCTGGGTTCACCATTAAACAATTAAACACGAATCCTTCAGGTATTTTTTAATAAAAATATGGTGCTTTTAGGTATTTTAATAAAAAATGGAAAACATTTCTTAATAAGCCAAGTGTTTCAAAATGCTTTTGAAACAATTAGTTTCCCCGCAGGCTTTGTGACCTTCTCATGCCTGTGTATGTATGTGCAGTACTTGGCTGTGAGAGGCAGGGCTGGGTAGACAGCAGCCCAGGCGCAGTGTCTAGTGGGCCCTCCCTGGGTCACAGTCACCACAGTGACAATCTCCAACAATTAGTCCAGTGACTTTATGATCTTCAAGAGCTTCTCTCCAGGGCAGGAGAGTTCTGTTGAAGATGGAGTTCACTCAAGATGGAGTGGAGCAACATGTACCTCCCACCTTCCTCTGATCCCTGGGGAAAGAGGAAATCTAAGAATTCAGATGGCAGTAACAATGACAACAAAAGGAATCCAAGAGTAGCTCCAACTCTAGCATCATAACCTGTGGAACCCCTTTCTTTCTGAAGCCCCCAGCCCCAACCTTTATCATGGGGTCCCTTCCCTGTCTACTGGAACTCTTTCCCTAGAGTTTGGTCCCAGATATGGGATAGGTGCCATGGATCCTGTGGTGCAGGTGCTCTAGGCACAAATGCTCTGTTGTGCTCTGCTTTGAAAACCTGGGGCTCTGTCAGTTTCATGTGGGCTGCTCTTGTCCAGCTGGAGCCAGACGCTAGGTCACGCACGAAAGAGAGGGCTGGAACTCTGGTCCTGGGCAGACTGCTGTCCTGGGGACTGGCTACCTGCCTGGCCTTGTTTGCCTTCCTGGCCTAGAACGCTCGCTCATGAGTTCCCCAGCATGGCATAGGGAACAGTGGAGGTGGACTGAGGGGGCAGGAAACCACTGGCTTGGGGCCACAGGGGTGGCAACAGCAAAGACAGTTCGGTGGATGAAGGACACTATGGGATGGATGTGGCTGGAGGTGCAGCTGCCACAGGGTCAGTGGACAGCAGGGCTTACGAGTGAGGAAAGGGATAGTGTAGGCAGGAGCCACACTTGCCTCCAGTAGCCGCTGCAGTGGGCTCAGGGGCCCTGGACAGCCATGGGAACCTCTGGCGATGGCAGGCAGTGGATCAGTGTAAACATGTCTGTAGCTAAGCCTGGGGATTGGCAGGCCAGCGGTGGCTGAGTGAGGCAGGAAAAGAGCCTGTGGCTGCTGCTACTCTCATTCTCCTCCCTGCAGCAGGGTTCCGGAGGCTCTCCTCGCCTCTGCTCACCCTCAGATGGGAGGGCTTTTGTGTGCAGGATGCACCTAGCTCCTGCGGAGCCGGCCCTGGCTGCCCACTGATCTGTGGGCTAATCTGCTCGTGTACATCTTTGTGTTCAGTCAGAGGAAGCAACAGGGAGTCTTTACTCAGAAATACTTTGCCCAGGGGACCTTTAATCATGGACAGACAATTTTCCATATAGGGTTCTTCTTTGGAGCCTACCCCAGCTCTTAGGATCTTGAGAAGAGCTCTGTCAGGAGAGGCAGATTCCCACCTATGGGATTCCCTGTTTCTTCCTTGAACCCTTTGGGAACAGGGAGGATTCCTTACATCTCTGATAAGAAACACCCTTAAAATTACTGAAGGCATCTCATCGACCTCATCCCTACCAGTCTGAACTCCCTGTAGCCAAGTTCTCTTAAAAAGAGAGGGAGAGGTGGTGGGGTGAAGGTAGGTGTGGGATTTGGTGGTTGAGGCAAGGTCTAGAGCCAGGCAGAAGCACATCTGCTGATGCTGTCCAGTGCTGCCCTGCAAGTGACAGTCAGTGGCCAACACAGCAGATCCGTGGCCATCTGAGCTTTTCCAAACATCTTGTTTATGCACAGAGGAGTTTGGAAAAATAACAGCAATTCAGGGCCACTTCCACCCAAAAGGCAAGGAAGGGAGGTTCTTCAGAGAGCAGCCAAGATGCCTGTGGCAGGGTGGCTGAGGTTGGGCAAATAGACTTGCTGGCCACTTGCTCCCTGAAAGCAATATGGAACAACAAACAGGTCCCTGTTCTGCAATCCAGCTCGCCTTTGGCCCTGGTGTGGAGTGGTCTGGCAAATCCAGGGACAGACAGACTTTACCTCAGACGTGCTTTGGGAAAGCACACCCAGCCGAGTTCTTGGCAGCATTCTGCCTGTCTCCACTCCATCCTTAGGGTCTCTTGGCTCCAGACAGGATCAAAGGTCCCCACGCCTCCTGGCCAGAGGCCTCAGAGAGAGGCATTTGTGGATGTCTTTTCATTACGGACTCCTGGTTACTGGAATTTGAAAATCTGGCTGTGAACACTGATTCCAGGCCAACTGTTGGCACTCATGTTATAACAAGGACGAGCTTCTACCCCCCCACACCCCTTTTTAAGTCAAAGATGGAAAAACTCCATTTGGCAGTTCTTTTCCCTGAAATAGCAACAAGAAGAGAGACAAACATCCCAAGTTTAAAAAAAGAAAACTTTGTAGAGGAACAGAGATTCTCTTACAACGTTATTCTAATCAGTAATACCTTTAACTCTGTCATCAGACATCTGATATTTGTGATTATAAATGAGCCTCTAGACTGGGTGTGCAAATCAGTTCTAAAGCCATAGCTGGGATTTTTTTTTTCAAGTGTAGTAAAAGACACATAGCCAGATAGAAAGTTTAATTAAACCCATGAGTCAGATAATATGAAAGACCAAAGTAAATACGCTCTCCGCAGGTGTGGCTTTGGAGACAGGAAAGAGGAATTTTTGCTTGCCTGGAGGCTAGGTGTTCTCCCTCCTGTCTGGAGGGGACCTTGTGGTGGTGTTTGTCCTTGGAAAGTAGGTGTCCTTACACAAGGAGCATCCTGTTTACTCTCTTTCAGACACACAGTCACCTGCCTCCTACTACCAGGGTCAAAGAAAAGAGAAAAAAAAAAAGACGCTGTGAACTCCTTTCTGTTGTCTTTCGAGACTTTATAGCTGCTGGATGCCTGGCCTAAATATACCAAAGTTCCACCAATTTAGTCGTGCTTCCTTTGAATTTTATGGGTTTCTTTCTTTTTTTCCCCTTCTTCCCACCTACAGTCCTAATTTTCATTCTTTCTCATCTCACACTTGGCAGAATCAAGTTGAATGATACATAAAAGAAAGCAGGACCCCTGGGAATCAAGGATGGGGCTGGAAGGGGTGGCAGGAGATGTGGAGAAGGCTCCCATTGAGGGGGTTTAAGGAGGTGAGTGAAAAGTGGTCACTGCCTGTTTGAGAGGCCTGAGCTGTTCCAGGGATGTGGCTATGAGCAAATAGAGATGTGGAACTGGGAGCAAAGGGAGCCCAAAATGAATTTGCCTGGATGGAATGAAAGAGCAAAGAAGACAGAGGGTGAATCCTAGGACAGGGACCCTGTGGGGCATATGGGTAAACACAGCAGCCAATGGAAGTGTTTTCCATTCTGCCTTCTCCCTAAGAAGTGCGTACAGAAACAAATGAATGAATAATACTTGTTTTATTTCTCACTGTAAAAGTAACCCCACATTCATTGTATTGTAGAAATTTCCAAAACACATAAACACAAAATAAATAAGTAAAACCATGCATAACCTTACTGCTTGGATGTAATAATACTAAATTCTGTTCACTTTCATATTTTTTATTTGAACCTATGTGTCTGAACATATTTATGTATTTCATGAAATTAGGACCATCCTTTATATATGCTGTTATAGCTTTTTTTTTTTTTTGAGAAGGAGTCTCGCTCTGTGGCCCAGGCTGGAGTGCAGTGACGTGATCTCAGCTCACTGCAAGCTCTGCCTCCCAGGTTCACGCCATTCTCCTGCCTCAGCCTCCCGAATAGCTGGGACTACAGGCACCCACCACCACGCCTGGCTAATTTTTTATATGTTTTTGGCAGAGATGGAGTTTCACCGTGTTAGCCAGGATGGTCTCGATCTCCTGACCTCGTGATCCGCCCGCCTCAGCCGCCCAAAGTGCTGGGACCATAGGCGTGAGCCACAGCGCCCAGCCTTTTTTTTTTTTTTTTTTTTTTTGGGACAGGGTCTCAGTCTGCCACCCGGGGTGGAGTGCAGTGACACAATCATAGCTCACTGGCTCACTGTAACCTCAAACTCCTGCCTCAGCCTCCTGAGTAGCTGAGACTGCAGACATGTGCCACCACATTCAGCTAATTTTTTTATTTTTTTAAATTTTCGTAGAGGCAGGGTCTTGCTGTGTTGCCCGGGCTGGTCTCAAACTTCTGGCCTCAAGCAGTTTTCCCACCCTGGCCTTCCAAAGTGCTGGGATTACAGGCATGACTCATGCCCAGTCTGATTTTTCAATTTAGTATTTTTTTTTAGAAATCCAACATTATTCACTAGTCCATATTTATGTATATAGACAAGTCACCTGCCGAAAGATAAAAGTTTCTAGTACGGAATTTAGAGGATAACTCTGCAGAGCAATGGTGTGGGTGAATATCTTTTAGGCCGGGTTCTGTGTGGAGTGGAGCTTGCCCTCAGCTTCTCAGCACAGCAGAGGGATCAGCTGACCTGATAAAGAAGGTAGATGGAAGCATATTAGAAGAAAAGAGTTCTGCTCACGTAGGGTAGAACAGGAGGGAACCTGGAAGGCTGGAGCTACTCTGTTATTATGGAGTCAAAAGTTTCCTAGCTGAGTACAAGGGGAAGTATCCCCGCCTAGGGGGAGGCTCATAAGAGTTATCATTTATTGAACATCTACTATGTGCTGGGTATTGGGGGGCTGTGCAAATGCTATTTTTCATCCTTCAGACAATCTAACAAAATAGGTCTCATTGTTTGCACTTTCCTGATGAGGAAACTAAGGCGCTCAGTGATTAATTTCAGTCCAAGGTCACACAACTGGTAAGCACCTAAATGAGGACTACAGCATGGGTTTTCCAGGAGTGTTGCAGAATAGAAAAACATACGCTTTGAAAGAAACAGAAAAACATACCTTTCGATCACTTTCATTAAAACATATCTTTCTTTGCTGGGCATGGTGGCTCATGCCTGTAATCCCAGCACTTTGGGAGGCTGAAGCCAGTGGATTGCTTGAGCCCAGCAGTTCAAGACCAGCCTGGGCAACATGACAAGACCCTGTCTTTAAAAAAATAAAAAAATAAACATAACTTTATCTTAGATGATAAAGTAATAAATACTTATTGAAGAAAAATCACTACTAATCCCTTTTTCCTATGTTACTGGATGGAAAGTCTTGATTGTGAGTTTTCCAGGTTCTTGGTACATTGAGCAAAGAATTGAATAAAATGCACAAAGCACCAAAAGAACGAAGCAATGAAAGAAGCAACAAAAAAGCACAGATTTATTGAAGCGAAAGTACACTCCACAGAGTGGGAGCAGGCTCAAGAAAGCGGCTCAAGAGCCCTGATTACAATGTTGTTTAGGGTTTTTATTAAGCTAAAGAATTTGGGTAACACTCCAGGTGCCCTGTAGACGCTTCCAAATCAGTTACACCCTATGAAGGATTGGCCCCCGACCAATCAGAGGCTGAAGTGGAGACTTCTGCCTTGATACCACAGGAGTGAGGATGTGACCTGTGTGTTGCCTAATCTTGCTTAGAACTGGCTTCACCTGCTGTTCTTTTGCTTATGCCTTAACCCTTGGTTACCCTAATTCCCTAGTCTCCGGCCTCACTTGGTACCATGATTTGAAAATTCTCTTGTTATTTGATTTTCCCTCTCTGGATCTTACATTAATTTATTCAACAAATATTTATTTTTTAATTACCATGCATTAATCACTGTTCAAGAGAATTTTAAAAAGCAGGTGAGATTATCCCCTGCCTCAAGAAATAGATAGTACAATGGGAATTAGGCGGCCACACACACTAGCTATGACACCTGTAATGACTACTACCATAGAGATTGCGTCAAGGGCTGAGGATGTGCGGTTGTGTGAAGACTGGCTTCAAAACAAAGGTAGTTTCCTCTCTCCGTGTGTTGATTCTTTCATCTGTGTAATGACATCTGTATAATGACAAGAGTGACTTCTGGATTTAGCATGCTCTAAGTCTCATTCCCTTGTCTTCTGTAGATTTGTCACTGGGAAGCTCTTTTCCATATGTAGTGAGTTCTGGTTTCCTGGGACAGCCTGATCTGGAGCCCACACAGGATGGTTGCCTTCGGAGGCCCCTGTTGCTGTCACGTGGCAAGTGGCCTACTTCAGTGTTTCCATGTGCTTGTGTTTGTCAAGAGACACACCTGCTCAGCCACATGTTCAAGTTACAGTTCTTTCCTACATTTCCCTCCCTCCCTCTTTCCGTGCTTTCTCATATCTTTTAGTTTCAGGTCATTACCTGCTGCACCCCTCCAGACCCCAGACTTCCTGGAAGGATAGAACTCAAGGTCAGGATTTGTTCTGATACAGCTCTATATGCCTGCAGGCCCTAGCACAGCTCTCTGCACATAGATGTCCAATTAATGTGGACGAATGACTAGTGGTTTTCTCTTTTGAAACTTCTTGGCATGCAGGGCTGACTGACACCTTTCTGGAAGGCCTGGGAGAGAATTTGCGTTGTTTCATTTTGTTTGTTCTTACCTTTTCCCGCCTATAGAGGCTGCCTGCCTTCCTGTGCTTGCGGTCTTCTTCCATCTTTAAGTCAGTAGTGGCTTGTCAAATCTTTCTTACATGTCATCATTCTGACACTGACTGTTTGGCCTCCCTTTTCCATCTTTTATGAATTACTGTGAGTACCTTGCGGCCATCTGGATAATCCAGGGTCATCTCCCTATCTTAAGATCAGCTGGTCAGCAACCTTAATTCCCTTTTTACATTTAACACATTCTAGTTCCAGGGAGAAATATGTGGACGTTTTTGGGAGAGCCCATTACCTATCACAGTGCCAAGTAATTTTTCTTCAGGATTCTGTTTATTCAACCATCTAGCCACACACCCATATAGCATTTATTGAGCTCCCACTGTGTTCCATGTGCTTGTGAAGTGCTGGGATATGAAGGATGCACAGTACATAGTCTGGTAGGAGATGAGAATGAACAATTGCAATGCGTTTGACCAGCAATATAATGTAGATGTGCAGAGGAGACCATGGGGGTACTGAGGAGAGGCATCAAACCCAGACCAGAGAATGGGATGGCACCTGACCTCATCTTTATGGAGGCTGGGACTGGGGATGGAGGGCTATGCAGAGGGAACAGTATTTGCAAAGACCTGGACAGCATGGTGTGCTCTGGGACTTAAGATAGTTCAAATTGCTGGAGCATAACGTACTCTTTTCCTACTCTACCTCTGCCCTCCTTAAGAAGGAGTTGAAACTCGATAGGTAAGAGTAGAAGATCATGATTAACCTTGTTTGCAAGTTAAGGAGGTGGATTTTATGTTATAGCCACTGGGAAATGACAAGGATTTCTAACAGAGGAGTGATGGTGGGCTAATGTGCTGGCTGTGCATAATGGCTTTCCAAAGATTCTTTATTGCATTTTCATGACTTTCTCCCTGCCAGAAGAGATACTCAGTCTACCTTTTTCTAATGTGAACACAGTATACCCATTTTTTACCCTTGCTGCCAGTCTCCCTAAGCCTGTATTGCCCCTGTTGGCTAAGTCTGCTTTGAGGTCCTTCAAGGTGACTTTGCAGCATCTCTTCCCACATTACGTCCAGGATCTGGCCCTGATTACCTCCCTCCTTTAGGTCTCTTTTCCCCCAGGGCCATCTTCATTAAGGTACTAATTAGGACAGCCTCAATGAACTGTAAATGCATTTGTATAAAATGACTGCGTGTCTCAGCAGATTTTTTGCTTCCTTGAAAGCAATAGCAGAAGCGATTATGAAACAGCTGTGGTATGGTGGCAAAAGCAATGGTTTTAGCCAGAAAATCTGGCTGTGAATCCCAGCTCTGCCATTTAATAGCTATTTGACCTTAGGGGCAGTCATAGAAATTCTTTGAGTCTCAATTTCATAGTCTATAGAATGGGGGTTGTAATAGTCAGGGTAGGCTGACTACCGTAACCAAAATTTTAGGAGTTTAACAAAATAAAAATGTATGTCTTGCTGATGTGACAATCCAAGGTGGGTGTCCCTGGTCAGGTGGTTCTTCTGCATAGCTCTTCTCCAACTATGGCTCAGAGACTCGGGATCCCTCCGCCTGTGGCTCTCTCAACCCCTCAGCCGACACAGTCCCCAGAGCCCTCCTCATTTGTCCAAACGATGAGGAATGGAGGGATAATATTAAAGTTTGTGTAGTTGTATGGGCCAGCTCAAGAATGACCCACATCCCTTTTGCTCTCAATCCACTGTGCAGAACTCACTCACATGACTGCACCTAATTGCAAGGGCAGCTGGGAAATGTAGTCCAGCTATGTGTCCAGGAAGAAAAGGAAATGGTTTACAGAAAAACTGGTCAGTCTGGCCAACTCTCCAACTATAAAAATAAAATTGTTTTTAGAATTAAATTAGATAAGTAGGTGCTAACTTAGAGCAGCGCCTAGTATGCCATAAGTATTTCATGTGTTGTGTGTGTGTGTGTTTGTGTGTGTGTGCCTTGCAAAGAGTGCCTCAGAGAACAACAAATGCTTCAGGGAGGAAATAGAAATTGTGGGTTGTGAGAGCAGTTCTCTTCAATGTTTTCTTTTAGAGTGTATCAGGAAAAAGTACTCAGTAAGAAATAGCCCATTAGTATCAGTAAAAAATACTTCAAAAGAAAATATAGTCCATTAGCCCTTGGCACCCTTGGAAAAAGCTCTGTCTGACAGATGCATCGCTGCCTCCCAGCTCTGCCGGCAGGTCCTCTGCCTTGCTTATACTCCTCTGCTGCTTCTTTTCCTAATTGCTTCCCTCCTCCCTCTGCCATCCCCAACTTGTGCACACTAATTCCCCCTTGCATTGAGGATTATAATGGGAGTGGAATCAGGACTGATAAAAGGGGAAGAGGGGTGAATTAAATCAGACAAGATAATTTAGAGAAATAAGTAGGGCAAGATAGGTCCCCTAAAAGAGCATTAAGTAGAATTTGGCCTTAGAGAAAGGCCCAGACTAATTCACGTGCTTGTGCAACTGAGTATGCAAATCAATAGAACAGAGAGTAGGGGGACTGCTAATGCCAATGTTTTATAATCAAGTAAGTTTTTGCCTACCCCAAATGTTTGGGTCCTCAGGCTTCTCAATCTACTTGGCCTTCCCTGTCCCCGTCCATACCCCAGGTGATAAGGTCCTAAATAGGAATGGAGGAAATTCTGCCTCCCTTCCTGCATGTTCCAGGGATGATGATTTTATTTTATTTGAACAAGTATTTACTTTCCAAAGATATATTAAGGACATGATTTCTTTTCCCTTTCACCAGTTCAATCCCTGCCTTGGAAAAAACAGCAGGAAGAAACTATTAACTGATGTGTGCTGCTTTTAGAGCCATCCCGGGGGACAGATCCATCTCCATTAAGCACCCAGTTGTTGAGAGCTGCAACAGGCTTTGTAATGAACTCTGCGATTAGAAGGCCGGGGGCTGGCGGGGAGGGGGCTCTAATGGTGGCCTAGGAGGCAGGTCCTTCTCTGAAGATGTCCAAGAATGGTTCAGAGGAGAGCCGCTGCCACATGTGTGCAGGCTGAGGGGCAGGCTGCAGAGAGTGATGAACAGGGATCATTTGGAAGAAGGGACATGACAAGTTAAAGTAAAATAATGACTGCGGCTCACGACTCAGAGCTTTTATCCAGCCACAGGCTAGTCTGGCTCTACTTGGGGAAGGGAAGGCTGCAGATTTTCTCTGATTCAGAAAGAGAACATAAAAACAAAAAGGGGCCTGGTCTTGGGGTGGGTGGGAGGGGAAGGAGAGGTTGGAGATTGGGGCCTGGTGCAGGAGCTAGAGAAAAGGGGGAGGAGGAATAGGTTGAAGAAGGGAGGCATGCAGCTGAGTGCAGAAGACTCAGGACTCAGGACTCAGTACCTGGAGCTGCTTAGGGTCCCTGTTTCAGAAACGAGGAGGATAAGGACTAGTGCAGAGCCATCTTCACCATTAGGGGCAAAGAAGAACTCTGTAGATGTTTTTTTCTTTTAGCTAGTTTTGCTTTTCCTTGTGTAAAATGGAACCTATTAAGGTGAATTTCCTTACGGGAGGGAGTTGTAATGTTTGGTTGTTAAAAACCTGGGCTTGAATTCCAACTCTGCCATTTGCTAGCTTCATGATTTTTTAGAAGTTCATTAGCTTCTCTGAACTTTGGAGTTCAGTGAGGATTAGAAGAATAATGTACGTAAAACAGCACAGGATCCGGCACACAGCAATCATTTGTTAAAAGTTAACTGGTGTTGTAAAAAAATGCTTCTTTTGACCAAGGAGATGACTAGAAATTTGGGAAGGCATTTCAGAGAGTCTGGTAGAGTTGTCCTCATGCAAGCAAAAATCTCTTTGCTCATAGGAGTTGTCTCGACCTGGAGTCAGAAGACCTGGGTCCTAGGCATAATGCCACCTCTAACAAACTGTGGGACCTGCAAGAAGCCTGAGCAAGGCCTTCGGGACTCAGGCTCTCATTTGTAAGATAGGGAGAACACTGAGTGCTTGATTTGCCTCATAGGGGTCTCATGCGGATCTCTAAGGCAAACCTGAGAGCACCTTGTGGAAGTGAGACTCTAGGCAAACACTAAGGGCCTGCTAAGAAGGGTGACTGTTCATTGAGCAGGATGGGTGGTCCCTGGAGGGCAGAGGCTAGAATGGCTAGCGGGTGAGAAGCTCCAGAAAGAGAAGAGGAGAGAAGAGGAAACTGGGAGGGAACAGAGAGCTTGGAAGGCTCACATAGGAGGTGGGAGGACTGAGTGGACCTTTTGGTTGGTTGGAGGAGCAGAGTTAGAACCAGAAAGAACCAAACGCCAGGACCAAGGGTGGCAGTAGGAGGCATTGGAGAGACTGGTTAGTCCTAGGAATTTTTTTTTTTTTTTTTTTGAGATGGAGTCTCGCTCTGTTGCCCAGGCTGCAATGCAGTGGCATGATCTTGGCTCACTGCAACCTCTGCCTCCTGGGTTCAAGCGATTCTCCTGCCTCAGCCTCCCGAGTAGCTTGGATTACAGGCACGTGCCACCACACTTGGCTAATTTTTTTGTATTTTTAGTAGAGATGGGGTTTCACCATGTTGACCAAGCTACTCTTGAACTCCTGACCTCAGATGATCTGCCTGCTTCGGCCTCCGGAAGTGCTGGGATTATAGGCGTCAGCCACTGCACCAGGCCTAGTCATAGGAATTTTAAGCTGCAGGGTTGAAGCCCAGAGGGGTTGAAAGAGTAAAATAATGAGCCGGGCATGGTGGCTCATGCCTACAGTAATCCCAGCATTTTGAGAGGCCGAGGTGGGAGAATCACTTGAGCCCAGAGTGCAAGACCAGCCTGGGCAACACGACGAAACTCCGCCTCTACAAAAAAATGCAAAAATTAGCCAGATGTGTTGCGCAGTCCTGTAATCCCAGCTACTCAGGAGGATTGCCTGAGCCTGGGAGGCTGAGGCTGCAGTGAGCTGAGATTGCACCACTGCACTCCAGCCTGGACAACAGATAGAGACCCTGTCTCAAAAGGAAAGAAAGAAAGAGAGAGAGAGAGAAAGAAAGAAAGAGAGAGAGAAAGAAAGAAAGAAAGAAGGAAAGAAAGAAAGAAAGAAGGAAGGAAGGAAGGAAGGAGAAAGCAAGGGTAAACCAATGATAATCATAATAAATAACATTTATCGAGTTAATTATTCCTCATTTATTCAACAAATATGCAGTGCCCCCATGTGCCAATGTTTTAGGTGCTAATGATAGACACGTCAGTGAATAAAACAGAAAAGAATTTCTGTCCTCATGGAGCTTATGGCCTGAGCAGGAAAATATGTACATTAAAAAATAAATATATATGCTGGGGCAACTGGGTAAGCCACAGTTAGACCCCTACATCATACCATATATAAAAATAAACTCAAGCTAAACCAAGACCTAGGTGTAAAGGCTGAAACTATAAAACTCTTAAAAGAAACATAGGCATGACTGGGCAAGGTGTCTCACGCCTGTAATCCCAGCACTTTGGGAGGCCGAGGCAGGTGGATCACTCGAGGTCAAGAGTTCAAGAGCAGCCTGGCCAACATGATAAAACCCCATCTCTACTAAAAAAATCACAAAAATTAGCCAGGTGTAGTGGCATATGCCTGTAGTCCCAGCTACTTGGGAGGCTGAGGCAGGAGAATCACCTGAATCTAGGAGGTGGAGATTGCAGTGAGATGAGATTGCGCCACTGCACTCCAGCATGGGCAACAGAGTGAGACTCCATCTCAAAAACAAAACAAAACAAAACAAAACAAACAAGCAAACAGACAAAAGAAACATAGGCATTATCTTTGGGACCTTGGACTTGGCAATGGATTCTTATCTACGACACCAGAAAAAATAGATAAATTAGACTTCATCAAATTTAAAAACTTTTGTGCTTCAAATGACACTATCAAGAAAGCAAAAAGACACCTCACAATTTTTCTGTAAACCCAAAATTACTCTAAAAAAATAAAGTCTATTAAAAAAAAAAACACAAATGGGAGAAAATACAGCAAATCATATACCTGATTAGGGACTTGTATCTAGAATATATAAATAACTCTTTAAAAATGAGCAAAGGATCTCAATAGACATTTTTCAAAAGAAGATATCCAAATGGCCAACAGACATATGAAAAAATGCTCAACATTCATTAATCATCAGGGAAATACAAATCAAAACTACAGTAGGATACCACCTTCATACTCACTAGGATGGCTATGTAGTAATTCTTTTGAAAAGTAAAATAACAATTATTGGTGAGGATTTAGAGAAATTAGAACCCTAATACATTGCTGGTGGGAATGTAAAACAGTTCTTCAGAAAGTTAAAGAAAGCATTACCATACGACTGAGAAATTCCACTCCTAGGTAGATACCCAAGAGATATAAGAACATGTCCACACAAAAACTTGTATGTGAATGCTCATAACAACATTATTCATAAAGGCAAATGGTAGAAACAATTCAACTTTCTATCAAGTGATGAATGGGTAAGTAAAATGTGGCATATCCATACAATGGAATATTATTTGACAATGAAAAGGAATGAAATATCGATACATGCTATAGTAGGCACGACACTTGAAAACATCATAGTAAGTGAAAAAAACCAGTCACAAAAGACCATGTATAGTGTGATTCCATTTATATGAAACATCCAGAATAGGCAAATCTATAGAGAAAGAAACAAGTTATTGCTTAGGGCTGGTGGGAAATGGGGAGGGTGGTTTGGGGGAGCTTTTGTGGGTGAGGGCTAAAGGGATTTCTTTTGGAGGTGATGAAAATGTTCTAAGATTGTGGTGAAGGTTGCACAACTCTTCACATGCGTTGAAAAACATTGAACTTCATACTTTAAATGGGCAAAATGTCTGGTATGTGAATTGCATCTCAATAAAGCTGTTAGCAAATAAATATACATTATAGCAGGGTGATAAGTGCTGTGAGGAAGAATAAAACAGCAGCAGAGGATAGGTGGGTTATGCTATTTAGATGGAGTGATCAGGGAGGGCTTCTCCAAAGACATGACATTTAAGTGGAGACCAGAAAGAAGTGAGGGAGCAAGTGATGCAAGTATATTGGAGGAAGAGTGCTCCAGGCTGAAGACACAAGTGTAAAAGGGGTTGAAGCCACAGAGAGCTTTCCATGTCCAGGAACTCCCCAAAGGCCAGCATGGCTGAAGCTGAGGAGGGGAGAGAAGTGTCAGTCAATGAGGACTCAGAGGGAGGTACTAGCCCAATTCCATGGGGCTGGTATGGACCCAGGCTGGGAGTTTAGACTTGATACTTAGTGCAATGAGGTGTCTTTGACGCAGGCAAATGACGCATGTGGATTTATGTGTTTTTTTTGTTTGTTTGTTTGTTTAAATCACTCTGCCTGTGCATGGAGAATTGTCTGCTGGGGGTGAAGTGAGTGGTATGCAGGTAAACCAGCTCTCTAGGTGGGGAAAAAGGCCTTGGTTTGTAATGCCTGCTAATTCCTGTGGTGTAAATGCTCCCACCATGGCCAGTTTCAAACTACCAACAATTCGACAATGGACTCTTCAAAGCCCTGAAAATATAAGCAGTCAGCTCTTGTGAGCCATCATGAGTCAGCTGCAGCACACTGCTGGCAGGAGACTAATCAAGAGACTTCCAGAGCGGCAGTAACGTGGTGAGAAAAAGTAATCAGATTTGGGGTATATTTTTAAAGCTTCCTCCTATTATGCATGAGGGTAAGTGATGTTCTTGTTTTATCCCACTTTATTCTCATACTATTCCAGAGCCACCTTTTGCCTATAGAATACCTTCATGCAAATCAGAACAAAGCACCCCTTCCTCCGGGAGCAAAGAGCCTTGAACTGGGACACAACGGTGTAGGGTATGCAGTGTGGGCCCCATTGCAGCCTCATGCTCACCAGCTGCCCTGTGCAGGGCACAGCCTGGCAGATCCTAAGGTGGCAACCCTGTAATAATGCTGGTGAGGATGCCACTGTAACTCCCTTTTTTAATGGATGAGAAATTGGAAGCCCATATTAGTTAAGTAACTTGTCTATAGCGAAGGAGATATGATTTAAACCCAAGCTGCTGTATCTCAAAGTCTTTGATAGTTTTCCTTAAAACCCCTTTGAGATATTTCTGGTCAGTACCTCAGATGCACTCCAGTGGAGGCTCAGGTCCCAAAGTATATCTGCAAGCCTGAGCTGTCAGGTATGCCAGACTGCAAGGGCAAGAGGGTGGAAAGGAAGAGAAGGAACGGAGATAATGTAGAGTCAAAGATTTTTATACCTGAAGAGGTGGCAAACCAAGATGAAGGGAAAGGAACAAAACACTTTTGAAGTACATGCTTAGTGAGAAATATTTCAAATATTTTCCTGTTAATTTGGAAAAAAAATAACTTCATTTAAAAATGAGACTCAGAGAGGTTAAGGAGCATGCTCAGGGTAACGCGCTGATAGGTGACATCTGGGGCAATAGCCTATGCTCTTTCCACATAATCTTCCAGCAGCTTGAGCTCTACCAATGGGCAAGAGAGCCCCACTCTTTTAGTGTCCACTCTTCCTCAGAAGATGATGGTCATGATTCTGGGAGCAATCCGGCCACTTCCTGAAATATTTCAGGACCTTGACATCAAGGTGGTTGTATGGGGATCATTTTTTCCATTAATTCAACAAACATAGATTATCTATTATCTACCTGGCACCCAAGTTAGGTAATGGGGCTGTTGTGATGAATATGACATTGTCCCTGACCTTATAAATTACTCAACACTCCTCTTTATGTTTCCTTTTACAATCTGGGGCTCAAGTCCCCTTTGCTCCCTCCCAGTCTATCCATGGCGTGAAGGGAATCCAGGATGCTCACGTGGTTTGACCTTCCCCTAAGCAGCTGTGGGAAATGGAATCTGGACACACAGAAGGGGTTAAAAATGGCAACTTCCCTTTCCTGTGCCCAAAATGTGGCTTTGCTCCTTCCTCTGCCTATCCCTGAGCTGACAAATTTGGGACTGCCAACTGCAGAATTTCTGGACAGCATTGGGTCAGCCCTCCACTTGCACTCACTTATCCATTCCTGGTCTCCCTGTTTCTGACCAGGGAGTAAGAACCTGTCTTGTGGGGATGTGGGGCACTTCCCTAGAGCAAGGCCCCTTCTTGGCTTTGGGAAGGACCAGAGGATTAGGCTGGAAGTTTTTTCATGGAAATGGAATTCGAATTGGAACCTTATGTTGGATTCTCTGGGCTTCAGAGCACGGCTATAGCATGGCCTACATGCGCCAGACCTGGCCTCCTGAAGGTCTGCTGACCCTTTGAGTTGACAAGCACATGCCTTCTCCCCCAAGGGAGAGGCTGCATGCACATCCTTTTCCTGTAAGAATGCCCATCGGGTGAGGAGATAGTGTAATACAATGCCCATGTACATCTGCATGAATATGTGTGTGTATATGCTTGCACATGTATGTGTGTGCGCATGTATGTGTGTGTGCATTTGTGTGTGTGTGTGTGTGTTTAAAGAAAAAGGAAGCCACAGAAGGTTAGTTCTGCATTCAGGAAAGCAGATGGGTAGGATAAGCATTGGGCTGCTCTGAGCTCTCACATTGTATTCACTCCCTGGGAGGCTGCTCATTATAACTGCTCAGCTGGGTTTGAATCTCCACTCCGTAACTTATTATTTGAGTGACTTTCTGCAAGTTCTTGACTTCTCTGAGGGGACCAGTTATCTATTGCCGCATAACAACATACCCAACACATAGTGGCTTAAAACAACAATTTATTATTATTATATTCACAAATCTGTGATTCAGGAATTAAGTCATAGTGGGAACGTTCTGTATCGCTTTATGATGTCTGAATCCTCAGCTGGGATGGATTGAATGGCTGAACACTGAAACAGCTGGGGACTGTTTGGGGACTGTCTCTCTCTCTCTCTCTCCCCATATATATATGTACCTGCATATCACTTAGAGTTCTCTAGAGGGACAGAAATAATAGGATATATATCCTATTTTATATATATATATCCTATTTTATATATATATAGGATATATAGATAGATATGAGAGTTTATTAAGTAGTATTAACTTACATGATCACAAGTTTCCACAATAGGCTGTCTGCAAGCTGAGGAACAAGGAAGCCAGTCCGAGTCCCAAAGCTAAAGAACTTGGAGTCCAATATTCGAGGGCAGGAAGCATCCAGTATGGAAGAAAGATGTAGGCTGGGAGGCTAAGCCACTCTAGTCTTTTCACATTTTTTTTCTGCCTGCTTTATATTCTAGCTGCGCTGGCAGCTGATTGGATGGTGCCCGCCCAGATTGAGGGTGGGTCTGCCTTTCCTAGTCTACTGACTCAAATGTTAATGTCCCTTGGCAACATCCTTACAGACACACCCAGGATCAATACTTTCCATCTTTCAGTCCAATCAAGTTGACACTTGGTATTAACCATCACAACGTGGAAGGAGTGATATGAATGTATGTATGTGTGTGTGTGTGTACGTATGACTAGATAGACAGTCCTTGAGGGCGGAGGCCATGACTCTTTTGTTCCCCACTCTATACCCAGGGCCTAACACTGTACCTGGTGCACAGAAGATGCTTAATACGTATTTATCAAATAAATGAACAGATTGTTCTCAAGTCTGCCGTATGTATGGTCAAAAGAAAGAAGGCAATTATGACAAGAAAGAGTGAGGGTAGGAGAGGCAGTCCTCTCAAGGAGCCTTCTTTTTATTCTCTCCACATGCATAAATATTGCTCAAGTCATCTCTGAAATGGGTGGAGAATTCCGTGTATTTTGCAGTTAATAAAGCCTGAGGTGCTCAGGGCTCACAGATTCTTACCTGCATACTAGGATGATATAAAAGGCCTGCATGAATTGATACAGGCTTTTCTGATTAATGGGTTCTGGGAATAAATGGTAGATACAGAGTACTTTGAGATTTTTCGATGACAAATCAGTTGGAAATGTCCTCCACTGTAATTTTTACCTCTCCATATTTTGGCTGTTAGTATAAGATCCTTCAGCTTCTGCCATCCTTCATCTTATCCTCAGAAATGGCACTTCCCAATATAGAATGGTACAGGAATACTTTAGAATAGAGGGAAATGAGGGGAAATAGCACCGAAATGATGAGTGTGTTTGCGTCCTCCCTCTCTATGCCTCTGTGCTGTGTAGAACGCAGCTGGTAGCACTTTTCCTCCCCCGCGTCCCCTCTGAGAATCAGGCCCGGCTCAGCGGGGAGGGGTGCATAAAGCCCACTCCTGCCCGGAGGAAGAGCCTGGTTGTGATGTCTGCTGTTGCAGTATCAGGCCAGACAGGAATTAGGGGAAAACTGCTGTCATCAGGGAGTTGCTCCCACTGTTGTTCTTCGTAAAATGTGGTTCTTTCTACCAATCAGTAGGCAGATGCCCAGAGACCCTCAGAAATGGTATAAGCCTAGAATTGGCAGCACACATCCAGGCTCTGAGGCTTATAGAACCAGGATTAAAACTTACATTGGACCTCAGTCCTCTGGTCTAAGCCCCTCTCTGTGCAAGAGGGGAAACTGAGGCCCAGGAAAACGAGGTGACACAGGTGAATCAGCAGCCTGGCCAGGCTCGCAAGTCAGGCTTTTGACTCCAGCGTTAGTGTTCAAGGCTCCAGATGTGGACATTCCTTGTAAACTGTAAAACACCCAAACAGGAAGATCATTATTCATGTTGTTACATTCCTGTGTCCCTTGGTCATTTGGATGGGACATGTAAATGAACAGCAAGTGGGAGTACATTTGAGAATCTCCCTTCTCTTCAACAGCCATCACCTCACCC
This sequence comes from Homo sapiens, assembly GCF_000001405.40. Taxonomy (NCBI): domain Eukaryota; kingdom Metazoa; phylum Chordata; class Mammalia; order Primates; family Hominidae; genus Homo; species Homo sapiens. The sequence continues at coordinate 4,796,981 of NC_000012.12, forward strand.
TCTTCTCCCTGAAACCTCTCCCACCCCACCCTCCACAAACTGATCCTCCCCTTCCCTGGACTCTGGCTACTGCACTGTTTCCTAAACCTGGGTTTGGCTGGAAACAACACCCAAATATCAGAGAGGAGGATGCGTGGGAGAAGGTGGACTGTGAAGGGCTTGGGCCGGGCTTTCACCTACAAAAAGAAATGGATGCAATGGACATGCTCCAAAGAAGGGCAAGACAGGTCCCCTTCACTTGCTCACTTGCCTCACATCGCTGCTGGCCCCAATCCCCAAACGTCCCAGCAGGTCTATGTGGAGTCCGTGCTCTCAGCCCATCGCAGCAGCATCACCCCTCTCTGTTATCAGGAGTCTGGCAGCCTCTGTAATTTGTGTCTGGGAGGAAATGAGATCCTCCTTACACAGGGCCATTTCCAGGCTTCCTGAACCACTGAGAGTGCTGGAGGAGGAGGGGATGAATATTTTATAAAAGGCCATAAAACATAATTTGTTCCTTTGAGTGAATTAGAGACTGTAGTTAAAAAAAGAGAGACGTTACCATCAGTGGACCAGGAGTTTTGCATTATTTAGCCCCAGCTATTTCATTACATCTGTAAAGCAGGAGAACCAGAACATTAAAATCACACCCTTTGCTCCTCAGGAAGGGAAACAGAATCTTTGAGGCCCAAATACATACAACATAGACTCACTAGGCAAGGAGCAGCGGCTACCTGCCTGGAATGTGCTCACAGGGGTGACATGAATGCTTCGGGTGGAAACAGGCAACCAGCCTGTCCAGCTCACCACACTGCTCCCATCTAATTGCATCAAAGGGGGAAAGGTGAGCCAGTGGACCTAGCGGGGTCTTCCTTTTCTGTTAGGATCTTCCCTAACCTCCCCTTTCCTCCTTTCCTGAAGCAATTTCCTTTCCTTCTCCCAGACTGGAAGGGGAACTTGAGCCCCGAATAGAGAACAGCCTAAAAGTGGACATCAGACATCCCTGTTCCAGTCTCTGCATCCCACCAGGAATAGTGCCTCACAAGTAATGTCTTTGAGACCTTGCCTTCCCATCTTCTTTCGGGGACCTGTCCTATTCAACAGATATTTAGTCTTCTCTAATTTCTTCTCTTTTTCAACCATAGGCTTTTCCAAATGTCTGACTCTGGGAGAAAACTGAAAATCATTTTTTTTGATGCAAAGCAATTTAACTTCCTTTGCCTTAAGGTCTCCATCACGAACCATATCCTAGTCTTGACCATTCTTAACCATAAAGTCCTTTAGTTTGTTTTCAGAACTAAAAATACCTTTTTACCCCATGGATTCCACATCTACCAAAATAAGCAATAGATATGAATTTTAAAACTACAATTTCGTTAACTGTGCCAAAGGCTTAAGATCAATCTCTTGGAGATCATATTCAAAGAACTTATGCTTCCTTCCAGTGGTAGAAGAGGCAGGAAAATATTTTCCTCATTTTTACAGAACATGCCCTGAAAGTCATGGCTTTTTTGTTCTTCCATGGACTGGCATTTGGTATTCCTTCCCTTTGTGCCTGCTATTTGGGGCAATTCCTGCAATTGAACGTGGCTTTGTGTGTCTTGTCCAGCTCTCCTTCCATCAACCCACTCCTCCCTTCTACACACATACACACACACACATTCTGTCTCTCCCTCTTTCTCCCTCTCTTTCTCTCTCTTTCTCTCCCCTCTCTCTCTCTCATGCACACATGCGCAGCTGCATAGAATTTGCTTCTACTCCATCAGTGCCTTGAGAGGGGATGGTGTTGCAGCTGAAGAGAGATCCTTTTGGACCTGTGTCATTCCTTATATCACCTGCTTAGTAACAAGTGCTCTCTGCACATAAGCCACCTGGTCCTTTGTCTCTTCTTCTTGGTTGCTTGATCCTCCTTCTGTCCCTCATTGTTACTCATTAACTTACATTTATCGAGCACCTGCTTTGTGAAGGACATTGTGCTAGGCCAGGGGGAGAAGGTATAATAACAGGGTCTTTGTCCTCAGGATCCTTGGAGTCTATGAGAAACTTGTGATTCTCTCTGACCTGCCGCTTTGTCCTGGGAGAATTTGCTATTTATGACCTTTTGGGGTAGAGTAATCCTGCTGAACAGGGAATTAAGAGATCTAGATTTCAGTCATTGTAGCCATTAAGACTATGGAAAAGTCATTTGCTCACTTTATACTCTGATTCTGGCATCAGCAAAATCATGCAGTTGTTTGAGATGAGGTTCACCATCCCTCCTTAGTGCTTGATTTCTATGATCTTATGTTCTTATGTTCTATAATACACAAGTGCCTCCGAATGTGAGGCTTGGTGAGAATAGGGTTTTGTGGTTAAATACATCTGGGAAACATTGGGTTACATAATGTTAAGGGATGTATCAGAGGCTTTACTATTCTAATGTCTATTGTGAGGCTCTCTGAGACAAAGTGTAAGATTCCTAAACTCCCTTCATTGGGGTGGGTGTTTATAAATATCAAATCAATTTTTTATCAAACTAATTTCTTTTTCTTCTGAGTTAAAGAATTTACATCTCTAGGTGGCTGGTTCTTTGATCGGGAGTGGAACCCAGATCACGGCAGTTTGGAATCCTAACCACAAGGCTACAGGGTGGAGTGCCTTGTCTGTGTAAATATCTATCAACATGGTGAGAACTAGAATTGTGTAGAACACAGTTTGGGAACATGAAGAAAGAGAGCTCCCCACATGGGCTCTGGACTCAAGACTGAGCGCATTTTTTGAAGGGTCTCACCGTGTCACCCAGGCTAGGGTATAGTGGCATGATCATAGCCCCACTGCAGCCTCCAACTCCTCGGTTCAAGTCATCCTCCTGCCTCAGTTTCCCAGGGTGGGACTACAGGCATGTGCCACCATGCCTGGATAACTTAAAACAATTTTTTTTTTTTTTGTAGAATGGCTGCATTTGAAGCCTGCTCAGGTACCCACTAGCTCTGTGAGCTGGTAAATTAAACTTCCTGTCCTTCTGTTTTCTCATTTTTAAAAGGAGGCTAGGAAAAGCTTCTACCTCATACCTCTTAGCAAAGTGCTTGGAATGCAGTATGCATTCAAAAAATGCTTATCATTAGCTATTACTATCTTTAGTCAATATTTATTGAAAAGTTAGTAAACAGAAGAAAGTTACAACATTTTATCATAAAGACTTAGCTACTGTCCATGACCCCATTGGAGATGCAGATAGGACACCAGAGTTAGACAACAGGTTGCTATCATTTCAGTGGTAGAGTTAGGTCAGAAAATGGACAAGGAAGAGCAAAAATTCAGACCAGTTTAATATAAACAAAGTGAAGATCTCTGTAGAAAGCTGTGGTAGGAGGAGAAGTAAGCAATAGTAAGAATGAAAAAGTTGGCCAAAGTTAGGCTTTTGAAATTAATTTCATGATCCATGTTCAATTCTCTTCTTCTAGGCATAGAAAATAGAATATTAATGATCTCTGTATTGTATTTATCTTCCAAGCAGGAATGCAAGTAGGCATATTGGTCAGGAGAGACAGGGTTATGCTGCAGTAACAAACAGCCCACAAAGCTTAGTGGATTATAGCAAAGGACTATTTACTGCTCAGACTACATAGCCATCCCTGGCATTCCTAGGGTTCTGGTCTATGTCTTTCAATCTGGGTTGTAGGCTGATGGGGTTGCTACCTTCTCAAGTGCTATGGATCATTATGGCAGAGGAAGAGAGCATTGGCAATTAAGTGCTGCAGGCCAGATATGACACATGGCACAACTTATCAGCTAGAACTAGTCACATGACTCTCACTCAATCACATGAAAACCAAGAAAGACACAATCTTACCATGTACCCAGGAGGTGAACAAGCTGGAAATGTTTGTCAAATAGCAGCAATGACTACCATTGCCTGCCATTAGGGTCACAAAATGTTTGTCTCCCCCAGGCAAAATCCACTTACTTACTGCCTAAGGAAGACAGCCTAAAAGTCCTACCCAGTCCTGGTATCAAGCTGAAATGCTAGGGTCTCTTGTGGTGTGTAACAGGGCAGTTTTCACCTTAGGGAGCGGCATGTTCTAGTCTCCACATCAGGTGTGAATGTGGATCCTTTCCTTTCTGAGACTTAGGCTCCAAAAAGATAAGTAATCGTTTCTTTCCCACAAGACAAGAAAAGATTCATTTGAAGTAGGACAACTGCAATCAATATTCTCATTCAGAAAGGGGGAAGACTAGGGAAGCACAGCAGTCACTGGTCCATAACGACTCTGAAATCCTGTGAAACACAATTCGACCCTCACTTAGCTGCCTGGGAGTAGATCCCAGCCCACCGTTCTCTGCTTATGGATTGTCCCTCTGGAGGGTCTTCTTTCTGTTGCCCTCCTTGCTCCTATCAGAGATGGGAATTGCAGATGATATTGAGCAGCTTTCTTGGCCGGCTTCTTGTCCATGATAATTTAGGGGCCCAACGGTACATTACATTTTGAAAAGTCGTGAATGGTTTCGTTCAGGTCATGGTTCCTTTGGCAGGATGACTGTCTGAAAATCTTCTTAGGCTTTTTCCTATGTGTTTCGGGCAGATCTATGTACTGATAGCCAATAACCACACCTATGGTTACAGTTGTTATCCTATTCTAAAGGAGCCATTGTATGTCGTGCTATGGGATAGAGGCAGATAATTTGTCTTTTGGGTTTTTAAGTCTCTGAATTGCAGAAATCCATATTCAAAACTGATGTAGAGACTAGCACATGTCACTCCTTAATATAAAAACTACTACGCACTGCTAGAGAACCTAGCATTTCAGCTTGATACCAGGACTGGGTAGGACTTTGGGGTTATCTTCCTTAGGGAGTAGGTAAGTGTATTTTGCCTGGGGGAGCCATGGTTCTTCTCAACTTGAACCTAACAGCAATAATTTGGGTATATATATTATTTGTGGGATGTTACAGCTTTAGTCTTGTTTTTTCTCTCGCTCTTACTTGAGCCAGTTTGCCCAGTTTGAATGATTTTTTGAAGCCATAACTTCAATTAAACTTTTGCCCTAAATGACTTATTCCATTCAGAGGAACTGACAATGGACATGACTGCCCTGTGCTTGATTTGTTCCATGGCATGAGCTGAAGCACTCATCAGTCTTTCTTGTATAAAGGTCTTTTAAGTTTTGTTTACTTCTTTGGGGAATGAGAAGCAGCTGTCTCTGTCTACACTGAAAATCCCCACATTTCTGGACTCTCTCCTGTCCATTTCATCTCTGCTTTCTGGCCAAATCTTTTCTGAACTCATCAATATCTTGCACTACATTGTCAGATGCAGCCAGCAGTGGCCACCATACAATATAACAAGCTGTTTTTCAACCATCTTCCTAGATATGCAGGATTTTAGGGATATAATCTGCTTTCTAAGTTATCACAGATGACAGTTTTCAGAATATTTTTCCATTTGTAACATGGATTGCCTGCAATGGCCTCCTATAAAATTTCTTCAATACCTGTCATCTGGCCACAGAACCAATGTCACAAGTATTTTTTTAATTTTTAAAATTTTATTTATTTATTTTTTTGAGACGGAGTCTCACTCTGTTGCCAGGCTGGAGTGCCGTGGTGCAATCTCAGCTCACTGCAACCTCCGCCTCCCAGGTTCAAGCGATTCTCCTGCCTTAGCCTCCTGTGTAGCTGGGACAACAAGTGTGTACCACCACACCCAGCTAATTTTTGTATTTTTAGAAATTGGGTTTCACCATGTTGGCTGGGATAGTCTCGATCTCTTGACCTTGTGATCTGCCCACCACGGCCTCCCAAAGTGCTGGGATTACAGGTGTGAGCCACCATGCCTGGCCATGTCACAGGTTTTAACTTTTTACTTTTGGCAGCTTCTTACTTCAGTTTGGGTAGACTTGATTCTGCTATGGGAAGAAATCAATCCCTGAATACCAGAGGATTAGAGCAATAAGGGTTTGTTTCTCACTTATGCTACTATTGCTTCGGCTGGGGGCCAAGCTTCCTGCCACCTTACCCTGTAATGCAGCTCACTCTGACAGAGCAGCCACCATCTTGAACAAAGCTGGTCATTGTGGCTGGCGTGAAGAAAGCTCTGGGGGCTTTCCCATGAGGAATTAAATATTTTGGTTCAGAAGTGACACATACCACTTCTGCTTATAACTCACTGTCCAGAACTACTTGCCTGGTACCACACAGCCACAAGTGAGTGAGACAGTAAAATTCTCCATGTTCCTGAAAAGTAGAGAGCTGGAGACATTTGGAAAACAGCATTAATGACTATCACAGGAGGAGAATTGGATGAAGATGTAGGCTGCAAACTTAGGATACTAACAAGCTCTCTTGGGATCCTCCCCGAAAGGATAAGGAGTTCGTTATAGATTTATTTCTTGGCATGGATAGTAATTTCCTGAGGCTGTTGATTGGTGTGGCACAGATGTCTAATGCATTTCTTTTCTAATATACAGCTTCACCCAAGCGAAAGCTGTTAGATTTTTCTCTACTGAATTATGGAACATCATCATCACCATCACTACTTTGTAACTGACATCATCGTCCTCATTAAAAATTGGACTAAGCAGCTAATTATAAATAGTGCTTTTGTATAGCACATGTGTTTTCATTTGTCCCCCTGACTCCATCCACTTGGCCACAGGGGAAGCCCAGGAGGAGGGAAATGGCCACAGTGCATCCAGAGACGAAATGAATAGAAGGGAACTTCAGGTCAAAGCGTTGTGCTATCAAGTGTTGGCAGGGAACATCAATGAGTTTGTGGAACCAGTGGGTGCTACTGCAGGAAATTAACCCTCGAAGTTCAAGATATCTGACTTCTTTTTAATGTAACTCTCAGATGACCAAATTTTTGGTGTGTGTGTGTGTGTGTGTGTGTGTGTGTGTAGAAGGAGGGGAACAAAAGGAAAACAGCAAAAATTGACTGCAAAGTATAGAATTACCCGGTCATCCATTTTTCTCCCCTTCTTCCCCAGGATTCAATGCTGTCTTCTCTCTCCAGCAGAAAAAGTAGGAGAAGGTTAAGAGAAGGAGTAAACATGACCCAGACCCTGGGGAAAGGGGTGAATGAGGGGACCAGAGAAGGGAGTTGGGCCAGGCAGAACGCTGTGTTTGGACAGAGGAGCTTCCACTTGGAACACGCTGAAGAACCAAAGCTCGAGGGCAGAGCCTTGCCCAGAGTGAGATGGTGAGAGGAGGGACACGGGCTCAGACTCATCACCCCTGCTTCTCACTGGCTCTGAGTGGTTTGGATTCCACAGTGGAAAGCTCAAGAGTGGGGTGGGTCATTCTAGGGAGGGTGTTCCGTGCTTGTGCACAAGTGTTGTGTTCTCTCAGTAAGAGGTAAGGGAGCTGACGACTCGCCACCCTGTCCTCAGAGCAGGGGCCTGTGGGTGACAGGACCATGAGGAGAACCATTTTCAGAGGTTACACAGAGAAAGAGGAAAACTTCAGGGATCGTATTACCAGAATGATGACAAGTGCACACACACACACACACACACACAGCAAAATAAAAATGTAAAGAAGCCTGGAAGACAGATCATTTATGTCATTTATATACCTGGAATAGGTACATTTTAGAACCTAGGGCAGAGGTCAGAATATAAATGGTTATCACACAATGCTTCACATTATCTGTGCTCATCTTGTGGGCACATACGTCCATTCTTAGGTGGTTCTTCCCATGGATGCCCCCCACGTACTCCTGACCTGTTGCAGATCATGTGTTCCACTGGAAGGCCAGCGTGGGCCCAGGAGGATGGGGCCCCTGGGGTCTAGTCCTGGTTGTTGGTTTCCAGGAGCTCTCCATCTCTTGGCTTTCCTTTGACTTCACCTACAACCCCTCAGCCTCCTATGCTGGCTGCCCTTCCTCCTGACCTTGACCGGTAGATTGAAGACTGCTGTGAAGGACTTGGTCCTGGTCATTTCTCCTCGTTGTCCATATTCTGTTTCTGCAGAAGACCTTGGTGCCATGAATGTATATATTTCTAGATGTCTTAAATTCATAAATCGTAAGTTTCTTTTTCATATTCCAGACCTAAATAAATAACTGCCTCCTTGATGTCTTAATTTGCATGTATAATTTCCCTCTCCAATGTAAAACATCTAAAGGTGAGGTCTTGACGCATCCCAACTTGTTTAACCCCTTGTCTTCCCTTTCTCAGTAAAGGGCGACACCTACCTGCCTAGTTGCTTGAGCTTGGCATTGGCTGCTTATTTCTCATGTTTTATTGATGACTAATTCCTGCTGATTCTATCATCTAAACATACCTCCTCAGTTCTCCTCACCTCCTCTCCACTCTATCTCTACTGACTCTACCTTTCTCTGGCCCAAGTCACCATCATCTTTTCCCCAGACGACTGCAATTTCCTGGTCTTTCTATTTCTTCTTCTACCTCTTCATAATTCATTCCCCTCCCAGCCTCTAAGTAAATCACATCACGTCTCTCCTCTGCTTGAAAACCATCATTGGCTTCATACCGCCCTTAAGATAAAACCTGAACACCTCACCCTATAAGATGGTACCCTTGCTAATTCTTCAATCTTATCTTGCACCTCCCTTTCCCTTGCCCATTCTCCTCCCAGCGCACGGCCTTCTTTTTGACCTTGAACACCCATGACCTTTCTAGCTCAGGGCTTTTGCACTTGTCAGTCTGGAATGCTCTTCCCTGCATTTGGCACTGTGGCCCCATTCTCTTATCTATTTTTGAGACAGAATCTCCCTCTGTCACCCAGGCTGGAGTGCAGTGGTACAATCTCGGCTCACTGCAACCTCCACCTCCCAGGTTAAAGCGATCCTCCTGCCTCAACCTCCCAAGTAGCTGGGACTACACGTGCCCTCCACCATGCCCAGATAATTTTTGCATTTTTAGTAGAGACAGAGTTTTGCCATGTTGGTCAGACTGGTCTTGAACTCCTAACCTCAGGTGATCCACCTGCCTCAGCCTCCCAAAGTGCTGGGATTACAGGCATGAGCCACCGTGCCAGGCTCCATTCTCCTCTTTGGATTGTCAGTTGAAATACTACCTCTTCAGAGGGAACTTTTCCAGCTACCCTTGCAAAGTTGAGTCCCCAAGTTCATTTCTGACATGGCATCCCATTTATCCTCCTCAAGGCATTTACTGCAATATGGAATTATTTTCCTTATTGTCTACTGTTAAAATTTTCTGTCTATAATGTAATTTATTACATGAAAATGTATGCTTATCAAAGCAGATATTTTGTATAGATCACTGCTAAATCCTCAGCACCTGGCACCATGCTGGCACTCAGTAGCTGCTCAATATATACTTTTTAAATAAATGAATGATTGCTATGACCATGGCAAACATCTGAATCTGGATACAACAACAAAAAATAACAACAAAATCTGTGCTGGCATGAAATTGGTGCTTGGTGAATGCTGGGGAAAAATCCCCTGCCATTGGAAGCCACTTGGCAGTGTTTATGGATGGAGCTGTGTCTTCCTTCACCTGGGAACTGGCATTTCTGAAGGTGTGATTGTACTCATCCTTAACATACGCTTGGGGGGAATGATCTAGGCATAGGGTTTTTCTTAAGCTAAGAAATGAGTCTATTTCACAAAAGAACTAAAAACAGAACTCTGATTCATGAATTTGCCAATGGCTTGTCCTTCTCAGGGGAACCTCCCTGGGCACAGTGAAACCCTTCTTGGGGCACGACCTCATGCTTGATGTGAAGGTCATCACAGAACATCAGCTCTGCCTGAAGGGTGGCCGGCAGCCCAGTCAGGCTTAACCCGAGGGGTACTCAAACGGAGGTTCTTGACACCTTATCAGGGTGTGTACGCTTCTGCAGAACGAAGGTTCCTTCCCATGCTTTGCCAGGATTGGTTTTGAAGAATTACTGACCTAGTTGACAGTCTCGTGAATAAAAATGGCAATGATGAAAACAAACCTGCAAATGAATCATTCATTATGAATTTGAAAACAAAAACAAAAAGAATCAGGGGTTAGTCAATTTATGACTCAGAAAATAATGACAGATAACTGGATAAGGGTAAAGTGACAGATAACTGGATGGGGGTAAAGAGTATCTTCTATAGTGTATTTGCTGTTGGTTTCCTTTTTTTTCTTTTCTTTCAAAAAGATTTTTTAAACAGAGCAACTTTTGTGTGGAGTCTAAATGGCTTAATTACATAGTCTGTAAGTGAGAAAACTCCGCTGGATGACTCCATGTACTTGCTTTCTCTCCCTTCACGGAAACATGCAAGGTGAGAGAAAGGAGTGGAAATGAGACAGGCAAGCATGAGATGGGCAAGCTGGCTGCTTTCCTGTTGTGATGTGGTTTGGAGAAAAAAGAACAAAAGCCCTTTACTCAAGCTGTAACTCCCAGCCAGTCAGCATCAAAGGCCCAAGAAGCTATTAACCACAAATTAATTAACCCCTTGCTTTAGAGAACTAAGGACCTTTCTGAGGCCCTACGTGCCTAGCTAGGCTTAACTTTCACCTCATCATGAACTTTTCCTTATTTTAGTACTAAAAATCATGCCCACAGGTGGAGATTTAAGATGCTAATGAGACATATGTTGTATGAAGCAGCATCTTAAGCCACCGTACATGTGCCCGAAAAACCTCACCTCTACATGCCCTGACTTCCCCTTACTGCAGACCTCCACAAAGGGAACCCACACCTTGACTTTGGAGAGCAACCCACTTCCTTTCTTGGTGTTTGGTCCCTTATGTCCATAAGCTTTCATAAAATCTTTCTCTTTGCTACTGTATGCTGTGATCTCTTTTGATTTCTATCCTGGGGGATCAAAAAAGCCCACAGGGCGTTGGTGCCAGAAATCAGCTGTGCAAGCACAGAAAGGGAGCAGAGGCTGTTGCCTGGCTCAACTGGTGAGGAGCAAGACTGGAGAATGAGCATGCAGTGAGTTCTAATACTAGCACATTTCTTACCCACTCAACACCTGATCCCTTCCCGACACATCCAGGAGCCTTGGTTCTCTCCTTCCTCCAACTCTCTGAGAGTGAATGCTGCTGAGAACCACTGTGGTTTTAAAATACTCCGTGCAATACAAAGAACTCTCAGATGCATCCTGTGGTTTGAGAGCACCTTTATGTGTCATTCTCATCATTAACCTCAATGAATGCATACTAATGATCTAATATGCACCAGAAGCTACACAAAAACACTTTGTAGTTGTTAGCCAATTCATTTTGGCTACAGCCAGCCAGAAAAGAGGAAACTGAGGCACAGAGAAGCAAATGTCAACCCTACCTGGAAGTGTCAGTCTGAAAAGATCAGTTGAGTCTTCCTCTACCAGACCCCAACTTGTCTGGTCTCGTGAAGAAAGACAGAAATGGATGGAAAACCATTCTTATCACCTTCTTGCTGGAGAGTTAGGGAAGAGTCAGCTGGTCCCTAACAACAAACTTTGCCCTACTCCAGTACTGCCAAAGGGGTCTTTGTTGTAACATGGCCTACAAGGAGAGGACATCTTTCTGGGAAAGCACCTAGAATGTGGCTGGCACATATTCAATGCCCAGTAAATGTAGCTATTATTTTTTCAATCAACACTCTTACATACCCCTTTTCCACTCACCCTCTTCTCCCTTTTTTTGGTCACCCAATAAGCAGAAATTCCAGATGCATCCTTCGGGGTGGTTGGGAGCAAAGGATCCCCAGGGTGCACTGTGCCCTGGGCTGAGGTATCTCTGAGGTGCTTCCATCTTCTGGGTCCTTCCTCACTGGGGTTGTTGCCTCAGGCTCTCAGGACTCCCCTGGAAATCTTCTGATGGGAAAGGCATTGATTGACTTGCCACCCTTTCTCTACCATCCCTTTGCAATTCTGGGAGAGTTGCAGCCCCGCCCTCCCAGGCTTGCAAAGGTAGACGGAGAATTATATTGGAATTTAAATCGGAAGCTCTCAAGGCATCTCAAAAATACTTTCTCTATTTTTTTTTTCCTGTAGATATTGGAGAGGTTGGCAAACGGGTCTTCCTGAAGACAGAAGAATGTATGATTTAATGTTTTCTTTAGATTTCTGTATGAGTGGATGCACAGTGCTCCGTATTGTGTGGTGGGGCGGGGTGTGTCTTCTTATTGATGAAATACACTGCGCAGGTCAACTCGGTAAATTGAAATGAGAAGAGCCGACTGCGGGGGTGGAGGGGGTGTGGTATTAGGGTGCCGGCGCTTGTGGAGGGGGGCGCGAATGTGAACGTGTGAAAGCGAGAGGCGTGCCAGGAGAGCGCGGGAAAGCTTACTGGTGAGGCAAGTGTGCGTCTATTTCCATGGCGCCCTGGCTCGCGGCAGCCCCTGGCTGGGCGAGGGGTGTGATGTGGGAGTGGGGTGGGAGGGGGCAGCAGGCGGGGCCTGCCACGTCACTTGGAGAGTGTGTGTTGGGAAGGAAGGGCAGAGCGGAGAGCCGAGCCGCTGCAGCTGCGGCGGCGGCAGCGAAGCCTTGAGCCGTGGGGAGGTGGGTCCCCGCGCTCGGGCGCCGGGGCAGCCCCGGGCCCTCTGCGAGGCCTGCGGCGCGGCTCCTAGGGAGGAGGTGGCGGCTGTGGCGGCCGGAACCGCGACCTTGGCCGGACCCAGCCCCGCGGTGGACGCAGGGCGGAGGCCGAGCCCCGCCAGGAGTCTTTGCCGAGCCGGAGGGAGGCGCATCTGGCGCTTCGGTACCAGCGGCAGCCGGGGGTCCGGAGCGGCTGGAGGAGCGCAGTGGGAACTGGGAAGAGCTAGCCCGGCTGGAGGGCGGACCTCTGCGTCCGGGAGCCGGGTCTCAGGCACCGCTGGGGGCGAAGCCACGCGTCTTTTCGGGCAGCCAATTTCACACGCGCCTGTGTGCGGTTCCGGGCATCCCAGTAAGCTCTAGCACCCGGGCGCGGGTAACGGGAAGCGCAGAACCAAATCCCCAGCGCCCAGGTCACCTCCCCAGACCCAGCCTTGCAGGGACCAGGGCTTTAGGGCTCACGGACCCAACGGCCAGGTCAGACCGCGAACCGGGAGGAGCGCGGGCCCCACCCTAAAGAGGGCGCAGCCGGGAGCTGGGGAGCGGGTGCCGCGCTCCAGAGATTGTGTCGTGGGCGCCGTCCTAGTGGCGGGGAGCGCACCTCCGAGGGGGCATGAGATCGGAGAAATCCCTTACGCTGGCGGCGCCGGGGGAGGTCCGTGGGCCGGAGGGAGAGCAACAGGATGCGGGAGACTTCCCGGAGGCCGGCGGGGGCGGGGGCTGCTGTAGTAGCGAGCGGCTGGTGATCAATATCTCCGGGCTGCGCTTTGAGACACAATTGCGCACCCTGTCGCTGTTTCCGGACACGCTGCTCGGAGACCCTGGCCGGCGAGTCCGCTTCTTCGACCCCCTGAGGAACGAGTACTTCTTCGACCGCAACCGGCCCAGCTTCGACGCCATCCTCTACTACTACCAGTCTGGGGGCCGCCTGCGGAGGCCGGTCAACGTGCCCCTGGACATTTTCCTGGAGGAGATCCGCTTCTACCAGCTGGGGGACGAGGCCCTGGCGGCCTTCCGGGAGGACGAGGGCTGCCTGCCCGAAGGTGGCGAGGACGAGAAGCCGCTGCCCTCCCAGCCCTTCCAGCGCCAGGTGTGGCTGCTCTTTGAGTACCCAGAGAGCTCTGGGCCGGCCAGGGGCATCGCCATCGTCTCCGTGTTGGTCATTCTCATCTCCATAGTCATCTTTTGCCTGGAGACCTTACCCCAGTTCCGTGTAGATGGTCGAGGTGGAAACAATGGTGGTGTGAGTCGAGTCTCCCCAGTTTCCAGGGGGAGTCAGGAGGAAGAGGAGGATGAAGACGATTCCTACACATTTCATCATGGCATCACCCCTGGGGAAATGGGGACCGGGGGCTCCTCCTCACTCAGTACTCTTGGGGGCTCCTTCTTTACAGACCCCTTCTTTCTGGTGGAGACGCTGTGCATTGTCTGGTTCACTTTTGAGCTCCTGGTGCGCTTCTCCGCCTGCCCTAGCAAGCCGGCCTTCTTCCGGAACATCATGAACATCATTGACTTGGTGGCTATCTTCCCCTACTTCATCACCCTGGGCACTGAGCTGGTGCAGCAGCAGGAGCAGCAACCAGCCAGTGGAGGAGGCGGCCAGAATGGGCAGCAGGCCATGTCCCTGGCCATCCTCCGAGTCATCCGCCTGGTCCGGGTGTTCCGCATCTTCAAGCTCTCCCGCCACTCCAAGGGGCTGCAGATCCTGGGCAAGACCTTGCAGGCCTCCATGAGGGAGCTGGGGCTGCTCATCTTCTTCCTCTTCATCGGGGTCATCCTCTTCTCCAGTGCCGTCTACTTCGCAGAGGCTGACGATGACGATTCGCTTTTTCCCAGCATCCCGGATGCCTTCTGGTGGGCAGTGGTTACAATGACCACGGTAGGTTACGGGGACATGTACCCCATGACTGTGGGGGGAAAGATCGTGGGCTCGCTGTGTGCCATCGCTGGGGTCCTCACCATTGCCCTGCCTGTGCCCGTCATCGTCTCCAACTTCAACTACTTCTACCACCGGGAGACGGAGCAGGAGGAGCAAGGCCAGTATACCCACGTCACTTGTGGGCAGCCTGCGCCGGACCTGAGGGCAACTGACAACGGACTTGGCAAGCCTGACTTCCCCGAGGCTAACCGGGAACGGAGACCCAGCTACCTTCCTACACCACATCGGGCCTATGCAGAGAAAAGAATGCTCACGGAGGTCTGACCCATGCAGGCAGGGCCTGCAGGAGGGGAGCACTGAGCTAACAGTCTCTTAGGCTTCCTTCTCATTTCCACTACTCACTCTAGCTTCAGTTGACTTCTTGACTCTCTCCCCTACACCCACTACCTGGCATCCAGGACCAAATACCTGGACTATCAACCTTGTTGCTTAATCCCTGCAGCATTCAAGGTTAATCCATCTAAGTGACATTTTTGAAATTCCAGCGGTGCCACCCAATCATGCCCAGCTTCTGTCATATGAATGAGATATACATTTATGTCTGACCTTCCCTCAAGACTGATTTTTCATGTCTGGGACTTACAATATCTCAAGGAACAGCAATGTCAACAGGATGGAAACCAGCCCTATCTGAGTCTTCGCTCCCTCCTTAGTGTTCTTTGCTTTGGGTCATGTGCGTTTCCTAGCTTCAGGCTACTTGGTAACTGGAAGAAGCTGGAGGACAGAAGCAGTACTCAACTTGCTGTTATTCCAGTGCCCTGTAACAATCACTGGTCCTCCTGCAGATGACCCTTGGTAGAGTCTTTATTTGCATAGCCTCAAAATAGGTTATTCGTTTCTAAACTTGGATGGAATTAGAGAATACAATCAAACTTTACCACTTGGAGGACACGGGGTTAGTCCAGGACCAAAGAGGCCAATGGATTTTTCAAAGTGTGCCCCAGCACAAGAGGCACTGGTGTTCGGTCTACATTTAGTTCTCCCCACTCTGATCCCCTGACTCTCCAGCTTCCAGGAAGGTTCCTTCTCAGAGCCAAATACTCTTTGTGCAAGTGCCTTCCTGAGCAGAAGAACTGGAGAAAGGGAACCACAGAGCCAGGAGGAATGTCTGAGCAGAGTCAAGCAACTGGCTTGACCACAGTCTGAAGCAAGGTGCCACTTAAACAGATACTGTTTTCTCAAAGGGGCAGAGGAATCGTGTTGCAGATGGCAGCCTTTTCTCCTTCATTTTCCCCACATTTTCTCTGGCCCTCTACCTTGCTTCCTGGGAGTTTGATTTAGGATTGCTGTTGAAGGCTTCCTCAGGCAAACTCCAGCTTAAAGCCCTAGACAGGTAAAAGCACACATTGGATGGCAGCATGGGTTTCTTCCCATTTTATGGGCATGAAATATGTGGTTTAGAATAAGGAACAAGCATTATTCCTTTGCCAACAGCCTCACTCTAAGAGGCTTTTTTGCTGAGTCAAGCAAACACTTGCCTGCTCTGCCCCTTGGAGCTGCATTTGACCTGCTCTCACTGGTAAGGTGACTTGGTGGCGTTCCCACTTGATTTAGCCATTTTCTTCCATTGTGAGACCACTGCCATCTATCCACCTGCCCACCTCCCCTTTTGTTTCTCAGTAACATTGCCATTTGTTTTTTGCCTTTGATAAACTGTGATGTACTGTTCTGAGATCTTTTGGGTGCAGTTCTGAAACTGAAAGGACTGTTAACATGTTTTTAATTTTATATCTATGCTTTCAGACTCTTTGATGATAATTTTTTTTTTAAAAATTATTCTCTCGAAGAGCAACTTACGAGAGGACAGCCTTATGAGGGTTTGCTTGAGAGGCAGTGTGGCTTCTGTGACTGCCAGCTCTAAATCTCGATCTTGCCATAACTTTACAGGGTAACTTGGGTCCACAGTCACTCTTTGTGCCTCAGTTTACCCACCCATTAAATGGGAACATTACTGTCTTCCCCTCCCTACCTCATGGGGAATGTCTGGGAAGCTGGGGACATTGCTATGCAAATGTGTGAATCTTAGTCATGGATTTGATTTTTAGTTATCCCCATACCCCCATAGGCAAGGCCTTCCCCCAGAGTTCCTGCTTTGGATCCAAAGCCTGAGAATAGGCCATTATGGACCATTGGCTCCCTAAATCCCTCCTTGGCCTCTTGGACTGAGCCCCTCAGCCTTTCTTCTTACCCTTCAGAAAGGAGAGTTCTCTTTAGATATGTTCAGGGGGATCCTTCCATGGCTGGAGGTCACCTTGACTGGGGGCTTGGCTTCTCCAAACCTGAAACACAGTAGAAGATAGAGATGTTTATGATGCAAAAACCTGCTCTGAGGTCAGAAAGTGCTAGTTTTCCAAATCTCTCCCATTGCTGCTGGCTATCTGGGGAAAGAAGAGAAAAGCCCATTCCAGAGGCAGAAGGGAAGCTCCCAGCCGAGGGTAAAAGTTGAGACCTGTATGCATGTATCTCTGTATATGTGTATGTAATCACCCTCATCACCATCCCTGAGAAAACATTTTCTTTTCAAGTCAGAGCACGCCTGAAAGGGTTTGTGGAGAGCCCAGCTCACCAGGGACTCTGGTTGCCGTAGCAACCTTCCAGACTGTTCTCTCTATCTTCTGCTTTGGGCATCAAGGGAGACCAGGGGACTACATCTTCCCAGCTTCTCAAATGGGAGCACCTCCCACATCGTGGCTTAGGGGCTGGGAGTGCCAGGGCACGGATGTGGGACTTTTGGAAAATGTGGAGGAAGCAGGGCCTCAAAGCTTCCTGTCTGGACTTTTCTTCCTAGTTTCCCCACCCAGTCATTGAAGCTGCCTCATCTTACTCCTGATTCTTCAGAAATTTGAATGTTAAGCAACCAGTTAAACCAACGTCAGTATTAATTTTTTCAAGCTGTCGAGGGGAGCCCTTAGAGGGGACAACTTCTTGGAGTGGCGGCCAAGCTGGGCCTTACCAGGTGTGATCATAGTCTTAGGTATCATGGAGTTCCCATCTCCGCAGAGGCAGGCTCTTCCCAGCTCCACGAGAGGCGGAGAATTGCAACTTCTTCCTCTCTGGGAACGGCCTATCTAGCTCCTGGGAGGAATCTCAAAGATCTTTCTTCTTAAGACATCGAAGAAAAACTGAGAGGCTGTAGCTCGACCTAGTTTCTGTGAAGAATTTTGTCAAGTGATCCCTCTCGGACCCTGAGCCTCTTTATTTGGATTTTGTGCCTTGAGCACCAAGAGAATATGCACTCTGGGTTGCCTGGACAGCTGGGGTGGTGATTCACAGGAAGGGTCCAAGCCATCACTACACCTGACTCAAGCCGGAAAGAGCTCCCAGAGGACTTCCTGGAGCTGCCAGCCTCAGCCTGAGATGCGGGATATTCGTCCCCAAGGAGCGAGGAGGGACAGCTCGCCTTCTTTGCAGGTGAGGTAGGTTCTACTGGAGGGGAATTTTGGTTTTGGCTCAGTCCTGCAGGCAAAATTAGAACGGGGTGGGGAGAGAGAGAAAGTGGGGAAGCGTGTGCATCTGGAGAGAGGCAAGGTTTTCATTCCCCTTCCCTCAGGGGCTACCTCGCTTTTTCTGTGTATTTTTCTTTGACTCCATTAACTTCAGTTTCCTTTTTCTCTGTTTCTGTCCCCTTGATGCTGCTGGCCCCTGTAAAAAATTATCTCTTTTTCTGTGCATTTTTCTCTTTCCTTCTTTTCATTCTTACTGTCTCTGCCTTTTTTCCCCTTTCTCCAGTTTTCTTTCTTCTGGTTTTCCCCCTCTGTTCTTTTACCATCTTCTTCCTTCTATGTGTGTCTTCCTGCTTATCTTTCTCCCTCTCTCCACCTTTTCAGTGGCTGGGAGCACCTAGAGTGTTGACGTCGAGGTCGCACATTGAACTGTAGGACAGCTGTGCTTGCTAAGGTCTGTCTGCAGCAGGAGTATTCCACTTTTTCCTGACTTCTCACTCTGCCATTCTTTCCTACCATGCTCACCTCTGTGGAGGCAAGTCCTGAACCTGCCAAGCAAGATGAGACTGCCATGGGCTCAGAAAAATGTCTCCCAGAAATTTCCTGAACCTGCAAGCATAAATGAGAGAAGGCAGGCTGGGAGGGAGAGAATGACCCTGAGAAGTCTCAGACAAATCCTCTGCTGAGTAGCCCTGGACCACCTCAGGTTCTCCAAGCTTAGGAGGCTGGCAGAGAGGTCAAAGACAGAGGAACAGTAGAAATGTCAAATAAACAGAGAAAAGAGGGCTTAGGAGGCAGGCATAAGGTTGGAGTTAGCCTGGAAAAAGCCTTAAATAGGGGATGGCTTTAGAACTGCCCTTAATTCACTTGAAGGTTTTGCTAGTATCTGGCTGTCTCTCTCGGGTACTGAAGGCAGAACAAAAGGAAAGGACATAAATCTCTGTGGTGCAAGGTGCAGGGAACACTCCTTGACAAGGAGGATTAAGATTCACCAGGCAGTCCGCAAGGAGAATTGATGGTCTCCTTGCTAGAAGTCTTAGAGCATGGGCTAAGTCCCACCTGCAGCAGGACACTAGGACAACCTGAGGGGCCCCCATGGGGTTGAAGGTTGTGCTATTACAATTGGCCCCAGATAAGTTTTGGGGGATAATAGAAATGCTGTGAAGCAGGATTGTGGTAATAATCATACAACTCTAAAAATCGCACCCCAAAATCATTGAATTGTGAAAAAAAAGAAAGCAACGAGTCTAATAATCTGGGAGTTTTCCATCTGGGCTGGGAGAACGGTTTGGTCCTATAAATCTAGAAGCTTAGCATGTCTAAAAATGGACCAGACAATATCTAGAATAGAATGACAGTTTTTTTCTTCTGCCACATGGGGACACTTTAGAGCTTATATGCAGTCGATCGTTGCTATTCATGCACAATACCACGAACTGGTGTGTGTGTGTGTGTGTGTGTGTGTGTGTGTGTGTGTGTGTGTGTGTCTGTGTGTGCTTCGTTTTGACATCAAATTGTTATGAGAGTTACATGCTTTTCTCTTTTTTCTTTTTTTCCTCTAAAGATATGTCATGCCATTTTTTGGGTAAGTGCAGGGCATAATTAGCATGCACTGAACTATGATATATATGTTGAACATTATTCATTATACAGGACTACGGTCTTGAGCTTGCCCAGGGAACTTACACTTTGCTGGCAAAAAGAAAAAAACTCCAAGAAAAGTTCCCACAAACTAAAAACCCCACCAAATCCCTGCACCTGTAAACTCAGAATTCCTTAAGAGATTGCATAGGGCCCAAGGTTTTATGTATTTATCTACTATGGTTATTATTTTATTTTTGAATTTTTTGAAATTTTTTTTGTGGGTACATAAAGGTTTTATTTTCCCTGGCCCCCTACCTACAGTCCCTCTACAGTCGTTATTGATGCTTAACAGCCCTATGAAGAGGTCCCAGCAGTCTTTGGTGCTTCCGGTAAACAAAAGAAGTGGACGGTAACGGCCTTCATTTGTCTTACTGAGCCTTTCAATGATTCTCTCCCAGACTCTGATCCCCTCTTGGCCTGCTTTGCCTTGTGCCCACTGGACCCTCCCTTCCCTCTCCTTGGTGCTTTCCTCAGATGCACCAGCCAGTCCTGTGGCTTGTCATTTCTCCTCTCCGCTGGCTGAGCCCTTGCTTGCAGCAGCATTTCTATCTGCCTGCAACTCAACATACATTCCAAGATAGATTCCCAGAGAGCGTGGTCCTTCCAGGACAATCTGGCTGGAGCTGCCATCCTGGCTCACATGGGTTTTGACTGTGTGTTATTGCCATGGGAAGGAAGTGGGGAGGAAAGTGTCCTCCAATCCTACCTTGTCACAGTCACTTAGGGGAGGAAAAGAATTCCATTTACTAGGTGGTAGGAGTTCCTCTCTCCATCCCGCTTCATATTTTGCCTTGGGTTGCACAGATAGCTCATGGCAGAACAGGGTCTGGAGCTTGGCAGTTGGCAGGGAGAGGGATCTTCCCAGACATAGGCCGCGGGGAAGAAAGACAGATGGGCTTTTAGCCTCTCATCTTGCCAGGTCTCCTGATGAACCACTTTCCTGTGCTGGCCTTGAGTGAGTCTCTGTGGGGTTGGGAATGGTCATGTTTTTCATGTCCCTTTGTTCTGAACTTGAGAAAATAGTTCACCCTGCCTCTTGGTCTTCTTGGTCCTCATCCCCTGGCTTCACCTGGTACCCTAAAGGGGGAGTGGAAATCTATCAGCCACTGCCTTTGAAGGGTTATCAAAGCAGCTGCTGTGTTTGAAGGTGCACATTAACAATAGGAGAGGGACTCCCTCATTTTCAGAACAAAAGAGGAAAGGTTCCTACCCTACAGGAAGTATCATTCGCACTGGTCTAACCTTGGCTATCACTTGACCTGTTTGGGGACTAGTCCTGATGGGATTTATTACAATTTTTTTTTTAATCCAACTCCAACCTCATCATTGTTACTCTAAAGAGAATTCCTCACTCCTCGGTCACGAGCCTCAGCAGATACACTTTACCTCCTCCTGGAAAACATTTTGGAATCTTAAGCAGCTTCTGCTGCAGGCTGCAAGGAGCGCAGACAGACCCTGGCTCTTTGGTGAGAGCAAAGGCGACATTTCAAAAGGAAATTGCAGCCACGCAGTCTGCTGGCGCTGCTATTTTTGACATGCTTGCTGTTCTCTCAGGGCTTGACAACCGCTGTCTCCAGGAGACAGACAAACCTGCTCTTGGCAGCAGAGACACTGCTTTGAAAAAGAACATAGGAAGACAGTCCTGCAGCTGGGAGGGGCGGGGAGGACTTGCCACTGGAAGCGTGGCACCTGGCTAGTGGGGCTGCAGATCTGAGGTTGCAGGATTTATCCTCACCTAGGGAATCCTGACCTTGCGTTGCATCCTTCCCACTGGGAATAGTCCTAGCAAGAATAAGAATGGTGCTATTCATTTACAGAACATTGTCAAACACGTTCAGTGCTTTCAGACATCGTGCGATTTAACAAAGGGTTTAAGAGCATAGTTGCTGGAGCCTGATCGTCGCGGCTCAAATCCCTCCTTTGCTGGGTAACATGGGGCAAGTTATGAAACAGTTCTGTGGCCTCAGTTTCTTTCTCTGTCAAATGGAGGATAATAATAGTACCAATCTGATAGGGTTGTTTTGAGGATTAAATGAATTAATGTATGTACAGTGTTTAAATGTACAATGTCAGCTGTTATTATCATCCTGCAGCAGTGAAATGAAGTAGGTAGGCTAGGCTTTGTTTTTTTCTTTGGCAGATAAGAAAACTGAAGCTCAGAGGGGTTGTGATGTCTTTAAAGGCACACAGTAATGTGTGTTTCATCCTCTTCAGGGGAGATGGAACAGAATGGAATGCAGTGAGGGTCTAACTGTTATTGGGCAAGAAGAATGAAGCCATAGCTCCTAAATGTGTTTATAGACTTCTGTTTACATGCCAGCTTGTCTCTGATGGAGCAGCAGCAGGTGTCCTGTGCTTTTGTTCCCTATGGGTCCCTGAAAGTGCACACACACACACACACACACACACATATGCATATACACACATACGTATATACACACATAAATATATATACATACATACACATACATACATACACAAAAACACACACATACACATATATACACATATGCACACACAAAACCACATATACACACACGTATATATACAGAAACATGAATATACATATGCACATGTATACACACGTATATGCACACACAAACATATACACACGTATGCACAGGCACATACATGCATGCTTATACATATACCCACGTATATACACAAACACATATGGTGCTATATATTCTATATGTGTGTAGCATATATACGTGGAACATCTTTCTATGGATCCCTTTCTCAGTACTGCCACTGATCTCCCTCTCCCATTTTAACATTCTCAGTGGTTGACACTGCATTCGAGTTTTCCTCACACACCTGCTCCTGCCTTCTTCCTTGGGAAGAATGCAGGGTCTTATAGTTAGCAGAAGGGACAGAACCCACAAGCCAGCCCCTGGCCCAGAGTTTTCCTACCCTGTTCCAGTGGCTTTCAAACTTCCACTGTCCTGGTCCTCACCGTCAGCATGCATTCTTTTCCCCAGTCACCTTCACGGCCCCCTTTGCAGGTGGGGGTACCCCTTAATCTCCCGTGGCTGTGTTTCTGCTTTCCTGTCCTTCTTTGAGGTGGAGGAGACAGGAGGCCTCGTAGTTGGAAGAAGCCAGCTCCCCTGCCCTTGTGGGTCTCCCCTGGCCTTCACTCCACCTAAAGAGCATTTATGACATCTCTTGTTAGGGGTCTTGGCACGGGCCAGATTGCTGTCTTCACCCTCAGCTCACTGCCACAGCCACTACGGCTTCTTAACAAAGGTCCTATCCCAGGGCAAGGTGACGTGGCTGCCCTCATGGTTGAGGATTCTGAGCTTGCTGGCTTGCCTGCCATGGGAGTTGGAGAATTGGTCTGAATCACTGTTTATTAGCTGTACCTCATTTAACCTCACCGAGCTTCAGTTTCGTCATCTGCAAAATAAGGAAGCTAACATCACTTGCCTTACACAGTTGCTGTGAGATTCAGAAGAGGCAGCCAGTGAAAGAGTTTAGCAGGAAATAAACTCTTAGCAAAGCATGGCTCTTCCCACTGCCAATCAGCAGAGAGACCCTTAGAGACACCAAACACCCATCCGAGAGTGGGGCCGAAACTACCTGCACGTCAGAGAAAGGCAGGGTCCCTGCCAACTGCAGTTTTGTTCTCTGAAATAAACATTTAAATGAAATATGACATAAAAAATAGACTCAGGATAGCTAGCTATTTTTACCAGAAGGCTCTTTGCCCAGAGGATTCACAGCAGAATTTCTTTAAATAATTGCCCTTACGGTGTGATTTAATATACAGAAATATAATCTGAATATATCTTGGAAGAATAGGATGGATATACTGGTAATATGTATATATTTTAACAAAGTTTGTTTCCAGCCAAACTAGAATGAGAATTCTCACTTAACCCTTCCCTCAGGCCCTGGAGCATTGCAGAGGGTCACAGATGGAGGGGGCAGTGAATGCCTCTTTAGGAAGAAGGAGACTGATGCAGAGAAGTGAAATAATTTGCCGAAGATCACACAGGAAATTAGGGGCAGAGTTGTGCCTGGGACCCAAATTTTCTAACTCCAACTCCAGCATATTTTCCCATGGGAAATGGAACTGTAAGGATTACCTAAACACACACACACACACACACACACACACACACACACACACACACACTCTTAAAAATAACTCTTCATTTTCTACCCAACCAAACTCCTTAGCAGAGCTGCCCATAGAAAATGGAATTAAGTGATTTTAACTTTTATCTTTCCCTCCCCTGAGTTTCCAGGGCACAGAGGCAGTGAGCCTAGCTAGAGAAGCCCAGAACCAGATGACCAGCTTCTGGATTTTTAAGGGAGGACTAATGACTGAGGGCTAGTGCAGACCAAAGGTATTTAGCACTGGACAAAGAGAGGCTCATGTACAGGCTCTGGGCTTCTAATCTCACTGATTAAGGGATTCTTTAACCTCTTAAGGCTTTATTTTTTCTGTTAAATTTAGTGACTGGACAGAAGGAAACTGTCATAGATTGGAAATCAGGAAGTCAAGGGGTTATCTGAGTCTTCTGAATTTTATAGCGGAAAGAAGGGATGCAGAAGGCCAGCATCTTACCCAGGAACGCTGACTTCTGATGCCTTGGGAGGCAGAAACCAGTTTCTAGACTCTTCCCTGCACTTTGTTGCCCCGATAGAGAAAGAGAAGTGACTGTCAGTTACAGAGATCTTTTACAAATCACAGGACCAGGGTGAGGAGGAAGAACGTGTCCAGAAGGCCTGGTGGTTGAGCCATAAATCAGCCAGGCACTCCCCAGCTGCTTTAAGGCAATTTGGCATTGGTGGAAAGAGAAAAGAGGTCCGGTATGGTGGGGAAAATAGCTGTGTTCCCTGCAGAAGACTGCTTTCTGTGCTTCAGGGGAAGGATCGCGTTCACCCAGGAGAGCATACGTGTGCACACGCAGGTGCCCAGGCACACCCTCCCCAACCAGACCCTCTACTCACTTGGATGTGTGTGTGTGTGTGTGTGTGTGTGTGTGTGTGTGTGTGTGTTTTGTTTTTCTTTTTTCTGCATCTGCAATCTCCTGGTTTATGGTTTTACATGCCTCCAGCAATTCCAAATTGCAATCACAGAGCACCTTCCCTAAAACTGGGCAGATTACCTTATAAGAGGTCCTCAACTGTCACTTGTGGCTTGTGAGCCACATGGGACACAACATTAAGAAATACTGGAATATTTCACACACACACATCTGAAGTTTTGGTTTCTCTTAAAAGCAAAGGTCTGGGCTTGTTGATCCTGCATGTTTGCTTTCCACCCACCATCAGCAAAAGCTGAGGGACAGCGGCCCCCTGCAGAAGGACGTGGGTTCTCTTTGCCCAGTGCCCATCGCTTCTTAGTCCCTGCTGCTGAGGCTGGGCCGTCTGTCATTTTTCTTTTTTTTTAGATGGAGTTTCGCTCTTGTTTCCCAGGCTGGAGTGCAGTGGCATGGTCTCGGCTCACCGCAACCTCTGCCTCCCAGGTTCAAGCGATTCTCCTGCCTTAGTCTCCTGAATAGCTGGAATTAGTGCTCACCACCAGGCCTGACTAATTTTTTGCATTTTTAGGAGAGAGGGGGTTTCACCATGTTGGCCAGGCTGATCTCAAACTCCTGACCTCAAGTGATCCGCCCACCTTGGCCTCCCAAAGTGTTGGGATTACAGGTGTGAGCCACCGCGCCCGGCCCGTCTGTCAGTTTTAATTGTGCCCCTAGCCATGTTTTTTCATAGGTGGGAGATATTTCTCTCTATGTACATTTCTACCAAAGCTTAGAAAAGGAAAGATGGAAAGGGTATCATGTTTAGGGAAAATGATACCTGGCTTATGTCACCTGGTAACCCCTGGGGACACTGGTGCTTGCGGCCATACTCAGAGCCTTCCTGTGTGATTTCATCTAAGTGGCTCAGAATCAACTATCTGACTTAGAAGTAGCAGGTCAGATGGAGATGTGAGTATGTGTGTTTGCTGGACAAAAAAGAAATGAGAGCAGAAATGAAGGCTGCTTGCTGGGAGGAGCCGGTTCCAGCTACCCATGAGAGACAGGACTGTGAGGCTGCACAGAGAAGAAGGCACTGGAGAGTAACAAGAGCATGCCATGTTCTGTGTCCAGTTAAGCAGGCAGGGGAATGTGTGATGTAATTCAGAACTCCCAACCAAAATGGTAAAAATTAGAAATCAGGCAAACTTCTGCGTTCAGAGATGTATCCAATTAGAGAACCGCCTCCTGTTTCTGTGATGTCAGACTGTGGAGCACTACTCCACTCCCGCTGGCTAGGACTGAGTGGGCGTCAGAGTGGGGATTCATGAGTGGCATTGTGTGGCTTTCCTGATAATGACTGGCCACCCAGCCACGGGCTGTGCATCTGTCTGGTTGCTTCTGCGATGTCATGAGGCCCATGGCCGTGCCCGGATTCGATCTTGCCTCTCCTGGGTTATTCCCAGTTGGTTTCAGCTCTCAGGTGGAATCTTCTGTCTTTGAAGCTTATTGGCCGAAAGCTAAATGGCCGTAGATTTGGAACCATGCCCAACATTATTTCCTTGGGAAGGAGATAAGAAACGTTTTCCTTTTTTTAAGCTTTATATGTACCCTTTCCAGGAGGGCAGGAAATGTTCAGTCAGGTTGGGATTAAATAAAATCCATCATGAGCCTTACATTTGAATGCTTGTAGGCCTCACTTGTTCCAACAGATGAGTTTCCAAAAAGTTGTTGTTGTTTTGTGTATGTATAATATAATTATTTTCCTCTCAGAGGTGCTTTTTAATAGAAGTGAGCCCTTTCACATTTAAAAAACTACACAATATAGTTAAAAGAGAGCATGTAGTCAGTAGAAAAATGAATTTAAACTAGCTTATAGTGTACTTCATGCAATCATAATTCCTTCTTCCAGCGGAAGGAAGAGGAATGCTATGGCATTGGAAATGATGGAAATGATGAGGATTGCTGATCAGACTTGAAAGGAAAAAAAGCTTTTTTTTTTTTTCATTTTAGGAACTAGGAGATATTTTTCAAAATGTATGTTCAAAAACGGGAATTCCGGCTGGGTGCAGTGGCTCATGCCTGTAATCCCAGCACTTTGAGAGGCCGAGGCGGGCGAATCACTTGAGGTCAGGAGTTCGAGATGAGCCTGGCCAATATGGTGAAACTCCATCTCTACTAAAAATACAAAAATTAGCCAGGTGTGGTGGCAGATTTCTGTAATCTCGGCTACCCTGGAGGTAGAGGCATGTGAATTGCTTGCACCAGGGAGGTGGAGGTTGCAGTGAGCTGAGACTGCGCCACTGCACTCCTGCCTGGGCGACAGAGCGAGACTCCATCTCAAATAAATAAATAAATAATAAAATAAAATGGGGAATTCCAAGAAAATCTATCATAATCTCTCTTTTTCTTACTGCATGCAGACTGTAAGTGATGCATTTGCAGGTGGGCAGCACTGCCTTTCCCACACCTGTAGCTGTGTCAGGTGAGGCAGGACAGGAGACATGAGAACATGGTTCTGAGCCTCTTGGTCTATCTGTGAACAATGTAGGCAGAAGGTGATATCTGTCCACCCTGAGGAAGTCAGCTCCCAGTGCTGTTCCCCACTGGTGTCTGCCTGTGTGACCCGGGGAGAGTTCAGAACCTCACTGAGCCTTGGTTTTCTCCTCTGTAAAACTGGGCCATTAATAGACATCCCTCATGGTGGCCAGTGAATGGGTGGAATTAGAGCAGGTAATGCTAACAGGCCTGGTATGTGGCGAGCATTCAGCAAAAGTTATTATTTCATGGTCTGTTTCTTATTTGCCCACTTTGACAGAGTAGTGAGGCATAAGCAAGGTCTCTTGTCCAAACGTTAGATACAGTTAAAACCACTCAAAGCTCTCATAAATCAGTCTTTTGGGAAATATGTCCATCTATGTAATAGTTTCTCTTGTTTTGTAGATTTGGACTTCCTGATCAAATAGTGACCATGATTCAGGTATTAAATCATCAAATACTTGGTCATAACAGAGGCGACTCATGTAAAGGGGCTTACTACCTTCTTAGAGTGAAACTGTTTCCTTGCTAAAAAAGCCAGCAGCAGAGAATATCCAGGGATTTTGTTAAATTCCTAAAGAAAGAACATGAGCAATGAAGTGACTTACCCATTGAGAATCCCCGAGATCAGCGAGAACTTCCAGAAAACTTGGGAATCCACAGAGAGGTTGAATGACTGAGTGTGGAAGCATCTCATGACTCAGCTATTCACTTGGCTGACCTGTGGGCTGCCGTAAGCGGGAGAATGAACGGGAAGAAATGCACAAGGGTGTAGGTAGGATGCTTCCTCCCCGATGCGTAAGGTCAACACTTTTCTTTGCAATTATAATACCAATCTGTGGAAAACAGACTCAACTTACAGAGGATGTATTGGCTTTACCTTCAACATTTCAGGGATGTCTTTAATTTGCAAGCCAGTCAGCTGAACTCACTTAATATATCAATAGAGAATAAGGACAGATGACATGAAATAATTGAGCAGGAAGAGAATTCTAAAAGTCATGGAATTAATTGCCTTGCTGTGTATTAGAAAAATGTCTAGATTATTCCAGGCTTATTCTGAAAAATGCCCAGAGAAAGAGAATCCATAATATAGACTCCTTCAAGCTACTTGTGTTTGAGCACCCTTTGTCAGGATGTTTTCCTCATTTCTCAGTTACACATCTCCTGCTGCACTTTAAACTTCCTTCCTCCTGTTTTGTCTTCTGCTGAAATGGATACTCAAGTGACCATGTTACCTAGAATAACTCATGCCAGAGTTCCTCAAATGTGATCTGCAGAACATCAGTCCTACGCAACTTTCCATGGAGAAAGAATCCCCAGGCACTATGTTTCAGAAATGCTGCCTCTTGGAGATGCACAATGCATCTGAACATGAAATTAAAGGCTCTGAGAAGTCCTGCAGCAGTAAAACTATTTCACTTCTTTAAACCAGTGTTTTTCAACTTCTTACATTTTTAAAAATTTTTACCACAGAATCTCCATCCCCCTTTTATAGTAATGTCTGCTCACATACCCCCAAAACTCATCCAACAAATACATTTTGGAAAACTCGAAGAGATCTGAAGCTTGTTGCAATGGATTTGAGTGCATGGACCCTCAGCCATGAAAGGTTTTTTCAGTTGGACCATTCTGTGGCTTCTTATCAACCTTCTTAAAGTTCTTCACACCCCTCTTGAGTTGTTCAGAAACGGAAGTGGTTTTGATAAGGCACTGAGTAATGTGATAAAACACATCCTCTTCCCTATAGTCCTTATAAGTCTTCTTAAATAGAAGTCTTTGAGAAAATAACAGTAAGAGTTGGTCTTATTTGTTAGGTTTAGAGCTACCTTGCTAGGAAATGTCCACAGCTCTGATGCACTCTGCCAGGCAAATGAGGTCGTCTGCATGGCTTTTGCCTTACACTGTAACAGCCAATTCCTATGCACGTTGTTAACCAAATCAAAAATTGTAACATGGATTTTTTTACGATCACTTTTCTAACTAAAACCTTTTGATGAAAACATTGATGATAACCTTTACTCACTATCCTATTTATGAAATCTTACTCACAATCTGAGAAAGATGCAAATACCAGCAGTGAGTTGTATGTAACCAGGTTTTCTCAGTATTCTTTTCCATCTTCCTAAACACTGTTTTCAAGTGTGACATTTGTCCTTTCTCCCAAGGCATTTTTGGTGCTGACACACCACAGTTGGACCTGGTTCCTCTGGTGCTTGGATTTCAGTCTCCTGGAAAGCTGTTTTCTTCTAGGTGTTTTTTGTTTGTTTGTTTTGTTTTGTTTTGTTTTGGTGCTGCTGAGGGCTCTTACCTCTGACCCTCCTCTGCTCATCTAGCAAGGCCTGAGGTTTGCTGTCTGCTCCTCACCAACTGGTCCAGGCTGAAATTCCTTCTTCCATGGTGTCCCTTCTGTGCTCAGAGGCAAAAGCAGAAAGGAGGGAATTGCTCTTGTCCTGTTGTTGCCTTTGTACCGATTCCTTTTCTGTACATCTTGAGCCATGAGGAAAAGTTTCTGGTATTAAAGCCACTAAAAGTCAGAAGAAGTGGACTGTGGGGTGGGTGAGGATTGCATCCAATTCTGGGTCTGTCACTAACCTGCTGTGTGACCCTACACATGTCACCTGCCTGGCCCTCAGCAAATGGTAGCCATTAGTATTGTTCTCCCACCAGAGTCTTCACTGTAAAGTGAGGTCATTGGATTCAACGACTGGGTTTCTGCTTGAAAATTCTGCGGATACCCAAGTGTATTAATCAGATGTGCAGCTGGCTGCCTGAAAACTTGACAGACTTTATTGCTTGGCTTTTGCCACTGGAGTGATCTTTGAAAAAGAGAGTTGGAGTTACTAGGTTTTCAACTTTATGTAGAATCACTGAATTTCAGAGCTCATATACTCCAGTCTATTATTTTACAAAGATCAGAACTTACATTTAAAAATATACTGAGTAGGTTGTAGCAAAGTTTTGAAAGAGAGACAATAGTTTTTATCTACTGTCAAGCAATGATAAACGTCTTCCTTCTTCTTCCTTTCTGCCTCTATTCCTTCCTCCCTCCTTCCTTTCCTCCTCTCCTCCCTCCTCCCTCTCTTTGCTTCCTTCCCTACGTCTTTTCCTCCCTCCTCCCCTCCATCGTCCCCTCTCTCTTCCCTCCTTCCTCCTTCTTTCCTTCTTTTCCTCCCTCCCTCTCTCCCTCGTTCTTTCCTTCCCTCCTTCTTTCCTTCCTTCCCTCCTTCCTTCCTTCCTTCCCTCCTTCCTTCCTTCCTTCCTTCCTCCTTCCTTCCTTCCCTCCTTCCTTCCTTTCTCTCGCCCTTCCCTCCTCCTTCCCTCCTTCCTTTCTATTTTTCTTAGATGAAGCCTATCCTAGTTATTAAGTGATTCCAGATCCTTCTTTATTTCGGTGTTGCAAAATAAACATTCCTTGGTTTTGGCCGTTTCAAGCACCTTGGCATTATGATGGGGAAAATGCTGGGCAAGAAAAGACATTTCTATATTAAGGAGAAGCAGGGGAGTGCAGCCCAGCAGGGATGCGAACCAGTATTCCCTGGGTCTCAGATTCCACACTAGAGGAAGAAGTCTGTAGAAAGGACAAAGGAAAGAAAGGTTGGTGTTACTCTCTGGTATCCTTAGACAAAGTAGAAGCTGGCTTCTTCCATTTCTGGGAGACAGCAGTGAGCAGCCCCAAGGGCAGGCATTCGATTGTAGTGCCTAGGTCACCTCACTGTGCCGCAAAGTGGCTCTGGGATGGAAAAGTGTCTAGCTCTGCCCTCACAGCTCTGCCCTGGGAAGCTTCCGAGCTGGGGCTTAGCCCTGCACAGCTCCACCAAGGTCCTGCTGCTTTTCGGTGTGTGTTCATCATTCTCATCCCTCTCAGCTTTCCTTCCTACTCTTAGTGCAGCCTCACGAAGCCTCACAGTCCCTGGACAGGGATAGGAAGCCTGTGTGGGCTCCTAATGTGCTGTTTGACCTTGAGTAAGTTGCTTCAATTGAACGCTTTATTTTCAGACTCTAAAAGGAATATCTGCTCATCATCGAAAATTACCCCAATTTAGAAAAGTATAAGGGAGAAAATAAAAATCCCATAACCCCCCCACCAGAGACACTCAGTGTTGGAACTCGGTTGTATTTCTCCCCCAGACTAACTTTGTCTATGTCTGTATCTGTATCTCTATAGAGACACTCAGTGTTGGAACTCGGTTGTATTTCTCCCCCAGACTAACTTTGTCTATGTCTGTATCTGTATCTCTATAGAGACACTCAGTGTTGGAACTTGGTTGTATTTCTCCCCCAGACTAACTTTGTCTATGTCTGTATCTGTATATCTATAGAGATCATTCAGCATTTCATCTGAAAAGCTTCATATTATGTCTCTAGTTTTCTCATGCAATTACTACATAGCCGTCATGGAGATGCAGCATTCTTTTGGTAACCCACTTCCTATTGGACGTTCAGGTTGCTTCTAATGAACGGTGCTACAACGAACACTTGTAGTGTAGATATTTGTTCACATTTATGACTCCTTCCTTGGCTATACTCCTAAAAGAGTCAAGAGATGTAAACAAAGTGAGCAATTAATTTTCTAGGTATCACCTTTCTCACCTATAGTAAAACAACAACAGAAACAACAATCACTGATAGCAGCGGACACTCACATAGCATCTTGTTTGCCAGGCATGTCTCTAAGGGCTTATGTGTACCAGCGCATTTAATCGTCCCAGTTGCCCCGTTATTATCTCCATTTCACAGAAGTAGCTTGCCCAGAGTCACACACAGCCAGTAAGTGGGGTGGTAGGATTTCAGCCTGGGCAGTCTGGCTCCAGAGTCGTGCTCTTATCTGCTAAACTAGTGTTGCCCCTGTGGGATGAAAGAGCTAAAATGAAGAATCCCTGGGGTCCTGTTACCTGGGAACATCGCTAATGTAGCATGGAATCCTGCAAATAATGCTAGAACGGAGTAATGCAGTTGCCTGATAAGAGTTCACCGGCTCCTGTCATCCTCTTCGTCCTCCCATTTGTGTGTTTGACGAGCTTGGGGTCTCTGTGTTTGTGAGTGCATGTGCATGGATATGCAAGTGTTTGTATAATTTTATGAATGGAACAGAGTCCGCAGTGTGTGAAGCAAGAAAGCCTGAACAATCTATTGACACAATAAAGCACTCATAATTGATGCTGTTAGTTATAGATAACTCATCATCGTTTCCTTTTTATCTTAAGGTTCCCAGGCACGTTGGCTGGGAAATGTGTCATTTTATAATTGGAGTTTCACCCCGGTGGAGCAGGAATAGGATGGGATTTGGCTGTCTACTGTAACCCCATCCCCCCAAAGCATGTCTGTACTTACCGTCTGAGGAGGGTGCTTCCCCTCCTTGAGCTGATTTGCCTGTGCTGTCCAGAAGCATTGCTGGATATGATTATCCAGTAGAAAAGGAGCTAATCGACAAACTTTTCACTGGCATAACGTGTCCACATTGCTCTTATTGCTCGCTAAATATAGAGGTTGCCAGGACCCCTTGAAATTTTGATTCAGAAGATCTGGGAGAAGCCTGAGAATATGCCTTTTTAAAAAACATGTGCTCTGAGTGATCACCTTCATGGATTTTGGGGAAGTCTTAGGTAGCAGGTCTCAACCTTCATAGGATATCAGCATCACCAGATTCTTTTGAAAAAAGTACCACTTCCTGTCCTTCTGCTCACTGCCTGCCCTAATTTGAATAACTGATCTAGGGTGGTTTCCAAGTTCAGGATTTAAAAAAAAAAAAGTCTCTAGAGGTTCTTGTGTGCAGCCATAGTTGGGTACCTCCAGCCCAAGAAGTTCTGCTGATAATATCGCACCTATACATTTAATTGCACTTCACATTTTACAACTCTCTTTCACCATTGAACATCGTAACAATTCACTAAGGTCAGTAAAGCAGGCATTATTATATTGTCCTTGGCCGAGAGAGGTTGACTGAATTGCCCGAGGCTGCACAGCTTCTCCCTCAGTCAGCAGCAGCTGTTCCCTACTTGGCTCATGGCCAGTCCTGCCAGTTCTTTTGGAAGGGGCAGCCTCCACTCCCCTGAGACTCACAGGATGAAATCAATTGCCTCTCCTAGTGCTGATGCTCGCGAGGCTCTTTCTTCCCCTTCTCAGCCACATCTTTTCTACTGCAGCCACTCTTCCTGCTCAGAGGGCCTCTCTCTGAAAGGTGCAGTTGCGTTCCCCTCCCATGCTCCATCCCACTTAACGGTTAGGTCATGGCACTGAGGGATGGACAGCTTGGAGCCTGGACAGTCCACATCCTCCACCGTGGTCTGAGGACAGAGACGTGCTGCCCCCCAGCTCCAGCCCCTTCGATGCCATCCTGCAGAAAGCACTGTGCACGCTGCATGGCAGGAGCCAGTAAAGTTCCACACCCCCATCCCAAATTCTCACATCCACCACCAAAGCTTCCTTCACCCCTGCATCCCACCGCGGATAACCTGAAAGCCCACCTGAGTCCTTCCTGGGAGGCGGCTGTGTGGGGCTGGAGCCCCCTGCAGTGGTGAGTCCCACTCCGGACACCTGGCCAATGGGAGCTTAACAAGGTGGCCAGCGAAAGAGAAACAGAACCCGGTAACGGCATCTGCCCCTTCCGCCATCCTCCACCCCGCAACCCGCTGCGGGCTCAAAATCTCTCCTCATTCAAACCGAGGACTTTTGTTTCTCTTTACTGTTCCTCTCCTTGTCCAGACCTTTTCCTTCACACAGGCTGTATCTTGGAGAGGCTCCCAGTGACTGTAGACTTCCTGTGTCAGAATCCTGCAGCCTCTGTCCCTGGGCTGCTTGGGCGGAGTGGGAGGCTGCGGGAGAAGGCGGGGTTTGCCTTGCAGGCAATGCGGGCAGGGGCGCTGCACCCAGGGAAGAGTTCCAAATGCTGATTCTCCCCATGGCCTTTACCTACCTACCTATTCAGCAGCCTTGCAACTGAGACGAAGCCACCCCCTAGCAGACTTTTGCAGGATATCGTTCACTTTCCTCTCTCAGGCCCTGCCCACCACGGGTTGTTGGTTTTGTGAGTTGGTGTGGGGGAGTCAGCAGGGTCCTCAGTGACTTTTGATCTTTCAGCGCTGACTTTCAGGAAAGGTAAGCTCTCTGCCAACAAAGCTGGTCTCCGCTGTGCCTCCTCCTCTTATACAACAACCCTAAGTGGCTTTCCTGCCAGGTGAGAGGATTTGCAAGGACTGCGGAGGAATATGGGACCGACGAGCTCTCCTTTCTCAAAACAGAGGGAGCCTTGGTGCAGATGCACAAAGTGGTCCTTGAAGTTGCATGTGGCCCGGAGCGGCTGGCTTGGTGGATCTTTACTGTTCTGGTTGGGCATTGTCAGGCAGCTATCAGAGGGCCCAAGAGTCCTTCACAATAACTCGTTATCACCCACAAGCAGCCAGCCAAGTTAGTACCTGCTTGACCCCGTCCTGCTGACAGTGGATTGGACCAGGGTTGAGCCTGAGAGCCAGCCAGCATGAGCCTCTTTCCTAGAAACCGTTAGTCAGGAAAAAAACGTTCTGGTTCAGTCTGGGCTAGCCTCTCTATGGGAGAGATGGAAAACCTCCCAGCCATGGGAGCTGGAAGGGGTCGGATCCATCCTCCAGCTCCGCTTTCTCCTTTTGTAAATGCCAAAAAGAATTGGGGTCCTGAGTGATGACTTGATTGGCCCAAGGCCACGTGGCTACTATGACTACTTTATAACAGAGCTGGATTTTGGAGTCCAGTGTGTTAATTCACTTACTCCCTTGGCTAAGACACGGAGCTTCTGAAAATAATCTCTTATGAGAGCTTCCATTCAGCTCAGACTTTGAAGAAATGATAGTTCTTGCATACTATATACAGAGAGAGCACAGGTCTCAGTATCAGACTGATCTGGGCTCAAACCCTGGCTCTCCGAGTCACTAGTATTGAGATCTTGGGCACATTTCTCATACACCTTGTGTTCCTCCAGTATAAAATGGGGATCACTCTGGTCTCACAGAAACATGGTGAGGGTGTTCTATTGAGTAGAAGATACGCTTAGCAAATACTCATTGCTAAATAAAACAAGGCTTCCTGGTCAAAATGAGTAATAGCTCTCTCCTTCCTAGTGCTCTGATTCTGAAGATGGTGTAGTTGTGGAATTATTTAGTGCCCTCATGTTTGTGGTTGGGACCAGAGAACAGGGGCCTTTCTTTTGCTTTTCTTCAGACCCCGAGAGCCTGGGTGTCATCAGTCAGCCCACGACCATCCCTTGTGGGCTTGGGAAAACTCAGACAGAGAGGGAAATGTGAGACTCTGGCAATGTGAAAAAAACAAGTACCTCTCTATTACTTATTTTCTAGTCTTGTGAAGTTTGTTCAACCTACAACCCAGCATTGATTCAAGGCCTCCTCTGTGACCCCACCCCAGCGGCAGTGCGCCCACTGGGTAAGATAAAGTGAGAGGTGCAGGGACGCACAGGTAGAAGGAGATCCTTCAGGCCTGGTCACATCTGAGGTTATGGGGCGGTGGCCTGATACTCCTGAGACAATACGCTTTTTGATACTCTTTTGAGGGTGGCTGCAGAGGACATTGGCTTGTACCTCTGGCCCCTCTGTTCATTCTTCACCTCATAGAATGAACATTTGCAGGCCTGCATTGAGACACTGTTTTGTCCTTGTTATGTGCTTCATGCCCTAAATCACCACATCAGAATTCAATTCCTAGTCACTCACCTGTCTCCAGAACAAATCCCTATGGAATATCCATCTTTCTAGACCCAGAGAGGGTCCTGCCTCTCTCAACCCTCCCTCTCTCCTCATGACTCGAAATCCTAAATCTCCTTCAAAGACCACCTAGCTCATATCCAGCTCTTCATGAAGTCTTTATGTGGACTGGACCACTCCTTTTGCACTCAGCAGAGGTTACCTTGTGTTGCTGTACATTTTTAGACTGTAAGAGTCCTTTCTAGAGATACATGTGCCACCAAACCCTCACCTCAGGGGGGTCAACAACCTAGTTGAAAATACGTCTTAAGTGTAGTTGGGCTGCCATTTTCTTGAAGGCAGGGCCCTGTCTCATCGTTTTTATTCCTCAGAGCACAATATCAGGGAACTATAGGCTGCATGTAACAGTGGCATTAAAAAAAGAGAATATTTTTTATCTCATATGAAATGGAGTCTTGAGGAAGGACAGCTTCAGGATTCGTAATGCATCAGTTAGCTATTGTGACATAGCTAACCAATTAAAAACCGAAAAGTTTGAAACACCACCATTACTTTATAGCTCCCAATTCAAGCAGGTCAGCAATTTTGGCTGGGCTCAGCTGGGCAGCTCTTCTGGTCTCACCTGTGCTTCCTCATGCATCTGTGATCCCTCATGCATCTGTGGTCATCTCTAGGTTGATCAGGTGGTGCTGCTGGGGGTTGTGTGGCTGTTGGCCAGGGAGCCTCAGTATCCTGCCCATGTTGCTCCCATGTCTCTAGCAGGGCAGCCTGGAGTATCCCTCTTGAGACGAGATTTGGAGTTGGTGCAGTCACTTCTGCTGCAGTGCTGTTGACTAAGACTCAGTAATGAGGAAATAGACTCTGCCTCTTCGTGGGAGGAGCTTCAAGGTCACATTGCCAAGGGCAGGTGGAGCATTGGAAGCATTTTTTGTAGTGGGTCTGCCATAGCCAATGATGTTAGGGCTTGAAGAAGTCTGTTCTTAGGACTTGCTTGGCTTTTTGCCTCATGCTCACAGATGGCAGCAGCAGTTCCAAGCATCATGTCCTCACACAACAGTGTGTGAAGGCAGGAAGGGTTGAGCCTAAGGATGAGGAAAACTTCCCCAGCTGTCTCCTATGAGCCTTTCCTTAGGCTGTGGTTAGGGCGGGGCTGTCCTAACCAGAATAGACCAACGGCTAGGATTACCATGATTAACTTAGAGTCATCCCTAGGCTGGGAGGGACTTGTCTTCTTCTTCTTCTCCTTCTCCTTCTTCGTCTCCTTCTTTTTTAAATTAAATTTTTTTTTTTTTTTTAGACAGGGTCTTCCTCTGTCACCCAGGCTGGAGTGCAGTGGCGTGATCATGACTCTCTGTAGCCTTGATGTCTCAGGCCCAAGGGCTCCTCTCACCTCGGCCTCCTGAATAGCTGGGACTACAGGCACACCCACCATGTCTGGCTATAAATTTTTATTTTTATTTTTTGTAGAGACAGGGTCTTGCTATGTTTCCCAGGTTGGTCTGAAACTCCTGGGCTCAAGCAGTCCTCCCACTTTGGCCTCCCAAAGTGCTGGGATTACAGGTGTGAGCCACCATGCCCAGCCAGCCTGTCTTCTTTGAAGTGTTGGCTTCCAGAAACCTGAACAAAATTGGGGTTCTGAGAGCACAAAGGCAGTAGTGAGGGGTGACAGCTGGGTTGGGAACCGGTAGGGTGCAGAAGAAGAAACTTACGTCGTGTCTTGTACCCACTTATTTTTTTAAATAGACATTGATATTAAGCCTATAATGTGTGAGGCACTAGAGAATTAAAGGTGAGCAAAACTTTAATCTTCTAAGAAGGTCATGTCTAGATGGCAGATACGAGTAAACAGCTGACTGAAGTACAATGGTGGTAAATGGTAGAAGCGGGGGCTTGGGGATTTAGGGCAGACTTTCAGGGCTTATGTGAGGGCTCAGATCCTGCCCTGCTGTTCATGCCTTATCACCAGTGGGTTCTGACAGTAAAGACCAATGCAGGCAGCAAGGTACCACTTTATTAGTATCTAAAGCAGGACCCAGCTACCTGCAATTCAGGGCTCTCCAGTAAAAGACTGAGTTGAAACCCGCAACTGGGACTACAGGCCAAAGTGGGGTCTCCTACTCTCATCGACCTTGGAGCCAAAATCTGTGACAAGC
Source organism: Homo sapiens (assembly GCF_000001405.40). Lineage (NCBI taxonomy): Eukaryota > Metazoa > Chordata > Mammalia > Primates > Hominidae > Homo > Homo sapiens. Next base: position 4,834,806 of record NC_000012.12, read on the forward strand.
TCTTTTACAGCTGACTTTCAGGAGGGTGAGAGAACAAGACCCAAAAGTGGTTCTAAGCCCTCTTACCCAGCTGATTTCATGGAGTGAGAATCATACGGACAGAAAGGAAAGGTGCCCGGTCTGACCCAAGGGACCAGGGACTGAAAAGCAAGCTGGTTTTGAGGACTGACCTAAGGCACAACAACTCTGTTAACTAGTAAAATGTAGCCTAACCAATGTATTGGGTTCAACTGTTGGGACTGGGAATTTAGCATTCTTGGAGTCTATATAGGAGGGAAGCTAATAAATGCAAACTGAGTACTCCCATTTTTCTAAGAAACAGAGAATGATTTTTTTTTTTTTTTTTTGAGACAGAGTCTTGCTCTGTCGCCCAGGCTGGAGTGCAGTGGCGCGATCTCTGCTCACTGCAAGCTCTGCCTCCCGGGTTCACACCATTCTCCTGCCTCAGCCTCCCGAGTAGCTGGGACTACAGGCACCCGCCACTGCGCCTGGCTAATTTTTTGTATTTTTAGTAGAGACGGGGTTTCACCGTGTTAGCCAGGATGGTCTCGATCTCCTGACCTTGTGATCCGCCCGCCTCAGCCTCCCAAAGTGCTGGGATTACGGGCTTGAGCCACCACACCTGGCCAAGAATGATTTTTTTTAAATTATTTTTTTCTTTCCTTTTTTTTCCTCCATTTCTCCCTGTTCCCACTTCCTACTTAGCCCTTTATAAATGTAATTCTAACCTTTACCTTCCCTTCAGCAGACACTCCCTATAGGGCTATTTCATCTAACTATGCGCTTAGAAGTTCCAGAGTGGAACTCTCCCACCAGGAGACTTCCTCATGGGACAACAGTCAACCTCCAACCCAAAGTTGCTTGTTAGGAAACTCTCTCCCACCTGGAGAGTCTTGGCTACCTTGAACAACCTAGTCCTGCCCACAAAGACATCAACTCAGCTGTCTGATAGATAAGGCACCGAAGCCAATATGTGTACCCCGACCTGCTGGTTTCCTCTCCTGCATGTCATTCATGCTAGGCCCCCTTCAAAAAGAACCTTCTTTCTGTTCCAAAAGCAAAGTGGTGCCCTTAAGGCAGGAAGCCTGTACTTCTTCCCCTAAGGTAGCTATGGAATAAAAAGTCGCTGTTTTTTTTTTTTTTTTTTTTTTTTGACGGAGTTTCGCTCTTGTTGCCCAGGCTGGAATGCAATGGCACAACCTTGGCTCACTGCAACCTCCACCTCCTGGGTTCAAGTGATTCTCCTGCCTAAGCCTCCTGAGTAGCTGGGATTACAGGTGCCTGCCATCATGCCTGGCTATTTTTTTTTTTTTTTTGTATTTTTAGTAGAGACGGGCTTTCACCATGTTGGCCAGGTTGGTCTTGAACTCTGACCTCGGGTGATCCACCTGCCTTGGCCTCCCAAAGTGCTAGGATTGCAGGCGCAAGCCACCACGCCTGGCCAAAAGTCACTGTCTTTATACCAGACCTCACTCTTGTTGATTGGACTCTTCCTGCAGTGAATAGATCAGGTGGACTCTGCAGTAAGTGATACTGTGAAGGCAGGTAACAGGTGGTCTGGGTAAGTGAGGAAGAACAACAAATTCTTCTTTGGCACTGGAGGGGGTCAGGGAGGGTTTCCCAGGGGAATTAACACTTCAGCAGGGCCTTGGAAGATGACTTGGAATTTTCATTGTTGAAAATAAAATTCTTAATAAAAGAAATGGCTTGAACAAAGGTATGGGGGTCAAGAATAGGATGCTGTGTTCAAGGAGCTAGGAGCTTGGGATATATGGAGTGAGAGAAAGGGTGCAGGAAAGGCTAGAAAAATAAGTTGGACTCAAGATTGCGAAGAGTCATGAAGCTGCTTAGAAGTGGGATTCATTCTGAAGGCCATGGGAGCAAGCAGGAGTTTTAGATCAAAGTGACATGCTCAGGTCACATTTAGGAATGATGCCTCCGGCTGAAGCAAGATGGGAGTGCGACAGACTAGCATTGAGGGCACCCAGTGGGAGCAGTGTCTGATATAGCCAGTTGCAGGGAGACATGCCCGGGTGGCTCGCCTAGGAGAAATATTTTATCATTGACATTGCTTATAATTGCTAGTGATATTGCGGAATATATATTTGGTCTTCATCCTGTTTCCTGGCATAGGGATCTCCAGAGTGATTTCTTTTTGTATGTCAATGAGTTTAATGATGGCTGGCAGCCCCTGGATAGCTTCAGGACAGTGGCTGGTCACTGAAAAGACCAAGGCAGGATTATAGGGCTGGAACTTTCAATCCTGCCCCCCACAAGGGGTGAGGGGCTGAAGGTCAAGGCAATCATCAATGGCCAGTGGTTAAATCAATCATGCCTATGTAATGAAGCCTCCATAAAAACTCCAAAAAGGACTGGTTTCAAAGAGCTTCTGGATAGCTGAACACATTGAGGTTCCTAGAAGGTGGCACACCCCAATAGGGCATAGAAGCTCCGTGTCTCTTCTCCATACCTTGCCCTGTACATCTCTTCATCACTATCCTTTGTAATAAACCCATAAATGTAAGTAAGTTTCCTGAGTTCTGTGAGCCACTCTAGCAAATTAAGCAAACCCACGGAGGGGGTCATGGCAACTCCAGTGTATAAAACCAGTCCCTCAGAAGCACAGGCAAAACAACCTGGGGCTTGTGACTGGCACTGGAAGTTGGGGGCAGTCTTGTGGGGCTGAGCCCTCAACCTGTGGGATCTGATGCTGTCTCCAGGTAGACAGCATCAGAATGGAATTGGAGGACACTGGCTGGTATCTGCTGCAATTGCTTGCATGTTGGTGGGGAGGAATCCCCAAAGATTTTATCACAGAAATCTGTGCTGATTGTTGTGGTGTGAGAGCAGAGGAAGAAGTTTGTGTTTTTTGTCTACTCACAGACGCATATGGAAATAAAAAGCAATCAATTTTTGGCCAGTATTATTGTTTTAATGTCCTCTGTGGACAATGCAACCCTTTATTGCCTGTGTGGGTACAGACTGCTCTCCACACACTCCTCGTTGCTCTACCTGTGGGAGGCTTTTATGGTAACCCAAGCAGAAGAGGCTACAGTCACTTACTGAGCATCTGCTGGGAGTGCATGGATAGACTGCCTGAGTGTGGGCTCTGCAGCTCAGAGGTGGTTTGAAGAGAGCCTTTGTATTTGGGTGCTGCTGCGCTAGACTGCAGAGACCGCTCTCCAAGTGTTCCACTCTGAGAGAGTAGAAAATAAGCACACCCACTAAGAGGGCATAAGGTGGGGAGGGATGGGGTGGTTATCATCATCTGACTGCCTTCGGCTGCAGGGTCTCATAAGTTCCACCTCCTGTGGCCATGGCCAGAGTGGCACCCCCTTGACCCTCTCCCAGAGCTTAAGAACCCCTTCCTCAGACGTTTGGAGGGGATGGTAAGGAACACTGTCTCTTTTGTTCTTGGGATGTCCTCCATAAAAATTTCAGAGCTGCCTGGGAATCAAGTTGAGTGGAGATGTTTGACGAATAGGTTTATTCAGAAACAAACCTAAAGCTTTGCCTGCAGCCTCGTGGCTCCTGGCTTGTCTAGGAGCCCTGCTCCCTGCCTTTGATACTGGGAGGTGGTAGCATGGCACCTTACACACACTGGGGGCTACCAAGGAGTTTACAGCGTGATACTGTTTGCAGAGCAGTGACTGAAGACAGCTGCTTTTCTTGACCTCTTATTGCTTTTCAAGTGTAGCCTACATGAAATGGGATATGATGGTCCAGTTTACTCAGTCGCCTCTGAAAAATGAGAAACTCTGTTATGTCTATTTGCTGTTTACCTGCTGCCTGATTTTGAACAGAACACATAACCTATCTGCCATAACTAAATACCATACACTTGGAGGCTTCAATAACAGAGACTTATTTTTTAACTGCTGTGGTGGCTAGAAATCCGTCATCAAGGTGTCAGCAAATTGGTTTCTGGTGAGGGCTCTCTTCCTGGCTTGCAGATGGCTTCCTTCTCACTGAGGATGCACATGGCCTTTCCTCTGTGCACAGAGTGAGAAAGAGCTCCAGTGTCTCTCCCCTTTTTATGAGGTCACCAATCCCATGGGACTAGGGCCCCACCCTTATGACCTCATGTAACCTTAACTACTTCCTTAGAGGTCCATCTTCAAATACAGGCATCCTGAGGTGTAGGGCTTCAGCATGTGAGTTTTGAGGAAACACAAACATTGGTCCATAATACATATCCTTAAAGATATTCTCCTGCTCTGACTGCTTTCATAGGCTCTCAGGAGTTCAGGCATAATATGCACAAAAAAGCAGGCAAACTCTGCTTATGCATAGAATAATAAAGTTTGTGCATTGAACTCAAAAGCTTAAGGAAGACTTGGTTTAAAGATTTATAATCTTAATAAATTGAATGTAGTTGACCTGTAAACAACATGGGTTTAAACTGCATGAGTCACTTATGCATGGATTTTCTTCTGCTTCTGCCACCCCGGGAACAGCAAGACCAACCCTTCCTCTTCCTCCTCTCCTCAGCCTACTCGGTGTGAAGACAATGAGGATGAAGACCTTTACGATGATACACTTCCACTTAATAACCAGTAACTATATTTTCTCTTCCTTATTATTTTCCTAACATTTTCTTTTCTCTAGCTTACTTTATTGTAAGAATATACTACATAATACATATAACATACAAAATATGTGTTAAATGACTTTTTATGTCATCAGCAAGGCTTCTAGTCGACAGTAGGTTATTAGTAGTTAAGTTTTGGGGGAGTCAAAAGTTTTATGCAAATTTTCAACCGCTCAGGGGTCGGCACCCCTAATCCCAAGTTGTTCAAAGTCAACCATATTTATTTATCAAAGCAATGTATTTTCTAAATAACTATTCAGGAAACAAAAGCCACCTTGTGGAAACATAAAAAGTGCCCATTGACATGTATGTATACATGCATAGAAAAAAGACTGGAAGTATGTTAATAATAATAGTCATAGCTAGCAGTTACAGAACACTGTGCCTTATATTAACATTGTCTTAAATCCTCCCATTATGGAGTAGCTTCAATTATAATTCCCATTTATCAGAGGAGGCCACCAAGCAATTGGCTTAAGACCAAGTTTGTGTGACTCCAAAGGCAAAGTGCTTTTTTTTCTGGGTAGAAGGGACATTCACAATTTTTTGTTTCTTTTTTATAGTTTTCTGAAGTCAGTGAATTATTTTTAATGACTGTGTACTTTTTCTTTTGGAAGAGAAAAAACTTCCATCATGAAAAGTTATAATGGATGGCTATGGTAAGAGGCAAACAGAGAAAAGAAATGATAAACTCTATATGAAAGGGTTTATGTCACTCCTGAGTATTCCAGTTGGAGAAAGAAGCAGTTGATTTGGGCATAAAATGGTATTTTGTTTGCATTTCATTGATGATGATTATTATCTATCTATCTATCTATCTATCTATCTATCTATCTATCTATCTATCTCCTCTTAAAGATAAAGTGACGCTTGAGAGTGTCTGGACTATTTTCCTGTAAGTAACAACCCCAACAAAAAGTGGGCAAAAGACCTGAACAGACACTTTTCCAAAGAAGGCATGCACGTGGTCAATAAGCACATGAAAAAAGCTCAATATCACTCATCATTAGAGAAATGCAAATCAAACCCACAATGAGATACCATCTCACACCAGCCAGAATGGCTATTACTAAAAAGCATAAACTGTAGCCCTAACTTGTTGCATGCCACTTCTTTACCTCCTGGGAATGAATGCACAGGGCTCTGTTGACAAATCTGCGGGAAGTAGAAAATTTTACCAAGCTCAAGGTTTTAAGGAATGACACGTTCCACATCAATCACAGACATGGCAGAATGCTTGGGAAACATCTGTTGAGCCTAACTCCAATGAGACTGAGATGGTCAGTGGTACACACTGGGTCAGCAAGAAGGATGGTTCAGATTCTGGTCCCAGAATTCCCTGCTGATGTGGCATAGCCCAAGCTCTGGGGAGTGGAGCCCATTTAGGGATGTGTCCCCCAATAGCAAGCTATTGCCAGAGACTGATTGGAGGCAGAGGATAGGGTGTTTTTAAAGTGCACACAAGGAAGATTCTCAATTGTATTATATTGTGAACACAAAAATTTAGGACTCCCCGTGTTGATTGCAGCTTGTGTCTGAGGGGAGCTTATTTAAGGAAGACAACCTGATAGTCTTACTCCTTAGAAGGAACTTTAAAGAATATTTGGTTGATCATATAGTCCTGATAAGCAGGAAGAAAAAGAAAGGATGAATTTAAACTCATTTTACTCAGCAAAGGGTGACATTAATACTGGATTATCAGTCAGTACCTAATTGCACAAGGAGTATAAACAAGTGGTGCTCAACATTGGATGTTCAAATTTAGAATCCCCTAATGCCCTCATCTTATGCTGAATTTAGAATCGTGTGCGTTAGCTGACAGATGAGCATTCTCATGGTGGCCCCATCAGCCAGCCAGTATCACCATCTTTTCTGTGTAATAATGCTGTATGTATAATAATTTGGCAATTTATTAAGATTATAAAATAAATAATAAAGATTTAATAAGATTGATTTAATCTTATTTTTGGCAGTTTTTTTGTCCTTATTTTATAAAAGTGAGAAGAAAATAGAGACATCTACAGCACAAAGCATAGTTGTTAAAACTTAATAGACTTGAGGCAAGATGAAAATCATTAGATTTACCTAAAGTGCTCTATCAGATGTTCAGTGGAATTCAGTCAATTGAATATGTATTGAAGTGCAGAGGAAGGTAACGTATTTAAAGATCATGTGTGAAGTGTTGGAAATATACCATCGATGATTATGTCTAAAAGGCAAACTGTGAAGGAGGGTTTTGTACCATGTTAGCTTGCCGGCATAGAAACTCATACAACACATGATCTTTTGCACACTTTCTGTCAGTCAATTTCCATTTCCAGAAATTTAAATTTTATATCTAAAAATGGGGACTGGTAATATAGAGAGGAGAGAGGGAAGCAGGGCATTCAAAGAAAAAACATGCGATCTCCAAGTTGTAGAATTTTATGGTAGAGATGAGACAGGTGAATAAAATGTTATTTAAACCAAAGCAATACATACTGGTTATTGCCATAGTAAAGAATAGTGTTTCATACCAATTTTTCAGCATATATGTATTGAGGTCCTCCTGTCTTCTAGGCACTGGGGATATAGAGATAAATGAAACAAAAGATTTCTTCCTTTTATGGAGCTTACGTGTGTGTGTGTGTGTGTGTGTGTGTGTGTGTGTGTGTGTGTGTGTGTGTCTGCTGATGAGGAGGAGGAGTGGAAGGAGATGTTAATCCATTAAGCCCAAATGTAAAATTGCCACTGCGCATATGTTACTAGGAACTGATACCCACAAAACTGCTATGAAAGTCCAAATTAGGGACATTTAACTCAATGACATTTTAGCTGATATTTGAATAACTAACAGGAGTTAAATAGTCAAAGGAGGTAGAAACCACATTCCAGGGAGAGGGGACAATATATCCAAAGACCCCATGATGACAGAAACATGGTAAGTATGAGCACGGTGAGCCTGGAGCTAGGTCCACAGGTGAGGAGTTTTATCTTCAGCCTTGGAGCCACAGGATGAATGCCTTAGGTGAGTTTCAAGTGGTGGGGTGGTGAAATGGTTTAGTAGTTCTCACACTGCTATAAAGAGCTATCTGAGACTTGGTAATTTATGAAGAAAAGAGGTTTAATTGACTCACTGTTCCACAGGCTATACAGGAAACATGACTGGAGAGGCTTCAGGAAACTTACAGTCATGGTGAAAGGGTGAATGAGAAGCAACCATGTCTTCACGTGGCGGCAGGACAGAGAGAGAGCAAAAGGGGAAGTGCTACACACTTTCAAACAATCAGATCTCATGAGAACTCACTATCATGAGAACAGCAAGGGGGAAATCCACCCCCATGATCCAATCACTTCCCACCAGGTTCCGCCCCCAACATTGGGGATTACAATTCAACATGAGATTTGAGTGGGGACATAGCCTAACTATATCAAATGGGGTAATATGATCGGATTTGTGAGTGAAAGTATCAGTCTGGCCACAGTGTAATGGATTGGAGGGACTGGATGGATGCAGGTGGACCAATTATAAAACTTGTGTCCGTGGCCAGGTGAAAGGTGGGACTAGGGCAATGGTGATGGAGATGGAAAGAGGTGAATGGGGTTGAGAGCTTTGGGAAGGTGAAAGCTTTGGTACTTGGGAATCAATTGGAGGTGGTGGGATAGACAGAAAGGGAGGAAGAGGATGACTTCTAGGCATTAATAATACAAAATAGTAGATAATTCAATAGTCACTTCATTTTGTCATTGGAATGAAATATGATTTGGGTGGAGGGCAAAACAGTGATCATGTTTTTAAAAATTCTTTACTTTTTTTTTTTTTGAGACGGAGTCTCACTCTGTCGCCCAGGCTGGAGTGCAGTGGCGCGATCTCGGCTCACTGCAAGCTCCGCCTCCCGGGTTCACACCATTCTCCTGCCTCAGCCTCCCGTGTAGCTGGGACTACAGGCACCCGCCACCACGCCCGGCTAATTTTTTGTATTTTTAGTAGAGACAGGGTTTCACCGTGTTAGCCAGGATGGTCTCAATCTCCTGACCTTGTGATCTGCCTGCCTCGGCCTCCCAAAGTGCTGGGACTACAGGCGTGAGCCACTGCGCCTGGCCAAAAATTCTTTACTTTTTATTAAAGTAATATATGCACACAGTTTGAAAAGCGAAACAATAGTTACGTTAGGCCATTCTCACGTTGCTATAAGGAAATACCTGAGAGTGGATAATTTATAAGAAAAGAGGTTTAATTGGCTCACGGTTCTGTGGGTTGTACAGGAAGCATGGAGGCATCTGCTTCTGGGGAGGCTTCAGGGAGCTTTTACTCACGGTAGAAGTCAAAGTGGGAGCAGGCAGTTCACGTGGCGAAACCAGAAGCAAGAGAGCGAGGTGGGCAGTGCCACATACTTTAAAACAACCAGATATCATGAGAACTCACTCGCTATCTCAAGGACAGCACCAAGGACATGGTGCCAAACCATTCATGAGAACTCCACCCCCATTACCCAGTCACCTCCCACCAGGACCTACCTCTAATATTGGAGATTACATTTGACATAAAGTTTGGGTGGAGACAGATCCAAAACCATATCAATAGTATAAGGCTTCCAAGGAAAACCAGCTTGCCCATGTCTCTCTCTTCCTTACCATGAAGCCAATCCACAGGGGGACCACTTTCAATTATTTTAAGTTCGTTTTCTGGGATTGACCTTTATTTTTTCCCAGTAAATGCAGACGTTGCTATTTCTTGATTTACTTTTTCATTTTCTAAAGCACCTACTATGTGCCAGTCACTCTGTTCTAACCATGGATGCATCGGCAAACAAATTATGGATACATGTAGCAAACAGAATTCCCTGTCCTCGTGGTGCTTTCCTTCCAGTAGGGAGAATAAGCAAATGTTTAAATAAAATATTACTATAACCATCTCATTATAATGAGGTGGTGCCCTTTATAGAGATGATTATAAATAATATGGAGAAAAGTGAACAACAGCAGAGGTGATGTAGGGAATGTCAGGGAAGAAGTACAGTGTTAAATGACGTAGTGGGAGAAGGCGGTGACCTTACTGAGAAGATGGCATCTGAGCACAGAGCCTGAAGGATGGGAGGACTGGACCTTGTGGATATTAGGGGAAGGACATGCTAAGCAACGGGAACAGCATGTGCAAAGGCCCTGAGGTGGGAGGACATGGGGTAACTGAGGAACAGAACAGCAAAGGGGCCTTTACTGCTGGAGGAAAGTGAATGAGGAGGAGAGTAATTTGGGTGGGGTAAGCCAGGGTGACACAGATTGCATAGGGCCTTTGGGCTACCATAAGGACTGTGACTCTGCATGATGGGCATTACCTCTTGCCTTTGTACATGTATGTTGTCTACCACTTTCTTTGCCTCCCCCATAATTTTTTGGTTAAATCAGTGTTCAGTGTATCTGTCATTATCACTATCAAAGACTATTTTCTGCATTGTCAAGCAGTATATTATAATGTTCATTTAATCTCTTGTAAACATTTTGTTAATAATTGCCTCATTTTCTTCACCTGCTTAATTTTCAGTGTTCCTGTTTATAATTCTTTCCAGATTTTCCAACAGAGTTGGAAAAAACCCTCTAAACATGGTTTTCTATGGGATCAGATGCATCAGGCTCTGGACCATTCAGTTCCTTTCCTCCTGGAGCCTTCCATTGCGGAAGCTTCCCTCCCCCACTGTCTTGCCTGCTTTCTCTCTGCCCTGTACAGCTGGTGTCCTGGGAATCTTTTTCCTTCCCTTCTACATTGGGTCTTCGTTTTCCTGGGCTATATGTTGCTTCTTTCTTGGTTTATTTCTTCTCTGGATGGGACAAACCCTTCAGTAGGGTAAGAAAGGGTAAATGGAAAGTACAGTTTTGAGCTTTCATGCCTAAAAATGCCTTTATGCAGTTCTCAAACTTTATTAATTACTGGATGGATGTTAAATTCCAGAATGGGTATCATGGTTTCTTAGAATTTTGAAAGCATTGCTTTGCTGTTTCCTAACTTCCACCCTTGCTGCAAGAAGTCAACGCTTTTCTGATTGCTTTGTACGTGAACTTCTGTCCCTCTGCAGGTTGTTAAGCTTTTCTCTTTCTGGATGCTCCGCAGTCACGTTACGTGCATTGTTGTGGAGGTGTTGGACATTAGGCACACGGTTCCTAGAAAAAACAGAGGATGCCTGTTACATGTGAATTTTAGATAAACTAGGAGTAATTTGTGCAATGTTTGGGACATACTTGTACTAAAAGATTTAAATGTAAAATTTAAATGTACCTGGTGTCCTTTTTTGTTTGTTTTTGCTAAATCTGGCAACCTCAGAACTCAGCCTCTTCAGTCCAGAGACTCAGTTTGGGGCCATTTTCATGTGTCGTTTCTTTTCTTTTAAATTAAAATATTAGTCTAAGGGTAAAAAGGTAAAACATTTCAATAAGGCTTATAACAACAGTAACAATCCCCTGCCCTAGCCTTCCTCATCCCTATCTTGCATCCTTCAGAAACAATTTCTTGGAACTCTTTAGCTGTTTCTTCTACATTTGTCACTGGATTTCTCAGTACAGGTTGCGGATCCTTTATCTCACATACCTGGACCAGACATGTTTCGAATTTTAGAGTTTTTTTTTTTTTTTTGGAATATTTGCATATACATAATGAGTTATCTTGGGGTTGGTACCCAAGTCTAAACCAAAATTCATTTATGTTTCATATACACTTTGTACACATAGCCTGAAGGTAATTTTTAAATAACTCTGTGCATGAAACAAAGTTTGTGTACATCGAACCCCCAGAAAGCAAAGGTGTCACTATTTCATGTTGGCACTCAACAAGTTTCAGACTTTGGAGCATTTTGGATTTTGGATTTTGGGATTAGGGATGCTAGACCTGTAACATACTAACATTGCTTTTTAATTTTTATTTTTTAAGTCTTAGGAAAATTGACTTCCAACTATGGAAGATAAGGATTTAGCTTTCTTACACTGCCCACCGTTACTCTCCACAATATAGACACATACCCATCTCAACCAACTGTAATATAAATGACATATTTATTAGTTCAGTGTTCATCCTACTTTATTATGATGGTGTCAATAGTATTCCTCCTCGAGCGACATAATGTCCAGTGTTGTATTTGTGTTTCCTTTCTTGTACTACTTTTTGCTTTCTTCTGGAGTTACTGAACATCTTCTTTTTCCTTGTTGAGTTTTCTATATACCTATCACTGATACCCAAATGGAGAGTGGAGTTCAGTAAACTTCCCACCAGAAATGTCAATCTCCTCCTACATGCAAATGCACCAGGCTCTCTCTCACCTTCATCTTGACTTCTGGGGCCACTCTGTCCCACTGCTCCAGTATGGTCTAGGCCTGTTGCTTCACCACTGTCCTGGAACACCTCTTTTTTTTTTTTTTTTTTTTTTTTTTAATTTGAGACGGAGTCTCGCTCTGTTGCCCAGGCTGGAGTGCCATGGTGCTATCTCAGCTCACTGCAAGCTCTGCCTCCTGGGTTCACGCCATTCTCCTCCCTCAGCCTCCCAAGTAGCTTAGACTACAGGCGCCCGCCACCACGCCCAGCTAATTTTTTTTTTTTTAATTTTTAGTAGAGACGGGGTTTCATCGTGTTAGCCAGGATGGTCTCGATCTCCTAACCTCGTGATCCACCTGCCTTGGCCTCTTAAAGTGCTGGGATTACAGACGTGAGCCACCACGCCCAGCCGGAACACCTCTTTATTATTGTCCAAAGATTTCCCTCTGCCTCTCTGCTGCAAGTAGTTGCTTTGATGAGGATAGCATTTGAGTTTGAAAACCACCCCCATTGTCTTCTAGTTTCTAATGATGCTTTTGGTAAAATCTGATATCTTAATTTCTAAATTTCATGATGCTATACCTTGATGTAGGTCTATCTTTATCCATTTTCTTGAGTGTTCATTGGGCACTCTGGGTCTGGAAATGCATGTTTTCAATTCTTGAACGTTTAAAAAACTATTTCTTTAATAATATTCTTTCATTCTTTTTGCCTGTTCTCTTTTTCTATAACTCTGGATCCCCTGGGCTGGTTCTCAAATTTCCTTATTTTTTCTCTATTCTTTTCCATTTTACTTTCTGGGAGAGTTCCTCAACCCTAGTTTCTAGCTCTTCTGTTGAAGTTTTGATTTTGGCTGTCATATTTTTAATTTCCAAAGAATTATTTCCTTCTTCTTGGGTGGTTCCTTTTTTTAATAGCAGCCTGTTCTTCTTTCATGGATAAAATAGTCCATCTTATTTATCTGAGGCTTTTTAATATGTCTGAAGTTTTTTTCTTGCTTCTGGAATTTTCTGTTTTCTCTGAGTTTCTGTCTTTGGTTTTGACCTTTCAGAGGCTTTCCTGAGATGTTTGTAATTTGATGATCTCTGTTCATTTTCATGAGTGAAATACTAAGAAGCTTACTGGAATCTCTGTGTCTTTGGAGCTTGTGGAGTGGTGAGCTTACTGCAGAGTGATGAAGCTGGGATCAGGCTGTCTCACTGGGGGCCTCCAGTGTCTACAGGCCTTTTTTTCTTGGAATCCTTTGGTTTTTCCAGGAAAATATTCTCCAACTGCCTGTTTGATATTACCCTGGGAGCAGAGCAGGGGAAGTGGCCAACTGTCTCACCATTCAGCATGTGGACTTTCCCCTCACACTTAACTCCTTGCTTTCAGTACAGTTCCTCCAGAGCCTTATATGGTGCCAGCTTTCCTTGAGTCTAGGCCTTTCTGGTCTAGTTTCTCCAGAATAAATTTTACATCTTTTGACAAGGTGGTGGGATGAGTAGGTGCTTGGCTTTGTGAGGTTGCAAAGGAGACCTGAAAAGGTGTGTCCACCTGCAACCAGTTTTTAGCTCTGCCCCTCAACCCTGCTTCTGTCAACTGACACCCTCAACTCCTGAGCCTTTATAGGTTCCTGGGGGTAAATCAGGTTGTATCTCACTGACATCAGCAGGGACTCAGGCTTTAAATCTTGCCCCCTCCCAAGTAAAATGCTATTTCTCCAGGGGCTTTCCATCATCTGCAAATTGGCTTTTAATATTTTCATCCACTATTCTGATTTATTTGTCTATGTAATTTACCTCCTCTCTCCTCCGTAAAATTTTCCTACACTGTTATTTTTGTAGGGTTTCAGGAGGGAGCAAAAAAAAAAAAATCCAACTTTAAAAAAATGTTTTTTGAGATGGAGTTTTGCTCTTGTTGCCCAGGCTGGAGTGCAATGGCTCGATCTCGGCTCACCGCAACCTCCGACTTCCAGGTTCAAACGATTCTCCTGCTTCGGCCTGCCGAGTAGCTGGGATTACAGGCATGCACCACCACGCCCGGCTAATTTTGTATTTTTAGTAGAGACGGGGTTTCTCCATGTTGGTCGAGTTGATCCCAACTTTTTAATCAGCCATTTTAAACTCTAGATCAGATGGACTTCCCCAGTAATGTTTTCTTTGGGCTTATATAAAAATTACGGTGCATTCAGTGGCTCACGCCTGTAATCCCAGCACTTTGGGAGGCGGAGGCAGGCGGATCACGAGGTCAGGAGATCGAGATTGAGACCATCCTGGCCAACACGGTGAAACCCCGTCTCTGCTAAAAATACAAAAATTAGCCGGGTGTGGTAGCGGGCGCCTGTAATCCCGGCTACTCGGGAGGCTGAGGCAGGAGAATCATTTGAACCCCGGGAGTCGGAGGTTGCAGTGAGCCAAGATCGCCATTGCACCCAGCCTGGCGACAGAACGAGACCCCATCTCAAAAAATAAAAATAAAATAAAAATTAATAAAATAAAATAAAAAATTACGGTGCATTCCCTAAGAACATGCTGTAGGTGGCGCCATAGAGCAGTCCAGGGAGAAAGCTTATGATGTTTAATTTACATTCATAGCAGGAGAATTGAGTCTAATGACCCGTAGCGTTTGGAACTTGTGTTCAGGCACCTGACACAACTCCACATTTATGAACGCAAAAGTGCCTGTACAGTCTTTTCCTGAATCACATGTGTGTGGGAAGAGCAATGAGCTTTCTGTTCATTTCCCTTTGAAACAACCAAAGAAAACTTTGACCATTTGCTAAGGTGTTACCTTTCACCTGATGGCCACTGGAATTTCACACAGAGATTTTTGCTCTTTTTTTTTTTTTTTTTTTTTTTTTTTACCACTTTGCAAGAGCTATTGCACCCTGACGAAGCCAGCAGGAAGCCTCTGGGCAATGTCCTTGTGAGTCTGACGCCAGACAGTCAGTGACTGTCACCAGGCAAACTGCTGTCCTGAGCACCAGGCTTTACAGTTAAATTTGTGCTTGAGTAAGATTACAAGTTACTCCATGTTATGGACCTTTGGGCTTGCTCCCAAATGATTTAAATTACAAATATGAAGTCTTTTCCTTCTGCAGAAATCTATTGCATGGGCACAATCATGATACCAACTGGAGTTTATGGAAACCTTATTTACCTTTTCCAAAGCAGTTTCACAAACACCTTGTTGTCGTTGCTTCCGTTTCACGTGCAGAAACAGAAATGACAATGATTGCTGGTTTGTTTGGCTACGCTGGCTTGCCCTTGGAGTGCTTTGTGGTAGTCACAGAGACACACGCATTGTGTCAGGTATGACAAGTGAGGAGTTTAACTTTGCCCAGGCCACGGCAGAGGCGGATGTTAAACACAGGACTTCGGGCAGCACATCTCACAGGCTTTGCAATAGAGTGTGGGCCAGATGGTAAAGGCAGCAGAGAGATCAGTCACGCAGGGGACAGCCAAAGGGGCTCTTGGAGGTGGGGGTTCAGCCGGGCCTAGAGGGACTGGACTCAGCATTGTGGGAAGGAGACTCGAGAACATTCCGGCATGGTAGGGGCGGGGTAAGGAGGAGCCAGGTGGTGGCAGGAACTCTTTCAGGGAGAGAGGAACGCGCCTGACGCTGGTGCAGGCTGAGGGTCCGAGAGGGGGACCCCTCGACCATGTGGATGGTGGGAGGTGTCAGGGAGCAGTGAGAGCAGCTGGATAGATCAGATGAGACTGTGCCTTCTGGGGCCTGGAAGTCAGGCACATGGCTTGGACTTGACTCTAGAGGGACTCAGGGGCCATTAAAGGTGGAGTATTAATGACAGCAGTATTAAGGACAACACGGGCAGAAATGGCTTCAGGTTGTACAAGCTCATAGTCACTGATTAGTTGCTGGAGTTCAGTGGGTGGCAGTGGGAGGTACAGTTTGAACAGACCAGAGCACCTAAGGATGGGGACTCGGTAGGAGCTCACTAGGCAAATGCCAGCGGGGTGAGGAAGGACACTGGTGTGTCCAGGTTTCTCAGTTCCATCCCTCATGCGACACAACCTCATATCACTAACTACATGTCCTTTTGTTCTGGTTCCTCCCTGGCAGGAAAAATGCTGGCAGGTGGTGCAAGCAAGGACATCTATGCATAGAATTCTGACAGCAGCTGGACCCTCAA
Source organism: Homo sapiens (assembly GCF_000001405.40). Classification (NCBI taxonomy): domain Eukaryota; kingdom Metazoa; phylum Chordata; class Mammalia; order Primates; family Hominidae; genus Homo; species Homo sapiens. The sequence goes on from NC_000012.12 coordinate 4,850,808, forward strand.
CTTCTTCAGAAGACGAGAACCCTGCCTGGCACCGCTGGCAGGCATCTGGCCTGACACCGCTCTGGAGGCCTCCCACAAGCAGCAACCAAGCCAGAAAAAGTTGAGACCAGACCCGTTGTCCCTAAAGATGGGGCCCAGAATGTTGGGGTGAAGCTGTAGGAACAGGGTGAAAGCTGGTGGTGTGAGCAAAGAGACCAGCTATGGGGTGGTCAGGGGATTCCGGGAGGTGCATGGGTATGTTGCAGACCCCCCCAGGACAAGGGTGGCTGTGGAAGAATGGCAAATAAACACAAGGCAAAGTCTCAGAGGCTGTGCATTATGCCATGAGAAAACGTCGACGGCCAAGTTAGGCAGACAAGCCAAGCGGTCTCCACAAGAGTAGGCAGGGATCCAAAATTCAGAGCACCTGCAGCTTGCTGGGCATCCTCACTACACAGGAGGATGTGATGGCCACACATAGATCACCAGGAAGAGGGCTTGATCACCCTCTGCCATGAGCCGGCCCACAGATAGGGGACATTCTGCAAGAAAGTAAGATGCGTAACCCATGATCTAAGAGTTATCTGCCTCTGATAGACACACGAGTGGGCAAATATCAAGGGCAGAGTTATTTTTTTACATGGACTTCCCAGAGGCCAGATGATGCTGTGTGCGGGGTCTCCCAGGTAACAGTAAGGATGTTCTTTCTAGTCACCCGCATTGTTCTTGCAACTGACAGCTGTTCTCTCTTGGCCTGTCCTCAGTGGAAGGGGGTAATGCTACTTCTTAACAATCAAACAAGCCCTTGCACTCTTCTAGGATCTCTGGTGGGGGACATTCCCACTGCTAGTCACTCATTCACGTATCTTTTCCACTTCCTGACAAAATGAAGGACTAGGATGATTTTCTTGTGTGGAATTTTGTTTCCTAATGAGGTGTTGCTGAGGCTCCAGGTTGCTTTAATGCCCACACCCTCCCAGATTGTCCTGAGTGCTGGGGCTTCATGACGTTGCTGCAGAAGTCTGGACAGCAGGGACCGTAGCCTTCGCCATGTGTCTAGCAGAGCACCTGATACAGAATTGTCACTCATACAATGTGTGGTGAATGAATGAGTGAGGAAATAAATGAAGGAAGTGCTGGATCTGGTTAATACATACGGTTAAAACACATACAAATAATCAGGAGCCCACACATTATTTACTACAAGTGAAGGTGGCTGTCAAACATCCCTGAAAAACACGCACACACACAAACATATACACACCCCTTTTCTCTGCCAGGCTTCTCTAAATAAACCCAGTAACTCTACTAGATGAACTCTACCCAATTTCTGACTACATAAACCCAACAATTCTGACATCTCCTGTGAGGGTCTGTTTCCCAAACCATGTCTAGCATTGATTTGTTCATCACTCAGCAAGCGTTCATTGAGTGCCCACTATGTACTGAGCACTTTTCTAGGTGAATGAAATGAATAAAGCAACAAGAGCCCATGCCCCTATGAAGGCTGGGTTCTGGTTGGGGAGAAAGGCACACAATACAATAAATAATTAAAATATGTTGTATGCTAGGAGAGTATAGGCAACAGAGGAAAATCAAGCAAGGGGGCTAGAGAATACAGCAGGAGTATGTGTGTGTGTGAGTGATCGCGTGTGTGTGTGTGTGTGATTGCATGCGTGTGCGTGTGTGTGTGTGTGTGTGTGTGTGTGTCGCGGGGTGGACAGCAGCTTAAAGCAAGGGAGACAAGGAAAGTATGACTTACAAGGTAATGTTTGCATTAACAGCAGAATGAGGCCAAAGGGAGCCAGGTAGATGTGCAGTGCAGGGGAGGGTTAGAAATTAGAAACGTTCTCGGAGAAGGAGCAAGTGCAAAGGCCCTGAGGTGGGTGTGTGGCTGGCATGTTCCAGGAACAGCAAGGAGAGCATTGTGGCATGCGGGGGGCAGTGAGCCAGCAGGAGAGCAGGAGGTGGGGCCAGGGACAGTTGAGTGGTGGAGAGTGGGGCCCATCAGCCGGGGCCTTGCAGGTCTTTGCTTATACTCTGAGTTGGAGGAGAGGCCATTCCTCCAGGGTTTTGAGCAGAGATGGGATATGACCGGACGTAAATTGTAACAGAATTGCCAGTTAGGAGGCTGTTTGAATAATCCAGCAGGGAGCTGAGGATGGTTTGGACTAGGCTGTCGCAGTGGAGGTGGAGACGCGGACAGATCCTGATCATTTTGCAGAGCGTGCCAACAGGAGGAACTGGATGCGGAGTGGGCGTGAGAGAAAGCGGAGGCCAGGAGGACTCCAAGGTGGTGAACTTGAGTGGTGGGTGGAAGAAGGGAAAGGCAGTTGAGCCAGCAACTGGGCCCTGGAGGCTGGACCCCTCTTCCTGGCTGCTGCTTGGGGCTGGTTACCACCCCTCTGAGAAGCTCCCAGAGGCTGGCCTGCGGGGCCACCCTAGCCAGCGAAGCAGGCTCTGATGCCGGCCGACCCTCCTCCATGTTTCAGAGCAGGTCTAGCGGGGCCTGACCCCATGTCCCAGCCTCCACCTTTCTCTCGAGGAAGCCAGTGGGAGGAGACACTGTCATTGCACTCCCTGCCTGTCTTCCTGACCCCGTGTTGGGGTGGGAGGCATCTGAGTGTCTGTGATTCATTCTGAGTTTCTCACCCTTCCTGCCCTTCACACACCCACCCCCCAATTTTATTCACTACCTTCTTCACATTCCCACTTTCCACACTCACACTAGAGCAGGCCAGGTCTGCTTCTTGGCTGGCCATGTGACAGAGCACCCACAAGAAAGTAGCTAGAGAACCCTAAAGTACCCTCGGGCCAGGGAAATGCCACCAAGTCTATGGCGACAGAGCCGTAGAGACAGACTATCTGGAAGGTGCTCCTTCCACCTAGCCACTCCTAGGAAAGTTGGGGATATGACTGGCACTGACTCCAGCTGGCAAGTGACATCTGCTGGAAGCTACTCCAAAATGGGAAGCAGGACACCAAATACTCTGGGATAGAGGTGGTGGGGAAGGGAAAGCTGGGTATGTGGAGTGCCTCAGCAGAAGGACCTGAAACCATTCTGGAGAAAAGAAGAAAAACCAGTAGGAGGCTGAGAACACCTCCATCATAGCTCCTGAGGAGGGGCCAGGGTGGTCTCTTCCAGAGTGGACAGATAATGGGGGATGGCCCCCCACCATGATGCGAGCAGGAGGGCTGATGGCCCAGGCTGCCCTCCAGCTGGCCCTGCCCTCTGCGTCTGCTTGTCTTTGGAATGTGTCTCTCCAGGGGTGACTCTTGTCTTTATTTTCAGGGTGAGGTAACAGAGAAACAATTTGCCAGGACACTCTTGGGTGCTGTAGGCTGATATTTGAAAGATTCTGCTTCCAGAGCTCAGCTGGGCTGGCTGATGACCATGGAGCTTCCTGGGCTGTCGAAGGGCAGACCTCAGGGCTGTTAATTCACTCGAGTACATGGCGGCCACAGCATGGGAGAGTGGAAAAGCTTTGGGCTGAAGCATAGAGAGCTGGGGGGCAGCCGCAGCCCTGCCACTACCTCACTGTGGGATTCACATCAGCACTCCACATCTTCATTCCCTAGTTAGCTCACCTGGGAAATGGGGAAATGGACCAGATCATCTCCAGTGTCTCTTCCCACTTAGTAATTCTGAGATTAGTAACTGTCATGAGAATAACCAAGGGTGAACCGATTTCTAAGTCCATGCTGGAAAATGGAAGCCCTCTCCTCTTGGCTAGGGAGATGCATGTAAATTCCACACCTGTTAAGCATCCATGCTCTGTGGCAGGAAGTTATAATAACCAGGTGACTCTGGCTCTTATTACAGTGATTCTGGGTCCAGGCAAGAGTGGCAGGTTTTTGGGATGACCTGTGACATAGGGTTGCTGGGATGATTAAGTGAGTTGCTGTAAGCACAGTGCTTCCTGTGCCTGCCTGGCGGGAAGCATGCCTAAGTGTTAACCATCATCATTATTATCATCACTATTATGGGATGGGTCACACAGACTTTCCCTTTCTGCTAAGGAAGACTGGAATTCCTCAGCTTCAGTTTCATGGGGCTCCTAGGCCAAGCCAACAGCCCTGATTGAACCCTGGGCCTGCTTTGGCTTTGTGGGCTGCAGAGAAGGACCTATCTCTCTTAGCTCAATCTCAGAACACAAAGCCAACCTGGTGGCTGGGGCGAAGTGGGAGAGGTGAGGATAAGGTGAATCTGATGGTCATCGCGACAGCAAAGTGCGGTGATGTTCGTGAAAGTGCGTGTGGCTGCCGCGCTCCCTCCAAGTGTAGAAGGCCATGAACAGTTCTCCTGGCTGCCTCTTAGATGAACAATGAACCATGAACTCATTCAGTCATCTCTGTGGAGTCCTTGTGTGTCAGAACATTTTAGAGATGGGAGGTCAGTGGGTGGACCTGCATACCACACCCCCTAGCAAACGGAGGAAAGCAAGCTTCAGGGAAGGGAGGGTGGTTGGTTCACGGCGAGGCGGGGCTGAAAGAGGCTTCCAAGGTAGGGGAGCAGCACTCCAGGAGCTCTGGCTTCAAGCCCACCTGTGGCTGACAGTGAGGCTACAGTCAGAGATGAAGAGTGATTGATTGTCTTTATGGGATGAAGAGTGATTGTCTTTATGGCCAAGGCCTCCACGTGCTGGACATGATGAAACAAACAAACAAACACACACACAGCTTCCTCTAGAAGCTGTGTGTGTGACCTGAGGGCCACACACATGGCCCTCAGGTCATGAGGCATGAGAATCTTTGAGCCGCACACATCAGCCCTGTAGCTTCCAGCAGAGCCCTTCCTGCCTTCCTTGAAGATTCAGAGCCACATTCGCATTCTGACTACTCTCCACTAGAGGGAGACATCACCACTTGTATTTAATATTTCTCCCTAGACGCTCAGTGCTGCCCTGGGGTAAGCCATGCCTGTTGGAAGAGCTCACAGGGAAGGACCAACCCAGCCTGCGGTGTGAACCTACTCAGGGCTAGGAGTCAGCACTGCCTTCCTAAGGGGCTGCCGGATTCTCTTCCCCTTTGACAGAGGTGCGGCCAGCCGTCCAGATGTGGCTGGATGACCAGTTAAGGGGCAATCACCTGCCCTTCTGCCCCACTCCGCCGGAGGTATTGGGTGCAGAAGTAAAGGTGGCTGCTCGGGGATTCCAAGTAGATGTAGGGGAGCTGAGGCCTCAAAGGCTCCCGATCTCCTGGCCTGTGAAAGCAAGTGGACATCTTAGAGAGTCCTTGCTTATGGGTGCCTGCAACTTCCAGGAAGAGGTCGTAGAGGAAGCAGCAGGAAGTGTTCCTGGAAACTCCACGCAGAGGCTGGACGCCCTGGGAACTTTGGCTCAGTGTGCTCTGTGGAGGGATATTATCTGTAGGGACCAGGATATAACACAGCAAAGGGATCAGGTGTCCTTTGGAAAAATGATTTTCCAAGTCAAATTAAATACCACTTGCTTACAGATTTTCTTGAATCTCACCAGGCTAAGAATCAGGCTGAATTATTTTGAACGCCTACCTGATCACTGGACCCGGAGTGAGGAGGGGAGACATGGAAGGTGACCTTGTATGCAACCCTTTTTCCTCTGGTGTCAGTCTTCCACTCAGGGCCTTGGTTTCCCCCTCTGGCAAGCGGGAAGTTGATTTAGGTGATCTCCAGGTTTCCTCCTGCAATAGACAGTGGTACGTTCAGTTTTTCCTCCTGTGTTATGGGTCATTTGTCACCAACTTGCTACTTTCCGCAGTCTGAAGCATATTAAAAGCGGCCCCCATCTCCCACATAAGCAAGCATTTAAAAAAAAAATACTGGTTAAAATAAAATGAGATTGGCCTCTTAGAACCAGTCAACTCATCAAAGTGATGCTGAGCCCTTCTGAGCTCAACAATGTTGACAGTAATTTATGCATTTCACAGCACTAGGCTGGAAAAGTGCAAGCACAGGGCTAAGGCTTACATTTCCTGTGTCAACAGTCACTTGCCTGGTGTCTGGTTTCTTTTTTGGTCCTGCTTACCTTGTGCCAGCCGGTGCCAGCTCAGGGGGCTCTGTGAGGCCACCTCGCCTGCTGGTGACAGAGTCCTCACTGCTTTTAATTTCCAAGTACTGCTTCATCTCTTGGAGATGCTTCAGTGACTCCATTCCAAGGCGGGTTTAGATGACGAAGTGGATGACGATGGGGGGAGTAGGGGAATCTCCTTAGAGACAAACCTGGGAGAAGGCATTTCTCATTCCAGTCAATACATAAATGTTATTGATTGGAATCATATTGGGTACATATTGCTTGGAACAAGGAAGAAGTATCTTTCCACTTCCTTTTGTTTAGCTCTTTAATGGGAAAAGTCTCTGTTTTTTTTTTTTTTTTCAGTTTCCCTCTTGTCGCCCAGGCTGGAGTGCAATGGCGTGATCTTGGCTCACTGCAACCTCCGCCTCCCGGGTTCAAGCGAATCTCCAGCCTCCTGAGTAGCTGGGATTACAGGCATGTGCCACCACGCCCGGCTAATTTTATATTTTTAGTAGAGATGGGGTTTCTCCATGTTGGTCAGGCTGGTCTCAAACTCTTGACCTCAGGTGATCTGCCTGCCTCGGCCTCCCAAAGTGCTGGGATAACAGGTGTGAGCCACTGTGCCCAGCTGTTTCTGGTTATTAATAGGAACAAAATACCAGGGCATGCTTTGTCTAGGTCAGTCCTCATTCTTCATTGTGGATCAGAATCAGCTGGAGAACTTGTCAAAATGCAGATTCCTGGGCTCTGAACCCCCGAGTTATGGACTCAGTAGGCGTAAGAGGCCTGAGAATTTGCATTTCTATCCAGCTCCCAGGTGATGCTGATGCATAGGTCAAGGACCACACTTTGAGAAGCACCGGCGGGGAACACAGTGTTACCAGGTCTTGGTCTCCATCCAATGCAGTAAACACTATGCGATAACAACCTGGGGGCTTTTGAGCTTACAGGAACAGTCAATGCAATAGAAGCACGCGCTGCTAGGTCTCCAAGGAAACAGGGACAGTCTCTTCTCCCGCTGTTAGTTAATGAGAGTGTGGTTGTAACTAAACTACTGGCTAATTACCACGATCGTGGGAAGTGTCCCAGGTCGGCGCTATGAGCTTCTGCCACTAGGGGGAACCAGGGCTATTTCTCTGCAGGCTCCAGGCTGTGAGAAGAGGAAAAGTACTGAAGAGAGCGAGCAAAGCCTTTCAGAAAATACTGCAACACTGCGTGCCCGAGGCCCCCGCACATCGCTGCAATCTTGATGTGCACAGACACCGTCGAGAACCAAGGCTTGGCAGGGAGGGGGGATGGTTGATTTTCTAAGTTGTTTGGTTTTCCTCCCTTTCCTTAAAGTACATCCACATTAAGCCGTTTATGCCGCGGGTGACCTGTAGTATGAGAAGAAACACAGGTCGCTCTCCTGGCTTTGCAGATAGAGTAAGCTCAGGAGAGAGGGAAAGGAGCTGGGCAAAATGCCAGCAAGGGAGGGCTGGGCTGGCGGGACCCAGATGTTCCCTGCCCAGGAGCGTCGTGGAGAGAAGGGGAGGCATGCCTGGGGTTTGGACTGGCCAGCTTGCAGGTGGCTGTCAACCCTGAATGTTGTGGCATAGGTCAGGATGAGGTCCCTTGGGGTGGGGGAGGCAGAGTAATTCCTAAGGGAGAAAAAGACAGGAAAGCAGGTTTTGGGGCTAAGAAGACAAAAATGACTGAGAGGTTATTTTACCTGCCTTGAACTTGCAAACAAGTATGGGTCATGACCTCTTGTGAGTGCTGCCGCATGCCCTGTCAGCTGCTGTCTTCTGGGGACACGCATATTCTGACCGCCACAGAGGGCAGCATAACAGCCACAGTGCCTGCTGAGCAGGAACGTGCCGCCTAACCGGTCCGTGGCGTCCCTGCCTCTTTCTCCCTCATTAAGCCTCTTTCCCAGGACCACAGCTTTGGAAACAGCTTAATCTCTAACAAGTGATCCCGCAGGGACTTGCATTTCAGTCCCTAAAAACCACTCTGTTCCCTTTCTCGGCATGACAGTGGCCTTCTAATGGTTTCGGAGATAAGATATGAGCCCAGGTGATGTTGGGACGTGCAGAATCCATGGTGGGCTGCATAGGTATTAATTCGAGGAACAAATTTCCATAACGTGTGTGTTTGTGGGCATGAGGGTGTACACCTCAATGGCAAATTATCATAACAAAACATTAGCTATAAACATTTAGTTTGAGGACTTGGCGTATAGTTCCAAAAAATGATCTCATTAGCTTACTAACATTCACTTGTCCCTGTGACCAACACATGCAACTCACTGTTCGGAGGGAGCCCCCATCACAGCTAAACAGAGGGACCAGGAGTCTTCCTTCTTAAGCTGCAGCCTGACTTTTCTCCAGCTTACTGTGATAGTTTTCTGGCATGAGCAAAATAAGCAGACCCTGTCTCTCATAATTGAAAAGCGTGTGTGTGTGTGTGTGTGTGTGTGTGTGTGTGTGTGTGTGTGTGTATGTATGCATCCTTTTCATATTCCTTAAAACATTTTTAGCAGGTAAAATCATGTCTCTATGCTATTCTCTCACTGCCAGCCACAGAAAGGATCTTACACAAAGAAGTCCATGGGGCTCCCCTTCTCCTGCACTCAAGTCCTGGATAGGAGTTCTGACTTTTCTGAGTGACAGTTCCCAAAAGGGTTCCTTTTCACCTTTGTTGAATGCAGAAGCAGTGGCTCTTCAAGAGAGAGCATCTCCCTCACCCCTTAGTCATTCCGAGCTATTTGGCTCACAGGTACTTTCAGCATCAGATCTGGTCCTGACTCCAGCTTCCACTGAGTACACATCCTTAGGGCCTCTGCAGGGCGGTGCACCCATGCCTGGGAGGCCTCTCCATCCCTGGATCCCTGCGGCCACTCTTCAAGGCTCCTATTGCCAACCCAGGGATCTGCTGCTCCGTGCTGCTGTCTTGAGCACTGCCTGGCTGCTTGGACCAGGCAGGGCCCAATGACCACAAGTCAGGGAATGGAGAGAGGTGTTTGCTGCAGATTGAGATTCTGATCCTTCCTCTGTCCTTGAAGGACCCTCTCCTCCCCTGTCTCCCTCGCAGCCTTCTCCAGTGCTGGAGCTGACCCGGAACATCAGAGACAGGAAAGTCACTGCTCCAGTTGAATTTTGCTGCAGTTTCTTTTTTTCTCCCCTAGATGCTGAGAGCTATTTTTAGACAGGGACTTTTTTTTTTTTTTCAGGGGATCCACAGTCTATTTTTAAAGGACTTACGGAGGCCACATCATTCAGTGTTTCTCACAGGGACTTCAGAGAGAGTTAGGTGGGACAGGCCAGAGCAGTGGGGGTGCTGGCACCTTCCTGAGGAAGAGAGGGTATCAGGAGAGACCTGGGGAAGGTTGGGAGAAGCGTGGTGCCCAGGCAGGGCAGAGTGGGCTGCTTTCTCATGCTGGAGAGCATACGAGGGACTCACCATGCTCCTCCCTCCAGTCACCCCAGGCTTCGGGGCCAGAGCTGCCTGACTATCTTCCCATCCCAGCGGCCACAATGACATTGCCCTCCAACATGGCAGTGGGTTTAATTGACTGTACTTTCCTTCCTTTTTCCTAAACGTCTGTGTTCAGATGGCTTCTGCATCTCCTCTTTCCATGGCACTCCCTTGTCTCTGCAAACTGAGCTGTGGAAAGTTTTGGATCATGCCTTGGGCCTGAAGCCAGCCCCAAGAGGGCAAAGCTGAAGTCCTGGGTGAAGAGGGGACCTCGTGTGTCACAAGATGGAGACCAGGGTGGATAGGCTCCCGCTGCGACAGGGAGGATACAGCCAGGCGGTGATCTTGTCCTGGGCTCCCCAGGAGGGAAAGAAGAAGGAGGAAAAGGAGGAATCAGAGGAGAGCCATTCAGAGTGACTTGGGCAGAGACAGTAACAGGCTGCGGTGTCCTCGGAGACTCCCCTAGACCTGCTCTTTCTTCCACTCCTGAGTCCAGCCCTTAGTGTATAACTCCAAGGTCTGTGGATTTGGGGTCTGGATTCACAAGACTAGGATGGAGTAGTCAGGGAGAAGGGCCTGGGTGGAAGATTCCAGACAGAGTTGGTGAAAATGCTTCCAAACAGAGCTAAAGAGCTTTCCTCTCAGTGAATAGACAGGGGACTGCCCTCGCAGGAGCCCTGCGGCCACCCCATTGCGTGAGCCTCTCATGCTTCTCCTTGCTGTCTCCTTGCAGGACTTAGGCCGCAGGGTCAGGGCCTGGAACTGCTCTGAAAATAACTGGGGATTCCTGGTGCTCTCTGAGTCCTCCTGCCAATCTTCAGTTGTACCAAGAAGTGAGAAGGAAGGAGGCAGTGAGTGAAGAAGTCTAATTCCAGCTCGTTAGCCGACACCTGCACTGCCCTTCAGAAAAGGGCAGGCTGGGAATGCTGTTGTGTGGCCCCCTTTGGGGTGCCAGGACCCCTGGGTAAGGCTGCGTGCCTTGGGTGGGAGCTGAGACATAGCCCGGGCACCTTCTGCACAGTGGATGGGCCCGGACAGCCTGGCATCCCTGGCTCCGTCAGCAGGCAAGGAAGGGGCGAGAGCGCAGTGTGCTCCTAGAAAGATACTTATGCTCCCCACATCAAAGCCTCCCACCGTCATCTTCCTGAGAGCCTCAGGCAAAGCTGCGGGACCCTCTTTCCCTGTTCACATCAATCTTCGCAACAATCCCGGGATGCCAGGTCTGCCCTCATTCTGAACTCTCCAGAACCCCCTAACTTTATCAATGGTGACTGTATCAGTGAGGCCCTTCCTGACCACTCTTTTTAAAATGGTCACTCCCCTCGCTAGCACCCACCCCCCACACCCTCCTCACCTAAGTTGCGATTTCTCCCACCTGCCATAGATCTCACCATAGATCTCCCCACCTGTGGTTTATTATCTGTCTCCCGACAGGATCTCCACAAAGACGGGGTTTTGTCTATTTTGTTTATGGCTAAATCCCTCAGTGCCAACAAACATGAAGCACCAAATATATATTTGCTGAATGAATTAAGAAAAAGAGCAAAATGTGCCATGGCATAAGCATCCCTGGGGAAACTTTCTCTCTGACCTTCTCTCACTCCAGCCCAGCAGAGAATTTAGGGAAAAAAGTGACCACTCACCCCTTCCGCAGCAGATCAGTTCAGGCCCTGGAATAATCAGCAGTTCAGAACCTCAGCATATCAAAGCAGGAAGGGGCCAAAGAGATAATCAGATTTAAGCCCCACATTTTTGTGGAAGAGGGAACTAAAGCCCAGAGAGGTGAAGAAACTTTTCCAGAGTCACACAGCCAACTGGTGACAGCAAGTGAAACCCAAGTTCCCCGCTCCCAGGCTAGAATTCCTTCAATAAGCTCAAGTGGCCACAAACCTCTCTGCTTAGAAATGTGGAATTAGCCAGGTATGGTGGTGTGCACATGCAGTCCCAGCTATTTGGGAGGCTGAGGCAGGAGGATCGCTTGAGCCCAGGAGTTTGAGGCTGCAGTCAGCTATGATCATGCCACTGCACTCCAGCCTGGACAACAGAACAAGACCCTGTCTCAAAAACAAAACAAAACAAAACAAGAACAGAAAACAATCAAACAAAAAGCCCAGAAATGAGGGAAAGCATTACATTCCCTCCCAGGCCAAGGAGGCCAAGGACCTCTTGACAAGCAGGATAGGATTGTCCTCGAACTTGGGGCTAACAAACCCAAAATCCAGAGTGACCGGGCTCTTTGCCAGCTGGAGGATTCTGGGAGGCGCTGAAAAACGTGCCTTGTAAGATGTCTACTCTCGGCAGGACCCAAACTACACACAGGGAAGAAACCATATCAGCAGGGACAGACACTGCTTCTAGAGGCCATCCAGGGCTGGCCATAACCTCCACCCAGTGGAGTCAATGTATATATGTATTTGCAAGGAAGAGCTAGAAGCTGACCAGAATATAAATATATATATTTCACAAGTCACTCTGAATGGGAAAGCAGACCTGAACTCTTTACAGCCTCTCAGTTCATTCCCTTTCCCTACACAGCACCAAGCAGGAGTCAGGCTCAGGTCCATGGGGCTGGCAATCTGAGTGACATGCCATATCCCTCTGTTTTCCACTCATGCGGCACCATTGCTCCTAGACGGAGAGTGTGTTCAGTCTCCAGAATTAGTTCATTCTCAGGGGGTATCAATGCTTCATATGAATCACCTGCTGTGTTAGATTCTCCCCATTGGGCCTTCAGATGTGTGCAGATGAGTCTGAATTTATGTTGAACCCAGTTTCACATCTCAAGCTGCTGTTTTGAGATGAGTCAGATTGGGAAGGGAGCTGGCAAGCTAGGGAGTTCAAACATCATGTGGACCCATGAAGGGTGTTAAAGGTTGCAATAGAACTGCATTAGAATGTGGATAGCATTTTCCAATTTTCACATCACATTTGCTTACACTGGGTCATCCTCTCCCTTTTAAGTCTCTATGATGATCCACCAGCTCTCCAGGGCAATTCTGCCGCCTTGACAATCTCTGGAGTGGATTGGCCCTGGAATGGGATGGCTTAGACCTGAGCTTCCAGGTCTGAAGGTTTGCATCTTCCAGGAGGAGGTGGTTTCAGAAAAGAACTAGGGCTGAGCTAATAGTAACCTGTGCAGGGTGGAAAAGCCCTGGGTTAAGTCTCATCAGTAGAAAATTCCTTTTGTCTCTTTATGTCTCAAATGCAAGTGTCTTACTTGGCTACTAGTTTATTTATCTGATCATAGTGTGGGGGACCTGCAAAGTCAGAGCTGTTAACTGGGCACTAGAAGCCTTCAAAACCCGTCTTTACCAGTGTTGGAGGATGAGAGTGGATGGCACTGAATTATTTCCTGAGATTTTCTGGTCTGAAGAAATTTCCACTAAGGGCTGAAGAATTCAGAAAGATGCATGGGCAGATACTTACTTACAGCCCAAGATATTTATGTGAATAATAATGATGATGATGATCTGAGGTTGATAATAATAAAGATAAGATGATGAAACTAGTATCAGCAAATGTTTTTTATATGCTAACTCTTTACTGGGCATTGGGCTGAGTCCTTGACATGCAATAACTCATTTAATCCTTACATTAACCCCAGGAGGTAGGTTCTTCTAGTATTTGCATTTTGCACATAAGAAAACTGAGGTTCAGAGAAGTTAAGTAGCTTGCCTGAGGTCACATAACAGGTAAGTGCTGAAGCTGAGCCTCACATGCAGGAAGTCTGCTTCCAGAGCCCCAGGGATGAAGCAATACCTTCTAGCACGTTTTTAGTTCCTGGTTACCTCTCATGCATTCCAGATCTGTAATCCAGGTAATGCCCTCAACTCTCCCCGAAGAAAAAGTTAGCGTGCTCTTACCCAATAAAGGGGACACAAATAGAGTGCAGGCAATAATTAGAGTTGCCTGGATAGCATATATGGAAAACAGCCACAAGAGGAGATGGTGCACAAAACAGTGGAAGGAAAAGAAACTAGAGAGGTGGGTTGGCTGAGGAAATGAAGGAGGTTAGGGTTTAACTGTATTCTGGAGGCGTGAGGGAGCTATTAGAGGTTTTGGAGCAGGGAAATGATGAGATCAGATCAAGCTTGTATTTAGTGACTAAGATCTGGAAGGTGTGATTTTATGATTCTATCTGTATTCCTTCATGTCATAGCAGCAGGAAGGCCCTCTCTTCCACGCACTTCTGAGGCTGTGCAGCCTGTGAGGTGGAAAGCAATGGAGCATCCTCCCATGGAGAAGGAAGTTGAGGCTCGCTTATGGGTTCCATGCCATTCTGGCTTCCTAGAGCACTTGGAGATGAGGAAATACACCTGTGCAAGCAGTGGTGTGTTGGTGAATGCTTAGCAACTGACCCTCTGGTGGAAAAAAGCCCTGACTAGAAGCATTTGCAAATTCCTGTGGTAAATTACTCCCACTGAGGCTAATTTCAAGCTACAATATGATGTCCACTGGGTTGCAGAACTCCTGAACATTTAACAATGAGTTCCAGCAAATCAGCATGAGCTGGCTCCAGCGCCTCTGCGTGCAGTCTGGTGGCATCGCCGGGCGTGTATTCACGCAGACCTGGAGGGAGCTTGCAGACAGCTGATGAGAAAGGCAAGGTAACTTGCCCAGGCCACAGCTGACTTGGAGACGCAGGAATTGAATGAGGGGTAGGAGCCGGCATCTTGGTTCCCAGGCCGTGTGTTTATGCAGGCTCTGTTTAGGAAGGCAAAATTTGATCTTTGCCTGGTCCGCCTTCAGAAGAGAAGGGATAGCAACATTTTTCCTCTGGCTCCTAAGAAATATGTGTCAGCCACAACCTCCTACCCGAACTAGAAAAACAATGTCTTGGAATATTTTTAATAGTGAGTATAAATCCCATACAGTGATGGATGAAGTGTGAAGATTCAAGTCCAGAGTGTCTGCTAGAAGATTACAAATCATTTTTCAGTTTGCATGGTGCTTCTATTCATTGGCTCATCCACTCAGCCATTTATTCAATCATTCAACTGACATAAATTGGGAGCCCCGACATGGAGATGATTAGCAACAGAAGAGAAGGACCACCAGTCAGGTACTGATGAGAGAGCAAGGCCAGTTGGTGGAGGGAGAGTGTCAGAGATCAGAGGTCAGAGGCAGGAGCAGACCGTTGATGATGAGTCTTCGCATGCAAGAAAAAAGTTACAAAGTCAGCAGTAACTGGAGTTTCAAGAACCAACAGGTGAGAAGCTCAGGACCAGCAGGTGGCTGGGGAGTACTGAGCACCAGTGAACAGAGAACGTTGCTCTAAGCAGACTTGCTCCAGTCACTGGGCACTTACACCCTTAAAAAAATAAATGAATTTATTTATTTTTTTGAGACAGGGTCTCACTCTGTCACCCAGGCTGGAGTGCAGTGGGGTACCATCTCGGTTCAGTGCAGCCTTTGTTTCTTAGGCTCCAGTGATCCTCCCACCTCAGCCTCCTAAGTAGCCTGCAATCCCAGCACTCTGGAAGGCCAAAGTGGGTGGCTCACTTGAGGTCAGTTGTGTACCACCACAACTGGCTAATTTTTGTATTTTCGGTAGAGACAGGGTTTCACCATGTTGGCCAGTCTGGTCTCGAACTCCTGAGCTCAAGAGATCCACCAGTATCGGCCCCCCAAAGTGCTGGGATTACAGGTGTGAGCCACTGTGCCCAGCCTACACACTTTTTATTGGGACAAGAGACAGCATCAGGTAGGGGATTGCACAAAGGTGGAACAGGTAAAAGGAAAGGAATGAACGCTTGTAGAGAGACCCTGGCATCCACAGGCACTGTATGAGACTTGTTTTTTCAAGTCTTATCAGCAAAGGGAGACTTTCGTGAGCTAGGTGGTATTATTATTTACTTGAGAAAACTGATGCTCAGAAAGTTTAAGTGACTTGCCTATGGTCACACAGCTAGTAAGTGGCAGAACCAAGGGGAATGAAATAAGCAGCGGAATACAGATTCAGCCAAATTGGCAGCTGAGCCAGTTGGGTGTCTCCCCGCATATGAGGGCTCTTTGGCTATTGGTGGGCTGGAGTGACTAGGGGCAGACAGGGCTGGAAGAAGGACAGCGATATTTTCATTCTCTCCAGGCCACTAGGAGCAAGGTGTTCACTGTCCTGTCCATGTGTCCTCCCTGGAGGAAGGGATCTGAGTGTTTACACAAGGGCACATTTCTGGTACGCTGAGGAGGGCCAAACTGTAAACGGAGATCATGCCCCCAGCTCGGCAGATGCCTGAGAGTGAGGCGCTCGCTGACATGCTGATGGAGAACAGGGACTTCTTGTTTACCCGGCTCACCATCTGGACTCATGAAGCAACGTCCAAGGAAGTGGCTGTAACTAAAAGCTCAGAGCTACTTCCCTGGCTCCCTCCATGCTTGTGCTACTGCCTGTCCAGGTGCAGAGTGGCTGGTAGGGGAGGGAGGGCAGGGGCTCAGAACAGGGGCAGCGTGGGGATACTGCCATGGGGTCTAGGCAGGGTGGATGGTAACTGCGAATGTCTGGAGGTGAGAGGTTGAGCACATTCTCTCCGAGGACTTTTATGAGTGAATGGACTTCTTTCAGAAGAGAAATTTAGATCAGACAAGTGGGAGCACTTTCTCATTAAAGAGTTGGAAAACAGTACAATGTGTTAAGCAGACCATTCAGTGAAGGGCTTTTCTTAAAAAAATTTTATTTTAGGTTGGCGGGTACATGTGCATGTGTGTTACATGGATATATCACGTAACAATGAGGTTTAGGCTTCTAGTACATATACCCTTCACCCAAATAGTGAACATTGTACCTAGTAGGTAATTTTTCAACCTTCACCCCCATCCCAACCTTCCCATTTTGATAGTCCCCAGTGTCTCTTATTTCCATCTTAATTTCCATATGTACCCAATTGTTTAGCTTCCACTTATAAGTGAGAACATGCAGTATTTGATTTTCTGTTTCTGAGTTATTTCCCTTAGGATAATGGCCTCTAGCTACATCTATGTTGTTGCAAAGGACTTGATTGTATTCTTTTTACAGCTGCATAGTATTCCACAGTGTATATGTACCATGTTTTCTTTATCTAATCCACCATCGATGGACATTTAGGTGGATTCCATGACTTTGCTATTGGGAATAGTGCTGAGATAAACATACAAGTGCAGATGTCTTTCTGATAAAATGTGTCTTTTTGATTTCTTTTCCTTTGGGATTGCTGTGTCAAATGGGGTTCTATTTTTGGTTCTTTGAGAAGTCTCCATACTGTTTTCCATAGGGTTTGAACTAATCTACATTCCCATCAACAGTGTATAAGTTCCTGGATTGCTTTTGGGATTGGTGGAGAGAGACGGCTGGGAGCAGCGCCTCTGCCTGGTTGGGAGGAGTAACTGATGAGGGTGACTCTTTCCCAGTCTAGACCATACAGTTTGGGAGACATCAACTCATTCCACTTGAAAGAGCTGAGGAAACTGGGGAGGGTTTGAATCGTTGCATCCTTTGTGGTGACGTGGGTGTGAAAGTAGGTCACTCGTTCTCTTGCCCTATGCCATTCCTGCCCTTTAAGTGGCACAGTGATCTGGAGAGTCCAGAATTGTGAGCAATCCTCAAATTGTTTCTGTTTGGCATTAGGATGCCCTCTTTAATTGCTTTGGTTCAGGCTAATTTGAAAAACTGCTTTCATTTTGTATTGGTCAGGATAGAGTTGCACCAAATGATCCCAAAATCTCAATGGCTTCACTTGATAAATTGTACTTCTCACTCACATCACAACTGCATGTGAGTTGGTAAAAGAAGGAGGGCATGGGGGAGGCTATGTTCTAGTAGTCATTCAGGGATCCAGGCCCTACCATTCCCCAGCGCCATGGTTCTCCACTGCTTGTGGCTGGGAGGTAGGGGAGGGAGGGAGGAAGAGAGTAGGATTTCTCAGAAGATTTTTAGGCACTAGCTCTAGAAGTGACATAAACTATTCATGACTATATTCCACTGACCAGAATCAGTTATATGGCCCCATCTACTGCAAGAAAGGTTAGAAATGAAGTGCCCAGGAGGAAAAGGACCCTGGGTTTGGTGAACTCACAGCAGTGTCTCTGGCCCACATGTCCTGAGTTTTCTGGGAGCACAATGCATATTCGTATTAGGGGAATGGGTTGTAAGGTCCTCTATGATTTCCCTCACAGACACAGGCTGAAATAAGCACTGTGTGGATAAGTCATAGCTGTTTTAAAAGGGCCATGATGCATTCTCCTGGGGAAGCAGGACTCTCCACTCTGCGTTGTGGAGACACCTGGTACTGGTGTCAGCTCTGTCCTTGTCATTGGGAAAAGGTTGTGAATCTGGGACTTCATATGAATTAAGCCTTTGCAGGGTAGCCCCACTGTGGTTCATTTATAGTTCATTCATCTGAATGACTCAGGCATCAGATTGGGGGACTTTTAGGACCTGAGCTCAAGAACTTTAAGAGGTTTTGCTGGCTTCCCGGGACCATTGCATTGGATTGTACTTGTAAGATAATAGGTCTAAGATCCCTGTAGACTCTAGGTTCCAATCCCCTCATATCCACAGGACTTCCAGGCCTGTCCAACATGGATTTTCTAGCATTTCTACCTAACTCTACGTAGGGAAGCTCATAGATGTGAAGGAAAAATCCCTTTGACTATCTGCAACTTATGGATGGGACGATCACTGTCTCGGTTCACCAGGACAGCCCTGGTTTATGCTTACTGTTCAGGCATAATGATTTACAGTGCCTGCTTTTGCTATTGAAAGTGTACCGGTTTGGACAATAAGTTATGCAGTCACCCTTCTGAGAAGAGACTCATGACCTAGGCTGCATCCTGACTCTGTGATCAGATGCATCCTTGCAAGCAGCCTGCACACAGAGCCTGATGATGCCACCATGATGCTGGAGTTGGGCCTGCATTCCCAATACCCTTGTCATTGTCACCCTGTGACTTCTAGTTTCTGCAGGATCTTGGTCTCTTTTCTTTCAGACCTCAGAATCACAGGCCTGCGCTCAAACAGTATTCACTGAGCAGACAATAAAACAAAAGCCCAACATGCTTAGGAGTTTACTAAAGCATGGATTATTAGCTCTAGTTTACAGGACTGTAAATATTTAGGACCATGAAGATAAGTGATATTTCCAAAGTCAGACGAAGCCCAGACTCTAGTTCTAACCCAGACATCCTGATTCTAGGTGGCTTTTTTCCCCCATGCCAGATATAATGTCTCAGATGCCCCTTACCTAATGGGAGGTCCAAGTTCATACCAGGCAAAATTCTACAGGAGGACCAAAAACCAAACGAATAACTAAAAAGGATCTGTGGTATGGTTAATTTATATATATTATTATAACTTTCTGGATCCTCCCTCTGAGTAATTCATCTTTGTCTCCAAAAAGCCTTGTTTGCTTGGAGAAATGTACATAGGCTCTAAGCCACATGTGTTCCTGACTCTGTAAGTGAAAGGCCCATAGAGCACTTCTCTGAAGGTAAGGATGACATTTCTGCTCCATGAAGGAAGTGCAAAATATAAACTCTTAATTTGCTGAATATCAACATCAAATAGAGTGCAGGATTAGTACCATTTGGAGTGGGAAGAACACGCAGTAGTATGTAATCTGGTAGTGATGAATGTTGCCGCCAAACCCACATATTAACCAAATTGAGCTCTCCAAATTTCCGCACCTGTTTTGGTTATGGTTTTATGTTTAGTTTGGATGGACTATTTATAAACCTGGTTTGGAACTGCAAGTGTGATCTTTGGATCTCTTAGACTGTGCTTTCAGCAACCTGGAGCCTTCTCTGCACAGAGTTTCCAGGAAACAAACAAAAAGGATGGACCAGAGAAGCAAAGGACATCTATTATAGATCTTGCAGTCCATCGCTCGATGTTCCTCTAGTCCTCCTTCCTGATTTCTTTGGGGCCTTGGGGATATCATTCAAAGCTTATTTCATGAAAACACAGACTCTTTGGAACTGGAAGGGACTTTGGAGACTATTCAGCAATTACCAAACGTGATATATTGTATCACTGATGGTATGCTAGGAGATTCCAGGAGCTACATAAACTTCAAACATGTATACAGTAAGTCCTCACTTACCGTCATTGTCATCGGTAGGTTCCTGGAAACTGCACCTTTAAGGATAATTGATATAAACAAGACTGAAGCTCCTACAGTATATTTCTGGTTTCAAAAGAATCAACAAATTTCTAAGTAAAGACTCAAACACTTCTAATATTAAACATTGAAATAAATGTGAGCTAGTCATATAATTAACAAAGATTAATAAAAACAAGTAAGATAGTTACTTACCCAGTTATTCCAGCTATGTATCACAGGTCGCCAGAGCTTTCAAGAGCTCAGGGTGCCAGGCAGGACCAGCCCAGTGCAGGGCACATTCACACATGCAGTCACGCTAGGACCATGTGGACACACCAGTTCACCTAACAGGTACAGCTTTGGGATGTGGGAGGAAACCGGAGTGCCCAGAGCAAATCCATGCAGACATGGGGAGAACATTCAGACTCCACACAGACTTCCTTTCTGGGAAGTATTTTTTTTTTCTCATCAACTTTATAGGGAAGCAACATAGAATGAAATGACATTATTTGGGGACCTGCTGTATTACTTGGGTGTTTAATTAAATGTAGCTTAAAAAGAATATACAACTACAGCATCAAAGCCATTAGTCTACAAATGGTGTTGATTAAGACAAGGCAAGTAGTAAGTAAAACAAAGTCAATCTGAAGAGAAATGATGGTGACATTAAGGTTGGCACGTGGGTATGTAAAAAAAAATGTCAAAGTGATGCCACATGAATGCATTTTGGAAAATTCTGATTTGGTGTACTTCTCTTGTTTACAGACGAAGAAATTGAGGACCGAATACAAAAAAGTAGATCCAGGGCTCGAACCATGGTGCCCACCCCTCTCTACACACACACCACCTTCCTAGGCATGCTTTCTGGGGACCATTGCCCCCTAGGACCCACAGCTAGAAACTAACGTCCAGTCAGCATTCCCCAACCCTCGCTGGTAGGGCTCCTCCTGGAGAGTTGAGTCACTGCTCCCTCCTACCATCGAAGGCACTCCCCATCTTCATTCCACCAGACACACATTTCCTGTCCTATGGAATATGGCTTATGTTTTCCTTTTGTGGATCCACGACAGGAAGGTAGGACCTTGCCTGTAGACTCAGGACCCTTAATGTTGTCTGGATGTTTTAGAAAAAGCAAAGCAAAGATTTCTGTCTGCTCATTGAATGAAGAGCAACGTGCAGAGACCAAATGCACAAGCAGATCATCAGCTTCAGCAGGGGTTGGGGTCGGGCCCCTCATTGCTAGAGATCCTCTGCCTCAATCTCCAGCACTGTGATCACCAATTGAGACCTGGGAGAAAATCTCTCAAGCATCTTCTGGAAGAAGGCGCTCGATCAACCACACTTACGCTGGTTCCCTGGGGCTGAGACCTTTTCTCTCTGTTCCGAGGAGCACCCTCCCCACCTACATGGAACTATAAATATCAGTAGGCAGAAGCACTGCATGTGCTTAAGCTTTAGAGCCAGGATCTCTCTTGGCCATCAAACACTAGCTGTGCATGGACTTGCAGGCTGGCGGGTGTCTGCAACACTCACGCTGTAAAATCCCCCATCTCCGGGTGCAGACTGGGGGCTCTAACAGCTTTCATGAATATCGAAAATTCTCTTAAAGCTTCCAGTTTCAATCTGGATATTTGGATATATGTGTGATGTGGCCACACTAGCATTACAGAACCCAAGACCTTGGTGGAGGAGAATGAACGAGAAAAAGAACAGCCTAATGTGATGGAAAGAAGAGTAACGACAACAGAGCAAGGCTGAAAATGAAGGGGTGGAAAATGCACCCCGAGCAAACACGAACTAAGAGAAATCCTGGATGGCCATATGAATACTAGCCAGAAAAGATCTGAGAGGAAGACAGTTTTGGAGATAAAGTCATTCTTTAATTACTAAAGGAGTAATTCATGAATAATATATAATAATTCTGGGCTGAACTATACCTAACAATTAAAACTAAAACTATATAATGCAACTATTGCCAGCATTATAAGGAGGAGTTGGCAAATACATTTAAGCATACCTTTCTAAAAACTAATAGATCAAGAAGGCAAAAAATAATAACATAGAGAAGATTTGAACAACATGGTTAGCAACCTTTGCCCAATGTAAGTGTGTGGCATCTGGCACTCCAAAATTAGAGAGTTCGGTCTTTTCAATCAAACCACGGAACAATAGCCAAATTTACTATAATTTTTAGTTCCTTTAAATTGATTGACTTTTTTCAAAAAAGTTCCAGATGTTTTAAATCACCACTTTCTTTCAGGTAGCAGGTGCGAATTGATTGACTTTTGTCTTTTAATTGACTACTTGTCATTTTATAAGGAATACCACCCATGAACTATGAAGTTTGATGTGATAGTTATTATATTTATATCCAAGACATATTTTATTATGTAATAAGTAGTACACATTTAAAAGAAGTGCTCCTCAGAATTTCCTTTTATTTTACCAGTCATATATATATAAAATATGTAAAAATGCCGAGATTAATGAAATAAGAGTCCAACTCAAGAAGTTATAAAAGAAAAATGAGTAATCTAATGGAAGTAGAAAGAGAAAATAATAAAGATAAGAGTAAAATGAACAAAACAAGAAAATATAGAAAGAAATGACTAAAAAAGTTGGTTATTTGAAATAAGCAACAAAATAGGCAATTCTTAAGCGATATTGATGAAATAAAAGAGCACGTAAATACAAAATCATAGAAATGATAACTGAGAATTAATTCCATGTACAGTATAGATTTTAACACTATGAGATAACTATAATTAAATGTATGACAATACATTTGAAAAACTAGGCCAAATATTAATATCACTTATCAAGATTGAGTAAATAAAACAATGGATCACCCTAGTAGATCTAAAACTATTAAAGTGCGTCAGTAGTTAAACAGTTACCTATGAAACAAGTAACAGCAAAACACCATACTCAGATAGTTTTACACTGAATTCTACCAAAGCTGCAATGAAGAAATAATTCATATCCTATATAAATCTCCTCAGAGAACAAACAGGGAGAACTGTGCACCCTTGATATCAAAATCAGCTAAGTTATAAGATGGGCAAATTATAGACTAATTTCACTTATAAATAGATGCAAATGGCCTGAATAAAATATTCTCAAGCCAAATCCATCAATGTATTAAAAAATACATTGTGACTGAGTTGAATTTATCCTAGGATTTTTTTTTTTTTTTGAGACGGAGTCTCCAGCCCAGGCTGGAGTGCAGTGATGCGATCTCGGTTCACTGCAAGCTCCGCCTCCCGGGTTCATGCCATTCTCCTGCCTCAGCCTCCTGAGTAGCTGGGACTACAGGCGCCCACCACCACGCCCGGCTAATTTTTTGTATTTTTAGTAGAGACGGGGATTCACAGTGGTCTCGATCTCCTGACCTCGTGATCCGCCCGCCTCGGCCTCCCAAAATGCTGAGATTACATATCCTAGGAATTTAAGAATAGTTTATTGAAAGCATTACCAATGTAATTGACAACATTAGAGTAATAAGCTATTAGCATCTCAGAGATATAGAAACAGTATTTTAAAAATTCAACACTCATTCTTGATTAAAAAAAACCTTAGCAAACTAAGAATAGAACAGAATTTCTTTAACTTGATAGAGAGTGGCCACCAAAAATTCACAGCAAAATCTTACTTAAAGGTCTGATCTAATAAGCATTATCTTGAAAGTTAGAAACAAGACAAGGATGCCTGCTATTGCCACTTCTATTAAAAGTGATGTTTACACAAGGAAAGGAAAGAAGGAAAGGAAGAAAGAAAGAAAGAAAGAAAGGAAGAAAGAAAGAAAGAAAGAAAGGAAGAAAGAAAGGAAGGAAAGAAAGGAAGAAAGAAAGAAAGAGAAAAGAAGGAAGGAAGGAAGGAAGAAGGTTTGGAAGGGAAGAACAAGTTTCTCATTATTACAGATGAGATAACTGCCAGTATAGAGATAAAAATAATCTGTAGACCAACAATTATAAATAATAAATATTCATCGAGGTTATTGGATATGAGAGCAGTACACAAACCAATAGTCTTTATATCTAATCAACAACAACAAATGGTGAATATGGTTTAGTAAATGAAATACTATAGAGCAGATGAAATAAATGAATGAGATCAGCCTGTATCAATAGTGATACATCTCAATTACCAAAACACACCGAGTTTAGAAAAGCAAGTTGCAAACTGATATGTACAGCATGATACCATAAATACAGCAAATGCATAAAGACATGCTTAGGAATGATAGAAACCTTTCACGGTAGTGGTATGTCTGGGGACGGAGGGAAAGACATGGAAGGCAGAGATTCTGCAGAACTCTTAGAGTTCTTTGGAGAGGAGGTTTGAAGTGAATATCATAAAATGTTTGATTTTAGTGTCTATTGTATTATTTCATTACATTTTTACATATTTTTAACATTCCATTATTAAATCTTAAAAAGGAAAAAAATCTCTAGTGGCAAAACTTAAGGCATGGCTCCAAGCAGGTGTGGGGAACCTTCATCAGCAGGCCTGGGGCAGCTCACTTCCTGGAAGGAGCAGGGCTATGTGGGAGACATCACTTGGACTTCCTGGCCACATCTGCCACATGATATGAGCAGAATGAGCTTATCTGAATTGCAGCAGAACGCTTCCCCATACCATCCCCCATTCCAAACTCCCACCCCACTGGGGCTCATGTCTAACAGGGGAAGCTACCGCACTCTGTATTCTGCAGCCAGAGGATATTGTGAATCTGTTTTAGACTAAGGTAGGTGCTGTAAAACATAGCCCAAGGCAACCAATTATGGGATTGAGTCCACTAAGAAAAGAGAGCAGAAAAATTTTACAGAGGGAAAATTGGGGTAAAACACAAAGAAAGGTATTTTATATCCATGGTTTCATTTTCGTGTTATCAGTCTCGGATTGAAAGGGATAATGTTGTAAAACCTAGCTTAGCAGGTGGGGAGGAAGGAGTGATTTGAAGCTATGTATTCTCTTACTTGTAAATATCCCTTGAAATGTCCTTCCCATAATAAAATACAACCACAAGAAGATAAATGAGCTGGTGTCTTGTGGGCGGTGCACCACGTCTCCTAGAAGGAAGAACAATGTAAAGAAAACGCGAGTGTTGCAGTCACGGCAGTCCAACCCGGGAGCACACGTTCCTCCTTCTCCAGATTCTTGATATGTTTTGTTCATTTGGGGAGCTTTTTCTTTTTTCTTGCAAGGTGATTAATTTTACTCTTTTTTTACTTTGTTGGAATATCATGCTGTAAATGATGATAGTTTGATGCTATCTTAGTCTTTCTTATGAGTGGAGGAAAGGTCCACAAGTCATCTGATCCAGCCACATGTCCCCATGGCCATCCCCAACACTAGGGCATGGAGACAGATACATTTTCTTTGTAACAACCAGATGAAGAAAGAACATCACTAACTAAACACCCATTCCAGGTATGAAAAATCTTTCCTCTCTGAAACATTTTTTCCTTCTGTCTAACCTGATTTCTTTACATTGCAGCCTTGTGGGTTCCAAAATGAAATTGAATGGAAGGGAAAATCTACGGACAGTCAGTCTATAATGCACAAGCCTGATATCATGAAGAAGAATTGCTTTGAAGCCTGAAATAACTTGATTATGGAAATAGAGGAGAGTACCAATACTAAATAGATTACCTCCAGAGTATCGTGTATGTGTGGATCTGTGCAAGACACTTCGAAATGGGTACTCAAAATGAAAGTGTGCAGAAGAGAGCAACCATAAAAGACAGACATTGATGGAAACCGTGCAACAAGATGCATTGCTGATAAATTGGAATGATTTGACCCAGAGAAGAGGAGACTCAAAGAGATATGAAACTTATTAATAGGATTGATGGTTGGGTTGCCCAGATGGCAGGTAGGACTGCCAAGTTACTAGTAGAGTGGCTGAAGAGGAAGGAGAAGGATCAGCAGGACATAAACACCCTCTCATATTTAGCTCCCTGGAGTCTGGCCTTGAGGGTGACCCTGGGCCATGCAATTGGCAAACCTGCTCTGTGTATCAATCAGTGGAGCTTCTCATTTGTTGAGTACAATTCTTCTTCCTGCCTCTACTGGTGATCTTTTCTGAATGTCATCTAATACATTGTCCTAGACTACTGGGAGAGGAGGGAACGGGGTGGAGGTCAGAACAGTGCATTATAGTGGGTAAGAAACTGAGGTCCAGTTGGAGACATGCTTGGATCTCATCCTTGCTTCTGCCTGCCACCTGAGTCTGAATGATTCTGGGCACTGCCTGAGCATCAAAAGATGGATATAATACCAGTGTAGGACCTAGTGACTTTGAAACCTTATCTAGCTCTAGGTTTTATTTTGTCTTTTTCCACTATTCTACCCTGGGACTTTTTGCACTCTGAGTTCCTACAACTCCAGATAGATCCTTCACTTTGAAAATTCTCTGATCCATCCTTCAGATGGGCAATAGCAATGCCTCACTAGTCCGGATCAAAGCATAGATTTTTCTCCTGAGTATTTCCACAAAACAGTGAGCACTAGTATACACTGTTAGAGTGCTAGAATATAGGCCTATGGGACTGTGAGCCCCTTTAGGACACAGCAGACATCCTGAATGTCTTTATCCCCAAAGCTAAGTACTTGGTCTAGCACATAAGTGTTCAGTAAATGTCTTATAATAGTGAATGAAGAATTAGACGTTATTGGTTTAAAATGCTCTATGTTGTGCCCAAAAGACATTTTTTTTTTTCTGGGGATATTTCCAGTGCAGTAACTTGTGTATAGACAAGATAACTACTTTAGTGCTAGGAGCTTTCTATATGTGTTCATGGATTCATCGTTGGCCCTTAATTGTGTGTTCAAATTTTAAGTCCTCTTTACTTTGGCATAGAGACAATTCCTAGGGAAGCAGGTAAATAAATACTCAGTAAGCAGTAATGCTAGGGGCTTTCATAGTGGTTTCATGGTATATTAACCACATCTTTTATTTTCTGTATCCTGATGCTTTGACATCTGGGGCCTTGCAGACCCTGGAGGGACTGTCCCTTCCAAGGTCAGCCAATTTTTTTGAGATAATAAAGAATTCACCCACAAGCATGCCTGTCAAATGCAAACCAACCAAGCCAGAGTCCATATCCCCAGCCACCTCCTTTACTGGGCTCTCACACTGCAGTCTACTATCCATCTGCCCTAGTCGCCCCGCGGCCATGACCAGGCAAATAGGGAGAGGCATTGCACCCAGAGCCCTCTGAAATTATTCAAACTAGCCAGTCCTAAACCTTCTCACCCTCCTACACCTGTTCTTTCTTTCAGAAACCATAGTCATGTCTACTGCCACAGTTACTTCCTCTCCCTCTGCCTGCTGACCAGTGCTGGGGCTCCTCATTTGGCCCCTTGTGGCCTGGTGTGCCCAATTCTCTTGGGCTCTGTCGAGATGGCAAACCACCTTTTCAGTGGTAGTTGTCTCTTGATCTGTTGGCTTTACCATATCCAAATCATAATAAAAACCCATGAACTTATCACAACACCTTGGGAAGCAAGATTGCACAAATCAACAGCTCAGGCAAGTGAAGTGGCAAAAATGAGACAGGAAGTAAGTGGTGGAGCTTTGATTGGAAGCCAGGCCTAGAAGCCCTAAATTCAATGTTCTTTCCACCACAACATGTGATAACTGGGTCTTCTGATGGAAAAGCACTCGACAATAAGCATTTTTAAACATATGCAAGGCAATGTGGACATATACACATATTCCTATTTGTATACAGAGGTCATATGCTTTATATGGTGCTTTCCAATTTACTTTATTTCCTTGAAACAATACATCTTAGGTTTCTTTGTTTTTAACCAAACTTTTTTCTGTTTTAAAGTGGGGAGGAATATATTTGTACTGTGCATTTTTCCCAGTTTTAATGTTGACCAAATAGAGCCTGCTGAGGAGCATAACATTTCCCTAGCTGCAACTGTCATGTAAAAATCATCATCATAATCATAATCATTTCACCAATAGAGGCTAACTATGTGCCAGTCACCATTGTAAGCATGCATTTGCTCATATACTTCCTCAAGAGTGCTGAAGGAGAAGCAATTATTTTTCCCAATTTGAAGTTGTGGAAATTGAGGAACCTGCTGGTATTAGTCCATTTTCAAGCTGTTGGTAAAGACATACCCGAGACTGGGCACTTTACAAAAGAAAGAAGTTTAACTGGACTTGCAGTTCCACGTGGCTGGGGAGTCCTCACAATCATTGTGGAAGGAAAGGAGGAGGAAATCACATTTTATGTGGATAGCGGCAGGCAAAGAGAGAACTCGTGCAGAGAAACTCCCGTTTTAAAACCATCAGATCTTGTGAGACACATTCATTATCAGAACAGCGTGGGAAAGACCCATCCCCATGATTCAATCATCTCCCACCTGGTCACCCCCCACAACACATGGAAATTATGGGAGCTAGAAGATTAGATTTGGGTGGGGACACAGAGCCAAACCATATCATTCCATACCTGGCCCCTCTCAAATCTCATACCTTCACATTTCAAAACCAATCATGCCTTCCCAACAGTCCCCCAAAATCTCAACTCGTTTCAGCATTAACTCAAAAGTCCACAGTCCAAAGTCTCATCCAAGACAAGGCAAGTCTCTTCCCCCTATGAACCTGTAAAATCAAAAGCAAGTTAGTTACTTCCTAGATACAATGGGGGTACAGATATTGGGTAAATACAGCCATTCCAAGTGGGAGAAATTGGCCAAAACAAAGGGACCAAAGGCCCACGCAAGTCTGAAATCCAGCAGGGCAGTCAAATCTTAAAGCTCCAAAATGATCTCCTTTGAGTCCATGTCTCACATACAGGTCGTGCTGACGCAAGAGATAGGTTCTCATAGTCTTGGGCAGCTCTGCCCCTGTGGCTTTGCAGGGTACAATGTTCCTTCTGGCTGCCTTCACAAGCTGGCATTGAGTGTCTGTGGCTTTTCCAGGTGCACAGTGCAAGCTGTCAGTGGATCTACCATTCTGGGGTCTGGAGGACGGTAGCCCTCTTCTCATAGCTCCATTAGGTGGTGCCCCAGTAGGGATTCTGTATGGGGGCTCCAACCCCACATTTCTCTTCTGCACTGCCCCAGCAGAAGTTCTCCATGAGGGCCCTGCCCCTACAGCAAACTTCTGCCTGTACATCCAGGCATTTCCATACATCTTCTGAAATCTAGGTGGAGGTTCCCAAACCTCAGTTCTTGATTTCTGTGCACTTACAGGCTCAACACCAAGTGGAGGCTGCCAAGGCTTGATGCTTGCACCCTCTGAAGCCATGGCCTGAATTCTACATTGGGCCCTTTCAGCCACAGCTGGAGCACCTGGGACACAGGGCACCAAGTCCCTAGGCTGCACACCGCAAGGGGACCTTGGGCCCAGACCATGACATCATTTTTTCCTCCTAAGCCTCTGGGCCTGTGATGGGAGGGGCTGCCTTGAAGACCTCTGACATGCCCTGGAGACATTTTCCCCATTATCTTGGGGATTAACATTTGGGTCCTTGTTACTTATGCAAATTTCGGCAGCTGGCTTGAATTTCTCCTCAGAAAATGGGATTTTCTTTTCTATCACATTGTCAGGCTGCACATTTTCTGAACTTTTATGCTCTGTTTCTCTTATAAAACTGAATTCCTTTAACAGCACCAAAGTCACATCTTGAATGCTTTGCTGCTTATAAATTTATTCTGCTAGATACCCTAAATCATTTCTCTCAAGGTCAAAGTTTCACAAATCTCTGGGGCAGAGGCAAAATTCCACCAGTCTCTTTGCTAAAACATAACAATAGTCACCTTTACTCCAGTTCCCAAGAAGTTTCTCATCTTCACCTGAGACCACCTCAGCCTGAAGTGATCTCATTGTCCATATCATTATCAGCATTTTAGCCAAAGTCATTCAACAAGTCTCTAGGGAGTTCCAAACTTTCCCACATTTTCCTGTCTTCTTCTGAGCCCTCCAAACTATTCCAACCTCTGCCTGTTACCGAGTTCCAAAGCTGCTTCCACATTTTCAGGTATCTTTTCAGCAACGCCCCACTCTCAGTACCAATTTACTGTATTAGTCCATTTTCACACGACTGATAAAGACATACCCGAGACTGGGCACTTTACAAAAGAAAGATGTTTAATTGGACTTGCAGTTCCATGTGGCTGGGGCGGACTCACAATCACAGTGGAAGGCAAGGAGGAGCAAATCACATCTTACTTACACTATACTTACATGTATAGTGGCAGGCAAAGAGAGAGCTTGCACAGACAAACTCCCATTTTAAAACATGCTTGGTCGTCAGTGAAGCTTTATTGCACAGGAGGACAAGTGCTCTCTGGCTGAGAGGAAGGTGTGTGCTCCATTCAGCACTGCAGAGGGACAGAGTTCCCTAGGCCATCGCCATTATTGTTGGCATCTGTGTCCCATGTGAGTATCAGTGGTGAATGTCTGATTTTGATAGGTGAGAGATCCCAGTGGTGGGGCCCACTAGAACCTACTCTGCCCATTACTAAGCCACTCTCCCCAACCCATTTCCTTGAAGATCCTGATGGCTCTTGAACATAGTAACGCATGTTAACGTGGGGAAGAAAAACATAGACTAGAAAGCACCAGACTTGTGTGGCTTTAGGCAAGTCAGTTCTCGTCATGTCTCTTGGCCTTAGTTGTTTCCCAAATGTCAGATAGGAATAATAAAATCTGCCTTAACCTCACGGATCATGAGGCTGCAATGAGACAGTCCGGAAGTACTTTGAAAGTACGAAGCGACGCATAGCATTGGAAACAAGAGTGGATTTCTGCCTTAGAAAAAATAATTGGAATGCTCATTCTCCAAGTCTGACATTTTGATTTTACCTTGCAACCTGACCTGAGAAGTAAACCACAGCCCAGTGGGAGGGGCTTTGCGCATAACCCACCCTCTAGATTTAGGACAGCACAGAAGACTCCCACAGCCTCAAAGGTCTTTCCTGGAGCACTAACTGGGAACCACCCGGTGAGGTCTCAGGTCCAGCCCTCCATGCAGACATGGCCTGACCTACCTTGCTGACCATTTTTCGTTCGTTCCTTATGAAATAACCAAGACGGCAATAACTCAGCTCTTTATCTTTTTATTTCAATGAAACTGGAGTTGCTATACGCATTTAACCTAAAGAGTCCATATGGTGTGACAAACGGCAGAGCAAAGAAACCCCATGTGTTCTTCCTCTTTGCTTTCTTTCCCTTGCTCATGCCAGCTTCCCAGTAAAACGCAATCCCTAAAATTGTTGATTTGCATCAGCGATGCAATTCATAATCACTAATATTAGTATATCTTCTACCCCAGTGGCTCTTCATCCCTCAGGAACACCCTGGCCACAAGTCTAAAAGCACGCACTGCAGTCTGTGAAATTCTTACCCGGCTGTTATTTCGGAGCTCTTGGAAGCAGCATGCTCAGATGGCTGACGGCATCGGAATGGGAAATACCCGCTCCAGAGGGGGCCAGTCAAACAATCTCGGTTGGTTTTATTGCTGCCACATCCAGGAATCAGGTGCCTGGAAAAAATATGCTGACAGGATCAGACTGAGGAAGCTGCAATGCCATCTGGGGTCAGGAAAAGATTTTTGTCCAAGTGCCAACTGCGGGGGCTGAGGCAGTGTGGTGCTCCGCTGGCACAGAGTCTGAAATAGCCCAGGAGGTGCTGGGGAAGCAAGCAGGAAAGCTGCCCAGAATGTTACCAGGGGAGGACGGGGGACTTCGGTGAGGGTGGGGGAAGATACCGAAGGCTTGAGCCTTCTACGCTGGACATTTTAGAAAATGTTCCTTTTGGGAAATTTTGAAACATACGCCGAAGTAGAGATGTAGCATAAGAGGTCCTCAGGCACTCACTGCTGAACTTCAACACCTACCAACCCAAAGCCAATCTCATTTCGTTCTCATCCATTTTGTCTTTTGTTTCCCAATCCCCAACCTCACTGGGTTTTATGGAGGCCAATCTTAGATATCATATTATTGCGTCCATGAATGTTTCTTTCTTATTTTTTTTTTTCCTTTTTTTGAGACGGAGTCTCGCTCTGTCGCCCAGGCTGGAGTGCAGTGGCGCGATCTCGGCTCACTGCAAGCTCCGCCTCCCGGGTTCACGCCATTCTCCTGCCTCAGCCTCCCGAGTAGCTGGGACTACAGGCGCCCGCCACCATGCCCGGCTATTTTTTTTTTTTTTTTGTATTTTTAGTAGAGACGGGGTTTCACCGGGTTAGCCAGGATGGTCTAGATCTCGTGACCTCGTGATCCACCCGCCTTGGCCTCCCAAAGTGCTGGGATTACATGTGTGAGCCACCGCGCCCAGCTGCATCCATGAATATTTCTGCAAGCATCTCTAAAAATAAAAACCTTAGCTATCATACCATTATCATATGTAAAAATTTACAATCATTCTACTCTATTAAAAAATTCAGTATTCGAATTTCCCAAATTGTTCCCTAATAGCACTTGAAATTTTGATCAACCTGAGCTAGAATTAAAGCTAATAATTAAAAAGAGAAAATGAGAGACAGAAGGTAAAAATAATAAGGGAAAGAAAGAGGGAGAAATTAATGAACATGTATTTGTTGGATGTCTATAATATACCAGGCCTTGTACTGGGTTCTAGGGCACTGTGACCTCATTTTAGGAGATAAGAAAACCAAAAGGCAGACAGGTTAAGTCATTTCTCCAAAGTCAGTTCACTTGTAAGTCTTGAAGATGTAATTCCAGTTCAGGTCTATACAGTTCCAAAGCCTGCCTTTTTCTTCTATACCACGTTTCATCTGCAATAACTAAATCATCTATGAGGAGTTCTTGGAAAGAAGGAGAAGAGAAAGGATAGGGGGAGTAAAATCCTGTTATCATCAAAAAGTAGTAAAGTAGAATTGTTTTGGAGCCAGATATTCCTGGATTTGAATCTCAGCTCTGCAACTGAGTGGAGAAGTTCTTTACTTTCCTGAATCTTACTTTCTTCATAAGTAAAATGGGATGTAGCAAGGATTAAAATAAAGAATTCAAACATTTAATAGTGGTTGTTGGATGGGAGTGGGGATGGGAAAAGAGAAGACAAGAAGTGGTCAGTATTTACCTCATTCTTCTGCAGACTAGTGCTTCCCAGGCACTGATAAGAATAATAACTAAGAACTAGACAAGACAATCCAACAGCTGTAACGAGAACAACAGGGGTCTGTGTAGGAGGTGGAGAGGTGCAGAGGAAGGATGGATCAAGGAAGTCCTTGGCCAGTGCCTGTCCCTTTCTGAGCACAGGGGCAAAGGAGGGCAGTGAAGGTGAAGACGGTGTGAGAGTGGGAGAGTCAGGGGACCCACCTGAATGATGGAGTGCTTGGAGGCGGCTCAGCAGAAGGGGGAATAAGACTGGATAGATGGAACCTCAAAAAGTGGGAGATGACAGAAATACTCCTTCAAATACTGTTATCGTGTATATTTAAGGTGTACAGCATGACGTTATGAGTTACATATAGATAGTAAAATGGTTACTATAGTGAAGCAAATTAGCATATCTGTCATCTCACTGAGTTACTCCAACCCGTTTTTTGTGTCAAGAGCAGCTAAAATCTACTCATGTAGCAGAAATCCCTCATACAGCACAATTTTATTACCTACGGTCCTCGTGTAATTAGACCTCTATACTTGTCCATCCTACATGCTGCTACTTTGTGTTCTCAGACACACATCTCTTTATTTTTCTCCCTCCCACTCCCATGGCTGGTAACCACTGTTTTATTATCTACCCAGAGATATTCTTAAGCAAAAGGTTTGCTCAGAACTTCAGGAACATGAATCCAACTCTGATATGCCAGCCAGATTGGGTAAGAGAGAGGGGGGGCAGGGACACTAATATAGTAGATGTTGTAAATTCTAAAGTGGATCTCAATGTGTTGGGATGAATTCTGATTTTATAGGTCTGTGCAAAGTTTCCTATGCCCAAAGATTTTTGAAGCCTATTCACAGAATTTTTTTTTTTAAGACAAGGTATTGCTCTGTTGCCCAGAGTGGAGTGCAGTGGTACCAACATGGCTCACTGCAGCCTTGAATTCTTGGGCTCAAGCGATCCTCCCACCTCAGCCTCCGAAGTAGCTAGCACCAGAGGCCTGCATCACTATGCCCAGCTACTTAATTTTTTTTTTTTTTTTTTTTTGTAGAGATGGGGTCCTGCTATTTGCCCAGGCAAGTCTTCAACTCCTGGCCTCAAGCGCTCCTCCCACCGTGGCCTCCCAAAGTGCAGGGATTACAGGTGTGAGCCACTGCTTCCACCTGATGATATTATTCTAATATTCTGATAGTAAAGTCTTCTGATCTCAAGAAAAAAGAAGATATGTTCCAGATGTCCAAAGACACCTTGACCAACCATGCCCCCTTTGCAAAAAGAACCCATTGATCAAAGCCAAAACCCTATCCACCAGCAACTGCAGACACAAGTCATGATGAATGAAGAAGATGTTGCCAAAGATTATGCCAGCAAAAATATGCAATGGGGACACTATGTTATTATCATAAAATAAACTCAGGGACCCAACGAGCCCTGAGAATCTTGCTGATTTTGGATACTTGTTCAAATGGACACTTATTTTAAGACTCTTAAAATGCCATTTTGGAGCAGCAGCCTTAGTGACAGGAAAATTTGAGTTGATGACAATGTCAAGGGTTTCCTTCACTACCTATAGCTATTAAAAACAATCTCATAGTCTCTTAGGAAGATTTCCTTTTGGCCCAAATTGAGGTTCAGCTATTGATTTCCAAAGAGTTAGATTACTAGAATCATTAGGTTGGAATGAAATACCAGGGACGTCTTGCCCATTCTCATTTTCCTGCAGAAGGACCCGTGCGTGCGTGCGTGCGTGTGTGTGTGTGATTTTGTAGTGTGTGTGTATATATATATATATATATAGAGAGAGAGAGAGAGAGAGAGAGAGAATCATAAAATCATGGTAAAGCTTAAGTGCTGTATGTGAAGGATATTCCACCAAATATTTTTATTTGCTGGTTTAACAATACTCACTTTCAGGAAATTCTCCCATCTATCTTGCTTGCATTCCATTGTTGTAATTCAGGTCAACATTCTAGATTTGCAAGCACATTTAATAAGCTTTACATAAGCACTTTAAAAACATTTAGTCAGAGTACCAGGAGAGAATTGTGATATGATAAGGCCCATTTATTGGGACATGAGGATTCACTTTCAGCACTAAATGATGGCTTAAGGTCACTGATAGCTTTTGGTTCAAGCCTACAATCTTGATTAGACTTTGGTAGAGAAATGTATCTAGTTTTACCTCGTTTCTTCATTTATTTCTTTGTTCATTCCTTCATTCCTTCTTTCCTCTCCTCCCTTCTATTGATATCTATCAACCACAGAGATATTATAAGGCAATTTTCAAAACAGCGACTTTCTAATCTATCTCTTGTTCCTTTGTCTTCATTCCTCTTTTGAGAAATGTCGTCTTTAAAGAATCAATTTTTGGAGCAATAATTTTCCTGAAGGGACAGCTAATAATTCATTTATTCTGTTCTTTGAGCAGTAGTGAGAAAAGAAATAGTGATTAACTTCAGTTTCTGTGTCGTGCTAGGTACGTGAACCAATCCTTCTCTTAAATACAATTAAAAATTTGGCTGCAATTTTTTAGAAAAGTGTCTTCAAAGCCAGAATTGCTGATGAGAGAGTAAGAAAGATCGGTAAAAATATCAGAGAGATAATCAGAGCTCCTAAGTTGCCTCAAATATTCTTGATTCTAACAAACCTGAGCTTCAGTTTTGGGAGACATGAGGGGTAAAAGGGAATTATTTCAAGGATTTAGTCTTACTCAAGGTGGGAAGTCTGATAGAAAATATCCCCTCCATTAAGTGAGGACCCAAAGTGATTCACCATCAGAATAAGAGGAATAAGAACTAGTTCCAAGTCCAAAGCTCGGGGAAAGTTGCCCTGATGCTGAAGGGGGCAGAGGAACAAAGGCAAGAGAAACATCCTCAGGAGGTTGTGGAAATAAGATGGGCCTATAGAGATTTGCAAGTGTGACTGGTGTTGTCTAGGGGGTCCAGGGAAGCTGAAGCAATGAACTTGGTTAACATTACCTAGAATAGTAGTACTTCCAGGAGCCTAGAATAAACAAACAAAAATTCTTACTGGATGAAGATACTTTTTATCCTAGACCTCAAAAAATCTCCCATAAATGCCTTTGGCAAGGATAGCAAACAGTACACAGTAAAACACAATTAAGAATAAAAAGGGAAACAAGGCAATATGAGTGAGAAGCAGCAGAAATGGCAAACAGCAGGAACCAATTCATAAATATTTTAGATATGAAAATTATCAGACACAGGCTATAAAAGAACTATGCTTTATTTCTGGATTAAAAATATGAAAGCATGAAATTGTAAGAAGTGAAATATTTTTTTAAAAGGCACATTGGAAAGAATTTCTAGAATTGAAAAACGTAATAACTAGAAATAAACCTAAATGGATTGAATTAACAGCCAATTAGATGAAGGGAGAATTTGTGAACCAAAAGATAGATTAAAAATTAACATAGTGAAACAAAAAGATGAAAATGATGGAAGAGAGGTAAAGAAGTCTAGAGGATATAGGCCGGGCGCGGTGGCTCACGCCTGTAATCCCAGCACTTTGGGAGGCTGAGGCGGGTGGATCACGAGGTCAGGAGATCGAGACTATCCTGGCTAACACGGTGAAACCCCGTCTCTACCAAAAATACAAAAAATTAGCCGGGCGTGGTGGCGGGCGCCTGTAGTCCCAGCTACTCGGGAGGCTGAGGCAGGAGAATGGCGTGAACCCCGGGGGGCGGAGCCTGCAGTGAGCCGAGGTTGCGCCACTGCGCTCCAGCCTGGGCGACAGCAAGACTCCATCTCAAAAAAAAAAAAAAAAAAAAAAAGAAATCTAGAGGATATAGTTCCAGAAGGAGCAGGGAGAGAATGAGGACAATATTTGAAGAGAAAACAGCTCATGAAGGACGTAAGTCCACATATTCGAAATACCAAACAAGTTACACAAGATGAATAAATGAAAGTAAACCACACCTGGATTTATTAGAGGAAAACTTCAGAGACCTAAAGACAAACATAGCACATCAAAAGGAAAAAAGACAAATTACCTTCAAAGAAGCAACAATAAGACTAAAATTAGACTTCCCAGCAGACACAGTGGAAGCCAAAGAAAATAACTGTTAACCTAGAGTTCTATATATAGCAAGAATACATTCAAGAATAAGGAGTGAAGATATTTTCAAACAAAACAGTAAGTTCAATGCCAGAAGACCTGCACTAAAGAATGTACTTTGGGAAGAAAAATTACCTCTAATGGGAAGTATAAGATGCAAGAAGGATTGGAGAGCAGAAATTAATTAAATAGAAAAGATACATATAGTAGAGTAGATGGACAAATGTAAAATTGATCCTTTGAAAAGTCTAATGAAATTGACAAATCTGATGGACAATTGATCATAAAAAGAAAGGGAAGGTGCAAATAAACAATGTTTGGAATAATAAGGGGAAGTAGCTATAAGTGTGCATAATTAAATATATAGTAAGAAGATACCAATAGCAACTTCAGTGCAGCAAACCGAAAATCTGATTTCTTTGAAAATATATAGTAGCAGTCTAAAACAAATCCAAAAATAGCCACCTTATTAATCTTATTACCTTAAGTTGTTAATCAAATTCATAGGTAAAAATCTTCTCATAAAGTAATAATCAGGCTTAGTTGACTTTGCTAATGAATTCTACCAAAATTTAATAAAAAACTTCCAATGTTACAAAACTATTTATAGTATACCTTATGGAAGACTAACAATTTCCTAACTCTTATTATGAAACTAGCATAACCTTGATACCTCTCTTAAGGAAGGAAAATCACAAGCCAATTTCACTCATGTATCTCCTGTAGATACAAAAATTCTAAACCAAATAATAGTACAACAAAACCAGCAAAGTTGGGTTTTACTGAAGAATGCATGTGTTGCTTAATAATAGAGAAAAATAAATTCACCACATTAACAGATTCAAAGAGAGATGCTATGGACTGAATGTTTGTGTCTCCCCTTCTCAATTCATCTGTTGAAATCCTAGTCTCCGATGTGAGGGTATTTGGAGATGGAGCCTTTAGGAGATAATTAGGTCATGCGGGTTGTATCTTCCTGATAAGATTAGTGCCCCTATAAGAAGAGACACAAGAGAGCTTGCCTCCTCTGTCTCTGTCCCTCCTCTATGTGAGGATACAGCAAGAAGGGGGCCATTCAGAAAAAGGGCCCTCACCAGACACCAGTTCTACCAGTGCCTTGAATTTGGACTTCCAGTCTCCATAACTGTGAGAAATAAATGTTTGTTGTTTAAACCACCTATTCTATGTCATTCTGTCACAGCAGCCCAAACTGACTAAGATGAGGGAAATACTATAATTATTTTAAAAGATGCAAAAAGTGATAAAATTTAACATCTATTAATGCTAGTAGCTATTAGGAAAATAATGTTAGAAGGGAGCTTCCTTTATCTAATAAGGAATATCGAAATAAATACAAAAATAATAAAAATTTCCTAAGGCAAAGATTGTACTTTATAGAGGAATGTCAATCCTGCTCACTACTTCTAGTCATTCTACTAGATAGCACAGTAAGTCAAGAGAAAGAAATACGACGTGTAAAGATTTCAAAGGAAGGAATAAATCTATTATCAGTTGCAGATGCCATATTTCTGACCTAGAAAACTCAAATGAGACTACAAACAAATTATTAGAATTAATTAGATAATGTAATGAGTTTGCTGAGTGCAAATCAACATAAAAAATTAATTGCATTTCTGTATCCTAGCAATAGTTAGAAGTTGTATATTTAAAATTCATGTCATTTGCAATAGCATAAAAATAAGGTAGCTACAAATAAATCTAATAAAATTATAGAAGACTTTTATGTTAATATTATAAAACTTTTATTGAAAGACATTAATGAAGACCTTTTCTCAAAATTGACCTTTACCTTGAATGCAAACAATTAGCCTCAGTTTTGTTTTTATTTTGATGGAATTTGGCACAATGTATATGAACCAGCAAAAGGCCAAATAAAGCCAGAATATTCCTGAAGAAGAAAAGATTCAGAATGACTATGAAGCTATGGTAATTAAGAAATTATAGTATAGGATTGGTGAAGATATACAAAAATATAAATCACTAATACAGAAAAAAGAACACATAAACAAACCCACATATATATTTATACTGCAGCACAACAGTGTAGATCAATAAGGAAAATAAGGTCTTTCAATGAAATAATCATTTGGATAATATGAATTATTTTCCCTATTTGCATTAAAAATGAAACTGGGTCCCTGTGTCATGTCAAAAACAAAATTCATTGCAGATGAATTTTCATATTTCAAATGTTCAAGTGAAAACTATAAAAGAGTTAGAAGACCATTTAAGATACTTATTTTTGCCATGGGCAGGGAAGGATTCTTAAATAATTCAGAAGAAATGCAAATTGTAAAGAAAAATATTCATTAAATTGTTTATTTTAAAATTGAGAATTTCTCTTCATAAAAAACAGTATAAAGAAAGTGAAATTAAACCACAAGCTGGAAGAAAAAAATCATAGGAATAGAACAGATAGAGAATTAATATCCAGCATATGTTAGGTTGGTGCAAAAGTAACTGCGGTTTTTGCCATTACTTTTGCCATTAAAAGTAATGGCAAAAACCACAATAGATTTTGCACCAAGCTAATATAAAGGACTGTTACAAATTAATGCATAAGAGACAACTCAAGATAAAAACAGGAAAAGACTTTCAGGTATTCAATAAAAAAATGGTCATTATGAAAAGATTTTCAATTTCAGAAAGTCAGGGAAATAAAAATTAAAATATAATGAGATATTTCACTTAATTCCCGTTAGGATGGCTAGTATCAAGAAACAAACAAAACTAGATAATAACAAATGTTGACAAGGATGTGGATAAACTGGAATCCTTGTGCACTGATTGTGAGAATGTAAAATGATATGGGCACTGTGCAAAACAATATGGCATTTCCTCAAAAAAAATTAAACAGAATTACCTTATGATCCAGCAATTCCACTTCTGGATATGTACCCAAAAGAACTGAAAGTAGGATCTCAAACAGATATTTGTACACGCATGTTATGGCAGCATTATTCACAGTAGCCTTAGGATGGAAGCAACACCAGTGTCCCTCAATGGATGAATGGATTAGCAAAATATGGTATATTTATACGATGGAGTTTTATTTACTCTTAAAGAAGAAGGAAATTCTGACACATGTTGCAACAAGGATGAACCTTGAGGACAGTATGTTAAGGGAAACAAGCCTATCACAAAATGAAACATACTGTGAGTCCAGTTCTGTGAGGTACTTAGAGTAGTCAAATTCATTGAGACAGAAAGTAGAATGAATGAATGGTGGTTGCCAGGGGCTGGAGGGAAGAGAGGAAGGGGAGGTATAATGGGTACAGAGTTTCAGTTTGGCAAGTTGAAAAGCATTCTAGAGATGCGTGGTTGTGATGGTTGCACATCAGTGTGAATGTGCTCGATGTCCTTGAAGTGTACACCTAAAATGGTTATGATAGCAAATTTTATGAGATGTATATTTTGCCACAATTCCTAAAAAAAAAGAGATATTTCATATTGATCAGAATGGCAAACTTTTAAAAGTTTGGACAATAGCTAGTGATAGTGAATATGTGGAGCAACCCTAAGTCTTATATACTGCTGTGGGAGCATAAGGTTCAATAACTTTGGGAAAACCATTTGCCATCACCTTATAAACTAAATATCTCTATACCTGATGGCTCAGATCTTCCATTCTAGGTATTGATCTTAAAGCGACTCTTGCACATATACACAAGGACATGCTAGCCCTGTTGATAATGGCAACACAAACACACTGAAAATAACCCATATATGCCTCAACAGTGGAATGGATAAATACATTGT
Source organism: Homo sapiens (assembly GCF_000001405.40). Classification (NCBI taxonomy): domain Eukaryota; kingdom Metazoa; phylum Chordata; class Mammalia; order Primates; family Hominidae; genus Homo; species Homo sapiens. The sequence goes on from NC_000012.12 coordinate 4,891,262, forward strand.
ATATATTCATAAGCTGAATTATTGCATAACAATAATACATGACTGAATTGCAGGAACACAAAATTGACTAGACAAAACACATGACAAAACAAAACATATTCTGTTTGGGATATTCTGTTACAGGTTGAGTATCCCTTATCTAAAATGTTTGGGACCAGCTCTGTTTCAGATTTTGGATTTTTTTGAATTTTGGAATATTTGCATATACATAATGAGATATCTTGTGGTTGAGACCCGAGTCTAAAACAAAATTTATTTATGTTTCATATATACTGTATACACATAGTCTGAAAGTATCTTTATACAATATTTTAAATAATTTTGTGCATAAAACAAAGTTTGCGTTACTTACATGGGGAATTTTCCATTTATGATATCATGTTGGTGTTCAAAAAGTGTTGGATTTTGGAGCATTTTGGATTTGGGATTTCAGATTTTTGGATTAGGGATGTTTAATCTGTGTATTCAAAAGTCCACAAAATATGCTCTGTGAGACTGTAAAATGAATGTTGTAAAACTATACTGATAAGGAAGGGAATGAAATGAGAAACTCTGGGCAGGGAGCAGGGAGGGAGTCGAGACACAGAGAAACCCCTGGGGGTTTAAAAGGTAGTGGTAATGTTTTATTTATTAAACCTGAGGGTTAGTACATTGTTGTTTACTGGATTTTCTATACCTCAAACCTGTTTCATAAATATTAATTTATATATTTTCAATATTTAACAAAGTTTCTTCAACACTGGCCCACGGGTGTGTTGGAAGATACATCAGGAAGTAACCAACTATAGGCACGAGTATGCGTTTACATTACCCACAGCTATGTGTACATACGTGTAATGTAGATACATGTTCTTTCCTTTTCAAGACAGGCATTTTTACAAAACGGTAGGGAAAAAACCTTCCAGAAGGGTCCACTTAAGAGGGAATTTGAAAGTACAAGGGAGAGAATTTGGTGGTAATCCATGGTGAAGCTTCATGAGAAGGTGTGTGGGCAGAGGATCCAAGCTCAGGTGGAGGCACAGGCCTTAGAGAAGGGAAGAACAGGCCCAGGTATAGCTGGGGAGCAGGTGTTTGCTGGATAGAAATGAAGTGTGGGAGTTGCCTTCCAGTGGATTCTGGTTTTCTCTGTAAAGCAGAAGGCAAGGGTGTTTTCCGAGAATGAGGGATTGGATACAAAATCTTTTCAGAAATGATTAAAACTTTGGAAATGAGAACAAGGTCATTGGACCTTGTTCTTGGGAAGGAGACACTGGGAAGGCTATATAGAACATGAGGATTCCAAGTCAAGTTGGTCTGTCTTAACTTCCTGGTAGTTCCTGGTCTGAGACTCTTCTGACATCAGAGATCTGAGAGCACAGTGGGTCAGAGTCTACAGGGAGGGTAGGAAAATGAACCCTGGGATAAGTGTTGGCATTGATCACAGGGAGAGACCTTTGGGAACTGGGTTATAGTCAAGTGGGTCATGGCTCTGAGTTGAATAAGTAGCTGGACACTGCTGAGAGAGTCAAGGCAGGGTGGAGGCTTAACAGCTCAGAAGAAACAAACGCATATGGCTGAATCAATTAATTGCTGAAATAGATGAGTTGTATGTTCTATCAGGCTGCCAAGAAAGGAGATTTCTTCCTAATGACAATAGGTAAAGCTGTTTCCAACAGTGCTGAGAAGGTGCTAAGATTTTAGAGAAATGCAGAGTTTTGGAGGAAGTACAAAGTGTTCTGCTATTTGCAAAATTATTGTGTCTGATACATAAGCTTCTTTGCAGTGGCTTTGAAGATCGAATTCATTTGTCCAAGCAAAAGTATTTAATTCTGTTGTGCTGCAGTTTATAAAATATTTACGTTGTTATTCTACATATACACATCGCTTACAATCCAGTTGCATTTCTCTCTGATGCACTTTCAATAAGATTTGGACTCCTGACAATGTCATCCAAGCCAATTGTTAGGGGAAAGAATCACAGAATCACTGCAGCTCACAAAGCCCCCGGGATGTCAAACCATCCATCCTGTTGTCTTCAGGCAGAATAGAACCCAAACTAGCCCAAATAAAGAGACTTGTCTCCTAAGCATGAAAAATCAAGAAAGACAAGCTGACCAATCTTTCTTAATTTTCAGCTATCCTCCTCGAAATCAGAATGTCCTGAATAACCCACTTTCCTCCTACTGTAATTACTGTGTTTCTTAGAATGTGGTATTTAAACAGAAAATCCCAAAGTCGCTGACAAAGGACTCTGAGTTCCAAATGTGTGAAAGTGAATTAGAAGCTAGTTAAGGCAGTGTGGTATAAAGGAAAAATAATGAAGTAGGAGTCAGGGGCAGTGTCTGCTGTTTCTGTCCACATGTCCACATTGCCTATAAAAACTCGGAGGGGTCAAGGGCTTATCATCCTTTCCTACTCAGTGTCCTTACCACATTAGGATAGTAAATGCTTTCTTCCCCTACCTCCAAGGGTTTATCTGAGGATTAAGCAATAATGCCTAAGAGTTTTTGAAAAGTAGAAAGCATGGTATGTAGATAAAGATTTAAAACAATCCATCACCATGGGCTGGGTGATGACTGCCATCAGAAACCCACCTTCTTTTACTATAGCACTGAAAACTGTCTGCAAATTGGCTTTTATTTTTCCTTCTGAGACTAAAAGCAATTGGTATCCTATTGATAATGCTTGGTTGTTCAAGGGTGGATTGCTGAGTGTGCAGGGTTTTCACAGTTCCTTGCTTGGTCTTCCATCTCCCTCCCGCCTGGTTTTGTCATTTCACTGCTCATTTACATGTCCACTTGAGTGCGCTTCCACAACTGACCTACTCAGTCCCCGGAAAGGACTTGTGCTTCCCACGTCTGCATCTTTGCTCTTGCCTTCCCTCTCTCGTAAATTGCACCCTTCTCTTCCCCTCTGCCGGCCTTTAGGAGACACTGCTCCTGCACAGCAGCTCCAGCTGGCCATGCTATGAGACACCACCTGTCTCCCGTCCCAAAAGCCTTCTTGAACACATTCGATAGCACTAATCACTTGCCTTGTTTTGGAAGCTGTCATTTTCCATTCATACGTCCTGTCTCCTCAACAAAGATAATAAATTTATTGAGGGTATGGACAATGCATTTTTTTTGCCTTTTCCTCAGCAAAAGACACGTGACTTGTAAATATTCAGTACTGTAAAGAGTTAATTGGCGGGGTGCAGTGGCTCACACCTGTAATCCCAGCACTTTGGGAGGCCGAGGCAGGTGGATCATGAGGTTAAGAGATCAAGATCATCCTGGCCAACATGGTGGAACTCCACCTCTACTAAAAATACAAAAATTAGGTGGGCGTGCTGGCACGCGCCTGTAGTCCCTGCTACTTGGGAGGCTGAGGCAGGAGAATTGCTTGAACCCGGGAGGCGGAGGTTGCAGTGAGCCAAGATTGTGCCACTGCACTCCAGCCTGGCGACAGAGCGAGATTCCATCTCAAAAAAAAAAAAAATAGTTAATTGATATGAATAAAAAGAAAAGTGCAAGACATTCAGAGTGGGGTATTTTTTTGGGGTGAGATGTGAAAACAAAGAAGGAACAAATTGGTTTGGAAATTCTGAATTCAATTTTTCCATGGCATCCCTATCTTTAATTATGTTGGATAATTCATCATAGTATTTATTTGTGGCTTAATTTATTGTGTGAATAAAGTGTGTGCTGCATAATCAGTGAGAGAGGTGAGGGGGGCATGTTAGGTTTCAGTAGTCTGAAATCAGAGCAATAGCATTTTGCTTCTAAATGACTAGGATTTAAAAAAATATATGGTACTCATAAAACCACACTGCAACCACTCTGGGAACCATTAAAATAGCCACAATGCAGGACAGACATTGCTCTGCCTGTTACCTGCCAGCAGCAATTACATGTTGGATTCGTCAAGCCTCTAGAAGCCTAGCACTTTAATACGGGGTTGCATATTTGTCACATGACACCGACACCTCGGTTATGGTGAATCTGTTAGGCAGCAAAGCAATGGTTTAGGATACTGTCCTAGGTGGCTGAGAAGGATACTGGAAGTGACGAATTAGAGCATTTAAGGGCTGTGTTTTAAGGATATGGGTTTTTACTAATGATCTCATCCTAGGAACACATATCTGGGTTTGAATGAAACATAACTGTATGCATACAAGTATGTATGTATGCATGTAACAGTTTGATCTGTTTACTTATATTTTGCCTCTATGTCAGGAAGGACTTAGGAAGTTAAAAAATAAATGCAGCCTAAAAACATAAAATAAATTTTGGAGGGCAAGGAACACACACACACACACACCCTACACACAGAAATGCATACTGTGATGGCCTATTTGGTTGCGAGAGGAAGGCTGAAAATGGGGCTTTAAGAGTTTACCTGAAGATAAAAAGGGAAATGCAGTCAGCTTCAAGAATCACAGTAACCACAAGACACAATCGATGTTTAAGAGAACCACAGCTGACTCGGACATTGAGACGAAGATTTCTTCCAGGGATCCTCAGAGCGGAAGACACTGTGTAACATGGTGGATGACGTCCTCCACAGAGTACAGATGATACTTACCATCATGCATTTATAGGGATTTTTCTTATGTTCCTCTTTGCAAGCTAAATCCATAAAAACAATTCTATGAGGGACCCAAACAGTGCTGCCCTTGTGTAGAGCTCACTGTGAGCCTGGATTGACCCAAGGGTAGAATCTCTAAGCAGCAATGTCTAATAAAAATTCCTGTGGGCCAGGCACAGTGGCTCACGCCTGTAATCGCAGCACTTTGGGAGGCCAAGGTGGGCTGATCACAAGGTCAGGAGATCGAGACCATCCTGACTAACATGGTGAAACCCCGTTCTCTACTAAAAATACAAGAAATTAGCCGGACGTGGTGGTGGGCGTTTGTAATCCCAGCTACTCGGGAGGCTGAGGCAGGAGAATAGCGTGAACCCGGGAGGCGGAGCTTGCAGTGAGCCGAGATTGCGCCACTGCACTCCAGCCTGGGCCACAGAGCGAGACTCCATCTCAAAAAAAAAAAAAATTCTGTGATGGTGAAAGTATTCCCTATCTGCACCATCCAATATGGTAATCACAAGCTACACATGGTTGTTCAGCCCTTGACATGTGGTCAGGGGACGGAGGAACAGAAGTTCAATTCTTATTTGAATTCGTGTAAATAGCCACATGTTGCTAGGGGCTATTGTGCTGGACAGAGCAGCTCTAGGAAATGTCTGCATCGTATGCCTTTCAACAATCATGGATGTTATTTCTTGCAACTGAGATTTGACAAGTTATAGGGCTAAGGGAATACTTATGGCAAGGGCAAAATTTACCTCTGAAAACATTTCTAGGTCTGCTGCAGCACAGAGAAGATTAGGCAATAGAGGTCTCAAAGCTCCATGCCATCAGGTAGATGTAGTTATTATAGAACATTTTGAGATGTAAGCACTCCCAGCATATGTATTGTTAGTTAGAAGTTATAATCTATGTTCTGGTGTTCTAATCTGTTTTGTACCTTATAGACATACGCATCATTTTAGCAACTGTTTTTAAACCAATACTGTCAACCTCCTTTTCTGTTCGACATCAGAGATGCTGAATTTTTTTGGAGAAAGATCACACACAAATAGGCATTTCTCCAAATTCCTGGTTCTGATCTCAACTGGGCCTTTGATGCTTTCTTGTGAGCCTTTTATGTGTGTCCTTCTTAAGGCTTCATTCCTCCCACTCTCACCTCTGGTGGAGAGGGGATCTTTTCCAAAATAACACATTTTGGGTGCATGAGTGGTTCTGTGGTAGAATTCTCACTGCCAAAATAGCACAGTTTGATTATCACTGTGAGAGGTGATCAACATTAGCAAGAAGGAAAGTAGCTTTTCTTTCTGTGATCCTTTCTGAGGCACCACTGCCCTGCTAGGATAAGCATAAGCACAGGTCTCTCCAGCTCAGATATGAGGGACAAAAAGGTTTCTCCAATCTGCCGTTGAAGAAGGGCATGATGGAGTGGAGACCCTGAGAGCAAGGCAGAGGAGTGAACACAGAATAAAAGGGATGACAAGGGGAGGAAAGACTTCTGGGCTTCCATCTGACATGGAGTTTGAGTGGATTGGAAGGTGATCCACTTAGAAGAATCACCTTAGAAGGAAGGTAACAGTTAAATATATTCATGAGATGGAAATATGTTCTGAGAAATGCATCATTGGGTAATTTCATCATTGTACAAACATCATAGAGTGTAGTTACATAAACCTAGCTTCTACAGCCTACTGCACACCTAGGCTATATAGTACAGCCCATTGCTCCTAGGCTATGGACTTGCACAGCATGCAACTGTACTGAATACTGTAGGCAATTGTAACACAATGGTAAGTACCTGTGTATCTAAGCATATCTACGCATAGAGAAGGTACAGTAGCACTGACGTGGTGGCTCATGCCTTTAATCCCAGCACTTTGGGAGCCCGAGGCAGGAGGATCGCTTGAGCCCCAGGGTTCAAGACCAGCCTGGGAAACATGGCAAAACCTCATCTCTACACAATTACAAAAAATTAGCCAAGTGTGGTGGTGTGTACCTGTAGTCCCAGCTACTTGGGAGGTTGAGGTGGGAGGATGGCTTGAGTCCAGGAGGTCAAGGCTGCAGTGAGCTGTGAACACACCACTGCACTCCAGCCTGGGCAACACAGTGAGACCCTGTCTTAATTTAAGAAAAAAAGAAAGGAAAAAGATACAGTAAAAATATGGTATAAAACCTGTATAGGGCACTTACCATGAATGGAGCTTGCAGGACTGGAAGTTACTCTGGGTGAGTCAGCGAGTGAGTGGTGAGTGAATGTGAAGGCCTAGGACACTACTGTACACTACTGTAGACTTTAGAAACACTGCACCCTTAGGCCACACTAAATTTATTAAAATACATTTCTTTCTTCAATAATAAATTAACCTTAGCTTACTGTCACATTTTTACTTAATAAACTTTATTTTTTTAACTTTTTGACTCTTTCATAACACAATTTAAAACATAAACACATTGTACAGCTGTGCAAAAGTATTTTTTCTTTGTACCCCTATTTCATAAGCTTTTATCTATTTTTAATTTTTAAAAAATCTTTTAAACTTTGTTATTCAAAACTAAGACACAGACAAACATATTAACCCAGGCCTTCATGGCATCAGCATCATTAATATCACTGTCTTCCACCTGCACATCTTGTCTCACTGGAAGCCTTTCAAGGGCAGTACCACTCACGGAGCTGTCATTTCCTATTATAACAATGCCTTCTTCTAGAATACCTCCTAAAGGACCTGCCTGAGGCTATTTTACAGTTAACTTTTTTTAATAAGTAAAAGGAGTACATGATAAAATAATAATAAAAATTATAGTATAGTAAATACATAAACCAGTAACAGTTATTTTATTATTACCAGGTATTATGTACTGTACATAATTGTATGTTCTATAGTTTTATATGACCAACAGCAAAGTAGGTTTGTTTACACCTGCATCACCACGGGCAAGGGAGTAATATGTTACATCACTATGTCACTAGGCGATTGGAAGCTTTCAGCTCCATTACAACCTTATGGGACTACCATCTTATACATAGTCTGTTGACCAAAAGGTTGTTATCTGATGCATGACCATTCATTATCCCAGACATTGAACTCTGATTGATTTGTGATTTACTGTGAGTAAGACTGGGTCTTTATGGTAATGGACTACATACCTTCCAGATGATGTGGGGCAAAACGGCAAGGTTCCACGTGTTTTCCTAATTCTTCTTTGGGACTCTCTTCAACCTTTCATGGTCTCCTTTTCTATACCCATCAGTAGATAACATCTATTTCACTCAGAAACTAGAAACCTTCAGATGAAATCTCCCTCTAGTTTCTGAATTCACTCTCGGCTCACAGGTGCAGAAATACGTTCCATCCCTTGCATCTTTCCAGTTGATTAAAGTGAATAGGTCCCTTACTCTACAAAACGAATGATTCTAGCTGTACTCTTGATCCCTCTTCTCATTATTCCTAGGGATCTCAATTAATTTTTCCCATTTCTCTGCTATAGCTTCAACCTTGTTCTCATATTTTCTTCAGTTATCATTCTTAGCATTTAAGCATGCTCAAATCTTGAAAAAAAATCCCTTGACCTCAGGGACCCCTTTAACTATTACTTCTATCTCTCTCCTGTCCTCTAGTTTTAAATCTCTTCGAAGAATGCGGAGTTTCCCTAACATTACCTGCTCCCTTCATTGATTCCTTTCCTACTGCAACCTGGTATCTGTTCCCACTACTTCACTGAAACTGCTGCTTCAATGCAAGACAATCAATGGCCAGTTGGTGGCTACGTCTCACTATATTTCTTATTCTAACTGATCTCCCTGAAGTGCTCCCTTCTCTTTGTACGTTTCTGTCTAAGATGTTCAGGCCAAAGACCTGGGAGCCACTCCTAACTCTGTCTGTCCCCTGCTTCTCTGGATACTTGTTAATCAACTCCCTACTGTGCAGTCCTCCCTTGTCCTTTTTAACACTGCTCTGAAATCTCCAACCTCACGGTTTGGGTGAGATTGACCACATTCCATCTCTAGGAAAGGGTCCTGATTTCTTTAATCCAGTCAGCACATCCCATCTTCCCGGCTGCAGTGATTGGCTCAAGGATGAGTAAATAATGCAAGGCAGGGCAATCAGAGTCACTGAGACTCAATTCTGAAACTCTTTTTTGAACCATCAGAGAAGTGGACTTATTTCCTGCTAGACATGAGGGATATAGCCTCAGGAGTGCTGCAGCCATCTTGGGAACTCACACAAGAGGTCTGCTGGAGAGTAGAGTCAGTCTGGAGGCCTGGATGGATGGAGAAATGCAGAAGGAAAAAAAATAGGTCATGGTCATAGACTTAAGTGCTGGCGAAAGCCTTTCCTGAAGCTCCAAACCTATTTTAAAAATGCTCAGTTTTCTTATCCAGTAAGTCCCTTTTTCTTGTGTAAGCCATTTTGGGTCACATTTTTCATGTCTATAATCAGAAAAAAGTTCTGACATAAGGCCCTACATCTGAATCGTTTATCCATAATGTGTTGGAAGTCTGTTTAAAATTTTTAATGAGAAGTTCTTTAATGAAATTTAATGAGCAAACTCAACTCTAACTTGAGAATGAGGAAAGTTATTGAATTTTGTAACAGGAAGTTCCACGAGAAGAAGGCTTCATGACTGGTTGATTCAGAAGCCTAACGCTGTTGCCAGATTCCAGGGTTTTTGTCTCCCTCTCCTATGACATCTTCACTGTTGGCTTAATCATTTGGCCTGGTAACAGCATGGATATAGCAATGACTCATCCAGACATGGCATTTAGATGACGAAAGGAAAGCAGTCTTTCTATAGTGTTTTCCTATCACTGAGGAAGCCTCTCCCTGAAGACATCCAGAAGAAATCCTCTCATATCTCCTAAGCTAGAACTGCGTCTCAGGCCAGTTCCTGCGTGAGATACCCTGGAGCAGTGGGCTTCTCTTCTGGCACATGGCTAGGTAGAAGGCAGTTCTCAGGGAGATAACAGGGAAGATTGGAAGGTCAGGAGGAACCCAACAGGATCCACTATAGCAACAAACAAGAGGCTTCATGACCTGGCTCCTGCCACTTCTCTGACCTTATCTTTTGCCACTCACCTCTTTGTACTTGACCTTGCAGCTCTACTGACCTAAGCTCTGTTTTTCTGAGCATTTTATTCACTCACTTGTGTATCTAAGACCTTAAAGTGTGCTGCTGCCTTTGTTCTAGAAGACACTCCCACGTCCATACCTCATTGTCTACTCATCTTTTGGGATTCATCTTATATGTTACCTTGTTGCTTACCCTGAGAATTGCTCCCTCACTCCTAAGGCTTGGTTAGGGGCCACTCTTCTATAGTCCCAACACACCTCTGCCTGTCCCATTAAAGTGTTTGTCATGTTGCCTTGTAATTACCTGTTTATTTCCTTGTCTTCACAACTAGAATATGACCTTGAGGATATGATTTCTATCTTGGCCTCTGATGTATTACAAAATAATTGAGGCATAGCAGGTGTTCCATAATTTTTTTTTTAGTGAATTTCTAAGTGCATACTCCCCCAAGATCTGAGCCTGTCCAAGTAGTCCTACTAAGGCAAAATATTCTGCCAGTCCTTCCTACTACATATACTCCTCTTTTGAAGGGCAACCCAGAGGAGTTTCTTTAAGAAATCACAGGTCAAGCTCTTGAAAAATTCTTATTTCTAAACTTCTGTCAGCTATACACACTTCAATATTATTTATTTGACAAGGCATAATTAAAATAAATGTTACTTAGGTATAATTTACACACAACAAAATGTAACCACCTTAAGTGTACAATTATATGAGTTTTGGCTAAATTAGATGTCCATGTAACTGCTACCACAATCAAGATATGAAACCCCTACAATTCTCTCATGCCCTTTTCCAGTCAATCCCCTCATCCCTGATACCCAGGAACCACTGATCTGTGTTTGCTTCGTCTAGAATCTCATATAAATAGAATCATACAGTATGTGTTCTTTTGTATCAATTCAAATCTTTAGCTCATTTTTTATTGTGTCGTCTGTCTTCTGCTTGTTTAGTTGTAAGAGCTACTTATTTGTCTCAATATGAGTTCTTTGTTCGACATATGTATTATGAATATTTTCTCCCAGTCTATGGGAGGCTTGTCTTTTTCACCTTCTTAACCCTGTCTTTTGAAGTACATAAATTTTAAGTTTTCATAAAGTTCATTGTCTTAACTTTTTATTTTATGGTGCGTTTGTGTTCTAAATTATAAAAATTTTCTCTTGTGTTTTCTTCTAAAAGTCACATAGCTTTAGCTTTTATATTTAGATGGTGATCCATTTTGAGTAATTTTTGTATAGCATGTGAGATGGGTGTGAAGGTTTATGAATGTCCAGTTGTTCTAGGTCCATTTGTTGAGAAGACTGTCTTTTCTCCATTACCTTGACATCTTTTTTGAAAATCAATTGACCATATATTAATGGGTCTATTTCTAGAGTATTCTGTTTTATGGATCTATGTGTCTCCCCTTATACCAATACTACACCATCTGGATTATTGTAGCTTTAAAGTAAGACTTAAAATGAGGTAGAGTAAGTCCTATAACCTAGTTCCTTTTAAAACATCTTTTAGCTATTGTAGGTCCCCTGTAGTTTTTGAAATACATTTTAGAATCAGTTTGATTTTAGAATCAATTTCTGTGAATAAGTCTGATGGTATTTTGATTATCTTGAATCTTTAGATATTTGGGGACAATTGATATCATCTTAGTATTGAGCCTTCCAATCCATGATCATGGTATATCTTTCCATTTATTCATGTCTTCTCTAATTTATCTCAACAGTATTTTGTAGTTTCCCATGCATAGGTCTCACATATAACATATTTTATTATATTAATCTAAGTATTTTATGTTTTTTATTATTTTAAATGCTAGATATGTGACTGATTTTTAAATACTCAACTGGTATCCTTCATAAATTCACTTGTATTCTAGTGGCTTTTTGTAGATTCCCTAGGATTTTCCATATACACAATCATCATGCTGTCTATAAATAATGACAGCTTTCCTTCTTTATTTCCAATATATATTTTTTATTTCTTGGTATTGCTTTATTGCATTGGCTAGGTCTCTAATATGATGTTGAGTAGAAATGATAAGAGTGCATATCCTTGCCTTGTTCTCAGTCCTAGGAGGAAAGTATTCAGCTTTTTTACAATTAAATATGATGTTTGCTGTAGGTTTTTTTTTTTTGTGTGTGTGTGTGTGTGTGTGTGTGTACGCCATTTATCAGATTAAAGAAATTCCCTCTACTCTGTGTGCCAAAAGGCTTGTTTTGTTTTAATTATAAATGGGTGTTGAATTTTGTCAAATAGCTCTTCTGAATCAATTTTGAATCTCCTATGATTCTCTGAATTGAGTGAATTGCATTGACTAATTTTTTAATATTAAACAAACTCAGCTTCATAGAGTTGTGTAGAGTTTACCTCACCCATGCACAGTTTAGTGTTCAGCAACAGACTCAAAGGGGACTCTATGCAGATTTCTGCTGCTTTTTCTCTATGTATCTCCTTCTTCTCCGGTGCTTTGTCTCATGACTTTCAGTCATCTCACCCTTCTCAATTTAAAATTCTGTCTGAGTGAGAACATCAGACTCTGCTTGGGTCTCATCCTTCTGCATAGCTTCTGAAAAGTACCTCCAGGCAAAGAGCCAAGGTGATCACAGGGATCACCTCGTTTGTTTCCCTTTTCTAAAAGGTCGCCATCCTGTCCTGCCTATTGCTCAGTGCTGCCCCACATATGTATTTTACTTTATGATGGAAAAGTCCTGTACTCATTATACTGATATGACTGAATGTTGAAGTTAGCTGTAAGGATTCTTGATGGTAGAGGTAGCATTTGTTCTTTTCTCTGATTCTTTAGTATTTATTGACTGTTTTCTCTCAGTAAATATTTATTAAAGACCTGTCTAATGTAATGTTTCCTGACCTTTTTGGTGCCTTTTTCTTTTGAAGCTGATACTTTGTTGGCCATCAGCTCTATGTTGGGCACTGATCAGTATTTGATTGTGTTATGCCCTCCCAGGAGCCTATGATATAGGGATTATATTTTACAAATAAAGAGATGAACATGTAAAGTGATAGAGTGACTTATCCAAGATCAAAGTGATTGAATTAGAATTCATCTCTGATTTAAGAACTTAGGCTTTTGGCTGGGCGCGGTGACTCACGCCTGTAATCCCAGCACTCTGGGAGGCTGAGGTGGGTGGATCACGAGGTTAGGAGATGGGGACCATCCTGTCTAACACGGTGAAACCCCATCTCTACTATAAAATACAAAAAATTAGCCAGGCATGGTGGTGGGCGCCTGTAGTCCCAGCTATTCGGGAGGCTGAGGCAGGAGAATGGCGTGAACCCAGAAGGTGGAGTTTGCAGTGAGCCGAGATCGCGCCACTGCACACCAGCCTGGGTGACAGAGAGAGACTCCAACTCAAAACAAAACAAAACAAAACAAAACAAAACAACAACAACAACAAAAAACAACAAAAACAACGTAGGCTTTTAACTATAACAGTGTAATCTCCCGTTGAGATTTTGATAAAATTATGTTTGGATCTTGTCCTTCCAAAGATGAGCCTAATCATAATGCCACCAAGAGGACTCCATATTACTCATTGTCATCTTAAATCCTTGGTGACTTCTGAGTTTTCCCTTTCAAGTCCTACTTGTTCTATATTACTTTTTACAATTATACTTCAAATCTTGTAAGACCCCCATTCCTCTGCTTGTGACACTGCCCTCAACAGGGTCTATAGTGAGTCCGTGGGCATATTCCTGCCTAGTATGACCACCTCCCTTCATGCCGTCTCTTGCCTTACCACTGTATAACACTTAAGAAACTGATCTTAAGAAGGACACTACATGTAGAACGAGTGCACATTTTTTCATAAATGATCATCAGGACGAATTCTATCCTGACTCACTTCCAAGTTAATCTCAGACACCCAGTGCCCAATTACTTAATTGCATGGTTCCTCACCACAAGTGAGCCCTCGGTGCTGCCAGGCAACCCTGCTACATTCCCCAACCCTTTCACTTTCCAATTCTCCTAAGTGGTTATTTTGCAGTTTTCCCCTCCCATTTCTTTTCTTTTATTTGCTTTTTTCTTTTTTCGGAGATGGGGTCTTGCTCTGTTGCCCAGGCTGGAGTGCAGTGGCTCAATCTTGGCTCACTGCAACCTCCGCCTCCTGGGTTAAAGTGATTCTCTTGCCTCAGACTCCCAAGTAGCTGGGACTACAGGTGCACGCTACCATACCCAGCTAATTTTTGTATTTTTAGTTGAGACAGATTTCACCATGTTGGCCAGGCTGGTCTTGAACTCCTGACCTCCAGTGATCCACCCACTTTGGCCTTCCAAAGTGCTGGGATTGCAGGCATGAGCCACCACGTCTGGCCACCCCTCCTATTTCTAAGGCCTCCTTCCCCATCCTCACTTTCAGCTGATGACCTTGCTTTCCTTTTTACTGAGAAAATTTCTTCTGATTGCATAGGTGAATGTCCACTAACTCCCACAACTTCTACTCAATTACTTGCAGCTGACTTCTGCTCTCTGTCTCTCTCCCATTTCTATAGAGAAATTGCCCTTTTCCAAGGCCAATCCCTTATTTTGGGTCTTAGATTCCATTCTCCTTTTGCTTTCTCAAGAACATTGCTCTGATTTTTCTCTTTCTACCACATCACTATTTCTTTTCTTTCTACTGAGTCATTGCCCTTAGCATACAAACATATTGTAATAGATTTCATCATTTTTTTAAAAAAAGTCTCATCACTCATCATCTTCCTTCAGTCTACTACCCCATTCTTCTGTTCCCCTGGGCACCAAAACTCCAAGAGCTGTTTTTACCTACTGTCCTCAGTTCTCTCTCAATCTCTTTTCAACTCAATTTTTCTAAATCTGATAGTCATTTCTATGTTCCTCATTCTACTCATCTTACTGGCAGTAAGCAACAATGTTGATATCTCCCTTCTTCTTAACATACTGTTCTCATTTGGTTTTGCAGACCCCACATTCTCCTGTTTTGTTCACCTCATCATCACTCCTTCTCAGTTTCCTTTGGTGGCTCTTCCTTCTTTTATCGACCTCTCAGCATTAGAGCGTCCCAAGGCATGATCTCTGCATATTTCCTCTTCCTTTTCTACCCTCAGGTTCAAGTGCTGTAATCTCTGTAATCTGCTACTCTGGCTTTAATTACCCAAGTGGTTCTCAGCTGAGGGTGATTTTTGCATTGTCTGGAAACACTTTTGGTTGTCACAACTAGGGGAAGGTGCTACTGGCATCTAATGGCTGGAAGCAAGGGAAGCTGCTGAATATACTAAAATCCACAGGACCACACCCCACAACAATAAAAAGTATTCAGCCCAAATGTGCTAAAGTTGAGAAACCTTGATCTACCCAGACCTCTTCTCTGAACTCTAACCTTGTATGTTTAACTTTCTACTCAACATCCTCATTTGCATATTTCTAGGTATCTCAAAGGTAACATGTCCCAAACCAAAGTTGTGATTCCCCATGCCTCAGCTCAGCTTCCCTAGAAAGCATAACCCAAGACAGGATTATGTGCGAATGCTTTAATGGGAGGTGTGAAGCCAGAACCATGAGAGGAAGAGAAAAGGAGAGTGAGACAGGGAAGGACAGGGTGCAGATCCAAGGAGAAGAGTTACCAAACTAGTTACTGCTTCATGAGTCACAAAGAGACACAGCCTTTTCATTAGACCATGTGGTTGCTTGGCCATGAAAATAATAAAGGTAGAGGGGATTTACCGACGAGCTCCATCCTAGCTTGCATCTCCCACTGGGCAAGCTCCTCTTGGTCCATTGAGCTAATGCACCCCTAGGTTTGTGTTACTCACCTAGGCCTTTTTGCAGTCTTGAGGAATCCAGATTCCACTCCTTGCAGTGCTGTCAACTTCAAGAGGCAGAACTCTGCCACCCATCGAGTTGACTTTTCCAGCAGCACCTGCAGTGGGGCAAGTGGCCATTGGACAAGACAATGGTGAGCTGGAGAGAATCTGAGGAGATGGCCTACGCTGCCCAATACAGTGACAACTAAGACACACAAGGTCTCAGACTTCAAGGAGCTCCTAAGCTGCCCAACACAGAAGATCTCAGAAGACACAGAAGATCTCAGACTTCAAGGAACTCACATCTAGGTAGGAGCGAAACTGTTTGGGACACTCCTGCAGTAAATGATATTACCATTTATCTGGTTATTAAGGCCACAAGCCTAGGAGACAGTCCTAAAACTTTTCTTTCCTCACATCCCAAATTCTGCCATCTCTATTTCAAAATGTAATTCTCTTCCAAAAACTCCTTACAAGCTCACCACAGTCTCCCTCATCTAAGCCAACATTGCTTATGCTACTTAGTAACCTCCAACCTTGTGTCTTGTTTCTAGTAGCCAGAATAATCTCCAAGAAATGCAAATCATATTGCTATATTGATGCATATCCTCCAGTAGGTTCCCATTGTACTCAGAATGAAATGAACTATTCTTACCATAGCCTTAGAGGCCCTGCATGATCTGGGCTCTGCCTGCCTTTCTGACCTACCTTTGATGACATTCTTTCTCAGTGACTTCTTTCTGGCCATACTGGCTCTCTTGTTTCCTGAATATGCTGAGTCTGTCCTTGCCTTGGGACCTTTGCTCTTACACCCATCCTTTCATCTTCCTGTTCCTTGCTCTCTCTTCTTGATGTTTTTTGTTCAAATGTTACTTCTGCAGAGAGGCCCTTCTTATCTGCAAACCTATATTTGTCACTTGCTGTGCCTGATTCTTAATTTTCTTTATCTAACACTATAATGTATGACGTATATGTTTATTGTCTGTATCTCCCACCAGAATATGAGCTCCATGAGACCTGGGACCTTATATGTCTCCATTCCAGTGCAAGGGCACCATCTGGCCCATAGCTGGGGCTGGGCAAATATTTGTTGAATTAATAAATATCTTCAGACCCTTACCAAGGGAGGACTTCCATCAAGAATGCTGAGTTCCAGTTAGCCAGGAGTGATGGCTTGTGCCTGTTGTCCTCCCAGTTACTCCAGAGGCTAAGGTGGGAGGATTGTTTGAGCCCAATACTTCAAGGTTGCGGTGAGCTATGATTACACTACTACACTCTGTCTCAAAGAAGAACAAGAGGAAGAAGAGGAAGAGGAAGAAGGAGGAGGAGGAGGAGAATGCTGAGTTCCCAGCTCACAATTTTCTTCCAGTCCCTTGGAGGTCCAGTCCTGCTGTAAACACATCTATCAGAGATGTGGAAGATTTCCTAATATGCCCCCCAATAAAACCCGGAATTTAGGAACCTGGGATCTCATCCAATCTGTGAATCCCTTGTAGTAAGGCAATCTCCTAATGCTGAGTCAGGGCACATGCATTCACAAGAAGCTAGGAAGATGACAGTCTTAGGGACATTTAAAGGAAGGCAATGGGTTATAGGAAGAGGGAGGTACAAGATAAGGACAGATAAAGTGGAGAATAGGGAAGCTCAGTAGTGCTAGGATATGGTCAGAAAACCCTTGTCTCGTAGGGTTATCCCCAGTAGGGTTCTAGCAGTGGCAGCAGCAACAAAACCAAAAGACTTGGCAGTACTTCAGCTGGGAGCTTCATATTTATATCTTTGTTTTTATTTTTAAATTTTTTTAAAAAATATATTTATTTGCATTAGAACAGCAGTGCAGAAAGGTAGGGATCCCTGGAGCTATTGAGATTGAGGGATATGCGTGTGGAAGGTGGGAAAGGGGAAGAGTTTAATATGGGAAGGAGGAGTATAAGAGAACTCATTGTTCATGAAAGAAAAGCTGGGGTACGGATCTGAAGGAGGGGAGGGAACATACACTTTTGTTTTTCTGAAAGGAATGCTGGCGTCTGAATCTGGAGGAAGGATTTAACTAGTTCCAGACAGGGACTGTTGCACTGCCTGGGCAATCCCGCAGGGGCCCCTGCTTTCCACTAGCCACAATAGAGCGGGAAGGATGCAATCATTGGCTTTGATTAAGGAGGTGGGTGGTGTAGGCGGGAGGCAACGGTGGTGAGAAGGGTGGTCCCAAGGCCGCGGGAGGAGCCAATCAGCGGCGACTCTGGGCTCTTGCAGCCTCCTTAGAGACTCCGCAGCCCTGGAGGTACCAAGCTGCCTGCTGCCTTTTCTCGCGCTGCAGGCGCGGAGATGCAGCGCCTCTGGGGGCGCAGCTCCAGCCGCACTCGCAGGGCAAGGCACACGCCCCCGGCTCCTGCTGCCATGCGCCTCTGCGGGGGACCCTTTCCAAATAAATTGCAAGCTTTGAAAGTGGCCCTGTGGAGGCACTAGGCTGGGGAAAAAGGCTGCGGGAGGAGGGACATAGGGTGGGAGGTGAGTAGGCGACTTGCTTCTCAGATTATTCCCAATTAGCACCAAGTTGGCAGACAACCCCACAAACCCACGAAGCCTTCGGTCCCCCACAAGTCACATTCCCTGTATTTCAGAATAATCGGATCGTAAGAAAACTTCAAGTCCCATCGTAGGTTAAAGAGGGACAGGCTCTTAGTACCGCCGCCGCCCAGTAAAACTACATGGAACAAACCCAGGGATCCTCATCTGCACAGCTCTGCCCAAAGTCTGCAGCTCTGCGAGTCCAGCCGGCGGGGGAAGCTGGGTGGGCCCCGCAGAGAGCAAGGGCCTTCTTGGGGGAGGAGCGGGATGGGGCGCAGAGCAGTGCGATCGAAGAGGGTTACTGTGGGACTGCACAAAAGCAAACCCGTCGGAGGAGTTTTGCCAGAAACACCACCGCCTGCATTGCGTCGGACCTGACCATTTCCAATGTGAAATTCCCGGGGAAGGTCGCGAGCCGCTAGGGGCCGTTCGTGGGCGGGGCGGCGGGCCACAGGGGAAGTAGAGTTAGCGGTCGGCTTTTCTGGTAGGAGAGGAAAAAGCTGTGCTGGCAAGGGTGGGAACTGAATGACAACCCCGCTCTCTTCCAAACCACCCCCTCATATTTTCCATCCACCTCCTCGCTCCTGCCCTCCCCCGCCCTCCCCAACCCACGCCCGGGTGGGCCAATCGCTGCTCGGTATTCCAGGCGCTTTCTCAGGTTTCTGCTGATCTTGCAGCGCCCAGAAATGGACCGAGCGGACCCGCCGCCGCACGCACCCTGCTCCACTCCAAGCTCCTAAGGGCTCCTGGCGCGCCGCGTAGCCTTGGCGAGGTCCGCGCTGGGGTGCGGAGAGCGAAGGGAACTGGAGAGCCATGTAGATCCAGGCTCTCGCCCGCCCGCCTCCTTCGGGATCGAATCAAGGGCTCCCATAGTGTTAGGAGGGGGCGAGAGTGCTGTTTATCGTCATTTGCCTCGGAGCTTCGAGAGAGGGTGGTATTTTGCTTTTCCGCCCCGCATCCTCCGGAACTCCCTGCACCGGAGAGAGGACGGCGTCTCCAGGTTGCTGGCAACCGGTGAGAATGGGGGTAGGGAAGGAACATTTTCGCCGTAGCTGCTCCGTAAAGCGATTGTCCAACTGAGAGGGGCGTCGGACGAGTGGACCAGGGCGGCGAGTTTGCCCGGCGCGTCTCGGATGCTGCTGCGGCGGCCGCCGCGGCTCCCGCCAGGGCACTGCAAAGACGACCTGCCGCATTCCCACTCGGGCTCTCCGCTGACTCAGCACCGCCCCTGCGCCAAGCCAGCCGGCCAGGTAGGGGGTTCCCCAGCTCGGGGATGCAGAAGCGGGGGTTGGGGGGACCGGGTGGGGGAGGCCGGGGGTGCGGGGATGCTGTCCGGGACCCTGAGCTTCCCCCGGCGTCTCTCGGCGCTTTTCCGATCTCTAGTTTAACGAAGTTGTAAACAGATCGGCTGTTGGGCATTGGGGAAAGTGGGATGGAAGAGCCCCAAACTTGGATTTCCGGGTGTCTGCGTGTCGTCTGTCCGTGTGTGTGTGATAGCCCTAGCAAACGTCCAGTGCTTTCTCAAGCTAGAGGTCTGTGTTCTTCGGTGTCTGTAGGTCCGTCCCATCTGAATGCTTCTGATTTTCTACCCCCGTATCACTTTCTATTTCTCTGCAGCGTGCATCGATCGCCCTGGTGGGAGCTTAGAAGGCGGCAGGCGAAGAGGGGTAGGAGGGGGGAGAGCCGAGGAGAAGCAGAGAGGGTGGCAGGCGTGGGGATCTGCCGAGCCGGCACTGCACCGGGTCCTAGGAAGGCTCTCGGAGGGGAGGGGAGGCCAGGGCGACCCCCGAAGCAATGGCCCAGTCCGCTAGAACGGCACTGCGTTAAGGCACCTGGGATCAGGAAGAAATATCTAAACAACAACAACAGAAAACCAACAAACCCCCAAACCCAAACCCAACCCTCTGCAAAAAGCTGCACCCGGCCCGCAGGCGAGGGGGATTCCAAACTGAGTGAAAGGCAGGGTGGAGGGGAAGGCAGCGAGAGGCAAAGTCGCAGATCTCCCGACCTGCTCGTGTTGAAGCACCTCCCCCTGGGCGTGAGGGAGACGCGCGCTCCGGTGGGGGGGCCGCTTGGGTCCCCCCCACCCCTGGTCCCTGGCTGCTTCCCACCCCGGGCTCTCTCCTGGCCTCCCACCCCCGCGCCCGGCTTCCACCATGACGGTGATGTCTGGGGAGAACGTGGACGAGGCTTCGGCCGCCCCGGGCCACCCCCAGGATGGCAGCTACCCCCGGCAGGCCGACCACGACGACCACGAGTGCTGCGAGCGCGTGGTGATCAACATCTCCGGGCTGCGCTTCGAGACGCAGCTCAAGACCCTGGCGCAGTTCCCCAACACGCTGCTGGGCAACCCTAAGAAACGCATGCGCTACTTCGACCCCCTGAGGAACGAGTACTTCTTCGACCGCAACCGGCCCAGCTTCGACGCCATCCTCTACTACTACCAGTCCGGCGGCCGCCTGCGGAGGCCGGTCAACGTGCCCCTGGACATGTTCTCCGAGGAGATCAAGTTTTACGAGTTGGGCGAGGAGGCCATGGAGAAGTTCCGGGAGGACGAGGGCTTCATCAAGGAGGAGGAGCGCCCTCTGCCCGAGAAGGAGTACCAGCGCCAGGTGTGGCTGCTCTTCGAGTACCCCGAGAGCTCGGGGCCCGCCAGGGTCATCGCCATCGTCTCCGTCATGGTCATCCTCATCTCCATCGTCATCTTTTGCCTGGAGACGCTCCCCGAGCTGAAGGATGACAAGGACTTCACGGGCACCGTCCACCGCATCGACAACACCACGGTCATCTACAATTCCAACATCTTCACAGACCCCTTCTTCATCGTGGAAACGCTGTGTATCATCTGGTTCTCCTTCGAGCTGGTGGTGCGCTTCTTCGCCTGCCCCAGCAAGACGGACTTCTTCAAAAACATCATGAACTTCATAGACATTGTGGCCATCATTCCTTATTTCATCACGCTGGGCACCGAGATAGCTGAGCAGGAAGGAAACCAGAAGGGCGAGCAGGCCACCTCCCTGGCCATCCTCAGGGTCATCCGCTTGGTAAGGGTTTTTAGAATCTTCAAGCTCTCCCGCCACTCTAAGGGCCTCCAGATCCTGGGCCAGACCCTCAAAGCTAGTATGAGAGAGCTAGGGCTGCTCATCTTTTTCCTCTTCATCGGGGTCATCCTGTTTTCTAGTGCAGTGTACTTTGCCGAGGCGGAAGAAGCTGAGTCGCACTTCTCCAGTATCCCCGATGCTTTCTGGTGGGCGGTGGTGTCCATGACCACTGTAGGATACGGTGACATGTACCCTGTGACAATTGGAGGCAAGATCGTGGGCTCCTTGTGTGCCATCGCTGGTGTGCTAACAATTGCCCTGCCCGTACCTGTCATTGTGTCCAATTTCAACTATTTCTACCACCGAGAAACTGAGGGGGAAGAGCAGGCTCAGTTGCTCCACGTCAGTTCCCCTAACTTAGCCTCTGACAGTGACCTCAGTCGCCGCAGTTCCTCTACTATGAGCAAGTCTGAGTACATGGAGATCGAAGAGGATATGAATAATAGCATAGCCCATTATAGACAGGTCAATATCAGAACTGCCAATTGCACCACTGCTAACCAAAACTGCGTTAATAAGAGCAAGCTACTGACCGATGTTTAAAAAACAAAGGCAAGCAAACAAAAAAGCCCCACTTAGCAGCTCAAAAGACTTAAAAAACAAAACAGAAAACCTAGTGACTCATGTCACGCTTTGTAGATACTTTACTAAGTAGACTTGGAATGCTCTATTTAACTGTCAATGCGTTGTTGCATTGAGGATTTTGGGGGTGGTGAACCAGAAGCTTTCAAGATCCATGACAAAATAAACTATTTTCCTTTTATTAAAAAATGGGAAAAGAGAGAGTATTTTCTAAAACTGGCTTAAAAAGATTCAGTCCACGAACTAGTCTAGGTAAAATAATAATCATATGCTTCCCCAAACTGAAACATTTTTAATGCTTTGGTTTCTTTAACTTTTTTAAAAACTCAGAACAAGATGATCACTTAGAAATATGAAATTGAAATTCGCATGGGACTCCAGTAAAACATCTTTGCAAACTGCGTAGCACATTGAAGACAGTGCATCAGATGTATTATATGTAACATGATAGACCAGCCAAAATGGACAATGAATAGATATTTTTATTTCGATCAACTGAACTGCATATTACAAGGTGAAAAAAGAAAACTCCGATTACTTAAGACTGGTTCACAAAGCACCTTATAAATTGGATACTGGTCCTGATCTGTAGGGATTTCCCCCTGGGCCCATTCTCTTTCTAATCCAGATTATTCTCTAAGAAAAAGTTAACTGAATTAAATTAATTGATTCTTCTGCAGTGCCGCTAAATGGTCTCAACTGCAGATGAGCCAAATACAGGTCTTTTCTCACCAGGCCTGCACTCCGACCCCTGGCTTTCAGAACTGGATGTAAAACCTTAGCCTCCTTATTGCAAGAGAGCACAAATGAAGTTAAATGTAAGCATGTTTGAATCTGATACAATTTATTTTATAATCGCATGCTGAGAAGTTAACCCAGACAATAGGGGATAAGCTTAAGTTGAAATCGATTCTTCTAAAAATAGATCCTTTTTCATTTGCATTCACCAAAAGTGCACTCCTCCATTTATTAACTATTTTATTAGTAAATAAAGTACTGTATTTAAGTGCATATGTTAGTCAGATGGGAACAATAACTTTTTGGAGCTCAAAGCATGTTCTCTTATTCAGCATTATGGCCTATTTGACTAAGATGTACCTTGAATTAATTAATGCATGATTTCAGTAATAAAAATTTTAAAAGTAATAAAAATTACAAGTCTGTGGGGTGAAAGGCCCAATAGAAATTATGGGGGGTGGGGGTGGGGGCACTCAGTCAATTTTCCTGCCTTTGCTCAGGGAAATACCAGGTTTTTGTGCAGGTATAGGCGGAGAGAGGACCAATATGCCCATCCCTTAAAGGGAAGCCATGTGAAAAACTCAATAAGTCATCAAAGTACATATAGCAACACCTAAGAACAAGTATTCTTTCTAGCTGAAGACAAACACAAGCAACACAAACAAGCAAACAAACAAACAAACAAAAAGGTGCAATACTGCATGTTTTTTGGTGCATTCTTAGGATGTAAATGAAAATGTTTCTCTATTATATGCATCCGAAGCAGAGCTGATTTTTTTTTCTTTGCAGTCATTCTTTGAAGTCTGTAGAGACTTCAGCCCTCCCCTTGAGGCTCCCTGAAGAAACTAAACCAATTGATTTAATAGTTGCTTAGTGCCTTTATCCTGTACCCACAGTGAACTGTAGAAAGTGCCTCCTTAACACAGCTGAGAAGTTAGGTAGCAAAAGTGGGGAAGGGTTGGGGCACAGACCTTTTGCTTTTTCTTTTTCCATTCTCGCTCTCTCATTTCACCACTGTGAGAAGACCACACCACCCTAAACCCTGGAGAGGAGAGACCCAGGAGGGTGCTGTCTCTCTGGCCATCTACTAGCATTGGTCCCTTTGACAGCCTGACGCTGGATGTGAACTGAGACCCATCTTTGAACTGGACATGAACTGTGAACTTGTTTTTTCCTCTCTCCACCAAAGCCAAGATAAACTTTTTGGGAATTTGTTTCCTATCGAGGGCCACTTTGGACACACAAGGCTTCCTCAGGTCCAGTGTAGTGCTCCTGGCACCTTTCCTTATTTTTTTCTCTGTCGGTAACAGCACTTTGCAAATCTCTCTGACGGTCCAGTCTTTTCAGGCATTGTTGTGGATGTGGGAACACTCAGTTCATAATAACCTTTCCTAGGCCTTCCCTCCTGGTCTACCCCTTTCAGATATTTCCTGATGCCCCTATGATCTTCCCACCTGGCAGTCACTTCACAGGTTGAACATCTAACTTCTGCTGCCCCCCCGTTACCCAGCCCAGAGAATGGTGGGGACCCTGTTCCTGGCTGAAAGAGAGCCACGGAACACAGGCCTCTGGAGCTCGGCAGCTGCCCACCGGTGGAGAGGTACTCACAGCCTTTCAAAGGACCCTGAGGTGGGGAATCTTCATTCTGCACTTAGCATGTGGCTGCCTGTTACCTGACATTCTGGCCCAGCTTCTTCTGAAAATCTGTCCTGCTTCTCCCACCCCTTTCCCCCATCCTGTCCTAGAACTAGCAGTGAGGCAATCACCCTAGAAACTCGAGTTACACCCATTCTGGCTAACTCGATTAAAAGAAAGAACATGGATATCTTATTTTCCTATGTGACTTTTGTGAATCTGTGAGATGAACACAACACACATCGTGGAAGATGAGGGGCCAAGAACTGCGCAGCATCCGACTACAGGGCATTAAACCCTCCCATGTGATGTCTCCTTCTCGTCTGAACCTTAACTCATTCTGGCGATTCCTTTCCTACTTGCTTAAAAATCCCCAATTAGGAAAAAAATGCCAACCTCCTCCCAGGCTTGGGGTTATCTTGATCTTTCATTTCAACGTTGAGGTCTAGTGCACACAGAACTTGAAACACCGCACTCTGTCAACAGCAATAATCCACTCAGTACTGTGGGATGGATGGGTTAATGGATGAGAAAACGGCACCAAGACTGACTTTGGGTATTTGGTATATTTACCGTGGTTACACTCTGGACTGGTTGATTCTTCTGCATGTGATATAGAAAAAAGTGCTGCATGCGGTGAACCTGTCAGTCTGGGACTGGGGGTGAGTTGTTGTTATGAGTTTGGGGTGGTGTGAGGAAAGTGAATGCTGCTTAGCTCATCTGTAGCTCATTGCAATGAATTCAGTAAGAATGGAGTACAGGGATTATCTGTGTAGCATAGGCATGCAATGTTTGACCAAGCTCTTACCCTCGCACTGTAATGTGTTGAAATGTCTTTGTAGACCTGAAGGTGCACTTAACAAAACTGCCTATTAAGGGATGACTATTTTTTGGTTTACTTATTCATATTTATTTTAGCAGCCTTTTTACCTTTTCTTCCCCTTCCTAGGCATGGAGCTGTAACAGCTCATGTCCTGACTATGTGTTTTCTCCAGAAGGAGAAGACTTCTGATGTGCTGATAGCTATAATTCCTCTCTTCCAGTCTATTGGGGCCCTAGTTCAATAGGGTGGCAATAGAAGAGTTGGTCACACCAGGGCTGTTAGCCATCCCAGAATCTCTGAAGTGGTTAACTCACCTGAAGTGATCTGAATCAGAGAGACCAAAGACATTCATTTCCTCTGTCCTCAGATTTCTAGAAGACAAATTCTAGCCAGGAAAACTTTCTGTTTTTGCATCTCCCTTTTCCCATTTGTGCCCAACTCCCCTTGCACTCCCTGGAGACTTGAGTTCTGATTTTCAGTTATATCAGCTCATTGGGAGTGTGTTCGTGGGTGAGCCTTGCAGAATCAGATAAACCAATAGCAAGTCCTTCTCCAGGATTCTGGCCAGTGGGCAGTCATTTCCCTGAAATGAATTGTAGGGCAGGTTTAGATTCCACTATGGTGGACGTGAAGCACAGGTGGTGTCACAATCTTGATTTGCTTGAGAATTAAAAAAATACATGTAAATGGTAAATGAGGAATACATTTTTTTAAAGTAGAAATTTGGTTTAGCCTATAAAAGGCCTTCTTCACATTGTGTATAGTTACACGTTTTTCAAATTAGGTACCATCTAAAAGTCAATAAAAATAGTTTCCTAGCCCTCTCATTTAATATAGGAGACCTCAAAACACATGCTTTTTAACAATTTTACATTTTAATTCTTAGTTTGGTAGATTGGATTGAAAGAAAGGAGAAAGAACATTAGCAGAAGGCACTTTCCCATTTTCTTCCAGGAATGACTTATTCCTGGGGTGGTGAGAATTGGTGGGTGGTAACCATCCATAGTATAAAATTGTTAGAAAGAATATAAACTGCCAAACAAGCATGTTATCTTCAGGCTTTTCCAAGCAAGAATGAAGTCTTTTGATGTTTATGTTCATTTTAAGAAGACAAACAAACTAAAATTTTAAGACCAGACACAACCCAAGTTGAATTGTGATCTCAGGAGGTGAACTCTCATTCACCATGTGGCATATTACTACCTGTATTTATATCATGGAATTTCAGGGTATATGTGAACATGTCTAGTATGACTCAGGTAAACCTTTAAAGAATGTATGTTACTTACCATTTTTGTAAAGAAGCAAACAGGAGCTGAATTGTTAACCAAAACTGTTCCATTACCTTGGGTCACTGTGCAAACTAATTCAGGGTACAGATATAAAGTTTAGAAGCCTTGGGATTAAATGCCAGCCTCTTTGCTCAGGCAAAATGACCCTGGGCTTTCTTGGGAAGTCCAGCATGTATGTAAGGGGTGAGGCCCTGCTGACCTCAGGGCTTTTCGCTTTAAGGAGATTAACCCTAGTCACAGTGATTTTCATTTAGGAGCTAACTAGGAGTTTACTCTTTATGACGTGAAACTTCAAAGAGTATAGAAAACTTTTGTACCACAATCAAAGAAGAAGAAATGGTGTATGGAAAGAAAACAAAACAAAACAAGAAATCTCTTGTAAAATATTCCAGGTCAAAGTTGTCTCCTCTCCAAACCTTGCAGAAGCACCTTTCTTCTCTTCAGCGCACTGTTTTGGGACTGTTTATGCAGCAGATGTAAGTAGACAACATGGACTCCATGTGACATGCCTCTAATAGTAAAGATAAAGTATTACTGAGGTTAAAAATAAAAATTGAGTAGTATTAATTTAAAGTGCACCATCAGGACAACAAACCATTTAAGCTGAAAAAACGCTATTTTATTTCTTGAGTTTGCCAGTTGCTTCCACCTTGAGTTAAGGACGTGTCTCATCTTCACCTACTGCGCATTCTCCCTTCTCTAACTGTGTAATATGTCAGGTCAAGGACATTGAATGTTATGAATTGAGAACCTAATTGATGCGCATAGTTTTCATCTATGCAATTTTACTTGCTTCTGTCACTTTACGATCTGTTCATATTTGGCATCAATTAAAGATACTTTTTAAGGATCTTATCAAGGAATATCTTGACTGGTTATTTGTCTCTTGTTTAACTGGTCTTTTGGGGGCCCTTTTCTTCCCTTCTTCTGTGGGGTCTCTTTAAATAGTGGGGTGAATCCAAGATCAGATCATGAAACAGACTTGTTTCCTTTGGCCCACGTGGTCTGTTTCTGCTGTCCAAGGACATATCCGGGGGTTACCTTTTGAGGATAAATTCAGTTTGGTCTCAGGTAAGATCCCAAGTGAAGACCACTGGAATTTGGCCTGTGGAAGTTAGAGTGGAAGGAGGATCAAGCTTTCAAAATAAAACAAGAAATGAGGCTCAGGGGAACAAAGTAATTGGTTATATCCACTTAAGTTGTTTTGATTTGAAACTAGTTTTTATGCACAGTCTGAGAAGCTTTGCAGGAAGAATAATTGTGGGTGTGTGTGTGAGAGAGAGAGAGGGAGACAGAGACAGAGACACGACTGTGTGTGTGAGTGTAACAGAGTTGTGGTCTGGAATCAACTGACTTGATAGTTGCAGTGTGGTGTTAGGAGTGATTTTGATGTGGAAAAACAACGTGGCTCCTATCCATTCTTTACACAGGCTTTTTCCATGTAGTTCTACATGTTCACATTTCTTTCTTTCTGTTTTTTTTTTTATGACTCCTTGTTGCATTTCCTTTTGATTCTTCCTGAGATTTAGATCTTCTGTTTTCCTCCTTGTGAATATCACATTTTCTACACATTCTTTTATGTCAGAGCAAACAGGGGGAGGTGCTCTTGACAGCGGTCTGTTACATGCTAAATGCACTGGGTGGTTGGTGCATTATCGTAGAAGAGTATTGCGCTGTGATAGGTTCATGTTACAAGATTTGCAGATGAATCTTGCTTTTGCTGTATAAGTTACCACTGAAAGTAGACTACAAAGCTGGGCAGGCTGCCCATGATTTTTCTCTTGTGGTCAGGAAACAGGCCAGGCTAAGCTCTGACAGAGAAGGTAAGAGACAGCCCAAGACACCCCAACAGCAGTGGATGTTTCTCAAAGCTCAGCCTTAGAATGGTCTTCTTAAAGCAGAAACAGATAGAACCAGGTAGCTGCTAGGAATGGGGCTATAACTGGGAGCTTTGTTGTTTACAAAGCTTTAAAAAGAAGTCAAGTCAGTTTAAAGGGGAAGAACAGAGAGCAGATATGATCTGAAGTCAGCTACTCTGCCACTGGGTGGGAAGCTGCCTGCCGCAGTCAGTCCTGATTTCTGGATTCTGACCAGGCTTGAGTGTTGAGGGAGGGCCAGCCCTAAGGCTGAGCAGAGGTGCCTGGTGGCAAAATACTGAGTGGATAAGACACAGCATGGTAGGCAGTATACCTGGAAAGCAGCCCTTTGAACCAGCTCGAAAACAGACAATTTACGACATCTTATTTAATTAATTAAATCTAAGATACCATTAATTGTAAGATGCAGTGTTATCTGACATATTTGTAAGAAAGAGAGAACACTGACAATTATGACCTGCCTTTGCATTGATTCATCCCAATTTTACAGATGTAAAAAGGTAAAAAGAGGAATCTTAGAATTGATACACTATAGTGATTCTAATATTTCCCTCCCCCGCTTTTGTTTCCTGGCGTGGTTAAATGTTTGAATTCTGATCCCTTAAATTTGGCAGTTTTGTGCAGATGTGAACCCTGGCTAGAACCTTTAGATCTTCTTTTAACTATATTTTTATCCCTCAGTATTTTTCTTGGGCCTGCCGCTGACTTAGGCTTCGTGCTAGGCATTGGAGGTGTGTTAGTTGACAAAGCAATGTGCTCTACAGATCCTTTGCCCAGCGAAGGACTGAAGACTTAATTGTGATATATGGAAGGAGGCTGGTCTTGTGTTACTCCCTCTCTCACCCTATAAAAGCACTCCCTCTATCATCAGATGTTCAGAATCATCAGCAGCCCTTTGCTTTTAAAGTTCAAAGCAACCCGGCACGTTCATTCCCAGTAAGGTGCTAACAGCAATGCTCCCAGTTTGGATAGCTCTCTTTCCAGTTTTCAAACCCTTTCCACGTTAGTTATATTGCTTTATTCTACTCAGTGAATTAGGTTGGGCTGATATTGCTGTCTTTATTTTATAGGCACAGGGATCTACCCCCAAGATTGCTGGACAGATGAAGCCAGCCTGGGTTTATTGAAGATTCTATGGGCCAGTGTCTGGCACACAGTAGGGGCTCTGAATGTTTATTGAGCTGATCAAATGTTGGAAAGTGTAATGTTACATGGTAAAAAGAAGCCAGTGGATTTTGTGTAGGCATTTAGCCTTTTTGAGCCTTTAAATTGCTTTTTTTTTTTTTTTTTGAGATGGAATCTCACTCTGTTGCCCAGGCTGGAGTGTAGTGGCGTGATCTTGGCTCATTGCATCCTCTGCCTCCCAGATTCAAGTGATTCTCCTGCCTCAGCCTCCTGAGCAGCTGGGGTTACAGGTGGTGCCACCACACCCCGCTAATTTTTGTATTTTTGTAGAGGCAAGGTTTCACCATGTTTACCAGTCTGGTCTCGAACTCCTGGCCTCAAGCGATCTGCCCGCTTCAGCCTCCCGGAGTGCTAGGATTACAGGTGTGAGCCACTGTGCCTGGCCTAAATTGCTCATTTCTAAAATACAAATATAATAGCTCATAAGTTTGTGTGGATTAAATGAGATAATATAGGTCCACATGTTTGGCAAATTCTAATGAGTTTCATCACTGTGAGATATTAATAGATATGTTATTAATTACAAGGACAAAAGAAAGAGCAGGAGGAGGCCACTGCATCAGTCCTCCCCAGAAGGGGAGCCACATTTTAAAGGAAGACTCCAGAGAGATCAGGTGCCTAATTCAAATGACGTCTTGTATGATGGCGGATCTGAAGACTTGGGGCTGAGTTTTTTTCAGTAGGAACTTCAGTTCATCCTTCACATAGTACCAGGCATACAGCAGCCTCCCAGGACCCTCAGCCATTATGTCTAGCCCTTGTTCCTCCCTTGCCCTGTGGCATTAATACTATTTCACATCTTCAGACCCCCAGTGTGAAGGTTAAGCTGTGCCATGCAGTAAGCTGAGGAACAAGAAGGGATCTTCAATAATTATATTACTTCTGATCACCTCATTTCTCCTATGTGCAAAATATTGTCTGATTTGATATGTTTTCTTCCGCTTGTGAATATTGAAAAATCAAGCAAGATGCTTGGGAAGGGCTCTCATATGCTTGTCTGAGAGTCATTTTATAAATATAAAAATTTATTATAAACTGTCCTTGCTAAAAATAAAACAATGCTCACAAGCATACATGAATCAATATAGTCTTTTCTTGAATAGCACATGCTACACAGATGCTTATAAAAATTTATAATTATAATATCTCTACAGCGGTCTAGCTCTTCCTTCTTAAAACCGATTGAATTTAAACAGCAGTAAACTTTTGCCTGCATTTCTTTAGGAACTTCACTGGAATTAAAGTAAGGAGTTAGAATCAATCTGTTAGAATCTTGGGTTCACAAAACATTTTTCTAGAGGATAATATTCAGGGGCTAGATAGAATTCTTTAAATCTTAATCATTTTTTAAAATAGATGTTATGCAGTTTGTCCATGTGTGCTAACATATTCTCAATATTTCAAGTGTTGAGCATTAAATGCACTGTAGGAATGTTTCCAGATAAACTAATTCCAGTTGAAATTTATTTGTTTCAGAATTGAAATCAGAGGATGATCAATAAGTAGGGACTAAGTTTAGAATAATTACGTTTTTGGGCCCAAGGCCAAATTCAACTTTTGTTAAAAATGTTTATTCCTCAGTATAATGAATTAAGAGTGTTTGGAAACCCCAAATGCTTTAATTATCTCTATAGTGATGACACTTTTTTTTTTTTGCATTCCACTCAGCATCATTATTTCACTGCCTCAGAAAGGAACCAATTTTGTTTTATGTGAGTTTCAAAGGGAATCTTTCTGAGACGAAGATTCACTGTACATTGCATTCCTCTTTCATTAACAGGTAAAACATTTTTTAGTATTAAGGAGAAAGTTGTGCATGTGTCAGCCTTAAAAGATGGAATGCCCACCTCAGTTTTTGAAAGATCAAAGGATATTAGCTTATTGTTAAAGGAAGTTTCTAGTGAAGATGGAATAGCTGTCTTAAGTTTACACAGGGTGAAGATCACTTTTTTGGCATTTACAAAATAATGCTCACCCCTGATGGATAAAAACAAGTACTCAAAACATAATTTAATCATGGTGTTGGTGATACAAAAAAGAAAATTGTTTAACTTTATCCCATACAAAGTAATTAGTGTGCTGGAAGAAGACTGTTTGCCCACTGCAAGAATTTCCAAGTAGTGCATTAGAACCGAATGTTTTAAGCCAAAGACACCCACCAGGTATAAAGCAAGGGCAAAAGAAGATTGCTTAGCATGTGAAAGCCAAATACTTTATTTTAGTTATAATGCCCAAGAATTTGCAGCAAGAGTATGAAGCGTAAAATGAGGATGATGACGTTTAGCTGACCAAAGGTGGTAAGTTTGGCCAGGGCAACTTTCCAGTCTCTGGTTTTCAGATAGATGATTAGGAAGCAGAATGATACTGGGAAGATTTGACATCCTTCTTACCTGTTGAGCAATATGCAGTATATCTAGTCACTCAATAAGTACCCGAGGCTAAAATGGTGACTAAAACAATGACTCGTCAGTTAATGCTATTTAATGTTAAGTGATGGACTCTGATGCTGTTTTTAAAAAGCCATGTAAATCATCCAACATGTCAATTTTGTGTGCTCAATGGTCAGCCAAATACGACAGAAATGGTTATTGGACTCTGGACTAAATTATCCAGGAATTTTGCTGGTGTTCAGTATCGTAGACTCTTAGTTATCACAGATTTTGTAGACATAGTCTTGCAGAGAGGAAGAGGAATACATTAGATGACTTTAAGCTGTGATCTTGGGAAGCCTTAAAATTCTAGTGTTTGATACTAAAGGGCAACATGTCATGAGTCCCAAAGCTACGTACTGACCTAAGTGGCAAATGATTAAAGATGATTGTTAAAAAGCAGAGTCTTATAATGGCTATAGAGTAGGGATGATTGTTTTTCATTTAACTGCATTTTCTTTATACCTGATGAATATATTAGGCAAAATCTTTACCATTCACATAAATTATACAATTACTCTGTGAATGAAAATTCTGAACTTCTCGGCCTGTTACAGCAATTCCCAACTTCTCTGGCTGGGCTGACATTGAACTTTTATTATATTGAGTTCAGTTCCCCAATTCAGAAAACATAGTAATCGGGATTTTCAACAAAAACGGTTGTTCTTGGTGTCCTTTCCTTTGGGGAGGAATCTTTATTTTGGGTCACTTTGACAGAGTTTGTTGTTTTAATAAAAATAGTTCATTATTAATTGAATTCACTCTCAAAACCTGTAGCCTGAACGTTTCCAGAGAATATATTTCTTCTTCATTCTGCTTAAGACTGGATTGGTGCATTCTCCACATATATCCCTGCTTTCTTCAGAGGTCAGAGGTTGGCAGTTAATTTTGCTAAAAAATGATTTATGTTCATAGACCATCTGGGATTTGATTTGTTAGAGCATCATCTTTTGGACTGATGAGTGTAGACATTCTAATATTTCTTGAGAGTCTTAAAAGTTGTTTTATTGTCACTTTAGTGAAAGTGGGAAAGGAGAACTCGGCACTTAACTTGAAGATAGAGAAATGGGACTCTAAAAATAAGTGTTGGTAGAGAAGTCTCTGGAATTTGAATTATAGTCCAGATATATTTCATCTCTTGCATAGGCTTTAAACACCCATACATCACTTATTTGGGGTCCCTGATACTTGTGTCTCCAGGAAAATACCTATTCCCATCCCTGGTTCATGCATACATGGGTGAACATTGTCATACACACACAACAATATGCATGCACACACACCCATACACCTGTCCATGAACCTGTTGGTATCACCCGTGCTATAGGGCAGGTATGTGTTAGCCCCAATGAGATAGCACTTTCAACTGATACTAAAGATTTGTCTGCTGGACACAGTGGCTCATGCCTGAAATCCCAGCGCTTTGGGAGGCCAAGACAGGTGAATCTCCTGAGCCCAGGTGTTTGAGACCAGCTTGGGCAACATGGCAAAACCCCATCTCTACAAAAAAATACTAAAATTACGTGGGTGTAGTGGTGCATGCATGTAGTCTTGGCTGCTTGGGAGGCTGAGGTGGGAGGATCAACTGAACCTGGAAGATGGAGGCTGCAGTGAGCTGTGATAGCACCACTGTACTCCAGCCTAGGCAACAGAGTGAGACCTCATCTCAAGAAGAAGAAGAAAAAAAGACTTGTCACCACCCCTTTATAATTAAGCAGAACACATTTTCATAAAGAGATCATAATAAAATTTTCCATTTTGTAATTAGAGAAATTGCCACTCAAATGAAGGAAAAAGCAAAACCAAAGAGCAGAAGTTGAAGATCCCAGGATATTTTCCTTTGGGCCCAGGGTGCACATCACAGCGAATGTGGTGAGGAGCACTCTGATTCTTTCCTGCCTGGTCTATGCTCCATCTGCTCCCCGGACAGCTCAAGTGCACAAAGACAAACAGTGGGCCTGGGGCAACAAGATGTACGTGGAGCTCTGACATGGCTGGAGATGTGGCCATCTCTGAATGCTGGTCTATTCCTGCCTGGGCCATTGCCTTCTACTTCGTTAAATTAAAAAAATGTGTATTTTCTGTCCTATGATCTGCTGAGCTGAGAAAGTGACATTTCTAAGTGGAACACTAGGCTTTAAATTTTTAAGCTTTAATTTATCACCTTAAATTTGTAGAATTTGGGTTTGTGGACCAATTCCATGTCTCTTTGCTACCCCAAAATTTTGTTTGCTGGTTTAGAAATATATGTGATAACAAGAATATCCGTCTCAGCAATGCTATCTGGCTGAATTACTAATGCTACACTATTTTGATTCTTTTTGAAGAAAAGTGCTTTTCCTCTACAAATCCCAGTGACACTCTTCAAATTTGGATTCATGTAAGACTTGTCATAAATGAATAAAAATGTAAGTGATATAATATGCTAAAGGCATGCAGTTTTAGTATTATTTAAATTCATGCCTCGGTAAGCTTGGGCCTTCTGGCTTTATTTAAATTCTAACACCGCAGAACCTAGAAAAGGTGTACATTTGTCTACCCCATATACAAATATCACATAATTTAATGGCATCTTAGTTAAAGAGGAAATAAGTGTTTCCTTTATATTTTTTACAATTCATGAACAACTTTCTCATACATCATCCTATTTGACCATCACACTAGACTCTTGAGGTGGTGGGTACGCTATATGTATTTCTTTGTGCATGAAAATTGTAGGGACATGGATGAAGCTGGGAACTCAATTTTCATGCAGAAAGAAATACATATGCTTACCCACCACCTCAAGAGTCTAGTGTGATGGTCAAATAGGATGATGTATGAGAAAGTTCTTCATGAATTTCACTCATAGGTGGGAATTGAACAATGAGATCACATGGACACAGGAAGGGGAACATCACACACCGGGGCCTGTTGTGGGGTGCGGGGAGAGGGGAGGGATAGCATTAGTAGATATACCTAATGTTAAATGACGAGTTAATGGGTGCAATACACCAACATGGCACATGTATACATATGTAACTAACCTGCACATTGTGCACATGTACCCTAAAACTTAAAGTATAATTAAAAAAAAAAGAAAAAAGAAAATTGAGTTCCCTGGGAAACAGACGAGGAGATGAAGATTATGTGCGGGAAGATTATTAGGGAGTGCTCTTGGTATGATGCTTGAGGGGAGAAAGGAAATGCTGAACAGAAGGAGAAGCAAAGCTGCAATGCAATCAACACAGAGGCCAAGTCCTCTGGGAGGGAGCTCTGCAGAAGCTAAGATGGCCCTTCAGAGTTGTCCTTAGTTGGCACAGGGAGGTGAGGACTTCACACTTCTCTCATTGACCTGTCCATGGGTGCAGCTGCCCTGGGAAGGAACATGACCTTGGGCAAGGCAACTCTGTTGTCAGAGGCAATTCCCCAAGAGAGCTGATGGCTGAAGGTACTTCTAGAAGCTGGAGTATAAGTTCTCCAATAGTGAAGGGGATCAGGATATGACATCAGAGCACTGACTATGGCAGTATAATACATTTGTTTGTGGCCAGAGGGAAGGCACCAAGAAAGAAAAAGATGAACAGTAAAGCACAAGGAACACTCATGCAAGGGATCATCAGTTTCTAATAATCAAGAGTGGACTGTAGTTTATAAATTGACTTGTTAAATGCACAAAGTGCTCTGCGGCCCCTGGAGATGACCCTTTCTAATGCACACCAGAAGGCAGCCTCTAGACTAGCCTGAGCTCTCTTGTATGGATCGAGTTCAATTATTAATCAGAAGCGATGGGTGATGCTGGCTAATGCTGCCTAATGGCACAGACTGGGTCATTGTGCTCTTCTGTAATGCGTGTTCAGAACATAGGTTTGATTGGAACTGATACAGCCTGCTCCTCCCTTGTCTGGACCCCTCAGTGGTGTAATGCTTTGAGGCCCCAGTGAAATGCACCAAACCACTTGCGTGACTTAATGCATCTGTATAACGTTAGCACTTCCTCTTAATGTGTCATATGGATGATAAAGAAGTGCCTGGAAGGGAGCTGGTGGGAAGGGGGCTTTTAAAAGCAAGCCCTCAGCCCGTGTGGTACTATCACCATGCCCCTAAGTGTTTTTGTGGCCAGTTTAGAAGTACTCGGCATGGAATTAATACACCTGGATCTTCATTAAGACAGTCAACTTGGCATTTGGTCCAGAAATGACAGAGTTATTTAGATTTTTCATCTGAAAACAGATCTCAGGGGAACTCATTGTTTGGGCAGCTTTGCACTTGGATCTGAGAAAACCTGTAGGCTACGTGATTACTGGTGATTCCTCTATTACTCTGTGCCTTCAAACTGTTAGCAAGAACTTTGTATTTTGCGAAAATGTCCAACTTGTTTCACCAGAAACAGAGCAGATTTGAAACTATTCAGAAAACAAATATGATTCCCCAAACTTCTGCCATTGTGTAGTATTAAATCGCAGTTGTGTTGGAAATCTAGGTTTCATACTTTAAATCCTGAACCTTAGCATTTTAATACTTGAACTTTAGAATAGAATGCCAACTTCTTTTAGCTTAGGTATCAAATCATAGATGCTCATGGATCCCTGCAGTTTACAAATGAACCATTTAAGGAGTAAAACTGGATTAGCCATATTTATGGCAAGCCAGTTTCAGAGGTGTTGAAGACCCTGTGATACTTGGATATTGCCAGAATTACTGGGGCCTTGAGACTACCAGAAGCTGGCAGGTCTCTGAACAAAGGAAGAGAGAAGATGGGGGAGCCTCCACCTCAAAGGTTTGGCTCTCTGACCTCCACACTGGAAATACTGTCTATGTATGTTGCTTTGCAGAGCCTTTACTTTCTTACTTACCTTTCTTTCTGACTTTTCATTAAATTTTTCCAACCACCAGTAAAAAATAGCTAGTTATGACCTTATTTCCAAATCAGGCTCTTCTAGAAAAGTGACCTGTTGGGAAGAGCTGAGTTGGAACAGAAAAGTCCATTTCTTTCTGGCACCCTGGCAACATCATAGAAGTTCTCTCGTTCTTCCTAGAAAAATGAGCAAGTCTCCCCAAATGGATTCCCTTCTCTCTTCAGAGCTGGACAACAAGACGAGAAAGTCTCTAAACAAATGAGATCATTAACACTGAAGTGCCCTCTGGTGAAGGAAGGCATTATTTCTACGACGTAAACTGAATAGACATACAGAACTGATAGATTCACTTTTGCAAGTAAAAATATTTGGTCCTACCTAAGACTCTACTGATCCACTCTTAGAAATTTACAGGGGACAGGGTACGGTGGCACAAGCCTGTAATCCCAGCACTTTTGGAGGCCAAGACAGGTGGATTGCTTGAGCCCAGGTATTCAAGACCCACCTGGGCAACATAATGAAACCCCATCTCTCTTAAAAATACAAAAATTACCTAGCTGTAGTGGTGCACACCTGTAGTCCCAGGGAGGCTGAGGAGGGAGGATTGATTGGGCCTGGGAGGTATAGACTGCAATGAGCCAAGATTGCGCCACTGCACTCCAGCCTGAGTGACAGGATGAGACCCTGACTCAAAAAAAGAAAAAGAAAAGAAAGAAATTTACAAGGGTGTGAAGTTCTGAGTTACCTACCCTCTTGCTGAATTTAACTGTGATGAATGCCATGTGTCTACATGTGTGTAAGGAGCCTTTGGAGGCACAGATCCACGTCATTTTCCTTCAAGCAAAGTGCACCAATGGCTGTTGGCAGCACATCTGATCCTGGCCTTTGTCATTACCCAGACTTCCTCTTCAAATTTGACTATCTCAAACAGCACAGCTTCTATTTAAACAGAATTTTAATTCATCCACATTTAAAGGTGGAACAATAGAAGACTATTATCGTTTTCTGGGTCTCAGGTCACACAAAAACTGGAATCTTGAACACAAGCTGCCAAGTGACATCCTGAATATTACAGAAGATCTAGGAATCAGCTGGAATTTCATTACATTTCGTTGGGAAATAGTGGGTAATGGTATGAGATATGTTACAGGTTAAGACTAATTCTTAGAACTGTATTGGTCAAGGCAGTCTGGTGAGCACAAATGCCAGTCCAGGGCTGGAATAGACAGAAAAATCTAGACAATATGCAAGACCGGGAATATTTTTAGTTACTATGAAATGAATAATTCTTGGCTGCCAGCTCCTTAAGAGAGAGGATTAAGGAAGTACATCCTTGCCTTAGAAATTTTCTCTCTGGGTCTTTGCAACTGTCATGCAGTGGCAGCCTTGGGGCCTCTAGTAACATCTTGGGCAGTATTTAGGTGAGAGTATTCTTAACTCAGTGGCGGCCTCACAAAGGCGCTCACTGTAACGTAGAAGGGTTTTTGAGGGATTTTTTTTTTTTTACTCACTCGGAAGCAAAATCTGAACTCAGAACCTCCCCCCCGCATTTATTAAGTTGCTATGTTCGAGTGTCCTGTAGTATTCATAGCTGATCTTTTGTGTGTGTGTGTGAAGTGTTAAGAGACAACTCCTTATTTCCATCGTAGCACTGAGATCTTTACATCGAGAGAAGCTACAATTGTTATTTGGACCTTGCCTGTAAGCCAATGACAACAAGATCTGATACTAACAATGACTTGGATATGTGTCATAGAGTCATAGAATCTCAGAGTTGACCTGAACTTTAAAAGTAATCTCTGTCTTTCACCTGTTTCATATTTGAACCACCTTAATACTATCCTTGCCTGGTTCACATCTTTTCTGGGTGTGTTACTCAAAGAACTTGCAGTTACTTGTTTACACATCCAGCTTTTTATTATTATATCGATGTATCATAAGCTTGATTTTATAGATGACGAAGGGCAGCACAGTAGAAAATGTCTAACTGCCGAAGGTCATAAATCCAAATGCTAAAAGAGATAAAAGTCAGGAATCCTGATTCTTCAACTGGGATTTAGTTTATGTGGTCTCATACTGATATGAAAATAAGTGATCTGATGCAAGCTTAGAAAGATGGTGAAAATAGCAGTTAATGTATTTTATTCACATGCCCGCGTTAAGTCAGCCTATCTTGACACAATGGTTATTTAGTATGATGTTAGGAACATTCTTTTAAGCCAAATCTAAAATGCATTTGTTTTTACAGACAGAAATAAATTTGAAATTTGCAAAAGCCCATTTTAAAAATAAATTTGTTGAGGTCTTCCTACTGCAAGTTTGTACATGATTGCATATTTTACCAGTGCTGTATATTGTAATATTAAATGTTAGATTTTTTTTAACATGCCAGACTTCATTTTATCAGCCTAAGCATTTGCACTTAAATAATATCAGGCTTTGGTTAAATAAAAATTTTAGCAGAAATAGATCGACCCACTTTTTTGGGTGTCATTATTCTCTGCTTTAAAAATATTAATGCTTCCCTATTATACAGAGGATAAAGCTCAATCTCCTTAGCATGGTAAAGAAGGACCCTACAAATCTAACACAGCAAAACTACCTTGTGGCAGGGGTGCACTTCCTTCTCTGCTCTCTGAAGTAGCTAGCACTCAAGTAATTTTCATTTCACAATATCATTTTCTGCAACTTCACTTTGTGCATCTCGTATTTATTTCAAACTCACAGAACCACCCAGCATTTCTAAACATTATAGTAACGTCATATGTATTGTTATTACAGCTTTGCATGCATTGACCTTTGCCGGACCTTGTTTTGCCCTCCCACTTTTATTCTTACTGGATCCATAAAGACCCAGCTCAGACATCACCACCACTGTATCCCACAAAGATTTGAAAAATATATTTGAATGTGAATTCTTATTTGTCTCTGTCACCCCCACTACCCTGAATTCCACCAGAGTAGGACTTATATTTGTCACACAGTAGGTGTTCAGTGAGTCCTGAATGAAGAAAGAATATTTTGCTATGTTGGATGCTGTGGGGAAGACCCAAGGAAATTTTTGCAAGCAGGTAAGAATTTTAAGTGCTTATAATATATTATTTATACAACAGCTTTCTTCAAGGAGCTTAATGTTCTAAAGTCTTTAGCTTTATTTTATCCTTCCAGATTTACAATTTGACTTTTGCAAATAAGGTAAATAGTTCTCCATCTGTTATTCCTGTGGGCAGGAAACAGATTTCTCTCCTCACACTACTCACAGAGGTCTTCCTAGTAAATTTCATGCCTTTATACACTAAATTAAAAATTACATAATGGGATGAATAACTACACTTCTTTAAGCATTCCAGGGAGAGGGAGACATTTCTGGAAGACCGGAAGACCTTTCTGGAAGAGATAATGAAACAAGCCCAGAAAAGGAAGAGAGCCTTCAAAAATGACGTTAAATTCATGGCAGACCTGATACTAGAAACCAGAAGTCCCAGCAGGGTAGAAATATTCTCACTTAGACACCAGGCTATGACTGTTCAGAGTGCAGCAGAGACTGCTTTTCGTCCTTCTGTTCTCACTCAGGTCCAGGAATTATGTGGGGTTTTCCATTTAGGCCTTCTGCTTTTCAAGGCTCATAAAAGCAGATTAACTCTTTTAATGTTTCCAGGATTAAACTAGCACAACCCCCCCCACCCCCACCAAAAAAAAGCATTATATCATCGTATTATAGAAACGTTGGAGTTTTTTGAAAAAAAATTATTTTCTCTACATGAATGACTACTGATGCAAGCTATGTCCTGTGTTGAGGACCCAATGGCTTCTGCGGGTGAACTGGATCCCTTCACCCAGTTGAATCCTCTCCTGCTCTCCTTTGCTGAGATTGTCTCCACCATCCCAATCTTGTGCTTTTTCTTTGTCCTTTGTGTGTTTGCAACACCTCCCAATTTAGCATCCTCCTGCCTTTAATGAATGTGCTGTTAGTGTTTTCCCCTCCTACCTCATCATTAATAAAGATGTTAAGGGAAACTGAGCCCATCACCAATCCATGGAGCACCCCACTAAACACCTCCCACCCACGTGCCACATAACCATTTATCATTACCCTTTGTTTACAATCCTTTCAACGGTTTCTAATCCATGTGGCAGTGCTTACATCCAAGCCAACTTGCAGTTGTTTTACAAGAAAGACAGAGAATCCTGCACTTTTTAGCGATCTTGTAATCCACAGGAGAGCTTTTGTTCAGTGGAAGAGTACTTTCATGAGATGTAAGGAATTTGGGAAAGAAGGAATACAAATGCTGGAGGACGGATTTTTTTTTTTTTTTTGCAATTATTTCCAGGGAAAAAATAGACGGTACCCTGAGAGTTGATATAGGACCCAGACGCCAAGAAAATGGCAAGTGTAGCCTGTTAATCTGCCAGAGAGATGCCAGCAGCTTTCATCAAGCCCAGAATGGATGTGGAGCCACTTGCAGAAGCACACACACTCACTCATTTTCTTGTGGCTTAAAAATAGGCTCACAGTAAGCTGACCCCCAAACGTTGGGTGAGGAATACATTCTCTTGGTCCGTTCTCGGGACGAATTGTATTTGACTGGTATTCTAAACTCTGGCATTCTAAATTCTGGTATTCTAAATTCAAGCTCCACAAGGAGCTTGGTGCAGTGAGACAGACAGACATGACCACGGACATTGGGATAAG
Organism: Homo sapiens; assembly: GCF_000001405.40. NCBI lineage: Eukaryota > Metazoa > Chordata > Mammalia > Primates > Hominidae > Homo > Homo sapiens. Next base: position 4,932,416 of record NC_000012.12, read on the forward strand.
CCAAGAACACTAGGAGCAGAGGAAGCCAAGAACAAGCTAGGGGAGCCCAGAAGAGGAAGTCCTGGTTCTGAAAGGAATGTCTAGAGAACTTCTGAGAGGGGGAAATGTTTACATTGGGCCTTAGAGCATTCTTTCTTTCTTTCTTCTTCTTCTTCTTCTTCTTCTTCTTCTTCTTCTTCTTCTTCTTCTTCTTCTTCTTCTTCTTCTTCTTCTTCTTCTTCTTCTTCTTCTTCTCTTAAAACAATATAAATTTATTTCCTCACAATTCTGGGGCTTTGAAGTCTGAAATCAAAGAGTCAGCAAAGCCATGCTCTCCCAGCAGATGGAGGAGTCATCCCTGCCTCTTCTAGCTTCTGGCAGCGGCCAGCAATCCTTGGCGCTCCGTGGCTTATGACTGCATAGCTCCAATCTCTTTGTCTTCACATGGCCGTCTTCCCCCTGTGCGTTTGTGTCCAAATTTCCCATGTCCTGAAAGGATATCAGTCACTGGACTGGGACCCACCCTAACCCAGTAAGCATCGAGACATGTTATTGTTACAGATCACTCTGCTTCCTACCTGTGGGCACTGATCTTTTCAGCATGACCATCCATTTTCTGCCTCTCTTAAGTTTCAGTCGCCCAAACTGCATATTGCAGTTCAGGCACGGATATCCCATAAAAGGAAAGGAAGCTTTTTCTTTGTTCTTCCTTTATAATGCCTGTTTGGTTGAAACAAATCTTCGAACTAATTTCAGTCAAGTATCTTTATTCTCTGAACTCTCAAACCACTATATTTACCTCTTTTTGTGGTACTCAACACATAATAATTATTTGTGTATATCTTTCTCCCTTACAACATTGTAATGTCCTTCTTGGAAAGAGCCACATTGTATACACATGTGTGACCCCCTGCAAATGGCTTGATACTGCATGAATGAATGAATACATGAACACATGAATGAACGAATGAATGAATGAGTGGTTATCCTAATATCTTCTGAACTAAATATCAAATGATTTCTCCTTCTGAAATCTTTCTGTCCCACTTTTCTACTTTAAAATTGTAACAGATACATTTAATCAAAGGTAATGGTATTAAAAAGTGTCAATCATTGTCATTGAAAAAATAGAGTGTGTTTTGTCCTTCTCACTTCACATTGACATTGTTTATCTGACCTCTGCACACTTCCTTTCATAACCCTCAGCACTCCTGTGGGCTGGCAGCTCCTGTGCCTCTGATGGGAGGGTTGCCAGAGTTAGAATGGGGCTTTGGTGTAATTTTTCCTCTAGACTTATACAGTGCTAAAACCACTCATCTAAAGCTTGAAAGGAAAGGAAAGTGTAAATGTACGTAAACTTTTTAATCTTTCTTCAGATCACCATGTCCAAGAATTCTCTCCATTCCTTTCAGTCATTCTGACATCTAGGACATTTACATCCCTTATATGTGGTATATACATTGTTTCAATCCCATTTTGGTGTTCTAAACTGAGAGCGATGGTTGACAGAGGTAAATATGATTATCTTTCTATCCCTTCTTTTTGCTTGGGAATGAATATAGTAGGGGAAAGGTAGAAAATTAAGTTCGTAAGTATGATATTGGTGGAATGAGTAGGTTCAGTAGAACAAAGTCTGGTGGGACTCTGCATACCTGGGCTCTACTACTGTTTTGTCACTAATAGGCAGTGTGATCCTGGGAAAGTTACTTCCTGCCTCTGGGCCTCAGTTTCCCTTTTATTCCCAGTCCTGATTTCTAGGTATCCCTCCAGCTCTCAAGACAAAGTAGAACAGGAGAATTCTTGTAGCCATTTGCATTTCTCAGCTCAGTCTTACAATTCCAAATCATGGTTGAATTTGTATTACTTATCATGGTCAATCCAATTCTTCACTTTGTGAAGAATTATTCAGACCCCTTGCTTCTCATATTCTGCCATGCTTTTTTATGATTGAGTGAGGGGGAGGAAAGTGGGGAGATTGAATCAAATGTTACTTCTAGGCACTTCTTGCAATGTTTGAGGGAGGAAGACTGAAATTGGTTTCTTAGCCAAACCTTTTCAATTCTTTGTGAATTTAATTTTAAGGTTTTACGCTCATTTTTCCATTTGCCTGAAGAAGTCAAAATAGTTTCTTTTGATGATAATGATATGGACATTTCATGTGCTAATAGAATGATTTTTTGCTGGCACTTACATAGACATAGTGATGATGTAGTGCAAGCTGACTAAGCCAAACCTTCTGAGCCATGTTTATTCATTTATTAATTATTCATTTTTGGACTTCTTCCAAAAATAAAAGGAGGAATATACAATAAAAGCTACTTTTTCAATAGAACTTTAAAACCAAAGATGAAATGACCATGTAATGATGCAGGCAGAGATCATCATACAAGAAAGCCAGAGTTAAAGCTTTTCCTTTCAGTTGAGCACATGCTTTACCTTTGAGATTACTGGCAGCCCAGGAAAGAGAGGAAACATGAGTCACACAGCTCTCATCATCTAGTAAAATAAGCATGCTATGCATTTAGGTGAGACGACATAATATTTTTTCTTATACCAAGCTCTCAGAGCAATTTAATATATGATTTTTATGACAATATAATTTATTTTCATATTTTAATAGTGCTTTTACAACAGATGTAGAATCTTTATCTCACAAAACTATATTTTATATTGATGTTCAAATAAGGCTGATTGCATATTAAATTGTAATTATGAAAGCATTTCTACTTGGGTAAAATAAAGCAGTTCAGGTACATAGGTGTTTGTTTTTGTTTTGTGATTTTGATAATTTAAGTGCATACAGTGATGGAGCTTAGAAAATTAGATCAAATTGTTATCATGTTCCCTCTATTGTCTGTCTCAAAGGTTAATGGTCACCTGCAGGTTTTTGACTGCGCTGGGATGGTATACCGAGTGCCAAACCTACAGAAGCCCAGCTGTTGATAGAAAAGGTAGCCATATGCTTAAGCTATAGGGCAGGTTGGTGGCAAAGTAAACACTTTGCTGTACAATTAAAAAGTTTCTCTTGAATTCTCACCCTATGGAAATCTATTCTGTGTGAGAGGGAAGTGGGCTGCTGAATATTTCAGACAAGCTTAGGTTTCAGTATTTAAAGTAAGGCCAACAATAAAGGTAGAAAACCCCCCACATGGCATAGCTTTCTCATTTGGGGAGACAGCCTTGAGTAGAAAAGATAATTTTTTTTTTTTGACGGAGTCTCGCTCTGTCCCCCAGGCTGGAGTGCAGTGGCACAATCTCGGCTCACTGCAACCTCCACTTCCTGAGTTCAAGCAATTCTCTTCCTCAGCCTTCCGAGTAGCTGGGATTACAGGTGCCTGCCACCACACCCGGCTAATTTTTTTTTGTTTTTTTGTATTTTTAGTAGAGACGGGGTTTCACCATCTTAGCCAGGCTGGTCTTGAACTCCTGACCTTGTGATCCACCTGCCTCGGCCTCCCAAAGTGCTGGGATTACAGGCGTGAGTCACTGCGCCCAGCCAGAAAAGATAATTCTTAAAGTCCATGGAGATAACTGTGATGAAGCGATGTTGTCATCATAGATAACTATGATGCAGCATTTCCCAAACCCATTGAACTATGAAACTCTCTTTTACTTACAGTGTATTGATAGACCTTCAATAGAAGCTTCTGAAATATAATTCATGCTGAAAAATGTGATATCACAGATGCATAAATCATTGTAAGAAATGATCAAAACTTGATTCATATGTTTAATATATAACAAACATTGACTAATATCATAAAGATATGTTAAAATAAGACATGATACATAACATAGACCAGCAGTCTTCAAAGAGATGATGTACTAGTTGATGCTAGTTTGCAATTGTTAGGGCCAAGGTTTGTGTTTCGTCACCCCTTTGCTTCTCCAGAGTGCTTGTGGCAGGTAAGGCATAAACAAAGAGCACTGGGCCAAATACGGGTGACAATATCAGCTTATTACCCAAGGCCTTGCCGAATGTTATTATAGAGCATGACTTAGACTCCAAACCCAAGTGGACCATCCTCTTCCTCCTCATCTCTGCGAGAACCTGCCCACTCAGGTATGAGTTGAGGAGCAGAATTTAGAGCAATGTCTCATCTTCACCACACAAACCCCACCCAGTACTGTGCTGGAGCCTAATATTGTCAACTTGAGAGTTTCAATTGTTAAATTTTCAGGAATTTTGCAAGCCTGTTGTAAAACATAGCCATTATAAAAAAAATTTAATAAACTTCAAATAAAAGAAATCATATGAAAAATAAGGCAATATTTATAGCTCCTCAGCTCCCAATTATTTATTCAATTTTATCATTATCTATAGTCTTGAGATTCTTTACATCTATTTTATCCATATGGTAGAAAAACTCCATGATCAGTGATGTCAAGCTTGTAGCTTAAAATTGACTATGGTGGGAGTGTTTACACCATGGGAAATTGGCTACCACTCCAGACCCTTTTTTATTTCTTCAAGAGTTAGTTGTTAAACACTTAGCAGCACTACTAGCCCATTCCTTACAGTGACACTATAGTCATCCCCATTTTGTTAAGAGGAAATGCAGACAAACAAAACTTAAATAACACACATAGCTAGTTAGCCAGGTGGACTGGCCTAGATCTTCCACTCAGGTACTTTCCCCTATTATCTTTTTACGTGTTGAGCTCAAGGTTTCTACAGGTGGGACCCCTGCTTCATGTACAAACAGGATATTAGGCAGTGGTAGACTATGGTGATTGGCTAATGGGAGGCATGAAAATAATTAACTAATTTATTCAGAAACACTGAGATCTCTACTGTGCTAGACCTTTACCTTGGAGCTCCTTGCGCCTAAGGAGATCATAGACTATAACAAGACCCAGAGAAGTCATCCTGGATTTCAGTATTGTAGGGTAAATGCCATGGTAGGACAAATACAAGGTCTCCTGACAGTACATAATGGGGGAACCTAGACAGGACTCAAGATCCAGGAAGTCTTCTAAACTGCAAGAAGTGACTTCTAAACTGAGATCTGAAGGATAAATGAGCCTTAGCCAGGCAAAGATCAGGAAGGACATTGCAAGCAGTGGGAACAGCATGTGGTGGGGTCCTGCACAGAGACAGAGTGCTGGGGAGTTCCAGTGCCACAGGAGGCCTGTGAGCATGGAGCACAGAGACCAGCAAAGGGGGCAGGAAGCAGACTGTGGCCAACTGTGTGGAGCTTTGCCAGGCACACTTCAGACGTTAGACTTGACTCCACAGAAATGGGGGAGGGAAGATTTTAAACAAGGGAGTGATAGCTTCAGCTTCACATTTTACAATTCCTCTGATTGCTATTTGGAAAACAGACTGCAGAGGGCCAAGACTAAAGGTAAAAATACTATCCAGGGTACTGAAATATGGAAATACAGCAGGCAAGGGGGCAGCTTGCAAGATTAAGACTCCATTCCTGGCCGGACTGGTGGCTCACACCTGTAATTCCAGCACTTTGGGTGGGATTACAGGTGGGTGGATCATGAGGTCAGGAGTTCAAGACCAGCCTGGCCAACATGGTGAAACCCCGTCTCTACTAAAAAATACAAAAATTAGCCAGGCATGGTGGCATGTGCCTGTAATCCCAGCTACTTGGGAGGCTGAGGCAGGAGAATCTCTTGAACCCAGGAGACAGAGGTTGCCATAAGCCAAGATCATGCCACTGCACTCCAGCCTGGGTGACTGAGCAAGACTCTGTCTCAAAAGAAAGAAAAAAAAAAAAGAAGAAGAAAGAAAAGACTACATTCCTTCCCACAGATTTTTCACATGGAAAATTAACAGTGATGTTGTTGGGAGCAGTATTGGAAGAATGGTTGAGAGGACCAATTGCATTGAGTTAAGGATTGAATAGGACATGAGTAGGTGTTGACAGTGTTTAGAAGAATCTTTGTAGAGAGGGAGGGATAGAGAGAGAGTGAAGGTCACATGAGGTTGGAGGAAGGCGTCTGCCCTCGCCACCCCCTCGAAAGTGCCTTTGTTCTTTTCCTTCTGGCTTAAGATGTTCTTCCTGTCCTCCTGCGGACTACTTGATGTCCTAGTCCCAGGCTGCGACATTTAAATTACTTGTAGCAGCCACCCATAGTGTTCCCCCCACACACCAGACCTGGGCTTCAGAGCATTCTCTCCTTCCTCAGGCCTCCTTTGACAAAGTGTTAATTTCCTCCACTCTCAATTTTATTCAGAGTAGATATTTACCAGTCTTCGTGGAGTGATTGATCAAGTCACAATTAGATGAGAATGACTTTTAGTACTTTCACATTAAAGAGGCATTTGTTAACTCAAATGAATCTAATTTGAGAATGTGAGGAGAAAAGCTATTTGGAGAGTGGAAGCATTTATGATTTCTTTTTAGTCACTCTTGCCCACTCAGCCCAGTCTCTTCAGTTTTCCCAGAACTGGATGTGGAGGTGGGAAGGGGACGTTTCTATCCACCCCTCTCCTCAGGCCCCTGTTTCCACGGGGAGGAATGCATAGTGCCACTCACCACATTGCCCTCAAACCGGCTCCTCTTCCATTTCTGAAGTGGTGGACAGTTAATCGAACTCCTCAACTAAAACTTCCTTGTGGTCCTCAGCAGCTCTCAATTGCTGCATCTTTGCAGCTCTGAGCTCTTGCCACACCGAGTTTCTCACACTTGCCGAGACACCGCCTCTGGCATCACGCAGGCCCTCTCATGCCACATGCCTTTGCCTCCACGCCCATCTCTTCCTAGACAATTCTTAGCTCTCCTTGAAGACACTGCTCACATGTCACTTCCTTGATGGAAGCTTTTTGACTCACACAGGCAGACTGAGTTGCTTCACATATTTGTCCAGTAACACTTTCATGTTGTCAGGTAATTTGTCTGTTTACAAGCCTGTCTCTTCTAAATCATGAGCTATTTTTATATAGATTCACATCTATAGGATGAAGACATGACTACATGACTAAGGAGGGCCAGGTTCCTGGCGGATCCCTGGAAAATGTCTCTGTATTTTAGGAAGACATTCTCCATGCCCTTCTCTAGACTGACGCGGTTTGATTGACTCCTCAGTTCCATTTAGTGATGCTCAGTTGAAACCCAGCTGTCTCGTGCATATCCTGTGACATCCCCAGTCTGCCATATACGTTTGACTGCCTCTCAGGAGGGCGCACGTGAATGCTATTTCAACATGAAGCTGCTTTTGTTACACTCCCCTATAATTAGCCTCTCTATATAATAGCACTTGCTAAATCGGGAGCAGTTAGAGCAGGTGTGGGGGTGGGAAATAAGACTGATAGATTATATTCAGCTCAAACTCTCAATCACTCGCGTAATCTGTTGCAGACACCGCAGATGGTGGAATGTTCGAAAGGGACTCCTAGGAAGGATGCACAGGAGGCTGTGGAAGCAAAAGGCAAAACAGTCAAACGTGACGTGCAGTGGTCAGGCATGGACACGAGAGGGCATTCGTTCATTCACTCCCCCAATATTTTCTCACTCTGGCTGTTCTAAATGTCGGGGATACTGCAGCGAATGACACAGGCAAGCAGTCTCTGCTGTTAGGGAGCTTATATTCTTGTGGGAGGAGGCAGACAATGAACAGTAAATAAGTAAAACATCTAGGGTTTTAGTCAGTGCTAAGTGCTGTGAAGCACAATAAGGCAGAGAAGGACAAAAAGGAATATCAGGGGATTCTAATTTTAAATAGACTCCAGGAAAAGCAACACTAAGATGGTGATATTTAGATGAAGGCCAACAATAGTAAGGCAGCAAGCCCTACAGATATATGGAGGTGCACATTCCAGGCAGAGGGCACAGCAAGTGCAAGGGACCTGAGATGGCCATGGGCCTCGCTTGTTCCAACAACAGTCTAATAGGAGGGGGATACATTATGTTGGATCTGAAGGTCATTTTAAGGACTTTGGCTTTTACTTTAAGACAGGAAACCAATGGAAAACTATGAGTCAAGGAGTAGCATTTGACTTTATTTTGCAAAGTTAGGATGGACCTACTCTATTTGGTAACACTGAAGTAACCAGATTTCCTAGATGAGGATAAGACTGAGCAAGACATTGTAGGTAGCTCAGATTCTATGTTACTTCTCTTGCTAGTCTACTGGGGTACTACCTTCCCCTTTTCATTCATTCAGCAGACCTTTACTAAGAGCCTTTTTTTGTGCCAGTCACTGAGATACAGTGATGAGCAAGAGGGATGGAGTTCTTGGTTTTTCTGAACTTGCAGTATAATGGGAAAAACCGACATGAAACAAATATAGATAAGGACATCGTGTGGTATATAGGAGAATACAGTAGGAGCACACAATAGGTGTACCTAACTTCTTCTAGGAGCACAAAGGCATCTCTCCAGGGGAAAGGGCATCTAAGCTGGAATCTGATGGCCTACTAGAGACAGCCAGGCGAGGCAATGTGGGAGAGCATTTCAGGCTGAAGCAGCTGCAAGTGTGGAGGTTCTGGGGCCAAGGCAAGCACTACACCTTCTCCACCCTAACATATGCTGAGCAGCTGGTATGGCCTGGGTAAAAAGAGCAAGGGGCTTGAGGGGTGGGCATGTGGCGTGCATGGAAGCTGGAGAGGAAGGTGGGAACCACATCATGAAGAGCTCTAGAGGGGTTTATTCTAAGGGCAACAAGAGGCTACCAGATAATACCATGATAAAGTTTATATTTTGGAAAGATCCTTCATTCTGCTGCAGTGTGGTGGATGGATTGTCAGGTGGAGACCGGAAGGACATTGTTGTGTAGTCAGGTAAGAGTGACGGAGGTTTTGGCTAGCCTTGTGGCAGGGGCATGAAGAGAAGTGGATGGATCTGGAGTCTATTAGGAGGTGAAATAAACAGGAGTTGGTGATGGATTGAATAAGGTCGGGGGCAGGGGAGTGGGAAATATCACGGATAGCTCCCAGGCTCCTGGCTTGGGTGGCTGCAAGGAAATAGTGCTGAATTCTGACAGGTAGCACACAAGAGAATGAACACATCTGATGAGAAGTAAGGCTGGCTTTTGGAAGTTGTGGTGTACCCATGAGAGATGGGTGACTAGCAGTTACAAAAGTGGATAGAAAGTGAGAATGGTGCACACTGGACATACAGATTTGGAAATCCTCAGCAAGTAGGTGACACGCAAAGCCTTAGGGGTGGATGTGATCACGGAGGAGAGAGGCAAGTGATAAGGGCCCTGGCAGGGATCCAAGGGATGCTGCAGGTAATGGCCAAACTGAGCTGGAGCTCAGAGCTGCCCATCGAAGGCCAGGAGAATGTAGTGTCTTTGGAACCTAGGGTAGAAGAGGCCGGCTCTGATTTGTTGCTGTTGCTCCCGGTTCTGGGTCTTGTCTTTGTGAGGTTGTTGTGGTTGCTGCATCAGCCAGATGTGACCCTGCAGGCCTCCCCTTCAGGTCCAGAAAAGACATATTTGCTGCTTCATTACTGAGGCAGTAAGAAGACAAGCTTCCTTGTGTGCTTCCTCCCCTCTTGACTCACTAAAATCAGGCTGACTTTAGTCCTGTCTTTCCAGATGAATGCAGCCTAGGGAAGGTTTCTGACCCACTTCGGACACTATATACAGTGGATAATTAATACTTTTCCTTGAAAAGGATTAAATAACACGTTCAGATTTGGCAAATATTTTTTTAATCCGATGTTCTTATCTGGCCATCTACATTGGATCATGATTTTGCAGATGTGAAAACTGAAGCTCAGAGATGGCTTTCTCAAGGACACACAGTGAGCAGGTGTCAGCCAGGACTAGATCTTGAACTCCTAGTCTAGTGCTTTCCTAGTTCTTCCTTGCCCACACACATGCAAACAAAGCATCCCCACAGACACACCTACCTGTTCAGTGCAGGCACCTATCTATGGAGCAACCACAGGTGTATTTCCCCCAAATAATATTAACAGATGATATTGGAGGAACTTAAAACTTTTCTAACAATCAAGGCACTTAAAAACTTTTCTAAAGATAGGTAGTTTTGGGGAGAATGTTAGATGCTGTTTGTCTACACTTGCCTCTCATGTCCTGGTTCTCTACTGATAGGCTGAGTAGAAACATAAAGGCAGACAGGATATCAACATGGACTTGGAAAAGTCATCTGAAGGACCTCAGCAGAGTCAGTAAGTCACACTTGGCAAATATTACACTTTATTCTCAAAATCCAAAGGATCAAAACCTATGGCACCTGGCTTCTGAACCTGTATTGCTTTCATTACTGTATAAGTAACAATAGGCAGGCTTGGTTATGGGGAAAGTGTAAGATGAAAATGATCTTATGCTGAGTTAAAAGACTAACAGACCACTGACGAGACATAGGAATGCTATCTTCAGCATCTAAAATCATCAAGGGATTTCTTCCACAGAACATTAAGAAGTCAGTAGAAAGAAGAGGAATGAGGTCAGGCCCAGTGGCTCATGCCTGTAATCACAGCACTTTGGGAGGCCGAGGTGGGTGGATCACCTGAGGTCGGGAGTTCTAGACCAGCCTGACTAACATGGTGAAACCCCTCTACTAAAAATACAACAATTAGCTGGGTGTGTTGGTGGGTGCCTGTAATCCCAACTACTCGGGAGGTTGAGGCAGGAGAATCTCTTGAACCTGGGAGGTGGAGGTTGCAGTGAGCTGAGATTGTGCCATTGGACTCCAGCCTGGGGAATGCTAATTTTTTTTTAAAAGAGAGGTTGCTTTGGCCTGATCATTATTAGAAAACATTTTAAAATGGGACAATATTTTTTATTTATGAGGATGTAGAAAAACAGAAGCTCACTTGGTGGAACTGAAGATCAGTGTAGGCCATTTGAGCAGTAATTGGCTTAAGCATACACTCATGACCTCACAGCCCCACTCCTATGGGCTGACCTCAGAACAGCTCTTGCACAGGTCTGTCTGGAGACAGGATGAGGACGCCCACCACAGCATTGTTTGTGGAAGTTGGCAGCTGGACGCAGCTTAGGTGTCATTACTGTGGGAATGGACAAGCCACCTGTGGTGCATGAGCATTGTAGAATACTGTACATGAAGCCATGGATGGATCTGTAAAGGCATTGGCCTGAGTTAAGCGTGAGCTCTATAATACACATTTACTAGTGGAAAGTGAAAATGCACAGACCGCCATTAGAACACTGTCTCTTCTTCGAGAATTCCTATTTATCCAAGAACACATGCCTATCACATTAGAATGGGTTCTATCAGGAGGCTAAGGAGAGGGAAATAAGGCTCAGGATCAGCGATGAAGGGGGAAAAAAAAATAACAGCACAAAAGAAGTGCCTTGCAATGCTTCTTAACTGAAGCGTACCGTGAACTGAGGGGTGTGTTGTACTCTACTCTCAGGCCCTGAGATCTGAAAATGAAACGACAAAAAAAGTGAAGGCATGGGAACTGAAGTCAGAGGTTTCCAGTTTCCATGTGAGCCTGGTTCCTCACCCCAGAATTAGCTGTTCGTTCTCAGCTTTCTCATCTGTGAAATGAAAATAATAAATAACTTCCTGGAGAGAATGTGGTTAGTACTGACTGAGAAAAGGGAAGCATCTTGCTTGGCACTTAGTAGTTGAGTAGTAAATGTTAGGTTCCTTTCTCCTGTCCTGGGGTTTTGCCCCCCAAACCTCTCCCCTTGACTGGGCATTAAGACTTTACCAGTTGCTACTCTGTGACCATTCCCCTCAGTGGGCACTGCTGCTCACCACGCAGTATAAGACTGTTGAGAGGACACAGGGTGTCCCAGAAGAGCCACCTTGCAAGGTCAGTCTTCTGCAGCCTGTCAGCTCAGAGTGGGTAAAGCAGTGCGGGTGTTCCCAGGTTCACGGGAAATGACCTGGCTTTTCTGCAGCCTGATGTTCTGGGCTTCCGTGCCCTTCTTCCTGCTCTAGTGAAGGGCTGGCCTGCTCCTCTTGGAGGCCTTAATTTTGTCTGCCTCACTTTATCCAGCCGGTCTGGGATTACTTCCGAGCTCACATAGACTTGCCAAAGGGGTTTTGCTTTCTCTTCTTTGATTACATCTAGTCCTACAGAAAGCCCTTACCAGAGTTAGCAACTGAAACTCTTCCATGGCTGCCCATAGTCCTTGGGATGAAGCCCACACTCCTCCCAACACAGTTACGTCCTCATTTCACCTGAATAGTCTCCTCTGTCTCCACTCACCTAAGGCTTTAACATTTTAGGATTCAGCCACTGAGAGTTTATTTTGGCTCCTCTCATGTGTTCTGCTCTTCCTTTAGGGTGTTTGCCCAAGCTGTGCATTCATTCCCTCAATACATAATGTTAAGCACCCACTTGGGGCTAGGTACATGACAGACTACTCCTTCTGCAAGGAATGCTCAGCTAGCTCCTATTCACCCTTCAAGACTCAGGTAAAACATCACTTCCTCTTGAGACCTTTCTTGATTTTCTTCCCTATGGGGATTAGATGCCTGTGTTTGCATGTTTATGGCACCCCATGCATCTCTTATTATTGCATTTTTGTATAGTTTCTTTTGCCTTTATTCCTGGACTACGAGTGCTGAAAGTTTTGGGATCACATCTGCCTTGATTGCTTAGTATTTCCAGCTGTTAGCTGAATACATAGTGGCACTCACTGAAATGAATAAAAGAATGAGCTCATAGCATCTTCCAGTGCTGTGTGACGTTGTGTTTTTAGATTAGAAGGTACCTTAGAGATAACTCAAGTCTGAGCACTTTTTTTCTCACTCTTCTATTAAAATGTTTATATATATATATATATTTCATTACCATAAAATTCACCTTTTAAAGTGTGCAATCTGTGGTTGTTAGTAACAAGGTTGTGCAACCATCACCACTACCTAATTCTGCATTTTCTTCACCTTCTGTGAAAACCCTGTACCCACTAGCAGTCACCAGTCTACCCCTGTCCTCAGACCTAAGCAACCACTAATCTACTGTCTGTCTTTGTGGATTTGCCTATTCTGGACATTTCATGTAAATAGAATTGTATCACATGTGGCCCTTTGTCTCAAGGTTCATCCTTGTAGCACGTATCTCAGGATTTCATTCCTTTTTACTTCATTTCGTTTACCCATTCATCAGCTGATGACTGCACATTTGGGTTGTTTCTACCTTTTGGTTACATGAATAATAATGCTGTGAGTGTGTGCATAAATTTCCATGTGACTGTATGTTTTTAGTTGTAATGTTCTTAGGAGTGGAATTGCTGGGTCATATGACAACTCTCTATGCCTAATTTGTTGGGGAACTGCCAAACTGACTCCAAAGTGGCTGCCTCATTGGTGATATACAACAGTTCAAATTTCTGCCCACCTTCACCAATGCTTATTTGCATTTCTTTAATTAAAAAAAATTAAGCTATCCTAGTGGGTCATGCCTTTATTTCTTATAGTGCTCCTCTATGGAAAAGGAATTTGGTGTTTTTTTGTTTGTTTGTTTGTTTTTGCATTTGACCATGAGCACATTACTTAATTTTTGTTACCTTTTTAAAATTTATTTATTTAATTTTGTGAGATGGAGTCTCGCTCTGTCACCCAGGCTGGAGTGCAGTGGTGCAATCTTGGCTCACTGAAACCTCCGCCTCCCAGTTCAAGCAATTATCCTTCCTCAGCCTCCCGAGTAGCTGAGATTACAGGCATGCGCCACCACCCCTGGCTAAGTTTTGTATTTTTAGTAGAGAGGGGTTTCACCATGTTGGTCAGGCTGGTCTCAAACTCCCGACCTCGTGATCTGCCCACCTTGGCCTCCCAAAGTGCTGGGATTACAGGCATGAGCCACCACACCCAGCAGTACCTTTTTTTATTCACTAGGGCTATTAACTTCTACCTCACAGGTCACTGTGAGATAGAATGATGTGAAGGATATTGTGTTAGTCCATTTTGTGTGGGTGTAAAGAAATACCTGAGACTGGGTAATTTATAAAGAAAAGAGATTTATTTGGCTTACAGTTCTGCAGGCTATACAAGCATGGCACTTGGATCTGCTTGGCTTCTGGGGAGACCTCAGGAAGCTTTTAGTCATGGCAGAAGGTGAAGGGGGAGAAGATGTGTCACATGGTGAGAAAGGGAGTGAGAGAGAGGAAGAGGTGCTAGGCTCCTTTAAACAACCAACTCTTGCATAAGCTAACAGCGAGAAGTCACTCATGACCATAGGGAGGGCACCAAGCTAATGAGGGATCCACCCCATGACCCAAACACCTCCCACTAGGCCCCATTTTCAACACTGGAGATCACATTTCAACATGAGATTTGGAGGGGACACACCTCCAAGCCGTATCAGATATGAAGCACCTAGCATGTTGCAGGCCCATGGCCAGTATTCAGAGGATGGGAGTCACAATTCCATGGCTTCTGATAAACTTTCCCTATGCATCCTGGGATTCCCACAGAGAGCGAAGATGAGGATTGTTTGGCTCAGGACTTGGTTTGGTGGTGGCTTCTTCAGAGGGAGCAGTTGCCCATGGCAGTGACCTGAGGGGGCTGGGGAACACAGCAGTTGGAAAAGGCCAAGAAGGCCTGGAAATTGAGGTCTCTCCAGCACCCTTCTTCCCATCACTAGTGCAGGGTTAAATGTGCTCTGCCCTTGCCTGGGGAATGCTTCGTGTCATATCACAGACTGGCTGCCACACAGACCTTCCGTGTAGGTGTGAAACCTCAGTAAAAGCAGGCCTGGCCTGAAAGTGGGAATTCCAGCAGAGCTGCAAAACAGAGAGCCAGGGCTTTGGCTGTCCCCGTCTCAGGGGCTTCATTGGTGTGGGAACACTTAGCAAGCTGAGAGGAGGTTTTGTCATCAACTGATTCTTTTCAGTATCTCTCTGCCAGGCCGAGTTACTCCGCTCCTAGTTTTTCCTCCTCACTTTATAATCGGAGCTTCTTCTCCCCTTTATTCCTTCCAATCGGGCCTTTGGGAAAAGCACCTGGCCGTGCTTAACGCAAAGGCAGCAGGAAGGAAGGTGGTGATGCGATCCTCTGCAGCTCCACTGTCATTCCTTTGGACTGCAGAGTCGTCTTTTTTATTAGAGATCAATAACACTGAAGACCGGCCTGAGAAATGATGCTCCCTTCCCACAGGACCCTGGGCTTCCCGGGGCTCTGAGCAGGCAGAGTGATGGGGCACATTACTTCCATTTGACCTACGCTCCCCGGCAGCCTGCTGATTCCGACTGCAGATTAAAAAAACACCAAATGTGCCTGCTACGAGACTTTTAAAGTAGATTAACGCAGGCTTCCTATTTATTGTGAGCCCTGGGCTCAAGTGACAGGCTTTGCGAATCTGCCCCAGTTGTCACCCACTGGACACCTTCCGGCTGGGGCCCTGGGATAAACAGGCTTGTTTGAGTGTGCCAGGCCAGAGAAGCCTCCTTGCTAGTACCTCTGGGGACCTGATACAAGTACAGTCTAGCAATTTCAGCATTCCGTCTTTTGAGTTTAGATTAATTAAACCAAGTGAGTGTACATTAAGACTGTGGGGAGATGCGAGTTACAAGGGTGAAACAGCAAGAATAGCGGAGTCCAGAAATGGGAGGTGTTGACGGAGACCATGGGTGGTTAGGGGGCTGCTCTGAAAAGTGTTTCCTCATCTGAAAAGTAGGGTATTAGACTAGAACTCCCAGTCCCTAAATCTGTGCCTGCTGCCTTGAGTAGCCAGAAGACTAAAAGGATGGATAATAAAAGTTGGTATAGGCCGGCACGGTGGCTCATGCCTGTAATCCCAGCACTTTCAGAGGCCAAGGTGGGTGGATCACCCGAGGTCAGGAGTTCGAGACCAGCCTGGCCAACATAGTGAAACCCCATCTCTTTTAAAAATACAAAAATGAGCTGGGTGTGGTGGCGCATGCGTGTAATCCTAGCTACTTGGGGGGCTGAGGCAGGAGAATTGCTTGAACCCAGGAGGCGGAGGTTGCAGTGAGCCTAGATCATGCCACTACACTCCAGCCTGGGTGACAGAGTGAGACTCCACCTCAAAATAAATAAATAAATAAATTAATTAATTAAAGAAATAAAAAGGTAGTATAAAAGTCTAGAAGGTTTATTTCTAGAAATAAGGTAGTATAAAATTCTAGAAGGGGGAGAGGAGAAGAAGAGGGGGTTCTTATCATTCCCTCTCTCTCTCCCTTTTCCCTCCCGTCCCCTCCCCTCCCCTCCCCTCCCCCCTCTTCCCTTCCCTTCCCTTCCCTCCTTCCGTTTTTTCCTGCCTATGTGGAAAATATCGTGATTGAATGATTAGTCAGGAACCAGCAGAGACAACTTACGGAGATCTCCGAGAACATAGGGTCTGTGATATTTTCAGAGAAGGAGCATACAGATAGAAGGGTTTGGAAAATATACTCAGAGATGCCAGTTGGCGACAAGGGGGCTATATCTGAGAACATTTTTTGAAGAAATAAAACCATGGAAACCTCAATCAAACGTGATATCTTTTTTCATCCGCAGATGAAATTAAGACAGCTGAATTATAATATTTCATTTATTAAAATATCAGATTATTTGCTCCTTTAAGTCCACAAGTATTTTTAGGCATACATTGTATTTGCACATTGAGATTCCCACTGTTTTCAGAGTAAAAAAGTCAGATGGTATTTTGGTTAGAGAGAGAGAGAGATTGAGAGAGAAAAATATATTGGCTCTGTGTGGGCAACCAGCCTGAAACAATCATCCCAAACCCATTTTGGGGATACTGACCTTGTTCCATAGCAGTGGTGGGAGCACTGGGTCTCTGCTTGTGTGTGGAATGACACACACCCATGGTTCTAAAATACGTCCTCTGTGGATCTGATTATCAGCCCTCTTCCTGAAATTCTGATTGGATAAGCGTTCCTCAGCTACTGAATATCTCTCATTAAAAATTGCTCATCCATCCAGATATTTTGTTAGGGTGGTGGGACTATGGGTGTTTTTCTCTTTTTTTCTAAACCTTATGTTCTGTTGGTATATTAATTTAAAAAGAATTAACTACATTTTAAAAAACCCCCAAATTTAAGTTCTCCCAAAGCTTATTAAGGCTAAACCAGCTCGTCATCACCAAATGATAGTTTAAGAAACACTGTTTGGTGATTAAATTGTAAATGAGGCAAAACCATGTGTATTATCCTTTTGAATTTGTGGAATGAAGCACAGTGGACAGAGGACCCTGGAAAGAAAGACACGGGAAGGAGGAACAAAGTTCATACATTTGAGATGGGACTTTTTGCTACTACTGACAATGGTTGGATGCTGGGGTATTTCTTTGCCTCTATCTAAGTTCAACTCAGCCAGTTCACATATGTGTGCAGGACTGAAAAAAGACTTGGGAAACACCAGTCTTGATATTGTAGGGAAGGATGTTTTTGGATTAAAGCATCGGATCTCGTTATCTTTGTGGATTTAATTAATCGCAGGCCTCTCAACTCTTCCCTGTATCCTGTGCTCTAACTACAGATGATTCCATGATTCCTAACAGTTGTTTTTAATGCACTAGATAGCTAGATGGTGGCCACATCTCCATTCTGTGCTGTATAGAAGAGGCTTTTGCAAGGTACTATTTTGCAAGGTATTATTTTACAAAATAATAATAGAAGGGCTGTCCGGCAAAGAGGCCTGGGGACTCTGTGGTCCACCGCTGCGGTTTGTGCTCTCTCAGCCATGATGATGGCAAAAGCAGCAGGCAGAGGTGAAAACTGGCTCCTGGGTGTGCCCCAATACCGATCCTGGGTGCAGTGGCAGGAGACAGCATTAAAGGGACCTTGGGGAGAAAATGGAGGAAAAACTGGGTGGAGGAAGAGAGAGGAGGCAGAGGCAGCTAGGGTCTGGAACAGAGGTGGGAGAAACTTCCTTACTGTGCTATATAGGCTAAACAGATGGGACCGCAGTGAATTTTTCCTAAACTCCTTCAAAATGCATCTTCCAAATTGGGCTATTGCATGCTTTTATTCTTTCAGGTGACCTAAGTACCCAGCCTTCCTCCTGAAATTCTGATTGGATAAGCATCTCTCAGCAGCTAAGCATCTATCATTTAAAAACTGTCATTCACCACAGAAGGAGTGTTTCCTTGGGGTGGTGGGACTAGAGGTGTTTTTCTCTTTTTTCTAAACCTTATGTACTGTTGGTGTACTACTTTAAAGTAAAGTTACTATATTTAAAAAAAAAAACTTAATTTCCCAAAGCTCATTAAGGCTAAACAGGCTCATCATCGCCAAATGATAGTTTGCAAAACACTGTTGGGTGATTAAATTGTAAATGAAGCAAAAACATGGGTTAATTTTCCCACTAGGGAAGGGATTGCAAATTTATTTTATATTTTATTGAAAATATAAAATATATTTGTAAACATTATTTTAGATATATTTTAAAAGGCTTCTTCAAACCAATGCTGAAGGATCTAAGGCTGGAAGAAATTCACATGAAACTGGGATTTGCAGCTGGACTAGCCACCTGCTCAGACTTGGCAATTCTTTTCCCCTGGTAATAACAAAAGTATGTTAATTTACAGTTCACGAACATGTGCATCAAGTGAGAGGTCCTCACTGAGGTAGCAAAAATCTTTTAGGCTAAGAAACAAAATGTGAGACATCTAGACCACTGATTCACTCATCCTGAAGAGGGAATCACCCTTGTTCCTGAGGGCCTTAAATTGCAAAGCGGTAATTAACCCAGCTCTTCCCTACTCTACTTAGATGAATGACTCGGGAGGGAAATTCTTAATGGTTATTATAATATTTAGGGAAAAAAAGCACTTTACTAATCAGAATTAATATTTGCTAATAGCAACAATAAAATGTGTATTATCTTAGCATCAGATTGGGGAATAGGACTGGGCTCCATCTGGTCTTTAAGTCTTGGGTTTCTGCTGAGATACAATGCTCTTAATTGGCGGCCTTGTAGGTAACCCAGTGGGTGCGATGTGAAGGTCAGAATTCCTGTCTCTCCACTCCCGTCATCGACGGAGAGTGCAGTGACCCCAGCCATGGTATGGTTTTTGTACAGTGCACACTGATTTGTTGTTGTTGTTTCTCTTGGGGAATATCTACTAAGACTGCAAACATCTCCAGGGCAGGGACTTGATCCTTTGACTGCTCTGCAAAGCCACCAGCACCCGAGTTTTTGTAATTTTATACTGTGCAGCTCATGGAGACTGATGGAAGCGAACTGATGGCACTGAAAATGCTCACAAAGACTCTTATGAACAATTTGATTCTAGTAAATGCTGGACATGAAGCACTTTTAGAGCTAAAAGCTACACTAAGGTAGCATTTGTGGCGTGGAGCTCCAGGCTGAGCCAAGCAGCAGGCAAAGCTGGAAGAGTTTGGCCCCTGCCTTTGACACAAACATTCTTCACAGGTGAGTTTGTGTTCCTTTTCTCTTGTTTCTAGAGAACATGAGCTCCCTGAAAGAGAATGTTTATTCTAGCCCTGTACTCCTGCTGAGGAGGAAAAAAAATCTCCATTTGGTTCTCTTATTAGCACTTAGCACCATGCTAGCCTGGCTGGTTTGTCTCTAACCAGGCTTGTTGGAGGAAGGCAAGGATCCCGTGTGGCAGCCAAGTACTTTCTGGAGTGCACTGAGCTGGAATTGCAGGACACGCTCTGGGTAGATTCACCCTGGTAGCTCTGACCCTGTGGTGTACCTAGAGGATCCACAATCACGGGAAATACATGGATTGGACTAGATACAGTCTCAACTGGTCTGATTTTACACTCCAGGGGATATCTGACATTATATGGAGACATTTTTGGTTATAACAACTGGGGTGGTAGTACTCCTGCCATCTGGTGGGTAGAGACCAGAGATGCCGCTAAACATTCTACCATGTCAAGCACCCCTACCCCCAAAGAATTCTCTGGTCCAAAATGCCAGTAGTGCAGAGGTTGAGAAACCTTGCCGTAGAAGGATGTGATGGCTCATTTTTTGGTCACACAGTTTGTTCCTTAATGGCAGAGGTATGAACTAAATCATTTTAAAGTTCCTTCCTAGCTCTTTGATTTTTTTCCGCCAAAAACAAAAATGAGTAGACAGCCAGCAAATGAAAATTATGAAAGAATGCTGAGAAATAAGGATAGTTTAGTTTGAGAAAGTGAACACTGAATGGTCATTTGTTAGCCTTCAAGAGTGAAATTGTGTCTTACATGAAGGATTCTAAGAAATTATTATTCTTTTTTAGAAGCAGTAGAAAAAGAAATGGTTTAAGTTGAGGAGGAAGGATTTGGGTTCAATCCAAGAAGACATTTCTGTGTGTATACGAATGATAAGAAATTAGCCTAAGGTTCCGAGGAGAGGTTTAAATCACTTTCATGGAAAAGATTTAAGGAAGTAAAACAGTACTCATCTGTCGGGGATGGCCTGGTTATGACCTTGAGCCCAAAACAGGCAATGAGTGAACGGCATCTCAAGACCCTAGTGAGTCTTGGCAGCCTGAGGCTCTCTTGCCTTAGCCTTTACGTATCCCTCTGGATAAGCAATTTCACTATTGCTCTTTTTTCTTCAACATTCAGTCTCTGTTTTTCTTGCTCACCTCACCCACTATCTACCCATATCTGTTAGTAGCCATTTAAATGGTTGCTGACCCTCCCACGTACATCTCCTCCTCAGCCCCAGTCCCATCTCTTTTCCTCCCAGGATCATTGACTGTTGGTTAAGAGCTTTCCAAAGCCAAGGCTCACATTGCATGCTGCACTGTGACTATGACCCATCAGGGTTCTGAGCAAGGGGTTCATCACTTGTCTAACCTCCAGTGTGATTGGTACCTTGGCTGAGGAAACTTTGCAGGTCACATTAGCAATGAATTTTGCTGCCTTGTTGGATTGCAATGCTGTGTTTAATTTGCTGACCAATATCATCATCCTTAGATCTTTCTTGATGTTCCTCCAAATCTCTCCTGCCTGCCAAAGTTCTGTGACTGAGATTATTTCCCTTGGAAAAGATCTTCCGGATGGGTTTGATTTTTTGTGGTCTCTGCCCCATGTTTGTGACAGGGAAGGGAGGAAATGATTGGATATACTTTCTCTGCAAAGTGTTAATGAAAAAGAAAGGAGGATGAAGATATTTTTCTCTCTCCTATCCACCTTCTCTCCAACATTATGTCTTCTACTTCCAGCCAAGGGTTTATTCCCAAACATCCTGGGCATACTACTTGCATCCTGTGCGGGCCAGTTTTCTTCATTTAGGGAAAAATTCTGTTCTATGACCACAGTCTGTACCCTTCCCCAGGCCAAACTTACTGTAAATTTTTTTGGTTGGCAAAAGTTAGAAAATTTGGTGAATTTTGTACACACTTGCTCCTGGAGTACCTGTCTTCCTGCTGGTAGCTCATTAGTATCGCCTTTCCTGATGGGCTAATTTTTTTTCTCACCCCTACTGGTTAAGAGTGCAGGCTTTGACGTCAGTCCAGCCTGGGTTCTAATCTTTGCTCTAATACTTGTTATGTGACCGTAGGGTTCTCATGAGGATCAAATGAGATAAAGATAAATTACTTAACACAGTGCTCGGCACAAGTAATCACTTGGTAAATGTTAACTATGCATAATAGTTACCTAAAGAGGCTTGGAGCAAGGAAAGACATGTTGGAAGTGGAGATGCCATGAAACCTCCAGCATTCTCAGGTGTTGTTACTACGACAGAGCTGAGATCTCAGCCTCTCACCCATTTCTCCATCCTAACAGGCCCAGTCGTGATCATAAGTGGAGCCCATCGTGAACCCTGGAGGGGACCCTGGATTCTGGGGTGAGGACCTGCTGCAGGGAGAAATGTGTTCTGCCTGTCCACTCTATGTGACATTCCTTGCCATTCTTTGCCTCACTTGTCATTGCTTGCTAGAGATGATGGCCAGTTTTCTGCCTGCCTGGCATTGTTTCCTCCAAGTCACAACTGATTTATCAAGTCCTTTTTAGTGAGCTCTGGCTTCAGATGCTCTATTCATCCTCTTTTAGACCAAGGCAGTGGCCTCTCACACTTTAGGAGAAACCCACTTCTCTCAATATCAGCCTCCTGCAAGGCAGGGGAATGGAGACTTTTGCCCCTTGGCTTCCCTTGGCTTTAGGATGCTGCAGTTTAACATTTGCTGGGTTGTTGGGAGCCAGCACTAGAAGCAGCATCAGCAGTTTCTTAGAATTTCGTTGTGCAGGTTTTCTGAGACTTTAGCACCTTTTTTACTTCCCAAGCCTTTTTCACGTCCAGATGATTTATGGGATGGGACTCTCTCAGTCACATATCCAGGGAAATTTGCATACTTTGGGAACATTTACTGTGTGTTTTTTGTTTTTGAAATGTTTAGATGTGTGTGTGTGTGTGTGTGTGTGTGTGTGTGTGTGTGTGTATGCCTGACTTTGTCTATATGAGGTCATTGATATCCTAACATACTCATTTGACTGACATCCACTGACATCTGGTCGTCCTTTTTGATAGGGGGATTTTGGCGTATCAGGGACCCAACGGAATAACTAGGACACAGAAGGAAGCACTTAGAGACTTCAGTAGCCCCAGTTATTGCATCCGGCCAGGAAGCAAAACCCAAATAAAGATGAGGAAGTGGAGAAACAAAGAGCCATGGGTGGCGGGGGGTGGTTTGCAGAGAGTCAGCAGAATCACAGACCCTCTAAGGCTGCCTAGCATCCCAAACTCCTCATCTTAACTCAGACTTGCAGAGAAGCCTAGACCCTGTACTGGCCCACAGAAGCTTACACCAGGCTAATAATATCTAGGATACGTCAAATATAAGTTGAGATTGGCATTTTATTTTCTCCTTAACTATATTTATTCATGCCTATGCCTAAGCAGGGCACTCTTAGCAATGTAGAGCCTACTCAGTCTCAGCAGTCTCAGCATCTGCAGCTCCTTAAGCCACCAGGGAGCAAGGAAGCGGAACGGCACAGCACAGAGTCAGGTGTTGTACGTTCCTGTCAGGGCCTGCTGACTCCCATTTCTTGGAGGTTTGCTTTGCCTAAGATGTTTTTCTATTAGTTCTTAGGCCAGCAGAAAAATCCAGCTCTGTTTATATGTGCCATTTTGACTCACCTCAGGAAATTCTTCATTGCGTATCAGTGACTGTGGGGGACCCTGATACTTTAGAGATGAAAAGACATCCTCTGCCCTCAGAAAGTTCTACCTGGAATAGAGAATACAAGGAGAACAACAGGGGTGCACACAAGTGCCAGGGGAAAGCAGGGGAGAGCTGCCCACCTGGGCTGCTGTGAGGTGGGGTGGGTGGGCAGGATGAAGGGGACCAAGACGGCCTCTCAGAGGATGTGCAAAGCCAAAACACAATCTGGAGTGCCTCTGGCAGATGTCCTGGGAAGAGGGGAGAGTGTGCATGAAGGCTAGAAGTGGAAGAGACCCTGCTACTTTTGCAGAGCTGCCTATGTTGGAGACGTCCATATGGGTAAGATGTAGAGGGTTGGGGAAGCCGGACTGGAAGAGAGAGGAGGGAAAACAGAAGGGGATGAGTCAAGAGAGGCCATCACCAGGCAGATCTTGAAGGACCACATGAGCCAGAGGGGTTTTAACATGCAGGTGATAGGAGGTCTTCTGTGAATTTACAAATCTCCTCTGCCCACCATGTGAAGGAGGGATTAGAAGCTGGAAGAAAGGCCAGGTCCATCACCATCCCCAGTCTTCACCCTAAGGTGGTTAAAATTGTTTAGTAAGAGGACTCAAGGGCCTCCATTTCCACAGGAACATATATACTCTGCAGTGTCAACCAGGGTAGTTAATAATGGCCTGGGATGCCAAGCCAAGCTCACTCAGAACCCATCGCTGGGAGCTGGCTGCCATTCTCCTCTTTTCTAGGATGGATCCCTGGAAGGGTTAACAAAATGTAAAAGGAAGCAGAGCTTCAGCTATGTGGTATGTGAAAAGATCTTGTGAAAGAAAGCAGCCAGAAAATCTCAGGCAGAGAGCAGAGGGAGGAAAAATATGCAGAGGAACAATGGATTATATCAAAAATGTGAACCCTTGTTAGAGAAGACATGTATGACTCACTCTTCCACCGGGAATTAAGCAGAGGAGAGCATGGTGGCTGCCTGCTGACAAGAAAGGTACAGGGGAATTTCAGTGATCTGCATTTAATTCGTGTCAGCTTGTTTATGGAGTTAGGCTAAAGTTTAAGGTCAATGCAAGGAATTTGAGCACAGAAGAGAGGAGAAGTTGAGGTATCAGTAATCACTATCCACGGTGATTCAAGTGATCTTGGCTTATGATACAAAGAGGAGGCTGGGAATAGTATCTTTGGTGGTGTTGCCTTGGGATACAAAGAGTGTCAGAATGTAGTCATCAGGGCAGCCTTTTATTAATCACTTAGCATATGACAGACACCGTCCTTAAGCTTTACAGGCCAGTCCCTTGATCTTCACAGTGGCCAGGGAAGGTAGGTCTTATTATTAACATCCCCATTTTACAGATGAAAAAGAAAGCGGAGACCCAGAGCTTATGTAATTAGCTCAAGGTTACACAACTAGTGAACTGATGAGCAAGGATTCAAATCCAGGCAGTCTGGCTCCAGAGTCATTTGTAATTATCATACAGTGCCTTCTCTAGGAATGATCTGGGTAAGCAAGGTCAACCAGTTACATAGTATGAGAATGGCTGTGCGTGCTGGTCAGAACTGTTCATGGGCAGCATCTGAGCATTTTGATTGCATTTAGGATAGCAGAGTAGTAGGGAAAAGCCACAAGGAGAAAAGCCAAAACAAGAGCTCTCAAAGCAACACACATAAACAACACAGTGCAGCCTTGCTGGAGGCAGGGAGAACTGGCATCTTCTAGAGGAAGCATGGGCAGGAGAGCCTGGGAGAGGAGGCGGAGGTCATCTGTCTGCCGAGAAGAGAACTCTCCGTGGACAGCATGTGTTGGCGCAGCGGGGGACACAAGGCAAGGACTGGCACAGGGACACTGCCGCCTAGTGTCCCCAAAGCCTGGTCTTCGGGACTCCGTCCTGACAGTAGGAGTCTGACTGTGGTCAGAACCAGTTCCATCCTGGCCCGGGAGAGCCGGGGCAAACTTGGCCACAGAAGCATCTCACTGTCTGTGGTTTCTTTAAAGGCCTGAGGTGTCTGATAGTTTCGTTTGTTCATAGCCTCTTAGATGGTAATTGGAATTACCATCTAAGATGGAACTGGAAAGAAGTGTCCACCTCTGCTAGTCTGACTCCTTTATTTTATAGACGTTTCAGAATGAGAGGTGCTCAGCTGGGCCACCTTGCCGGCTGGTAGCAGGGACGGAAGTGAGTCCCTAGTGTCCTGAATCTTGCCACAGCGTTTAATGAGCTGGCTTTTCTGATGGTCTCCTTTTATAAAGTGCTCAATTCACATAACTAATTAAGTGTCTAGTTATGGATTCGAAATCAATGAGTTCCTGTATTAACAATTTATTTTTTTTATTTTTATTTTTTTTGCTTTATTTCTTGGCTTTTTTTTCCCCCTTTTGCTCTCCCCACCCATTCCATGTCTGACTTCTCCCTTGTTTGGCCTCCTTGTCCTCGTGATTCTTCTACTCTGCTCTGGGTGATTACTGTTTCTTTTTTCTCCTTTCTGGGCCCTCCTTCCTCTTCCCTCCTTTCCTTCCTTCAGCCCTGTCCCCTTCTCTTTCTCCCTGTAGTTCTCACACACACACAGGCGGACATGCTCACGCTCACGCTGGCTCACGTTCTCTCTAGATTTAGAGAGAGACAGAGACAGACTGGCTCCATCCTCTCCCCCTCAGGAGTGCTAAAAACCAGTCCATCTGCTGTGGATCTGCTTATTATTTGAAAGTTTGCCTTATGGAGTAAGAAGGAAGCTAGGATTCCTGTATTTTCTCAGTCTCCTCTTTAAACACAGGGAAGTAGATATTTCTCACCTAATAAGCACATTAATAAAAACTTGGCAGGGCACAAGGAAGCCATATTGACATTCTCCTTCTAGGAGAATTAGTATAGTGCCTTTTGCAGATGGGCACTTAATGAATTTTTGATGACTGAAGCGATGATGCATGCTAGCCGTGGCTTCATCATAAGCTCACTGACTCCATGGACATCAGTCTTCTTTCTTTGTGTTATCTGTCCATGTTGAACTGCAGAGATTTTTGTCAAAAGGAAGAATGAGGATAGAGAGGTCAGTCAATAATCTCAGGGCTAAAGTTGGAGTCTGAGAGAGGTTCAGGGCTAGAACCCCAAACTTTCAGATCCAAGTGGCCATAACTATGGAGGCCCGGGGTAGGCTGGGGAAGCAATGGTGTTCGGACTTTGAGAAGGAGGAGCTTCCACCTAGGGCTCCTCCTAAGAGTTCATTCTTTCCTGATGGCTCCCGAATGGAATTCCACTGGTGAGAGATTCTCAGTGGTAGCTTCTATTCCTACCTGGACACACCAGAGATGACTAAATGCAATTCAAGTCCTGTTCTTCTTCCTTCCCAATCCTACCTCATGCAGATCTGATTTTGCACAGGGTCCCACACCTCTCCAGGGAGCCCCTCAAACAGCCTTAGGTAATCTTGCATCTCCATTACCACTCCCACGCATGCCCACTCCTTCTTTTCAAGTCCAACTTTGCTGAGCCACTGGTCCTCTTGTGCTATGACGTGACGTGAGGTTGGCTGTCTGCACTCCGCCCTTGTCCAGTCTAGTCTGTCCCCCTGCAGGCCAGAGCTATAAGGGGTATTCCATTTGAGTCAAATTTCAGTTACAAGTTACAAGGCCTGCTCCCCAGCTTCCCACCACGACTTGGCTGTTCTTCTCCTTTGTGTTTCTTCTCCTTGAAACCATGGGCAAGCCAAAAGCTGGGATTCACAAGGCTAAGGTTCTGGTAGGAACTTGGACACATGCCAACTTCCAAACAAGGCTGGCAAGAACAGCCCTCCCTGCTTCATAGCAGGGCTCCATTTGGAAAATGCATATGAAGTCATTTGAAAAAGTAGGAATGCTCTAGGGAGGAAATATCTTTTTAGTTCTAGTCTTTAGGTCTTTGAGTTAGTGTTTTTACAGTTGGATTGATTGATGAGTAATGTTCTACATCCACCCTCCTCGGAAACCACAGATCACATTTTGTTGACTGGTGTTAGTAATGTCTTTGGATGCTATGGAATCAAATTCTTTTTTCCTTGGGGATTAAATCCAAAATATAGACCTCACTACCCCACTCACTGCAACTTCCTGAGATAACCTGCCTGCGTAGGTACCTTAGTCTGTTCAGCTGCTATAATAAAATACCATGGCTTGTGAATTTATTTCTCACAGTTTTGGAGGCTGGGAAGTCCTAGATCAGGGTGCCAGCATGGTAGAGTTCTGGTACATGCTCGTTTCCTGATTCATAGATGGCCGTCTTTCCACTGTGTCCTCCCATGGAGGAAGGGGTGAGAGAGCTCTCTGTGATCTCTTTTACAACTGCTGTAATCTCCGTCATGAGGATTCTACCCTCATGACCTAACCACTGCCCAGATGTCCAAGCTCCAAATACCATCACACAGGGGATAAGGTTTCAACATACAAATTTTTAGGGGGCATAAACATTCAACTTATACCAATAGAAGTGAATTATTTGGGCATTTTCCTGGAGTGATGTAAAGGCATTCTTATTTTTCTTGAAGGAGTGGCCAAGGAGTTGCAGAGAAAAGTGACATTGCCTCCCAAACCTCTCTGCTCCTTCTGTATGAGGTCTTTATCTAGGGCAGAGCTGCCCTCCTGCGGGGGGGGACTGAAAATGAGTAGAAAGGTTTGGGGCTATCACCGTGACATTGATGCCAGCCCAGGAATACAAAACATTCTGCCATGCAGCTTTCAGTCTGCATTGGAAAGGAATGTCGTGCCCCAAATGCTGAGAAACACGGCTGGGATGTCGTAAAACCGTAGAGAGATAGAGATGGAAGTCCTCTCAGAGGCCGGAATTCCAAGCCTTCCTTTTACAGAGGAGAAAATTTTGGCCCAGAAAAGGAAAGTGGGCTGCTCAAAGTCACGCAGCTAGCTAGTGGCAGAGCTGGACTGGAGCCCAGCCCTCGGGTTCCCAGCCCAGCATGCCTTCCGCAGTGTTGGTGCGGCAGAGAGCTGGGGAGGTGTGGCTGCAGGGGCACCTTGCTGAGTATGGACTGCAGGCCCGGGCTGGCAGGGCTGCTGGGCGGCTGCTGATTATATCCGTAATTCCGCCTTCTTAGAGGCAGAGACCCTTGAGCCAACATGTGCCCCCCCAGGCCCACTGCTGCCCAAGGCAGGCTTGGGATTGCAGCTTTCCTTTGGAGGAGTAGATTTGCTTGTTTTGCTCAGATTTTCCTTCTGCCTCTAAAAGACACCCCCAAATAACCCTGTGTTCGGGAACAACATTCATTAGCTTAATGAAATGTAGTAGCTTCCAGTAGGATGGAAGAAGGGGTCTCTTAGTGAGAGTCCCCTGTTGTGTGCTCTCATGCACGAATGGAGGGGAGGCTCCGGTTGGGTGGGTGGCAGGAGGCCGGAGGTCTATTCTTAGCTCTGTTGCTATGTGATGTTGTGCAGGCCACTGAGGCTTCTTGTTCTTCCTGGTTCAATCAGCTCTCAGTATTCTGCCTCCTTTGCCCCGCCTTGGGCATCACCAGCCATGTCTCTTCAAAGTGAGGTGCCTCAGCTGGGTGGGCTGGGGAGGGAACACCGGAATATCTAGAAGTATCAGTCAGAGTGCAGGTGGGAAACAAATACCACACTCAAATGAGGTAATTAAGGAGAGTTTAATAAAATAAATATCTTCGAAGGAGGTTATTGGGCCTTGGGTACCTAATGGTCTGAGAGTCCCTCTATCTCCCCTCTAGAGGCCTTCTTATCCCTTCTAGAGAGGAGGCTCGGGGGCTGGGTATCTTCCCCTTCCTTCTCTAGATTCACTCTCCAGGCTCCTCCGTCTGCAGTGGTAAGGAATGCAGCCCTGGGCCACCTTGCCTCCAGACAGGCAGCAGGAGCATGGCACTGGGTCTGATTCCCTGGCCCTCCCCACAGGTCATTGCTGGTTGGCCATATTTCTCCCCGAGGCTACAGCTCCTTTTGGGTGGCTCTTTCCACACAGCTGTCCCTCTGGTTCTGGGAGCTCTTCTTTCCTGTGCTCCATTTAGGACTAAGGATATGATGAACACAGTGCTGTCTCCCTTAGGGAGCACAGAGTCTAGGGGAGGAGGTATCTGCACTTGCTGGGGAATCACTGCTCAGTGAGAAAGATCTGCAGTGATACAGCTTCCCAGCAGCCAGCAGAATGGCAGGGACAGAAGGCTTCTTAGAGGCAGAGGCCCTTGATTTGACTCTTGGCTAGATCTGGTGGACACAGTCTGCACAGACACTACACGCAGCAGGAACAGTGCATGCAGGGGCGCCACTGAGAACGGGAATGACAAGGTACATTGAAGAACTAAAAATTCTTTTTTATTGCAAATAGTAGAAACTGAACTTAAAGGAGTTAAAGAGGAAAAAATGAAAAAAGAAATTTGTTGTCTCCAGTATTTGAGAGGTCCAGGTGTGACTGGCTTCAGGCACCCACATTTAACCCTCAGGTTTCTGTCTCTCTGACTGTCTGAGCTTGCTGTCTCCTAGGCATCTACTTCCTAGGCAGGCTTTCTCCATTATGGAAAGTGGGGTGATGGAGGTGGGGAAGAGGAGGAAGGGGAGTCGTTCCTGGAGTATTAGGCTCATGTGTTCCATTTAACTAGTGGATCTAGAGAAAGACAGATGCTTCTGTCCCAGTCCCCAGATGACAAATCTCATGAAAACATGATACTGCTGGGGTCACTGGCCCTCTTAGCCATTGGGGGAGGAAGGACAAGCTTTGGCAAGTTCTGAGCCCAGGCCTATCCTTGGGCAAGTGAAGGCACAGAGTCAGCACTCTTGTCCCACAGAGGGAAGATTCTCCCCAGGAAAAGAGGATTTTTATTCCCTGAGAAAGGGGTGAAGACAGGGCATTCTGGGAAGACCAAAAATCAAGCTCCAGTGGTCCATTTTGCTGGGTAGAGCTGGAGAGCAGAGGCCAGGTAAAGACAGCTTCCCCTGTGGCAATGGGGAGCCCTTGAAGAACCGTGAGCAGAGGAAAGACTCAGCCAGACTTGCGTTTTTGAGGCATAATCTGAAAAGTAAAGCTAATCTCCAATTAAAAAAAGAAAATAATGAAAAACCATATAATACTTCCTAATGCCAAAAAGAAATGTGCTTGGAATGATCTGCTCTTTAAGTTTCCCTGTTCTGCTCTCTTTCCCAAACTCATCCAGGAGACCGGCTGCGTCATCTAAGCACAGAGCAGGATCTGCTGGTGTGTATTTTCAAATTGCATTCGATTCTCACTTGCGTAGGGCCTGTTTCAGTCTGGGGCTTGAGGGCCAGGACCCGTGTGCCTGACTGCTGGGCTGGGCTCAAGTTCAGCCGTCTCTAAAGAGCTAGCAGTATTTGGAGGCATATCCTGGCTGGGACACGGACAGGCAGCCTCCCTGAGCTTCTGCTTTCAGCACCCCCTCCTCGTGCGCCTGTGAGTCACACCAGGGCTTTGTCATACTCAACGCAGGTCTAAGCCACACGATCCGCTCTCCTCACAGCAGGCAATTGGTCCTGACACTGTCTAATTGCAAAATCATTTTTCGTTTGTCAAGACCCACCTGTCTCTGTGCAAAATAGAGACTGACAGTCGGGTGGGGGTGGACATGTATCAGTGCAGAGGCAGCAGAGACATTTTGCTGAGTGACTGCTGGGGCAGAGCCTTCTAGAAGGTGATGGGAGGGAGGGGGGCTAAGGGCTTAGACTCTGAAACGGGACTGCCTGGGTTCAACTGCAGATACTGTCCCCGACTAACCGTGTGATCTTGGGCAGGTTGCTTAATTTCTCCAAGCTTTGACTTTCTTATCTGTAAGATGCAAGATAAGAGTACCTGCCTCATAGCGTGTGTGGATGATATGAGGTGATTATACAGCACTCAGCACAGTGCCTGTGTCAATAAATGTCAACTCTTATCAGTGTTCCATTTTTCCCACCTTTTGATTAGATAGATTCCTGTTTCGGATTAGATCTCTCCCTGCTGATAGATGTTGTTCTCCTCAGGTACTGAACTGTCAGTGGGTGATTGGATTAGCTGGCCCAAGCCTGAAGAGAGGAGGTGAGAAGCTTTCTCTGTGGCTGTGGCCTCCAGGACACATCCTCATGACCAGACTTCTTTCTTACCGTGAAATTCCCAGCCTGTTTGGAAGGAGTAGAGATAAATACAGAGCTGGAAGGGACATGTTGTTGATTTAATTTGCAGAAACACTTGGTATACAAATATTTTTACAGGTTCCTTATTTATTAACTCAAGCTACAGGTTGCAAACCTCAATATTTTAATATATCTCCTCTCCTGGGGTTATATACAGTGAAAACATATGGCTTATGTATCTGACAGAGGGTATTTAGGACTATATATATATTTGGGTTCTAGTTTTCTGGCCTCACGGAACTTAGAAATGATCTTTCCTTTCCAGTTTGGACCAATGGAGAAGTAGGACCTCATTGTTGGAAAGATCGGGATCATATTATTAGCATTTTTTAGTGATAAAGTAGAACTGGAGAACAAGACTTGACCTGTGGCCACAATAAGGTGTTCTGCGGTTTTACCTCTGAGTTAAATTTGGCCATGTGGTCCGAGGTGGGGGTGGACACACCTGGCCTCTCACGTAGGGTGGAGTCTCTTGCCACATGGAGGAGGAGGTGGGGCCTCTATGCCCTTGGCTCACACCAACAAGTCCAGAACCCAGTCTGCTCCTTCCCAGGGTCCCCACTGAAGGAAGTGGCACAACTGGGCACCCACCTGCTGGGGCTGACAGCCTTCCAGCCTCTCTGTCCTGCCGTATCTATCTCACGTAAACCATTCCTCAGCCCTCTGCTACTCTGACCTGACCCTAGCCACCTTCGTTTTTTGTTTGGCCAACTTCGACACCTTCTCAGCTGCTCTCCTTGCTCCCCTGCTCACCAACATAGTTTATCCACATGGCAGCCAGAGTGATGGTTTAAAACTACCCATCACCTTATTTTACTCCTCTGCTCCAAACTGCTCATGGTTTGCTGTTAGAAGCAAAATCTAAGCCCTTCGCCTTTGCCTTGGAGGCTTTTCATGATGGCTACTGCCCACTTCCCTGACCTTATCTCCTCCTGTCCTCTCACCCCACCCTCATTCACACTGCTTCAGCCATTGTGCCCTTCTTGGGGTTGTGTGGGCACTCCAAGCTCACTCTTGCCTCAGGACCTTTGCACAGGCCCTTCTCTCTTTGGTGCATTCTCCTCCAGGATCTTTGCCGCATCATTGTATCCAAGTCACCGCTCAACTGCTGCCTCTTCAGAGACACCTACTCTGACCACTCTCTAAAGTAGCTGTCCTCTCCATCACAATCTTTTCCTTTATCTCACTTACGTCACTTGTCACGGCTTGCCATTATAGTATGCATTTGTAAATGCATATTTGTTTAGAACTTTGATTTCCTGCTATTTCCCCAGAGCCTAACACAGGGCTGGACATCAGGTAGGAGCTCAGCAGATGTGCACTGAGTGTATCACTTCTGTATCCAGGAAAGTCTGAGAGGGAAAACCCTGAAGGGGCCGAATCACACCTGCTCAGGTCCTTCTTCCAGGCTCCCCGCTCAGTTCAGCTTCTCTTCCCTTGTGTCACGAAAACAGGAGAGAGCTCATTCTCACGATGCTCCAGAGAGGCTGCTTACCACTTTGGGCATTATCACCGGTGCCATTTTACAGATGAGAAAACCGAGGTTTGGATTAAATCACTTGCCCTAGGTTGTAGAGCTTGGATGTAGCAAAGCCCTAATTCCGATTTATGTCTCCATGCTCTTTGCCTCTCCATTCTGTTGCCTTTTGGGTTCAGGTACCTCTAGATTTTCTTCTCTTTTAATCCTCACCACAACCTTATGAGATGCCCATTTTGCAGCTGAGAAAGCTGGAGTTCAGATGGTTTAAGTTTCTTTCCCAGAGTCACCCAGCCTGAAGTGGTACAGCAGAATTTGGAGTACAATAGCTTGGCTCAAAGCCTTTGCTTTCCATCATGCTCCACCCCATGGCCTCTCCTTTGGAGGCAGAGACTGCCAAAGGGTGCAATGATGCCCACCGTTATCATCGTGACTATCAGTGGCAGGAACAGTAGGGGCTCTGGAAATGTAATACAAGAGAAGGAGAAGAAGAAAAGGAACAACTGTGGAGGCACTTTGGATTTTTTTCTTGGCTGCAGTAGACTCTCTGAGTAAAGCCTGAACGGGACGTAATGCCCCTTTAGACTTTGTTTTATTTAATTGTGTACCAGCAGGGTTATGTGGATGAACGAATTAATGAGAGCAAACCCCTTAAAAATGCAGGTTTTAGTCTTCACAGGTGTGACAAGCTGCTGTTTGTTTTGCCTTAACTGAATTGAACCACTTAAAAATATTTTCTTTTTTAGGGTTATGATATAAAATATAATAATCTAGAAAAAAGCAACTCCCCAAATTTGGTTAATTTATGTCGTTCCTCAACTGAATAAGAGTGGACTTTTCTTAAAACGTGTGTGATAAAGCATCTATTGGGAAAGAAGTATGGGCCATGGATAAACTTCGTCCCTCCTTCACCCCAACCCCTGACAACCTTAAGGAGGGCACCTTCTCCTTTTCCCACTATTTCCCCACTGCTGAAGGAAAAGCTGAAATGTAAATATATATGGTTGCTCATTTCTTTTGAGAGCAAAAGTTCACTCTCCCCACTGCAAAGGCAGTCTTGGTTTCATCACTTTTTCTGCAGATGAGGCAACATATTATATAGAAGTTGAATACCTGAGTTTGAGTTCTGGTTCCTTTGCTTTAGGCTCTCCCACTACTTAATTTCTCTGGATCTCAGTTATCCATCTACAATAAGAGGATTGTAAGAATACCTACCTCAAAGTGCTATAAAGATGGAATAAAATAATGTGTATGAAACTATTCTACCTGGAACATATTACAGGCTTAAAATGCAATTCATAATCATAATTGTAGTAATAGTAATAATGATCATAATAATATAATAAACATAACAAGTCCCTACATTGTAAATGAGAAGAACTCTAATGAGTTTGTAACAAATACAGAAGGTATTGATTTCTCCAACTAGATATATGGTTTCCGGAATCACCAAGGTGGCATGTCCACTCCCCACTAGAGTCTCAGAGTCTGTCCTGGGCCGAGTAGAGTTTCAAGAAACTTTTTCAGTCCTTTTTACTTGTCGGAGGGCCCCTCTTCCACTAGTCATTGCCCTTCTGATCTGTATAAATGGCTGGCAGAGGAAGGAAATCCGTGGGCCAAATCCTACAGGTTCAAGCTATGTACTGTATCTTCCCTCACTCCCTCCAACAAAAAACAAAAACAAAAACAAACCCCTGTCAACTGGCTTAGTAAATGAGGATTAAGAAAGAAACACAATTTTCATATAACATGAATCCTGCCCTCATTGTTTCCATCTAATTCAAGAAGGAACTTGACAAATACAGCAGGAATTGAATGCCCATAGAACTACACTTATCACTGAATTAAGTAGACTTTTACAAAAGAATTTCTTGATTACAAAGTACTTGCATACATGTTTTCTTACTTGGCATTTTATAACAATTCTGTGAGATGAGCATGGTAGGTGTTATCACAGTTTTATAGACGAGGAGACAGAAACTCCAAGTGCTAAGGGATGTAGCCAGAATCTTACATTTGCAGAAAGAAAAACAAGGACCCAAGCCCTAGTCTTTTGACTCCGTGTCTAGTACCCTTTCCATGACTCCATGTGCAGAGCAAGTAGAAAAGCCTATTGCTCAAGGTCATGAGTAGCTGAGTTCTTGGTCCATTGCTCCTTCCAGCACTCAACTTCCGCTTTTAATTCCTTTAGAGCCATTTTTCTGAAAAAGTCAACTGTTCCTTACCTTAGTTTAAAATTGTACTTCCTAAATCTCAGAGGAGAGAGGAACGTATGGAAATCCATCTCCTTGGCTATATGTGGTTTGACCTTCAGTGACCTTCAGATTGAAGCCAGTGGTTCAAAAACAGTTCTCAGTTCTCTGTAACTGACTCTTCCATTTCAGGACCCTGGGACACTAATGCAATCCACTTGTGCTAAGTGTTACATCCACAGTCCTCCACACGACCCTTGTGGAGATAAAAACTGTGACCACTGAATTCTTTATGAAATTTACTGGGGGTATGAGAATGTCCAGTCGGGACCTCCATAACCATCTACTCCAGGCATCATAATCCCTCTTCCTTCTACTCATCCTCGTAGAAAGTACTTCACAACTGCTTGCTCATTTTTTTTCCTCTTCCTCAGACATTGGGTCAGTCATGTGCAAGGGCTGGTGCACTTTTAGAGCAACATAACCATTGTAAGATCTCTGGCCTAGAGCCTTGGTTCTTGAACATTAACGTACCTGAGACTCACTAAGGGACCTTGTTAAAACGCAGGTTATAGGCACCAGCTCTTGAGACTCTGGTTTGGGGGTTCTGGAGTTGATATCTGGAGGCTGCATTTTGGATGAGCTCCTTTAAGGATTCTGATGCAGGTATAACTTGGAAAACAGCTCATGAGCTGAGCAGTAATTTTAAATGACTGCAGAGTTAGGCATGGATTCTGCCACATGGCAGGACCCAATACATGCTAGGTGACCAGGTGAGTATATTGTTCACTTCAGAATAGATGTTTCTTAAAGTGACTTTTCTACCACTACTAGGCATAGACGAGATTATTTTTTACAGTAGGCAGAGGGATTGTTCTGAAGATCCTCTGCTGGGAAAACAGATTTGATCACCAGCAATATGATAAGTTCTGTAAAGAACGGCTTAGGACATGGTCCAATAAATAATAGGCTATGTAACTCACTTTAAAATGCAGTACCAAGATGCATAAAAAACAATTGCAACCCTCAGGGGATTCTGTCACTCACATTGAAAAGATCACTAGCCATACTGCTGTGACATTTCAGAGAAAGGAGCAATCATATTCAGCTGGGAGGTCTTGGAGAATTTTGCAGAGAGAGAGGATGTGGCTGAGACTTCTGGGCTGAGTCTAATTTGGGTAAGTGGGAAAGGGGAGGGCGTTTCAGGTGATGGTATATATTGGAGCAGAGCATAATTGTGAGAAAGCAACTCTTCTAAGGATGGTAGTGAGTTGGTTGGCATGGTCAGCACTTATGAAAGCAAGGAAAGGGACAATAGCTAATATAGAGATGCTACATATACGTAATTTTATTTAATTCTCACAACAGCTCTACAGGGAAGGCAATACTGTTCATATTGTATGGAAAGAAGTTCAGAGAAAATTAAATAGTTCAAGATCACAGAGCTCAAGGCAGACCTGGGGTTTGTACCCAGCTCCTGTGAATGCCAGGCCTGAACGCCGGAGAACTCACCCTGCCACCCCTTCCCCAATAAAACTGCTGGTGAGCCCTGAATGTCAAGCTTAGGGTTTCATACTCAAGCTCCAGACAATGCGTGTCTTGCAAAGAAGGGTCTGGAGGCCAGGTTCCATCCCAGAAGTCTATCCAGGTCTCTCTCTGTATCCTTGGTATTTCTTCTGGAACTGCTGCCCTAAAGAAAACTACAACCATACTATTTTGACCTGTCAGACCCTGTTGGCTTTTTGTTGTGTGTTAACAAAGTATCATGGGCAAGCAGGTGGAGAGTTTTGCAGATTCATTCTTCAGCGACAATTTTCTGATTCATATTGTCACCACATGGCCCAGTTATGTTGCAGGAGCAGGCAGGTGTCAGCAGTGTGTGCCTGAGAGTGTGTGTGTACAAGTGGTTGATAAATCAGCAGATTTTCCATGTGAACAAAGCTGGGATCTCCAGCTGACATCTTAATTCTGGGACTCAGAAAACCCAGAGCAGGGATAATGAAATGTCCTGCCTGTAAGTAGCAGGCTAAGAAACTCCTCAGCTCCAAGTGGCAAGAGCGGCCATGCTGACATCTCTGGTTATGGATTTTCAGCAGGAATTTTGTCACTCTTCTCCTGTGTAGGAGGTAGTAGTGATGGCACATTCTTTTCCAGTAAAGAATCTGGTCGGACAGTTCCCAGACAAGCAAACAGGATAGAGGTGGCATGAGGGTGACTCTCTAGTTTTCCAATAATGGGTGTTCCTTATTGTGTAAATGCGATACCAATTTAGGCAGAAATTTTTTCTTCCTAAATTACGTAGCATTTTCCCATGTCATTTAATCCTCGCAAGGGTCCTTGGAATCAAGTCTTTATAATCATCTCCATGTTGCCAGTGAGGAAACTAGGGCTCAGAGACATTGAATGTCTTGACTAAAAGCTAAATAAAAATTAATGAGTTTGAGAACCACTAGAACTCACATTTATGCTCTTATTTATGTTCATCGATTAGCCTATTCATTTATGCTTCCATTCATTCATTCATTCATTCATTCATTCATTCATTCAATGTTCATTGATCACCTACTACATTCCTAGCACTGAGTTTGGTTGTGGAGCTCCCAAGATAAAAATGGGGAGTACTCTGAGCTCCATGAATAGAGGGTTAATAAAAGAGAGAGCAGGTCAATTATTTGGAACTCTAATTAGTGTGATTTCCACTCACATTTAAATTCAAATAAGCAATATTAGGAACCCATGAATCTTCCGGTCAATTCTCCAGTCTCTAAAGCTATTTCACCCTTGCTTATTTATCTGCACACTTCTGGGTGTTCTATCACCTGCCATAGGTCAATATTTGCCTCAGTTCAATATTAATTACTTCCTGGATGCATGCATTTCCTTTATCTTGGTTCCTAAAAAGAAAATTTAAAGATGTATTTATGCATTGAGTCGACATCAGATCATTTTTCAGCCTGAGTCATCTCCTCAAAGGTTGTCCCTCACTCCTGTTTTCCTAACCTTCATGGAAAAGATGATTTAATTCCAGATTGTCAGAACTGCAGCCCTATAGGGTGAAACCTGCTTTTCCGTCCTCCATGCCCCCTCTGCAGTGAGGTTGTAGCATTCACATCACATCGTGCCTTGGATTGTAGGTATGTGCCTACGTGTTCTATCTTCTTTATGAGATGAGATGATAAGTTATCTGAGTGAGAAAATCATGGTGTATTCATCACCGCATCCTCTACAGAACCTAGCACATTCCATGATCTGTTAAAGGTGCTCAAGAAATGTTTATAAATGGAGGTCCCAGACTGGCAAAGCTCGTCTCTTTAAAAGACTTGTTCTCAGGAGCACTGTGAGTGATGGCCTAAGTGTCCTCCACTCTAAGGAGTGCTGCCTTAACAGTGACTCCAGCAACCACCTCCTGACCTGATGAACTTCTTTTCATTAACCCACAATCTTCCTGTTGCCAAGCACTTCTTTTTCTCTCTCCCATTTTACTTAACCATTCTTGGGCTCTCCAGGCCCTTTGATGAATAGAAATGTTCCTACTTGGAATTAAGTTGGAATCTTTGATCAGAGCATCTTGGTAACTCATCAGGCCACATCGGAGGTTTACAATAGTTATGTGGTGGTTTTTCTGTTTCTCTCAGAGGCAGTTTGTGTGGGCATTGAGTGTATCCTTAAGAGAGCACTCAGAAACCTGGTCAAGATGAGGAAGGACATTGATGCCCCAGAGCAGGGACAGAGAATCAGGGAGAGAGTGGAATGTGAAGCTCTATGTTCAAATCAAAGACATGGATGGGGCTGGGGATCCAGGACAGCTGCTGTCTGGGGATGGAGTGGGGATATTAGACTTGGTTAGGCAGGGTGAGGATTTCTATCACTGAAGACTCAGGCTTCTCTGAAGGCAAAATTACAAAGTTATTAGGAATTCTCTTAATGGTTTACTCTGATTTATGGATGTGTTTAGTCAGCCCATCATCATCCATGAGTATTCAAAAGTGGACAGTAGGTGTCTGTTTGGAAAAGCAGCCATTTGTTCTGTAAGTGTATCTCTTCTTTGGGAAAGGCTGCCACTGAGGTTATTGGAGTTTACCAGGAACTAAGAATTTACCTGCATCTTAGGCTGTGTAAGGGAAACTGGTCTAGAGAAAACAATTATGCTAAAACTTTGGAAAATATTGACCTGTAGCTGGGTCCCACAGAGCAGTTTTGTAATGCTGAAGGAAAGGAGACCTGGACATGGGCTTAACTCTTCCAAGGACCTCTGTTAGATTCAATGAAGCTACTCAAGCCTTGCATCCTTCTGTTTCCTCCTCTGTAGACAGGACACACCGGTTTCTAAATATTTAGGTTGGTGCAAAAGCAGTTGCAGTTTTGGCCGTCACTTTCAATGGAAAAACCGCAATTTCTTTTGCACCAACCTAATACTTATATACCTTCGGGACCAGATAGGCAATGCTATTAGAAGTGTTATTGAGGTGTAGGCTAATAGTGAGGTGAAGTGGAGGGTGCAGGACATGTACAGAGACTCAAAATAAAAATAATTCAATCCCCCAATTTGCAGTCTCTGTTCTAAAGTGTTAGATCTTCTCCTTGGAGAAAAAGAAATATAGAAGTTCAGGTTATTGTTATCGTCAATACATACGCAGTCAATAGAATTATTTAAATGCTCCTGTGGATAGAGGCCCATACTGTATTATCCTGTTTTGTGCTGTTATAAAGGAATACCTAAGGCTGGGTAATTTATAAAGCAAAGGGATTTATTTGGCTCACAGTTCTGCAGGCTGTGCAAGGAGCATGGCACCAGCATCTGCTTCTGGTGAGAGCTTCAGGAAACTTCCATTCATGGCAGAAGGGGAAGGGAAACTGGTGTGTCACACGGTGAGAGAGGGAGCAAGAGAGAGAGGAGGAGAAGTACTATGCTTATTTAAACAACCAGCTCTCACATGAACTAATAGAGTGAGATCTTATATATTATATATTACCGCAGGGAAGGCACCAAGTCATTTATGAGGGATCTGCCGCCATCACCCAAACACCTCCCACTAGGCCCACCTCTAACACTGGGGATCAAATTTTAACATGAGATTTGGAGGGGTCAAAGACCCAAATAATACACATACTATGTGCTGCTGAAGAATACAAAATAATTTTATGATATCATCTCTATTTTTGAAGATTTAAGTATTTGGTCTAACTGCATAGACAGATGTCCATCCATCCATCTATCTACCCCTCCCTCCATCCATCCATTCACCCATCCACACTTTCAAGAAATATTTGTCAAACATCCAGTGTGTGCCTACTTCAGGGTTGGAACCCCAATGTGGGTTTATAGTGGTGTACAAAAACACAGGGTCCCAGTCCTCATGGAGGTTATATTTATTATATATATAAAGCCCTGTAAGAGATCCTGGGGGACATAATAAAGGCTAAAATGTTGTCCCTGGCCTCAAGTTGTTCATCTGTTTATGAGACCCCACTCCTGGCATGCAGTGGTAGTTTCTAGACTAGAGGCGTGTGGCAGCAAGGAGAATGAGAGGTTATACCCCTAGGAAAAGATCAGGGCAGACTTTGTAGATGAAGTAAGGTTTAATGAGTCTTCAGATTTTGATAAATAATGCAGTTTCTGGACTAGTGGATAAAGGTGAGTTTTAAGGGAAGAAGGCATGTGACGGCACCAGGGGTGAAAGAGGAGGAGATGAGGTTGCAGCACTATGTGACCAAAGTCTGACATGAGACATGGAAAATGGGCTGGGAGATAGGACAGGTAGTGGGCATTCGACATGTCCTATTAAGGAATTTGCTTTTTATTTCTTATTATCAAGGAGTCATGAAACATTTTGGCTGGAGTGACATGATCAGGCTCTGGCAACAGCTTCCCTCCTCTCCTACATTAAAGGGGCTCTTCATTCCCCATTCTCCTCCTCTCCTACCTTAAAGGGGCTCTTCGTCCCCCATTCTCCTGCTCTCCTACCTTAAAGGGGCTCTTCATCCCCCATTCTCCTCCTCTCCTACCTTAAAGGGGCTCTTCATCCCCCATTCTCCTCCTCTCCTACCTTAAAGGGGCTCTTCATCCCCCATTCTCCTCCTCTCCTACCTTAAAGGGGCTCTTCATTCCCCATTCTCCTCCTCTCCTACCTTAAAGGGGCTCTTCGTCCCCCATTCTCCTCCTCTCCTACCTTAAAGGGGCTCTTCATTCCCCATTCTCCTCCTCTCCTACCTTAAAGGGGCTCTTCATTCCCCATTCTCCTCCTCTCCTACCTTAAAGGGGCTCTTCGTCCCCCATTCTCCTCCTCTCCTACCTTAAAGGGGCTCTTCGTCCCCCATTCTCCTCCTCTCCTACCTTAAAGGGGCTCTTCATTCCCCATTCTCCTCCTCTCCTACCTTAAAGGGGCTCTTCATCCCCCATTCTCCTCCTCTCCTACCTTAAAGGGGCTCTTCGTCCCCCATTCTCCTCCTCTCCTACCTTAAAGGGGCTCTTCGTCCCCCATTCTCCTGCTCTCCTACCTTAAAGGGGCTCTTCGTCCCCCATTCTCCTCCTCTCCTACCTTAAAGGGGCTCTTCATCCCCCATTCTCCTCCTCTCCTACCTTAAAGGGGCTCTTCATCCCCCATTCTCCTCCTCTCCTACCTTAAAGGGGCTCTTCATCCCCCATTCTCCTCCTCTCCTACCTTAAAGGGGCTCTTCATCCCCCATTCTCTTCCTCTCCTACCTTAAAGGGGCTCTTCATCCCCCATTCTCCTCCTCTCCTACCTTAAAGGGGCTCTTCATTCCCCATTCTCCTCCTCTCCTACCTTAAAGGGGCTCTTCATTCCCCATTCTCCTCCTCTCCTACCTTAAAGGGGCTCTTCATTCCCCATTCTCCTCCTCTCCTACCTTAAAGGGGCTCTTCATTCCCCATTCTCCTCCGTTTTTTTTTCTCCTGCCTCCATGAACAAGTGTGCCTGCTTTTCTACCCCACAGCCTGAGGCTGGTTCCTCCATATAAGAACCTTTGACCTTCTTCCTTCAGGATTCTTCTGTTATGTTTCTTCATCAGAATATTTCTCTCACCTGCATTTTCCAAACGTTCCTACGTGGCTAGACCCTTCTTCCATTTCTATAAACATATGTGCTCAGTTTCCCCTCCTAAAATCAAAATGAAACGCCTTCTCTAGCCAGGCCCAGAACAGGTACTTCAGTTAATGATCATGGTTATAATGATTGCTGTTCCTGCAAACCACTGCCTTATCTTGTCCTTTGGCCTCACTTCACAGCCATCTGCTTACACTTTCTCCCCACTGACTGACTCTTAACCCCTTGCAATCTGGTGTCAGCCTCATTCCCCAGCAGGATCTGGCCTGTCCTCCTGATTGCCACATGCCTTGGCCCGTTCTCAGCAATCATGTCCCCACCCCTCCGCTCTTCTGATGTGCTTGAACCAGGAGATTTCCTGAGCTTCCTCCAGGTTAGGCTAATTTTGTCACCCTTTATGTGTGTCCCAGAGAGCCTGTGGGTACCAGAGCCCACACTTCTTGCTATATTTGCCTGAGATTGCCTGTGTGCTTGCCCTTTGCTCCTCAAAGGCCAGGACCGTAC
This sequence comes from Homo sapiens, assembly GCF_000001405.40. Classification (NCBI taxonomy): domain Eukaryota; kingdom Metazoa; phylum Chordata; class Mammalia; order Primates; family Hominidae; genus Homo; species Homo sapiens. Next base: position 4,974,682 of record NC_000012.12, read on the forward strand.
CTCCTTCATTTTGGATTCCCAGTTCCTGGAATAACCAGTACATAGGGCTGCCTGGTATGATAACCACTAGCCACCAGGAGCCATTAGCATCAGACACGTGGCTATTTTGAATTGAGATGTGCTGTAAGTGTGAAATATACATGAGTTTCAAATATTTAGTACAAAAATGTAAAATATCTCATTAATAATTTTCAGTAAACTACATTTAACATGATTATATTTTGGATATACTGGGTTAACTAGAATATGTTATTAAAATTAATTTTGCTTGTATCTTTTTACCTTTTTAATGTGACTATGAGAACACTTTAAATTACATATTTGGCTCCCATGATGGTTGTATTGGAATTGCTAGCCTAGAACATTGCTGGGAAAAGTAGGCTTAAAACCATGGTTGCTGAGCTGAGTGGAGTTGAGTTGGGCGGTGCCCTTTCTTTTGAGCCTCCGTTCCTGATGTTGGTAGTGAGCTCATTCCTGGTTCTCCCACCTCTCTGACCACTCTTTCTCCCCTTTCATCTCCTGCCTCTGATTACTGGTTACTCCCAGATCTGCACCTTTATGCAGCCCCTGTGTATCCAGCATTTTAAGTTTGAGCTAAGAGGATGAATAAACTCACAAGACATATTGATTTTTTAAAAGCAAAATGAATGAAATTAAAAAAAAAAAAAACCGAAAAGGAAGGCGTCGCTAACACATGCAAGCGTTAGCCATTGAAGGCGTCTGTGGCGAGGTGACCTTTCGCAGGAGCTCCTGAAGGCGAGACACACAGACTGGCAGGCTGGCAGGCACAGCCCCTCCACCCACTTACATAAAGACTCCTGTGAAATGGAGAGCAGTATTTAAAGTGCATGGAAGGTCATGGATTTAAAACTGAGAGACCTTGAAATCTAGAAGTGTTTGCTTTCGTAACTGCCTTGGTTGGCCTCTCCAGGATGGGTACAGCAGTGCTGCAGGGCTGGCAGGGAGGCCGAGGCCTGGCAGCACCAGGCTCCGGAAACAGCCTCTGTGCCTTGAGCTCCCAGACCCTTGAGTTCTGTTCCTGGAGAAAGCGGCTGCCAGCAGCCAGTGCGGCTCCAGGCTGGGCGGAGTCCTTCTCGGCCTGAGCGCCATCTCTCTGTTTTGAGTGCTGCGGCACATAGTGGTCAGAAGTAGGAAACTTGGGTTCTCTTACTGCTACCTCAGCTTGTCCTGAGACTCTGATGAAGTCCCCTAACTGCTCCGTGCTACGGCATAAAAGCCATTTCCTCCGCCTTCTCAGAGCTTGGGAAGATGAGTGATAACATAATGAAAAGGAGTCTGAGATTCTCTAGGAAAACGCAAGGCCCTAGGTAGAGTTTTTCTCGTGGTTTATTTTTTTAGAGCTGGAATCTTCATCACCCAGGCTGGCGTGCAGTGGCATGATCACGCCTCACTGCATCCTTGAACCCCCACACTCAAGCAATCCTTTCGCTTCAGCCTCCTGAGTAGCTGGGACCACAGGTGTGCACCACTGCCCCTGGCTAATTTTTAAATTTAAATTTTAACTTTTAACTAATTAATTAATTAATTTTGGAGATGAGGTCTTGCTACGTTGCCCAGGCTGGTCTCAAACTACTGGGCTTAAGTGATCCGCCTACTTCAGCCTCCTGAGTAGCTAGGATTACAGGTGCATGCCACTGTGCCCTGCACTAGATAGAGTTTTGTTATCAGGCAAGTTGGACAGTATTTAACCAGGTTAGGGTAATCCCCAGCTCTGTTTGCCCCTAGTCAGCAGCAGGGCTTAGATGAGTTAAATAATGGTATTAATAGCTAACACTTACAGGGTACATCCCTCGTTCTGGTCCCCTTGCTGGCTAGATGCACCTGTGAGCTGGACATTAATGTCGGCACTATACTAATCAGGAGGCTGATGCTTAAAAGTTGCACAGGTAAGAAGCAGAACAGGAGCCTGTGTGTCTCATGCTCTTTTCGCTGTTACCATACATAATTCTCTGGGAAGCCAGGAGCCCCAGAGCTGTGTTAGGGGTTCAATTTTTATTCAACAACGATCTCTTCCAGCCTGATTTTGTGTGGCCCAAGAACTATTATGATTTGATAGGTAGATGGTAAGTGGTCATCTCAAACATTTAAGGGCTCAATTACATTCATACATTTCTAGTAAAGTGAACTGGACAGGGCTATTTCATCCCATTTGGCAGATGGTGCACCTGAGGCTCAGCATGGTTAAGTGGCACAATCAAGGTCACCCAAGGAGTGACTGATCAGGGTGTGTGTCTGGACTCTGAACTGTGACCATTGAAAGGAGCCGTTGCTTCCCTCTGCAGAGGTCTGAAATTGAGTAGAGGCACCAGGGGCAAGCTCCCAGAACAGAGGCTCCGGCTCTTCCCAGGCTGCCCTGAAGGCTGGGGAAGGGAGACGGCTGGTGCCTCCCGCCCTAAAACATGCCATTTGCCTGCATGCCTGCTGGTGTGGTGGTGCCGTCCTGTTCTCCCGTGCTGTTCCTCAGCATGGTTCTCTCCACGGGTGGAGGACCCATCATTCAGGATTGTGGTGGCGTAGAAGAAAACACACGGGAGCCTTCTGAGTGGTGGCACCGGCATCTTACATACCTTGAAAACTGCCTGGAAACAGGTGATTCATTACGGGCTCTGCTTCCAGGCCCGATCATAGCAGGATCCCAGGCAGCCTGCAGAAAGGGAGAGTACACTACTGCTCTTCATGGTCTGGGGGAGGATGACTTCAGTACCTCATGGTAGGCAGTCCTTTATATCGTGCCTGAAACGAAGGAGGAAAATGAGAGAAAATGGGACTCTCTCCTCAAGCATTGTAATGGAAATGGTGGAGACTGCCTGTCTGAGGTGGCTGGCACTGAGCAAGACTTTGGCAACAACCGGAGTGGGCAGCAGATGGGGGAGACAAGGCCCCGGGGCTGAGGGCACCTACAAGGTGGCTGAGGTCAAGACTTTTTGTGGAAGTCCTTTCATTCTGCAGACAGAGAAACTGGGTGTCTCAAGCAGTGGATCACCCTGACCAAGTCAGAGGCCAGATCAGAGTGCTTAGTAGTGATTGCTCTTTCCTCCTTGATAGAATCAACTAGAATGCCCTTCTGTTCACTCTTGGGATGACTGAGTCCTTGTCCTGCAGATCTCGACTCAAGTAGCACCTCGTCTGAGAGGCTTCCGAGTGCTGTGTCCCTATTGGTCACTCACTCTCTACACGTCACCCTGGTTGACTCTCCTTATATTACTTATCTCTGACTGAGTCTTATTTCTTTACTTACTTGTTTATTTTATTTTCTGTAATTTCCCATTGGAATGGGAATCTCAGAAGAACAAAGATCCAGTCTTTTTTTTTTTTTTTTTTTTTTTTTGAGACGGAGTCTTGCTCTGTCGCCCAGGCTGGAGTGCAGTGGCGTGATCTCAGCTCACTGCAAAATCTGCCTCCCGGGTTCACGCCATTCTCCTGCCTCAGCCTCCCGAGTAGCTGGGACTACAGGCGCCTGCCACCACGCCCGGCTATTTTTTTGTATTTTTAGTAGAGACGGTGTTTCACCGTGCTATCCAGGATGGTCTCGATCTCCTGACCTCGTGATCCGCCTGCGTTGGCCGCCCAAAGTGCTGGGATTACAGGCGTGAGCCACTGCGCCCAGCCAATCCAGTCTTTTTGTGCCCTCTTATATTCAGCATCCCAAACAGCCCCAGCCACGTAGTGGGTGCTTCACAAACATCAGTCGAGTGGATGGATAGTCAGGGAAGGAAGCTTTTGGTGAAGGTGACATATGAGCTAGGTCTTCAAGCATGGGTAAGACTTCAAAGGAAGGGGGAAAACGTGAGCAAAATGAGCCATAGGGAATAAACAAGGCATGTGTGTGAGCATGTTTGTGGTGGGGTGGGAGTTCATGTGTAAGTCCGATTGGCTGACACAAGGGATCCTCTAAAGGGAGCAGTGGCAGATAGGGCGGAAAGGCAGACCTGAGCTTGTTTACAGAGGCTGTGAGTGCCAGGCTAAGAGGTGCCACTTCTGTCCTGTGGACAATGGGACCCACTGAAGGTGAGTGATGTGGGGAGGTGCATGGCCATTTGGCCTCAGCATACAGGTGACTGAGATTGAGAGAGCAGCCAGGGACCTCTGCATCACAATGTGATGACCTAAGAAGAGGAGGTCTTTGCCTCTGTGAGTCCCTAAAAGCCAGGCTGGAGCCCTCTGCTTGGGAGATGCGTTTCTCTGCCACGGTGTCAGTTGTCATGCCTTAGCGGAGTGCCCGAGGGGAGGGGCAGGAGGCCCCTTGGATGGGCTGGCACTGCGCCCCTGCTGCTGTCAGAGTGACTCAGATCCCCTCCTGGCACCAGCCTGCTCAGGCAGTGCAAGCTGTTCCTTTGGCTCCTGGAGATTGGGCTGGTTCTTCACTTCTTCCTCCCCTAGGACTGAGGCCAGGGAGGAGGGGTGCGGATTTCTGTGTTTCCACCCTTTTCTCTTCTCCCAGCACAGGGGTGCGAGAGGAGGAAGTGGAGGCTGCAGTGCTGGGCTCTGGGTTCATTCCCTGTGATTCCTCTGGGCTGCCCCAAGTCCTGCTCAGCACATACACAACAGGACACCAGGTGTGCTGGACAAATGACCAGGCAGTGTGGTACTTGAATGCAAGGGTTTCCTGAAAAGTTACCATCAAAAACTGGGTCAGGTGGACGAATGCAGATGGAACATCGGCAGTGATTTCCTCTGAGTAATGACGTGCCCTAAGATTGTTCAGCACAGAGGACTTAAGCCACAGAAGGTTTGTACAGCACTTGACAGCTTACAAAATCTTTCCACATCCTCAATGTCAGTTATTTCTTACAGCTGTCCTGTGAGCAAAGTGGCATTTCTATTTTTTTTAATTTGAAGCTCAGAGATGTTAAGTCACTTGCTAAATGTCACATAGATATTCAAAGGCAGAGCTGAAAACCCTAACCTGGGTCTTTGGGTTATTTATAAGAGTTTTAATGAACCATATCCTACACTGTGCCCCTTTTCCTGGACTCTTAAACATTAGCTTTCATCTTATGTGAACCCTTCCTTGGAATGTCACTTGCTCACAGCCTCAGGAGCCATCAATGCTTTCAAAGAGATAATATACAGGTGACTAAACACTGGGGAGTACCTAAAGTTGGCCATGATTGGCCACTCATTGACCAAACATTTCCAATTACTCCTGTTCATCAGCTGTTGCCAATTGTACTTAGCCTGACATATTATTTTAGGTTAAACCACATGAAACTGTCATTTTTGGTGGTCAAGAATAGTCACATACTGAAAGTATTTTAGGGTCCAACCTAATACATCAAAGATACTGAAAACACATGTGTTATTTCATTTGAGAGGAACTGGAACATTTGGGAATTCACATTTTCAAAGCAGACTCAGCTCCTCAATCTATGTCATGGAGTGAACAGCAACTCACAGCACTGTGGGAGGATTAGTGAGATATCATGTCCAAAAGAGCTTACCTGGTTTAGTGCCTGAGAGATTATCTCTAAGTTAGCTTTATTTGAATGGGCACAAGCTCTGGCCTCAACATTGCAAGGGGCTAGTAGCTGCCCTCAAGAGGCTTATAGTTTGACAGAGACCGTTCAGACATGCCCATCTAGACAGGATGTCAGGCATTCCAGAGTCTAGTGCTTGGACATGGGTAGTGTTATGACCACGGCCCCAGAGTCAAAATGCCTTGGCTGGAATCTTGGTTCCGTCATTTACTTGATCTGTGACCTTGAGCAATTTAATAATTTCTCAGCCACTTAGTTTTCTCATCAGTGGAACAAGAATAACAATATGCCCACTTCACAGAGCTGTGAAGATTCAGTAAGATAATGAATGCCAAGGACTTAGAATTGTTCTTGGCATGTAGAAAGTGCTCAGTCAATTTCACTGCTACTATTATTATGATAGTTATTATTAATATTCTTATTCCTCAAATGAGAGGGAGCATTAGAGTAATCTTTGCTCAAGACGGAATATTCTGCCTACAACCCTCAGTGTTAGGTTCTCAGCTTCTGAGAGTGCTGTCATCTGTGGTCTCCAAAGCTTAGGACTACTGAGGACAGACCTGAGATGAGGTGTACATCTGCAAATGCTTCACAATTGGAAAGCAGATTTAGAAACTTCTAGGGAAACTATGCTCTGTGATGAGGTCTTGAGACCCTGATAAGAATCTTGGGGTTGAAAGCCAGCATAATTATCCTTAGCCACCCAAAGCATCTATTGTCCAACTTCCCTGGGTTGAGCGAGACTTCCCAGTAAAATTGCTCATGGAAGGGGAAACTCAGTGGATAGACCTTTATTATCTCTCATTATATGAAGGGCTCTACAACATTAAAGACAGCACAGCCCACAGAGGACTGCTCTCACTTCTGGTGCCAATTGCAAGTTCAGGAGTCCCCAAGACTATCCTTAGGTTTAATCATTTGCTAAAATGATTCACAGAACTTGCTGAAAGATGTTATACTCCTGAATATGATTTGTTACAGGGAAAAGAAACGTTGAAATCAGCCAAGGGAAGAAGCACATAGTCTAGGAACAATTCAAAATGTGGAGATCCAGCTGGGTGCAGTGGCTCTTGCCTGTAATCCCAACACTTTGGGAGGCAGAGGTGAGCAGATCACCTGAGGTCAGGAGTTCCAGACCAGCCTGGCCAACACAGCGAAACCCCATCTCTACTAAAAACATACAAAAATTAGCTGGGTGTGGTGGCAGGCACCAGTAGTCCCTGCTACTCTGGAGGCTGAGGTAGGAGAATTGCTTGAACCTGGGAGGAGTAGTTTGCAGTGAGCCAAGACCACAGCACTGTACTCTAGCCCGAGTGACAAAGCAAGACTCAGTCTTAAAAATAAAATATGTGAAGACCCCAGTTATTCTTTCCCCATGGAGTCAGGACAGCATTACTCTCATTCCACCAATGTGTGACAATACACGAGTATTGCCCTACAGGGAATCTTACTCAGGCCTTGACTTCCAGAGCTTTTACTGGAGCTCCATCGCCTAAGCAGTTGACTTCCCATGTGGCTCACCTCTGTCTCCAGCCTGTCAGGAAGGCAAGCTGAGACCACGTGATTCAAAGTGTCCACCTTCTAGCACATTGCTGCCATGGCTCAAAACCCACACCATAAATCACACTGTTACTCTGCCTGGCCCAAGGTCCCAAGCAAACAAAGATACTCCTATCACCTCCAAAAAGTGGAGGACAGAACCAAACCTCTTTTTGGGAAAGGTTAGTTCCTTTACTACACAGGCCTTGTGTAGGCTCTGGGGACACTGAGATAATCAGTGACTAAGAGCTCCCATCCCAGGGAGCTCATCGTCTACTGGGAGAGGCAAGTTAGGTAACCAATGCAAGTCAGCCAGTGTGTAGCTGTGCCATTGCCCATGCCCACCTGAGGGAGCTGCAGTGAGGTTCTTCCTTAAAGAGCAGGGGCAGCCTGTGAGGTCAACAGGGATAGTTTGGTGACATGGGAATGGGTTTGGCCTGATTAGCAAAGTTTGTGTCGTAAGGTGAGACTCATGTAACATTTCTGGAAAAGAAGTTATTGACTGTTGACATGCTTATCAACTCCACTGGCCCAGAGGATCTCTACATCCAGCTTACATCACTTACTCACTGACTTTGGGGTTTGGGTGGGTGGATGGGGTGGCAATTAAGCCTCCTGGGAAAAATTGGGAAGCTCAGTATCTCAGTAATGGTTGAGGCAGCAGTGAGGCTGAGCAAAAGTTAATCAGTGATTGGGGACAAAAACGTATAGACATGATTATGCAAACTACCAGAGAGCTGTCCACAAACCACCCACCATTGCAGCCCTCACCTGGAAACTGTTCTCTTGGTGATTATAGCTGCCGCACAGGATCTGTGAGAGGGCATGGGCATTCTCCCCTTGCCGGCTTTTCAGAAGCTGCCTGGCTCCCTCTGAAGCAGGGGGAATGGAACTCTTGGATGCTCTTTGGCATTATTTGCCTGCTTAGGCAGTGCAGGGTCTCCATCACCCTCATTCCCATCTTTCACCCCTCCAAGGAACTTGCCTATTCTGCCATTGACCTCACCATCAACACTTTGATGGAGACCTAAGCTAAGCGTCCTTTTCTCCTCCACTCATATGCATTTCATGGTCTATTACTGGCCCTCACATTCACTCTCTGGGTCCCTGAGGATGGGCAACTCCACCAAAATTATTCAGAGGGATGGCTGCACCTGTCAACTTGTAGAGACATGGCGTCCATGTGTCAATGGGGAACTATAAAGACCACATCTCAATGTGGCCCCCTGCCTTGGGGGCCCATGGTTTGATGCTCTAGGAAGTTTCACCACCTGACTTAATTTCACCATGAGGCCTCTTTTAGGGGAGCTGGGCAACACCTTTCTGGCCCAAGTCCTTTATTTGTTCAAGAAAACTGCTCTCATCTCAAAGCACCAATATCAGCAGCCATCTTTGCCTTTTTTTTTTTTTTTTTTTGTCAGGGAGAGGGGTTCTGAATAGTTTTGGGTTTTTACATTTTGTGCTTTTTCTTTTCAAAAACACATTTTTCTGTGTGTATCTCTGTATATGACCCAGGGCAGTAAGAAAAAGAAAACTTGGTTCATTCAACGTATTGATATTCACTGAAAATTTATCATAAACCTGGCACTGTTGGGGTACCGGGAACTTAAGTAGAAAAAGACAAGGTCATGGTGCTTGAGAAGCCCACTGTGCAGTAGGGGAGGCAGAGTTGTAAATGACTAACCAAGTGGCAAAATGGGTGATACTACCAAAGGGGAATAAACAATTCTTCTGCAAGTAGTGACAACCAGGGAAAGGTTCCCAGAGAAGGAAATGTTTCAAGCAGGCCTTGAAAGAATGCTAGAGCTTCGCAGTTGGAGAAGAGAGAGAAGTTATTCTAGGCAACGGGAGCCACACAGACAAAAGCAAGGAGGTGTGGGAATGCATGGTGTGTTCACTGAGGACATAGAAGAGCCAAGGCCACCATCCAATGCCCCACCAGCTGTGTACTGCACAACTCCAGGAGAGGCGCGTAATCCAGACTGTGATATGAATGATGCAGCCTGGAGTCATGCAACATGGCAGCCTGATAGAGGGTGCTTGGGAGAGATGGGGGAGGTGTAGTGAAGAATCTTGAGAAATTTCACTTTCATTTCATCTGTCGCCTTGGCTATCAGTGAGCAATTGCACAGAAGACATTGGCTGAGCAACCATTGAGTACTTGGGGTTTACCGTATCTCTGCCATTCTCATGTACTGTACAAGCAGGGGCTATTGAGGGCTGTCTGGTAATAATGAGCAGTGCTGTCTAGCCAAGGTCAGCACCCTTCAGACCTGGGACACATCATTAGGCACATTTCAGTACAGGTGGATGGATTCATCGGTGGGCCTGAGCCCCCTTGGCTTCACATTGTGGATGTCTCAGAGCAGTGTGGGATGATGGTGGCAGTGTAGTTCTACTCCCTCCTTCTGGAAATCAGAAACTGAGGGCCAGAAGGAGAAAGTGACTTGCTGAAAACCAAGAGCTTGATAGTTTTTGATGTTAGGCTAGAAGTTCAGTCTCTTACCTTGTAGCTCAGTAATATTTTCACCAAACGTCACTGTCATTGAGTGCCATTTATTTATCCTTCATAGAATGAAGGGTCGTGCTGATAACCCATCAGGGTAAGCAACCTCAGCTGCTCTGATAGGCAACCTCTAGAGCTCAGTAGCCTAATACAAGAAAAGTTCATGTCTCAGTCTCATCACAACCTAATATGAGTTGGGTGGCTCTCTCTGCAGTTACACAGGAGTGTAGGGGAGTCCATCTCATGGCAGAAAGAATGGAGAAAACACACCCACTCTTAACTGCCTCAGGCAGGGAGTGACGCACATCTTTTCTGCTCATATCCCATTGGTGAGAACAATCCCAGATCATGTCTAGATGCAGGGAGGCTGAGAAGTGCAGTTTAGCTGTGTGCCAGGAATATGAGATGGGCTCAGTGAGCGTCCAGTCAACATATGCACAGTTATAATGTGGAAAGTCACATCATGGCCATTATCTCCAATGCTAGCAAAGCAATGGCTGTTGACTGAGTGGTTATCTGTTCTTTATCCCAGAGCTATCGCCTCCATCTCCTGTGTCTCTCCCCATGTTCTATTCCACAGGTGGAGACTGTGACCCAGAGAATTCAGTGACCTGTCCAGGGTCATGTTCAACCACACAGTTCTAGAACGTTGACCCAAGAGGTCTAGATTTCAGAAAGTACCCTTCCTCTCCTCAGGCATACCTGAAGGTATCTTCGGGTAGCAGATGCCTTCTCTCAGAGGATGTGCTCACAGCTGCACACTGCTGAACAGGTTGTTTGCAGTGGCAGATGATGGCAGGCAGTAAGGCCCCTGGGGAGGGAGAGGGAAAAGGAGAGAGCAACACACCTGTCTTCTCTCCGAGCTGTTGTTCCCCTGTCTGCCAGCCACGCTTTCCTCTTATGCTGTGATGAAACTGTTTATTTTTATTGACAGCAAGCACCGCAGCTTGGAATATTTGTCTGCGAGGAGAGAGCAGCCGGGACTGATTCTGGAGCCTGGCTGTGCGTGGGGATGTGTGCTTGCCGGCTCATGCAGGCAGCTGCTGCTTTGGTTTCAGCTTAGCTTTCCCCATGGCATAGAGCAGAAACCAGTGTTTCTTTCCTCCTCTAGGCACCACAGATCTCATGACCTGGGGAAGGTTATTTGTGGGGAAGGCATTGATTTGGAAAGAGACATGAGTAATCAGTTTCTCCCCCATGCTCATCTTCTGGGGTCCTTGACATAACCTGATTCCTCTAGAGCCCTTGAAGCCCCTTCTCTGGGGTCAGGCTTGGCCCTTTCTGGGTTCATACACTCTCCAGGCGCTTTCATACCACTGCTATTGCAACCCTCCCGACAGCATGTCGGGCTCATCATTTATCTCCCTTTGTCATTTCTGCAGGCATTATGAGGGCGAGACCAGGACATGGAAGACTTGATTTGAATCCATTCCGGTTCAATCAGTTGCCTCAATCAGTTAATTCATTCCTCATAGTTACAAAGTTATGGTCTCTTCAGAAATCACTTTTCAGTTCCTGGAGTCCCCAACCAATAACCTTTAAGCCTTTTGGATTAGCAACCTTAATTCAAGCTGTTGAAGCTTCCATAGAACCAACTTTCCTTTTTTTTTTTTTGTTTAGAAAAGAGATATTCAACTTTCTTGAGCTTCTTGTTGAGAGGCTCTGTTTTAATTGCTCTCATTTACGTTATTATCTCATTTAACGATATTGTCTTATTTAAAGAGGAACTGTGAAAGACAGTTCCTGAAAAAAGAGATGTGGTCAGTTCTTGTGTGAGAGACACTTGATTAGACACTGTAAGGGTCAAAGGTGGTTTTTAAATGGCTTCGTCCCTCCAGAAGCTCAGTCTAGTGACCATGGTGGTTAATCGCCATCAGAGTGGCAGTACATCTGGGCTCCAGAATCAGCAGCATGGTCCACCAGTTCCTGAGTGAGCTCACGTTTTGTGTCAGGCAGTGAGTGCACAAAGCCGTTGACATACATCACTTTGTTTATTCCCCCCTCACTCCTAGGAGATAGGTGCTGTTACCATTATACCCATTTTGGTGGTTGGGTAACCTGAGTCTCAGAGAGGTTGAGTCACCTGTCCAAGGCATCGAGCTAGTGTGTAATAGAGCTGTTTCTATTTTTGTTTTTTTGAGACAGAATCTTGCTCTGTTGCCCAGGCTGGGATGCAAGGGCGTGATCTAGGCTCACTGCAACCTCTGGCTCCCAGGTTCAAACGATTCTCCTGCCTGCCTCCCAAGTAGCTGAGACTACAGGTGTGTGTCACCATGCCTGGCTAATTTTTTGTATTTTTAGTGGAGATGGGGTTTCCCCATGTCGGCCAGGATGGTCTCAACCTCCTGACCTCATGATCCACCCGCCTTGGCCTCCCACAGTGCTGGCATTACAGGCATGAGCCACTGAGCCTGGCTGGTATAGAGCTGGTATTTAACCCACCTCTGGCTGATTCCAGCACCATGATACTGACTCCATCATATACCATGCAAATAGAAGCCAGAACCACAAAAGGGCTCCACCAGGCTTACAAATCAAGTGCCCAGGGGAGGGGAAAGCTTACTTAATTCTCACAGGAGAGCCTGGGAAGGTGGCCTCAATGAGTTTGAATTTGAGCTGGTCCTTAAAACATTGGCAGGGCTCCCAAAGGCAGATTTAACAGGGAGCCACTCCAGAGAACATCAAGTCAGGAAGCTGGAAGTTCTGCCTGAAGCAGGGCTGTGAGAAGCCCACCTGAACGGTGGAAGGAGCGGATTCGTGTTTTTCCTCACTTGTCCTTCCAGCTGTCTCAAGTGGGAGTATTCGAAAGATATTTACATTATTGTAAAGAGCTGGGTTATTCCCACCCATTTTGTAGATGGGGATCATTAAGCTCTGTTGAGAATAACTGAGGCTCAGAGCACAGGGCCTACAGGAGTGCTTTGCTACCTGTCCTTGGGGAACGCTGCCTGCCGAAAGCTGGAAACCCCTGAGCAGCCTGTGGCCCACTCAACTCCAGGGTGGGAGGAGGAGGCAGGCATCCAGGAACGGGCCACAGAGCCTTCTCCTGCCTGCCTGGCAGCCATCCACCTTCCATCCTTCCCTGAGCTCTTGGCTTCCCCAGACAACAAAATGGAGCCTGTGTTTTGTAATCTCCGGCACAGCTTGAGCCATTGTTCCTGGAGATTTCCAGGCCTCTTCTTTGGAGGCAGAGGCTATGGGTCCAAAGGTGAAGAGGCAAGGACCTCAGGCCCCTCCACTAGCTGACTTTCATTTCTTGCCTGCTCTGTCTCCAGCTGTGTATCCAGTGACTGGTACACATTGCTGCCCCTACGATTAAGGACCTCAGGTTTCTTCTCCGAAAACAACCAGAAATGAGCCATAAAACAGCCAGTGACTCACTGTCATTAAGCAAATGAAGTGTAATTGAAATAGTGACGTGCTGAGGTTACAGCAAGCATAATCCAGCCATGATTACAATAGGAGAGATGGAGGGCTGGCAAGAGAAAGGTCTTCCTGGCTGCCGGGATCGAGAGACTGTTTGAACAGGGGTAAGGGTGGTGAAGGTAACCTCTTCCGTGGACATTTACCATTAGGACAGACAGGTCGGGTGACCAGAGGAGGGGCAGGAAATCCTGAAGAGGCTATTCACCGCCATCAGGGGCCTTGGGGAGAGTGCTCTCCACTTGTAGGGGAACACGGTGCTTCTCAGGTGTGACTGCACCAAATCACTTGGGGGTCTTGTTAAAAGGCAGACTAATTCCAATGGTCTGGGTGGGGCCCGAGGTTGTGTATTTCTAGCCAGCTCTCGGGAAGCCGCTGCTGCGGTGAAGCTCACACATGGAGAGCAAGGGGTTCTCTTGGCTGTCACACTTGAGACAGTCGGGTTCTCTCCAAAGCAAGTAGGTTTAAGACTCAGGTATGACTTTTCAAAATTGAATTTCTTCAAAAAGAAAAATCTTAAGGCATCCATCTGGGAGTGGAAGAGGTGAAGACCAGGCATGGAAGAAGAGTGTATTTTGCTTGTGCCAGGGGAGTTGAGTGCGACTTGAGGGCTAGGTTCAGCAGATGAGCCCAGGACCCAATCCCCAGCTGACCCCACCATGCCGGGGGCCAGACACCACCTGCTTCATGGAGTCAGGTCAGCCTCACTCCCCAGGGGCATGGCCTCACTGGGAAGGTGGGGCACATCATTCTAGCCTTACCCCCTAGGGCCCACCTTCCAGCCGCATTTATTAAGGCCAACAGGGTCTGAGGAGAGCAAGATATTCTGAATTCATGAGAAAGCAGATTACAGAGCTTCTTAAGCACTATCTTTGGGAAGCATCTGAAAGGCGCGATCTGGAGTTCCTTGGGGTCTGTGCTCATCATGAGGTCATTCTCACCCGCAGCCTGCATGACAGGTGCTTCAGGGAGGTGGATGCTGCTCAGGAGCTTTAACAAGTGGTTCCTTGGGGGCAAAGGAGCAGCAGAACTCACCGATTTGCCACCTTGTTGATTTATACCACTCATCAGCTCAGCCAGTCCTCCGCTCAGCTGAGGAAAAAGGAACACTTTAGTGCAGGTTGGCTTATTTGTCATAAATTCAAAATCACAAAGACCCAAACTGCAAAACACCTAGGAAATGGGAAGGGCCCATACCAATGATTTCCATTCCATTTCTCCAGCCTCGGAGCAGGGACTGGTGGAGGGTTATCCCAGAGAGATAGGCTGAGAGGCTGGCAGTGGTCAGTGACATGGCTCCTTGAACCCCCTTCCAGTCCAGAGGCCTCTCTTGGCCACCTGGCCCACCAAAGTAGTCCAGCCTCCTCGAGCTGCCCCTTTCTGCCTCTGCCTATCAGCAGCCCCACTCTACAACCGTTCCCCTAGTCCATGGTTCTCAACCTGGTGTGATTTTGTCCCTAGAGCACATTTGGCAATGTCTGAAGACATTTTGTCACAGCTGGGGCAGGTGCTACTGGCATCTGTGGGTAGAGGCCAGGAATGCTGCTAAATCTCCTACAATGCACAGGGCAGCCCCCACAAGCAAGAATTATCCAGCTGAAAATGTTAATCATGCTGAGATTCAGAAATGTAGACAAGTGCCCAGAGGTCTGGGAGGGACTTGGGAGAGCCAGAAACACAGGTAACCAGGTTAAGACTTTACCAGAATACATGCCTTAGAGCAAAGTATTAGGGCTTAAATTTCTCCCCTTAAAAAGAGGACCCCCTATAACTTGCTGTTTGTTTCACCTACCTGCAGCTTTTTCATCTGCCTGTGATGCTGTCGTCAAGTCTTTTTCCCCCCGGCATCAAGGTGGTTTTAGTAAGTGGTTGTGATACAGCAGATGAAGGAGAGAAAAAGCCAGGGTCTTCTTCATTTTCATTCCCTACTGGACATCTTTGACATCACCCCAGGGTTAGAGTCAGGCAGGAGAAAGGGTACAGGTTGTGGAATCAGAAGATCCTGGGTTTTGGCTATGCGACCTTTGGAAGTGAGCTAATCCCTCTGTCCTCAGTTTTCCCACTTGGAAGACGCATGTAACCATGCCTTTAACCATACAAGGATTAGAACATAGTGGGTATTCAGAAAATATTAACCAGCACCCAAAATTTTTATGAAATGCTTTTTTTTTCCACCTAACACTGGATGACCAGGAAGAGAAATCAAGTCCCAGAAGTCTAGTAGTAAGCACACTGAAGACAGCAACCACCACTGGCACATATTCAAGATTCATGCTAAACAAAACCAGTTAAATCTTGACTATGTGCAAGTCAATTATCTGCTCATCTATCTGCATGCTAAGTCTTGGTTTTGCCAAACTTCAGGGCTGAGCCAGAGAGTGTTGGAGATGTGGGTAGCCGTACAAATTAGGGAGTAGTGCAAGTGTGAGTGTGCCTCTATAGCTCACTATGGGTGCCAGGATGGACATGCATATCTGTGGCTGGGTGTGCAAGACAGTGTGTAGCCAAATTAATTTGATTCCTAGACCACATGTAAATGCATTAATGATTAGTCTTGTGTTAAGTGTTTTGTTCTTCTCAGCCTCCATTAGAAGTAGACATGCTAACATTACATAAATACTATGCTTTTTTTCATTTATTTTTACTTATCTACTGCCTCTTTCCCCAAAAAAGGACCTGAGATAGTTCACAACTAAGGATATAGGTGATACGTAAGTGAAGTTATAGGTATAAGTGTAACTATGGTATAATATGCTTAATATAGAAATATATTTGTATATCAAGATTAAAAGTTATGTTAATGCTGTAGGCGTATCTTGTCACTATAATTGATCATCATGTTTATCTCTGAGCTTCTTGCCAGCCAAGGTAAAACAGGGAAAGGGAATAAAATTATATAACACAAATTTTTATGTGTGGCCCTGAAGAACAAAGTGGATAATGTCAACTACAATCTTACAACAGATGCAGAAGTGGATTTCACAACAAATCTTGATGAAAGCTGAGTGCATAGCATCAAACTGCAATTTAGTGATGATGGCTCCACAAAGCTCCTGAGAGGCCAGTGCTTTCAGCATTTAGTTTGATATGGGATGAACTTTGAATGCCCAAAGGAGTAGATGCATCACCATTCCTTATGCTTTCTTCCCTAAATATAATATTTCTGGCTGGGCTTTTTTTTTAAACCAGGAATTGTTTACAGATAATAAGGTGATACTTCCTTGCAGAGACCTGAGTGCTGGACTTCTAGATCATAAGCAGATAGAAAACTTATATAGAAATTCCCATCTGTGTTCCTGGCATAAAGTAGGCACTCTGTGTACATCTTTCTGTTATTTGTTCATTTTTTCCATTTGTTCATTCATCCACCCATCTGTCTGTCTGACCCTCCCCTAATTTTGGAAAACAGAGCCAAAGGACATAGTAGTTGCCAGGTAACTTTTTGAGATGAGCTTCAGTGGCTGTGACATGGGGGCTTCCATTCTCCAACCCCCATACATGACTGGGTCCTCACTTGGAGTAGTAAATGCTCATGGGACAAAGCTGAGATGAACAGGCCTGGTTGTTTAGCAGAGAAACTGTTGTTGTTACATGGACGGGCGACGCTGTAGGAAAGCAATCTGCAAGGCCATCCCGAGAGTGTTTAATTAATTAAATGGGTTCACCAGCTGAGAGCCATGCTGCAAAATAAAAGGCCTGTGGTGTCCCTTTCCTGAAAGGAAAACAACCCATCCCTCATTCCATTCTTAGTTATGTATTTATAATTGCAGCCATGCCTGTTTGCGCAACCAATGATATAGGTATAAGTCAATTTATGTGTGTTTTTAGCACCACGCTATTCAGTTGCCAAGAAACACACTACTTGCTTCATGGTTTACCTAATCCACCCTGTTAGTCCTTTGCAATGTGATCCATTTCTTTGTCCTTGGTTAAAGCAATCACGTGACCAGATTATGCCTGAGATTCTGCTCTTATCATCACCACCCTTCATCTCCTGTGTGGGTGCACACAGTCACAGGCACACATACATTCACATGCACACAAATCCGTGCACACACATCCACTCACATACACGCATTCACATGCATACAGACTCATTCACATGCATATACATCCACGCACACACACTCACATGCACACACTCATTCACATGCATACTTGCTCACATACACACATATTCATGCACGTACAGTTGCTCACATGTGTACAAATCATGTGCACACACTCATGTGCATATACATTTGAGAGCCCAAAACTTCGGAAAGAAAGAAAAGATAGAAAGATAGAACACAGCTTTAAGCAGGTACAAGCAGCCTCTAACCCTCTGAAATTCCCCTTGTGACAACCCACATAGCTGTCACATCTCATGGAGCTACATTTGAATTCTTCAGTTGCTGTGCTATTCTGACTAATGCACTTTCCTGAATGTCTGAAAGTTAACCAGAACATCCCCCCTCTTTTTTTTTTTTCTGTTGCACCATGCTACTAAAAATCTTCCTACAGGCATTAGCCCTTTTTCCAACCTTGGCAAATATCATAAGTAAACGAGCCTGTCTTTGAATGATAAAGGCTCATTGTAGTTGAGAATAGAGGCTCATTAAGGCGTAAATGACATGGATTTTGGAATGAGACAATCTGGTGTCTCATTTCGGCTTTGAATGGCACTTACAGGCCATGTGATTTCTGACACCTGGCTTAACTTTTATTAACCTTGGTTTTATTTACTAGCCTGCAGAAATGGAGATGACTATATTTACCTTGTAGAGCTATTATGGAAGCCATAAGCATTGTAGGAAAAGATCTGGAGCTTAGTGGTATCCTGTATAGGGCAGATGTGTTGTTTTGGCTTCTATTATTGCAGAGAGTGCCAGAGTAACATATAATGATAAAAGATGCAGGAAATGGAAATTGAGTCAAATGTAGAATCTCCTCAGGGCAGTCTTTTTTGAAAACTGAATTCTGATGCCACAGCTGATATCTTCCTTTTTAATAAAGTGGAGTCTAATGAGAACAATCCACATCTGATGTAGCTACACAAAGTTTCTCCATGGAGAATTGGCATCAGTGGTATATGTAGGTCTATGGGGCCAGCATAGGGTGAGGGATCCCTTTGGCTGTCCCCAGGCTCTGCTGGACCATGGAAGGAATGCAGGAGTAGAAACGTTGGGGACTTTCGCCCCAGCCACACAGGAGAGCAAGAGGGGAGGCAGAATCAGACTCCCAAGATCTTGCAGTTGGCTGCCTGGTCCTCGAGCCACATGGGGTCCATTCTGCACTCAATACAGTAGGGGTTGGTTATTCCTGGCAGAATTCCCTATTATTAAATAAAGAGAAACTTAAGGAAGCAAATAAAAAATGTTTCTTGTGCATCTTAGGCTTCTTGTGGCTTTTAAGGCAAAGAACATTTTGAGGAATTGTTAGCAAATCATAAACATATGGGTTGCAGTACTTGGCCTCAAAGATAGCTAGATGCAAACGTAACCAGCCTGGCCAACATGGTGAAACCTTGTCTCTACTAAAAATACAAAAAATTTGCTGGGTGTGGTGGCAGGCGCCTGTAATTCCAGCAATTTGGGAGGCTGAGGAAGGAAAATTGCTCGAACCTGGGAGATGGTGGTTGTAGTGAGCTTAGATCATGCCACTGCACTCCAGCCTGGAGAACAGAGTGAGATTCCATCTCAGAAAAAAAAATAAAGAAAGAAGGAAGGCAAGCATTGGCAGAAAGTGTCATTGGGAAGCTACCTTCTTACCCTCAGGCAGGTACATCTCTTTTTTTCTGGTTAACTTTCAGACGCATCGTAGGAGAGGAATATCGAGATGAGGGTGGCAAAGTCTTTGCAATAGGAGGGACGGTGGCTCCTGAGAACTGTAGACCTACCACATTTCTAAGAGCAGGATGGTATCCGAGTGGCTTTGTATTTGCCAAGGCACAATGTACAACCGAAACCTCAAAGAGTCGACTTTATAGAAAAAAACCGAGGCTGCTGAAATTCCTTTCCTTCCTTTTCTCTTATTCAGAGCATCCTAAAAGCAGGCTCTGGCATTTTCCTAATATAACAAGTTATATTAGGGACAAAACATAGAAGACAGAGAACTAAGAAATCCCCAGCTCCCAGTCTCCCTGGTCTGTTCTGCTTTTACCATTGGATTTTTAATTATTAATTAATCATGAATTAGTAAATAACAAACAATGAATGATAGGAAAGCATTGCACTGTCTTCCACTGCATCTAGAAACACTAAATGGCAATCCTCATAATAGACTCTCAATAAATATAATTAAATGCCTACTACATGCCAAGTGCTCTGCTGGGCACATTGGAGATCACAGAGAAGCACTGTGTCCCCAGCTTCTCTAGGGGACCCCAGAGTCTGTTGGGGAATGCCAAGAGGCATCGTGAAAAAATTCACTGTTCTTATCAGGCAGTAACTGCCAGTGCCCGGTGATCAGCTGGCCAAGCTCCTGGAGACTATAGACCAGGAGTTAGCTGGGAACCTGTTTTCTCCTTGTGTGTTTCATGACATTAATTTCAGTAGGAGAAATCCCAACTGGATGTGCTAGGTCTTCCAGCAGCAACAATTTTTAAACCTGGGGAAGGAGTTTTTTTCGTTGTTGTTTGTTTTGTTTGTTTTTATTTTTGAGACAGAGTCTTGCTCTTTCACCAGGCTGGAGTCCAGTGGCACCGTCTTGGCTCACTGCAGCCTCCGCCTCCTGGGTTTAAGCTATTCTCCTGCCTCAGCCTCCTGAGTAGCTGGGACTACAGGAGCCTGCCACCACGCCTGGCTAGTTTTCGAATTTTTTAGTAGAGACGGGGTTTCAACATGTTGGCCAGGATGGTCTCGATCTCCTGATCTCAGGTAATCCACCCACCTCAGCCTCCCAAAGTGCTGGGATTACAGGCGTGAGCCACCACACCCGACTGGGGAAGGAGTTTTTAAGGAAGTTGAGAGAGATTTGGGGGGAGGAGGGATTATTCTTTCCCTCTTAAATCTTGGATCCAAGGAACTTGTGTTTGTTAGAAAGAAGAGTCGTGATGCCTTTTGTCCCAAGGACTTCACTTGACATTAAATAGCTACCTGAACTGGAGCACACAGTTCACACTCACATGTGCACATGGTACAGGCTGAACCACTGCCATCGCTCTTGCTTCCCCCAGGACTTCACCCTGCCTAGGCTCCCAGCCAGTGGAATCTCTGACATCCACGGGCCTTCCTGGGCACAATCAGTGCTTGTTACTATTAGAGTCCTCTCCTGATCACCTGCGGGATACACTCAGCCTTGACATGGTTTCTGCTTTGCTTGTGACAGTGGTGCACAGCTCAGCCTCCTCTCTCCAGTGAAGCCACCCATTCTTAAAGAGTGCCCAAAGCTGCATTATAGCTCTGCTGTCTGTCTTCCCTCCTTTAGCCTCCCACAGCCTTCTTCAAAATCTATTTGAAAATAATCTTATCTCCTCTACATCTCCCAGACCGTCTGAAGCACTGTTGCTTAAAGGAATGAGCTCCAACTTTGGGGAAAGACAAGCATCCTTTTGGAGCAGGGCTTGGCCACTTGCTAGCTGTGTGACTTTTGGTGGGTAACTTGACCTCTCTGAGCTTCAACTTCTTCTTCTGTGAAACAGGGTGGATGTGAATGTTACAGGGTGACATGGCCAAAGCATCTAGTATGGTGTCTGGCACATGGTGGGGAGTTGTTATTTTTAATGCACCCCCTTCATTTTCTGATATGTGCACAGCTTGCACTAGCACAGAGTTAATTTAGCTTATGCTGCCATTTTATGTATGTGTTTTATGAGCCAGCACTTTGTTAGTCACTTTCAATAGAGGTTATCTCATTTAACCCTCCCAACTGTTTGTGTGATGTCGATGCTATTTTCTCCATTTTCTAGATAGAATAACTGAGGCTAGAGACCAGGCATGTGAAACGGGGTTCTCTAAGGACTCCACTAGCCCCTTTCCATCCCCTCCCACATCTGCTTCATGCTTATTTGCTTATCTCAAGGGAGATGACACAAATGAGAAGACACAATCCCTGTCCTCAGAGAGCCCAGAGTCCAGGAAAACCAAGAATGTCAGCAAGAACTCTAACCAAGCTTCAGGGAAAACAGACTCAGGTGCCTGTGGGCTGATCAGGCATGGCAGTGTACAGCAGGTGGTGAGGCAGTAGAGAAGGCATGGGCCCAGGTCCTCCAAGATGAGCTTCATGTAGCCTTGGACAACATGGGCACCAGAATAAAGGTCAATGGACCAAGAATCAAGGGGAGGAGAATTCCATATGGAGAGCCAAATGCACCCTCAAGAGACATAAGCAAATAAGCATGAAGCAGATGTGGGAGGGGATGGAAACGGGCTAGCGGAGTACTCAGCACCAGCAGAATGTGTGTGCTGGGATGGGGGTTCCGGGCTCAGGAATGGATTAAAAGGAAACCCATAGCTCTGTTGTCAAGGAGCTTGCAGTTTGATTGGTGGGAAGTTGAGCATTGAGAGAGAGAGAGAGAGAGAGGAGAGAGAATTGCATACACTTGCATGAGGGCAGGGACTGTGCTTTTCAATTTCTATTGGAGCGTCTTGCCTGTAGCATGCAATGCATCCCAGGTCTCTGGCCTGGCAAGTTCCTCAACCAAGTCACCTCTATGGAGAGCAGGAGGCAGCAAAGACTTGCAGACTTGCAGGCAAGTCAAGGGGCAGAAGTTGCTTTCTGCTTCTCAAGGTGAGAGGTGCAGGCCTTTGCTGGGGCACTTCTGGGAGGCTCCTTTTTGTGGCTAAGCTACCTGCCAACAAGGATGATTTCTCCAGGTATAAAGCTTTACACTAAGTTATGAGGGAGGCAGAAAAATGAGAAGACACAATCCCTGTCCTCAGAGAGCCCAGAGTCCAGGAAAGCCAAGAATGTCAACAAGAACCCTAACCAACCTTCAGGGAAAACAGACTCAAACACCTGTGGGCCGACTGGGCATGACAGTGTACAGCGGGTGGCAGGGAAGTGGAGAAAGGGTGAGCCAGGGTCCTCCAAGATGAGCTTCATATAGCTTTGGACGACACAGGCACTAGAATGGAAGGAAATGGGCCAAAAATCAAGGGGAGAAGAATTCCATACGGAGAGCCAAATGCAGCCTTTTAAAAATTAGGGCCACAATAGAGAAAAGGGAGGAGGAAGAGGGGAAAGGTATGAGGGAGAAATCAATATCCTGACTGTATTGGCAAGAAGCTGGTAGGTCTATTAAGCGACCCAGAGGATCCTGGTGACAAAGTGAAGTGACAGTTTGGAGAAGTGAAAACACAAAACAAAACCACGGGCTCTGGGCTTGACTTCAAGTCCTGCTGTTGGTGTTGGCCATCCAGTCATGGACAAGTCACTTACCTCTCGGCCTCTATCTCCTCTCCTTGACCATTGGGTAATGGCACCCACCTTGCAGGTCAGTGAGAAAGAAAGGAGCTTGCTTCAGGGTGACCTTTGTCCTTTCCAGAGCTGTGGAATCCAGCCAGGTGTGGTGTTCCTCTACTATGACCTGACCCAGTTCTGACCCAGTTAAGAAGTATAAAATACAAGCCAACTTTACATCCCTTTCCTGTTTTTTGTTTGTTTGTTTTTTTGTTTGTTTTTAAATTAGAACAATTCTTGAAGTAGGCATCTCATTTTTGAATGGTAAACTGAGGCGCAGTCAAGCGTACCAATGGCCTTTATCCCACACTGTGTAGGAATTGAAGCGCTGGGATGCAGCCTTCCTGCTCCAGACCTGAGGGCTTTGCATCCGAATGTGCCTGAGAATTCCCTGGGGCCCAGTGAAGAGCTGGTTCTTTGGACCCACCCAGAGGAGGGTGCAGACTTGGAATGGGGCTAGAGTCTTCATTGCTCATATGCTCTCCGGGGTCTTCTGACCCAGGGGGCCCAGGGACCACACTTGAGAGCCTTTGCTTTAGACCCCATATGTTCTTCCTTCATCTGTGGTCCTTCCTCTCTCATGACACAGAGCATCTTTCACGGATGCTCTCTTTTTCTGCCCTGCCCAGGCTCCTGGCCCCAGCATGTTCTGGTGGCACTCTCTGAAAACCCCTGCCCTGGCCATCTGTCATGGCCAGAGG
This sequence comes from Homo sapiens, assembly GCF_000001405.40. Classification (NCBI taxonomy): domain Eukaryota; kingdom Metazoa; phylum Chordata; class Mammalia; order Primates; family Hominidae; genus Homo; species Homo sapiens. The sequence goes on from NC_000012.12 coordinate 4,997,730, forward strand.
CGGCCAATGGATGGGGTCCAGGCTGGTGAGCTGCCTACATTGCCAAGAGGGGACCCTTGGAGGGCTTATAGGCGGCTGAGCCAGGGACTCTGGATCTTGCCCTTCTCTCTTTCCCCCATGGTGAGGTGCTTGGGGCAAGGCTGAGCCAGAACTTCCCTGGAACTTCTCTGCTGAGCATGACTTGGCCGCCCTCTTTCCCTGAGCCTTCTGCTTCGGGGCGCTAATCTTACTTCCTCTGGCATTAGTCTCCCAGTCTCTTGCCTCCCTTGAGCTCTCTTGCTCTTTCTCCCAATCTCCTGTCTGATCTCACCCCACTGCGATCCCCAGCACCCAGCCTGCCAGAATGGAGCTGGGAGGCAGTGACTAATGTGCTTGGAGGTGAGTCATCTACTAAATATAAAAACCCACTCACATCCCTGGATGCAAAAGATTCCGAGAGACTCCGTGTCCTTCCCCCTAAATCCACCCTTCCTCAGGGGACTGAGAGAAGTTGATTCGTGAACAGAAAACAAATGCCAAGGAGCAGCCACAGCAGCATCATCTCATTGCCCTCAGCTCCTCCCGCAGATCTCTAAAGGCAGGAATTTCCCTGTCTCTCTAGTTGCTCTAGAAGGAAGGAGTAGGGTTGGGAAGACCGTGATCCCCACCCTCCGTGGAGTTACGAAGGCAGCAAAATTGATCTTCAGGACCTCTCCCTCTCTTCTTTCTGCCCACTTTCTTGTTTAGGAGACCTCAGACTGCCCAGCCTCCTGCAAATGTAAAGATGAGTCTTTTAAATACATTGATATCTTGCAGGTCTTGGCCGTGCCTCACTGTATGTGATTGAATTGATGGGTTTCAGGTATGGGCCCTACCTTTGGACAGGTGCCCTCCCTTAGGGTCATTCAGTTCCCGCTACAGAGAGTGCATCTTGCTGGGCTTGACTGCTGTGAGTCTTTGTTCACATGGGAATAGGGGTCCTCTGTGCATGCGTGCATGTGTGTGTGTAATACCACGTATAGATTTATTTTTATTTTTTTATTTTTGTGTGTACATAGTTGGTGTATATGTTTATGGAGTGCACTTGATGAAGGTATACAATGCGTCGTGGTCACAGGTCAGGGTAAAATGGGGCATCCATCACCTCAGGCATTTACCCTTTGTGTTACAAACAATCTAATTATACTATTTTAGTTATTTTTAAATGTACAATTGAATTAATATTGACTACAGTCACTCTGTTGTGGTATCAAATACTGGATCTTACTCATTCTTTCTAACTATTTTTTGTACCCATTAACCATCCCCACTTCCCCCTTGCCACCCAACCGCAGGACTTGAAGTCTGAAAAGCTGAGTTCTAGTCCTCAGACAGGAACTAACTTCCTCTGTGACTTTAGACAAGTGTCTTCACCTCTCTGGGCTTCATCCTCCTAAAATCTGTTTGTAATGGAGTCTTACTAAATGCTCTTGGAGGCCTAGCCCATCCCTTTCTGTAATCACCACATACCCTTTGCTTACATGGAGGGTGGTCTGAAGGTCTCTCTCTGGGGAAGAAGCACAGGTGGCCTCCCTGGCCATGTGCCTCACAGGTATGTACCTGTGCACACATGCGATGTGGGGAAAACACCAACTGATGGCCTGACAAGCATTCACTCTCATATCCATGGTGCAGTCACTGCAGCCTGGAACAAAGAGAAAACGCAGTTCTCACCTTTCGAGGACTGTGATCTGAAATCGGATGGCACATCTTCTCATGTGAAATGTGAACTTGATTCCCTCTCCATCTTTTCATTTTTCTTTCTCTTTATGTTTTTCCATTCTCAGGCTTTTTGAAAGGCAGAGGAAAGACCATTTCAGTGGAGGTTAGAAGGTATGAGTAGTAATACAGGGAGATAGAAAAAGACGAAGAAGAAATGTGACAAATAAGCATTGTGCCTCTAGACTCCACAGGACTAAGCTCTGGTCTCTGCTGGGCCACTGTGTGACTTTAGACCCAGCGCCTGCCCTCTCTGGGCATGCACTGAACAGGAGGGCTTGAATGAGGTTTCCTTTAGCCAAAACATTCTAAAATTATGAGGTTACACAATTGAGGCATGGAGGAGAGAGAACCAGCCCTTGGGTGATGCTTACCATGAATGAACAATCTAAAAAGTCCCTGAGGATGAGCATCACTTTATTTTTAATAACTAAAATAATAAGTCATTCTTCTTTTGGCTCATTCAAAATGTATTTGTCTAGTGCCAATGAGTTTCAAACCTCCAAAGCGGCTGCCTGTCATAGGTGGGGTCTTTGTGGATGGGTCGCATGCCGCACTAAATGTTATGGAATTACCAGAGCAGACTGGCACATAAGCATTTCCTGATGCCATCAATGAGGTTTCTGAGAAGTGGTTTGCTCAGGTCGCATGGCTAACTTGTGGCCCAGCCCTACAGAGGACAATTACTTCCTGCTCTCCGTGAAGCTGGGCCAGTCTTTACCCTGTGGATCAACCAGGTTTACTCAGCAGGCCCTCGTCCTCTCTGACTTGGGGATGGGGAGAGTGAAGAGCTAGTAACCTTCTCCCAACCTTTATGCATCCTGGTAGATCTGTGGCTAGGCAAAATGTGCTTCCCTCTGGAACCTGCTTCTCTGGAACACAGCTCCTAGGTGGCAGTATTGGTGAAGGGATCTACACAGCTTGCTGTGTACACTGCCTCAAGGGGCACCACTGGCGTGCATTCTGTCTGGAGGCTCCATGGTTCTGCTCTGTGCCCCCCTCACCTCTCTGGTAACGATGCTCAGGGAATTTCAGGGTCCACCTTGCTGTCCTGGGACAGAGTCCTGGTGGTGATCTGGAGGTCCAGGGCACAGAGGAAGCAGAATGCTTTTTATCTGTGTCTAGATTTCTCCTTTTTCCTCCTACTGGTAGCCCCAGCAGAAGCCACCTGGAACTTAGCTCTCCAATTCACACATTGAAAGACACTTTGAGGGGTCACCTGGATTCCTTCCCCCAACCCAGGGAGAAGATCCAGACTCATTCAATGACCACAGCCTCTGAGGGCAGAGGAGGACAAGCTGCTGCCCTCGGGTGGCCTGGACTTCCCACTCCGAGCGAGTGGCTACAGCTGCAGCAGGCTCTGCAGTCCTCTTTGCATTCACATGCTCTTCCCTCTTCCCCTCAGCAGGGGCTGTGGCCGCCTCTTTCAGGGTCAGAGAGTCCTCTGGCTCCCCTTGCAGAGGCAAGAGAAAGAGGATCACAGCATTTTCATGCTCTGGAGCAACAGTGACCTGTATATCTGGAGGCTCTGGAGAGCTATTTTGTCAAAACTGAGCAAGCATGCCACCAGTTCCTTCATCCGGCAACATTTTTGAGCACCTACTATGTGCCAGCCATTTTCCCCATGCTGAAAATGCACTTGGTCACAGCAGGAGGCCTCTGTGTATTGTGAACTCATGAATGAGACCCAGCCCCGGGAGGTGCGTACCCATGTGCTCCTGTCAATCTGGCTGATAGTGCATGGCAAAACTCAGAGCAGCAATCTCCTGGCCTTCCTCCTCTGCCCCAGTTAATTAGGGAGAATAGTGCTGTGACCTACTCACAGTGGTGAACAAGAGAAGGTTTGGGGGACTTCGAGTGCCTTAGAGAAAGAAGCACCCACCTACAAAGTGTTTCCTGCAATTGCAGCAGGAAAGGCAACTATGATGGCTTGAGCCCAGTTAAGAGCAGACACCTCAGATAAAGAAATGGGATGCTGTCTTCCCAGGGAGAGAGAAGCCTATGCCTCAGCTGGTCAGGAGAATACAGGCTTGCTGCAAGTTGGTTCTACCCAGTGTGGGCTGCTAGGGAGGTTGAGCAGTTCAGAGACATGGAGCCCCACGGCCACTGTGTCTCCTGGGAACACAAACCTGGCTCCTAGCACGAGAAGCAGCAATGGAGAAGGGAGAACTCTGTGGCTGCAGGTGCTCTGTGACTCTGCCCTCCGAGGAGCCCATGGTTGGCCTGGGAGCCTTTGCCTCGTAGAGCCTCATCCTAACATTGAGGTCATCTCCAAGCTACCGAGTGAAAGAAGTATACCCCAATGCAAGCAGCGTTAGCACCCAGCATTTGCATTCTGTGCATGGCTGCTCTTCCCATCATCGGGGGCTGAACTGCTCAGGTTCATGGACACCCACCTCGCAGCTCCCTGCTAGGGCCTAGGACAGTGCTGGTGCCTAGCCAAGTCCATTTCTGTTGCATTGAATTGAAATGAGTTAGGGGCTGAGGGGAAAAAAAAAAGAAAAAGGCTTGTGATTTGTCCCATGGAAACTCATGTTATTCTTGCCAAAATCTTTGAAAAAGAGAAGCAGAGTGTGCACATTTTTTAAGGGTTACAGTCTTGTTTTTTTTTTACATCTCAGACTTTTCACATCAGGCCTAAGAGGAGCAGGCTAATGGGTATCTTGGAGGGCTGGATGAAGGGTAGCGGGGTCATGGCCACCCCCTCTGCAGGGCAGGAACCAGAGCAACAGAAGTAACAGAGAAATAGAAGAGCCTGGACATGTGCTGGTCTTTAGGGGAATCAGGAGATGGAGGAACAGTGTGGCCCCTCCTCTTATCCTCTGGTCATGGGATGCAGTGGCCTGTGGTCAGCACGCGGCAGGCACTTCTTCATCTGGCCCTGCCTTTTTTCCTCGGCTCCAGAATGGGGAATGAGCCACCACTCTTTGTAGATTTGTTGTGAGAATACAATGAGAAGTTGTGATAGTCAACGAAGTTCTTTACGTGTGTTGATCCATCCTGGAGCTTCACTACCTTTTCCACAATACCAGGGTTTGCTCATTTTCCAAAGCCCCAGTGTCCTTATAATTGGTGGTCCCATGGGGGGAACTGCAGGAACCATGAAGCCAGTTCACCCTGTGCCAGAGCCCTGGCTTTGTCATGCACCAGCTATGTAACTGTGGGCAAGTTTACCACTCATTACAAGTTAACGTGTTAACTTGTAATCATCATACTCACTTTGCAGAAGTGCCTGGAGGACCATCTGAGCAGAGACATGTAGGCAAGCACCCAGGACAGGTTGGCTGGACTGACCTGTATCTCACATACACTCCTGGGCATGCACTGAGGCCCTCCTCTTGTTTCAACTCTTCAGGCCTGCTTCTTCAGGCAGTTTTTGGGTTAGGAACATTTACCTTCCTCATTTTGCGGAGCAGGGTGCAAGCCTGTCTTTCCAAAAGGTGACGTTGCCTGGGTCAGAACACGCAGAGCGCTGGGAGCCCTTAGTTTGGGCGTCCCCACTGCAGGGACAGCCAAGGAAGTGAGGACAACTCCTGTTTCAATCTTCATACCCTGGGTGAGGATACGGAACTTGCATTTTATGCCTTTTCTCTACTTGGTACCTCAGTGGCGACCTCTGAGTTAGAGGTGTCACAACAGGGCCAGTTAGTTTCTGTTCATCAGGAAGCCCAAGGTGCCTTTGGAGCCCGGGTGGCAGAACTGACTGGCGTTGGCTGAATCCATGGGTCGCCTCTGTCCTCTAGTGGCGAGAGAGGGAAAGGCATTGGCCACTCCGGGCCAGGCTTGCCAACCAGATTCAATTGCCTTTGAGTGATGGTGTGTATTTGGTCACCTGGAAACCTAGCAGCACCAGGCAGCACAAACCCAAGCAAGGCCAACACACAGAAGTCATCACAGAACACATTCCAGGCCTGGGGTAGAGGGTTTCACTCACCTGTTTATTTGTTCATTCATTTATTCATTCAACAAATATTTATGGAGTGTCTGCTATGTGTGGGCATGGCTCTAGGAAGTAGATCAAGACAGTGATCAAAACAGGCAATGAGGCAGTGACGTCATTGGCAAGATGGCAGAAAAGGACTTTTCAGCACTTGCCCCTTCACTGAAACATGAATTTGAACAACAATCTGTGCACGAAAATACCTTCAGAAGAGCTCAGGAATCTGGGTGATAGATTACAGTACCTGATTAGTCAGTGTGGCGATTCCTCAGGGATCTAGAACTAGAAATACCATTTGACCCAGCCATCCCATTACTGGGTATATACCCAAAGGACTATAAATCATGCTGCTGTAAAGACACATGCACACGTACGTTTCTTGCGGCACTATTCACAATAGCAAAGACTTGGAACCAACCCAAATGTCCAACAATGATAGACTGGATTAAGAAAATGTGGCACATATACACCATGGAATACTATGCAGCCATAAAAATAATGAGTTCATGTCCTTTGTAGGGACATGGATGAAATTGGAAATCATCATTCTCAGTAATCTATCACAAGGACAAAAAACCAAACACCGCATGTTCTCACTCATAGGTGGGAATTGAACAATGAGTACACATGGACACAGGAAAGGGAACATCACACTCTGGGGACTGTTGTGGGGTGGGGGGAGGGGGGAGGGATAGCATTAGGAGATATACCTAATGCTAAATGACGAGTTAATGGGTGCAGCACACCAGCATGGCACATGTATTCATATGTAACTGACCTGCACATTGTGCACATGTACCCTAAAACTTAAAGTGAAATAATAATAATAAAATAAAATGAAATAAAATAAAAAAGAAAAGACACATTGAAGGCAGTAGGAAGGACAGCTTCAGATTACCTGTGTCCTCACACCCCCAAGCCTATGCAGGGCATCACCGAGAGATACCTTCTACGTGGAGGAAAGAGAGCGAAGTGACCGCCAGTTTCACTGTGGACCCTAGTGCTAGGCTAGCCCTTATGAATCCAGGATCCTGGAGTCTAATAATGTTAACAGAAAAACATTAAACAGATTAAATTTAATAGAGTTTAATTGAGCAAATAACAAAAATTCATGAATCAGTCAGTCCTCAGACCAAATAGGTTCAGAGAACTCCAGGCTGCAACATGGTCAGGTAGCATTTATGGACAGAAAATGGAAGGGAGGTGCAGAGACCAGTTGATGGGTTATGGCTTCATTTGTCTTATTTGAGCATGTTCTTATCAGTTGGCCCCCTGCAACTGACTGAAGCTCAGCTGCTGAGACTGGCTGAGACTCAGTTACCTGTTATAAAATTATACTCCTAAGTTAGGCTTGCAGTTAGTTTCCATCCTATGTTAGGTTGAAGTTAATTAAAGAGGGACTCAAAGTGCAGAGGCATTGTCAGACCAAATTTAATTTAATTTAACAATAGAGTGGTTAAGCGTATTTGGGGGGGAAAAAGATCCAACTATATGCTGCCTAAAAGAGAGTCACTTCAGCTTTAAAGATACATATAGGTTGAAAGTGAAGAGATGGAAAAAGGTATTCCATACAAATGGTAACCAAAAAGGGGAGTGGGGTGGTTATTCCAAAATCAGATAAATTAGATTTTAAGTGAAAAACTGTCACAAGAAATAAAAAAGTTTTATCCTACGTATAATGATAAAGGGATAAACTCATCAAAAGCATATAACAATGATAAATACGTATGCACCCAACATTAGAGCACCTAAGTACATAAAGAAAATATTTTAAAAATTAAAGGGGGAAATAGACAGAAATACAATAATAGTAGGAGACTTCCATACTTCACTTTCAACAATGAATAGATCTTCCAGATGGAAAGTCAGTAGGAAACGGTGGACTTGGACAACACTATAGACCAAATGGACCTAACAGGCACATACAGAACATTCCATCCAACAGCAGCAGAATTATGCACACACAGAGAGCATTATGCAGAATAGAGGGAGACATCACACTACCTGATTTCAAAATATTCTACAAAGCAATAGTAATCATGACAGTATAATACTGGCATGAAAATAGACATATAGACCAATGGAACAGAATAGAGAACCCAGAAATAAATCTATTCATTTTCAGTCAATTGCTCTTTGACAAAGTTGCCAAGAATATACAAGGTGGGAAATATATTCTTTTCAATAAAGTGTGTGGGAACAACTGGATATTCACATGCAGAAGAATAAAACTGAACCATTTTCTCACACCATATAAAAAATCAACTCAAAATGCATTAAAAACATAAAAGTAAGATGTGAAACTACTAGAAGAAAACATAGAGAAAAAGTTTTTTGACATTCATCTGGGCAATGATTTTTTGGATATGACCAGAAAAGCACAGGCAACAAAAGCAAAAATAAATGGAATTGCATAAAACTAAAAAGCTTCTGGGCTGGGCACAGTGGCTCACACCTGTAATCCCAGCACTTTGGGAGGCCTAGGTGGGTGTATCACCTGAGGTTAGGAGTTCGAGACCAGCCTGGCCAACATGGTGAAACGCCGTCTCTACTAAAAATAAAAAAATTAGCTGGGCCTCGTGGCAGGTGCCTGTAATCCCTGCTACTTGGGAGGCTGAGGCAGGAGAATTGCTTGAACCCAGGAGACAGAGGTTGCAGTGAGCTGAGATTGCGCCATTGCACCCTAGCCTGGGTGAAAAGATCGAAACTCCATCAAAACAAACAAACAAAAAAGCTTCTGTAAAGCAAATAAATAATTGACAGATTGAAAGAGACACCTATAAAGTGGGAGAAAATATTTTCAAACCATACATCTGACAAGAAGTTAATATTCAGGCTATATCAGAAACTCAACTTAAGGCTGGGTGCAGTGGCTCATGCCTGTAAACCCAATACTTTTGGAGGCTTAGGAGGATGGATTCCTTGAGTCCAGGTGTCTGAGATCAGCCTGGGCAACATGGTGAAACCCCATCTCTACAAAAATTACAAAAATTAGCTGGGCATGGTGGTGCATGTCTGTAGTCCCAGCTACTTGAAAGGATGAGGTGGGAGGATCACTTGAGCCCCGGAGGCAGAGGCTACAGTGAGCCAAGTTCAATCCACTGCACTCCAGCCTGGGTGACAGAGTGAGACTGTCAAAAAAACAAAACAAAACAAGAACAAAAAACAAAAAACAAAACAAAAACAAAAACAAAAAAACAAAAGCAAAAACAAACAAACAAAAAACCCACAACCCCCCCCAAAAGAAACAACTCAACTCAATAGCAAGAAAACAAATGATCTGATTAAGAAAATAGGCAAAGTACTTGAATAGATATCTTTCAAAAGAAGACACACAAATGGCCAAGAGATATACAAAAAAATGCTCACTATCACTTATCATGAGAAAAATGCAAATCAAAATTACAATGGGATATTACCTTACACCTTACACCTAAGAATGGCTATGATAAAAAAGACAACTGCCCTGGCCAACATGGTGAAACCCCACCTCTACTAAAAATACAAAAGTTAGCTGGGCTTGGTGGCACGTGCCTGTAATCCCAGCTACCTGGGAGGCTGAGGCAGGAGAATTGCTTGAACCCGGGAGGTGGAGGTTACAGTGAGCTGAGATCGCACCACTGCATTCCAGCCTGGGTGACAGAGCGACACTCCATCTCAAAAAAAAAAAAAAGAAAAAAACTAAATATTGGCTGAGATGTGGAAAAATGGAAACCCTTATACACTGTTGGTGAGAATGCAAATTAGTACAATCGTTATGAAAGACAATATGAAAGTTTCTCCACAAATTAAAAAGAGGACTACCATATAATCCAGAAAACCCTCTTCTGGGTATATGTCCAAAGGAAATGAAATCAGTATGTCAAAGAGACATCTGTATTCATGTGTTCATTGCATTATTCACAATAGCTAAGACATGGAACCTAAGTGTCCATCAACAGATGAATGGATAAAGAAAATATGGTATGCATATGTATGTGTGGGAGGGTAAACATATATGTGTGTGTGTAGTCACACACACACTGAAATATATTTCAGCCTTAAAAAGGAAGGACATGCTACAACATGAATCAAACTTGAGGTCATTATGCTAAGTGAAATAAGCCAGTCGCAAAAAGATAAATATTGTGTGATTCCACCTATATAAAGTACCTAGCCTAGTCAAATTCATACAGACAGAAAACAGAATGCTAAAGGGCTGAAGAAAGGAGGGTATAAGGAATTATATTTTAATGAGTATAATGTTTTAGTTTTAGTTATGCAGGATTAATTAATTTTGGAGATCTAATGTATAGCATAGTTACTATAGTAATAATACTGCATTGTATACTTGAAATTTACTAAGAGAGTAGATCTTAAATGTTCTCACCACACACACACAAAAGCAACTATGTGAGGTGATGACTATGTTAATTAGTTTCATTGTGGTAATCATTTCACCATGTATACATGTATCAAAACATCACATTGTATACCTTAAATATATACAATTTTTATTTGTCAATTATCCCTCAATAAAGCTGGAAAAATGCTCATAAAGCCACCCCTCTCCCATAAAAATTACACATAGGCAAGTTTATCCAGTCATGGGATTTTCATTCTAGTGCATATTTCCTGACACAGGTGGGGAGTTAACAACACTAGCCAATCATTTAATCTGCGACCTTTCATGTTTGGACTTTCCTGAAATGGCCCCAACAATTAAATGGCGTAATACAACAGGAGGAGCCCTGAACAGACAGTAGGTTAGACTGGGTTTGAAATCTTGTTCCTCCATTTACTAGCCAGGTGACCTTGGGCATATCATTGAAAGTCCATGTTTGGCCTGTTCCCTTCTAGCAGTGTGCCAGGACCTCATGGATCAGTGATGGACTAGACTCTGTGGCTCCTCCCCACTCAAAATGTGGGATAGTAGCATCTACCTGACCACAGCTGTGGATGTTGACATGCCTTTCACCTGGCATTGGGAAAAAAGGGTCACACTCTTTTTGCCTTATTATAAAAAGAAGGAAATAGGTTCATAAAAATAATTTGATATAATTTATTCTGTTTTGCTATATGCCAGTGTTTCCATTATCTGTTGCTGTGTAACAAACCGCCCCAGAACTTGGCAACTTAAAGCAACAGTGTCTTATTATTTCTCATCATTTTTATGTGTTGACTGGGCTGGACAGGGCAGGTTTTCTGCTGCAAGATTTCTGTTAGGGCTTGGATGGCCAGAATAGTCTCTTCACTCCCATGCCTGGCATCTCTGCTGGGATGGCAGGACCAGCTGGGGCCTGACCAGGCATCGTTCTCTCTTTGTGGTGTCTCCAGCAGGGTAACTGAACTTTAACAGGATGGCTCTCGGCTTCAAGAGCTCCACAAGAGTCTAAGCCACTACATGCAAGTGCTTATCAAAACTCTGATTGCATTATGCTTGCTAATGTCTCATTCACCAAAGGAAGTCACATGGTTAAGCCCACGGCCAATGTGGGCAGGAACCATATGAGAGTATGAATAGTGGGAAGCATGTCCATTGGGGGACACTGGGGTGACATACTACAGTGGCCAGCCAGGGTGCTGATGTGAGGGGCCCTTTGTAAAGCAGTGTGGTTGTGTCCCTGTAGATCCAGGAGTCAGGATGCATTTTGCTGCTGCTGTCTTACCAAAAAATTACTTTTAATTGGGACATCTTAATGTTCCCATAATCTCGTCTAATAAGGAATAATAAAACAAGAGGTCAGAGGAGTCTTTCTTGGCCCTGTGTAGAGGCTCTAAGAGTTGGTCAAACATCCCTTCCCACCCAGTTGCAGGGAGACATGCCCTCAGTAGTTCACTACTTTACCACTCTAAATGGGAACCATCCCAGCAGGGAGGCTGCACACAAAAGGAGCACCACAAAATTCCTCTTGTATTTCTCCTTCCCTATGCGTAATTAGTGGAGAAAGGCAGCATCATGGGGGTGAGACACGTTGGCCCTAGGACTTTGTGATGGTGAGCACATTAGATTTTCAGGTCATTTGGCTCTAGACACATTCTCCAAAAAATAATTTTCAGCCATCAAGTCTTGGTGTTCTCTCTATTTTTATCTCCAGTGCAGAGGTTTGGGCTTAATCACACTCCTCAAGTTACTAAACTGACCTTGTCTTGTTTCATGTGTGTATGTATGTGTGTACGTATGTATATATGCATGCATGTATGTATTATTCTTTTTGATTCCCTTTTCCATGCCTCACCCCATAGATAAACTTTCTGCGGTGTTTAATATATATCTTTTTATTTGTATGCATTCTTCCCAACTGTGTATTATGCTTTTGTATGCATGCATGTTTAATTTTCATATATGGCATAATCAATTGCTAAAGTTATGCAAAATTGATCATGTTATCAATTTAACTTTTTTTTTTTTTTACCTTTTCCTTTCCAACTGTGGATTTTAGGCCCATCTACATTACTGTGTGTTCTCCAAGTTTGTTGCTTCATGGTGTGCACCACCCCCAATGCTGTTCTCCATTCTGCCACATTACCTGGCCATCCTCCCACTGCAGAGCCTCCCCTCCCTGTCCCACAAATGTCCCTGCTGGGAACATCCTCAGCAGACCTCCAGAGAATTTCTCTGGGCTCTATGAGCAGGAGCAAAATGAGTGTGCAGAGGATGTGGGTCACAAATGTGAGTAGGTAGTGCCAGAGAGCTTTTCTGACTGGAAGCCCTGGTCTCTGCCCTCAGTAGCAGTGCCAAAGGACATACCTTCTCTTCCCAGCCCAGCCCTGGCATTAGCCACAAGAAGATGAAGATGCAGGCCCTGCTTGCAAGGATCCTGTGACATTATTCCACCTCGAATCCCTAACCTCTGTGGACGGGTTTTCTGGCTTCGTCCCGGGCAGTCTGACCAAGCCCTGGCATTCCCAGGCCACATCCACCTGCCTTGGCATCCTGTCCCCAGCCACCCTGCCTTCCTCGGATGTGGCCAACAGACATGTGTCATGGCGAATGTGCCAGAGCAACTGGGAGCTACTCAGAGAGGAACTCAATGAAGATGAGATCATTTTACCTCCCCCACAGTTCCCCAGCAAATCTCAGCACTGAGCCTCTGTGCCAACTCCAGAGAGAGTGCACTTGTTGGTAACTAACTGCTTTGTTTACCATTCACAGTGGCTCTGAAAAGCCCACCTCTTGGGTGGTAGATATGAAGTGAACAATGTTACTGTGATGAAATGACACAGTGACAGCCTGGAGGTCATGCAACCTAGAGAACCTAGAGCGGGACCCTGTTCTAGATACTTCATTTCACAGGTAACCTAGAGAACCTAGAGCGGGACCCTGTTCTAGATACTTCATTTCACAGGCAACCTACAGAACCTGGAGCGGGACCCTGTTCTAGATACTTCATTTCACAGGCAACCTAGAGAACCTAGAGCGGGACCCTGTTCTAGATACTTCATTTCACAGGTAACCTAGAGAACCTAGAGCGGGACCCTGTTCTAGGTACTTCATTTCACAGGTAACCTAGAGAACCTAGAGCGGGACCCTGTTCTAGGTACTTCATTTCACAGGTAACCTAGAGAACCTAGAGCGGGACCCTGTTCTAGATACTTCATTTCACAGGTAACCTAGAGAACCCAGAGCGGGACCCTGTTCTAGATACTTCATTTCACAGGTAACCTAGAGAACCCAGAGCGGGACCCTGTTCTAGATACTTCATTTCACAGGTAAAGACACTGAGACCCAGAAAAATGATCTTCCTTGTTATGTAATGAAAGGCCAAGCTGGTGCCAGAGTCTAGGAGCCCCATTGCTCTGGCCCATCCTCCTTTCCTATCCCTGCCCCAGTTTCCTTCCCACCAGTTGATGCTGCAGGGGCCCTCAACTCCACAGATAAGCCTAAACTTTGCCCCAAGACATTGAACTTCTTCCCTTCCTAGACTGGTCTTGTGAAATATTCAGAAACAGGAAATTGGCTTTATTGATGACTTTCCTTCCCTTCCCAATTCAGTTCAGGAAACAATAAACTGAAACAAGAATAAATAAAATAAATAGGGAAGAGAAGACAATAATAATCAGAACTATTTCTTGACTGTGAAAAGACTGTAATGAAATAAGGAAATAAGATCCCTTAAGAATTCTATTGGCCAGGCACAGTGGCTGCTCACACCTACAATGCCAGCACTTTGGGAGACAGAGTCCAGCACATTGCTTGAATGCAGGAGTTTGAGACCAGCCTGAGCAACAGGGCAAAACTCTGTTTCCAAAAAAAAGAAATTAGCCTCAGTTATTCAGGAGGCTGAGGTGGGAGGGTCACCTGGGCCTGGGAGGTCAAGACTGCAGTGAGCTGAGATCACGCCACTGCACCTCCAGCCAGGGTGACACGGGGAAATCCTGTCTCAAAAAAAACAAAAACAAAAACAAAAACAAACAAACAAAAAAGAATTCGACCAGTGGGTGTTTTCCCCTATTTTCTAGATGGAGAAGCAGAATCAAAGAGGCACTCAGGAAATGACTGGAGAAATATGACCAATGATATAGCAAATATATCTACAATTACTCACAGGAGTCACTAAAGCAGGTTTTACTCCTTTGTAAATGTCTCTTCCTTGTAGCTCAAAGCATCAGTTCCTAATGGCATATGTCTTTCTTCTTTCATCTAATATACCATGAGAATAATAACAGTAGTAGTTTCAGAAATACCGAATTACATTTATGCAATACTGTAAAATTTACAAAGTTGAGCATAGGAATTCATGCTTGAAAAAATATTAATTCTGGACAAGTGATTAGTCAGGTAGGATGACAGGATTTGGAAATGAGGGAGTGAGTATTGGTCATAAATGAACAAATATCTCATTGGGCACGTTGGCGGTCCTGCTCTTGGAGAAAAGCTGCCATTCCACACTGCAATACTCTGGAATGCCTCAGAACCTTCCTTTGCAAATTAGAACAGGGATAGAGGGAAGGGTCATTCAGAATTTGGAGCTAATTAGATCATCTAGCCAATAGGAGAAATGTTAGAAAGAACGGACACTTTTTTTTGTAATCCTAACTTGCACCATGCACTGCTTTTGTGAACGGGCCTGAAGAACTCCTTGAAGGGAACATGACACAAACCTCAGTGGAAGCTATTTAGCTCTGTTCCCAGGACCGTGCCAACAGCCTAGTGCCAGCGAAAACTGTCTCTGTCCCCACAAGTCCAGCACTTGGCAGGCGCCACCTGACCCTCTGCCTTGAGTTCAGAAAAGATTTTTTTAATTCACATACTGTAAAATTCACCTGTTTAAATTGTACGATTCAGTGGTTTTAGTATATTAACAGAGCTACAAGACTATCATCATTATCTAATTCCAGAACCTTTTTATCACCTCAAGAAGACCTCATACCCATTGGCAGTCACGGCTAATTCCCTTCCTTCTGCCTCTGGGCCCTGGCAACCACTCATCTTTTTGTGTTTACAGATTTTCCTACTCTGGACATTTCATATAAATAGAATCCTGCAATATGTTGTTTTGTGCGTGTGGCTTCTTTCCTTTAATGTCTTACAGTTTATTCATGTTGTAGCTTATGTCAGTACTTCATTCTTTTCTACAACTGAGTAATAGTCCATTGCATGCATATAGCACCTTTTGTTTACCTCTTCATCTGTTCATGCTTTCAGAAGGATCTTGGTACTAGTCTGAGCTGAACTTGAAAGCTATAGACAATGAGTTTTTTTTTCCATCTCCTAACATAGTAAAAATTAGTGTTTTAGGAAGATTACTGTGGTGGGCCCATAAACACCAGATCTACGGTGAGGCAGAGATGGAGGATGATGAAATTTGGAACCTCATTCTATTAAATTGGAGAGAAAAGTCAAGGTCAGCAAGGGAATCTTTGTGCAAGAAGCAGACTCATTCTCATTCTCTCTCTCCTCTCTCTCTCTCTCTCTCTCTCTCTCTCTCTCCCTCTCTCTCTCTCCCATCTGTCTCCAGTTCTGACCATAAAGCCATAAGGCCACAGGCTTTTAAGAGTGGCTATCCTGGGGTTGAGGGCCCAGTGGTGGTTTCAACCTTGTCTCATATTTCTCCTGGCAGCTCTGTTGAAAATCAGCCGACCACACTCCTTCCTGGAACATGCATCGCTGAGAATTGCCTCTTGCACAATTATCTGCCAAACCCCGTTGTTAATGAAATGAATGATTTAGTTATCCTTGTTAGTAATGGCCCACACTGCACAAAGACCCATTATTGCATCCATGAGGCTGGCAGGAGTGCCGGCCAAGGCACCTGTGAGCGATTCTTACAATTAGCTCTCTTATCAGCTTGATTGGAGAGGAGAAGGCTGCCAGTGGCCACAGGGGTGCAGCCTGTCCCCTGCATGGTCCCCACGATGCATCAAGAGCTGGGAGCATCTAGGGGCAAAATAAGAAATGAGGCCGGGACTGAGCTCTTCATTTGCCAATTTTGACCTGCAAAGCCTGGGGCTGCTTCCCCCTAGCACAGGGGACGGACAGCCTGAAGGACTGTGGGGACATGCATCATGTCAGGTTTCCTTGGGTCCAGGGAGCAGCTCGGCTGACCGGCAGATGAGGTACCTTGAAGCATATTGGGGTATCCTATTAATAAAACACCTCTCCCCATCACACACCATGGCACAGCTCCTCCCCCTCCCTCAACTCCTCTGCCAAAGAGAACATCTTTCCTTTGCTGGTAATACTGGGTTTTTGCTCCCCTCCCTCCTCGCTCCCCAGTAGTGGCTGTACAGTACTGCTCCTTCGTTTCCTGTTAGGCCCGATCTTCCTCTAGTGCTCATTCCTGCTGCTTTTCAAGGGAAGGGAGAACACGAGCAAGAAAAGTAGACAGAAATGGGCATGACTGGAACAAGTAGAACTGATCAAGGTAAATAGAGACATAAACAGAGAAAGTAATTTGAAGGACATTGTGTTAACACACACAAGAATGTGTACACACACACACACACACACACACTTGCACATACACATTTCATCTTGTCTTCTGGACGATGACATTCAGGAATAAGTTCTTCAGTTTGGGAAATAGCTGCCCAGAGCTGTGACTGAGAAATGTGTTTCAGCTTAAAGAGACTAGACTAACATGTGGTTAAGGGACTCTTGCGAAATGAGCAGAACCAAGGGTGCACTGAGTGTGCACAGAGGCAGGTATTAGAGGCTGTGTAACAGGGTGGGTGGTCTGTGCATTGACCTGGCTTCACTCCTTTGACTGGTTGTGACTCTGCATAAGCCATTTAATACACAGCAAAAGATAGATGCTTGAAAACTGCTTTCATACATACAGATTTATTCATGTTGACAACCTCTGCATGCCACTCAGTAAAAATTTCCAGGCTACTTACAATAATAGCGAAACAGAAGGATAAACTAAATTATGTCGGAGGAATATACTATGTAAAAAATATAATAAAATTAAAGATGAGATTAGCACCTGAAAATCTCTCTATTATGACTTGAGGGCCTACTAATTTGGCCCTGAGAGGTGTGGCCCTTCCTAATTTTGACAGTGAGAAATATATCGCCCTGGGTCCTGATATAGAGGACCTGTAGAGGCAGAGGGCGGTGCCCTGGATAACACCCCTCCAGTGGAGAAAGAAAAGACCCCATTATGACTGCTGCATCCCTCTCGGAAGATGGCACGGGAGGCCAGCACTCCCGCCAGTACACACCAAAGTATCGTGGCCCAAATTATCCAGCTTCATCTTCACTGTCTATACCAGTCATGTTCAATGACTTATAAAAAGCAGTGATACTCTTCTAGTCCAATAAAATCTTGCACAAGCACAGAGAAAAGAGGGCGGGTGGGTCATTGTTTCAGAGGGGGAAGGGCTGACCATTTTCTTAGGGCCTCTCTTTCCCCACGCAGAGAGTGGTGAGGCCTGATGAGGCACCTTTGCTCTGAATCCCAAGCATCTGAAAACCCCTTGTCCCATCTAGGTGAAAGGATGGAGGGAGGGAGGGAAGAAATAGAGGAATGAAGGGAGGGAGGAAAGAATGTTGCTTTTCATTGCCACTTGCACAGGATTCTTGTGGGAGCCAGTAGGGAAGTTGCTATTTTGAATCGGATAAATTGGGGCTTCCTCTTCTTGTTCATCAAGACCACTCTTTGGCTCATTTCATCCCAATAAAACAAACCACGACACACTACCAGACTGAAGAGACCGTACAGTGCACTTTTAAGTGTCTGGGCTCCAAACCAAACTGCCTGGGTTTGAATCCTGGCCCTGCTACTTATCACTGTGTGATACTGGACAAGTTACTTAACCTTTCTGTGCCTGTTTTCTCATCTGCAGAAATAGGTGCTGATAGTACCTACCTCATGGGAGTGTTGTGAGGAGAAAATGTGTTAGCATGGGTACGACGTTTAGAATGGCATTTGCCACATGGTCTGGGAATAAATGTCAGCTGTCATTATGCTGTGGGTATATAAATACACTACTCCTTGCAATATCAGTTTTTGCCCACACAATTTCCAGCCCTCTGCCCTCAGGTGAGCCAGCCTGTCTCATCTCAGGGCCTCATGGTGGCTTAGCTCACTCAGCAGTGGGAGCAGGTGGCTGAGCTGCAGTCAGGGTTCTGTGAACGCGGTGGGTTGAGGAGGGAAAGGAATGAGGTTTGGAGTCCTTTTGTTGTTTTGCTTGGGTCAGAAGGAATCTGTGGTAGCATGCAGTCATGATCTTATTTTACAGCTGCAGGATGTTGGTAGACAAACTTCTCCCTAATCTATATGATCTATAAGCCCAAACGGCCTTTAATAGGGGGCGGTCACAGGAGGTCAGTGGCCTCCTCCTTCACAGCAGCTATGTGATGTGGCTGAGCTCTGAGAAAGAGCACTTGGCTGTGGTGCAACTGGCCTAGAATTCATAGCCCCATTCTCTTGATCTGAGTTGCTTCTGGGGGATGAGCGTGGCACCACAGCGTCTCAGGTGCTATATAGGGGACTTCCCAAGAGTTGCCCGTATCGGTTGTAAGGTGCTGTCTACATGAGGGGATGGTTTTATGAATACACAAGGGAGAGTTACCAGCAGAGTGATGGCGAAAGCTTTGAGCTAGATGGTTTTCATCTTCCTGAAACATCGCCCTAGGGTTTTCCTGATGTTTCCATCAATCTGTTAAGTGCAGTGTGTGGTCGTGTCCCTCAGGGACTTTCCCATTTACTCTGGAAGACCAAACTTATAGGCTACACTCTGGGTGCAGACAGTGCTAGTCCTGTGGGGAGTTGGGAAAAAGGAGTGGGAGGCTTTGTGGCCGAGGAGGGGCTTCAGGGCAGCAAGGATGACGGCTGGGTTTGAACAGTCAGTGGAGAAGGAAGTGTGGAAAGGCCAGAGAAGTAGACATGGATGTGTGCATGCCAGAGAGGGCAGGCAGACAGGGTTCATGGAGGGGGCAGAAGCAGCACATTGACCTCTGCTTCTGCCAGAAGATCAGAGGGGATATCGGGGGGGTGGTCTGGCCAGAGTAAGGGCAGCCTTGAAGCCCCGATGGAATAATTTTGACTTGATTCTATGGAAAATGACATACGACAGTGTAGGAGGGCTTGTCTTCTAACTGAAACCAGCTGGGAATCTTTCCCAGTAGAGTCAAGGGCAGGGCAGAGCGAGGGCCTTTGGCAGCATGTGCAAATGTACATGCATGTAACCATTGTGTGTGGCCCACCATGCTTTTAAACCTACCTTTACCTCCTCTAGTTCTTCATATCTCTTAACCCTCTTGTCTGTGAGCATCAACAATCCGGGGCTTACACAGACAACACCACAGTGTGCCATCTTGCCAGAAGGAGAAACTGAGGCACTCTATTCTAAAGAGGCTGGTTCTAGGACCTGCCCTTGAATCACTGTGGAGTAAGACCCAGAGTGTGGGCTGCCAGGCCCCTTCCTTCAGGGATCTGGCTTCTAAAGTTGGTTCTTTTCCTGTATCTCATAAAGAGGGAAAGGATGGGCCTAAGAGAGGTTATTTGGACAAATGGCCATTGTAATTGCCTCCTATCAGACACAGGTGGATAGAGGCAGGTGTGGGGAAGAGGGCTGCCTGGATCTGGGATTCCCAATCCCCCATACTCCTTGGCCTATTGTTGAGGGGGAGCTAGAGGAGGGGTGCGGACTTAGCAGGTTAAGAAAGATAAACGCTTACTCTTTAACAGTGGGAAAGAGGGACGGAAGAGTAAGATTGAAATCTGAGGCAAGAGGAGTGGCCTAACCTGGTGGAGGCAGGAGAGGCGCGTGTCCTCTACATGCCCGTCCAAGTCCCTGGTAGGTTCGTCCTTGCTCTGAGGGAAGAGTGTGGGCCACAGGCCATGGGGACACTCTGAGGATGTGGGTGCTGCCCATCTTGAAGTTTCTCCCCACCCCTCTCCGGAGCTGCTACCATTGTCCTTTGCCCTCGGAGTGCTCTCCTCCCACCCCCGCCGCCTCTTGTTCTCTTTCTCCCTTGAGCCGTTAGAATGGCAGGGAGCCCAGCCAGGGCCTGGACGGCGGCCTCAGCTCCCTGTTCTCAATAATTGTGTGTGTGTGCATGTGTGCATGTGTACGTGTGAGTGCCTGTGTGTGTGCATTGTGTGTAGGGGCTGGGGCTGGAGTCGACAACAGATCAGAGCACAGGAGTAGAGCGCTTCTGGGAGGGTGGGGCCACCCGTGAGTCACGTCCTGCACCCTGGAGCCCAGAGGACCCTTCGCTCAAACCCACCACCAGCTGGCAACACCGGACCAGACCAGCCGGAGCCGCTTTCTTCGCTGCGCAGAGGAGCCTGGGAGAAGCCAGAGGTGTAAGTCAAGCTGTGGAGGGACTGGGTGTGGCTGAGCCCCGTGACAAGTGGGAGGAGCCAGGGATGCTTGGGAGGGGAGGCACTGTGCGCGAGAGAGGAGGGAAAGGGGAAGCGTTCGTGCCTCTCTGCCCCCTGTCCCCCTCTTGCTGCATAGTAGCCACATCCATGTCTCTTGTACCCTGCAATCTGGAGGCCACTGCCAGAAGCTGGAAATCTCAAGTAGAGCAGCAAAAGGTATGAGGATTGACACAAAGTTGTGGCCGATGGAGGCTCCCCAAAGTGCATGGAAGGTGGTGATCCAGTGTCTAAAGGCAGGAGTACTGGGGCAACCCCATAGCTGGGGGTCCTATGGGAGAGACTGAGGAACTTCGGTTTGTGGACTCTCAGTCAACTGTGTTACTGAGGAGGGGAAAGGAAAGTAGATGAGTTGGTGGTTTGAACAAGACCCAAATCTTGCTTCTACTTATAGGTGCTCACAATGGCCAGTGCCCTGGAAAAGCTCTGGAATAAATACACCTGGGCCTTAGAAAGCAGAGGCAGGAGACAATGCCATCCAGTGGGAGCTTTCATTTGTTTCCTCAGCCAGCCTCTGTGTCAGGCTTTTTGGGAACAAGGGCTGGATGAACAAGACCTTGGGAGTTCCTGTGGGGAGGGACTGGGGGTGAATGGGCAGTGTGGCTGGCCCGGTGATCACTTCTCCTCTGCTTGTCTAGGCTTGAGGATGGATTCTTGGCTCCTGGTGCATTGCCACTCCCTGCCACCCTCCTCCTTGTCTTCTATCTTCTCCTGGTGGCGTCAGGCCTTGCTTCGTGTCCCAACAGGAGCCTCTGGGGCTGGCACAGCCCTCACTGCCTACAACCTGGGCCTGGTGGTTCTCCTAGGGTGCCTCTGGGAGGTAAGGCTGGTGGGCTGGGGTTCCTGGAGAGTTCTAGGATCTTTTTTTGGAGGGCTGACCAAGGGATAAGTAGAACCATGATATTCCTACATAGAAAATTGAAAAGCCTTTTTGATGGGGTCACATGCAGGAGCTGGGATTCTGTGCCATCGTTGGCTGCTCAATCCCTGTTGCAAACTTTCACTCTTCATTTCCTCACATGAGAGAGTACAGGTCAGTGGCAAGCCAGAGTGGAATTCCTTATCCCTCCCACCTCATGTGGATCCCCAGTCTCCTGTTTCCACCTGGGCTCTGTTCATCTCTGCCTGGTTTTCTGATCCCCAAATCTGGTATTCCTTTCAGACCTTGTAAACAGTCATTCAGCAGGTGTATATCAAATATATGCTTCGTGCCAGGCTGTGTTTGGCCTGCAGAATCCCTGTTGGATAAGGCCCCCCTGCCCTCCAGAGGCTCACAGTCTAGAGGGGAGACAGGTGTGGACACAGGCAGTTGCAATGCAGTGTGTTGAGTGGGCAACAGAGAGGATGTATCACGCACCAAGGGCAGGCAGGATGGGGCAGTAACCTGGTCTCTGGTCCAGGGGTGAGGATGTCAGGAAAAGCTTTTCACAGGTGGTAATGATCATCACAGATGTGTTTCCATGTTGATTACAGGCAAGGAATTGGTGTCGACACTTTATGAGGATTGGCTCATCTAATCCTCATGATAGCACTGTTTGAGGCACAGAGGGGTTAAGTAACTTAGCAGGTGGCAAGGCACAGAGGCAGAGTGCAAACCAGGCACCCTGACTGAACAGCTTGCAGCCTCCTCCTCCATCTCTTCCACCTGTTGGTGAGTTAGCAGGGAGGAGACAGAAGAAGCAGGTCCGGACAGCCCCATCTCTTCCAACTCCTCTTCGTCTCTTCCTTTCTTATTGCTGAGCTACAGTGCATCCTCCACCCTACTGACAATAATCTACCCCAAGCACAGGGAGGATGGTTCCACTGCCTGCTAGGAGCCTCTGATGCTTCCCATCCCGCAGAGGCTGAGGCTGAACCCCCTTCATGGACACATGAAGCCCTCTAGAGTCCTCTCTGGCCTTGTCTTCCACTCCGCCTCGTCTCCCTCTATATGCTCTCAGCAGCCTTGCACACCACCCTCATCCAGCACAGGCCTGCTCGCCAGCCCACACAGCCATGCTCAGCAAGTCCTCAGGCCTGGGCACATCACTGATTTTCTGCCAGAATTGCTCTTGTCCCCCAATCTCCTGACAAACTCCTGCACATCCTTTAGATTCAGGTCAGTTGTCGCCTCACAGGAAGCGGTCCCTGACTCCTCTACGGCCAGGTTATTTGTTTCCTTGCTTAGCCATTCCCAGCTCTGGGTACAGTCCTGGACTTTCTGAGGTGGGCTGGAGCCACTCTACCCGCGGGTGAGCACCAGGTGTGGGTCTCCCCGCAAATTCATGTTCAGTGACTTTGTGCGAAATAACTTGAAGTCCCTCCACCCTGGTGGCAGTATTTACACCATAGGAATTGACAAACCCCGCAGACACCTCCCCCACCTTAGGAGCTTATTAAGGATATACTGACCCCCCACTGACTGTGTCTTTCTCCAACTGTGTCACCACTTTCGTATGTGTCTTTCTCCCCTCCCAAATGGCAAGTACTTCAAAGGCAAGGCCTCTGTCTTATTTATCCGTTTACAGACAGACCCAGCGTACTGTCTGGTAGCACATGAGGGCTGCCAATAACTCATGAGACGTGAGGCATGCCCTAGAGAATTTGTCATTTAATTATGGCAACCAGGCATTCTCCTGCCACCCCAGTCCCTTGAAAACTCTGCCACGCCCACAGTCAGCTTCCTGCTCAGAAACCTCAGTAGGTCCTTTTGCATATATGGCCAGAATGCCATGTCCCCCAAGGTAGGGATTTGTATCTGTTTGGTTTTATCAATGAGATCCAGTGCTCAGAACAGTGCCCAGCATGGAGAAATGCTTTGTACCTTTCAACACATTATTGTCAAATAAATCAATAAATGATAAAATTCAAGCTCCTTACAACAGGCTTCAAGACCCTTTATTCACAATTCTGTCTCTCCAATTCTGTGGCCAGCTTCTCCTTTGGTCAGAGCCTCCGCACCAGTCCCGCTGATCTCCTAGTTAGCCCCTCAGGTCCAGGTACCACATACTCTTGTCCTGGCATGAAACTCCCACTCCCTCCCCTCTGTCTGCCCAAAGCCGCCTCATTCTTTGATCCGACTCCTGGAACACCTGCTATTTTCTACTCTTCCTCTAGCACCAACCTGTAAGGTTAGGATTTTTTTCTACATTCTCAGCCAGGCTTTGAGCTCCTTAGGGCAGGGCTGGCGTATGGACCACCTTGGTGTCTCCAGCACCCACCTCAGGCTTTCATGCATAGTAGGCACCCGGGGTAGGGTTGTAGCCTATATTTGCTCACATTAAAAAATTAGAGACCAGCAAGATATATGCAAGTTGCCGCCTCTAACCTCGCCACCCCATGGAGTTTCTTTTTAGCAGTTGTTGACCAAGTGTCAGCAGAGGTTGCATTGGGGTGTTGGTGTTCAGGAGCCCGAGCCAGTCGGGGCTCACCATGGTGGCAGCAGGCTTTATGACTTGGTCTTTTCCTCTTTCCTTTTCCTCTCAGGTCATGGTCACCCCGCTGCTGGCTAACTGCAGCTACTTCTGCCAGCCAGTGGACTACAGATGGAGAAAGCATGGAATGAGGGTATGGCAGGGAGCAGGAAGCAAGCCTGGAGAGGGTTAGGAGGAACAACTTCATAACAATCGGAGGTCAAGGAGGTATCACCTGAGCCTTTTGATGAGAGGCAGGGGACTAGCTAGTTTTGGAGTCAGATAACATCAATTTGGATCTCAGCTCTGCCAGTTACTTGCTGTGTGACTCTGGGTGGCACACCTAACTCTTCTGGGACTCAATTTTCTTATCTATAAGATTGAGATAATAATACCTATTTTATAAAGCGAAATGATTGAAGGAAGACGGAATCAGATAATATATGATAGATAATATATGAAAGTGTTTAGCACAGGGGCCGGCACACACTGAGCGGTAGCTAGGTGGTAGTGATTTCATCACTGTTAGCTGTTCTCTGTTTCAACTGGAAGCAGAACAAAAGACTCTAGCTGAAGCCTGTCTCCAGGTAGCTAAGGCTTCTCACCAGCTGATATGGATGTTGAGTCACTGGATGTTGGTGATGGGCTCATGTCCTGTGACTCAAAGTATGATCCTTGGGCCAGCAGCATCATTTGGGAGCTTGTTGGAAATGCAGAATCTGTGCTCCACCCCAGGCACACTGATTAAGAATCTTCTTTTCAACGAACAAGATGCCCACATGCTCATTAGATTCCAAGGTTCTGGGCTGGGGCACATTTGGAGAGTCCTTCTGTGGTCACTCCAGTAGCTTCTCCCCTTCTTTCCTGTGCGAACAGGCATCTTCCTGGAGACAGGAAGGTAGGCACTGTGGAATCAGCGGTGCGTAGAACAGTGAGGATTTGGGGCTGAACCCAGCCCAGGTGGGCCAAGCCGTGGCACCAGCCGGACTGCAGTCTGATGGAACTTCCCCTTCCTGCCCAGCAGATGGCGAGCGTGTGCTGCTGGTGCCTCTTTCCAAAGGACGTTGAATTGCTTGACAGGTAAGATCCCGGACCCATGGGCTCCTGTATATCCGTCAGCCAAATCTGGGGTGGTGTCTGACTCTGCCAGCAAGAATGCTCTCTAGGTTTGCCCAGGCAGCCATGCCAGAGACTAATTTCAGAGTAAAGCCTTGGTCCAGTACCTGGCTGAGGGAGGATGCTCAGCCACTGAGGTAGCATCCCTCTCTGCCGGCTCCCCTGGTCCCTGCTTTCTATCAACAGAAGTAGGAGTAGGCATTTGCCCCATTAGTATCCAGGTTCCAGGTAAAATTAAAATGGAAAATTAAACAAATTTTAAAACTGACATGATATAGCAAGGGTCATCCAACGGCAAAAGCCATCCTTCCATGTTAATGAGAAGAAACCTTGCTGGTGAGGCCAGGGAGCTTGTGGGATTAAGCAGGGTGGGGCAAGAGCATAATGTTGGTGTGGTTGGTGATGAAAAGAGGGTACTCTTTCTTCTCAGTCTCTTGCCAAAATGATCTGAGCAAAGATCACGTGGGAATGTGTTGTGTGGGTGTCCGGATTTGGGCTGACTGTTCAACACCTGAACTCTTACCCCGGTGGCCTGGGGGGCAAGGATCGGACATTGGAAAGAACCCAGTCTCTGAAGCCAGACTGTTCTGATCCCAGTTTGGCCACCTACTAGTTGTGTGCCTTTGGGCAAGTTACTTAACCTTTCTGTGCCTCTGTTTTTTTTTTTTTTTTTTTTCTTGAAAAATGGAAGTAGTAGAAGTATAAACTGCACACAATTATGTGGTATTTAAGTGATTATTTTATACACATAAAGTAGAATAGTGTTCTCTTCCCTCCTCTTCCCACCACACAGCCCTGCCCAGCATCTAGAAGACCACCTGAAGCTTTCACACTTTGAGACCTTAGATCCTGCGAGGGTTTGAATTTCAAAAGCTTCAATTAAAGCACACAGTAGGTCATAAATTGGTGTTTGACTGTTGTTATTTCCCTTTAGTTTTACTCTCTTCTTCAGTAAAACAGGTAGAATTACCATATCCCACTCTAAGGGGTAGTTGAGGCCCCTGGAGAAGTCTGGAGAAAGGAGACCTCCAGAGTTGATGCCATCTCTTCCTCCTCTCCAGGTGTTCTTTACTTTATGAATGAAGCCAGAGCAGCCCACCTTCCTGCATCTCTACCACCATGGCACCATGCCCTGTGATGGGTGGGCTGGAGTCAAATATGTAGCAGGCAGCCAGGTAAGTGATGCGCGCCGTGGACGGCCCTGCTCCAGGCCCTAGTAAGGCAGGTCTGCTGGGCTGGTCTGCTGGGCTGAGTCCCAGCTCAGGAGACCTGCATCCCTGGAATATCATGGCTGGTCTCTAACTTTTCCCTTCCCTGAGGTCATGAGACCAGGCCTCTGCTCCCATTTGTCCCTGTGGCTCCTCAGAGCTCTCGGGCTACCCCTCTCTGGGATGGGGAGGTGGCTGCTGGGAGATGCTCATAGCCATCAGCCCAGAGAACACAAAGGTAGTAGAAACATTCTCATTGAGCATCTCAATAACTCCAGCCCTCCATCATCACGATCTCAGATGGCTCATGCCGGACCTCTGCAGGATAAGGTCTTTCCAGGGATTCTCTGTGGAGATTGCAGAGGTGCTCTCTGCAGCTTGGAGGATTGAAACATCAAAGAGAACTCCCACACCACAGCTAAGCCCAGCTCCACTTATTTTCCTTTATCTCCCCACACCCCACTCTGCAGCCTTCTTCATAGGGATGCTTAATTCTTTGGTCCATGTCTTCATGGACTGGCCAGGTTGTGGCCTTCTATGTGGCCCTGCTTCTGGTGGAAATGATATCTTACCACCCTACAGCTGGTAAGGAGATCTCATTGGCTCCAGGGGCCTTGGCTGAACCCTTGGTTCTATTCTTGGCTTGTCACTCTATACCAGTGACTTGGCATCTGCCCATAAACAAGCCCTCTCATCCTTAGATCTTCCTTAGCTTCCTAACTTGCAAGGGCCTCGGTAGCCATCTCATCAGATCCTGGAACTAACCCTAACTCACTGGCACAGTGTGGGACTTTGAGCAAATGGCTTCCATGCTCAGGTCTCAATGTCATTATCTATAAAATGAGGGCCTCAGCCAGATGACCTCTAAGCATTAATATCCTGTGAGTCTGTGATCACCGATTGCACCCTCCAGGTGCCTGGATGTCTTGCAGTTTTGGGAGAACCACTGCCCCCCAGATGGTGATGACAGCCTAAAGTGTCCCATACGGGGCTCTGGATAGACTGAGTTTATCATCAGGGCCACCATGACATGGCTGGATGGGGGAATTGGGGAAACCACGACCAGGAGAAGGGTCAAGAAGATTCTTGGGATCATGGGGTGGAAAAAACTGACTGCTCTCCCTTCTCTTTCTTCTCATGCTTTCTTTTGCCCAGGGTCAGTTTGTGGCCACTGCTGCCCCCTCTTCCTACAGTCTCCTCACTGAGTGCCCCTTCCCTGTTGGGTTCAACACATCTGTGCTCCTGTAAGCCCTCAGCCTCCTCGTTCTCTTCCTCAACTTCTACCACCAGACACATCTGAGAAGCAAGCAAGAGAGGCTGAACTAGGAGCAGGACCCAGGGACTGAAACCAGCACAGCATCCCCACAGAGAATTGGGTGGAAGGCAGCATGGCTTCCAGCTTACTGGTGCTGAGCAGATTGCTCTGGGTCTCCATTGTATCCTCTGAAGGAAGGAGGAGGATTGCCTTCTGTCCAGATCTCAGGATCAAACAAATAGGTCCAATTTCCTGTGCTCACTTCAGTTAGAGCACTTCTCATGTGACTTTGTAGCTTTGTGTGCATCTCCTTCCTCTACTAGACCTAAGCCCCTCACGGGAGGGACTCTCTTATTCTTGATGTTCCCCACACCTGGAATTTCAATAAACATCTCAATAAACGTGTGTGTTTGGATCCTTGGATCCCATGACTGCCGTCATAACCTTGGTGAAGAAGAGGGCTGGGAGTAGGAAAGAGGTCAAGGTTCGCTTGATCTCTAACCCTATAGTGGGAAATTGTGACGGAGAATATTCAAGAGTGGGTGTGGGTCTGTTTGATTTCAGGTGTAGCTGTGTAAATAGTTAGCCCTGCATATATTTTTGTCTACTCACAACTGCCTGCATGTGTATTCATAGAGTTGTGTGATTCTGTGTATGTGCCTGGGGAGTGGGAGAGGGCCATGTGCACATGTCTGAATACTTGTTTTCAAATATACATGCATGTTTCCATTTGGGTTTCTCTCCATTTGTGTTGTTTGCCTGCCTCTTCTGTAAGTCTCTGAAAGTGCCACATTGGCAAATAAAAGCCACTGGGATCAATAATTCTCCTGTTCTGATGGGAGACATGGAAGCCCACTGAGAAATCTCCGAATACATGTTCCACTAAGAGCTTCCAAAAATAAATGGGAAAAAAGGAGAAATGGGGCACACCCATCTTCTTCACAGAGAGGGAAACTGAGGACCAGCAAAGGGGAATATATGACTGAGATACTATGGCAGAAGCAAATATTGGCTGAGCTGTTCAAACCCAGAATAGGATGGGTTTCTTGAAAGCAGTTTGCCTGGGAGCTGTCTCTATGTCTCCAGTATGATGACTTTTCTCCTTTATAATTGCCCTTCGGCTGTTTTTCATCTCTAGGTAAGTTCTTATTTTGCCATGCCTCAATAGTCAAGAAAATTAAAGAATTGCTGAAGGTTATGCAGTGCTATTTGGGGACTGTGTCTCCATCTGGCCTTTTAGTTAATCAACCCAAGGCCAGGCAAGGCTACATCCTGTGGACAGAATACTCAGAGAAAATTCCCTCTAAATTACGCAGGATGTGAGCACATTCCACACCTTTTCCATGCACTGGTTGAGTGCCTTTGGGTGGGCGGTGGGGGGTGGTGAGGTGCTTATTTTAAGGCAAACTGTTATATTTTTTTAAACACAGGAGTAAGGTTTGTTCATTTGCTTAGCAGCCAAGGGAAGGGAAAAATTAGTCACTTCACAGTTTAGCATTAATATTTGCCCAGTTCTTTGTGGCTGCCTCTGCCTGATAAAGCAGCGCAAAGGGAAATGATATGTTCCAGGTCACGTCTGAATGGAATGAGACTTTTGCTGGGGAGAGCCTTTGTGAGGCAGTGTCCCAGAGAGAGTTTGGGGGAAATTCTCAATGGACTGAAGGCCCTTCATTTTTCTATCCTGTACTACTATGTAACAACTCCAGCTCTGATGTAGGAGTGCTTTGTAGGTATTGTTCATTAGTGTAGGTTGATTGTGTGAATATGATAAACCAAAGTGGTTTATATTTAGCAAAAATACCAAAATTCTTAACTAATATTGTAGACGTTCATCTCTATGAACTGTTTAAGATAATGACAAGGAAGGGTGGTGGTAGACATTTAAGTATATAACATAGCAGGGCTGGGCTACTGCTCAGAGAAAAGGAGGCTCAGAGTACTGGGAGGGAATGTTCCAGAGACAGAAGTAGGGGGCAGGCCCCCACCCCCTGTCTCCCATGAGCTTCCAGCAACTGACGGTTTGGGCTCCTGGCTGTCACCTCATAAATCAGAGTACATCTAATTGAGAGATAAAAACCACCTCCCAGTGGCCTTCATTGTCCTCTTCCTGCTAAAAATTCTGTGGAGACCTCTCCTCCCAACCCACCCCCATACATACTCCACTGTCCACTCAGCTGACCACATGTCCCCAAGAGCTGCTGCAGCCTGACCAGTCCTCTTGGAGCCAGGAATCAGAAGAAAAGATGATTTGATTTCCTCCTTTCCTACCCTCCCTTTCTCTTTTTCTTGCAATTCTCCATATACATGGAGGAACATCTTTCTAAAGAAGCAAGTGCTTGCTTTTTGTCCTCGGTCCCTGAGTACTCTTTGGGCAAAATGTTTGTTACAAAGGAAATGGAGAGCTTTAATGGGGCTTTTGAAATTCAAACCCTCCCAAACAGGATTTAAGGTCGCCCAGTGTGAAAGCTTCAGCTGTTCTGTTAGACGCTGGACAGGGATATGTGGTGGGAAGAGGAGGGAATAGAACACTGAGAAATAAAAGACCCTGGTTTCAGGAATCTTGTATTTTAGTGGGGGTAAGGCATACAAAGGTGTCTGAATAAAATTAGGGAAGAGTGACTTAAACCAGCCATGCATAACAGCCATTATAAAGTTAGAGACACATTCGCGAGGGAGGCAGTTCTGGATTCTCAGAACATCTGAGCTCAGAATCTACCTTTGTCCTCTTCCTGGCTGTGGGAGGGATGCTGGGCAGTTCACATCATTTTTTTTTTTAGTGCATTTTTCATGTATAGAATCAGGATAGGAGGTGCATTTGGCTCTAATAAATATACTTTGGTAGAATAATAACACAGTCATTACAAACCCTTCTTGAAAAATATTTAATAATTTAGCAATGCAATGTTAAATAAAAAAGTAGGAAAATCTCTATTTTGAAAAGAATTATATATAAAACATAAACACGGAAATGTTCACTAGATGGTGAAATTATGGATTTTTTTATTGTTTTGTATTTTCCTGTTTTCTGCAATGCCTATTTTTACTCATAAAAATTTAATATTATAATGTGATGAATCCAGGATTGTTATTCTTTTTTTCTGATGATTATTGAAGTATTTATTTGATCTGCTAATCAGGTCTTCATTATTGACCTGCATACTTGACCCCACTGTTGACCTCTCATGCATTCAACACACAAATATTGGGGGTTTGCTGCCTTCTAGGCACTGAGCTGGGTCTTGGGGGTCCAGACACAAAGACCAGACTTGATTTTCATTGTAAGGACCATGTAAATGCTTACAAAGTAAAGCCTTTAGCCACATCCACTGCTCTAGGGAAAGTAAAAAAGCCAGTCTGGTCAGAGGGTGGGAGTGAAAGGATTTTGTGCCAAAAAGCAAAAAAAAAAAAAAAAAAAAAAAAAAAAGAGTGAAAATGGGGCGGGTTGCTAATCTCCCTGAATCAAGTCTTCCTGTGGCAACCTCATTCTTGGGCAGAATGGGAGAAAATTTTTGCAATCTACTCATCTGACAAGGGCTAATATTCAGAATCTACAAAGAACCCAAACAAATTTACAAGAAAAAAACAAACAACCCCATCAAAAACTGCGCAAAGGATATGAACAGACACTTCTCAAAAGAAGACATTTATGCAGCCAACAGACACATGAAAAAATGTCCACCATCACTGGCCATCAGAGAAATGCAAATCTAAACCACAATGAGATACCATCTCACACCAGTTAGAATGGCGATCATTAAAAAGTCAGGAAACAACAGATCCTGGAGAGGATGTGGAGAAATAGGAACACTTTTACACTGTTGGTGGGACTGTAAACTAGTTCAACGATTGTGGAAGACAGTGTGGCGATTCCTCAGGGATCTAGAACTAGAAATATGGTTTGACCCAGCCATCCCATTACTGGGTATATACCCAAAGGAATATAAAACATGCTGCTATAAAGACACATGCACACGTATGTTTCTTGCGGCACTACTCACAATAGCAAAGACTTGGAATCAACCCAAATGTCCAACAATGATAGACTGGATTAAGAAAATGTGGCACATATACACCATGGAATACTATGCAGCCATAAAAAATGATGAGTTCATGTCCTTTGTGGGGACATGGATGAAGCTGGAAGCCATCATTCTCAGCAAACTATCGCAAGGACAAAAAACCAAACACCGCATGTTCTCACTCACAGGTGGGAATTGAACAATGAGAACACTTGGACACAGGAAGGGGAACATCACACAATGGGGCCTGTTGTGGGGGAGTGGGGGGAGGGATAGCATTAGGAGATATACCTAATGTAAATGACGAGTTAATGGGTGCAGCACACCAACATGGCACATGTATACATATGTAACAAACCTGCACGTTGTGCACATGTACCCTAGAACTTAAAGTATAATAAAAAAATATAAAAAAAATAAACATTATGCACATCTAAGAACTAAATTTTGCACAGACCATGGACTCATTCCATGTTAATAGGGAGGTTTCTTGGAGTAAGAATCTAAGGGATGTTAACGGAAAAAAAATTAATCAATGATATGTGTTAAAGCAAGATAAGGATGATTTTATTAAAGACCACTGTGAAAGGTATGCGGACCACTGCAAAGGGGTCTGGCTGTTGGGGAGAGAGATTGGGCTCAACTCTGAATATAGCATGGGCAACTGGAAATATATAGCCAAGGAACAGGGTGGGAGGTCAGTGGATGGAAAATTACTAAAAGGAACATCAGGGTACGGGGCATTCTGGCTAAACTGACCTCATGGACTCTTGCTGAAGATAGGCCAGGGTGAACATACATCACCAGGGACATTTGAACTGAGTGCCCCCATTTTTTTCTAGGAAAAAGAATGAGTTATTATTATTTTTTATTATTTTCTCTTCTCTCTCCTTTCCATCTAGCCCTTTAGGAATGCAAATATAACCTTTCCCTTCCCCCTCACCAGACATTCCCTGCAGGGCAAGTTCTTCTAACTGTGTGCTCCAAGATAGATATCTCTTCCAGAGCTGACAGTGGATTTGCAGGCCAAAGCACACCCTCCAGGGAACTGTCACCTCCAGCAGGTGGCCTGGAACTTCCACCCTCTGGGAATTGCCTCAAGACTTTCATCCACCAGAAGGGCATATCAAAAGCATGCCAGCTTGACCCCTTTTCCAACTTATTTCTGCCCAGGAAGGTATGACTCAAAGGTCTGGTAGATAAGACACCAAGCTTGCAGGAGGAACCCCTGCCCTTGCTCACTTTCCCCCTTACCTTGTAAAAGTGTCTGTTATCTGCTCCAGAGGTGAAGCAGCACATTTAAAGGCAAGAAGTTTTGTGCCCCTTCCCCAAGCTCACTTCGGAATAAATTCACTATTTTTGTACCAAGTCTTACTCTTGTTCATTGGATTCTGCATGTGGCAAGAAACTGACCTGTGTTTTGGTTACAACATAGTGGAGGACGAAGAACCTTATCAGAAGTGAAGGGTGATCAGGTATCAAGAATGGGAGATTATTTGCTAAAACTAGACTTAGGAGTACACAGATGGACCTAGGAGAAGGTTCGAAGCCTGATTAAAGTTTGGCCAAGCAGAGACTGTTTGTCAGGGGAGGCCAATAATAGTCTTCACATCTATAGCAACAGTACATTGATAGTACCGAGTGGTAGCTATCTTTGAACTACAGCTCTATCAAGTTTCAGTTGACCTTAATATCTAATGACTCTTATTAGTCATTGAACAAAATGCACTCCATAAATGAAGAGACTTGTCAAGAATTAATATATTGACAGAGCTAGGGTTGGGACCTCGGCTTCTTGACTCCCTATCTGGGGCTCTGTGTCCTAATGGACTGGGTCAAGACGAAAATAATTTCTTCTTATAGGGCAGTTCGCACACCCTGGAACTGAATCCTATCTTGTAATGTAACTTATCCTACTAAAAAAATTGATACTAGGCTTCTATATTCTGCTATCTACCGCCATCCTGTGTCTTTGCCTCCCCTCTTTCTTTTACAAATATAGTGCTTCTGTGGCAATCAAAGTTACCATTCAGTTCTCTGGTTGCAAAATATCAAGATGGGATCAGGATGAGAAGAGGGGAAAAGGGAGAAGATGCAGAGGAAAGAAAGGTAAAAATAGACTACTTTTAAAAGAAGAGGAAAAAAACGGTATGTATGCGTATTCAGATTCTCAAAGAGCCAAAAACGAAACACAGGTGCGTCTTTCAGAGCTCCAGAATCAGACCTGAAGACAGCAGACTTCTAAAGACTGTCCAGCGGTCTCCATAATTGCCTACAGTCATGTTTCTGTAACTCATTCCTCATTACTGGTACCTCCTGGTCCTTCTGCTCCACCATTTCCTGGTTTCTACAACTGGCCCCAAGGTCACTGATGATGTTTATGACTTTCTCCTCCACTCTATTGTGAATTCGGATGCCTTTTAGCCCTGCCTCAGATAGCAAGGATTCTTAGCTTAGTGTAGAAACACATTTCCTACATGTTCCCTAAAAAAAAATCACTGTTACACTTCAATTAGACACCTAAATGTCTATGACTAGTACCTCAGTATACACTATACAGCCTCTTTCTTTGAAGAGCCTTTGCAGGGACTGAATGTGGCACAAAATAGATGAAACAGTTATAAAAAAAAGTTATGTTTTTATATTAGAGTTGAGAACCTTGCAGCTTGTGAATATGTGAACTCACTGTAAGGGGCTCGTCTAGGTTTTTCAACAATTGCTGTGGCGGCTTTGTAATGTGTCAAGTGGGCCAGGCTGAAATATGTTTCCCAGAATTCTTTTCCCTGCAAGTTCCCAGTTAGAGTGGGGAATAAGAGACATTTTTGCTTGAAATTTGAAGGACAAAAGTGAAGTGGCAGCCGTGTTACTTTTCACTGTCAGAAGGTGGGGCAGGTGCTTCTGCAGCTCAGGCACATTGTCACTGATCTGTGACTCATGCCCTTGGGGTGGCGGCAGGTGGGCCTGCACATGTTCTGCTTTTCTCTGAATCCTTCACCAGCTTCTCTGATTCCTGGACCAGGTATGTGTTTTAGCTCCATGACAGAGGGAGCCACCTTCCCCTTTAGGACAAGCACGTCATCAGGGTTGGAGGCAGTGAGGACAGAGATATGGGCTCCATTCTGCCCTGAGGGGCCCAGCTTGTCTTTGCCTTCTCCCACATTACATCCACTTTCCCTTCTTTTTTTTTTTAATTTACAAAAAGTAGGCCATGTTTATTAGAGTCACACACAGTTGACTGTCTCAGTGTGACTCAAGACCACGAAAAACCCATTTCTCCTTCACTTCTGAGTCCTGGGGTTAAGACCTAGACCAGCAGGCGTACTGCTTGGGCTCCATTCACAGGTTTACAAGTTTTTCACTGAGGGCAATCTGTGACTGTGTGAGGTTGGCCAGGTAGGTCACCATCAACAGGTCGTTGATGTTACCGTTGAGCATGATCTCGAAGTCATCGGGAACTATTTTGGGTACTTGGTTAACCAGGTTCACCAGGAAGCGGCCAACCGACACCTTTCCAGAGAGTACATCCTCTGCATATTGCAACACTCTGCTCAAGGCATCCCGGATGCGAGCGGATGCCCCTCCTACTTGCTGCAAGTCACCTGAGAGTCCAATCACTCTGTTGGGGCTAAAGCAGGTCTTCACGATCAGGTCAACTCCAATGCGTTCAGTGTCACAGTATACATATTTCACTGTCAGAGGTGTGAACATC
Organism: Homo sapiens; assembly: GCF_000001405.40. Classification (NCBI taxonomy): domain Eukaryota; kingdom Metazoa; phylum Chordata; class Mammalia; order Primates; family Hominidae; genus Homo; species Homo sapiens. The sequence goes on from NC_000012.12 coordinate 5,032,922, forward strand.
ACTGCCATGGTCCTCCCAGGCTTTCTTTCTCCACAAGATGGCCACACCGGCGGTACCAGCAAGTGCTCCTCCAGCCACGCCAGCCCCAGCCCCGGCAGCGGTCCCAGCCTCAGTTCCAGCACCAATGCCAGCACCGGCTGCGGCTCTGGTTCCCACTTTCCCTTCTTGATGCATTCCCTGGGGCCCTGGAGTTCCAGCATCTGACAGAAAGACAGTAGCCCTATAGAGACTCTCAACCAGCTCCCGGGATTGCATAGGGTCGAGTCCCTGTAATTGATTATTTACTACACATACCTCTTAGAGGTTCTGCGTTTCTGCTTGCACCCTGACCAATACAGCCTCCTTGCAATGTACACAAGCTTCACAGACTCACTGAAAACCTGGAGTAAGAAATGGGGACAAGGCCACTGCAGTTCAGCCCAGGCAACAAGAGTGAGACCTCATCTCTTAAGAAAAAAAAAAATGACCCAGACGTGGTGGCTCATGCCTGTAATCCCAGCATTTTGGAGGCCGAGGCGGGCTGATCACAAGGTCAGGAGATTGAGACCATCTTGGCTAACACGGTGAAACCGCGTCTGTACTAAAAATACAAAAAATTAGCTGGGTGTCGTGGCACACGCCTGTAGTCCCAGCTACTCGGGAAGCTGAGGCAAGAGAATCGCTTGAACCAGGGAGGGCAAGGTTGCAGTGAGCCAAGATCGCACCACCGCACTCCAGCCTGGGTGACTACTCCATCTCAAGAAAAAAAAAAAAAAAAAGGAAAGATGTCCTGAGGCAGTATGTGTACCTGCATGAAAACTGGAGTGGAGAGAGTAGCTGACAAAGGTTACATGGTCTTCCTGTGTTTTCCTACTCGGTAGATGGACAATGATAAGAATGATGGCAACGGAGCAAACCCTGACTGGGGCTTGTGGGGTCCCAGTTACTTTTCATGTATCATCAATCTGGGTGATAACCTGGCGGGCTGGATGCCATCTTCTCCTCTTTCAAATGAGAGACATGAGGCTCAGAAAAGTTATAGGACTTGCTCTAGGTAACACAGAGCATAAATAGTGTCATGGGATCCAAACCCAGATTTTTCTACTCCAAAGCTTGTGATCTTTCCCTCTGCCTCGCTGCATAGCCCCTACAGCTTCCTAACTCACAGGAAATTCCTGTGTCCTTTGGTTGGCTCTATTTATAGTCTTTCTAAAGAGGAATGTGTTGGGCCCTCTTCCTGGCATGAAATCTATCTTTAAAATTTCATTTATTAATAAACACATAGGGCCTGTTTTGTGCCAGACACTGGTCTGAGCAGTTTACAAATATTAACTAATTTAATCTTTACAGCAACTCTGTTATATTACTACTATTAATATAGTAGTAATAGGATTAGTGCCATTTTACAGAGAAGGAAGTGAAGGGACAGGGAAGCTAAGTGTTTTGCCCCAGGTCACACAGCCAGTAAGTTTTGCAGAGTCAGAATTCACACCCATCACCATGTATTGCTGCCCTTTCCTTCAGAGATTCGGACTTCTCATCCTAGCCTGTCTCCTCTTTCCTGTGAAAGCTGAGATGATGGGCTCAGGGGCTCAGAGTTCCCCCAAAGGAAGGCCCTGGGTGAGCCTGAATCTTTACAAATGTCCATAACGAGGTGAAAACTGGCATAGCCCAGCAGTGGCTTCTGGTGACTATCAGTTCTGTCTCAAAAAGAAAGTGCTTCTTTATTTCCAGTGTTTCTGAAGTGCTAATGGCCTCCACAAAGGCTCCTTCCTTTGAGATTGAAAACCAAACCTCTGACGTTCCACAGCTGAGTCTTGGTGGCCTTAACTTTCCTTTCTCTCAACAGCTTCCTTTTCATCTCACTCCTTCTGATCTCAACCAGGCTGCACAGATCTGACTCAGGCAGGAGCCAGGAGGCAGCAGGTGGAGCTGCCTTGGTTGGCTGAGGAGCCAATAGGCTGCTCCCCCGTCAGAAGTCACATAGACGATCAGGTCTGAAACTTCTGCCTCTTGAAGTCACTTGGGTTTGACAAGATGTAAGGCATTCCACCTTTTAGAGATTCTTGTGTATGAACAAGCAATGTCGTGGGAGCTCTTCGGGGCTCTCAGTTATTCATACCTTATCATTGGCTTTTCTCCAACTGTCCTTGAATAGTACTTGATGTAAGTAAGGCCAGGGTGAGAGAAGGGTATGGAGAGTTAGCAGGAGAACCCCAGTGAAAAACATCCTCTGCTGTACAGTCCTTCAGAGGAGATGCCCCAATAATGGCATAGCAGTGACCAGCAGCCACCAGGGCTCTACTGTTTACTACTCAAGAGACCTTCGACAATTCGTGTACCTGCATTAGTCAGTTTCCTTATCTATACACTGGAATTAACAATAACATCTACTCCTTAGGGCTGTTTTGAGGATGCAGCATTGTGGAGTATGTGAAAACTATAGTTCAAGGTTGGGCATATAACAACAGCTCAAGAAATGTTAACTATTACGATTACATAATAGGCCCCAGTTTAAATGCAGTTTATTTTACACAAACCCTATTGTAACCATGAACTCAATGTTGCATTTCCCATTTTATAGGTTAAAACATTAGACAGGATAAATTAGCTGCTCAAACCTTATAGGTAGTGGTCAGAGGTGTAGAGTGGGACTCAACCATTGTTTTCTGCCTGCCAATGTCATGCTCATTACATGGCCTAGAGAGGATGCTAGCAGCCAGGCCCTCCTCACCTCAGCCCAAAGACAGACAGACAGACACACACACACACACACACACACATTGCAATTTTGCCTTATTCCTGGGCTCTAGGAAAGCAGCCTTCACCACTTGGTAACTGGTTTTCAATGTTATCCAGTTTAGTAGAGTAATACCAGGGAGCTGAGAGTCACCAGGCCCTTCACAAAGTCAGCCGTGGGGGCGTTTGCCAGTCATTTCTTTGTCGGCAAAGACAAAAGCTTTGAAGCTCCATCGAAAAATGCAATGGGTGGTGGCCAAGCCTCAGCTGAGAGTGTGAGAGTCCTTATTGCGATCCTCAATATCATATTCCCACAGTTGGCATCAGTCCGCTACAAATAAGGAAGTTATTTCTCAAGATTAGTAAAAAAAAAAAAAAAAAGAAAGAAAGAAAAAAGAAAAAAGAAAAGAAGGAGGGTGGGAGGGTGGGGATTTCAGCATTGGGCTGGGGAGGGGCTAGGAAGACGGCAGACATTAAAATAGCAGCAAATGAATACCGTGTGCTTTCAGACACGCCGCAAGATTGGTAATTCTGCTGAGATAATTGCCCTTCCCCAGATTACTGTCTTTATCAGGGAAAGAAATGATTGCTATGTGTGAGAAATCACACTGTCTCTTGCTCCATGAGAAGTGGCAGTGATTAATGAGAGACCAGGCTTCCAATTTGCAAATATTCCATGCATGCACCGGACTTCAGGAGTAGAAAGACAGCTTTCAGAGAATAAGCAAACACGATAAACTCTTCCTCCACAGACCTGGAGACTGAGGCACCTCGTGGTATGACTCAGTCTTTAGTATCACCTTTCATCTTCCTGGAAGTCCGGGTCTAAATTTTTATGACTTGATGCTATTGGCTGCTTGGGGTCTTTTTCTCTGCATCAGAGAGTTTGCCTGCTGGTGAGACCACTGGACCCCACAGATCTGGGTTTTAAGCCAGGGTCTTAGGTTGTTCAGCCTCTGTTCTTCCTCGAGAGCAAATCTCCAAATGTTTGCTGACAGTAAAATGTAATGATTTGACTAGCTGATCTCTTAGGTCTCTTGCGTCTCTGGAAGCCTCATCCTATGAGTCTCCCAGCATACTTTAGAGGGACAAAAAACAGTGTGGTAGCAGAATAATGGTCCTCCAAAGATGTCCACATCCTGATCCCTGGAACATGTGGACATGTTACCACATGGCAGAAGGGATTTGGCAGATGTAGTTAAAATAAGGATCTTAAAATGGAAATTATCTTGAATTATATAGATGGAACAAATGTAGTCACAAGGGTTCTTAAAAGCTAGAAGAGGGAGGCTGGAGAGTCAGAGAAGGAGAGGTGACAAAGGAAGCAGAGGTCAGAGTGATGCAGTTGCTGGCTTTGATGATGGAGGAGGGGGCCATGAGCCAAGGAATATGGGTGACCTCTAGAAGCTGGAAAAGGCAAAGACACAAATTCTCCCCTGAAGTCTCCCAAAGGAACCAGCCCTGCTGACACCTTGACTTTAGCCCAGAGAGACCTGTTTGGGACTTACGACCTCTAGAATTGCAAGATAAAAATTTTGTGTTGTTTTAAGCTACTAAGTTTGTGGCAGTTCGTTACAGCAGCAATTGGAAAACTGATATTACCAGGAAGGCCTGGACCAGATGATGAGGGTCTCTTACTGTGACACCGACCACTTAGGGTATCTGCCATGCTGAGGCTAAGACCCAAGGAAACAATTTGCCTCACTTTCCACTAAGCTAGAAGATCATGGCCACATCATTGGGTGAACAAAAATAGAGGCCACTAATTACCCCAGTGGTCACTGTAGACAATTAATACAGATAATTTGGGGACTATGCATGTACTTGTCAGCTGTTAAATTTCACAGACTAACTAGCATTAACAATACCAAGTATAATAATTGAGTACATATATTCCACCAGAGCTTTAATACTTAGAGCAACTGCAAGAGGTGGGTACTAGTAGTGTCTAATTTACAGATAGAGAAACTGAGTCGTAGAGATGCTGAGTGTCACATGAGTAAGGCATATTGCTGGAACTCTGGCTAGGTCTACCCCAGTCCAGATCCCAAACTCTTATCTAAGAGAATTTTTCTCCCCGCCCCAGAATTCCTTATGCACCATGGCACCCAGTAAAAGAATCAGCCCTGTAGGGCAATGTTCTAAAACTTTGACAGGCATCAAAATCACCCAGAGAACTTGTAGAAACAAATTCCTGGGCCCAGTCTCCAGATGTTCTAATTCAGTAGGTCTGGGGATGGGATTAGGAAATTGCATTTCTGATACATTTATAGGTGACCTTGATACTGCTGATCCATGGACTGCATTTTGACTAGCAGGCCTCTGGAAGCCATTCCATCCCAGCCCCCAGGTCCGGTTACATCCAAACCGTGGTGGAGCCTTAATCCCATTCCGTGACTAAACCAACTTTTTGCCAAATCGAAATAAAGAGAACTTATTTTGATAGGACATTGGGAAAAATGGGTGCAAAGGCTCATATTACGCACATCTTTGTCTGCCTGGACTGCGGGAATTGTGTCGCAACCACTTGATTTTTCCCGCCTTAGAAGGGATGTTGCTTACATAATAATAAAATCGTCTTACATTTGCTTAGCATTTTTAAAATAAAGTACTTTAAAAACTATGTCTTGATACATAAGTTGAATTCATAAATATATCTTTATACAATGTGGACAATAATCTAGCCAGAAAAGACATATATTCAGTTGAATATACTTTATATTCAAAAGTAGTTAATGAATGCCTTCCTTGGTCTGGGCACCTAAGCAGAGAGTTAGAAAATAAGAGTTGCAGTTGTTTTGAGGACACAGAAAACAATTCAAACAACGTCTAGCCCTAAACTACAAATGAAGCCGTTGGTTCATAATTTCACAGTTAGGTTTTCATGTTATGGGAGTAGAAACCTTTGAGATGTCTGAGGGAGGAAAAGATGGACAAGAGAAAAAGAGAGTCTGAGAGAGGGTGACAATGCACCTGTAACCCACCAGCCTGCCCGTGGAGGAGGGAAGGGAAGGAAAGGAGAGAGAGAAGAGCAGCACTCACAGGGCAAGCTGTCCCTTGAACCCCCAGCCCCTGTGTGTTTAGGATGCTTTATTTTCTATGTCTGGCCTTTGAAAATGCACTGGATTTAATGAATCCATTAATGAATTTATTCCTGGATTATACCTAGAGAGGGAGAGAGGAAAAGAAGAAATCAAGCTCCAGATGGGAGCCTTGATTTGTGTGAATGGGCTCTCATATTAATCTTTCTAAACAGGAAATCCTAGTAGCCCTCGGAGGTCTCTGTCAGGATCTGGGTCGGTTTAAGCATAATCTCCTGCTCTCCCGCAACCCTTCGCCTCCTTCCTGCCCCCCCTCCCCCTCCTGCTTCCATCTCTTAACATGCAAGTGACCAGCCACCTGTCCCCAGCACAGGCATGCATGTTTTGTTTTTGTGTTTTGTTTTACTCCATCTTTGTCACTCCCATCAAACAGGAAAGGAAGGTCATTTCCAGGGCTTCCTTCCCAAGGTGTTGGATTGAGGGGCCAGTGAGAAGGGAAGGGGAGGGAAGGGAAGAACAGCTGCCTCCTTCATTAAAGTGTTTTTGTTTTTTTGGGTTTTTTTTTTCTGCAGATCTATGAGGCTAATGCATCCAGGATAGAGGATTAGGTGAGAGACAGCTTCAGTCTTTTGCTGATTAATACACTATTACCAATTATTGCTTGACAATCCATCTTTGCCATGCATTATGGAATAGTGATGTACCATGGAATTACAGACTCTGTGATATTTGGCAGTAAGACCCAGTCTACCAAGGACCTGTTAATCAAGTTCTCCTTATTTATGTATGTATGTATTTATTTATTTTTAAAGAAAGGTGCCTTAGTATGGTTTATTTTGACCAAGCTGTCTTCTCTTTGGCTCTTGCTGGTCCAGCCTAAGAAGTCCTGAGCCCTTGTTTCCCACTTCCAATGCCTCCATGTTGAGACCTGAGGTGACTATAGCTCTGTTTATTATATGAGTAACACATAGATGCTTCCTGTATCTATGAACCCCCTGCACCACAAAGGAGGAAAATCAATGTCTGACAGAAAGACTACTGGCATAATTTTTGCCTCCCTCTGTCCCTTTAAATGCTTTAGATGATGAAAGATGCTGGCCAAGGAATGGTGGGGAGGTTGGAGAAAACAAGTTTTCTCTAATCTGGGGCTGACAGCCTCCCTTGTGGAGAAGATACAATGCTGGTTTTGCTCAATTTTCTTTTTTAATGGAGGGAAAACTTGGGGAAGTCAGGCACAGGTGTAATGGGGGTAAGTTGGAATAACTGGTTTACCAGAGGAATAAAAAAGAAGCTGGAAAAGCAGCTCCGAGCGCACTTCTCTTACTCAAGCTCTCTGGACCATGCCTGGGTTTCCTGGTGGAGCCCTGCCAGAGCTGGCTAGGGATGCTTTAGAGATGTGGTCTTTTCAGCAGCAACCTCTCTTCCTCTTGAAAGAAAGGAGCAGAGGGATCCTGAGCCCCGAGACTTGGACAGACAGACTGGCTAGTATTTTTACCTGGCTGGCAGGGTGTGTCAGACAAGGCCACTGCTAGGATCCTGTCCTCACATTGGGCTTCCTGCATCTATGAACTCCCTGCACCACAGAGGAGTAAAATCAATGTCTGACAGAAAGACTAGTGGCATATTTTCTGCCTCCCTCTGTCCCTTTAAATGCTGTCCAATGGGGAAAGTTTTTCCCTGACCTAGTTGAAAATCCAGCAGGTCTCCTTGTTTTGTGTTACTCATATAATAAACAGAGCTATAGTCACCTCAGGTCTCAAACACAAGAAATTAAGCCATACAGTCCAAAATATGAAATTGTTGCTTTTTGCCCACAAAGTTGAAGTGGTCTGTGATAATGCAGTGGTATATAACCCGAACAAATGGTTATAAGTCTTCAGATGGTTAGGTCCCATCTCTACAACCACTTTGCGTACTTAGCTAATCTCAGAAACCACCTTTCAGTTCCTATTCCCAGGTTTCCCCTCCCTCGCTGCTCCAACAGCTGAATTTCCTTCCCCTAGTTCAATTGCGTTCAGTACATATTTAGTGAAATGCATAATATGGACGTGGCACCATGTTTGGTGTTGTGAAGAAAATCAAAGATCAATAAAAAATGTTCCTTGAGTTCAAAATATCTCTCTCTCTCTGTTAGCTCTCTCCCTCTCTCTCATCTACCTACCTATCATTTATAAATAGATAAATAGGTAACTAGAGAGTAGCTAGCTAGAAAGGTAGGTAGGTAAATAGATAGATAGATTGATGGATAGACAGATATAGTGTGGTAGATACCATTTGCAGATGCGATAGCTAGATAGCTAGATACATACATGCATACATACACAGAGATAAAAATCTATTCTTATGGGAATGTGATCTCTAGACAGGTGCATCAGTATCACCTGGGCGCTGTGTGAAATGCACTCTAAGCCCTACCCTGGTTCAGAGTCTGCATGTTAACAAGATCCTCAGGCAATGGTGCACATTAAGCACTGCTATAAAAGAGTTAACCTCGTAGGATTAGATAGTAAAGAAGGCAGCTTTCAGTTATACAATGTGTGCTCTGGGAAGAAGACAGAGATCGAGGTAGGAGTGTAAGAGGTTTACTGGGAGATAATAAAGAAAGTTAAAAGTGATAGGAAGAAGAATTCATTAGGGAAAGCATTCAGATTATGATGCTGATCTGGCACTTGTGAAAGGAAGGAGGGGAGGAAGAGGGGTTGGACAGAGTCTCAGAGTGGAATGTAGATCTTTCAAAGTCTTGGCCAATCTGCTGGGGAAATGCAGAGCAAAGATTGCCATTAGTGGAAATCTGCACTGAGTAGAAATGGCCAGGTCTTTGTAACCCTGCTGTGCTCAGAGGGCTACCCCAAAGGAGTGTGGCCCCTGCACTAAAGCTGAGGCAGTGCCAACAGCTGGAGCCTGTCAGCTAACTGCACTCTGGCAGTTGAAAAGCAAATTCTTTCTTTAAGGGAGATTTGAGCAGTATACCTCCATGGCTACCACATGTGACATCTGAAGGTAATTTTGCCAGAAACCTATAAGAACTGGCAAATGCATGGGAAACAGATTTAAGGAAATACCACATTAAAGGAGGCCTGGGTTTTGTGCTTTTCCTGGACTGTTTATGTTGTACTCTTATTCTTCAGGGAACAATCTCCCAGAAAGCCCCTGAAAGACAAGCTCCAGAGAATTCTTTCCTCTGGGGAGCCCGAGGAGAACCCAGGTGAACCAATGTAGCATCCTTATATTTACAAGATGCATGAATCAGTAGACAAGACTGTCATGGGTCTCTGACCTCACTGTCTGCAAGCTCAGTAAGTCCCAGGCTCCCCAGGAAAAATACCTGATCCTGACTGGCAACCTCAGAGCCAGAGAAGAATGAAAGCCCACTGGAGATGAAGCAGGGATGGCACAGATATGGGGAAAGGGGATGCAAGGCCCTGTGGTTAACCAGTGATGCCTTCACATACTGATTTTCATGTTCATACCCTTCCTCACTCATGCACGTCTGCAAAGACAGCCAACAATATGCACAGTCACACAGAATGAAAATACTTACGCACACCAAATTCACATCCACCTTCACATATAAACTCTTAAAAAGCCATATGCACACATACTTCTCAAACCTTGACCCAAGTTTGTGTGTCTATGCGCTGCTATTGCAACACACACTTGTGCACCCAGGACCAAGTTTCCAAATCACACCCTTTGGATAGAGACATTCATTGACAAGAGGTCCTAACTTCACGCATATAAATCTGAAGCAATATGCAGAAACAAAAATAGACAATGAAAACAGACATTCAAAAACACAGCCACTTTATGATAATTTAAAACCAAGAAACTTCTGGAGACTGTGTCTGGCAGTTCCAGACACACACCTTGAAACAGATTCCTCTTGGTTACCAATGCCTGCTAAAACCCTGCAGGGGTTGAGACAGGGCAGGGGAAGATTTCCTAGTGTCCCAACCTAGAAAGATTAATATGTTATATCAGCCATCATCCTGCCTTCTGCAGCAGGGAACTAAAGTTCTCAGGCCAGATGTTGGAGTGAGGGAGTGCTTGTATCAGGAAAAGGGATTATGCATTTCTATAGAGGAGTGAAATATAGGGGACAAGGGCCAAACTCTGATTGTTTGAGTTTGAGTTCCAGCATCATCAGTTTCCACCTGCATAAGCCTGGGTGAGTCTGTCAATCTCTCTGTGCCTCAGTTTCTTCATTTATAAAATGGTGATGATAATAGTACTTACAAAATAGGTTGCTGTAGGAATACACAGAGACAATATTTGTAAAGTGCTGAGAGTGGGCTGGTGCATAATGAGAGCCAAGTAAGTATTGGTTGTTATTATTCCATTCTTGGGAATGCTCCAGCCTTGGAGATTGGACAACCTCCCTGGCTCCCTCTCATAAGCCACCTCCACCCTCAGTCTCCTTCATGGACCTAGATGCAGTTGCTCGGTCCAAGATTCACCAGGCAGGATTAGCCCTCACCAGGATTGTAAAAATCGCTTCTCCCCTTCCCTGCTGTGGTTTTTGCAAATGGGATTCGTTGGAGCGGGTGGAGGGGTTCTGCTGGGTTGAGACCAGACAGCTCATCTCCTGACTAGGCTGCTTGCCTGGGCTGCCACCAGGTCTGTACTGGAAACAGGCTAGGGCATGGGAATCCTGCAGGGTTCCAACCCCCTTGTACATTTTTGTGGATCTGTAGGAAGACGGGAAGAGAGATGCTTCTCCATTGATACATGTATTTCAAGGTCCGTAACTACGTGGCCCCCCTCCCTTCTGTAATCCTTCCCAAAGAAATACCGTTATTTCTCCAAAATAAAAAGGACTGGTGTCTCCCGTCTCTGTCTCTCATACTCCGACTCAGCTCAAAGCCTCGTCCCTTTAGCCCAAGGCACTTCGTTCCTCCTGGAGTCCACTCGGCTTCCAGCGGGTTCCCAGGTGAACTGAAATCCAGAGCTATTCTCATCTGGTTGCCCTGGGAATTTCAGCGCTGTCGGTACAACCTGTTCCTCCATCCTCCCCACTCCTTCCCTCCCTCCGCTGGGCTGCACCCTTCTCAGCCCCTCCTTTCCCTTGCTAGGGGCCCCAGCTGCGCCCTCCGGGGAGACACCCGCTGCCACGAGACCCGGGAGGGGAAGCGGGAGGAGGGGGAGAGGAGGGGAAGGCGGGGGAGGCGCCGAGGGTGGAGGCCAAGCGCGGCGCAGCCAGAGAGGGGCGGCTGAAGGTTGCATCTGCTGGAAGGAGGCTTTTCGGCTGCTTGGTAACGGGCTGCCAGAAGAGAGAGAGGCAGAGAGCAGGGCAGCGGCTTCTTGACGTCAGGGCCAAGCGAGGGGATCGCGCCAGCAACCCCAGCTCTCCCCAGAGAGGGGCCGGCCGACCGCTGGAGCGGAGCCTGACGCCAGGCGCCCGCGGAGCGTGAGTAGGGGGCGCGGGAGCCGGTCAGCTGGGGCGCAGCATGCCCTCTGCTCCCGCGCCATGGAGATCGCCCTGGTGCCCCTGGAGAACGGCGGTGCCATGACCGTCAGAGGAGGCGATGAGGCCCGGGCAGGCTGCGGCCAGGCCACAGGGGGAGAGCTCCAGTGTCCCCCGACGGCTGGGCTCAGCGATGGGCCCAAGGAGCCGGCGCCAAAGGGGCGCGGCGCGCAGAGAGACGCGGACTCGGGAGTGCGGCCCTTGCCTCCGCTGCCGGACCCGGGAGTGCGGCCCTTGCCTCCGCTGCCAGAGGAGCTGCCACGGCCTCGACGGCCGCCTCCCGAGGACGAGGAGGAAGAAGGCGATCCCGGCCTGGGCACGGTGGAGGACCAGGCTCTGGGCACGGCGTCCCTGCACCACCAGCGCGTCCACATCAACATCTCCGGGCTGCGCTTTGAGACGCAGCTGGGCACCCTGGCGCAGTTCCCCAACACACTCCTGGGGGACCCCGCCAAGCGCCTGCGCTACTTCGACCCCCTGAGGAACGAGTACTTCTTCGACCGCAACCGGCCCAGCTTCGACGGTATCCTCTACTACTACCAGTCCGGGGGCCGCCTGCGGAGGCCGGTCAACGTCTCCCTGGACGTGTTCGCGGACGAGATACGCTTCTACCAGCTGGGGGACGAGGCCATGGAGCGCTTCCGCGAGGATGAGGGCTTCATTAAAGAAGAGGAGAAGCCCCTGCCCCGCAACGAGTTCCAGCGCCAGGTGTGGCTTATCTTCGAGTATCCGGAGAGCTCTGGGTCCGCGCGGGCCATCGCCATCGTCTCGGTCTTGGTTATCCTCATCTCCATCATCACCTTCTGCTTGGAGACCCTGCCTGAGTTCAGGGATGAACGTGAGCTGCTCCGCCACCCTCCGGCGCCCCACCAGCCTCCCGCGCCCGCCCCTGGGGCCAACGGCAGCGGGGTCATGGCCCCGCCCTCTGGCCCTACGGTGGCACCGCTCCTGCCCAGGACCCTGGCCGACCCCTTCTTCATCGTGGAGACCACGTGCGTCATCTGGTTCACCTTCGAGCTGCTCGTGCGCTTCTTCGCCTGCCCCAGCAAGGCAGGGTTCTCCCGGAACATCATGAACATCATCGATGTGGTGGCCATCTTCCCCTACTTCATCACCCTGGGCACCGAACTGGCAGAGCAGCAGCCAGGGGGTGGAGGAGGCGGCCAGAATGGGCAGCAGGCCATGTCCCTGGCCATCCTCCGAGTCATCCGCCTGGTCCGGGTGTTCCGCATCTTCAAGCTCTCCCGCCACTCCAAGGGGCTGCAGATCCTGGGCAAGACCTTGCAGGCCTCCATGAGGGAGCTGGGGCTGCTCATCTTCTTCCTCTTCATCGGGGTCATCCTCTTCTCCAGTGCCGTCTACTTCGCAGAGGCTGACAACCAGGGAACCCATTTCTCTAGCATCCCTGACGCCTTCTGGTGGGCAGTGGTCACCATGACCACTGTGGGCTACGGGGACATGAGGCCCATCACTGTTGGGGGCAAGATCGTGGGCTCGCTGTGTGCCATCGCCGGGGTCCTCACCATTGCCCTGCCTGTGCCCGTCATCGTCTCCAACTTCAACTACTTCTACCACCGGGAAACGGATCACGAGGAGCCGGCAGTCCTTAAGGAAGAGCAGGGCACTCAGAGCCAGGGGCCGGGGCTGGACAGAGGAGTCCAGCGGAAGGTCAGCGGGAGCAGGGGATCCTTCTGCAAGGCTGGGGGGACCCTGGAGAATGCAGACAGTGCCCGAAGGGGCAGCTGCCCCCTAGAGAAGTGTAACGTCAAGGCCAAGAGCAACGTGGACTTGCGGAGGTCCCTTTATGCCCTCTGCCTGGACACCAGCCGGGAAACAGATTTGTGAAAGGAGATTCAGGCAGACTGGTGGCAGTGGAGTAGGGAATGGGAGGCTTGCTGAACATGGATATCTACATTATACCGCAGAGTATTTGAAGTCACACTGTAACCTCAGTCTACCCCTCTCCTTTCACTCCTTTCCTCCCTCCCTCGATCCCCCCATTTTCTCTATTCTTTCCATGACACCCAAGGGTCGCCTATTTTTAAAAAGTACCACATTCCATGACGCAGGAGCTGTGGAAATGGTGAGCGCTGTGAGATGGATGTATTTGTAGCCAGTCTCCTATACCCAGCAGAGGGATAACCCAAACAAAAATGACTCTAAATAGCCCAGATCCCAAGAGATTATGTAACTCCTCCATCCATGTGTTCCAAATTTGCTTTACATATGATTGTATTTGTGTATAGGGGAAAATATTATTTTTATGCCTGGTAAGTGGCTTTTTGTACTGTAGTTCAGATAGAGATATTTTGGGTATATTTTCAAGATACATGTTGTATTTATGGAAGAAAGAGTTGTCCTGATGTTTTTCTGTGTTACTTATATTAGAGTCAGAGATCTTGGTATGGGCTGTTCTGTTTCCTGTGTCTCCAAGCCTCTGTCTTTTCTGGGATGTGGTATTGGTGCTTTGTGTCTAGGGCAGAGTATGTTCTTGAAGAAAGGCAAATCTGACTTTTTCTGTGCGCCTTAAACAATTCTTGTAACTTTCTTCAAAAAGCATTTTAATGATATTGGAGGAATACTTCTGATAATTTATTGTCTTTATTTTTATCCCAGGAAATAAAAGGTTACCTTGTTGAGGCAAGTGTTAGTTTTTCTGCAGCTGATACATTTTCTGAAATTTTTAAAAATAGTCTGTCACTGGCTGTTTCTGGTTTTGACATCAGAGCAAACGCATTGACTGGGGTTAGAGGAAATCTGAAAAGCTCATGATTTGCTTGGCGACGTCTTTTCAGTGCACCCCTTGGTGCCTCATAGACAATGGTGGGTGAATTTTGTCCAGGCTGTTTATGGCACGGACGCCCCTGTGAGATGCTCTCTGAAGCAGTAGTATCAGCCCTTATGGTCAGCCTGGAGTAGGGAGGGCACTTAAAGGAAAAAGGGGATCAGACCCCTGACAGTCTTATTGGGTCTCCCGGCACTGGCTTTCATTCCTTTGTTTGCAGGTTTTCAGCCCTCCTCAGGGTGGCTCTCAGCAGCTCTGAGAAAAGCAAGCCTGATTCTCACAGACATGAAGCAGTCCTGGCAGCCCCAGTGTGCGAGTCACAGAGGGACCTGCACCGGTTGTTCACTGCCCTCTTGGCATGGCAGAGGAGCACGTAATGTCTTTATGGCAACAGCAACAGTGAGAGGCCAAATGGAAGGATTTGCTTGTTCACATTAAGAGCTGTTTTCTGCAGATTGTGGCCTTGCCCCCAAGTAATCCCTAAACTCAGAACAAATCTCCTTGTTCCCTTGTCACTGGAAGGCTGCGGCAAAACATTGCAGTTGGCATAACACTAGCTAGCATTTCTCTCTGGGATTAGCTATCTGCTGATAGGAATCCGGAGCCCCACGGATTCCTGCTGTTGCTTTTTCTGCTGAATGATCCAAAGCTGGGGCTGTTTTACATCCTCACCAGGGTGGGCTGGTGGGCTGGAATCACACCTCCCCCAGGACAACAGTGGGCTTCACGGCTAGTTCTCAGGGTGTGGTCAGGTCTCCCTGTGGGTGAGAGGAGATCTATAAGTCAATGCCTGGGAATTGTGGGTTTAAATAAAATGGCCAGCACGGTAAGGAAAGCCGGGGTCTGCGAGTGCCCAAAGTCATTTCTAGCCAGAAGCTTTTAACACCAAATCTGAGGAGGAAACAGAAGGATTGTGCAGACAGGGCTCTGTTGATTTTCATTGCATGCTAAGGCAAAGGAAGAAGAACAGAGACACTTTATTTATTTATAATTTACAATCTGCCTAAAAGCAGGGCATCTTGCCAGAGCTCAACTGTACACGGTCTCACCTCCAAGCCCTCTCTGCCTTTAAAGCTAATGTTTGCAGTTTAGCACACACCTAGTGATTGGGACGGGGAAATCACCCTTAGGGCTCCAGCTTTCCTTAAAAACAAGCGATGTCACCACCTTTGACCTGAAGGTTTATTCCTTTAGGCTCAAGCAAATACCGAGAGAGAAGCCCCCCAGGCTTCCATGTCCAGGCTTCCATGTGTCCAGGTGCCTGACAAGATGTTGGTTCAATTAGAATGGACTGCATCTTTAAAATGTCCAGTAAACGGGCATAATCTTGTAGAAATCCTCAAGGATAGAGAGGAGGGAGTGAGAGAGTGAGGCTCCCTGTAATTTTTTTTTTGGGGGGAGGATATTGTGAAGCGGGTTTCCAAAAGGGACCAGAGTGATTCCAGAGGGAACCCTGGAGTCCAGCATCTCAGTTCCCTGTTGTAGCCTTCAGTCCTGGGGACCAGTGATGTGTGAGATCTGTCCTGGAGCACTGGTTGGGGGGGCACCCACTAGGCAGTTCAGAGTATTTCCGTCTCGCCATATTCTCAGTGCACCTGTTTCTGTGATTCTGGAAACAGCCTCCACTATTGCACTCCAGCCAACCTGCTTTGCCTTTTGATGTAATTAGCAGGGAAGGGCTCTGAGAGTCAAGACTCTTCCCCAGGCTACCTGAGGTAAAGAGCCCTTTCCTGTCCCCTCCCACCCTCCCCAGCTTCTCTGCTGTTATGATTTCCATAGCCTTTACCTTCCTGAGGAGATTAAATCAAGGAGCCTCTGCCAAGCCTTTTATCCAGATGTTTCTTCTTGGTTCCCATGGGAGGAGACCACTCCTGAGTTTATAATCTACCAGCTTTGGCAACCAAGGCCCAGAAAGCAGGCTGCAGTTGGGTGTAAGGACAGCAAAACATCTGGCTCCTTCTTCTTTACTGCCCACTTTTTTTCTTCTCCTGCCCTAAATGCTTGCTAAACCTTAGATAATTACAGGTTCAGGAAAAAAAAAATTCACATGCTTTAAAAGTCTCAGTTCCGGCCGGGCGCGGTGGCCCACGCCTGTAATCCCAGCACTTTGGGAGGCCGAGGCGGGTGGATCATGAGGTCAGGAGACCGAGACCATCCTGGCTAACAAGGTGAAACCCCGTCTCTACTAAAAATACAAAAAATTAGCCGGGCGCGGTGGCGGGCGCCTGTAGTCCCAGCTACTCGGGAGGCTGAGGCAGGAGAATGGCGTGAACCCGGGAAGAGGAGCTTGCAGTGAGCCGAGATCGCGCCACTGCAGTCCGCAGTCTGGCCTGGGCGACAGAGCGAGACTCCGTCTCAAAAAAAAAAAAAAAAAAAAAAAAAGTCTCAGTTCCTCATCTTGCCCTGCTGGGGACGTCCCCTAGGTGAGAGAATGAAACAGACAAGGAGCCCTGGCGGAGTTTTTCCAGAGAGTTGGGATTTGTGTTATTTTCGCGTGAATGATGAAAGCACTCCCAGGCTTAGCATGACACAGAGTGTTTCTCTTGGTGCAGGGACACCTTTCTTCAAGTCCCCTCCAGAAGTGGCAGATTTGTGCACAGTGGATATTGACCCTGGGTGAGGAACAAGCGTTCTTCTCTTGTTTGACCTCAGTGGCACAGATCTACTCAGCAGCTACTCTGGGCCCAGCACTCTCCTGCGTGTGGAAGGACATACTGGGAAAAATATTAGGATGTGATTCCTGCCTTCATATAGCTGAAGTCTCACAGGTATAAAGCAAAAGCAAGTCATGCAAGATAATGTGTGTCCATGTACCTTGAAGGGGGTTCCAAAATGGAGCTATGTGGAACAGAAGTGGGAGTGAGAGAATCAGTGAGGGTGAGTGTAGAAGAGAAAAGCTGCTGCAGGCCCTGCAGTGAGGCTGGGAAGAAAGGAGGGCATGCCGGATGAGGACAGGGAGGGCAGTGGCTCTGAGGAGAATCGCTGCTGTGTCCCCATCACTGTCTTCTGGGATAGAGTCCAGAGTTCAAGATCGGTGACTGTAGTAGGAGCTCCAATTTTACCAGTAGCTGGGGGATGCGGCAATTGTTCAGGGGAGGGGTTGGCAACATTTCTGAAAGAGCCAGAAAGTAAATATTCTAGGCTTTGTAGGCCAAGAGGCAAAATTGAGGCTATTGTGTAGCTACTTATATAACCATATACAATGTAATCTTTTAAAAATGTGAACACTTAGCCTCAGCTCCAGAGCTGTACATCCCTGTCACGTCAGTTCACCAGTTAATCAGTCACACAGAGGCTGCCTCCTGGGTATCCAGTCATGCCTGCGAAGCCCTGATCTGTCTCCCCTGATCTGACTTTGCTCAGTTCAACTTGCGTTTATTGCAAATGCCAATCTTTGGTTTGGGGAGGAGGTCGCATGCTGGCATTTCCTAGCCCACGGTAGACCTGGGAAGAAAGATTTAGCTTGCTTCTACCGCCTCATAAAATTTAGATTTTTTTTTCTATGTGTCTGTGGGACAGACTGCTCTATTTTCAGGGAAGAGAAATAAGATGCCAAACTGGGAATTCTGCCTATGACTCTGGCCAGTGTGTTTTTCGCTGAGCTGTTGGTGGAAGTGGACCCCCACCACCAGAGCATAGGCCTCTTTCTCCTGCTGGCCTTAGACTTTTTCTGGAGGGGGCATTTCACCTGCCCCACCCTCCTTAGCTGGTTCTTCTCTGGCTATACAGGTAAGCCCTGGGCCGGGTGGCCTCTGTGTGCACATGGTGTGTGTATGGTACGCACAGGTATAGCAGTGTCTACTCATGTAGCAGTGTGCATGGGTCTGGGGCCAGGGTAGCCCAGCCTGGAGTGACTCAACTCCAGACCACAGACCTCCAGACAGAGGAAGATGCCTGTTACCTTCTCTTTTACTTGTCATTTATTTTCTAGCATCAAATTTTCCTCCAAGGGATGTTTCCACTAGAAGGAACCTTACAAATAATCTGGTCTGTCCTGTTCGTTTCACAGATGAACAAAGCAAGGCTCAGAGAGAAGAGGTAACTCACCCAAGGTCCCGCCTCCAATTAAGGCAGGATTGGCATTGTTTTCCCTGACTCCTAGGCTTGATTCCTCCCAGTAATTCCACTCCATGTCTTCTGCATGAAAGCCTCCCAGTTCTCATTCAGCTGCCCTACCTACACTCCTTCCTGAGGCACATCCCTGCCATGTCAGTTTATCTGTATCCAAGCTGCCTTTGAAGCCCTGATTTGCCTCCTCTGATTTGATGTTACTAATTTCAACTTGTGTTTATTTCAAATTTCAAGGCAGTATAGGCAATGGAAATGTGGCATAGCAATGAACAGGGCCCCCCAAAGAAGCATCTCACTATCTAGGGGGGAAAATGGAAGCATTGCAATTCCAGCGTACTTAGTACTATCATTCATTCATTTGTTCAAGTCATTTAACAGATATTTACTATGAGGCAGGCACCGTGCTAGACTCTGAGAATAACTAGCAAGAGGTCTTCCCTGATTGGATTTCCAGTCTAGTGGGGAGGATCAACAATTAAGTAAGCATGAAGAGATAATTTTCAAATTGAGGAAATGAGCAATGTCAGTTACATTTGGGGGACAGATGTGCTACTTAGAGAGATGCATGGCTACAGAAGAGGAGACATTTGAGCGAAGCAAAAGAAGACATAAAAAGAGACAATGAGTTGGGAGCAGTGGTGCTGGAACTACAGGGACTTTTGTGGGGAGCCTCAATTTTCTTGGAGAAGCAGAGGGTGGAGACCTCAGACAGAGCTGGGAGCTGAGGAAAGCCAAGTACCTGGAGTGCTTTGGGCAGGATTTTCAATCCCAGGGCCAGCCCTGGCCACTCACCATCAAGAAGCAGGAAGATAGCCCTGCCCCTGCAGGCAGCAAATCCAAAGAGATGCAGCTGGACCACTTCACTGAGGGAGGCACAGCATAAGTTTCTGCCGAAAGGCAAGCAGCAGGCTGAAATCTGATTTTTTTCTTTAATTTGAGGGGGCAGGCAAAGGCCCTCAGATGCCCCTGGCTTGTTTCACCAGCCAGCAGCACACCCCAGTGGATTCTGGGTATGTGCCAAAAAGCAGATACAAACAACCTGGGGATCCTGGAGGAGGCAGGTCCCAAGGTGAGGAGAGGGGTGCAGAGGGAGCAAGGAGTCCTAGAGGCCCAGAGTTCCTCAAAACTATTCTAAGACCAGGAACAGGAACCGAAAAATCTGAGAGAGGATGTGGTGGGGCCAAGAAGAGAGCATCAGGAAAACCAAACATCTGTGTGCAAAAAATGCCATTTCTCAGAAATTCACAAGGAAAGCTTCACTTACACCTGGATGGGGAACTTGATTTGGACCCTTACAAGCATGCTCATTTATGTTTCAGACTGGAGTGCTCTGGAAGACAATGGAGTTTCCCCTTTTATCCTGCACACACCAGTCCCTCCTTCCAGCAACTCTCTGGTAGGCATGGGATTTTTCCCTTCCTGTAGCCCTGCCTTTGGGAGAAGTGGTGAGATGTGAATTGTGCAGGAGCTGGACGTCAGCGCTAACTGTCAAAGGGGATTGCTCAGCGCCCCTTCCTCTCATTGTGCTTTCTATAACCTCTTGTGCATGACATTGTGTGCACTGAGGATGTCACTTCTGCCTCCTACAGGGATCTCAAGTCTCAGAACAAGCCCGTCAATCCTAGGTAGTGTGGTGGGGATAGAAATGAGACAGATTCTACCCTCAGGAAACTCACTGACTGATGTGGGCATGCTACACCTGCCTGTATAGGGAGCCACACATATAAAAATCAAGGACAAAATCTAAAGAACCAGCTATAAATGCCACAGAGAAATATAATTGCACTTAATGGTTTTGGGGATTGATCTAAGCCTGGCGCACTTATTTGAGCCAGGATTCCTGAAAGAGGAGACCTTCAGAAGCAGTGTGAAAGAAGGGTCACATATAAATCTGTGTCTTTATTACTGTAGGTCTTCCCCACCCTCCTGCCCCATGAACCCTCCTGCCCCATGAACCCTCCTCTCAACTCCCCAGGCCTCTCATGTTGATGGTCACTCTGTCCCTTGAACTGGCTATCACCTAGGCTGCAAGCTGACCTGCTCAGCAGATCCTGTCTCGTCACTCACCATGGCCCTCTTGGCTCATGGCCTTTGACACAGATTGAGCCCATTTGCTGCAATATAGTAAGAGATCAATAGTGATCTGTTGAATCTTGAGTTTACATTTTTTAAAAACAAGCTTTGCTCCATTTTTTTTTTACGTCTTCGGTTTTGTAGTAATTGGTCTTCTGGAACCAGGCTACTTTTAGGAGCCTTCAGCTTTATTATTTGGTAATCCTGTGAATTGTGTTCCAATATAAGACCTACTCTTAGGAATTTCTGAATAATGTGACCCTATTGCAATTGTAATGTTTATTATAAATTTCCAAATCGCTGCCGTTATAAAACTGAAGATTTATACAGCAGCTTTGCTCCAGAGTCCAAACAGCTGCCCCTTAGGCATGTTTTATAAACAACTGAGATTACTACAACCTGAATTGTAGCTCTCAGTAATCCATGCCAATTACAGGGAATGCACATGAGACACCAATGCATGTTTGTTTGCTTTCTTCCCTAGCAGATTAAACTTTTCATTACTGCAATCACTTGCATTTTTTAAAATGGACATCACTTAGGCCAATTACAAATTATAATGTCACCATGCCGGGCTAATTGTTTTGTATTTTTAGTAGAGACTGGGTTTCACCATATTGGTCAGGCTGGTCTCGAACTCCTGACCTCAGGTGATCCACCCGCCTCAGTCCTTCTTTATGTGATGTCAAATATATCTTCTCCTCAAAGAAACTACCCTTAGTCCCTCTTGTCCAGTGCCATTTCTCCTTTTTTGGCACTTCTATCACAGACGTATCCTGCCCCAACTGTGGTTAGTTGTTTTTCTACTTCTACTTCTTCACCCTTCCTCGAGAGCAGATCAGAGCTCATCGTGTTCCCGTGTATATCCCAGTGCCTAGAGTTGGGCTGTGGCAGCAAGCAGGTACCCAATAAGACTTTCTGGACTGCATTGCCTCCTCTTCTGACTGAAAATACAATCACTTATGTGCCTCCTACATCAAATGCGTTTGTGAAACAGTTGATACAGACGCTCCTTGGCATCCAGGAAGCTGCAGGAGCAGGGTCTTTGTTTGATGGTTCCCTTTGCTCTGCCTTGACTCACCATGTGTGCAGTCCAGGTGGATGATAACATTTAATGTGAGCTGGACTCCTAGAATTAAAAAGAAAGAGAACTGTATGGACAGGGATTCAGGGGAGTGTTTCAGAGACCAGGCAGAACTATAAGGTGAGAATGAAAGAGAGGATAGGCTGAGGGATAGACCTAGAATATTGGACATGTTCATATTCTGGGTAAAAAACAAAAAATGTCAGTGAGAGATAGAGTGACCATGTGTCTCATCTGCCAAGGACAACCAGGTATACATGTTGTTAAACAGTGAAGTTTTTTTTTAAATTTTTTAATTTAATTTAATTTATTTATTTATTTATTTATTTATTTATTTATTTATTTTGAGACAGAGTCTTGCTCTGTCGCCCAGGCTGGAGTGCAGTGGCAGGACCTTGGCTCACTGCAAGCTCCGACTCCCAGGTTCATGCCATTCTCCTGCCTCAGCCTCCCCAGTAGCTGGGACTACAGACACCCCCCCACCACGCCCAGCTAATTTTTTGTATTTTTAGTAGAGGCGGGGTTTCACCGTGTTAGCCAGGATGGTCTCCATCTCCTGACCTCGTGATCCGCCCGCCTTGGCCTCCCAAAGTGCTGGGATTACAGGCGTGAAACAATGAAGTTTTATTCATTATTTATAACACTTCATCCCATCTTCTTCCATAACGTCCCAGTTTGGAAGATGAATGAAATGGTCACCCGAGAGGAAGTAGTGGGTAGTAAGGGTGGTATTAGTTTCTCTTTCCATTATTCTCTGCTGTCATTTTCGTGGGGCAGCCCTGGGTGGTCAGGTTAGTTAATAATACCAGCGGCAAGTGGTGCCTTCAGGGCCAAGGTCAACCAGGCCACCACGTGTATTCTGAGCTTTCATGTGCCAGAGGCTATGCTAGACGCTGAGATTTAAGCATAAATATGACATTAGGGGGCTGTGTGCGGCATTTAATTAGGGTTCTCAACTCCAATCCAATAAAATACACTTCTCCAATCCTCAGCCCAGGACTGGGTAAATCTGTAGAAGTCCTAAGCACTGAAAATAATATCATGCTCCCCCATACATAGTGCAAAAATAAGAACAATACCAACCAAAACGTGAATTAAGAAAATCCCTGAAAGTTCTAGTATTTCCCTTAGTGCTTTTATTAAAATATCAAATGTCAAGTTATTTCAAAAAATTTTGATACTCTGTTTAGCTGGTGCCCAGGTTTACTGAGGTCCAATCAGGCCTCACCCAACATCCCCAATCCCCTGCAATCAACAAGGGGTCCCTCCACTGAGCTCTCTTGGCCACATCACTGGGCCCAATCATGGGTAAAGTCAGTTCTGTCTGGGTGGCTTTTTGGAGTGAGAAATAGGTTCCAGATGTTGACAGCTGGTGGCCACCAGGGCAGACCTAAGTCTGTGTGGAGCTTGCAATTTCCCAGAGCCACACAGAGGCCTTTGTTCTGCAGCTTTGTGTGTGTGTGTGTGTGTGTGTGTGTGTGTGTGTGTTTTGTTTTTTTGTTTGAGATGGAGTCTTGCTCTGTCACCCTGGCTGGAGTGCAGTGGTATGATCTTGGTTCACTGCAACCTCTGTCTCCTGGGTTCAAGTGATTCTCCTGCCTCAGCCTCCTGAGTAACTGGGATTACAGGCACCCGCCACCATGCCTGGCTAATTTTTGTATTTTTAGTAGAGACAGGGTTTCACCATGTTGGCCAGGCTGGTTTTGAACTCCTGACCCCATGTGATCCTCCCGCCTTGGCCTCCCAAAATGCTGGGATTACAGGTGTGAGCCACCGCACCCGGCCACTGTTCTGCAACTTTGAAGGAGGCTGCTCTGATGCCACCTGCAGAGGGGTCTGGTTGGTTGGCTCTTTTCTAAGAAAACACTGAGAAGGCAAAGCTGAGGATTAAATGATCTCTGCTGTTGATTAGTGATCACCCATCACTGATGCTGGGCATGGCCACCCTTAGGCTATAGGCTGCAGAGGTGATTTAGTGTGAACACTACATTTCTGAGACAAAAGAGACTGGCCTGAAATGGGAACAATGATATGGTCCTTTTGAAAAATGAACATTAATGAGACAATTGAATTGTATCATAAAAAGCATGTGAAGAAACCATAAATTTATTATACTTTTTAAGCAAATCTATGTTTATGGACTTTCAGGCATATAAATAAATAAATGTTCAAATGAGTCAACTTGGAGAAGGTCGTCTTGGAGAAGGTGATTAGAAAATGTTGCCATTGCTTCAAACATTTTGGAATTCTCGTTGGGAAGACATTCAAATTCTGTTTTTGGAGATGACTAATATCCTCTTTTCAAATGACAAGTTCCCATTGAACTTTAAGGGGCTAATTGTCACTCACACTTTAGTGTGAATTAGTTAAATCAAATGCAACTAACTATAATCTGACAGTCTGGGAAATGGGAGTTTAAGCTGGGGAAAGCGAGGCAAGGAGAGCTTGGAAGTGAATGCTGGACAACAGAGGGGGATAAGGAATTTGGGGAAGTAGAAAACAGGGCTTCCAGAGAGCAGCTGCAGAGTGAGCTGTGCCCCAGGAGGGAGAGGACAGAAAGCTGGGAAAAGGGGCCGAGGTGGAAGAGAGAATTGGGAAGACGTAAGGAGGAGCCTCGGGGCTGGTGCAGGAAGCGGCATGGAGTCAGTCCAGCATTTTAGTTAGGTGAGTGAGGCTTGGAGGCAGGTAGGTCTGAGTTCGAATCTCGATTTGTCATTTATTAGCTATGTGACCAAATGCAGGTGATACCTTTCTAAGCAGCCTGCTATAAAATAGTTTTGTGCAACTATGAAGTAGAGAAAATAATACGGCCTTCTTTTAGCGTTGTCATGGGACAAATGTAATAAACGACATAGATGTTTGTCAGAAAGGAAGCCCTCAGTAGAGGCCAGTTGTTGTTATTATTATATAAAGGTACAGGAGAAAGCCTAGAGCAAGCTCTGCCCCTTCAAAATGGGAACACCATCAGATTTAGTTCAACACTGTTTATCACGGGTGCTGCACTACAGCTGTAAGACATAAAAAGTTGAATGAGAGGGAATTATTTGCCCACAGTCTACTAAACAGCACAGACTAAGTGCACACATAACCAAAACTGATATAGAAATCAGTTTGGGTGACAGCAGAGTTTGGGTCCTCAGGAGTGGGCAAGGGTCAGGTATGGGGGGTGCCCTCAAAAGAGCCTTTCCCATGGAGGATGCTGTGTCTGAGATGGGTGTGGAGGGATGGAGGAGGTCCGCACAGCTGGGGAAATGCAGAGGGAAGTCCTTGAGAAGAAATCAGCTTGAGCGAAGGCACAGAGGTGAGGACATCCAGGTCTGTGAGGGGACCCTTTTGTGCTGTGCAGTGGGAATAGAGCTGTCCTGAACAGGACTTGTAGGGCCCTGAATGCAATGGTGCCCTCTCACCTCATCTCAGCATGAGCTTCATTTCCAACATGGATCTGAGAACTGGGCTTATTCCTGCTCACCGCAGCACAGTGTACAGCATTTGTCAATAATAAAATGAACTTATAATGATTAAGAAACCATTTTAAAAATCTGCCAGTTCACAAGTTTCTCTCCAGATGAGCTACACAGAATAGCAAGTGCTATTTCTTTCACTGCTTGATTTGCCCAACCTCAGAAATTAAATCCTCCAGGGACTGGCTCTTTTCTGAGACAGGTAACCATATTTGATTGGATAATGAAGAAAGTGTGAACATGAGGGGCTGGGCATAGTGGCTCACACCTGCAATCCCACAGCTTTGGGAGGCTGAAGTGGGAGGATCGCAGGAGACCAGGAGTTTGAGACCAGCCTGGGCAGCATAGTGTGATTCCATTTCTACAAACAAACAAATCAGCCAGGTGTGGTGTTGCATGCCTGTATCTCTAGCTACTCAGAAGGCTGAGGTGGGAGGATCACTTGAGCCCAGGGATTCAAGATGGCAGTGAGCCATGATCACACCACCGCACTCCAGCTTGAGTGATGGGAGAACCCAACTCTAAGTTAAAAAAAAAAAAGTGTGAACATTTGGGTATAGTGACATACCAGATAAAATTTAACATACAGATTCCAACAACCCAAGGCCTGAAATAACTTTCACCTCTGTATCCCTCCTAGAAACTTATGAGACCTAAGATCAAGTAGAAGGAACACAGTACAGCATAGGAGTTGAGACCAGGTGGTTTGGAAATACAGTGCTTGGATTTGAATCCAGGCTCTGCTTCTCCTTTTCTGTGAATATCTGTTTGTATCTGTCACGTAGGGATGATAGCACCTTCCTCACACGGTGGTGATGAGAATTAAAGGAATAGTGCACGGCAAGGACATTGCTTGGTATATAGAAAATTGTGAGTAATGCTACTCATCAGTATCATTCATCATTCACCATCTACTATGTATCAGGTGCTGTGAATAAAGTATAGCCCTTGACCCAGAGACACAGAAAGTTTCAGAGGCAGGAGCCCTGTGTTCATCCCCATGTCCTTTGAGTTTCTGCAGGGTCTATGGGCAGGCCCTCTCCTGAAGGGAGTTTGTCTCTTCTCTTCTATCTCACCACTTTTGACAGGCTGTTGATGCCACCTCTTCAGAAAGACTTTCTCTGGCCTCCACGTCCTGCAACCCCATCACCCCCTATCTCATTACCCTACTTTCTTCATAGCACTTACTGTTCTCTGAATTTGTATTCTTTATTTACTTGCATATTGCCTCATCCTCCTACTAAGATGCAAGCTCCATGAGAACCAGGACCTTGCCTGGCTCATTCACCCTGTGTATTCCAGGCACACAGTGGTGCGTAATAAGTACTTGTTGACTAACTCATTACTAGATGAAAGAAAGTCACTAGAAGTTGGTTTTGGGATGGTGCAGATCTGACAAAACCACTAGATTGTAAGTGGCTCCTTGTGGACAGAGGCCACATTTTCTTCTGTAGACTTTCTTAGTTGCCTACCAGGTTCCGCACATGCAGGGGAACGTGATAAACACTTGTTAGTGGACTGGCTGAGTCAATCAGAACAGAGAGGAGGTTTACCTGGATGGAGTAAAGGGAGTAATGAGATTATGGGTCTTGAGGACAGAAAAAGGCATAGAAAATTGTTTCCAGTGCAGGGGAGGTATTATTATTGTGGTAGGATAAGGGTAAGTAGATTTATAGTCATTTTTACTGTTGATAAGTTTAAAAATACGGCCCATGAGCTTATACAAGAAAGCTGGAGGTTTCACAATTTTTCCATTGCTTTGAAAGAGAGGTAACTTCCATCTACACTGGCATTCATCCCTTGGGCCTACGTGACATTTACAAGTCATTTATCAGCACTGAACTCCCAAGAGCTTGCTTCTCTGCCATTCTCCAAGATGTTGGCTGACACCCTCTGACAGGAGAAGCTGGGATATGTTTTGACAACCAAGTGGTTTCTTTAGCAAGCTGCTGGTGTTCTCAGGCAGCTCGGTGGAGAAAGCTTTGGCTTTCGGATCAGGACTGAAACTCTCCGGGGGTTCCCCTTGCAGATGTGCACACTGACTTCATCCTAAGGCTGTTATTCGGATTCGTCTGTGAACTCTGTGAAGCTGGCTTGTCAACTGAGTACAAAGCAGGTCTCAGGCCTCATCACTATCCATTTTTCTACTTAAGAAAATCTAGTGAACTTGTAGCACAAACACCTAGAGACCCCAGAAAATATCTTGTGAGCCCCTTCTAAGAAGGAGAAGTGAGCAAAATACTATAGGGAAGGGAGGACACAGTGAAATACCAAGAGTCAAACTGGGGAGTCAGTCCCTACACAGATGAAGAGATTTAAGAATTCCAGGTAGTGGGTATGACTGGCACTGCTAGCTACCACTTGCTGAGCACCTACTGTGTGCCGTGCATCATGGTAGACACTTTATATGCATTATTCCCAGTCCCTGGAATGGTGTGCCAGGTTGTAGAGCTACTGACATTCAGAGAGGATGATGATGTGCCTCAAACCACACAGCTAGTAGCCGGCAGAGCTGGGTTCGAACGCATGTTCTCTGACTCCAGACTGTGTCTCTTTCCACCCAGCCAGCCAGTCAAGGCTGGACACAGAGGAGCAGAAATCTGTATTGGTGGATTGTCCAGGCAGAGCAATGAAGCTTTTGCATAGGTGGAGAGGAGGGGCCTGGGCAGAGGGGGTAGAGCTGGGTAGCAGGAAGGAGAAATCACAGCTGCAGAAGCCTGGTGAGGAGTAGACGGGAAACACACTGGGAAGAGAGGGAGGGGCTGTTGTTGCTTGAGCAGAAGGTTGGCAAGCATGTGAGACTGTTTGTGGGAATTTTGTGAGCCAAATTTGGGAAGTCAAGTTGAGGCAGGCTGTGGTAGGCTTTGAACAAACTGAGGAATTTTGAACCGATGCTATACTTTAGGTGAAGACAGCTGTGGAGCTCTCATGAGAATTAAGGCCAGATGTGGTAGCTCACGCCTGTAATCCCAATGCTTTGGGAGGCTGGGGCAGGAGGATAGCTTGAGGCCAGAAGATTGACACTGACCTGGGCAACATAGCAAGACCCTATCTCTCTAAAAAGTAGAAAACTTAGTCAAGCATGGTGGCTTGCACCTGTTGTGCCAGCTAGTGCAAGGGATGGGAGGATCTCTTGTGCCCAGGAGATCAAGGCTGCAGTGAGCTGTGATAGGGTGACTGTACTCTAGTCTGGGTGACAGAGGGAGACCCCATCTCTAAAAAATGGAAAATAAAGCAGAGGGGAATTAACATAATGAAAGTGGTATTTTAGGAAGACTGGTGAGAATGGCATGTCGGAGAGCTGAGGCAGGGAAACCAGAGATAAGGTTTTGTCGTGGTGGAGGCAGGAGGAGGCTCCCACTCCCCCATCTGCTGCTCTGCCTGAGAAAGATTTCCCCTCCTCTCTGCTCACCTCCATTTCCGCACAGCTGCTGATGTTCCCCACAAATAGGCCTTCAGAGTGCTCTATCCAGCTCCTGCTAGCCTGTGGCCTGACTCCTCTACACCAGGGGGCCACGACCATGTCCAGGGTTGCCTGGGAGCACTCAGCAAATCCAAGCAAGCACATTTTCATAGCCAGAAGGAAGCCTGCCAATGTGCTGCCATCACAGGGAGGTACAAATATTTTGCTCTCTTACTATAAATGCTGATGGTGATTCTAGAAACAACTTGGATGTTTTAGGTCATAATTTATTTCTCCGTCCCATTCTGGGAAGGAAGGGAAGTTGTTGCCTCTTGTTTTAAATGGGAGACCCAAATCACATATTCAGTAATACCATGCTTATCTTTTGCTGGAAATTCACATGCTCGTGAAGGGCAGTGAGATGTTATGATATTTTTCCCTCTACGAGGTAGTTAGGGCTCCTGGAAAAGGAAAGGTTACTTTTACCAGGAGAGAGGGTGCCAGCTCCCTTGACCCCAGACCCAGGTGATACACCTATGCCAGATGGGAGTGTGTATGGGCATGGGGAGAGGGATGGGACGAGGGCTCTGGGGTATCTGCTGTCCTGTCATCTCCACATCTGAGGGATGGCTTCAGCCTCTGGAAACTGTGTCCATTGGATCTGACAACATGGGATGATCTCAGGAGTTTATCCAACCAGACAACCACAGAATCAGAGACTGTCAGAGTTGCAAGGGGTCTCAGAGTCCAACAATGGCAGTGTTCTCAAATTTCAGGATGTGTAAAAATCACTTGGGATGCTTCCAGAAATCAAGCTTACTGGGCCCTCTCCCCAGATCTTCTAGCTTACTGGGTCTCGGGAGTCTGCATTATTAGTTGGACCTCTTCATTGGAAGCACTAATGAATCTTGTCTGATTAAGCTCAGCAGGCAGAATTGCTCCTAGTACAGTAGGTTTTTGGAAAGCAAAGAAGGAGGCGGAATGACATCCTAGTGAGGGTCATCTGGTCGATCTGAGTGCTAAGCTCCAGCTCCCTATGGGGCCTTATGGTGGCACTCACACACTCTGCGCCCCTTCAGAAGGATTTCTCCTTACACCTCTTCCTTGAATATCCATGCCACCACCCTTACAATTTTGGCCTTTCTAGGTCCTTGACTAAGGAGTGAAAATATTGACAACTTTCTATTATTTTATAGAGGCTCTTATTTCAGATTATCTCCCTTTTAAGAAAAATGGATAGCCACTTTTCCATGGCTAGAGGTGACAATTTTCAATCATTTTAATTATACCTAACACATACACAGTGTTACCATGTACTATTATACATTCATCCCTTGTAATAACGCTGGAAAACTGGTGTCCTATTATGATTCCCATGTTACAGATAAGCTGGAACCCAGAGAGGTTAAGTAACTTGCCCAAGTTATATGGCAAGTCATGAATTACCTGGGATTGAAGCTTAGGCATTCTGGCTGCAAAGTTTGTCCTCTTCCAACCGTTGTATTTCACCTGAACTCTTCTTCTTTGGACAGGCTCTGAGTCCATGAACTGACTCAAGTGTGACATGCTAGACCTCTGGAGTTTTTTCCTCACTAAAATAGACTGCTATTGGGATGTCCACTTAATATCTTTTGGTCCTACATGCTTTAAGATCAGTTCTCCACTGCCAAAGGTCTCCATGGTTTATGTCCTGATTCCTTCAACAAGCTCATTGTCTCTAGTTATAAGGTCACTATCTCTAGGCATAGCCAAAACTTTTCTTAACAGTTATACTGCAGTTAGAAAATTATTTTTGT
This sequence comes from Homo sapiens, assembly GCF_000001405.40. Lineage (NCBI taxonomy): Eukaryota > Metazoa > Chordata > Mammalia > Primates > Hominidae > Homo > Homo sapiens. The sequence goes on from NC_000012.12 coordinate 5,062,818, forward strand.
CTTAACTCTCAAAGTTGCCTCCTAGGATAAGTGTAAGGCATAGAACCTTTCCTCTATTTTACAAAAGACAAAATTAAAACTTCTCCCTTGGTTACCCACAATCTGCAAGCAAACTGTAGTTACCTAATATTTATTGAGCATTTATATTTGCCAGAGACTGTTTTAAGTGTGTGGTTTTGTTTTGTTTTGTTTTTGTAGAGACAGTTTCATTATGTTGCCCAGGCTGGTCTCAAACCCCTGGGCTCAAGCGACCTACTTGCCTTGGCCTCCCAAAGTGCTGGAATTACAGGTGTGAACCACCGTACCAGCCTTAAGTGTTTTCTGTGTACTATCTCATTCACTCCTCAAAACAATCAGGGAGTAGGTACTACTATTATTGCCATTTCGAACTATAAATGAGGCAGGAGAAAGATATTTGCCTAAGGTCTCATAGGAAGCAAATTGCAAAACCAGGATTTAATACCAGGCAGTCCAGCTCCAGAGCTAGCTCTGAGCTAATCCTTCTTGCCATAGCTTAAGCTTATTCCCTCATGCTGTGTCAGCAAAGAAGATTAATTCACCCATTGAGCAAATATTTATTGAATGCCTACTCTTTGCCAGGTGAAGGAAAACTGTACAGTCTCTGACTTTATGTAGCTTAGTCTAATGGAGGAGAGAGACACTGATCAAATAGTCCCATAAACCTAAGTGAAATGGCATGTGTGAAAAAGCACTGAAGGGGATGTCTATGGTGCCTGAAAGTGATGGTTTACCTTCTCAGGTGTGTTGGAGATAGAGACCTGGAACTACAAGGCCCCTTATGCCAAGAGTCTGCAAGCCTATCTGTGGTCACTACTGCTAGGGACCTTAAAACCTAACTCTAGCTTTGAAAGCCTTGGGGTGAAAGAACAGAAGAAGCAGGACAATGTGCTATGCAAGCCTCTAGGCAGCTTCTCTTCTTCCCTCTCTAACAGACTCGTTTTTCCTGCCTTGAATGGATCCCTTGAGCCCTTGAGAGGGGTGAAATAGATGATTCCCTAGAGAACACCTTGAAAGCTTACTCTTTCTCTGTGTGGGAACTCAGCACCAGACCCTCTGAGGTTGAAGAAAGTTCACAAAGCGAATCAACTGCATCAGATCTGCTTGGAGAGAAATGGGGGTCAGCATGCAGATTTCAGGGGAGACGAGGATGGAGACTCCGTGGGAGCTGGAGTCCCAGTGGTACATCCTAGAGAAGCAGACAAGGCCCTTCTTCTATGTTTGGCTGGAGTGCCTTCTGTGATGAAATGAGGGACAAGCTTAGGGCCCCCAGAGGACACATTGCCTCCATAGATTGGCGTGAGCATCACCGCATAGATTCATGGGAGAGCTTTGGAAACTCGGGGGCTATACAGGTGATTTCCAAAGTGTTTGACAATCTGGGTGTACTGTATTCATTGGGAAGAGAAAGAAGAAGGCTTCTTTATCACCTCAGAAGGAGCCTTGATGATGAAGGTTTTCCGACCAGGTCTTTCAGTCCTTTTACCCCAGCTCAACCGAGATCTCAGATATTTACTAATATCTGAGAAGCAACCCAGAAAATAGAAAGATTTCATTCACTTAGAGCCAATTTAGGAAAGGAGGCAATCCACCCAACCAAAGATTTATCAGAAGGGGCAAAAGGAGAAGCAGAGGGAAGGAAAAAAGAAGATGACAGTGAGGGAAGAGGGAAAGGAGTCAGGAAGTACCTGTAGGGTCATTGCCCTAAATGCTGCTCACTGTCCCCACAATTCATGGGTGGGCTACTTCAGAGTGTGAGATAATGTGTAGCACAGGTTGTCAGCCTCTCCAACGTCAAGGCCTGGACTGATAACAAAGGCAGGATGCCAGGAGCTCAGAGCTGACCAGATAGCCGGCCTTCAGCTTATCCAGCCTGGAGGATGGCATTTTCTTCTTGACCCACCGGTAAGAGCAACTCCACTGCCCTGGGAGCCCAGGGTTTCTGCCAGCAGCACTTTCTTTTGAACAACTGGGTTGCATAAAACAAATAATGATGAGCAACTGGTTGCTACAGTGCTCCCCCACTTCAGGAAAATATGATTAGGATAGACAGAAACAAACAAACAAAAAACTTCTGTTGAGAGTAAAGATGCTGAAGGAAATGTGGCATAGTTGAATTAGCACCAAATGTGGAGCCAGGAAACAAGAGTCCCTGCTTTGCCACTTACTAACTGGCAACCTCATGCAGTCCCTTAAGCTGTGTGACTTTCAGATCCCTGTTGTAAAATGGAGCTAATACTGTATGCCTTATAGGGTTTTGAATATTTTACAAATGACGTAATCTCTTTTGAATGCAAGACCTTCTAAAAACTATAAAATACTTTGAAATAAAAAGGATTTTGTCTGTTAACTTGAAAAGGAATAAAGTAGAAATGCTAAGTGGAATGATTATATTTCACCTATACTGTTGCAAATCCAGACTGCCGTGTTGCCAGTCATACTGCATTCCATATGAATGGCATTTTCAGAGTCATGATGTGAACGGTGTCTGTATCCTTTGTAGTAGTGTCAAATCAGGCAATGCAGTGGTGTCAAGTCAGGTGGAAGAAAATCATATTTAAAACAATAAAAAGCAGTTTAGTACATAGTTCCAGTCTGTATTTCAAAAAGCTATTAAGTTAGCAAAGCATTCATAGGAAGCAATGTATTTGTAAGGATAGGTTGGATTCTGCTTCAGTAACGAAATAGCCTCCAAGTCCCAAGGGCTTAAAACACAAAGATTTATTTCATATTCACTTCATCTGTCCATTTTGGAATAGCAGGGAGCTTTGGTCACTCTAGTCACTCAGGAACCAATGGTGACAAACAGCCAGCACCCGAACGTTACGAGCCACCATGCCAAAGGGAAGGAGACTTGTGAAGAATCTCACAGTGATACTTAAATGTGCTTGCCTAGACATGATAGATACTCCCGTTACTCCCAACTCATTGGCCAGAACTAGTCACATGACTGTAGCAAACTACAAATGACCCAGAAAGAACGATTCTGCCCAGAAGGTAGAGAGCTGGAAATAGTTGGAAATGCTAGTCATTACTCCAGTCGGTATTTGGAAACCAACGTGATCAGAACATCAAGTAGTTGATTGTGAAGGCACAGGTCCCCAAGTGATGGCCAGTGTTCAGAAATCCTACCTTCCAAAATGATGCTAAGGAACGATCTAGTCTTTTATTTTACTAGATGCTCCAATAGTTTGTTGAAGCAAATCTTGTTGCTATGCGAACTAACTTGAACTATTCCTCCATTTTTGTGCCTATGGAATCTTAGAATGGCAGAAGTGGATGAGATTTCAGGGCTCACTCAGTTTCACAGTCAGAGAACAGGCCTGGAGAAAGGCTAACTAAGGGTCTCTTCTGAGTCACACGGCTACTGAGGGGCTGCCCTAGGACCAGAATCTAGCCCTCTCGTTTAGGCTTTGTTCACTTCACTCTGCACCACACTTCCTTTAGCCTTTTCTCCAGAGCCAGATGTTTCCATTTCGTGGTACCAGCTCTCATACTATTTTTACTGATACAGCTGGCTCACGTAACGGAATTCATCTGTATTCCTCCTTTTATCAAATACTGGAATGTCTGCCTGCCTAGTGAGACGAACATACCCAGAATTTTAGACCAACAACTTGTGGAGTGACCTGTTTCTAAAGTATTCACTAGCTCATTTGCTAGGACTCTGGTTGACCTGTTGAGTTTGCATGAGAAAGCACTAGTTGTAGCTATTACACCATTTATAAGACTGGCCTTTTATGCTCTGATTATGTGTTGTAATGCTGTGTTTTGCTGCTTAGTTAACTACAATAATTAAAACAACCCTTTATCCTTTGCTAGACTGTAAACTCCATGAGAGCAGGGACCATTTTTGTTCAGTTCTTTACTGTATTTGCAACCCCTAGGCACTCAGTAACATTTGTAACATGAATGATTGTTTACTCTAGGCCACATCCTATGCTAGGTGCTTACTAAACAAGGTATCTTGTCCTCACAAGGAGCTTGCTGGGTAAATATAGTGTCCCGTTTTACAGATGAGCAAACTGAGGCTTAATAGTAGAGGCCATGTAGCTAATAAATGGATGCACCAAGGTTTAATCTAGGCCTATCTGGCTCCAAAGACTACATTTTTTTCTACAATACTAGTAATTTATCTTTTTCCCCAACCCTCTTTTATTTACCATATTTTCTTTCTTTTTTTTTTTTTTTGAGACAGAGTCTCACCCTGTCACCCAGGCTGGAGTGCAGTGACGTGATCTCGGCTCACTGCAACCTCCACCTCCTGGGTTAAGCGATTCTCCTGCCTCAGCCTCCTGAGTAGCTGGGATAACAGGCAGCCGCCACCACACTGGCTAATTTTTGTATTTTTAGTAGAGACAGAGTTTCACCATGTTGGCCAGGCTGGTCTCGGACTCCTGGCCTCAGGTGATACACCTGCCTCAGCCTCCCAAAGTGCTGGGATTACAGGCATGAGCCACCGCGCCCAGCCAATATTTTCTACGATTTTAGGTAGTCTTCCTACACCACATTTCTATGATGAATTCTCTCCTTCCTTTCTAGTTGCTTGCCCCAGGCCACTCCATGCTTAAATCTCTTCAAATAATTGTTGTTATTTAATTGATTACTTAAATGTAATTATTTTATTATCAATTTTAAAAAACCATATCACCATACCATGGAAATCATTTTTTTTCTTTCTTGAGACTGGGTCTCACTCTATCGTCCAGGCTGAGGTACAGTGGTGCAATCACAGCTCGCTGCAGCTTCAACCTCCCAGGCTCAAGCAATCCTCCTGCCTCAGCCTCCCAAGTGGCCGGGACTACAGACATGTGCCATCACACTTGGCTAATTTTTAACGTTGTATAGAGACAGGGTCTCCCTACATCACCTAGGCTGGTCTTGAACTCCTGAGCTCAAGCGATCCTCCTGCTTCAGCCTCCCAAATTGCTGAAATTATAGGCATGAGCCACCATGCCTGACCAGAAATAATTTTCATCACAAAATCCATATAGCTAAAACTATATATCTCCATTGCTGATGGGAATCATGTTTGTAAGTTGTTTTTGTGTTATTTTTCCATTGTAAGTTTTCATTCATGTTCTCCTTTCTACAGCTGCTTGTGACCTCCCATTAGATACTAAAAGATGTGTTCCAAAAGGTTTGCGTGTTAGGAGAACCTATTTAAATGTTAATGTCAAGTTGGCAGGCAATAAGCTGACATCTATTATTTGTGATGCAATTGATCCATCTGTGGGCCTTGCAGGTGGACCGTGAATTCCTTGTAGGCAGTAAGTGTCCCCCATTCAAGCCCTCCACCTAGCACAGGTGGTCGTTGGGAATATCAGTTGTTAAAAAAGCTTGACAAAGATCACACCTTTTCATACTTCAGGAAGCATGTCATTCTGTACAAAGAGGAGCTGTGCAAGAGTGGGTAAGAATCCATGCTTACCTGCCACTTCTATTGGGGAAACAAGTCAGAGTGCATGTCTGCATGCAATGGTCATCAGTGTTATCTGTGTCTGTCAAGGAGAATAATGACTACAATGAGGCACTCCAGAGGCGGGTGCATTCTTCAGCTTTTCTTTATTGCTGTGTAATTAATCCTTCTCAGGTGAGGTGACTTTTCTCCATTGGTATTGTCCTGTGTTTATGTGTATCAAGCTCAATTTCTCCCATGAGAAGTGGTTTCTCCTTCCTCTGACCTCCCATGACATTTTAACTCCATGCCTCTGTCATGAACATCTGTGTGTATGTCACACATCCTTTATAAGTGCATAAGCTTCTTAGGTCCAGCTTCATGGCTTGAGCATTTTAGTTTGCTTTATGTTACCCAGAAGAAGTATCTTTCACATAATAAGTGGATTGTAAATCATTGTTGAAAATATTAAATTGGGGCATAATCACATTGGCATTATAACCTCAGAAAACACTCCTGAGAGAGTCAGCTGGGGGTTTAATGGCTGAAGTCACGTGCAAATGGCTTTGGACTGTGCTCTGCTATTCATGATCTGAGTTAGCCTGGGCAGGCTATTTAACCTCTGTATTTTCTGTTCCCTTATTTGTAAAATGGTGATTAAAAAATACCTAATTGAGGAGGTTGTGTGGACTGAGATAGCATAAACAAAATACTTAGTAAAGTGCCTGGTATTTCATAAATTATAGCTGTAGTAATAGTAGTAAAAAAATAACAATAACTGAGGCCTTTGGAAGAGATTATTTTTTGACACAAGGTCTCACTCTGTTGTCCAGGCTGGAGTGCAGTAGTGTGATCATGGCTCACTACAGCCTCAGCCTCCGTGGGCTCAAGCAATCTTCCCACCTCAGCCTCCCAAGCAGCTGAGACTACAGTGGCACGCCACCACGCCTGACTAATTGTTTTTTGTATTTTTTGTAGAGATGGTGTTTCACCATGATGTCCAGGCTGGTCTCAAACTTGTGAGCTCTAGCAATCCGCCCACCTAGGCCTCCCAGAGTGCTGGGATTAGAGGTGTGAGCCACCACGCCCTACCAAGATTTTTAATATGCAGAAAATTGCTGCTTAGTTATTTCAAGTTTTTCCTGATATTTGTTCTTCAAGCCATTTTGTAGATATTTGTTTGCTCTTTGACAAGTGCTCGTTTGCACAGTGGCAGAGAGAATTGAGTCTTACAAATGTGTAGTTCTTACTTTGTTTCACTGAAGGTTTCAATCACCCATTGAAGCTGGATTAGTACACAAAACCCGAAGAATGTAGATGAGAAGATAGGACCTTGCATGTTGCACTGAAAATCCCATTACAAAGCCCCCAAAAGAGGCCCCACGAAGGTTGGAAAGTAGGTAAAGCAATACCAACAAGAGCTCTTTTTGTGCTGTTTGTATGCGTGCATGAGCCTAACGTTAATCAAATCCTATTTCTTGCTCTACTTTTTTTTGATCTATAAAATGTGGAGATATGGCTTTCCCCAATAAACAGAGACAGTATGAAGATTTATAAAATATATTTGAGAATTGAAATATATTTTTGAATCTTTAAGGCCTCTCAAAAGAGATGAACTATAGAAATTCAGTGTAACCTCATTGCTGGTATGAAAGTCACGTGATTTCAAATTTAGAGAAGAAAAAGTCTGGGTCCAGGTCCCGCCTCTGTCACTTGCTTGAGCAGATTGTTGATCTCTCTGAGCTTCAGTCGCTCATCCCAAGGTGCGGCTGAAGGAACCCCCTTATTTTCTGCTTTTCCTATCTTAGGGAGAGGTGGGGAGGACCAAATGAAGATGTTTCTGCGAGAGAGCTTCAGGAACTGTCAATTATTTCTCTAACCTCAGTTATTGCTTTTGTTATTATCTCCTCTGCTCTGCGTGTCTCTGGGGAGGGAGCTGAAAGGAAGAAAGGCTCAGGCGATGGTGAGGAGGGTGTGGAGTGACATTTCTCAAGAGGGGGCTATTTTGGGGGTGGTCCTCAGGCACCTCCAGCTGATGGAGCTGGTGTGAAGAGATACGCCTGTGACTTTTATCTTCCCAGTGTTGACCTGTTGTGGGATTTTTCTGGCCACCTTTTTCCCATCCTCTGGGACCTTATCTCAGGAGCATAATGAATTCAGCTTAGAGGAGGGCCCTGGGGGAGGGTCAGCTGGCCAGCCTCATAGGGAAGGTGGCCCACTCCTTCCTAGAGGTGATAGAAGGACTCATGGCAAGAGGCCAAGAGTTGAATTCAAAACCCAGGTAATAAAGCCAATGGGGCAAGAGATCTGATCCTCTTCATCCAGATCCTTTGAGCAGCTGGGGACAAAGGATTTGTATTTCTATAGGTCATTTGTAAAATGCATGGTTATTTATATAGTTTTGGTAATTGAGTGTAATGATAATGTTATGGTTTGACTTTTTAAAAAAACCTATCAGGCAGGAGAAACATTTTTAAATTATTGTCTTTTTTTCTCTTTTCTCTTATTTTCCTTTCTGTTTCATCTAACATTTATAGAGCTTCTGCTGTGTACCCAGGACTGTGGTAGGTGCCAGGAATACAGAAGAATAACACCTCCTCTGCCATCTAGGAATTTTAATGGGGTGAAACTAAGGGGTGGATGAGAAAGAAAGGAATGAACACTTGCTGAATATTCTTACTTAGCACACACCGTGCTTTTCATTTTCACATATATGTATTTAATTTAAAGCTGCAAACAACCTCCACAGGGCAGCCAATACTACTACTACCAATACATATACATATTTTATTTCAGCCTCAGAATAACCCCATAAGGCGAACACTATTATCCTCATATTATACGTAAGAGACCTGAAGTTAAGGGAGTTCAGGAACTTGCAGTGAGTGGCTAAGCAGGCATTTAGACTCCAGTTCCCTATGTCTGAAGCCCACCAGGCCCCTCTGCCTCTTCTGAGCTACCCTGAGGATCCCTGGCTGTAACCCATAGACCAGCCAGGCCCAAGGTCTATGGGCTCAAAGCTCTTTGACCTTGAGCAGAGACTCCCTCTCGGACACTGAGTCCCAGCATAAGGCTACAGAGCAGGCTGGAAACAGGAGCTGGGGCAGATTGGGCAGGGCCCTGTGAGCCACAGGAAGGAGTTTGAGTTTGCCTGGTTTAACATGGGGAGTGAGGAGGAATAAACGGGAAGAACTGTGTGCTGGAAGCGAGAGAGGCTTCCCTCGTGCAAACTCACAATCTTCATTCCGGCTTGGTTGAAACCTAGACTCTTTATGCCTCAGTTACCCTGGCTGCGAACTGGGACATTAGAGAGAGAGAGAGAAAAAGGAGCTTGGTGTTTCTTCTTTCCCAGCTGTGGCCCGGCAGCAGGAATCCTGATTTGAACTCAGGTGACCAGGGCTCCAGTCCTGGTCCTTGCATTTGCCAGCTAAGTGGTGCAACTGTAGGCAAGCCAGCTTTCTCCTTTGTCAGTAGGAGGCTATTTTACACTTTGCCAATAGGGGGTTATCCTGAATACTGAATGAGGCAATACGGAGTAAATGAGGTGACTGAAACTGGATGGATAAATGTGAAAGGAAATTGTAATGTTCCTTCTAGCGTGAGGCCACCATACCTGCAGAGTACTGTGCCCTGGTGACCTGCCAGCCTGGTATCAGGATGGTCTTTGGAGTCAGAAAACTTGAATTTAAAAATAATCCACTCTCCTTCTAACTAGGCTAACCATGTCAATCAACAGTGTCTCATTCCCTTTAATTATAAAATGAGAATGATCATTCTGGACTAATTATGCTCATTAGAAGTATTAAAGTAAAAGCATAGAAAGCAGTTCTTGCAGGGCCTGATGCATAGCAGGCTATCCATCAACAGGGTTTTATGTTTAATCTAGGGGCTTGGGCCAGGAGCACTCCCTCTGGCTTTTGGAAGGTGAAGATTATCATGGGACACGTACATCAATCTGCTTGTGTTAGCTGAATCTTCCCCAATATTACAGAGCCGGACAAGAGCTTAGAAATCCTCCAACCTAAGCCTCTGATTTTACAGATGAGGAAGTTGAAGACCAGAAAGATAAAGTTCTGGTAATAGTTGTAGGTGGAGTTAGCTCCAGGGCCAGAATCTGGTCTTCCATCTCTTTCTTCTGAACCCAGCTCCCAGACTTCCGCCTTACTGTCACCTCTGTGTGCTCCTAGCCCAATGGCAGTCTGGCAAGCCAGCTTGCTTCTAGTGGCTCTGGGTTGCTCACTGGAGCAGAGAGAAAGCGCTGGAGAGGGCTGTGCTGTGGCTGGCCCGAGGAAGCATCAGAAGCAGGACCTTGAGAGGTTCTGGCAGCGGCGACCTACTTACAGAAGGGAAAATCAGAGGCTGGCTATGGTGCATTTTGTTGTTGGAGAGGCTGGCTCTGCTGTGATCCTCTTCTCAGCAGACAAATGTGCTGCAATTGGGCCTGAAGAAAAGTAACTAGGGTTGGAGCATTGTTCATGGTAACTTCAGGCTCTGCTGTCAGAGGTACCCATGCTTAGCTTAGACAACCATCCAAATGGAAAAGAGAAAGCAGGAGAAAGAAACAGAGGAAGCACGCTGGAACCCTTTTTGTGAAGGAAAGGAATGGGCGGGCAGGGAGTGGATGCTGAGACACCCAGCCTAACCATTCCTACTGCAAACTCTATTCCAAATGGTGACAACTAGAATCTGCATGGCATTGCAGATTCTAGTTGTCACCATTTGGAATAGAGTTTGCAGTAGGAATAGATTATACATGGCTTTCGTGTTGTCTCATTTAATTCTCCACAGCAACACTAATGTGGGTATTTTTTTCTTTCAACAAATATTAACTGAGCTCCTCCATGTACGGGAGATAAGTATTGGGGCCAACCTTGTTACCTTTGTCTTGAATTACCAATCACATTTCATAGATGAAGAAACTGAGGTTCAGTGACTGACCCATAGTAAGTTATCAATAAACAGAGTCAGAAATCGGGTTTAGGACTCAAAACCTTTCCATCACACCACTAGGGGCATCACACATCTCCCTCTTGCCCCGACCATCACACCAGAAGGACCCACAGAGGTACATGCACAAAAGCCTTGCATTTACAGTGTCCGACTCACACAGGTCCACACATTGAGTCCACATCTCCTACTTGTACTATTTGTGAAAATACAACTAAATGCAACTTTGCCTTGAGATCTCATCTTTAAAAATGGAATCAAAGGCGTCTCCTATTCTGTCTCTGCTTCCAAGGATCAGGTGCGGTCAGAGTTATACATTCAGATTCCTAATTCAAGGAATGTACTTATTATATAAGCTGGGCATCAATCAGCATCCATGTATTGAGCACCTTCTAAATGCTAAACAGCAAACCAGACAAGTGAAGGGAACATGGGCATACAGAATGGCTTGCAATTTGTGTAAGAATTGGGGAAACCAAACTGGAGGAGGCCAATACTGGAGGCTGCTAGACAGGAGAGCAATGAGCTGGGTCTGAAAGCACTGGATGCTGGGATGGGTGCACAGGGGAAAAGTGAGCATTCCAGGCAAAGGGAACAGGCTTGGCAAAGGCAGAGAGGTCCCATCCATTGTGGTATAAGGCAAAGGCTGTTACCAGAGAGGGCTAAGCACGTGAATACCCAGATCTCAAAACACAGAAATGGAGGCAATGGCCCTGGAGATCCATACCCTAAAGAGGTATGGGCTGTAATGACAGCAAGCCTTGGAAGGACTAGAAGGGCACAGACCTCTTGGGCCCCACCCTTCAGCCATTTTGGATGCTCTTCAATTCTGGGCATGAGGCCTGGAAAAGTTGGGGAGCCCTGCAACATTTCCACCAGATGGCAGTATCTCCTAACGTGACTGTCCTGGGGGCCATGGAGGGGATTTAGCTTGCAAAGTGCCTGATATTAAGATTTAGAGTCCCAGGAGGCCATCCTTGTAGCCACAGTTCAGGCTTCTGGTTCATTCCCTCCCTCCATCTCCCATGTGCTTCCAAGATTTCATCCTGGGAATGGAAACTGTGAAGCTGTCTGAGGAACCCTCTTCAATTCATGCGGAGGATGATCACTCCCTCTCCTTTCTTTCGTGGTATCACCCTCTCCCCATTTGAGAACCTGAATGATGCTGGCAGGCTCACGCTTCCAGTGAACCACAATTACTTGTAAAGCAGAGCAGCTGGATCCCATGTGTGATCTGCGTTCAGTTTTGCCTTAACCCAGTGCAATTACCCGATGACCGCCTCTGAAATGTGCCTGCCTTTCTATCCCCTTCCTGTGAGCACACCCACCTGTGAGCACCCCCACCTGTGGGCTCCTGCACTGAACCCCTTGAAGGTGGGATGGGAGGACAGGTGGGAGTAAGGACAGATGGAGCCACCGATGAGCCAGGGACAAGATGCTTACTTAGCCGCTCATAGTGCTACACACAGGAGCGAGGAGCAGAAGAAGGGACAAAGAGCAGAAGAGGGGCAAGGTCCCCAGGGATTCCCAGTGTGCTTTAATACCATAATCTGCAAAGTACTTGGGGCCTTTGGATCAGTTTCAGAGCAGGAAGGCAGTTCATATGCAAATGAGATCATTTGACCATTCCTTGAAGTCAAAGAAGGTGGCAACCTTAAGAGTATAAATGAAATTATCTTCCTTTTCAGAGAAAGATTTTAAGACAACCACATATATTATTCAAACAAAGGGTGTTATTTAGCCAAAAATGCCCCAAAGACACATCACTCAGAAAGTGCATGCTTCACCGAGGGACATAGGACCTCCAGGACTTTGGTCAACATTAATAGTGGGGAAAAAGGTTCATCAGAGTACAAGACAGGCAACGGGATCTAAGGATGGTGAAGGAAGGTGCCAGTTGGTTTAGACTGAGGCTCACCTCTAATGATGTGGTAGCCCAGGGCATGCCCCACCATGAGGCAATTTCGGTTCTTCTTCCTTCTTATATCTCCAGACCCAGCTCTTTCTCCAAGCACACTTGGATTGTTTTTAGTCACATGATTCCTTTAGAGCTCTGCACCCTCTTGCAGTCATTGGAAAAGTGATTTTATAAGCTAAAGAGAAGTGTACGTCAGGACCTTGGGCCTATACTTTTTGACATCATTGCAGTTGGTGCTTGTGTGTGACATAGTACGTCCAAGACAGACGGTATGCCATAGCGGAGATCCCATAGATTTGTAATCAGAAGACTGGAATTGTAGCCCTAGCTTAAAGACTGAAGACTTTTACATCTTCATGCGTTTGTTTCTATAAAAAACTGATAGCAACTGAGTGGTTTAAATCCCAGGATTTTTGCAAACCTAATGAGTTCAGGTTGGTGAAAGCAACCTGAATCATTATTACTAAGATTTCAAGTATCTCCCAGATCTTTTATGGGGTTCTCCTTGGGAAATGCAGAAGATACCTTCCCCCATCCCTGGAACAAGTTCTGCCACACACTGAATGCAGAGGGACTGGGGTCTCCGCTACAGTGCATTGTGGGACTCCCTCAGTTCCTCTCCTCCATCCGGGGTTGTCAGCGGTGTGCAGTTACCCAGTGGGCTGAGCTGTTCTGTGGCCCACGGCACAGTAGCAGTTGAGGCTCAGGCTGGTGCTACCTCTCTGAGCTGTAGTCTCTGCTGTCTTCCTTCCACGGACTGCACTCAACCTCTGTATTCATCATAAAGAGCGAGTAGAAGGTCCTTACACTTGGGGTCTTCTACCTTCTTGGCCTGTTTATTAGTCCTTTATTTCTCTTCCTCTCTGCTCATAACAGCAGCTGATAGAGTTTCCTGGAAACTTCTAATGAAGACTGTGTGTTCTCATTTGAGTTCCAAGCAATAGGTGCTCCTGCTGTAAATTTTAAAGGCCATTTTGCTCAGTGTAGCAGTGAGTAATTCCACTCCAGGATGTGAGTGGGTGTAAACTCTAAGGATCAAGCTGGACTGTACCAGGCTCAGCCCACCTTCTCCAAGAAGCTCTCTGGATCCCCTAAGTCATGTCCCTCTGAAGTCCGGGGTACCCAACCCTGGCTCTGTATGACTCTCTTTTCACTCATCAGCATCTGCCAGCTATCAGAGAAGTGTTGGTGCAGGCTGCAGGGGCAGGGAGAGGCTTGGTTTTTACTGATTCTTGCAGTCTCCTCCACCCTGTACGTATTCCAAGCCTTGCGCTTTGCAAAGAGCAAGCATTTAATAACATATAAATTGAGAATTATCTTGAAGAGGTGAGGTTCCCATCCCATGGCATTCACGGTTTTATGAGGTGGGAATGGGATAGATACAGAGACGGAAAACCCAATCGTTAAATCAGGAATAATGGAAACATTAGGTTTCTTCCATCCCAACATGCTGTGGTCTGTGGGTAAGTTACAAACTCAGGCCTCTACTCTGATTGATCTTTGTCCCTTCCGAAGGGATGCTAGAGTGAACAGGGGGCTCGGTGTGTCTGATCCTTACTTTTCGGAAAAAGGAAAGGGTAGAATGAAAGTTTCGCAGCAACAGGAAGTCAGGGTGCAAACATATCTGTTAAATGTTGGGAGTAGGTACCTCTGGATCCTGCTGATCACCCCTTTCTCAAGGAGGTGAAAAGGAAACAAGAGGGCTGCAGAGGGCTGAGGCCCAGGATTTTCTAATTGCCCCATAAGAGGATCCGGTCTCCCAAGAAAGCAGCAAGGTGAGTTGGCTCTCCTGACACGCACTGTTGGGCAAACAAGTGTGGATCCTGTGACAGCACCATGGGTGTGGGCCAACTCCAACCCAGCCCTGGAACTCGGGAGTCCATAAGCGCCTGATCCAAATGCCAGATTCAAGCCCTAAGAGAAAGATTCCAGGGCAGTGAGGCAAGTCTTCAGCCAGCACTCCATGTCCAGGGCTTGGCAACCTCTCCACAGCAGTAAAGGCAAACAAGGTTGATCAATATGGATTGGTGTTGATACACCTTGAGGTCATAATGTGGAGTGAAAAATACAAGATGCACTGCAATAGCATCCATGCAAACCTTTTAACCAGGTACGTGCACTGGTAGAAAAGTAGAATCCATGCATGAGAAGGATGGGCACTGACTTCGGGAGAGCAATTTCCTCTTGGGAGGCAGGGTGGAGAGTGAGACAGGGCTTCCAGATAGGTTTTCGTGCCTCTGTAATTTTTTTTCTAAACAGAAATACTCAGAACAAATGTGTCAGGGTGCAAAAACATCTGTTAAATGTTGGCAGTAGGTGCAGGGATTATTTTCTGGTTATTTGAGAAATTTCATAACAAACCATTTTTTAAAAAGGCCTGGGGGAAGAAAGAATTCTGCCAGTGAGAAGCTATACCTACACCATTTACTACCACCTGGTCATCTCCTTTCTGACTGCATCTCAGAGCCACCTATGAAGCCTGGGCCCCAACTCAGGCACATAGGAGAGTCTCAGAAGACGCAGCCCATGGTGATTCTGACCCCCCCAGGGTCAGCTCAGACGTCGTAAGAACAGCTGCCCTGGTCTACCTGACTGTAAAGTCTATGCTGCAGGGTCTCTCAACCAGCTCTTGTACCAAATGTCAGCCTTTGGAGGAGGTCGACTTCTGCTCCCGTGTCAGAAGCTGCACTTCTACACTAGGTTTCTGCCAGGAGGCAATAGTTCCTGCTGTTGGGAGAACCCAGTGGCACTGTGCTCTGGCCACAGACAGTTAGAGCATCTGAGGCCATAGGGCTGGATATAAACCCAAAGCTCTCCCACTAGTTCCCTGCCAGGCTGCAATCACTTCTCACACCCCAGGCATGATGCAGGGAGAAACAGCCCCCATTCAGTAGTCCTGGGTGGTCTCCCCGTGGATCTGTTGGGGTCCCCCGGCTCTCACAAGCAGGGGTTTTTCTTTTATTTCATTTCAGACCTTCAAACTCCTCTTCTGAATCTGTTTGCTCTTGTTGAGGTCTAAAAGGAGGTGGAGAAAAGCCCCCAAAGGAATCCATGCTAGTGCTTTCATGAAATGTGCCTCGAATTGCAGGCCTGGCTCCCGGGCTCACTATTTGTGTCTTGTGACCTTGGGTGCTCCTCTGTGGGCTAGGAAAGGCCCTTCGCTAGAGCCTCCCTGCCTGTCAAGATGTCGTGGGGAAAGAGCACTGCGGGAGACCCAAACATCAGGGTGGCATTTGTGCCTTTCTTGTAGTCAAGTGATCAGTATCACTTTTAGGTTCCCAGCTCCTTCCTCAGGGGCAGAATGCAATACTATGCACATTGCAGGTACCCAGTGTTTGTTGATGAGAGGAATGAATGAGCGAATGGAGAATTTTGAGAAGCACGTGCACAACCTGGGAGCTAAGAGACTGTTATAATTAGAAAACCAGGGCTGGTGCTGGGAACCCAGTGGAGGGGCTGGTTCCCGGTGCCTCCCTATCAGACAGGGCTGTCCAGGCTCCCAGACAGCTGGGCCTGAGCCAAGACTCAGCACACTGGCTCTCAGTGACGCCCTGAGGGAAAAGTCATTCATCATAGAAGGTAATGGTGTGTGGAAGGACCTACCTACCCTCCCCCACCCCATCTTCCACAGACTAGTGGCAGTTTGGAAAGAATCTGAGTTTCCCAAGAGAAGAAAGGCCAATTTTAGAACAGTTTTCCTTTTTTTCTAAGCAAGCTGGTGCTTAGGGCATTCTGTACCGGTTCCATGCCAAGGTATTTGAGCCTCCTCAGACTCTGACCCAGACCACTCCTGCCATCCCAGGTATCAGCTCCCCATCTCTCCATCTATGCCTTCTCTCTGTGTCACCCAAAGCAAAGGGCAGCAATGTTAATCGGGTCACTCCACGGCAGCCCTTAGTTCCCTGACCTCGGCCATGGGCTCGGTGCTGGCTCCCCCAGCTTCTCTGCAAGGAAAAGAGCCCTTATGAAGAATCACAGTGGTTCCTTCCTCTCTTCTACATCTGTCTAGGATAGGCATATGTCACAAGAAGTAGAATAATAGGAAAATAACTTGCCACTCAAAATATGGCCCCTGCACTGCACCAGCAGCCTCAGCATCATCCGGGAGCATGTTAAAAAACACAGAACCTCAGAACTGCTGAATCAGGATCAGTATTGTAACAAAATATCCAGGTGATTTTTATGCCTGTTAAAGTTTGAGAAGCAAGGTTTTAGCCCAGCGGTTCTCCAAGTGTAGTATGTGAACCAGGAGCATCAACCTCACTCACATGGGCACTTGTTGGAAACTCATGCTCCGGCCCCACCCTTGACCTGCCAAATTAGAAATCCAAGGGATAGAGTACAGCATTCAGTGTTTCAAAGCCTCCCAGATGGTTTGAATGCACACTGAAGTTGGAGAACCACTGCTGCAGAGGGCGCTTCCACTTTAAAGATAATGTAAAAAGCAAAGAGAATGGCATTGAGTCAAACCAAGGTGGATGCAGCCAGGATACCACCAAGTGCTCACTTTGGGTCTCAGCAAAAACAGGAGCCTCAGGGTCCCTCTCTTCCCTTCTTTTAGCAGAGATTCAGAATTTGTAATGTGGAAGACACACATCTGGATATCTGGAAGGATGGGGAGGGAGGGTCGGGCTACTCGATGAGGCGATCAGGGCAACGCGGCTTCTGCCCCTTGAAAAGAAGGCTCAAGTCAACCCACCTGAATCCTTCCACCGTGGCAGCTCTGAAGCCATAACAAACCATGCTATGATTCCCTGGTTATCTTACAACTGCTTCCCTATACCGCCCCATGGCCACCCCACCTCCAGTTTTGAAACCTCAAAGCCCGTCTGTGGCCTTAGAAGCCCGAGCTGTCCTGTGAAATCACGGTCTCCCACACAACCACGAGTTGCTCCCTGGGATTCAGAGTCCTCAGCTGTCAAACAAGGAGTGGGGCTGGGTTGTAAGGTGCCTGGTCCTTTTGGAATTTCCGGCTTTTGTCCTGGGATGTCTTGGGGGCAGCTTTGTTCGAGGAGGTCAGGTGTAGATGAGGTAACTCTCATGGTGCTTCCATCCCTTCCATTGTTATGTCAGGTGTTTAACATGTTTGCTGACTCTCATGCCATTTCTCAAGGTGGTCTGTAGGGTTTTCTCTTGAGCTCATCTTTACCTGAACTGTTTAAATGCAAATCCTGGGCCACTTGGCTATAGGGTCCCTGCTGGTCAGCATGGGCTTTGGCTTCCGCAAAAGGTCTCAGAATGAGGATCGTGGCCCAGAACCAATTTCTATATTGATGTCCTCCTTCATCATGTGTATAGTATATTTTTGGACACCAAAGTCTTGTTGAACACAGCCTTGCAGATTTTTGCTTTCTCATGGGAGCCTTCTCCCACCCAGAACTCCAAGTAAAGACAAACATCCCTGCCAGCTCCCTGAGCTGGAGGGTAGAGATTGCATAGTCACTTTTTACTGAGGTCATTGCCCTTTGCGAATGAGTAGGAGATTTTGTAGTTTCTTTTTACTGAAGATCATAGCTTAGCATAGGGTTCTCAGAGCCAGATCCTTATGGCCTTCTCTCCTGCCCTGGTGTCTGATGAATGAAGCCTGTGGGCCCAGTTCAGGTCTGGTCTAGACATTCCTTACCCCAAGCCACCTTTCCACTGGGAACTGCTTCAGTAAGAGATCTCCCCATTCTGGCTTTCAATTAATCATTTCAGACATCTATGGATTTTTCTTCCTCTTGTAAGCCCAACTACGTATGTATTTTTTAAATGTATGTTATTTGGCATTTTTATCTGCTGAGGTGCAAGCTTACGCTAGCCCAGCTCAGCACATGTCCATAACTCTAAGTCCCAGACGACACCGTGTTGCATGATTCCTTTCTAGACAAGAAAGCCATTTATTGGAATTAGCAGAGAGAATCTCTCACCAGTCCAGACTTTCCCATGGGGTTCTACTGATGCGGAACCAAAAGCGGCAGACAGGAAAATCCCTTTTCTCTGTGTTCCCTGCTCTATGGCGAGAGGACCGAGGCACCTAGGAGCTTCATTCCTAAGACGCTCCATCCTTGGAGGCTGCCACTCTTTAGCCCCTCCTCCCCTGCCTGGGAACGTGCTTGGGTCTCTCTTCACAGTTCCCCATTGGCTGGCGGAGTGCTCGGATGGACAGTGACCGTCTGGTGACCCAGCAGGGCGGAGGGAAGCTTTGGATGAGAATCCTCGGCTTCCCTGAGGACGCCTGAGGGTGGGGAAATAATCTCCCTTCTTCTCCAGCCATACAAGTTGCTTATCCCAGTTTCAGCTTTCTATGGTTTCAAAGATATATCCAGCTTTATCTGTTATGACGTAATTGAGGTGGAGGTAGAGGAGTTCAAGAAACGGAAGGGGGGTATCAGCTAGTTTGTGGGGATTTTCCTTTGTAGACCAGTATTAATGTGCGAAGCCCTTAACACCGAACAAGAGAAACCAGGGTTTTATTAATGTTAAAATTTCAGATAGAAGGTATGCTTTGGCGTGGAATAGGATCATTGTCGACATTGACGAAATAACACAATACATTGGGATTTTGAGAGATAGAAAAGAGGAAAAAGGAATTTCTCATCTTTCATAGAGAGAGGTTAACAGATACTGTCCACATTTGCAAGGAAATACTAATCTTAAAATTCTAAGTATTTTAAAAGTTTATTTATGTTTAAAGTAATTTTAGGTATGTTATTTAATGTCACAAAGATAAGTACTAGGGAAAAATTAAAATAGTTACTGATAAAAATTAAGATCCAGCGAGGAGAGGGTATGAGGTTGCAGAATTCAACAAATTCCCTATCTGTGACACTTGGTAGACAACAATTTCTGTTAAAATTAGGTAAATCAGCAATAGAAGCATAAACATTTTGTTTTCTACTAAGATGGTAACCATGAGAAGAACAAAAGCCAGAAACTAGTCATTGCGGTTATCTCTGGAGGGCAGAGGAGGGAGAATTTTCTTGTTTCATGTCTTTCTGTGATGTAGCTATTTTTTAAGATCATGGGCATGCAATTATTTCTATAATAATAAAAACCACTTAATGCATTTAATGGGTCAGAGATAATTGTATCTTGGTCAGCAGAATCTAGACAGAGAAATGTTTTGATTTCTGGGACTGCCAAATCTGTCTTCTTAAGCAAGATAAAGCCATGGAGGTCAGGAGGGATAAGCTGGCACTCTGTGACAGCCGGGTGGGAGAGGGGGCAGATAAGGCTCACCTTGCTCCAGCGGAGGGAGCATGGGAGTGAAAGAAGAAGGCCGAGTGCGTGTTAAAGGGTCAGGCTACTGCGGGCACATTGTTTCTTCAAGGGTCAGGAATATTGTGTCTAGGAAGACTATCTGGAGAATAAGAATTTTTCTACCTAGAGAACAGGAAAAAGATTAGAGAAACAGACACACACACACACACACTCACACACACACACACTCACACACACACGCTAGAATGTTGTTACTGTATTTTTCTCTTGGTTCTGTGGTTCCCCACATTCAGTAATTGGCCTTTCTGACTATTTCAGGGCCCTATATCGGAGCCCTTAATTTCTTTAAATTAAGAAATAGTCTAGAGAAAACAAAAGACAAAAGATGTGTTAGCTCAGATGCCATTCTGTGAAAAGGAAGCATTCCCCAGCACAGGTGAGATTCCTACTTATGTAGAATGATGGCAAATACAAGCTGAGACTCTAGTTCCTGACTCTTAATAGGGAGCTCTTTGTTCCAAAGGAAACTTCTTCTGCAGTGTCCCTAAAAACCACAGTGCCAGCGCCCCATCCTTCTGCAATTCCCACTGTGCCCTGACCATTGCCTATGCTTCACAAAGCTTTGTCTAGGAGCCTGAGGCTTTGGTCCTTTAGGAACCTCAGTAGATAAGCTGGAGTTTCCCAGTAGGTTTCCAAAGTGGTACTCAAATTTCTGATTTATTCTTCATTCATTTTAACATAGAAAGATGTCCTTTTCCTTCCCCCCTGACTAAGGTACCAAGAACTTGCTCAGGTTCACCATGGGAGGGTGGAAAAGCCCTCAGGACTGTGCAGCCAGTGGGAACATACACCATCGTCCTTCTGCAAAGCACCTCTCCCTTCCCCATCCTCCAAAACGCATTGGCCCAAACCACCACCTCCAGCCTTGATGTTGAAAATCCAACCCCCATGTTGGGCTATACATGTGTCAACCCTCACTGATGCTTTTAATTTCATCTCCTTCTGTTTTTTATGCATCATGTACTAACCTTCTTTCTGGACATTGTGTAAGCTTATGCCTCTGTGTCTTGGCACCACTTCTCCTCTGTGCCCGGAATGGCCTTCTTTGCCTCTCAGGTTTTCAAAACTTTACTTGATGACCCCTCAGGCCATTAACTGGTGTATCCTCTGGGCTGTTAGAGCACTGTATGTTAGTCTTGGCACCTTGTATCTCATTCATGTGTCAGTCATCTTCCAGATTCCCTTAAGGTCAGAAACTTGTGTCTCATCAATCTCTATGCCCAGCCCCTGGCACAGCAGCCATGCCATCCCCAGCACACACCAGGAGGCTCCCACATGTTGTAGGTGTGAAGATGAGCTTTGAGGTCTAACTGAGTAGAAGTCCCAACTCTGCCACTTACTTGCTGTGGGACTGGGGCAAGTTAATACTCCGTGCAATGAGGATTGCCTCCACTTCATTGGTTTGCTGTGATGATGAAATCAGATTGTTCCTGTAAAATGCTTTGTGCATGTATTATGTACTCAGTCAAATTTACCTATAATTATTAAATGAAAGGAATGTAGTGCACAATTTCAGATTTTTTTTCTGCCCACATTTTCTCTTATCTTTTCTAAAATTCCTAAACTAGGTAGCAAGAGCTGCAAGAACTTTCAGAGCTTGGAGACAGGCCCTAAAATCACAAGAATAAACCAACCTTCATGTGCTCCAAAATATGCCTCCTGGGTTGGAAGCAATGACAGGTTTCTGCAGAAGCTGGCTTTCCCATCGCCTGTCTCTAGACTGCTAAAGGGGGCTATCATTTGGAAAGTCCTCTAAAGATGGAAGTCTCCATTCCATTGGCGAGCGCATATCAACCCTGGAATGTTCTTTTTCCTGACTCATTTCCATCCATCACAACGAGTGTAGTTTTAGGCCCTCTGCCCTTATTCTGTCACCACAGACTTGTATCCCATAGAAAACTATTTCAAAGCCTGGAGCGTCTTCTCTGGTTCTCCTGATTAGGGTTTTTTTGTTGTTGTTTTTTTGTTTTTTTTGTGTGTGTTTTTTTTTTTTTTTTGGAGGGAAGGGGATGAGTTTCCATCAAAGGCTAGAAGGCAGAGCTGAATCTTGGACATGGTCCTTGGGTGACACCTGATGGTTAAATGCCATATCGCAACCATTTTTTTCTTCTGCCCAACAGTACACAAACTAGCAGAAAAGAGTCACCATTCAACAGATATTTTTGACTTGTTTCCATGAATAAAGGTAACTGACCAGCCAGGGGATCAGACCTCTGAGTTGATAAATATGCATCAGCTAGCTGAGCTCAGAAAATCCAGGTGACAAAGGAGGGGTCCTGGGGAGGAATGCGTTCGGGGTGAATCACCCACCTCCCAGGCCCGAAGGAAAGGGCTACTGTTCTCTGTACATGCATTTTTTATTACAACTTCACGGTATCACAAAACCATTGTTATCAGCAAGGCCCCACTAACCATGACAATGACCCCAGTACCACTTTTCCTTTGTCTTACCCTTTACTTTTACGAAGTACCTCTGTTATTTGAGCCTGACCCTAAAATCCTGTAAGGTGGGCAATGACAAGATTATTGTCTCAGCTGTTTGGTAGGGGAACTGAAATGTCTGGTCCAAAGCCAGATTGCTTTGCAATGCTGCTTCTGGGACTAGAGTGCAGAGGCCTTCCCTTCTGTGGTCCCAGTTTTGCTATTTTCAAGCTGCAATGATTTCTTCCCTCATGCCCTTTTACTCCAACCTCACTTCCCTCATGGTTCAAGTCCTCCCATCTCTACTGCAATGACTGCAATGATCCCTGGTCCCTGCTCTCTAGTCTCTTCCCCTTTCACGCCCTTCCATGGTGGAGTCAGTTGTATGTTTAAGACAAAGATCCAATCACACCTGATTTAAAACAAAAACCAAAATAAAACTGCCATGGTTTTCACTGCAGCCAGCACAAAGCTTAACCGTCTTGGCCTCCTGCACAACATCCTTGACTCCTGACTGCATCGACAGCCTCATCCCCAGCTCCTCTCCTCCCTGCCACCTGTGTCCCACCACACACACCAAATTTGAGCTCCAGCCACACATGGTTGCTGATCTCCATTCCCCATAGTCTTCCACCGCCCACCGCATTAATTTCCTCTCACAACATGCTTTCTTCTCACTTCTGTAGGCTGGCCATTCTGCTGTCTCCTCCAGATCCATTCTCCTCATTTCTCTTCCTTGCTTATTGTCCCAGAGACCATCACTCAGGCTCCATTCTCTCTGGATTCCAGTTGGCTTCAGCCATGAATCCTGCACTAGCCAGAGACCAGAGAGCAAGGTCCTGGTGCTCACAGTCCTCCTTGTGATTTGGGGAGTGGGTGCATCCCTCTTCCTAGGTCCCAGTCCTGTAACAGCCCTTCTCCACAGCCACAGCCATCTGCAGGTTCTGGGTATCCCACACTCACTCCATCCACTTGACTCCTTGGGCCTAGAGGTCTAGTGGCTTCCTGCTGCTCCCGGTGCCCTGTTGGCTCTCATGGCACTGCCCACACCCCTGCACCTTCTTTAGGCTCTGTTTGTCATTCCTTTCCAGTGTGTTCTGCATTCTGCCAGGAAGACCCTGACTGATACAACCTCTTCAGTGAGGCCTCTCCTGCATCCTCCTTCCTTCCTGGTAGCAGTAATCACTCCCACATAGAGTACCGTCCATGCATGCTACCTCACAGGATTAGTGGTTTGCACCATGAGTGACTCCATGGCAATGCTTCTTTCATTCATCTTTGTATCCACAGTCCTCAGTATGTGGTCTGGCACACAGTATGAGGTCAAAATGCTTAATGAATGAATCACTTCTTGCACAAAAGAGATGTTTTATTTGAAAGGATGTAGTCGAATGATATCAAGGCTTTGGGTTTGAACTTTATATGGATCAGTTATTTTTATGAAGAGCTTATGGCAGAGATTCTACCCTCATTCTGGTCAGTCATAATGGTTTCCCTTGAAGCGTGGATGGATCCACCAGCTTTCTCATGCCCAAGAGAGTGCCCTGCTCCAGAACACACAGGCTCTTGTGGCATGGCTTTTGAGGGAAAGCCCAATCATAGCGGAGAGTCATCCTCTGTAAGTCCTGCAATATATTGTGCATGGAGGCACAAAGCTTCTGGAGGTAGGAAGAGATGCTTCAGAACCAGAAGTGTCAGCTCCAAGGGGTGTCTGCTGATGAGTTGGCGTCATCATCAGGCTTCCCTGCTTTAACCAACCTACTTGAATCAATGACTACACTGAGCTTCTAGAGGGAAGGCTGGGGCTGGCCAAGAGACAGAGTTTGGGAGCTCTCATCACCGGTTCACTGATACGGGCTCTTTCATCTCACAAGACGCTAAAGCACAAAGACTTTCTGGAGATCATTGGGAAGGAAAAACCCAGGAGTGGGCACTAAGATGAGTCGTTGGAGCTGGAAGATGAGAGTGAAACTTCTGTTCTACGGAAGAAGGGGCCAAGACTTGGAGATGCTGTGTGTCTCGTGTTGCTCAGTCCCCAGACAGGATTTGGGATTCAGATGTGCACAGAGAGGTGATGGGCTGGCCCTGGTGCCCAACACACACCAGCTCTTCATCTGAAGGCTCTGTAGCATCTGCCTCCAGGCCTTTCTGTGACTCTCTGGGCCAAAGGCAGGAAAAGCAGGGCAAATCTTCTTCAAAGGATTTGGTTTATTTGCCACTAGAGTAATTCCAGATAGATCAAGGATGCAAGGCTTGGCAGTGTATTTGGGAAGTTGGGCTGGGATTCAACATTTGTTAGGGTTAATCAAGAGCTGCAGAGTTCTGTGCACCTAGAAGGTATTCATTAAAATTTGGTGAATAGATTAAAAGACAAAGCCACACACGCAGTACTTGTGGACAGAGCTGACTTTACAAGTCCCCCTCGCTTACCACGCCATCCATAGTAAATACCCCACAAGTCCCTTCACTGCTGGTCCTAGGTCTTTGCCCGGCTTCCCTGTCAATGTCTGGACACCTAAACGGGCTTCCTGGTTTTCCTCCAGCCTCCTTGCTTCTTGGCCCTCAGTGTGTGTGTGTGTGTGTGTGTGTGTGTGTGTGTGTGTGTGTGTGTGTGGTTGGGGAGGGCGGGTAGGCAGCCTTCCCCTGTTGCTATATTGGGAATTCTAAGCCCGTTGCTGTAAATGAAGTGACATTTGCCTTCGCATCCTTGTCTGAAAAGAGGCTCCTTTACACTGACTATATTTCTAGCCCCACCACGGTCACTTAGAGTGGCCACTGAGGGAGTTGAGGAGGTCACAGCCTCTCCTCGTGTATAGAGCAGGTGTTTGCACACTGGAACCTTTTTGCACACGCAGGGCTGGCCTCTGAGGTAGGGATTTCAATAGCTTCACAGGCCATTGTTTCCTCCTCAATGCCCCGAGATCAACGCAGGAAGTGTAGGTTTTCTTAAGGTGCCCCGGGAAGATATAACTCTATGAAGACCCACCATATACACAGGGAGTGACAAGGCCTATTCCCTGATTCTGACCATGGACCTGGGACAGCTGAACCAATGACAAAATGCAGCAGCTCCTGCCTTGCTTACAGCTCCATGTGGCTGAGTGCAGCCACCTCCTGTTCTTAGGGGTCTATGAGCGACTTAGGAGCTGGACGGGGAGGAGCACAGCAACCTGTGCAGGGGCCCTGCCTGCATATTCTCTCCACGCCTCTTCTTTCCCTCAGGCGGCTGGGAAGTCTGGACGGCGCCCATACCAAAGGGAGGACGTCTGCCTGGAAGCATGTGTGTATGTACGTATGTATTTAAGAGAACCAGTCTTGCTCGGTTGCCCAGGCTGGTCTTGAACTCCTGGACTCAAGCAATCCCCTCACCTCAGCCTCTTAAGCAGCTGGGATTACCAGCCGCCTCTGGAAGCATTTCCATCTCCCTGCAGGCTGCTGGCAGGCCACCTACTCAGAGCTGTGCCTGCTCCCTGTGCTCTGTTCCATGCAATCCCGGGCCCCCAGGTGCAAACGCCCTGTCCTAAAGGCACCCTGCCGGGCATGTGAGTGCTCTTCAGCCACCATAGGCCACAGGAGGGGAGTTGGAGGTGACTGGGCAACTCCTGGTTCACTTGCCTGGTGGGAGGGAGGCCATGACTTCACAAGAGTGGGAGGGAGGTGCTCAGTCACTTGCACAGGAGAGTTGTTCCCTCGTTCAGGTGAGTCCCTCCTCCACACACCTGTGGCTGGATCTGTGATGTGGCCTGACGTGGCAGGGAGAGCCAGTGGCCGTCGCCGGGGCTCCAAGCGTCCCCATCCTGCGGCTGGCAGTGCCTGGCCTCCTGGTCCACAGGACCAGGCCTGAGTGAGCCACACAGGGTAACTCTCCCATCCTCCAAAACCATCCAGATTCCACCCTTGGAAGTGGCTGGGCAGAGCACCCAGTCAGCCTTTCCTTGACTTCCCGCAGCGGCTGCAAACGCCGGCCTCGTCATGCTTTCCAAACGCATGTTCAAGGCCACGAAACAAGGAGGCAGGAGATGCACATTTTCTTTTAAACGGCTTTCTTGTCTGCCTCTCTGCGGAGTGAACGTGCTCTGAGGCAGGAAGTCCACAGGGCCTTTTCCAACCATCCTCCAGGGGCCCGCAGGGATGTTTGTGCCCCACCTCCCAGCCCCGTGGACTGACGTGGTACTGGCTGCTAGCAGGGTGGGGCGCAGTGTCTCAAAGCCGCGCTTCTGCACCAGGGTGGTGACTAAGAGGTAAAAGTTAACTTGTCCCAGACATCCATGTCAGGCTGGCTCCCCGGGCAAGGAGGTGGCAGCCAGCTCTGGCCTAGTGCCAAGGAAGTCTCCTTGATGCTCCCCAGCTGTGAACACCAATGTGAGTCTGACCACTGGCTTGCCACGTCATACAACTGGAGCTGCAGTGCTTGAGCCCAGCTCTCTGACTAGGAGGGAAGTGCCTGGTGCTCTGCACAACCACAGACACAGAGCTGGCCAGATAGGATGGGGGCCAAGGCCCTGCCATGTCCCACTGTGGCTGCATCCTGGCCCTGATGATGCCAGGCTGGTGGCTTCTCTAATCAGGCAACTCACAACCGTGCCACCCAAAGGCCAAGATCTCTGTCCCAGACCCTGACAACCAGCCTGCTCATCTCTGGTAATGTCCCAGAAAAAAATGGATAAGAGGGTCCTTTTCACTGCCTCTGTTCCTGTCTCCAGGAGTTCCCCCAGGGAACACTGCTCTTGCAGGTATGGAGTATGCTCACACATACTATGCTTAATATTTTGCTGTATTTTCTTCTGCTCTTTATTTGCAGTATGTGTGTGTGCGTGTGCGTATGTACATATGTGTGCATATGCTTGTGGGTCCATTTAAACAAACAGGATCATCTAATACCTAGAGATCATTACTTTTATTAATTAGTATTTTATTTGGGGATAATTCTTGCTAATTTACGGAAAAAGTTGCAAAAATAGTAGCATTCCTAAACACCTGTCATCCAGCTTTCCATAATGTTAACAACATCTTATATAGCAAAGACTAAGAAATTAACATCAGCACATTCCTATTAACTAAATGATGGGCTGTATTTAGATTCCACTAGTTTTTCTACTAATGTCCTTTTTTCTCTTCTAGGATCCAATACAAGATACAACACTGCATTTAGTCTTCACGTCTCCTTAGTCTCCTGGTTTCTCAGCTATTCCTTGTATTCTGTGACCTTGAGAATTTTGGAGAGCACAGGTCAAATATTTTGCGGAGTGCCCCTCAATTTGACTTTCTTGATGTTTTCTCATGATTAGGCTGGGGTTGTGGGTTAATGGGAGGACCACGGAGGTGAAGTACCCCCTCACTGCACCACAGCAGAGAGTGTCACGTCAACGTCAACAGGACCTACCACGTGGTTATGACTGGTTTCTCCACTGTGGAGTTACTGTGTCCCCATCCTACATGCTATTCTTTGGCAGTGTGTCACAGGCCAGCCTACACTCAAGGGGAGGGGGATTAAGTTCCAAACCTTCTGGGGTGGGTGGGGGGAGTATCTACATATATTATCTGGAATTTTTCAGAGAGAAATATTTGTCCTTTGTCTCTCATTTATGTGTTCAATCATTTATTTATATCACTATGGAGCCGTGGATATGCATTTTATTTTGCAGGGTTATAATTATTCATGTTGTCACTCAGGTTGTCCCAGTTTGGGAATGAGGGTCTCTTTCAGCTTGGCTCCAGTGTTCTTCAGCTTCCCCACCCCACCTCCTTTTTGTTTTTGGTGAGCACTTTCTTTCTTTCTTTTTTTTTTTTTTTTCATTCTGGCTCTATAAGGTTCCTCTTATATTTTTCCTGCTCTGCCTTACAATCAGCCTTTTCTCCTAGGAGTCCTGATTTCTTTCCTTGGAGAATTGTATTTAAAAACCAATCACTGGGCCCTGGGGATGCTCATTGCTACTGGGGTGTCAGTCACTGCTTCCAGACCTTCTCAGCAGACAGAGCTAGGAAATATCTGTATGTACATGTGCATAGACACATAGCTATAATCACTTCTGTATTTCTACTTATCAGTATAAGTAAATACGAGTTCTTAAAATAAACAAGAATTCACGTGGTTACACTAATCTCTAATCCACGATTATAGGGTTCATTCTAGTCTTCTTCCTTCACTAATTTGTAATTTCTTTCTCTGACAGTGAAAATCTTGGCTTTCACTATTGACGACTCATTTACTTACTTATTCAGTCCTAAAATATATGTAGCAGTTTCAGAACTGAGTTTTGTATACTGATTTTTTCTTTCTTCTTGTTTTTAATGTTAACTTTCTAGAAGCATAAAATACATTCATAAAAGTGCACAACTCAAAAGTGTAAGGCTTGCATTTTCAAAAAGTGAGCACATTCTGTTAACCTGCACCCAGAAGATCAAGAAACAAAACGTTATCAAAATTTCAGAAGCCCCGTGACTCTTGGCAGTCATGTCTCCCCTATACACAGAAAGCCCTAATTTGACTTCTAACGCTATTAGTGAGTTTTGGCTGTTTTTGAACTTTATGGAAAGGAACCAGACTGAATTGTATCTGCTTCTTTTGCTTGGCATAATGCTTTGAGGTCCACCCCTGTTGTTGCAGGTAGTTATAGCTTATTCATTCCCATGTGTCCTGCTTTCTTAAGATTGTATCATGAGTTCTTTTCCACAGTCTTAAGTGTGTTTCTCCAGTGCGATTTTAATGGCTATATAATATTCCACAGTTTGATAATACCATAAACTATTTACTTATCCCATCTTGTCTGTCATTTGATGGGCCTCTAATTCCTGCATTATGATAACACTAGTCAATGTTACCTTAAGAAGATTGATGTAATAATCCTAATGCCTCAGAGTTAGTCTCATCACATCTGGAGGTTTGCATTCTATTCCAGCCTTAGTCCTCACAGCACATCCAGAGGGGGCCTAAGAGGGTGCTGAGGATTCTGGAAGCTGTGGCTTAGGAAGCTCAGCTTGGGGAACTGGACTATTAGGCATGGGGGTAGACAAGATAGCTGTTTTCAAATATTTGAAGCACTATTTGAAAGAGTGTTTTATGAAGTTTTATTCTGTTTTATGAAGTTTTAGTCCTCATGTTTAGCTAGGAAGAGACAGGTTTTTTGTTTGTTCTGTTTTGTTTTGAACCTATAATAGTATAAGGAAGGTGATGAATAAGACAGGTACTAGAAATAACTACACCTGAATGACACCCATGAACTGGGACTGCCCTGCGCAAACCAGGCCATCCATCATCACCCCAGGCACAAGAAACTCTTTCTAATGAGTACAGACTTGACTGAGAAATGAAAAGGCTGATGTACAGTGCTGATCTTTCTGTTATTTGAGATGTGTTATAGTGTTAGGCAGGATTGTGCAAAGGTTTCCTACATTGGGAGGGAGGCTACACTAGATGACGTCCAAGTGGCTGGATGATCATTGGATGGCAGTCTAGTTCTGAAAGTCCATAATTCAGCCTGGAAAATGATCAGCAGTATTGCCAAAGTGAGTAAATAAGATTTACATTTCTCTCTTCCTGGTCCTTATAGAAGCATGATTTCCATCTGGTCCTCATACTTGCCTTTTTTAAACAGCTTTATTGGTGTCTGGTTGCCGAGAGTTAATAGAGTGTTGTGCACTTAGAAATTTGCTGAAAGAGAAGATCTCATGATAAATGTTCAAAATTGGCTTTTGCAAGGCTAGAAGAGAGGACAGGGATGATGCTTTGTAACTTGTCAGATGCTGGGCCTGAAGTTCAATGTTCTGTGGTGATTGAGGGTCGATTCTCTCTGAAGTTTTGAGAATTTAAACGACTTATTCAGGGTGCACGAGTCAGAATGTTTTGGTTGTAAGAAACAAAAGTCACTGGCACTAACATAAGCCTGAGGCTCAAATACATCTATGATCTTGAATTATATGAGTGACCCCTCTATCTTGATAACATATTACCACTTAAAAATTATATATATATACAGAATATATAATATAATATAATAATATTATAATATATGCCATATTATATTATTATATGCTATATTATAATATAATAAAATATATAATGTTTGTTTCAGGTTCAGGGGTACATGTGCAGTGTTGTTATATTTGTTAATTGTGTGCCACAGGGCTTTGGGATACAGATTGTTTCATCACCCAGGTAATAGGCCTGCTACCTGATGGGTAAACTTTTTATCCTCTCCTTCCTCCCACCCTCCACTCTCAAGTAGGCCCCTGTTTCTGTTGTTCCCTTCTTTGTAGTCCTGTGTTCTCATTGTAAAACTTTCTATCTTGAGATACTCTTAGACTTACAGAAGAGTTGCAATAACAGTACAGAGAATTCCCACACATCCTTTACCCAACTTTGTCTAATGTTCACTTCTGACATAATCATCACACAGCGAGCAAAACCAAGAAACAAATATTCATGCAATGTTATCAGCTGAACTGCAGATTTTATTTAGATTTCACCATGTTTCCTATTAATGTCTTTCTCTTTACCAGGATCTAATCCAGCATCCCATGTTGCATTTAATTTTCATGTCTCATCAATCTGAGACAGTTTTTGAGCCTTCTCTTTCATGATCTTGACAGAGATCATGAAAGAGTATTGGCCAGATATTTTGTAAAAGGTCCCTCAGTTTGGGTCTCTGGATGTTTCTCATGATGGGACTGAGGTTATGGAACTTTGCAAACATTACCACCAAACGCTCCCCTGTCCCTCTCAGTGCAGCACATCAGGTGGTACACGACTCTGAGGCATCTCATTACTGGTGAAGTTAACCTCAATTACTTTCTTAAGATGGTGTTTGCCAGCTTCTTCACTGTGCAGTCACTATTTTCCATTTGTCATTAACAAATTTTGCTTTGAGATCATGCACATATACTTTTTCGCTGTAAACTTTCACCCACTAGTTTCAACATCTTTCATAAATCACCTTTTTTATTTAAGCTGAGTCAAATGAATTCCCAGAGAAAAATGCATAGGTGCAGAGAGCTGACAGCCTGGCTTCCCGTGGTCATCTCTTTTCCTTTCTATGTCACTTCTGGGGGCAGCTATTTCTCTCTAGGCCCCCTTCATTCCCCTCTCTCTTCAGGGCCATCTCTGCTCTCCAGCTCGTGTGATAGACAAAAAGGCTGCCATCGGCACCCCTCACCAGTGTAAGAGACCAGCCCAAGGGAGGTGGGCTCTCCTAGTTCCAAGCCCAAGTTCTTGGGGAAAGGACTCTGACTGGTCCAGTCTGGGTCAGTACCCAAGTCGTGATACGTTAAGTTGGCTCCAGAGGTGCAAGATTGGATTGCTTATATAAGTCAGCTTGGGACTCCCCTTAGTATTAGGATGGGTGGAAAATATTCCCCCAAATCTTTGTGAGATGAGCACACCCCTAGTGTGTATCCAACCACACAGCATGTCTGAGGCACAGTCAGAACAAAACACAGGTCCCTCCACTTTTTAAACAGTGTGAGTTTCTTGTCAATGCCTCAGCACACATTAGGCACTGAATCTGTGACAACTTGACTTCTCTACCTTGATCACAATCAAGCTGGAGTGGCACTTTATCCCAGTCCTGGAAATAAATATGAAATCACACTCGGGTAGGAAGGGAAGGTGAAGGGCTGAAGGTCCCCAAGAGTTCCCGGGGCTTAAAGCTCTTTTTGGTGATCTTTGAAGCTGAGTTATTCATCCAGCTGTGTTATCCTAATTCTCCAAAGACACGGAACTAAAACCCAAGAGCTAATCACTTAGTGGGATTGACCTTAAAATGCAGCAGATTTTCAGGAATGATTAGAAAATCTTTTCTGAAAGGAGAGATGCCTGGATCAGGTTCTTCAAGGAAGGAAAGCAAAGCATACCTCCTTGGTTCAGTGGGGAGCAAAGGGAGGGCTGGGTGCATGCTGGGAAGAAAACAATGCTTAGCAACATTTTCTAGATTCCTGGTTCATATTTTCCCCCTGATGTCAGGAACGGAGCATCCTTTTCTCCCCTGGCAGCTTGATTATGGCACTAAGAAATCCAAGATAAATGGGATGCTCTGTGAATGAAGCCTGGAACAGCTGGACATTGCTGAACACAACTGCAATGGCTGGTCAAATGGGGACATCTGGTTCACCTCCCCAGAGGTTTGGCAATGGTAATAAGGCCAATAAAGATAATTCAATCAGCCACTGTAGGCTGAGGCTCTCGGGAGCCCAAACACTGGGCTGGAGAGATTGGGTTTCTTTTCCATGGGAGCAAAGGAAGGAGACTGGTGGGAGAACCAGCTGTGCGCCTGGCTTTTCCCACCTGCAATTCTGGGTCTCTGCAACCACGGAGGACAATTTCCCAGGAAAGGTGAGGGAGCACATGAAAGGCCAGGACCTCTAGAAAGTCATTGTCATAGGAATTCCTAGTGCCCGGTGTGGCAGATGTTTGTTCCATGGTGACTCAGTGAAGGATTCTTAGAGGTCAGAAGACTTGGGATGAAGACAGTCCTAAGTCATACAAGTGCTCAGTGGTCTTGAGCAAAAGACTTAGTCTCTCCTGAAACTCAATTTTCTCATCTGTAAAATGAGGACAGAAATACCTATCTCCCAGGATTGTCATGAACATTATATAAAATCATGAATGTGGAGAAGTTTGCTGGAAGAATGTGAGCCATTTTGGTGGTGGATCAGATCAAATCAACAGTTTGTGATGCTCTCAACCAAGTGTCTTTTCTCTATAGTGACAGATGACATGAGACCTGAAACTCACAGGAGATTCAGGTATCTTCGTTTTAGCCTCTAGTCTCAAACTTTTAAAAATAATTTAGTCAGTTTTCTATATGAAGAGGATATAGGGAAATGACATGCTGGATATCCATGCCTTAATTTTTACTCCCTACGGAAGGATCTGTGAGCAATAAACTGCCTAGAAGGTGATGGGAGAAACATGTGGACTTCACAGGGCTAAAGATTAGATTGGAAGATAGTGAAACTGAGGTTCAGAAAAGCCACCAGGACTAGCCAAAATCACAATTCAGGGTTGAGTCTGCTATCCAGGTCTCATCAGCAAGGGATTTTTGGTTCCAACACACTCTGCAATTTCATGGGCTAAGACAGTACTTGAGAGTGTCCTGACTAAGTCAATAGTTTACCTCAGTTTCCCCAGTCCCCTTTATATCTCTGGTCATCTCTGACATGCGGGTGCTCTGCCATCAAAGGAGTGACTCCTGAGCAAAATGTCCAGTAACATCACCCAAGATGTTACAAGAAACTGCCTTAGTTTGGTGGGGGCCGGGGGCAAGAGGGAAGGTCGGTATAGTTGGAGGGAGGGAGTGGCTTCTTTGGCCTTAGTGTCCTGGTCTGAAGAAGTGTCCACAGAGCATGGACATTGGGTGCATGCAGCATGCAGAATGACAAAACAGGCTCCAGTCACAAGAGCTTCTTTGATTCAAGAGAATGTGACATGAGGAATGATTCTATTTAGCTTTCTCTACTAAGGGAATATTTGTCAGCGGGATCATGAGTCAGAAGAGGAAAGGGTCTTTTCTAGCCTAAAAATAAAGCCATGGGGACAGAGCAGTCAGGGAGGTTTGCGGTTTGACCTTTCCCATTTCTGAATGTGTGTGCTGTGTGTGTTGCAGGGGTGGTGGAAGCCAGGCAAGCCTGGAGGAGAGAGGCATCTCCAGCCCTGGCTCTAAGAAGCCTTTGCTGGTAAAATGAGCACTTGGTGGCAGCATAGGTTAGTGGTAATACCTAAAACCACAAGCTGGAATTCCAGTCCTTGAAGTCTCTGGTTTGCTAATGACCTGGCATCTTCTGCCCCCAGTCCACTCTGCTGCCCATCTTGGCCTTCACTGGCATGGATTCCGGTCACTCAGCCCTGGGGCTTGGCTCCCATCCCTTAGTCACAGAGCACACGTGCACCTCAGCCCCTTCTTAGACATGCTGCCAAATTTTGACCAACGTCTAGCACTGCCTTTGGGTTCACCGAAGATACATACTGTTCTGTTGTCCATCTGAATGGCGGTACAGAGCAGGGTGTGAGGCATTGCCTGAGGACAAACTGTCATCCGAATAGGCAAGAATTCTGCTTAGGGTGTGTCAAAGAGCAAACCAGGACTGAAAATTCACTGTGTAATTAGTGCAGTAATGCAGGGTGCAATTTAACTCCTTCTACTTTCTAGCTCTCAAAGGTAGTGGATGAAATTCTGCCCCAAGAACAAAAATACCTGAAAACTAGTGTCCACCAACTATGCAGAGAGGCTCAGAAAATATTTGGGGTCATATTCTCTTTATCTTTCTTGTCTCCCATAAGAAAGCAGGCCTTTGTCTGAAATCCCCACTGCACACCCATCCACAGAGACAGAAGTCCCTGGACATCAAGCCACGAGGGAGGGGACAGAAGGGATGAGAATGAAACATGCCCCACTTTCTTTTCCACTCACCACGCAGATCCTACTCCAACCTCACTACACTCAGGCTCTTCCCTGCTATGAATCTGCTTCCTCTACTATTCTGGATAAATCCTACTCATCCTGGAAAGGGCAGCCCCCAACCAACCTTCCCAAATGCCCCATCCTCTGGTGCTCTCTCCTTCCTTCCAACACCCGCACATTTGTACTCTGTGCCACTCGATTTTAGCCCTTGTTGGTGGACTCTTCTGTTTGCTACTGGTTTGTGTTACCCCAACTAAACTGGGATACATGGGCAAGAGTGAGGCATACAACCTTTCCAGTCCAAATCCCAGGCAAGCAGCTTGCACTCCGAGGCATGGCTGTATTGTAAGTCAAACAGAGTTAATCAATCCACCCTCCAGGGATGATTGGGAGGAGTAAATGAGTAAAAGTATGTACAGGACTTAGAATAATGGTTGGCACACAATAACGAGTTGAAAACACTGTCCCTTGGTATTACCATTACTCGAGGATAAAGCTGATGTAATTTGTTTAGATTCAAGATTCTCCTGCATATTGGTCTTCATCACACCCATAGCATAATTGGTGGTCCAAAAAATACAGACAAAACAGAAATAGTACACGAGCTTCATGTCTGGCTTTGTACCACTGCTGGGGTAAAGCTGCTGAGTGGCCTTGTTAAAATGGTGAGTTTGTCTGCCCTAGGAGAGGTGAGAACCCTGATACTGACCCGCTGGACAGAGTGTCTTGGGAAATGGCCCTAGAGCAGAGCACAAGCTCCTGAGGGGCCTGGAGACCATGTGTTCCGTGGCCTTCCTCAGCCTCTTCTGCCCTCACACTCCATAAATCTGAATTTGATGAGGACGGGCAATGATTGGAGATGCTCCCTAGCGAGGCAGTGCCAAGACCCCTGCCCCGGAGGGTCTGTCAGCGCCTGTGATGAAGTAATTGAAGGGGGGACAGCTGCATGTGTCTCAGTAAACAGATGAACTCAGTCAACACCCTCAACAGCAACCAGCACAGAAGAGCAAACCCATGAGGCCACCTGGCTCTGGGGCCAGCACATGGAGCAGGAAGAAGAGACCCTCCCATCCCACCCCTCAGATCACTCTCAGGAAAACAACTCCCAGAGAGGTGAAGCGACTTGCCTGAAGTCACGCATCCAGCCTCTGGTAAAATTCAGGCCTAGAGCCAAAGTCTCTGAGATCCCATTCAACTACTTATCCACCAGACTAAGTCTGGAGGAATCACAGCCCTAACACCTCCAAGTCTGCCGCAGTCCTCCATGAGAGCCCCAGGGTCAAGGGGAGTACTCAAGGTCATGCAGTCCAGTCTCCCACTTCTCTGCAAAAGAGCTTGGTCCCTGAATGCAGGTGACATGTTGGGTGCAAAAAGTCTTGAATTTAGACTAACTGATTTGTGCTGTGACTGAGGCAGCTGTCTCATTCTGAGCTTCTCTTGTTTTCTCTGTTCAGTGGGGAAAATAATAAAATTCCTGGCCCATTTGACCTGGGATTTTTTAAAATCACAGAATCTCCCAGTTTCTAGTTGGAATTCAAAAAAAAAATTTGTTGAGTGAATCCTGATACTGGAGCCCGTTCCAATTGAGTTCACATACAACCAGGAGAG
Source organism: Homo sapiens (assembly GCF_000001405.40). NCBI lineage: Eukaryota > Metazoa > Chordata > Mammalia > Primates > Hominidae > Homo > Homo sapiens. The sequence goes on from NC_000012.12 coordinate 5,098,786, forward strand.
CACGTGAGGAGCATTACAGTCAGACCAGCTCCACCTTGGTCTATGAGGGTGGGAGAGTCAGTGTCATTGCCACATAGAGGAGTAGAAGGGAGGCGGAGGAGTTAGACCACTTTTCCTTGGGGTTTCAGACGGTGCTTTATGAGCCTGGAGTGCTGGGACCTCATTCAAGGCAAGGCACTGTGCTTTCCTGTCTCCTGGGTAAGTCACTGAACCTCATTGAGCCTCAGTTTCTTCATCCACAAAACAGTGACAAAAATCTCTCCCTTATTGGGAGGCAGCAAGGACTAGATGAAATAATGCACTTTGTCAAGCACTGTGACACAATGTGAGCCATTGCTACTCTGTTTACTGATGACTGTTAATGCAGGGAACCATTTAAGCTGACACTTGTGATGGATCCTTATTCCCAAGGTCATTCAGAAAAATTCAGTGCTTCCTGCAAACCCCCTTCGGACTAGGGCTGTACCTACACCTCCAGATGGCATCCAGCTGTCCACTGTCCACTACACTGGTAGGGTCTGCTCTGCAGATTCCTGGCTGCACCTCGCAGTATTGCTCCGCACAAGGGGGCGACAGCGGAGGGCTGCGAAGTGCATCGGCGATGCACATCTGCCATGCGCGAGTGCAGGGATGGGCAACAGTTCCAGCCTGGCCCTCTGCACCTTAGATGCTTTTTCTCGCAGCGTGCCCAGCGATCATGTTGGAAGGTCTCCAGGGGGACAGGCTGCAAGAGGTGGATGCTCCTTTCCCTGTTTTCCTCCACCCCTATTCCTCCTCCTCTCCGTCCCTATCTTTAAAGAGTCTACACGGTTCCTTTCTTCTCTCTTCCTTTCTTACTAACTTGAACATTTTAATCAATATGGCACCTCTCTGGGGTCTCCACACTGTCACTGCAATTTGCTGTGGTTCGGTGGGTGAATTTTCTTTCGCCTTTTAGCGGGAAACAGAATGATTTCCATGATAGAAGCCGACTGGTCCGGAGAGGCCTCTACACAAAGAGCACTATGAAGAAAGGAGACAGCTGGCTGAAAAGAGAGAAGGGATTTGGGGAATTGAAATGCCTTATGATATTGGACTTAAACGTGGAAAATTCACTGCTCTGCATTGCTCAAATGCCTCTGAATTAGAGCAGAAGGGCTATCAGTTAATTTTCTAACTCTGGGTAGGAATTTCTGGCCCAGAACTTTGCAGGATTTTTTTGTTTTCCCTGACTGGTACGGTGTCCATCTACACTCATCACTTCCTTTATGGTCTGGACTGACCCATGGCCTGCTCAGCTGGCAGGGCTGTGGCTGGTTATCCCTCTGCCTTCAGGGAGGATGGCATTCAAATCACTGCAGAAGAGATGCTGCCTCTAGTTACCTTCAGCCACCTCTTCAGGAACAACGACCTGGGACACCTTTGTGAAGTAGTATGGCATATTGGGAAGAGCACAGGACAAAGGACAGAAGATGGGGTTTCCATCCCACCTGCCACTTACCTGCTGATGGCCTAGGAATGATCACTTCTCCCTCTGATCTGCTTATCCCTCAGCTGTGAAGCAAGGGATAAGGTTTTGACCTTTTTTCCTGAGGTCACTGGGGAGCCCATACAGTTCCAAGTAGGGTTTTGAGGATCAGATTTCCTTGAGGAGTTATTGACCCAAAGAGTTACAGCAGAACAACTGGGAAGTTTGGAAGTTAAATTTTTAAATGCTTTTTACAGTAACCCTATCATACTTAATTGCATTCTGTAGTTCAGCTGCCCCTATTATTTTTAACACTTAAATACCTTTATTTATGCACACTTTTCTACGCATAAGAGTTTTACCTCTGCCTCCTAGAACTTGGAAGTAAGTATTAGGACTAGATCATCTCTAAATTTCCTACCCTCGAACTCCAATTTTGCTGTAAATCCTGAATCCAGTTGAGCACAATTCAGACTGGAAATGTTATGGGTCTTGGTTTCTAAACCTACTTTTTCACAACCCTTTCCTTCTGTGACTTGCCCCACGGTGAGCTCCTGTCAGCAGACAGCTGCAAACATCAGCAGGGTTTGACTTCTAATGTTCACAGTCTTTTCTATGGACTTAACCCAATGTAAGATCACCTCTGCTGCTGTTTGATCTCCTTTTCCCTTTCCTTTCTGCTTCACTGTGGCCTATTTTCAGTCTCACTCTTGAATAGATTGGTTCCGGCAAATGTTTGTTTCCTTTCTTAAGATATTTGGGGAGTTTTCTATCATTTTCATTTCTGAGGCATCACCTGCAAGATTGTGGGTGACTTCTGAAGCATGGTTAAGAGTCACTGTCATCTCTCACTCATTGTATTTTATTTGCAGTGTTCTAAGGATCTTGTGTGTGTCAAGAGTCTTCCAGAAGGGTTAAACTGGGAATCATGCCCAGATGAATCAAAAGTGCTGAAGAACATGTCCATGTGTATGTATGAGGTACATCTGTATATGTCTAGAGGTCTTGGTGCATGCCTGGATGTCAAAACTACTTACAGACAGTTCTTGGAGTTATCCTGAAAATGAAGAATGCTGGATACCATTTAGTTAGTTCTTATTACATATCAGGAATTATTTTAGGTGCTTTCTATACATACATTTTTGTAGAGCCACACAAGAAAGTAGGTATTTTTAATCTCCATTTATAATGAGGAAGAATCTGATTAAGAATCAGATAAGTCAAATAATTTTCCCAAATTCTCATAGCTAGTAAGTGTCAGAATCAGAGCCCAAAGCCACCTAGTGTGAGGATATCCTTGTTGTGTGGCCTTGTCTATCAGCCCGGGGAGGATATTCAATTAGATCAGCTCCTGTGATTTTTCTTAGGTCACCTGAAGTAGGTAGAGTTTGCCTCTGAACCAATAGGGATTTTTTTTTTCAGCCTTTGTCTTTGGGGCAAAGTTTCAGGCAAAAACTTAGGCTTCAATTAGGAGATCAATAATACCATCAGGCATTTGCTCTTAGCATGGATGCCTCCCTCTTCCTGGCGTCCATTTCAGCTTCCTGACCTTCTGTTTTGCCTCTTTAACTGGAGAAGGCTGAGGAGCTAGGGAAGCTCAGGGACTCCACTCTGGGAGAGTTCCATCCTCAGAGGAGGAGCTTCTCCAACCCAGGAGGCTGTGCCTCAGGAGAAGCTGGCCCTTCCAACGATGTTCTCTTAGCGCAGGGACTATGGAGGGACCTGTGTCATGCCAGAGTGGAGAAGAGTGTGGCAGAAGCTAGTTAACTCCAGCTCCAAGTGGGGATTAGCTTCCATACAGACAAAATCTGTGGTTGGGATGCTCCCTTCCTCCTCCCTCCCTTTCTCCTCCACCAAGTGCAAGGGTTTGCACCATTTGTATCAACTCATCAGTGCCCAGCACTGGGCTTTGTATTGTGGGTAAAATAGATGAAGAATTTTAATGACAGGGTCCCTGTTTGCAATTTTATCCAGTGTGTTTTCTTTCTCCCTCCTAAAAGGATAGGATCTTTTACAGACAAAGAGAAATTATTAAGGATTTTGTAAGCCCACTCAGTAGTTATCGTTGCTTAATAACCCTGCTCTAAGATGCTGAGTTTTGTGGATGATAACTGATCTCATTCTTTAAATATTTCTGAGTTCTAAATCAGCTGAGAATATACAAGAGTCAGACAGACGAATACCAAAATGCCATTTTTACTAGGAATTAAGCTGAATTCAACTAAGTGGTTGAGACAGATAGCCACAATTAGCCCTTCCATTATCTTGGAAGAATTATGGTTTGGAGTGTAGACATGCCCAATCTCAGTGTCAGGAAAGTGGTGCCAAAGAAAGGGAAAAGAAGAGAGACCACAATATGCTTAGTTGTTAATACACCAAGTCCGTCTAAGTAAAGGCCCATGAAGGGCCAGGACCAAGCCAGGGAGAAAGGCTGGACGTATTACTCAGTGGACATCTCAGCACGAAAGCATGAAGCAAGGGGAATGGCAGTTACTCTCTGGGGTAGGGAAATTCTCTAGTTGCTCAACTTCAGTTAACTTGGAAAGTAATTCTTCAAAAGATACATTAATAATTTGAGAGATCAGAAAGAACATTACTATCTCCATGTTGACTGGATAAACAAGACATCCACCTATTAAAAGTAGGGAAGAACACCTACCACACACAAAGATGTGAAAGTCTGAGTTCCTGTTCCTAAGGCTGGTCCGATGGAGAAGAGGATGAGATGCCCCATACTGGTGATGGAAATCACAGGTCACCATCAACACACAGAGCTCCATGTGTCATATACTGCTAGTTAAATAAATTTTAAAATTTCAGCAAAAAAATTCCTAAAGTTTTACTAGTGTTTGCCCTCTGACCCTTCTCAATGTTATGTTATTAGTACATCTTATAAACCACCAATAAAATTAACTAACTTATATATAACATTCAGTTCTCCCTACCATAAATAGCATGAAGACTCTTGCCTTCTAGAAATAAGTTTTTCTAGTGGCCTTTAAAATAAGTTTTTGTAGTGGCCTTTAAAAGAGTAGTTTAGAGGGAAAAATATCAGAGCACTAGAAAGTAAGCTTTCTTCAGCTATCTGCTCAATGTTTTCAGCCAGATTTCTTTGATATGTGTCTTTCCTTTCCAAATAATCCCTCAGTTCCTTTTACCTGGAGTTCAGCACTAATCCAGGCTACCTTCTAATATTGCTATCTGTCCAATGCAGGTCATATTTCCCCTATTGAGTTCCTGAAGGCTACATTTATGTTTTGTTTTTCCTTATAGCACCCAAAGCACCTAGAACAGCTGCTTGCATCTAGTAAGCACTTGGAAGCAAATGCATGTTGAAATAAATTGTGGAATTAATATTAGATTTTGGCTTAAAATAAAGCAGCACTCATCTTCCACGAGAAGGGCACATCCAACCCAATCTCTTGTTCCTTCTCCAAGTCCAGCAGTATCAGAGTTGACACTTTGGAGAATGATCCTCCTTTGAGATCCTTCAGAGTCAAAGGAAGAGTCGGTGGAGTCTACTGTCCTCAAGGCAAGGCCATGGAATATTAGAGCAGCGTGGTGCTTTAAAGATCACATAGTCCAACAGATTTGAAAACTGAGGCTCTGAGAAGGAAATCAAATTGGCCCAGGGGCCCCTGCTGGATGGTGAAAGAGTCAGTGTTGAATCTCTTTCTGTTACACAATGAGATCAGCTCATAAATATATATAAAAAAAATTCAACCTGAGTTAGGAGCAAAAATATTTTCTGGCTATTAAAATATTAAACTCACCAGAATGTGTCATTCCTTCAATTATTTAAGCTATTCAAAAGTATACTGTTTTAACATTTTTTATTCTAGATACTAACACTAAAGCTAAGAATTAGCTCTAGCACATTATTTACTGACTACACATGTTCAGACACACCTAGGACCAAACGTGTCCCCCAGGCATCATGACCAGTTAAGTAAAAGCTTGAGGACTGCGGGTCTGATCCTCTCCCCACTACAATAGGATTAGAAAGTCCTTAACTTCTCTTCCTACTATTGGAACCAGATTTGCTCTCTCACCACAGAAGCCCTTTTAGGAACAGCCGTGGGCCTGTGGGCCTTATCATTTATCACTTGTTTCAAGGGCTTAAACTTTGATCTGGGGATAATTTGGTATGTTTGAAAGAGGAATAAGCCTTTTGTCTAATCTAGGGAATAAAGTACAGAATCCAGCAGCTGGAAGTCTTGGGTTTATTTTTCTTAGGCAAACCCATGAATTTATCATCATTTCCGGGAGAAACAAAGAAGGGGTTCCAGGAAGCCATTCCCAGCCGTTGGGTACTTATTTAAAGAAAAGAGGAAGAAAGAGAGAAAGAAAAATAGCCTCTCAGGCTGAAGAAGTGCTGGAGACCCAGATCCCAGCAGATGAGAAGAAACAGGCTTTCTTCAACGTCAGCCTGTGGCAGGGATTTGATAACTTTCTTCTCCCAGCTCCCTGAACCTGACCTGAATGGTCTGCTCTGGGTAATCTGAATAAACTCTCTTGAGGTTCTATAGGGTCCTAATTTAGTGTGAGGGAGGAGAAGATAGGTTGTCAGATTGACATCTGTTGCTGTTCTGAGTAGGGTTTGAGGAGTCTAAGTCTTGGGAGACTGAGAAACACACGGACTCCAGCTCCATTCAGAAGCTGCATGGATTTATTTAGACACACTGGAATACTGACTTTTCTTGAACTTTAAAGGTCAGATGAACTCAGTATCTAAAATTGAGTTCTGGCAAAAATGATATTTCATCATATCTATTATTACAGTTTCTTATAAATGTAATTCCCTTTTGAATTGGTAGATTACTTTTATGCTAGTAACACGATGTTTCAAAGCACTGTTTTACCCATTTCTTCAAATGTTGCTGATTTAAAATACCTATTATATAGATCAAACATTAGGTTTTAAGCCTTGGGTGCTATGCCTGCTGTGAGTTTAAAACTGCTTTTGGAGAATTCTGCTTCTACTTCAAGTGGACTTTCTCCCTTTTATGACCTTAAAGGCTGAGTACTAGATGTGATATAAGTGAACTGAAGGAACAGGGCCCAGGTTTATCATCATTATTGTATTGCTTTATTCTGTCTGTTTTTGTTACATTTTCACAAAGTATTTTGAAATGCACCTACTGTAAGAAGGGAGGCTATTCGGGACATTTGATTTTCTATTTTTTTTATTTATTTTTATTTTTTGTCTTTCTTTTTTTGTTTTTTTTTTATTGTTTATTATTATTATACTTTAAGTTTTAGGGTACATGTGCACAATGTGCAGGTTAGTTACATATGTATACATGTGCCATGCTGGTGTGCTGCACCCATTAACTCATCATTTAGCATTAGGTATATCTCCTAATTCTATCCCTCCCCCCTCCCCCCACCCCACAACAGTCCCCAGAGCGTGATGTTCCCCTTCCTGTGTCCATGTGTTCTCATTGTTCAATTCCCATCTATGAGTGAGAACATGCGGTGTTTGTTTTTTTGTCCTTGCGATAGTTTACTGAGAATGATTGATTTCCAATTTCATCCATGTCCCTACAAAGGACATGAACTCATCATTTTTTATGGCTGCATAGTATTCCATGGTGTATATGTGCCACATTTTCTTAATCCAGTCTATCATTGTTGGACATTTGGGTTGGTTCCAAGTCTTTGCTATTGTGAATAGTGCCACAATAAACATACGTGTGCATGAGTCTTTATAGCAGCATGATTTATAGTCCTTTGGGTATATAACCAGTAATGGGATGGCTGGGTCAAGGGACATTTGATTTTCTAGAAGGATATTACCAACATCCCCATAGACAAAGGTAAAAGTCAATACTGATGATCCATTATTAAAGTCAGTTTTGGATTTTAATTGTTAGTAGATTGCACTTGTCTAGCACTTTATGTAATCTTAAGTAAGTTTTTTGTAACATGGAGAGATTTAAATGTTATGCACAGATGTACATCTAACTGGTGGCCGAGCTGGGGGTAGAACCTGAGGATCTCATTCTATTGTAAAGATACATGCACACGTATGTTCACTGCAGCACTATCCACAAGAGCAAAGACATGAAATCAACCCAAAATGCCCATCGATGATAGAATGGATAAAGGAAATATGGTACATATACACCATGGAATACTATGCAGCCATAAAAAGGAACGAGATCATGTCCTTTGCAGGAACATAGATGGAGCTGGAAGCCATTATCCTCAACGAACTAACGCAGGAACAGAAAACCAAACATCACATGTTCTCACTTATAAGTGGGAACTGAACAATGAGAAAACATGGACACAGGGAGGGGAAAAATACACACTGGGGCCTGTCGGGGGAAGGGTCATGGGGAGGGGGAGCATCAGGGTAAATAGCTAATGCATGTGGGGCTTAATACCTAGGTGATGGGTTGATAGGTGCAGCAAACCACCATGCACACATTTACCTATGTAACAAACTAAAAATAGAATGAAATAAAATATAATAAAGAACCTGAGGATCTCTGCTTATATTTCATTATCTTTACAACACATTTCAGTTTAAGCAGAACCATTTTCTCCAGGTATTAAAGTGGGCTTTGATTGATAATCAAGATTCTGATTTTTCCCAGTATGGAAGTCTGTCCATACACACATAACCTGACACCTTCCTTGGATCTAATCTCTGCAGTCCACCTGGCTAATTCCAAGTAGCATCCCATCACAGCAGGCATGAACACCTGAATGGTACCTGCTACTGGCAGATTTCCTAGGATCTCCCTAGATATTTAAAAAAGCATAGGCTTCCTGACACACCCCAGTTGAATATAATTGTATGTAATACTAGACAGAATACTGGATGCAAAATCAGAAAGATGTGGGCTCAAATGTTGAGTTGCCCACTTATTAACTCTGTGACTATGAAAGAGTTACTAAATCAACACACAAAAATTCTTAATAAAATGTTAGCAATTCTGTCTAGCTCTACATAATGTCTATACATACTTATGACCAAGAATTTATTCGGAAAAGCAGTTTGTTTAACATTAAAAATTTAATTAACATAACTTAACACACTAACGTAGGATCATCTCCATAAACGCAGAAAAAGCATTTCACGAAATTTAACCCATTCATGAAAAATAAATAAATAAAAGAAGCATAGCTTTTAACAATCTAGGAATAAAAGGAAACATCTACAATCTGATAAATATTAATAATATCTGTGAAAAAACTACAGCTAGCAGCCTACACGAAATACTAAATGTTTTTCCCCCTAAGAATCAAAACAAGAATGTTTGCTTTCACCACTTCCATTCAACATTGTAGTAGAAGTGCTAGCCGATGTAACAAGCCAAGATAAAGGAAAGAAGGCCATAAATATTGGGGGAAAAAAGTCAAACTCTTAATCTACACACGGCATCATTATATATAGAGAGATGATCTTAAGGAATCAACAAAAAACCTTGTAGAAATAATGCTAGTTTGGTAAAGATGCAGAAAACAACATCAATATGTAAAAGTTGTATTTCTATATACTAGCAAAAACCCTGACAAATAAAAATATTAAAATACGATTTACAAAACATCAAATATATAATATACTCAGGAATAAATGTTATGGAAAATGTGCAAAACCTCTGTACTGAAAACTAGAAAATATTGCTGAAAGAAATTAAAGAATCTCTATTTTTAGTTCTTTGAGATATCTCCATATTGTTTTCTGTAGAGGTTGTACTAATTTACATCCCCACCAGGAGTGTATAAGCATTCCCTTTTCTCTATATGCTTGCCAACATCTGTGGTTTTTTGACTTTTTAATAATAGTCATTCTGACTGGTGTGAGATGGTATCTCATCGTGGTTTTAATTTGCCTTTTTCTGATGGTTAGAGGTGTTGATCATTTTTTATTTATATGTCTTCTTTTGAAAAATGTCTGTTCTTGTCCTTTGTCCACTTTTTAATCAGGGTTATTTATGTTTTTTTCTTATTGAGTTGTTTGAGTTCCTTGTAGATTCTGGATATTAGTTCTTTGTTGGATGCATAGTTTGCAAATATTTTCTTCCATTCTGTAGGTTGTCTGTTGTCATTGTTAATTATTTATTTTGCTATGCAGAAGCTTTTTTGTTTAATGAAGTCCCATTTGTTCATTTTTATTTTTGTTGCATTTGCTTTTGAGGTCTCAGTCATAAATTCTTTGCCTAGGCCAATGTACAGGAGAGTTTTTTCTAGGTTTTCTTTTAGAATTTTTATAGTTTCAGGTCTTAGTATTCCAGAAATTCCACTACTAATTGTCTACCCACAGGAAAAATAATTATTATCTCAAAAAGACCTGCACTTGTATATTTATTGTAGCACTATTCACGATAGCAAAGTTATGGAATCAACCTAAATGTCCATCAACAGATGACTGGATAAGAAAATGTGGTATTTATCTACCATGGAATATACTTATCCATAAAAATATCAAATCACGTCTTTTGCAGCAACATGGATGGATCTGGAGGCTATTATCTTAGGTTGAAATAACTCAGAAAGTCAAATACTGCATGTTCTCACTTAGAAGTGGGAGCTGAATAATGCGTACACATGGACATAGAGAGTGGAATAACAGACACTGGAGGCTTGCAAAGGTGGGAGGGTTGTAGGAGGGTAAGGGATGATAAATTACCTGGGAGGTTACGAGATACACTGTACAGGTGACAGTTACACGAAAAGCCCGGACTTCACTGCTATGAAATATATCCTTGTAACAAAGCTGTTTTTGTGCCCTCTAACTCTATATTTAAAAAGAAATGGAAGAATATCTAAATAAATAGAGAGATGTAGCATATTCATGGATTAGAACACTGAATACATTAAGGTGGAAACACTTCCTAAATTGCTGAAAACAAGCAGTGAAATTTTAGTGAAAATCCAAGAAGATTTGTTTGGTAGTAATTGAGAAGCTTATTCTAAAGCTTATATGGAAATACAATGAAACCAAATTTTCTAACACAATCATAAAAAAGAAGATTAGAGTTAGAGGACATACGCTACCTGATTTCAAGGCTTGTTATGAGGCCACAATAGTCAAGACAGGGTGATACTGACATAAGAATTGATAAATGGGTCAATGGAACAAAATAGAGAGTTCAGAAATAGACTCACACATATACGGTCAATTTTTTGACCAAGTCACCATGGCAACTCAATGGAGAAAGGAAAGTCTTGAAACAAATGATTCAGGAAAAACCAGATTCCATATGGGGGATAAAAAAAACAACTGCAGACACTACCCTAACCACTACCTTATACCATACACAGGAATTAGTTTGACATAGCCCATAGAACAAAATGTAAAATGTAAAGTTATAAAGTTTCTAGAAGAAAACATAGGGGAATATACTTATGATTATGGGTAGGCAAAAATTTATCAGATAGGACATCAAAAATACTAAATATACAATAAAAATATTAATAAATTGGAATTCACAAAATTAAAAAATTCTTCTCATCACAAACGGTAGTGAAGAAAATTGGAAAGCAAATCACATACTGGAAGAAAATATTCTTAATACATAAATCTGACAAATGATTTTTTTTTTTTTTGAGAGAGAGAGTCTCACTCTGTTGCCCAGGCTGGAGTATGGTGGTGCAATCTTGGCTCACTGCAGCCTCAACCTCCCTGACCCAAGCAATCCTCTCATCTCAGCCTTCCAAGAAGCTGGGACTATATCACGTACTACCACACCTAGCTATTTTTTGTATTTTTGTAGAGACAAGGTCTCACTGTGTTGCCCAGGCTCGTCTCGAATTCCTAAACTCAAACGATCCTCCCACCTTGGCCTCCCAAAGTGTTGGGATTACAGGAGTGAGCTACTGTGCCCAGCCACAAATGACTTTTATACAGAAAAATAGGAAGTTTTACTACTTATAAATAAATGAGAAAGATGAATGATTCAATTTTTTAGAAAGGACAAAAAAAACCTTGGCTATATATGTCACAAAGATATATAAAAGCCCATAAGTAATGAAAAAGTGCTTGATATCACCAGTATTTAGAGAAATTGAACTAAAATCACAATGAGATTCCATTCCACACACACTAGAATGATTACATTTAAGATTGATGAAACCAAGTGTTGACAGGGATGTGTAGGCACCAGTGATCTCTCATACTGCTGTGGGCTTATAAAATGATACAGCCACCTCGGAACTCTGTTTGATAGGTTCTTATGAAGTTAGCCCTTTATCTTCCCCATGATCCTGCAATTTCACTCCCAGGTATTTACCCAAGAGAAATGAACACATATGCACAAAATGTCCTGAATGAGAATATTCATAGCAGACTTTGCAGCCAAAACTGAAGACAATCTGGATGTGCATTAGCAAGAATGGATGAGCAAACTAAGATGTATTCATATGATGAATAAAAGGAACAGACTACCAACACACACAACCATAGAACTCAAAAATACTATGTTGAGTGAAAAAAGCCAGATGCAAAAGATTACATTAATATGATTATCTTTATATGAAGTTCAAGCATAGATGTTATGGGCTGAATCATGTCCCCTCCAAAATTCATATGTTCACATCCTAATCCCCAGTACTCAGAATGTGAGTATATTTGGAGATAGAGCCTTTAAAGAGGTAATTAAATAAAAATGAGGCCATTATCATGGGCCCTAATCCAATATGGTGTCTTTATAAGACAAGGAGATTAGGACACAGACACACAGAGGAAAGTCCATGTGCAACAAAGGGTGAAGAAAGTCATCTACAAGCCAAGGAGAGAGATTGGTCTCAGAAAAAACCAACCCCCTACAAACACTTCAGTCTTGGACTCCTATCCTCCAGATTGTGAGAAAATAAATTTCTGTTGTTTAAGCCACCCAGTCTGTGGTACTTTGTTATGGATGGCAGCCCTAGCAAATTAATACAATGTACAAAACTAATAAATGATAATAGAAAACTGAAGAGCGGCTGCCTCTTGGGGGAAGGTTTTTGATTTAAAAGGGGCATCAAGAAACTTTCTGGGTTGACGAAAATACTCTGTATCTTGGTTAGGGAGGTGGTTATCTGGAGGTATAATTGTCAATTTATTTTTTAAGCTGTGTTCTTAACATAGGTGCATTCTGTTACCTGTGAATTATACATCAATTTTAAATGGGAAAAATTTAAATTCATTTACATCCCAGCATTTCAGCTGAACAGGAGGATGATGACAACGTAGCTTTTGTTGTTGCTAAGATGAAATGAGATGACACCTATGAAATGCCGGCACAGTGCTTAGCATATGGGAAGCTCTCAATGTTAGTGCAATCTGAACCCGTCTCCGTATACTGGCCTCTTGTTCCTTTGAAATATTTGCTTCCTGGAATTTTAGTTAAAAACATCAATGAGACAAACCAGATGACTTTGTTCTTTTTTTTCTGTGAACTCTGCTTTTTGTGGAGGCTTTCTCCTTTTCAATATGTTCAGGAATAATCCCCAAGTGCCACGTAGAAGTGCCAGCTCCCTACCCATTCTGGGCTTGCCCTTCACCTGGCAAGAGGCTCTGATTCCATCCATGAAAGAATTTCACACATTCTCCTGGTGACCATTGATCCTTTTTCGGCTCCAATGTCACCCTGGAAACTGCCCCACGAAGGGTTTGTTTTCAGGCATTCAGGCAGGTGTTTGTTGATCTTGCTCCGGTTCACTTTACGACTGGGAAAAAAGATTGCCCCCCTCTCCCCCAGACTGGTGGCATTTTTTACTTGGGGCCTGAAGAGGAGAGCTGATGTGCAGCTGGTTACATCTGAAAGCCAGTAGCTGGGAGAGCCATTTGTCCTTCACCTCAGACCGTTTAGCTTTTGCCCAAAAATTCTAAGAAAAATTGTGTTAATGTTCAGCTTGAATTTTTCACTGTGAACAAAAGTAGAGCACATGGATGTCTCTGCATTCATCATCAAAATGATCATACAGGAATCCATAACCTTGTTCATATGTGTCTTCTCTTCACCTGGGTCATTCCCAAATCACTGGGGAAATTAGCTATATACCCATGGGTGGAAAGGGTGGGAAGCTGGTACTAGGATGGCCAGAGACAACACATTGTCTAGAAATCTCAATGCCTGCATGGATGGTGTCACTGAACACATCCATGCCCAAAGACTTTCAGTGGCTTCCTGCTTGCCATCATAACAGATCTGAACTGACCGGGCTTTCCTAGTGCCTCAGAATCTGGCCTCTCCCTACCTACAGGACCTTACTTGCTCTGTTATCCAGCATCTATCCTCTACTCTTGCAAGACTTGTCTTTTTGCTGTCCCTATGGGAGCTATACTCATTCCCGTAGAAGGCTTACAGAGGATGTTACGTTTGGTGATACTCATTCAGGGAGATATGTTTGGGAGAGGAGTCAGGTTAGCCTGAGGAATTGATGGGCTCAGAATAGCTAAGACTGAGAAATGTGGAAGCAGAGAGTAAGTGCATTTGTTGGGCTCTGAAGGAGAGGAGAATCCTGGTAGCTCCCTGGTTGGATAGGTAGGGAAAATTCTTAAGAAGTTTTGAATTTATAAAGAAAGCTTCATGGAATACCACTGAGGTAGGAGGCGGGACTTTATTCTGGACTAGATTGAAGACTGGCTGAAACATGGAAGAGGGGGACTTCCATTTGAGCTGGAGCTGGCCCAGCCCTTTCTTTCCTGAGGTGATGCTGCATGTCCATTGGTATCAAACAATAGGTAAGACTGGCACCATTGGGAACTGGCCTGGGCACTGTGAGAAGACAGCCAGGACACGCAGAAGGGAAAATAGATACGAGCTCATGCTGGCTGAGCTTACTGCATCCCAGACACTGTGCTGGGCAATTTCCATGCATGTGGGCATTTTCTCCTCTCAACAACCCTGCCACAGGGGCATTATCACCCCCACCTTACAAAAATGAAGCCCAGGCCTTTAAGCAGTGTGTGACAATCAGCAGTGGGAACACTCAAATTCGATCCCAGACCTGCTATCCAATTCTTCTTTGATCCTTTTTTCCCTAATGATCAAATCATTCCCTAAGAATGATTAAAGTGTTCAACTGCAGGCCGGAGGAGACATTTCCATTTTCAGTTTCAGATTTTGATAAAGAGTTAAAGATCTCCCTCCTACCTGCCACCCACTTACTCTGTTTTATTTCCTTTTGATTTTAGAGATTTGTCTGAATGCATCCTTACTTTTGCCTTTTGTCTCCTTTCTTTTCTTTTCCTGTCCCACAGCTGGGACTCAGTGAGTGCCCTTGGGGCCTGGGTATGTTGGTTGCCGTGTTTATGACCTGGAGTCAGTATAGATCCTGACTTTTGAGATGGAAACTGTCACAGGTAACCTTCAATCACCTCCACCCCTAGCCTCCTGTGCCTTCACCTTCTGTCTTTCAGGGGTATCAGGTTTAGATACTTTTCAGCTTGTGCCAAATCTGGTTGGCCCTGACTCATCTCTGTCTCTCTTTTCTTTCTACACACACACACACACACACACACACACACGCACACACACGCACACACGGACACCAGTTTAAGGCTTCTTTAAGACAATCACCATGAGCCCCTAACATGAAGGTTCTATTTTAAGGTTAAGTGCACACTTGTCACCTCCTCTAATCCCTGTAACTCTATCTATGGTAGCTTTTTTAGAAAGTGTGCTGATGTTCATGACTAAGAGACTTAGAAGATGCTGGGAGAATTTAGCAACATTTTGTGTGGTTTCAATTAGGTAAGATTTTATTGGAAGAGACCTTTCATGAAGAACTCTCATTTGAAAACCAGGAAGAGGAGGACAAGTCTGTAGGGTAGTGCAGACACGATTTGATTCCTGACAGACACAGGGCACCCTGCCTATCATAGCAGCGAGCTCCATGGTGGGCTCTGCTCTTGGTCCATGCTCTTGTCTTCCAGGACATATCTCAGGAGGTTGATGGAGAAGGCATTCCCTCTGAGGCATGCACCATTTCAGCACCCCTTTCTTATTGGTGCTGGTCACTCAGGGACTTCCTTAGACATTGAGAAACCACAGCCTCCTGTTTGGAAAGCTGTCAGCCAGAGCTGAGTCTCACTCCATCTCCTGAGTCTGTTTTTTTCCTCTTCATCGTCTTTGTTCTCAGCAGACACCCTCCAGGCAATGACAAAGTAGTTCCCAGCTTCTCCAAGGTTTTTGGTCCTCAACTTTCACGATCTCAGAGAAGAAGAAAGCCCCCTGCCCCTTCCCAAAGTCTACATGTCAAACCACAGGCTCTGCTTGGCCCTACTTGGGTGATGTGCCCATTTCTGAGCAATCCACCCTGGCCTGAGGACTGAAGCACCTCCAGAAGCCAGGTTTGGTCACTAATGCACCGTTTTGGCAGACTGGTGGCAGGGCAGCTCTGCCTGCACCACTTGGAATGGATTTTCACAGGAAGGAGGGTTTCTTTAGCAGAAGAGGGAGAAAAGAGGTCGGGAAAGCAAAAACAACACTCGTGGGTACATTACGTGCAGGTTAAACACGGAGTAAACATTGTGGTTTCTCAAGGATGTTGATGTTTCAGAAAATCTTTGCCTTGTGGGCGTGCCATTAGAGTTACGAAACTGTGGTAAATACTTATTATTTCTATTAACCTGTTCTTTCAGATGCTGTAGGTCTTAATCTCACTTTCTTTCTCCTTCCCCCAAGTAAAAATTCCACAGATGTTTGCATTCAGGCTTAAATTTCATTCATTCTGATGTTTTCTATAATGCCGCTTTGGAATTAGGCTATCCTTCTTATGTGCTTTTCTGAGATTTGGCCAAACCCAGGGATGAATTTCCTGCTTTTGTCTCTCTTGCCATGGGAGAATTAAAAGCAGTAGCTTTTGTACAATAACATTACCCTTTCTCCTCTTTTTCTTTTATTTTTAAAAAGAATTTGAAAGAATGTCAACTTAGGCAAAGAACTAGGGACAGCTCCCTGGTTCCAGCTTCTTTTGTTGCTTCCCCTTCCCCTCTCCGATGTTTCCAAAGCTAGCTTGTCTTCCTAAACATTTTCAACTCTTTCCTCCTGCTTTCTTTCTTCCTATTTTCAGAGAATACCAAGGCCTTAGGCCTAGGACAAGTATGGTCAGAACTCCCTTGACCAACATGCCCAGTCCTCCTGCTATCCAGTCCTTTGTTATCCTCTCCACAGTTGGCTCAAGGCCCCATGAGAACTGTTGTCACTTGGAATGGACCTTTATGAATGGCTTGTTGTCCACACTCCTGGAGACCATGGAGATGCAGGTATAAGCTAGACTATACAGTTGCTCCTTGGTAGGGTCAGTAGATTGGTTCCAGGATGCCCCGTGGATACCAAAATCCAAGGATGCTCAAGTCCTTCTGTATCTGTAGATATAGAGAGCCGAACATAATGTGGGTGTGTATGGAAAAGGGTGCATGCCTGTTGGAAACAAAAAGTAAAACTAGAAAATGCCAGGAGACTTCATCTGATGCAAGACACTAGTGACTCATGGAGATGCCACACACCATGGAAAAGGCCATCCCCAAGGCACCTGATCTCCCATCCCACTAGACCGTGAAGACTCGGTTTTGGCTAACATTGCCTTCTGTTAAAATCATGAGTTCTAGACCAAAGCTTGCTTAATAACTATCAGTTTAGCCTACTAAATTTCATACAAATTACCTCATTTAAGCCTCTTAAGCATGTGATAGGTTAGATAACATCATTCTTATATTATCAGAATGTAGACTGAGGCTTAAAGAAGTTATTTTACTTGATTCATCCATAGATCTAGTAAGTTGCAGAGCCAGTGTTTGAAAACAGGTTTATTCCACTGAATTATATTGCCTTATAGCCACAAGGCAGGCAGCTGCCTCTGTGGCATGAGTTCTGAAGTAGGAAGAGCCCTGCTCCCATAAAGTCTCCTTTCTACATCTCATACTACCTCAACAGACCAAAAGATGGTTAAAATTACTCTACTAGTGAAGATGTAGTAGAGACAGTGCTCCCTAAGGGTCCATGGGCTCCCTTCAATTTCTACCCTTGTCTTGGCAGGAAAGTGAGACCTAGTTCTGGCCAGAAGACTGAGAAGTAACACATGTCCACTCCCACATCAAAGCACTTAGAAGAGTCAATGTGTCTCTTTCATCTGCTTTGTATCAGTCAGGGTTCTCCAGAGAACCAACAGGAGATATGTATGTGTATATACATATATAAAATGTATACACATACATACACAGGCATGCCTCAGAGGTATTTTTATTTTTTTATTTTTTTTTATTATACTTTAAGTTTTAGGGTACATGTGCACATTGTACAGGTTAGTTACATATGTATACATGTGCCATGCTGGTGCACTGCACCCACTAACTCGTCATCTAGCATTAGGTATATCTCCCAATGCTATCCCTCCCCGCTCCCCCACCCCACAACAGTCCCCAAGTGTGATATTCCCCTTCCTGTGTCCATGTGATCTCATTGTTCAATTCCCACCTATGAGTGAGAATATGCGGTGTTTGGTTTTTTGTTCTTGCGATAGTTTACTGAGAATGATGTTTTCCAATTTCATCCATGTCCCTAAAAAGGACATGAACTCATCATTTTTTATGGCTGCATAGTATTCCATGGTGTAAATGTGCCACATTTTCTTAATCCAGTCTATCATTGTTGGACATTTGGGTTGGTTCCAAGTCTTTGCTATTGTGAATAATGCCACAATAAACATATGTGTGCATGTGTCTTTATAGCAGCATGATTTATAGTCCTCTGGGTATATACCCAGTAATGGGATGGCTAGGTCAAATGGTATTTCTAGTTCTAGATCCCTGAGGAATCGCCACACCGACTTCCACAATGGTTGAACTAGTTTACAGTCCCACCAACAGTGTAAAAGTGTTCCTATTTCTCCACATCCTCTCCAGCACCTGTTGTTTCCTGACTTTTTAATGATTGCCATTCTAACTGGTGTGAGATGGTATCTCATTGTGGTTTTGATTTGCATTTCTCTGATGGCCAGTGATGATGAGCATTTTTTCATGTGTTTTTTGGCTGCATAAATGTCTTCTTCTGAGAAGTGTCTGTTCATGTCCTTTGCCCACTTTTTGATGGGGTTGTTTGTTTTTTTCTTGTAAATTTGTTTGAGTTCATTGTAGATTCTGGATATTAGCCCTTTGTCAGATGAGTAGGTTGTGAAAATTTTCTCCCATTTTGTAGGTTGCCTGTTCACTCTGATGGTAGTTTCTTTTGCTGTGCAGAAGCTCTTTAGTTTAATTAGATCCCATTTGTCAATTTTGGCTTTTGTTGCCATTGCTTTTGGTGTTTTAGACATGAAGTCCTTGCCCATGCCTATGTCCTGAATGGTAATGCCTAGGTTTTCTTCTAGGGTTTTTATGGTTTTAGGTCTAACGTTTAAGTCTTTAATCCATCTTGAATTGATTTTTGTATAAGGTGTAAGGAAGGGATCCAGTTTCAGCTTTCTACATATGGCTAGCCAGTTTTCCCAGCACCATTTATTAAATAGGGAATCCGTTCCCCATTGCTTGTTTTTCTCAGGTTTGTCAAAGATCAGATAGTTGTAGATATGCAGCGTTATTTCTGAGGGCTCTGTTCTGTTCCATTGATCTATATCTCTGTTTTGGTACCAGTACCATGCTGTTTTGGTTACTGTAGCCTTGTAGTATAGTTTGAAGTCACGTAGTGTGATGCCTCCAGCTTTGTTCTTTTGGCTTAGGATTGACTTGGCGATGTGGGCTCTTTTTTGGTTCCATATGAACTTTACAGTAGTTTCTTCCAATTCTGTGAAGAAAGGCATTGGTAGCTTGATGGGGATGGCATTGAATCTGTAAATTACCTTGGGCAGTATGGCCATTTTCACGATATTGATTCTTCCTACCCATGAGTATTCCATTTGTTTGTATCCTCTTTTATTTCCTTGAGCAGTGGTTTGTAGTTCTCCTTGAAGAGGTCCTTCACATCCCTTGTAAGTTGGATTCCTAGGTATTTTATTCTCTTTGAAGCAATTGTGAATGGGAGTTCACTCATGATTTGGCTCTCTGTCTGTTGCTGGTGTATAAGAATGCTTGTGATTTTTGTACATTGATTTTGTATCCTGAGACTTTGCTGAAGTTGCTTATCAGCTTAAGGAGAT
Source organism: Homo sapiens (assembly GCF_000001405.40). Classification (NCBI taxonomy): domain Eukaryota; kingdom Metazoa; phylum Chordata; class Mammalia; order Primates; family Hominidae; genus Homo; species Homo sapiens. The sequence continues at coordinate 5,118,308 of NC_000012.12, forward strand.
TTTGGGCTGAGACAATGGGGTTTTCTAGATATACAATCAAGTTGTCTGCAAACAGGGACAATTTGACTTCCTCTTTTCCTAATTGAATACCCTTTATTTCCTTCTCCTGCCTAATTGCCCTGGCCAGAACTTCCAACACTATGTTGAATAGGAGTGGTGAGAGAGGGCATCCCTGTCTTGTGCCAGTTTTCAAAGGGAATGCTTCCAGTTTTTGCCCATTCAGTATGATATTGGCTGTGGGTTTGTCATAGATAGCTCTTATTATTTTGAAATACGTCCCATCAATACCTAATTTATTGAGAGTTTTTAGCATGAAGGGTTGTTGAATTTTGTCAAAGGCTTTTTCTGCATCTATTGAGATAATCATGTGGTTTTTGTCTTTGGCTCTGTTTATATGCTGGATTACATTTATTGATTTGCGTATATTGAACCAGCCTTGCATCCCAGGGATGAAGCCCACTTGATCATGGTGGATAAGCTTTTTGATGTGCTGCTGGATTCGTTTTGCCAGTATTTTATTGAGGATTTTTGCATCAATGTTCATCAAGGATATTGGTCTAAAATTCTCTTTTTTTGTTGTGTCTCTGCCTGGCTTTGGTATCAGAATGATGCTGGCCTCATAACATGAGTTAGGGAGGATTCCCTCTTTTTCTATTGATTGGAATAGTTTCAGAAGGAATGGTACCAGTTCCTCCTTGTACCTCTGGTAGAATTCAGCTGTGAATCCATCTGGTCCTGGACTCTTTTTGGTTGGTAAGCTATTGATTATTGCCACAATTTCAGCTCCTGTTATTGGTCTATTCAGAGATTCAACTTCTTCCTCGTTTAGTCTTGGGAGAGTGTATGTGTCGAGGAATTTATCCATTTCTTCTAGATTTTCTAGTTTATTTGTGTAGAGGTGTTTGTAGTATTCTCTGATGGTAGTTTGTATTTCTGTGGGATCGGTGGTGATATCCCCTTTATCATTTTTTATTGCGTCTATTAGATTCTTCTCTCTTTTTTTCTTTATTAGTCTTGCTAGCGGTCTATCAATTTTGTTGATCCTTTCAAAAAACCAGCTCCTGGATTCATTAATTTTTTGAAGGGTTTTTTGTGTCTCTATTTCCTTCAGTTCTGCTCTGATTTTAGTTATTTCTTGCCTTCTGCTAGCTTTTGAATGTGTTTGCTCTTGCTTTTCTAGTTCTTTTAATTGTGATGTTAGGGTGTCAATTTTGGATCTTTCCTGCTTTCTCTTGTGGGCATTTAGTGCTATAAATTTCCCTCTACACACTGCTTTGAATGTGTCCCAGAGATTCTGGTATGTTGTGTCTTTGTTCTCGTTGGTTTCAAAGAACATTTTTATTTCTGCCTTCATTTTGTTATGTACCCAGTAGTCATTCAGGAGCAGGTTGTTCAGTTTCCATGTAGTTGAGCGGTTTTGAGTGAGATTCTTAATCCTGAGTTCCAGTTTGATTGCACTGTGGTCTGAGAGATAGTTTGTTATAATTTCTGTTCTTTTACATTTGCTGAGGAGAGCTTTACTTCCAAGTATGTGGTCAATTTTGGAATAAGTGTGGTGTGGTGCTGAAAAAAATGTATATTCTGTTGATTTGAGGTGGAGAGTTCTGTAGATGTCTATTAGGTCCGCTTGGTGCAGAGCTGAGTTCAATTCCTGGGTATCCTTGTTGACTTTCTGTCTCGTTGATCTGTCTAATGTTGACAGTGGGGTGTTAAAGTCTCCCATTATTAATGTGTGGGAGTCTAAGTCTCTTTGTAGGTCACTCAGGACTTGCTTTATGAATCTTGGTGCCCCTGTATTGGGTGCATATGTATTTAGGATAGTTAGCTCTTCTTGTTGAATTGATCCCTTTACCATTATGTAATGGCCTTCTTTGTCTCTTTTGATCTTTGTTGGTTTAAAGTCTGTTTTATCAGAGACTAGTATTGCAACCCCTGCCTTTTTTTGTTTTCCATTTGCTTGGTAGATCTTCCTCCATCCTTTTATTTTGAGCCTAGGTGTGTCTCTGCACCTGAGATGGGTTTCCTGAATATAGCACACTGATGGGTCTTGACTCTTTATCCAACTTGCCAGTTTGTGTCTTTTAATTGGAGCATTTAGTCCATTTACATTTAAAGTTAATATTGTTATGTGTGAATTTGATCCTGTCATTATGATGTTAGCTGGTTATTTTGCTCGTTAGTTGATGCAGTTTCTTCCTAGTCTTGATGGTCTTTACATTTTGGCATGATTTTGCAGTGGCTGGCACAGGTTGTTCCTTTCCATGTTTAGCGCTTCCTTCAGGAGCTCTTTTAGGGCAGGCCTGGTGGTGACAAAATCTCTCAGCATTTGCTTGTCTGTAAAGTATTTTATTTCTCCTTTGCTTATGAAGCTTAGTTTGGCTGGATATGAAATTCTGGGTTGAAAATTCTTGTCTTTAAGAATGTTGAATATTGGCTCCCACTCTCTTCTGGCTTGTAGGGTTTCTGCCGAGAGATCTGCTGTTAGTCTGATGGGCTTCCCTTTGTGGGTAACCCGACCTTTCTCTCTGGCTGCCCTTAACATTTTTTCCTTCATTTCAACTTTGGTGAATCTGACAATTATGTGTCTTGGAGTTGCTCTTCTCGAGGAGTATCTTTGTGGCGTTCTCTGTATTTCCTGAATCTGAACGTTGGCCTGCCTTGCTAGATTGGGGAAGTTCTCCTGGATAATATCCTGCAGAGTGTTTTCCAACTTGGTTCCATTCTCCCCATCACTTTCAGGTACACCAATCAGACGTAGATTTGGTCTTTTCACATAGTCCCATATTTCTTGGAGGCTTTGCTCATTTCTTTTTATTCTTTTTTCTCTAAACTTCCCTTCTCGCTTCATTTCATTCATTTCACCTTCCATCGCTGATACCCTTTCTTCCAGTTGATTGCATCAGCTCCTGAGGCTTCTGCATTCTTCACGTAGTTCTCAAGCGTTGGTTTTCAGCTCCATCAGCTCCTTTAAGCACTTCTCTTTATTGGTTATTCTAGTTATACATTCTTCTAAATTTTTTTCAAAGTTTTCAACTTCTTTGCCTTTGGTTTGAATGTCCTCCCATAGCTCAGAGTAATTTGATCATCTGAAGCCTTCTTCTCTCTGCTCGTCAAAGTCATTCTCCATCCAGCTTTGTTCCGTTGCTGGTGAGGAACTGCGTTCCTTTGGAGGAGGAGAGGTGCTCTTCTTTTTAGAGTTTCCAGTTTTTCTGTTCTGTTTTTTCCCCATCTTTGTGGTTTTATCTACTTTTGGTCTTTGATGATGGTGATGTACAGATGGGTTTTTGGTGTGGATGTCCTTTCTGTTTGTTAGTTTTCCTTCTAACAGACAGGACCCTCAGCTGCAGGTCTGTTGGAATACCCTGCCGTGTGAGGTGTCGGTGTACCCCTGCTGGGGGGTGCCTCCCAGTTAGGCTGCTCGGGGGTCAGGGGTCAGGGACCCACTTGAGGAGGCAGTCTGCCCGTTCTCAGATCTCCAGCTGCGTGCTGGGAGAACCAGTGCTCTCTTCAAAGCTGTCAGACAGGGACATTTAAGTCTGCAGAGGTTGCTGCTGTCTTTTTGTTTGTCTGTGCCCTGCCCCCAGAGGTGGAGCCTACAGAGGCAGGCAGGCCTCCTTGAGCTGTGGTGGGCTCCGCCCAGTTGGAGCTTCCCGGCTGCTTTGTTTACCTAATCAAGCCCGGGCAATGGCGGGCGCCCCTCCCGCAGCCTCGCTGCCGCCTTGCAGTTGGATCTCAGACTGCTGTGCTAGCAATCAGCGAGACTCCGTGGGCGTAGGACCCTCCGAGCCAGGTGTGGGATATAATCTCGTGGTGCGCCGTTTTTTAAGCGGGTCTGAAAAACGCAATATTCGGGTGGGAGTGACTCGATTTTCCAGGTGCGTCCGTCACCCCTTTCTTTGACTCAGAAAGGGAACTCCCTGACCCCTTGCGCTTCCCAAGTGAGGCAATGCCTCGCCCTGCTTCGGCTCGCGCACCCACTGACCTGCGCCCACTGTCTGGCACTCCCTAGTGAGATGAACCCGGTACCTCAGATGGAAATGCAGAAATCACCCGTCTTCTGCGTCGCTCACGCTGGGAGCTGTAGACCGGAGCTGTTCCTATTCGGCCATCTTGGCTCCTCCGCCTCAGAGGTATTATCGCTTCAGTTCCAGATCACCACAGTAAATACTGCAATACAGTGAGTTACATGAATGTTTTGGTTTCTCAGTACATATAAGTTTATACTTCTATAATCTATGTGTGCAATAGCATTATGTATAAAAAATGTACATACCTTAAGTAAAATAATACTTTATTGCTAAGAAGTGCTAACAAAGTGAGCACTTGCTGATAGACTTACTCAATGCAGGGTTCCCACAAACCTTCAATTTGTAAAAAAAAAAAAAAAATGCATTATCTGCAAAACACATTAAAGTGAAGCACAATAAAGAGTAAAGCATGATTATATATATACATATACACATATATGTGTGTGTATATATGTATATATACATATATATGAGAGAGAGAAAGACACAGAAAGAGAGATTTATTTAAAGGAATTGGCTCACACAGCTGTAGGGCTGGCAAGTTTGAAATCTGTAGGGCAGCCAGGCAGGCTGGAAACTCAGGTTGAATTTCCGTGCTACGGACTTGAGGTAGAATTTCTTCTCCGGGAAATCGCCCTTTTTGCCCTAAAGGCCTTCAACTGACTGGAGGAAGCCCATCCACATTTTCTAGGATGATCTTCTTTACTTACAGTCAACTGATTGTAAATGATAGTCGCATCTACAAAATACCTTCATAGCAACATGGAGTGTTTGACCAAACAGGTGAACACCAAGGCCAGCCAAAGTGACACATTCAATTAACACTCCCAGTCCAACCCTTGTCAACTTGCCATCCATACACATCTTTTTAAACCATACTTAATATCCAAGTAAAGATAACTACAAAATCATACTCCCACCTAACGATACAACTATTCTGCATACAACTGAAAGTGCACTAAGCCTTTCTTTAGAAGAAGATCCAAAGTCCTTGGATAATGTTCATTCTCCTCCTTGACATCCTGTAGCTTAAATACTATAATATAAAGCTAATACATCTTATGTTATAGGATAAGGGGATAACAAGGAAGAAAACAAAGATATATTAAGGATATTTTATGTATACAGATATGTTTATACATATACACCTACAAACATATTCATAATAAAATTTAAAAAAATAATTACAATCCTTGTTTTTGCTACTGCTTACATAGTCAAAGCTGGTATTTATAACTGCCTTCTTCTACTACCCATTCCATATTCCCTGTGACCTCCACAAATATCTCAGTTGGTTGTGCTTTTGCCTAATAAAATGACCCAAACCATCATTCTTGAAAGGCCTGGGCCACCAGTAGTTTTGCCTAAATTGGATTGTAGTAGTTTTCCATTGACTTTAATCGCAGGACATGGTAGTATTAAGAGGTACCTAAAGGACTTCTGGAATTCCAGATATATTCTTTCTTACATCTGTTGTGTAATAGCCATCCAATTACCCCTAGTAATCAGGATCAATACCCTCCAATTTTCCCTTAGCAATCAGGATCAATAACCCTCAAATTTCCCCTTAGCAATCAGGATCAATAACCCTAATCACAACTGTAACTCCCTTCTTTGCCTATTTATTCAGAGGTATAAAGTCCTCCAAGTGGCCAGGTAGCAGTCTTAACTTTCACTTCAGTGAAATTGTATGTATCCCTGGTGGAAGCATTCCTCCTTTTGGAACTAAGATGTCTAGACCAGCAGGGTATAAGGTTCTTGGAACAGGAAGCAAACATTTTGCTAGTGAGTCACTATGGGTAACAGTGAGTCCACCTCTTTTTCCACTCCTTGATTCCCGGATCCATGAATCTTGGCTATGGGAAATAGCACCATATACTGGATGCTTATTCACAGGATATACGGCCTGCTGGAGAACACTGCCCCTATCCCTGAAGGTGTTGTCACCTAGCTGGTGCTGTAACTGCATCTTCAAAGAGCCATTCCACCATTGCATCAAGCCAATTGCTTTAGGATAATGGGGAATGTAATAAGGCCAATGAATTCTATGAGCATGGGCCCATTGCCACATTTCTTTTGCTGTGAAGTGAGTTTCTTGATCAGAAGCAATGCTACCTGGAATACCATGATGGTGGATAAGGCATTCTGAAAGTCCACAGATGGTATTTTTGGCAGAAGCATTACATTCAGGCAAATCTGTATCAAGAGTTAGTTTCTATTTTAGTGAGAACATAACACTGCCCCTTCCATGATGGAAGTGGTCCAATGTAATCAAACTGTCACCAGGTAGCTGGCTTCTCACTCCAGGTAATGAGCCCCTGATGGGACTCAGCATTGTTCTCTGCTGCTGGCAGATTGGGCACTTATTAATGGCTATAGCCAGGCTGGCCTTGGTGAGTAGAAACCTATGTTACTGAGCCTGTGTGTAACCTCCATCTTTGCTGCTGTGTTGCCTATGAGTCCATTAGGCAATAATAGAAGTAGCTGGGAAAACAAGCTCACTGCTATCCATAGAATAATTCATCCTATCCATATGATTATTAAAATTATCCTCTGCAGAGGTCATCCTTTGGTGAACATTCACAAATGATTGGTGATATGGTACACAAATATCTTCACACTTTTTGCCCATTTGGAGAAGTCTATCTGTACATCTCTTCCCCAATTTTAGTCACCAATTTTCCAATCACATTCCTTCCAAGTTCCTGACCATCCAGCCAAACCATTGGTCATAGCTCATGCATTGCTATACACTCACATCTCTGGCCACTTCTCTTTTGAAGCAAACCAAATCACCTGATGCACTGTGAAGTTCTGCCCACTGAGAGGGTTCTCCTTCACAACCATACTTCAGGATTGCAGTTAAGGGGCTGTAGTGCTGCAGTGGTCCCCTCTCAGGTAGTGTCTGCGTATCACATGAAACCATTTAGAAACCAGGTTCAAATTCTCTCTTCCTCAGTAAACTGATTGTAGGGACCTTCCATGAGGCAATATATGTGTACTGGAAAGAGAAGGCAACGTAGCAGGAGAGGGAACCTTGGGCATTTGACCATTTCTTCATGTAATTTGCTTATGTGTTCAAGGGCCTTTGTGGGCCCAATCGCATACATACCACTTCCATCTGATGATGAAATGTTGCTGTGAGCACCCAGCTTTGTGGCTTGGTGGGTCAGATAACACCTAGTTCATGATGAGTGGCTCAGGTCTCAAGGTAACTTGGTGGCCCATGGTTAAGCATTCAGTCTCTACTAAGGCTCAATAGCAAGCAAAAAAAGCTTTCTCAAAAGGAGAGTGGCTATCTGCAAAAAAAGGCAGGGCTTTGTGCCAGAATCCTAATGTTCTAGACTATGATTCACCTACAGAAGCTTTTTAAAGACTCCAAAGAGATCTCTCTCTCTACCACTGCCACTGCAAACACCATGGGATCTGCTGGATCATATGGCCCAAATAGCAGGGATATTTCCATGGTAATCTGGACCTGCTGGAGAGCCTCTCTCTGGGTCCCATTCAAAACTAACAGCTTTTCAGGCAGCTCAGTAAATGGCCTGGAGTAGTATACTCAAATAAGGAATGTGTTGCCTCCAAATCCAAAGAGGTCTACTTACCATTGTTCCTCTTTCTTGATTATAGAAGGGGTCAGATGCAACAACTTAATTTTTCAACTTAGAGAAGATATCTTGACATGTACTGTACCACAGGATCTCCAGAAATTTCACTGAAGTAGAAGGCCCCTGAATTTTTGTTGGATTAATTTCCCATCCTTCTACATGCAAATGTCTTATCAATAGGTCTAGAGAAGTTGCTAGTTCTCACTCATTAGGTCCAATCCGTATAATATTTTCAATGTAATGGGCCAGTGTCATGTCTTGTGCAAGGGAAAGACAGTCCAGATTTCTGCAACTAAATTATGATGTAGGGCTGTAGAATTGATATACCCCTGAGTAGGAAAGTGGTAGTGTTGTGCTGGCCTGGCCAGATGAAAGCAAGTTTTGCTTCTGGTTGTCTTTACTATCATGTATTGAGAAAAAAAAAGTATTTTCCAGATTTATAGCTGTACAGCAGGTAGCAGGGGATGTGTAAATTTGCTCAAGAAATGAAACCACATTCTGAACAGCAGCTGCAATTGAGGTCACCACATAGCTAAGTCTATGAAAGTCCACTGTCATCCAGGATCCATCTGTTTTCTGCATAGGCCAAATAGATGAATTGAATAGTAATGCAGTGGGAATCACCTCCCCTACATCCTTCAAGTTCTTGATGTTGGCAGTAATCTCTGTATTCCCTACAGGGACTCGGTAATGCTTTGGGTGTACTATTTTTCTAGGTAGAAGCTGTTTTGGTGGATTTTACTTGCTCTTTCATAACATAATTGCCTTCATTCCACAGGTCAAAGAACCAATGTAGGGATTCTGCCAGTTGCTAAATATGTCTATGCTAATTATGCATTTCAGAACTACGTAAATAACCACAGGATGGGTTCAGAGACCAGTTGAGATGAAAAGGAGCTAAAAGTCCATTGAACACCTGAGATCCATAAGCCCCAACTCTGACTGGTAGTCCACAGTGATGTTTTGGATCTCCTGGAACTGATGTCAGTTCAAAGCCATAATCCCCCAAAAGTCTGATTATCCTCTTTTCCCTAATGCACAGTCACCCTGGTAAAAGGCCATGGGTCCCTTTGAGGTAACACAGGAGAAAGATCAACGGTAGAAATTTTCGTCATTGCAGCTGGGCCCTTCCTGAAGGGGACCTAGCCTCCCTTCAATTCAAGGGGTTCTGGGTCCGTAAACTGGCTCAAGTCTAGAATTGATTGAAAGGCTATGACTACAGAAGTTATCCTTCTGTTCCTTTGACCTTAAACTCTTCCACTTATGCAGATCAAGTCAGAATTTAGTATACAGTCTGCCTATTTCACTTCTAGAACACTGTGATCAACTTGCTAATGCCATAGGTCTGTGGTGTGAGGCTATTCTGATTCCTGCTTTGACTTTGTTGTCCATTAAAGTAACCACACCCAATTATTTGGTGTTTAAGTGCTGTCACTTGTCCCCTGCCACTCTGGGATCCAACTATCCCTCTGGCATCTAAGGATTCCAGTTCAGTAGCATCAGTTCCCACCATGATTTCTCACCTGTAGAGAAGAGGAACTACAGTGCTCTTCATGGATGCTGGGACTCCCCTAACAAATTTATTTCTTTAGTGAAAGATGTGTCCTTTGGATACTTCTTGGGTGCGTGAGCAGGTCTCACATTATAAATCCACTCTAACACTGCAGTCTCCCTAGCCTCTTGAGATCATCTTTTATACTATGCTGTGATAGTTAATTTTAGGTGTCAACTTGACTAGATTGAGGGATGCTTAGATGACTGGGGCTGCTGAAGCATTGTTTCTGGGTGTGTCCCTGAGGGTGTTTCCAGAGAGACTGACCAGAGAGCATCAGTGAACTGAGACAGGAAGATCTGTCCTTAACGTGGGTGGGCACCATCCGATCACCTGGGGCCTTGCTGGGACAAACATGCAGAATATGGAAAGATTCTCCCTCTCTTTCTCTTTCTCCCTTCCTAAGTGGGACACCTTTTCTTCTGCCTCTGGACATCAGGTTCTTCAGCTTTTGAACTCTGGGAGTAGCACCATTTCCCTCTGGTATCTGAGGCTTTTAGTCTCAGACTGCAGGCTGTGATATTGTCCTCCCTGGCTCTGAGGTTTCCATACGAGACGCACTACCAACTTCCATGGTTCTCCAGCTTGACACAGCCTATCATGAGACTTTTCTGCCTGTGTGATCATGTGAGCCAATTCCAATCATAAATTTCCTCTCATATATTCTATTGTTTATTGTTTCTGTTTCTTTGGAGAACCCTGACTAAGATATATACCAAGGTTGCTCTGGTATTTCAGCTTCACTTAAGGTAGGCCACCTTTTGTACAGGTTTCAGTTAACCAACTAACCAAGCCGTTAAAGCTTTTTATAACTCCTGAGGCTACAACACTGGATCCAGAATCTCTGTTTAGGTGGCCCATATTAATAAATTCATCCTGATACAACTTTACGTTCCTTCCACTGTGATGCCACACTCTTAATATTCATTTCTACAGATACTCCCCAATTTATGTCTTTATAAATAAAAAAATCACTCTATTCTTTTGAGATGTACCATACTTCATCGTGGCTCACAGTTTGTACTTCACCTTTTGGGATCTGTTGGGAGTAGAGTCTAGTTATAGGTCTAGAAGCAAAGAAGGCTGGTGGAGATGGATCCTGAGAAGACTCAGCATTTTGTTGCAAGACAGCTACCTCAGGGAAGACCATTAGAGTTTCCTAGAACAAAGCAAGCTTAACCTCCTCAAATGGGGGCTACTTTTGCTGGCAATAAAAGACTCAGCAGAATTTAGGGGCTTGGTGCCCTCAGCTTCATCAGGATCTGCCCATATATCCTCTTTCCAATTTTCAGGATCCATTCCTTCCCAGTAAGTGCCCTCACTTTAACAGCAGTTAACCTATGAAGTTGAGAATTCAATTTGCATTGTAATTCAGTCACTTGTGAAAAGAAACTCTGCGTTTGGTTTTCAGAAATCTCATCTCTGTGATTATTAGACATGAGAGTTTTTCGAATACAGACATAGAAACCTCTAGGTCATTTATGCAGTGCTTGGACTGGGGATTTAAATTCCTGAGCTCATCCTTTTCTTTCACCACATTGTCCAGTGCAATTGGGAATAAACAGTCAATCTCACCATACTTGTTAGTTTAACAAAAATGTTCTGAAGTATCAAATACATGGTCACTCAAAACCTTGCTTCTTGCTTCTTATAAGCATTTGATTAGGGATATCCAATGGTGTTTTGTTTTGTTTTGTTTTGTTTTGTTTTTTGTATCTCTATTGCCACATTATTCCACAGTCTATCAGTGCCCTCTTTACTACTAAGAATAGTCATTCGAAATTTTAACATCTTATCAGATTAGAGAAGCAATTCCAGGGACCCTAGGACCAATTTAGAAAAGTCATCCATAAGATTGTTTTTCTAGACCACTATTAGTACAGTCAGAGTTCTCCAGAGAAACAGAACCAACAGAATATATTTTCTGAGAGAGATAGAGAGAGAAAGAAAGAAAGAGAGGGAGAGATTTACAGGAACTGAACTGGCCCACATGATTCACAAGACTGGGGGGCTGACAAGTCTGAAATACATATTGGAGCCTGGTAGACTGAAAACTCAAGCAAGAGTTGATGTTAAAGTCTTCAGTCTGAAATTTGTAGGGCAGGAGATTAGGCTGGAAACTCAGGCAGAATTTCTGTGTTACAATCTTGAGGCATAATTCTTCTCCAAAAAAATCTCCATTTTTTTCTCTTAAAGCCTTGGATGAGCCTTGGATGATTGGATGAGGACTACCCACATTATCTAGGGTAATCTCCTTTGCTTAAAGTAAACTCACTGTGTTAATCACATCAACAAAATACCTTCACAGCTACATGTAGTGTTTGACCAAACAACTAGGCACCATAGCCTAGCCACATAAAATTACTATCATTATACTTTTTCTTATCACATACTTCTACCTTGGAAGGGATATTTCCCAGTTGGTATAGCTACAAAACAGAGGCAGATCATTTAGCCTGCATTTGATTTGTAGTGAAAAATAAGCCTTTGGTGTGTTTAACCACTGAAATGTTGCGGTTTATTAGTATAGCACAACTTATCCTATACTGGCCAACATAGATGCTTTCGGTTGCAAGTAACAGATCCCCTTACAGTTTACAAAAATTTAAAAAAGAAAAAACAATCAAAAGTCCAGAGGTGGCATCAGTAATGATTTTAAGGTCCCGGTAGTATTGACTACAGTGGAAATTGACTATATTGTCAGTTTCATCTAAGGCGGATTCCCTTTGTCAACCCTTGCTTTGTGCACTGGAAAATATTCTATGCAGATTAGCTTATCCTAATCATTCTCAAACTTGATTACACATTAAAATCACCTACCAGCTTTTAAAATGTGACTAATGCCCAAGCCACTGCCAAGAACAACGAAATCAGCATCTCTGGGAGATGAATTCCAGGCAGAGCAAAACTTCCAGGTGAGTCTAATGAGCAGCCAGTAGGGAGAACCACTGGCTTAGATACACTAATCATTATCCTTCTCTGGAATCCTGGCGGGAAGAAAAAAGAGGAAGTAACAAAGAATCCATCATGCAAGGGAGAGGATATCTCTCTCCACTGTAAGATCAGGGCTTAAGTTGCAAATACTCCTGGCACAGAAAACTTAGTGGTTTAAATATTTGTGATCAAAGCAGAGACTTTCAAGAGATGAGATTTGGGTAGGGACAAGGAGATCTCAAGAGGGGAAGAAATTTTAGGTAAATGGTGGATAGCAGTACCATAGATACATTTTGCCATTTCCTTGCTTCTCATGGTCTGAAATCTGATGTCTCACATGTTGATGTTAGGCATCTGGAATGTCTAGAATATTGACAATGTTCTTATGGTCCTGGGTGACCCCTATTTTGCATTTGGGAAATATTTTGACGCTGATGTTTAGGAGGAAGATAAATAACCCCGGTTTTGGTTTACTTCTCTTTTATTGGATTATGGGTTAGGTATGATTCTTCAGCCTTAAGTTCAACCAGCCATCTCTTGGGCTCCACAACCCTTTCTTTCACTGCCCATTCAAAGTAGTGAGGATGATTTTTTCAAGTGTGTATGTGAGCAGGACGTAGATGTAATGATGAATGAGAAACATGAAGTCTGACCTACGAAAGATTTCAATTCGGGGGCAAAAGGCCAAGCTTACCATTTTCTTAGGAAAAACGCACAGCGCACATGAACCTCCTTTTTCCTTGCTAACCAAATTCTCTCCCTGCCACTGCTTCCTACCTCTCCTGTACATATAAAACCGCTGTGTGTGAGCTGCTCAAGGGGCTGCTATTGTGACTTCCCAAATTATTTCCAAATGTTACTAATATAATCATATCCAATACTTGGAAATTTTGGATAAAGCCCTGGCTGCAGTCTACATGTTCCTACATATTTCTATGGTCTGTCTCCTGACTTCTTCTAGGTCTATGTCTGAGTTATCATTTTCCCAAGCTCAAAGCTGATGTAGACTCTCCCTGCTTGTGCCATGGTTGGTCTGTCTCTCTAAAGAGATTCTATCTTCTTGAAACAGTTGACTCTGTCATCCAGCTATATATCCCCACTTATATTAGAGTGTCTGGAACATAATTCATGCTAAAAGAAAAATTTCTTGAACAAATAAGTAACAGTGAGTTAATCAGTCAGACAATAACCTGTGTAAACCTACTCAGTGTTGGTAGAATAACCTGAAGAGTATTTTAGAATCCTAAAAAAGTCATTTTTTGACTTCAAAAGTCACTTAATTATTTTCCAGTTCTAAGAGTCAGTGATCTCTTTTGCCGTATATACCCTCCACTGTTTACACGGGGCATTCTGGGAAATCTTGTAATAGCGTGAACGAATGTAAAGCATGCCCATATTTTCCCTTCTGAACAATGTTATAATGTAACAGATTACCTTCCCGACTAAATATTGGGCTTTAGATAAGAACCAGTGATTGGCCACATGTCCTATAAGACATCCTACAACAGCAAAAAGTGAGTATGATCACTGGAAACAGTAAAGGAATGTTTTCAATCTTATTAAATGGATTTAAAATATGCCACAGAGATTCACATTTTTATAAAGTGTATAGTCACTTTATCTACTTTATTAGGACTTAGAAAACCTATTTGAAGACTGGATATGGTCCAGATAAATACATTTAAAATGTTTTGTCTCATGCCTTTTTCTCCCCATTGTAATTTTTTCTGAAGTAAAGCGACACATTCAAAACTATTTCACTGATTTTACAGATGCTTCAGACTTGATAAAGGTTTTCATTGTGTGAATTTGCTGCTGCTAGGTCTGCTGGTAATAAAGATGAAGGTGGTGATGATAAAGATTATTTCTCTGGCACTGAAAATGACTTCCAAAACTAAGGGCTAACCAATTCCCTCCTTACCTCTTTCTCCTGCTTCTCCTACTCATGTAAGACTGCTGCCCTTGAGCTGCTTAAGAGGATGGTGTGCTCCTTTTCTGTGTGACTTTCTCTGGCATTGAAATGCCTTGCCAGCAATTACAGGGTAATTCACAAAGACTCTTGAAGAGGAGTTCAGAAAGTCTCTTTGGAAGTTGCCAGGACCCTTGCTGGCTGGTGCCTAGGCTTGGTTGCTTCTGCCAGCCTTCTGCAGGTAAGGGCAATAAGCAGCTCTGCAAAACTGGGGCAGCATAGTCTCAGGGTAGAGGGAGGGGTGATTGAAGGCTGAGGAAAAAGAAAGTGGGATTGTCTATTATTTCTTCACTTTTCATGGCTCCCTAACCAAAGTTAAGTGCCTTGATGTTCAGACACATAAGTAACACGCTCTTCTTTCTCCATACCAACCTGTCCCCAAACGCAAAGAAAGTACTTAGCAGTGATAAAATAATTAGTTAGTTATTGGCTTAACCTACTGCTGGGCTTTGCCAGGAAAACTTGTGAAAAACTTTTAAGTGAATCAATAGATTGGTTGATTGACTGATAGATTTGTGTGTGTCCTGATTGGCTCTTTCACTCATTCTTTTGGGGTTACCTAACAATTCTGTCTTCTTTTCTTTTTTAACAGCTCTTTATGTTGTATAAAACTTGTAGTAATACAAATGATTCTTGCCATATTACAAGTCTGTTTTATCTGGTGGAGTACAAAGCATTGTTGCCCTGTGGTTAAACGACTTTTTGCATCTATTTGTAAACTCATTTCAGCCTCCCTTTACCTCTATAAACATGTTCCTTGAATTCTTCTTTGATCAGTTGTGACATCTTACTGCTTTTCTCATTAATTGAGTTAAATAAAAATCTTTGGAGATATTTAATTTCATATTTGTATGAGAGTCATGACTACATCCTATTTTTAAAATCATCCTTCAACAACTTGGTAGTTGATTCATGCCCTAAAACAGCTTCTTTCCACCCGGAAAGGGTCGATGAGGACTCTGGTATCAACAAAATAACATTAGAGATTTATGTGTAGCTCTACTCTTATTCCCTAAACTTTCTATTTGTAACTTAATTGCACTTATTATAGTGACTACTCCCTAATAACAACTAATTTCCAAATAATGCTTTACAGTTTGAAATGTTTTCTGCTATTTGACTTGCACATCGGTGACCTATGTAATAAGCTGAACAAACACTATGATAACTCCCACTTATAGATGAGGAAGTAGGGAGGCCTGACATCACATAAATAAAGACTCATGTCTTCTGAGACAAATTCCTTGTTCTTTCCACTATACACCACATTGCCACACCACATACACCCCCACCAGTCCATACTTCAAAATGCCTCTTGAAAAATCAAAGTTAATTCAATTAAGTTTGAGACAATTTCAGCATTAAGGATTCTTTATATGAATATGCCAATAATTTGCAAATTGATATTCAGCTGTGGCTTGTAAGTTAACTCTCTTTTTAATCACATTACTCAATTGATCCATAAAACAATTGTCAGAGTAATTTATAATAGAATCCATTTTCTGAAAGAAGAAAAGAAGCTAACTAATGTTTATTAAATACCTGCAATGTGGCAGATATTTTTATCGAAGGTTTTATAATTTAATCTTCAAAATAGCCTTGTGAAGTAACTTCCATGTTTTCATTGTCCTGTTGGTGATAATAATAGTATAAATCTATTTATTGACCACTCATATTGTATCTGGTGTAACCCTCACATCTGTTGGGTTGGTTGCATAAGTGAGATCTAAATCATAGGAACATTGAGAACTATACCCAAGGTCATATGTTGGGATTTCACCTTAGATCCAAAGTTCATCTTCTTAACAACAACTTAGTGGTTCAGAGTAGCCAAGACCATCGTTTGGTCGGTCAGTAGGACAGTGCACATTCTGTGTGAGGTTCTTTCCTCAGGATTGTGAAGAATAAATGGGGCCTCTGTCCTGGGTGTCTTGAAGTCTATTGTTGATGTAAGGTCAAGGGAATAGATGAAGTTGAGAGAACAGGGACAAGGAGAAATGTGACAATGTCCTCAGTAAAAGATGAGTTTCTTTTCCAGAGATCTAGAGAACCTGGAACATGAGGTCATCGAGGTGAGCTTCCTGTTTACTCCTAGTCTTGTCAAAACATGAAAAGGTTAAGGATCAGAACAAATGCAAAGCAACCCAAAGGGCTTTTAACTCACATTTGCAGCTGGGTCAAGTACAAGGCTCAGTGCTAAGGCTAGCATGTCAACAGGCAACAGAGAGAGTATGCATCTCCTTTGCTCCTCTTCAGCTGTGGTGTTCTTCCTCTAAAAAAATGACCTTCTGACTGGAATGGATGGAACGGAGAGAATCAAAGCTGCCCATGGGTGAAGAGATGTAAGGGAGCTCCTGTCTTCTCTACATGTGGTTCAGCTTCCTGGCTTAAAGGGATCCCAGCCCAGGGAGCTGAGAAAACTTGCAGACGAGCTTGCTAAAGCATTTTTGTTAAATTAGGAGGAACCAGAGTAGGACAGGAGAGGTGGCGGACCTCTACCTTCAAGTACACATTGACTTGATTGTCAAAAGTGAAGGAATGTGGAGGCCTGGGAGTCAGGGCAGGATTCCAGAAGGATGGCTGGAAAGAGAGGGTGTGAATTTTGGAAGAGGGTAATCTGATCATGGGGAGTCATCTGGATGCATTAAAGACAAATCATAGAACATGCCCAGTGAAAGACATTTCCTGCCGAGAAGTCAAGTAAATGCAATGTATAAGGAGTGTTTGGATTTCAGTAATTCATTTATCAAAGTTAGAGCTCTAAATGGTGCAGATGTTGCATAAGAAATTAGAGTTTCACATAGAAGATTAAAGGTTGCTGTCTAATAAAATCTAAAAGTCTATGATTCTCTGCTTCTACACTAGATGGCAACTCCCTGATTTGGAGATTTCTAGAAAATACATGTAAACCAAATGACTAATAGAGATGCTTTTACTCCCTGAGGCCCTGACAACATATTGTATTTGAAACATAATACAGAGAATATCACAAACGAAATACATTTGAGTACTGACATCCTCTATCCACTTACTCTAACTTTTTTCTTTACATAAATCAAATAGATAAATCCTCTCAGCCCGTCCTCACCTTGTCCTCTCTCTGCCAAACCGCAAAGAGGTTTTGTTTTTCTGTGAGTTTTCCGATTGTTGAGGGAGAATGAAAAGTTTCCAGAAAGAGACTGGGGCATGTTGAAACCTGGATGACTTTTATGTTTTTGACCCTTGTTCCTCTTCCAGCAATGGGATGTTTTCTGTTGTCCAAATGTCTTCACCAAACACACATGACATTCTAGCAGCAGGCTGAGAAGGCGTTTTGTTTTTTTGTTTTGTTTTGTTTTATCTCCAATTTCTGACTACATTAGGTTTCTTTTGTTTACAAGCACGGTTTTCAAGTTTTCTGGGGAAATGTTTTTGAATTTTTGTTTTTCTGTGGAAGCAAGCATCCCCCACTTCCCTCAGTGAAGTTGACATAAGCAAGTGGGACTGAAGGATGTTCTTCCTTCCTCAAAAACAAGGAAAAATGAAGCGTTCTCCTCTTCCAAGGAGAGCATGTGCACAAGTGTGTTCTAACGAGAAATATCAACTAAACTACTTTCTATTAGAGCATGTACCTGTGGCCAGGAAGGGACCTGGAACCACTGCTTATTGGGCCCGTTGTTTTGAAACCATGAACAACAGCCCAATGAATTCATCCTTTGGCAGACACTTGACAGAGATAGATATTTCTGTTTCTAAAAACTGTAGTCACCGATTCCTAAGGGCAGGGAAATAATTAAGAGTGCAAAAACTACAATGAATCAAAGAAAAATAAAATGCCCCTTACATATCCTGTTTAAGTTGACAATTTTTATTATCCAGAAAACAATTGAATTACCATTCTCTTATACTAGAGGGACAAAAAGGGGAGGGAGGAATGGAGAAAGAGATGTGTGGAGGGAAGAAAGAAAACAAAAACCGGGCCCATAATCCAGTTACAAGTGAAGACATGGAGAAACAGATACAGATAGAGCCAGAAACAGACAAAGTCAGGCAGAGACACAAACAGAAACTCTTTCATGTAGTAGAAACACACACACACACACACACACACACACACACACACACACAGACACACTCCAGGAGAAATAAACATATGCACAAAGCATACAGAGACCTGGCTAAACTAAATTAGAAGCATACACATTTTAGAGACCTACACATTGAGAGAGATGGAGAGAACTAAGGGTTCTTTGGATGCTAGGAAGAAACAAGGGAAGGGTGTGTGGGAGCACCCATTCATTCAGTGCCTTCCACTCTTCACACTTGAGCTCCTTGCAGCTCCTTGAGCTGCCTTGAGCTCCTTGCAGGGGACCCTAGTGCAGTTTTTACAAACAAAAGTTTTTTATCTTGCCTGCAGCATTTTCTAATTGCAGGACTATGGGCCAGCTACTTAGCCTCTCTGAGGTTCAGTTGCCCTATCTCTAAAATGGGGATAATGATATCTACATCACAGGGTTGTCATAAGAATCAAATGAGATAATATAGCTATAGTGCCCTGTGCACAGCCTGGCTCAGAGTTTGTACTCAATAGATGGTAACTGACACTATTATTAAAATTCATAGCAACACTATAGTGTAGGGATTATTATTTTTTATATAGGCAAGGAAATTGAAACTCAGAAAAGTTAGATAGTTTGCCCAAGTTACACAATTTTGAGTGATAGACCTAGATTTTAATCCAAATCTACCTGGCTTAAGAGCCTATGCTCATTTCACTGCACCGTAGTTGAAACCTATCTCACTTTGTCATGCTGCATTTGTGTGTGTGCACATGTGTATGTGCCTCTGTCTCCCCTCTTCTGAGTCTCCAATGTCTATGATACAACTCTGTCTTTCTTTGCGTACCCATAGCTTAGCTCCCACTTATAAGTGAGAACATGTGGTATTTGGTTTTCCATTCCTGAGTTACTTTACTTGGGATAGTGATCTCCAGTTCCATCCAAGTTGCTGCAAAAGACATTATTTCGTTCTTTTTTAAGGCTGAGTAATATTCCATGTATATGTGTTTATATACATATGACACGTTTTCTTTATCTACTTATTGGTTGAGGATGAAAAACACTTTAAAAGGAAGGGTAAATCACACATATAAATTGTATTCAATTCCTTTGGTTAGAACTCATTTCCCCATGCACCTCTAGGTGCCCAGCCAAGTCCTTACAACATCAATTGTTCTTTTCCTAACTCCTCCTGATAACACCAAACTATCTTTCCCAGGAACTTGTACTCAACTAACTTGCTGATGGTATTGACCTACTAAACTTGAATTTCCTTGAGAACAGAATGGTTGTTGTATCACCACATTATTGGTCACGGGCAGGCACTAAATTCCTTCTGAAGATTTCGTAGAAACCAATCTGTTTTTTTGTTTTTTTTTTTACATTCTGACTAATTTATGTCTATGTCCTATCTCAGGACCAGGTCCTCTGTCTTTTTCATCCTTATATCTACTTTGTGCCTCAGATACTACCCTGAAGGCCAGAGGAGTGCAATACATACTTCATAGCTCCTGTTTTTTAAAAGGCAGGAACAGCTGGGTGCAGTGGCTCATGTCTGTAATCCCAGCTACTCAGGAGGCTGAGGCAGGAGGATTTCTTGAGTCAAGGAGGCTGAGGCTGCAGTGAGCCCTGATTGTGCTACTGCACTCCAGTCTGGATGACAAAGGAAGAACTTGCCTTGAAAGAAAAGAAAGAAAAGAAAAGGCAGCAACGTTTTCCCCACACTCTCCTCTTAACCGTAAAGGAAATTCTCTGGAATTTCTTCAAAGATTACTTTCTACCCTTCTTCAGAAATACAGAGTCCTGACTCTGGAGATGGGGCTCGTGTCTGCACCTCAAATCCATCAGATCCAGACACTTCATATTAGCCTTACCTTGTATGGTCTTATTCAGCGGAGGCATGTGTGCCACTGGATTGCTGAAAGTGGCCCAAATGGGCACTGAGGCCGGACCCATCAATGAGCAAAGTCTTCAGGAATTTTTTTCAGCTGTCATGTCAAAAATATTTTTCATGGGCCTAAAACCAGGATTCTCACACTATTTCTCTATCTGGTCTGTTCTAAGTGAGTCTTCTCTGGATTATGCATTTCTGATGCGTGTTCCTGGGGCTGTGCTGTCCTGTCCATGCACGGGTCTGTCCCCAGGGCAAGGTTCACACTCATCTTTCATGTGGCGGCCAGGGGGAACCTGCGAATGAAGGACTTGATGTGTTATTGTGTGCCAACCCCTCTAAACTTAGGCTCTACTTAATCACTCCAAGGCATGGCTGTTTGCCATTTCTCTGACAGTTCTCATTTGTTAAAGAAAAACAAAGTCATGCTGGGGGCGGGGGGTCCTACTTGGGGAACAGCACCCTCCTGAGGGGCTGCCAGACCCCATCTCTCCCTTGTTCAGGCCATCAGAGAAAGGAGGATGGGTTTCCTGGTGTAGTTGGACATTTCTAGGATTTTTTAACCTGCATCACTGCAGGGGAAAAGACAAAGAAGAGAGATGCAGAAAGGGCCCACTTGTAAATCAGCTTCTCAGTGGTGGGCTCAGGCCTCCATAGCCAATAAGCCCTATAAGCAGCTATGACTACCAGGGAGCAAAGACTTCTGGGCTACTGCTGATTCATTACAGCAGATTACATCAAGCTGAGAAAGGTGAAAAGGGGAGAATTCAGAGGAAGCAAGACAGAGGAGGCCAAGGAAAAGAGACAGACACAGCAGCCCTGGAGAGCAGGAGGGAGCAGGCAGAGAACAGGGCAGCAGGCACTTGTCTTGGGGAGGCCTCCCTGGATGGAGGCCCAGGGCCTTGGTGAGGGTGGCTGGCTCACATTCACAATGGATTTCAGAGCTTTCAAGTTATTTCCCTGCCACTTTGAAATACCACCTTCCCAATGATCCAGCTCATACATCAGAATGTGTTTGTGATGTAAAGTGGCATAAGTATGTACTTGCTGACCCAATTCCTGAATTTTTGCAGGATAATTAAGTAGCATTTTCACCGGGAGTGTAGTCAAATATGATTTGTACTGGAGGTCCTTATTCTGCCAGGTGCGTGCAGAGAGTAAAATGCTGTGGAAATAACATTTATTTAACAGGTACCTACCCCATGTCTATGTATTTCTACCAATAAGGAAACAAGGGACCAAAGAGGTAAAGTCTCTTGACCACAGGTCCCTTCCTCCCTCCCTCCCTCTTTCACAGAAAGAGCTCTCTGGAACCATCTTGAGCCACCCTGTGAATCTTGCCATGTCCATAAACATGCATACATACACACAGACTTTCTCATCCTTATTCTCACAAATATACTTTTAGTGAAGATTATTTTAGAACATGGTATGATACAGTAATGATCCAAACAATGGCCTGACTGTCCTACTTGAATTGCTTGTATAATATAGTACGGCATTGGTGTCAACTGATATAGATTTAGATTTATACATTGAAATTAATATTATAAGAATGGTAAAGATGCAGGATTTTTTGCTCCTTAGCTCAGCTAATCTAGGTTTTTGTCTCATGAACAGGAAGAATGAGGGATGCGGACACAATGAAGGGTGAGGAGGATAGAATTTATTAAGTGAAAAGAAAGTTCTCAGTAAAGACAGGGGGTCGTACAAGCAAGTTTCCACCCCCTCCCCAAAATGAATACCAGGGCCACCACACACGAGCTGAAGAGGCCAGGCTCTTCCCCTGCATAAGGCGTGGATTTCCGGTGGCTCCACCCCATTCCCCCAGTGCATGTGGGCTTCCAGTCCACTGTGGGCATGCCCAGGCAAGAATCTGTGCAGGTTCCCTACGTGCACAAAACATCTAGTGTAAACACTTTTGGGGGTGGGATGGAGATTCTTTGAGGACCCTTCCCTATCTGCCTAGGCCTTTCTCTGCTTCCTGCCTCTAGGAGTAATAATACTAGTGAGAATACAAACTATGCTTGTTCAAACACTACTTTGTTATGTTATGACACAGTCATCCCACTTAATCCTTACAACACTCTATGAAGAGGTATTTTTATCCTATTTTGTAAATAAGGAAACTGAAACTTACCGTGGTTAAGTAACAGGCTTAGGGCTACCCAACTGGGAAGTGTAGAATCGGGATTCAAACTCTGGTTTTCCAGACTACTCAGCCCTAGTTCTTCAACCCTATTCTAGTCTCATTGCTTTTCCTCAAGTTTCATCTGAATCCAGCTCTGCTTAACTAAATTGATGCTTGCATTTCCTTCTTAGGTCCCTAAATAGAAGTCCCTTGAATGCATTCCTGGAGCCTTTTCTGCCAGTGCTCTTTCCAGCAGGTGTCAGGATACCATTTTCCTTCTACCCTCCTCTTGAGGCCCTTGGCCAGCTCCCTGGACATCCCAGCTGACTCAGGACTCATGCCTCTCACTGGCACTGCCCACTGTGCCTCTTCTCTGCTCCTGAGTCTGGCCTTTCTAGAAAACTTTCAGTACTTTTGTTGTTGTTGCTGTTTGTTTGCTTGCTAGACTGCTCTTTTGCCTTCTGATCTGAGAAAGGCAGTTGGACTGTAGGGAGACTCCCTGGGCTGGGCAGTGGATCCCACACGCTCCCTCCATTCCCCACAGGGTTGAGTGGTTGCATTTTCTTTGTGTCTCCTCACTCTTCTGGTATATATTATTAGCTTATTTCTGTTTTCCCTTTTTTAAACTTTTAAAACAAATTCCAATCATCCAACTAAAACTTTTAGATAACTTTTACTCCTAAAGCTTAGGTCAAGCTTCTTTTTAAATGTCATTTGAACACTAAGCATATTTTGAACTTTACAAAATAGGACTTTTTTTCTTGTTTAATTAAATATTTCAGCATAAAATGTTTTGAAGTTTAGAAAGGTTTAGAGAATAGTTATAAATACCTTTTAATATTTTTATAGTTTTATACTTTTTACCACCCAGCATTACAAAATCTTAAAACTTAGCCATATTTTTTTGAGTTTTTTGTTTTAAAGAGAGAAAGCATTAACTCTTAATTCTGAAAATTGGTCTTTAAAAGGGAATAATCAAGTGTGCTACCCGACTTCCTGTTGTGAACTATATTTCAGGATAACTAAATAGCCCTTGTAGATGAAGAAAAATTTTTTAAGTGAAGAATTCAGTGTAATGCAATCTAACTTGACAAGTACCATTGTATATGCACAAATGAAGTCATCACTGCAGGCAACGATCATCAATGGATGAAACTATTAAATGAAAGGTTGTCAGGGACCATTGCAGTGGAGGAATGAGGCTGCCCCCATCTTTATCCATCTTCACCAATTTTGCCATTACTAAAACATAGTGTGCCTGCCAATATGGCACAATGGAAGTACACAGCATAACTTAGGAAGTGCTCTTGCAAAAAAAAAAAAAAAACATTAAATCTGAATTTAACCAAATCTCACACATTGTTTCTGTGGGGAACATAGAAGGAGAAGAAACAAGTTAAATGGCAGCAGGAGAAAGCAAACAGAGAAATCCAGAATGGGAGGCAGTCCAGAGGACAGCTTGATCCATCTTTCATAACAAGGAAAATACGGAAAAAGTGTGTGTTAGGGAGTTCCAGGGTGATAAGGGAGAATGGAGTCCTGCTCTCCGTTTGAAGCAATTTAAGAGACATTAAAACAAAACTTAACCTGTGTGCCTTGCTTGGATCCTGATTTGTACAAGCTAGTGTCAAAAGATATTTTTGAGGCAATTGTGGAAATTTAATACGAATTATATATTTTAGGTGATAACAAAAGTTATAAATAATTCTGTTAGATTGGATAACATTATGGTTGTATAAGAAAATGTCCATTTTAGAGATGACTACTGAATTAAAACCTTTACTTTAAAACATTTGCAATAAAATGTCACAGATACATTTGAGTTCCCTGAGTAAATGCTTTTCTGATCTGATTTTTCTACTTCCCCCACCAAAAATGTTTACTACCTGAACTTCAAGTTTAGTACTTCCGCCCACATTTGTTTCTACTACGTTATGTGTATGTATCCTCACGTGATATACAGTATTAGTTTTCATAGCTTTAAACCTTCTGTATTAGGCTGTTCTTGCACTGCTATAAGGAAATATCTGAGAGCGGGTAATTTATTAAAAAAGAGGTTTAATTGGTTCATGGTCCTGCAGGCTGTACAGGAAGCACAGTGCATCTGCTTCTGGCCACAGGAAGCTTCCAATCATGGAAGAAGGTAAAGGAGGAGCAGGCACATCACATGGCAAAAGCAGGAGCAAGAAAGACAGGGTATAAAAAGGAAGTCCCACACACTTTTCTTTTTTTTTTTTTTTCTTGAGACCGAGTCTCACTCCGTTTCTGGGCTGGAGTGCAGTGGCGCCATCTCGGCTCACTGCAACCTCCGCCTCCTGGGTTCAAGCGATTCTCTTGCCTCAGCCTCTAGAGTAGCTGGGACTACATGCACGTGCCACCACGCCCTGTTAATTTTTGTATTTTTAGTAGAGACGGGGTTTCACCATGTTGACCAGGATGGTCTCGATCTCTTGACCTTGTGATCCACCTGCCTCAGCCTCCCAAAGTGTTGGGATTATAGGCATGAGCCACCGCTCCCACCCACCACACACTTTTAAGTTACCGCATCTCATGAAAACTCACTGATTATCACAAGAACGGCACCAAGGGGATGGTGCCAAACCATTCACGAGAAATCCACATCATCCGTAATCCAATCACCTCCACATCATCCGTAATCCGATCACCTCCACATCATCCGTAATCCGATCACCTCCACATCATCCGTAATCCGATCACCTCCACATCATCCGTAATCCGATCACCTCCACATCATCCGTAATCCGATCACCTCCACATCATCGGTAATCCGATCACCTCCGCATCATCCGTAATCCGATCACCTCCACATCATCCGTAATCCGATCACCTCCACATCATCCGTAATCCGATCACCTCCACATCATCCGTAATCCGATCACCTCCACATCATCCGTAATCCGATCACCTCCACATCATCCGTAATCCGATCACCTCCACATCATCCGTAATCCAATCACCTCCCATCAGGCCCCAGCTGCAACACTGGGGATTGCAATTTAACTTGACATTTGGGCAGAGACAAATATGCAAACAATATCACCTTCCTCAAACAGCATGCTATAACATGTATGCTTGCATAATAAATATTTAAAATATAAGATTACCCACTTTGGGAGGCCGAGGCGGGTGGATCACGCAGTCAGGAGATCGAGACCATCCTGGCTAACACGGTGAAAACCCGTCTCTACTAAAAATGCAAAAAATTAGCTGGGCGCGGTGGCGGGCGCCTGTGATCCCAGCTACTCGGGAGGCTGAGGCAGGAGAATGGCGTGAACCCGGGAGGCGGAGCTTGCAGTGAGCGGAGATCGCGCCACTGCAGTCCAGCCTGGGCGACAGAGCGAGACTCCCTCTCAAAAAAAAAAAAAAAAAAAAAAAAAAGGATTACCTTTATGAGATTTATTCATTCTGCTATATAGATCTAATCATTTATTTCACTACTTTCTGCTCTAAGAATGTTTCCCAGTTTCTTTATTGATTCAGCTGTTAACTGATATCTGGGCTGTTTTTAAGTTAACACTTTTACTAGCAATCCTGCAATAAACATTCTGCATTTGCTAGACTCCTCCTAGAAGTAGATTTGTTGAGTTGAAAGGTAAGTATACTTTTCCTTTTACCAGAAATAAAAAATTACCCTCCTGAGGTATTGTAAGAATGTCTACACCCAACACATCTTATGAGTTTATATGAATCTTCCCATGTTTGCCAACACTTGGAGTTATCAAGTATTAATAGAATGACTTTTAATCACAGTTATTTGGAGATTTTCTCATATAGAGACTCAGGCTTTTAAATGCAGTTACCCAAAAGAAAGCATGTTGAAGAGTGAAAGAGCAATACATAATAAAATCAATAATACATAATACATAAACAATACATGATAATACATAAGCAATACATAATAAAATAAAACAAATACACAATCAAAGCCTACACATATTCCAAATTCCCTGGGTCATGGCATGAACGTGCTGCAGAGTCATTCTAATCTCAGCACCTTTCCCATTTCTTAGCCTACACTGAACATCCTGAAATCAGGCAGCAATCAAGATTTAAACCAACCCCCTAAGGAGAGAGCACTGGTAATCTACAAAGGAAGACTAGAGGTCAGGAAAGACCAGATGGAATTAATACTGTGTGTCAAGAGCAAGAGCAAACCTCCTCAGCTTGTAAATTCTCTACGGGTCTCTCATCGTAGTTGTGGAGCTTGGTTGAGTGAAAGGCTGGGTGAGAAGCAAATGCAAATGTAACGAATACATTCATGGGCATGATGAATAGCCAAACCCAAGCTACTCTGACTTTGGAATGGTAGACTCACTTTATAGATCAACAGAAGCAATGAACAGTGAAGAGTAATTATTTTGCAAGAAATTATTATTAATTTCCATTATTTTAGATGTACACGCAGTATTAAGAATAACACAAGTACCCACAACTGAAATTAAGAAACAAAGAATTATGATTATGGTTGAAAACACCCATAATGCTCTTATCTTGAACTTGAAGTTTATAACGCCCATGCAAGTCATTTGAATTTCATTGATAGGTTTGTGCCCCGACTGCACATAAGATAGGGATTTACATGCTGTAAAATGACCTTCTATGGTGTGAATCATTCTACAATTGTTTTTTCCTTGAACAATATATTGTTTTTCCTTGAACAATGTATTTTTCAGAATCATATTTTATATATGTAATTCTAGCTCATTCATTTTTGCTGCTGTCTAGAATTTTATGTGAATACACCACAGTTTCTGCATTTACCTGTTAAAGTGCATTTAGATCATTCCATTTCCTGCTATTGTGTTGCTATACATGTTTTCTGTGCACGTGTGCCAACATTTCTCTAGGGTGTATACCTAGAAGTACACTTTCTGTGTCGTAGGGGTGACGATCTTCAACTTTGCCAAATTGCTTCCTAAATTCATTGTCCAGTGTGCACCCTGCAGAGTATCTGACTGTATTGTTCCACATCTTAGTCAGCACTCGGTGGTGACATATTTAAGCTTTTTCCTTCAATGTGATGGGTGTAACATGGTTTTATCAATGTGTTTTAAATTCATTCTTTCTAATTGTTGGCAGAGATTCAAGCTGCTTCTTTGGATTCCTTGTTCATATCTCTTGCCCATTATTTTTTCTATGGGATTGTTTTGTTGTGAGTATATATATGTGAGTGTGTCTGAACATTTGTGTAATCTGTAGGAACTCCTTATAATTGTGGGAAATTTATACAAATTTTATTCAGCCCAAAAATTGTTTTAATTTATCCCAAAGCCACGGTAGCCTATTATACTACTCCATCTTCTTCTCCCTGTCCAACATGAAAGAAAACAGAAAGGCATTTCAAAACAGGTCCTGAAGCAGCCTGCCCTCCCCAAAGTTCTAATGCTTTCCTTGACCTCTGTAGTAACAAATAGGGAGAAATTGCCAGAACTCAGACATATGTATTCTTAATAGTTTTATTGGGACATAATTGACATACGATATGTTTCAAATCCAAGAAAACAATTTGAGAATTTTTGACATATATATACACTGACGAAACTAACATCACAATCAAGATAATGAACCTGGCCAGGTGCAGTGGCTCACACCTGTAATCTCACCACTTTGGGAGGCTGAGGCAGGAGGATCACTTGAGCCCAGGAGTTCAAGGCTGCAGTGAGCTAGGACTATGCTTAAAATTTTCTCACTCCCTTCTCCAGGCAATCACAGATCTGCTTCCGGCCACTATCAATTTGTTTTTGTTTTATTGAATGTAGAATTACACAGTATTTTATTGAATGTAGAATTAAACAGTATGCACTCTTTTGTCTTGTTTCTTTCACTCAGCAAAATTACTTTGTAACTCATCTGTGTCTTTAAGTGTATCACTAGTTCATTCCTTTTCATTGCTGAGTAGTATTCCATTATATGGATATTCTACAGTTTATCAATTTGTCTGTTGCTGGTCATTCAGAATGTCTCCAGTTTGGGAGTATTAAAAATAAAGCTGCTAAAAATATTCATGTACAGTCTCTGTATGGAGACTGATCTATCTATCTGTCTACCCACCTACCTATTCATATATATGTATACACACACACACACACACACAGAGGCACACACACAGACACATGTATATATGTACATTCCTTTTTCTTGAGTAAATATTTTGGAGTGAAATGGCTATATCATATGGTAGTGTATGTTCAAGTTTTTTTTTTTTAAGTGCTAAAAGATTCTCCAAAGTGATTATACCATTTTGCATTCCCATCTCCTGTGTATGGTATGAGAGTGCTGTATTTCCACAGTCTCACCAATGTTACCTGTGGTAGTTCTTTCTTTTTTTTTTTTTCTTTTTTTGAGACGGAGTCTCCCTCTATCGCCTAGGCTGGAGTGCAGTGGCATGATCTTGGCTCACTGCAAGCTCCACCTCCCGGGTTCACGCCATTCTCCTGCCTCAGCTTCCCAAGTAGCTGGGACTACAGGCGCCCGCCACTAGCCCGGCTAATTTTTTGTATTTTTAGTAGAGACGGGGTTTCACCTTGTTAGCCAGGATGGTCTCTATTTCCTGACCTCGTGATCCGCCTGCCTTGGCCTCCCAAAGTGCTGGGATTACAGGCGTGAGCCACCGCACCCGGCCCGTTCTTTCTTAATTTTGCCATTCCAGTGGGTATGTAGTGGCATATTATTGCGGTTTTCATTTGATTTGCATTTGCCTGATGGCTAATGATATTGAGCAGCTTTTCATGTGTTTATATTCCATCCATAGATCTCCTCTGGTGAAGTATGTGTTCACATATTTTTTTCCACTTATTATTAGGTTGTTTGTTTTCTTATTATTGAGTTTTGAGAGTACTTCATAATATTCTGAATTCAAGTCCTTTATAAGATATGTGTTTGACAAATATTTTCCCCCAACCTGTAACTGTCTCTTCATTTTCTTAATATTGTCTTTTGAAGAAATTTAATTCATCCATTTGTTCTTTTGTGAATCCTGCTTTTGATATCATATCTAAGGAATCTTTGCCCAGCTCAAGATCACAAAGGTTTTCTCTTATGTTTTCTTCCAGAATTTTTATAGTTTTAAATTTTACACTTAGTTATGGCATGCTTCCTGAATTAATTTTTGTTTATGATGTATGGTATGGATTGACGTTAATTTTATTTTTGCTTTGGATATCCAATTGTTTCTGCACCATTTGTTGAAGAGACGATACTTTCTCCAGTGAATTGTCTTTGCACCTTTGTTGCAAATCAGTTGCTTGCCTATGTGTGGGTCTATCTCCGGACTTTCTGCTCTGTTCCACTGATCTATTTGCTTATCTTTACACCATTATGACACTCTCTTGATTATGGCTGCTTAATAGAAAATAAGACTTGAAATCAGGTAGTGTGAGAAGATGCTTCCCATGACTTCACATAGATTTGAGATCTCAGCATAACTCCCATAGTATAAATATGACATTTCCTCATGATACACAAGGGTAAATGAAGATAGAGGGGCAGGTCAGCTGAAGTAGAAGCAACAGTCAACGACCATGAGGGCAGCCTGGAATCTTTTTGCTGACCAATCTCCCCTTTGGCTAGCATTGAACAACCAGTTCCAAATCCTTGCTCTCTCTGAGGAGCTGACTGCCACCCTTCAGTCAACACATTCCTAATTACACTTCAGCCATCTAGTTGCAACGGCTTTCCAGGCTGCCTTCCTGAATCATCCTGGTAGCCTTGAGTATCCCCTAACGTCTGTCCACATTTCTAGGTTGTCTTTGGGTTTCCTTAGCTTAGGGATAATGGTCTTTCGTTTTGATGTTTCTTCTTAATTTCATTCTTAAAGCTCCAGGGATGCCCACATGTCACTCCCAAATCTGAACACAAGATAATGTTAGAATGTCTAATCAGTTACTGAGGATCAGTAACTTTTATTTTAGATGTTCCACAAAGTGATAAGGTTTCAACAGTCCTTAGACATTTTAGTTCCTGGGGGAACCACACTAGCATCTCATATGCTCACTTAAGAGCAGAGCATCTAAGACTGGAACATCAATTAGTCATTTATTAGTGATGTTTGAGCACCTGCTGTACGCCATGCCTTAAGCTTGTGCTATGAGAATGAAGAAATTGATACAATGTAGTCTCTGTTCTCAAGATGCTTCAAATCTAATATATTCCACACCTTCATGGCCCAAGGCCACTTAAAGATTCTAGCTATGGATCAATATAATCTAGATTTCAGAGCCCAAATCTATAATTTCTCCTCTGGTAAGATTGTTGCCATCACTGGGAAGGAGTAGGAGGCATTTTCTGTGTCAAGTCAGGCATTCTAATTCAAGAATAGTAGGATTTGGTTGACAAAGACAAGCTCAGAAAAAGAATAAAGCACCTGGACAGGACCAGATGGCGGAAGCAGAGGCCAAGCCCTTGAAGGAGTCACATAAGGTCAGTGAACATTTATCAGAAAAGAACAGAGACAGAATAGGGAGTAAATGGATGAAGACTTGTCTTTACCTCTTGACTGGGGAAGGTGTATGTGCGGGAGAGAGTGGGTGAAACTGAATTTGAGCCTCAAGGTTAAAAGTTCAGTTGGTATTACCTTTCCCACTGGGAGGGCTCACTGAGGCAGGGAGAGTCCAGACATGTCCCAAAGGAATGAAATGAATCATTGTGCAGTTGCCTATCTTCTATGATAAATGTAGGTTTTGCACACCTCATTAAGAATATTTCACAAAAGGTAGAGACACAAGGTCCCTGCCAAATAAAGCAGTTCTTTAAAAGCCATTGCCCAGCCAAGGTGCATCATGAGGGTAGACTGGAGATTGAAAGGGGATGTCTCTGGTCCTGGACTGGGAAGGGGAAGGTGCGGTGTTCCATGCTCCAGGACAATGGAAGAGCCTTCCGACCACACTCTGGTTGGGGGTGCTGGGGAGTTAGGAGATGGCATCAGGCTTCCATAACGATGGAGACCTGGAAATTTATCTGCAGCCGGGAGAAGCTATCCAAGGCACAGAGCAAGGGGAGTGGGCTAACCTAACTGCAGTGGAGATTTGGGAGTTGCCTAGGTCCCAAAGGGAAACAAATGCTGCCGGGAGGCCAATAGGAAGGAGTGGGACGGGTGGGAGTAGGGTGGCCTCACCTGTGGGCTCCATGGCTTGTAGCCAAGGTGGTGTGATTGCCAGGGCCCGGGAAGACCTCCTGCCTGAAATAGTATTTTCCACCCCTCAACTATAGCCTAATATTCTTTTAAAGTGGGGCACAGACTTCACTTCATAATTAGAACTAAGGCTTATAATCAAAGTATCCCTAGGAGAGCTGAGTTCACTGGATGTTTTCTTAAGAGTAGTGTTGGAGGAAAGCACAGTTATACAATTCTGATGGAAGAGGGAAAAATGCACAGGAAAAGGGGATGGGGGTCTGGGAGGCAGATTCCAGGGTTCTCAGTGGCCAGCCTGATGTCATGACAGTTAAGGCTGCCAGATTTGGCCAAACAAACACCAGGATGCTCAGTTCGATTTATCTGAAATTGAAACTTAATGGGGGACCTGTTTTTTATCTGTCAACCCCAGGCCAGTGGGACGTTCACTGTCATTCCCCTACTGAACCCCTCCACAATGCTTGCCTTGTGGATTCCCTGAGCCCTCACTTGGGTATGTGAGGACAGCTGGGAAGAGGCTGCAGAATGGAGGCAACAGAACCACAATACATAGGGAAGAAGATACCTCACTGAGACTTAGAAATGTAAACTTCTTAAGGACCCACACTCTTGTCATTTTTCTCTGCATTCTAAGTACCTTGCATAATGCCTAGTACAAAGCAGGTTGCTTGATACAGGTATGTTGAAATTCTTTTTAAGAGGCAATAATTAGTAGTAACAGTCACAAACATGTACATAATGCATATTCCACCTGGGCTCTCTTCTTTTTTTTTTTTTTTTTTTTTAACTTTTGTTTTAAGATCCAGGGTACATGTGCAGATTTGTTAAACGTCTGCCATGTAAACATCTGCCATGGAGGTTTGCTGCACAGATCAACCCATCATCCAGGAATTAAGCCCAGCATCCATTAGCTATTCTTCCTGGTGCTCTCCCTCCCTTCGCCCTCTGCACTACCCCCAGCCCGCCAACAAGCTGTGTGTGTTGTTCCCCCCATGTGTCCATGTGTTTAAAATAGTTTCTTCTAATTCTGTAAACAATATCAATGACAGTTTAATGGGAATCTATAAATTACTTTGGGCAGTATGGCCATTTTTACTATATTGATTCTTCCTATCCATGAGCATGGAATGTTTTCCCATTTGTTTGTGTCCTCTCTGATTTCTTTAATCAAGGTTTGTATTTCTCCTTGAAGAGGTCCTTCGCTTCCCTTGTTAGCTGTATTCTTAGGTGTTTTATTCTCTTTGTAGAAATTGTGAATGGGAGTTGATTTATGGTTTGGCTCTCTGCTTGCAACCAGGCTGTCTTCTAAGTGCTTTAGTGAAAAGCTGAGATGACGCCTCTGAACGACGTCGTACAAGAGACCTAGAAAGGACTTGTGCTAGTAGAAGAAGGAACTCTTGATATTGCTTTTTACTTAAGTGGGTTCCCTAATTATTAGTGTGTAATCCTTCTTCTTAGGAGTGGGTAGGCTATCCATGCCTCATGCTAGTCTTCCATTCAACTCCTCCTCCTCCAAAAACCAAAAGCACAGACAAAGTCAGTTACATTATAGATTCTCCCCTACCTTCCCTCTGCAGCTGTTCCCACCTCCAGACTTCCCCGACACCCAACGCCCCACTCAGCAGACCCACCCCACCATCCAGAGTGCAAACCCATTACACTGAGTGCAGAGCCACCCATTGTTAAGGGAGGAAATCATTTTTGAAATAAGTTCGTAATGCTTTTCCTAAATATAGATGATATGGGGTTCCAGAGGAATTGGATTATTCAGGTTCTTCTTGCCTTCCTTCACACAGAGAGTGCCCCAAGCTTGGCTGTGTTCTCATAGAAACAGGCAAACAGAGAAGGCAAAGGATTCAATAATGAACCATGAGCATCTCTAGCCTGGCATGTACTGGCTTTAGATTTGCCAAACAGAACACTTGGAAAGCCTGGCTCCACTACATCTATCAAAGTTGGGCCAGGGAAGCCCCCAGACAATTTGAAGGTTGGAGAAAGTAGGTTTGGTACAACTGCTGCTACTTTTCTTTTTTTCACACGATTTGGTTTTTTAGACAGAATCTCAAATGGCCCTCTTCACCCCGCCACCGTCATCCCACCCCCACCCGACTGTAATCTCCATGTGGAGAGAAGTGGCCACACATGGTTCCGATTCATTTGCGTTTAACTCATCAAAATATTGTTTAGTCAAAATCCCTCTCTGTCCAAGGAGTCTTTTATGAGCTGACGGGATAAGCCTGGCTTAAGTCTGTTGTTGTAATTGGGGAGTTCTGTTTTTTTTTTTTCTTTTCTTTGAACTGAGGAGCTGCTAGTTCCAAGCCAGCCCTAACCCAAAGCAGGCTGGAAAAGCTGTATTTGTTATTTACTTGCTGGATTGGTTCTTTAATTCTGGAATCCAGTCAGCTCCGGCACATGCCCTAGTTGGTGAAAAGTATTCTCTAAGTTGTTTTCAAGGCATCATTCTGGTCCAGTCAGCAAGACTGTGAATCCACGAGCTCTTCCTGCAAGGGTTACCTAGACTCTTGTTTCTGCTTCACTTTTGCTGATGCTATCCTAGACCAGGCCAGGGTCTTTCCTCCCTGTGGAACTCAATGGATTCCTGACCCACGTTGTTCCTCTCCTGTAGAATTCACTGGCTTCTGGACATACACAAATCCTCATGCTGCAGAGTAAGCTTCCTATGCCCTTGCTCTGACCATGCCACTGTCCTTCACATACCCCACGTGGCACTTCTTAAACAGGCATGCATCTATGATTGAGGAATACATGGTTGAGTCCCAGGGACTGAGCAAAGTCAGAGACAAACATGGAACATTTCCCTGAAAACATCAACCTACTCAAAAATCGAGGAGAGTGCTGCTGTCTTATCTTTCAAAGCCCTACAGAAATATGGAGTTGACTACAAAATTATAAATTCTGAAAATAAAACACGTGTCTTCAGGGAAATTTTAAGCTTGACACTACTTTGGAGTAAATCCCTAGGTCCCCAGGAGTGATCTATTTATTGCCTGCCACCATTAGTGTATGTGGGTAAAAGTTTGAGAAGGCCTGGAGTAGAGTAGCCCAAGCCCTCAATTTGTCTTTCAAGGCCCAGTGCCTTCCTTCCCCCAAACCCTGTCCGATCTGTCACCTACATGTACCTTATTCTCTAGATAAATGGGGCAATTCATCATTCTCCAACACACTCCCCCCTTAGACATTTGTTTTTTTATAACCAGAATGCCTTTAAATTTCCCTGTCTTTGCCCAACTGAAATCCAGATCTAATGCCAGATCCATTTTTCTTTCCATTATAAATGCATTATTTTTGTACTTCAAAGTCCTAGTCATGGTGCTAGGATTTCAAGGAATACTGCTGGAGAGATGGTTGATTGAACACAATTCCTGAGCCCTTGAGCTATACAGAAAGCAATAGAACATTTCTCTGCTTAGAAAGCAGGAAACCAGGACAGGATGGTGCTAAGTGGAGACTGTAAAGCACTTTCTTAGCACTACTTTTTTCTTCAACTTCAATAGGTACAAAGTTTTGTTTCTAGAGTGAGGAAGCAAAGATTGGGGTGTGGACAGGGACTAAAAGGAGGGGCACAGCTCTTTCTAGATGGAGCTCATGATGCAAAAACTAGGGAGAAAGATGGATGAAATGAACTGCAAATTGGAAATTTGCAAACATGTTTATTTCCTCCAACACAAAATATATTTTTTAAATTTGGGAATTTCAAATAAAAATCTGGAATTCATGATACTGTTGGAAAACCATATTGACTGGGGCATCTGCCTGGCCTCCCTGCCTGTCTCAGAGCCATCTGGAGATACGGCACGAACTCTGTTACGCTGCGGTTCCCACCACTGCTCCACATAGGCAGACACAGTGGCCTCCCATGTGTGCATTTTGATTTGCTGCTGGGCTGCAGAGGATGGACAGAAACAGTTACAAATTCCAGCTTCGGGTCCACAGGTAAACATTCTGAGGGGATGCCAGAGATTGCATAGTGATTGGTTAGAGACAAAGGCAAAAGCCTTGTTGGAGGAGGGTATTGGAAGAGCCCTTTTTGCACTAAGGCATTCAGTCTCTTTATTTTAGAACTTCTCTCTGCAAAAAGCATCACACGCATATGGTGTCGTCCAAGGAAGAGTCCCCAGGCTCTAAGCTGCATCTCGGCACTAGCATATCCGCAGTGTTCTCCCTGCTTCATCTCTGGTGCCCAACCTCTGTTCCCTTCAAAGCCCCTTTCTTGTCTCCCCTCACTTGATTTTCCCCAGTGTCATATTAGAGGTTTTCCCACTTCTGAGTGCTCAGAATCAGGCATTTTGCTCAATCAATTTCAAGGACGATTAGAAAAGTTCATCCAAGATCAAACGTCTTCTCTTTCTTTTTTTTTAAAAAAAGTCTGTAATGTTGAAGGGGGAACAAAGCCAAGTGTCCTCCTTCCCTGGGCTTGGGAATGGGGGGCTTGCTTCTGCCTCCCCTATTTACCCCCAACTCGAATGAGGCCTGTGAAAAGGGAGCTGCTCCTTCCCCAAGCTTCTCATTTCACCTGTAACAGTGGGGAGACACGCAGTGGCTGATAAGGATCCTCCAGGGAATTTTCTGGCTGTTAGACCAGGCCCAAGCCCTTCATGAACAGGCCATTCCCAGGGCCTCGGATTTCAGGATGAGGTGATTAGCAAGGGGGTTTCAGACCCGGCAGAGCCCTCTCCTGGCTGTGCATCTGCAGAACTAAGGAGCTGCTGTGTCTGCAGCTGCTGGGAGCTGCAGCTTGCTCTGTCTCTGAGGGTCAGCGAGGGCGTGACAGAGGGTAACAGGCAGAACTGTTAGCAGACTGGCATTGCTTCTCAGTCTCAGTCTGTAGTGAAACTGAAGAGAAAGCTCTTCTGTGCTGGCTTCAAAGATGACAAGCAGAAGAATTCCACCTCTCTTTAGTATTCTGAAATTTTTTCCATGCTCTCTTCTTCCCACACACAAAATCCTAGAATTGGAGAATTGCAATACACTAATATACTTTAAAAGCCTTTGGAGTACAGTTCTCCTCATTTTACATATAGGGAAACAGTCATGAAAAGAGGGAGAGTGGCTTGCCACAGACCACACATTAAAGAGTGTCAGGGTGGGGATAAAAAGCTTTCTTACTTCTTACCCCTGAGAACCATCCCATTGATTCCCAACATCTGGTCATGAGCACAGAATTTTCATTATTTTTGGCATATCTGTAAACACCTGTGCTATTACTTAATACTTTTTCTTTAGCCAGATCCATTTTTTACTTAAATGCAGTTATTTTAAAAGGAAACTATGTCACTAATGCCTATGGAAAAGCAGCATTACTTGCCTTAAATATTGGAGACCAAAAGGCAAATGTGATTAATGGAAAATGACATTGTGGAATGAGCTGGGTACTGTAGTCTGTTGAGGGTTCTTGTGTCAAGACCTATTTGGGGGATTACAGTAGGAGCTAAGAGTTTGAAAAGTGTTAACAAGATCCTGGCACCCGACCGACACATTCTCCTTGAAGGGAAGGAGGAGAATCGAAATGGAACATCCCTGCTAAAAACCACCAGTGCTCCTCCATGCACCAGCACAGTTTTCTCTGGATACCCATGGTACATGTTCTTCACTTTGGGGTCTCTGCCTTGGATCATGGTGTCTTCAGAAGGATGGTGGGCTCTTTGCCTTGCTGTTCTCCCTTCTCAAGGGTTAGGCTGCACAGATGCCGAAGGTAGACACAATAGTCCTTACACATTTCAAAAAATATGGACAATGTTTCCTACGGAGGAACAAATTTTTCTGTCAGATGGTGAAATTTCTCACAATATTCTGGTTGAGAACATCCTTGAGAGGGAAGTAGGGTAAGGGAGAGTGATTAAGGACATTTTGGGGTCAAGAGATAGCTAAGTGATTTTCTGTACACTAGATATCCTCCACCTCCCCTTTATCCACACCCCCGTATGCCACAGTGACACACATCATTCTCAGTGATGATGGAAATGAACAGGATTCCCTGCTCATGGGAATAGCAAACAATCGCTCTGCATGTGGTCTGAGGCTCAGGAGTCCAGGTGAAATCAAGTCTGCCCAGTCCTGAGTTGTCCATCCTTTCACCACCTCCCCTCTTCTGTATTATCACCACAAGGAAAGAACCGTCAGCAAATTGTTCCTAAGCACCTGGCACTGTGCTAGGTGTTTGCACCTGCACTTACAGTGGCTTTGTGTGGTTGAGACAGGGTTCCTTTATATTAAAGGACAGCAAGGACATACATGCCACATACAAGATGATGGGGGTCCCAGGAACATTCTGGGAGCCTGAGGAGGGAGTGAGGCCAGAAGCTCAATGCAGCAGGGAAGCTTTGTGGAGGAGGTAGGATTTTTGCAGAACTTCCTTCTCCCTATTTCCCCTGGTCTTCCTCCTTCCCCTCTTGCCCTTGTCCGGTTCGCACTGACAGCGGCCGGCGGGAGGGTTGGCTCTCACTCCTGGATGTGGGCTGAACAAGCATCCCGGAAGCCTGCGGTGGTGGGAGGCTGGCCAGGTGGACAGCACCCACGCTGCTGCTTGTGGGATCCTCGAAGACAGATTTACCAGTTGCCAAATTCTCCTTGTAGCCCACTCTCCTCCCTGAGGCCCCACACAGCAATTCCTGAGGCCTGGTGAGGGGAGGAGAGGGCTCAGAAAAGGCAGGTGAAACAGAATCACACACAAACTACAGAGACTCTGCAGGACCATCTCCAGCAGATTCCACCTCTGCCTCTACAACACCCCTCAGGCCAGAGGGAGAACACAGGCTGGCAGATCTGCAGTTTTCACTCCGCTGTGGCTCCTCCTTGCTCTACATCATTGTCTTGGAGGGTTAGGGAGCATCACAGGAAGCCTGTAGGGACAGCCCAGGCAATGGGGCCAAGGAAGCAGGTACCTTTCAAAAAGGCCAAAAGACGACAAAGAAAACTGTTGGGTGCAGGCAGGTGGGGCTGCCTCAACCCATGCCCAGCATGGGCTCTGTGAGCTGAGACCTCAGGGGTCAGGGTCACCCACTGCCAACTACACAACAAGTAAAGCGAATGAGGCCAGGGCACTGAAAATGCCTGAGGTTGTCTGTGCCTCCCAGAACCTACCTGTTGGCTCGCAAACCGTTGGGGTGTGATCTCACTGTACAAATGAGGAAATGCAGTAGTAAGCCAAGGGGACTTAGCCCAGTGTGACACAAAACATGAATGGTAAAAATCAAAAGTTGAACCTACTTCTCCCCCTTCTACATCCAGTTTGCCCAAATGCCTTTGGTAATTTGGGGTAAGGGGTGCAGTGGTGGGGAGACTGTTCAGATTGAAATAACAGTGAAATATTTCCAAGTGATATAGAATGGCCTGGGCCAGACTGAGCCACCTCTGGCTGTTCTGTGGTTGCTTGGGTCATGGGTTACACACAAGGTCTGGCTGTTGTGACCTCCGTCCCATGTGCCCCGAAGGTGGGATTCTTGTTCCACCACTGTGAACACTGCCTGCAAAGCTGGGGGCTCCTGGCCCTACTGCCCGTGGTCCCTGGTGGGCCATCTGAAGGCCATCCCACTGGGATCTTCCCTGTATTTACCGGCAAGCCCAGCTCTGAGCTGGAATGTGGACACTCAGAGGATGGGCTGGGGGAACAGTCAGAAGATGACATCTGATACTCAGCAGGACTCAGGGAGAAATCACCAAGCTGGGTGATAAAGTGGATGTAGTTTGCTTGTTGGCACGAGTGGAACCCAGGGCTAGGCATCTGGAACTCCCCACACCTTGAATCCCCTACCGACCTGTAAACAGTAGGTAGCAAACTCATTGGCACTGATAATCTGAGTGTGGTTTAGCAGCCCATGAGGTGGTTTAATAGAAAGATCACCAGCAGGGGAGGCAGGAGACCTGGACCTCTGTCCCAGCTCTGCCAGCAGCTTTTTTGCCAACAGTGACCTTGGACAAGTCACTTGCTCTCTCTGGGTATCTTTATTTCATGTATCATTAAAGGATGGGACTGGATAAAATCCATAGTCTCTCCCAGTTTTGGGGAAAACGTCTCACACGCCACTAATGCAGAAGATTCTATTGATCATACGCTGTGGGAGCTTGCTGGTATCAGAAGTGGGCACTGTTGGCCACTGAGCCTCAGTTTTCTCAGCTGCTGCATTTACCAGTTTTGTATGAAGATCTCTATTCCAGACTTGGAAGGAAAATGACAGAATGAAGTAAGGTGGGTGGAGCAGAGGGAAAAGATAAAGAGGGAAAATGGTGAAAATACAAAAGTAGATACAGTGTTGAAGAGACAGGAAAAGTGAAAAAACTCAAGAAAAGGGTAGTCAGCTATGTCTGTGAAGGAATCACAGAACATTGACTATCAACGGAATACACAAGCCTGTCTCTTTTGTTTCTCTGCCGTTCAGTGCGGCTGCATCTGCTCTATGCAAGTTTGATGGTTGTCAGTATGATAGATAAACATTAACTGAAGAAATTCCTCTGTGACCAGCACTGTACTTGGGAAATATAGGGGTTCCCAGGAGTTCATCTAGGTTTTGATAAGCATAAGCTCACATGATTGCAGAAAAAGAATGTAAAAACTCTACAAGCAGAATTAAGTAAAAAACATATTTATTTTGCACGATAAAAAAAATCACAACAAAGTAAACATTTTAAAAAGCTGACATCTACAACAAACATTCCCAAATTCAGGAAAATAATGACATTTTTATTAATTAACTTCCAACACAGTGCTTTTTTCTCTACATTCTCTTCAATCACCTCCTCCTATGGCAACAACTTTATAAAACCATTTTTTTGTATAGAGAGAGGAAAGATAATTCAGTCTTTCCTTAATTGAAATTTGTTTTTTTAAGAGCAATAATCAGGATGCACAAAACATTTGATTTCACACAACAAAAGGACTCACTGTTTGTAGTACTGTTAAGTTTAGGCCCTACAAATAGAGGAATTTTAATCCGTTTTGGTTTTGTCTGACTCCTGTCATAAAGGAAAAATGTATGTTGTACTTATAATGATATATTTGCATTGTCAAATGTATTTCTTATGGGAAGGAATTTCCATTTTGATGAGGAATCAATGAGAACAGACCTCTTGGAATGCAACTGCCCATATCTGAGCATCAGAATAGTCTTTTCCACAGACTAGCTTTTGTTCCTTCAATTCTAACTTTGCTTCTCACCCACTCCCCACAGTCTTCAGGCGAAGAAGCCACAGGATGTGTGCATATCACAATCTCACCTCTGGTCCTACAATTTTGGCCTCAGCATGAGGAGAATCACACAGTGTGTAGGGCACATTTTCCTGGAAGCCATTCTTCCACTGGAGTAGCTAGGAACCCTGTAACTGACTAAAAGCACCCTTAGCTCTGTCCTAAAAATGTCTAGGGCTACTCCATTGCCCCCTCATATGAAGGGGAGTGCGAAGGAGGGAAAGTTGGGGTTAGAGGGATGCAATATCTTAACAAATTGTAATGAAAATATTTTACTCCCACAAAATTTTCAAACCCATGTCACCATGTGAGAACATTTTTAGGACCTCTCCCTGGAAGGGCCTTGGAAGGGGCCAGTGCAATAAGGGTCCTTGAACTTGAGGCTTCATTAGCTTCTTGAAAGCTCTGCCTCTGGGGTTTGGAGACACCTGTGAGACTTGTTTTCTCTCCTCATGTTCTGCAGTTGTCCTTAGTCACTCATTCTGCTCCTAACAACAATCAATAATGCATGTACAACACTCCAGCTTCATCTCTCCCATCAAACTTGAACTCATTCCTTTGGACAAGGCTCTATTCTTCAAGAAGTCTGGTTTGTGATGGTCATTTACATGAACTTTACTGAGAAAACAGGTACATGAAGTGACTATAAGGGCAAATTCACTGCTAAAAGTGTATTGTA
The DNA here is from genome assembly GCF_000001405.40 of Homo sapiens. Taxonomy (NCBI): domain Eukaryota; kingdom Metazoa; phylum Chordata; class Mammalia; order Primates; family Hominidae; genus Homo; species Homo sapiens. The sequence goes on from NC_000012.12 coordinate 5,159,490, forward strand.
AATTGATAAACTAAAAATTTGGCTTTAATTACATTTATTTTATAGATTTGAATATATCCTAAATGTCCAACAATAGAGAACTGGTTAATTATGCCAATGTTCCACTAGCATATTTTCCAGTTATTTAGTGTAATTTTTGTGGACATGTATTGTTGGCCCGAGAAGCTTTCCCTTATAAGTTAAATAAATTTTCATAAAACATATTGTAAAGGCATAATCTCACCTTTAAATTTAAAAATATATATGTGTATCGATCTATCTGTGACTCTGTCTATATCTATATCTAAATTGCTGTAGGAAAAATTAAGAATAGAAAAATGTCTGGAAGGTTCTAGATCTTGATATGAGTAAGAGTAGTTGCTCTGGAAAGATAATAGTGAAATTTTCTTGCTTATTATTTTATTTTTCTATAATGATTACATCGTTGTTTCTCTTTTGAAGAGTCTGTTGCCTAGGCTAGAGTGCAGTGGCTCAATCACAACTCGCTGCAACCTCGATCTCCCAGTCTCAAATGATCTGCCCACTTCAGCCTCCTGAGTAGCTTGAGACTACAGGTGTTCATCACTACGCCCAGGACAATTAAAAAAAAAATTTGTAGGGATGGGGTCTCTCTATGTTTTCCAGGCTGGTCTTGAACTCCTGGACTCAAGCGATCTTCCTGCCTTGGCATCCCACAGTTGAGATTACAGATGTGAGCTACTGCATCCAGCCTAATGACTATGTTCCTATTATATTGTAATAATAAAACTATAGATAGAATTTTTTAAGTGTATAGTATTTTTAAAAACTCAAGTAGCTTCTCTCTTTCCTTACTTAGCCAGGTGCAAGTTGATAAAAGAATTCTGGAAATTGAAGGCCAAGGAAGAGTGACTCAAAAATAAGAAGCAGGCTGAAAAGTAAGTGTGTGTATGAGAGGGGGAGAGAGACAAAGAGAGGGGGAGAGAATGTGTTTGTGGGGAGCATATATTCATCTGTGGGCTGTGCAAGTAGATATTCTGCATTCATTCCTAACAACTAGTTTAGCTCTGCCTGTCACATCAGTGAATCCTGCTGAAATGTCTGCAGCTACCATTTTGATTCAGTGTCTCAGTCCATTTTACAAGCCAGAGTCTTAGGAGGGGAGTCAAAAAGATCCCATCAGGATTTGATGGGGCACATTTCTCCATGTGAAAGTAGTTGCCTTTCTCTTTGCCCACTCTGAGGGTCTTTGGAGATAGGATGAAGAGCAGAGTCACCCTCACTCTCCTGACGTCCTACATGAAATCCTATGAAAGGAGGTGCTGCTAGATTTGAGATGCCAAAATGAAAAAGAGGAAAATGCAAATAAATGACTTCCACTTCCCCTCCCATCATCCTGACCCTAAACTCAAACCCCTTCTTTAAATGACTTCCACTTCCCCTCCCATCATCCTGACCCTAAACTCAAACCCCTTCTTGAGCACCTTTGCCAGCCCAGGGAAGCCATTCAGTGTCCACTTTCTAAGAATGTCTTGAAGCCCACTCCCCACCACACACATACACAACAATCCCCTCCCACATCCAGAAGATCCACTCCTGGAGGGCAAGTCCAGTTCAGAGGACAGGGCTATGACACACAATGGGAAGCCCACCCCTCCCCTTCCCCAGGTGTCTATGGTTTCTGGCAGGCTCTCTCCAGAAAGGAAAAACGGAAGGTGTCTCCATCTGGAGTCCTTCCCCAGCCCTTCTTGTACCAGGCTGTGTTCTCCCACAGTGAGCACGCAGGACTTGGGCTGAGGCTCTCCTCACAGGTCTGCCTGATGTGTTGACCAGGACGTGTTCAACTCTGTGGGTTTCCCAGTCACTGGAAGCCAGTAGGGTTCTGCCTTTGACAGTGCTGTTGGTGGGAATAGGAGAAATAATCCGAGTCTGGCTGTGCTCAGGGCTTTCTCAGTCACCCAGGGAGCCTTCAAATCATGGTGGTCCCTCAATCAAGTGGGGTGAGATTATTTTACCTCCTCTAGCCCATCAGCACATGTGCATTAATTCACGAAATAGTTGTTGAGTCTCTGTTCTACCCCAGGTACTGTACTTGGCCCTGGAGAAACAGCAGAAAACAACATAGTAGAGACTGTTCTGTGTTCCAAGGCTCCCCATTTGCTCTGTATGGATTGGAGGACACATGCGTAATGCTTGTTCCCCAAGAACCCTGTTAGTTCAAGGTCACCAGGTTCTCCCAGTCACCACCACCCTTGCTGGGGGAAGTAAGGTATGGTGATGGATAGGGGACCTTTTTTCTATCTTCATCACACTCCTTGCCTCTCCTCCACTGTCCTACTGCCCTGCAGAGTATATGAAGAAATCCCAGGACATTTAGCCAAGATTCCTCTCCCAAAGTGGGCAGCTACCCATAGCTACACACATAATGCCACAATTATCCATTCTTGTGGGCTGACCTAAGTGGATCTTTTGTGAAGTCCTCAGGTCAGAGAAGATGAGTTGGGTTGAAGTTTTAAGGGGATACTTGTATTATTCCTTTGGGTAGATTCTTGATCTCATCCTTGCTTTCTCCCAGATCACGTGAATCTCTCCCCATCAACTTTCAGTTTATTTCAGAAATTCCTCCTCCTCTGAGGAGCGCTCTGGGACTAACATTCCAGAAGAAGCTATACTCTGACTTCACTTATTGAGGTTCACCTCCTGAGCCACATTCTGCCTCTGCAGGCTAAGTAGGGGCTCAGAGGGAGAGACTGGCACTACAGCTATCTCCTTCATATTGGACTGTTCTCGCAGCAATTACAAATCACATCGAGAATGACATTTATCGGGATATGACACATCAGTTCCAAATTTCAAGAGGAAAATCTCAATACATTTAAAGTATTATTATTTTGTGAAAGAGAAGCAACCCTCATCTTCACTTTCCTTGAAGCTGAGGTCTGTCTGTGGTCAATGACAGAAGAGTGAAAGTCTTATATTGTCTGGTCACGCAGTGGTTTAGGGCCCTCAGTTCAAGTCAGAGTGGGGGCAATCCACATCTCACAGGGTGATTTGTAGAGCAAATGTCTATCTGACATCTTAGAGTACAATTTTTAGAAGCTGCTGTTCTTTTTGCAATGAATAAGCAGGACTCTGTTTTACCTTTTTGATTTATAAAATATTTCTTCTTTGGTTCATTGTAAAGACATTGGAGAATTCCACAAAGAATATATGCCAAAACATTTGCCACAATCCCCCCACCTGAGATAATGCTTGCTGTGTTCATGCACAAGCACAGCAACTCTTTCCTCTACACACGTGCAGACATGTTAATTAATGGTAGGTCAAGGTCAAATCCCTCCCTTCACAGTTAAATTCACTGGCAACAGGATGGTTAGAACGGCATAGTAACCCGCCATGTGGTTATACTATAACCGAATTAACCATTCCCCCATTGTTGCTGACTTAGGGTGGCTTCCAAAGTTTCAATATTGCCAATGTTATAAATATGACCACAACAACCTGAAGAACAGATCTTTATGAACAGCTTTGATTGTTTCCTTCAAATTCATTCCTAGAAGTAAAATGACTCGGTCAAAGGGAATAGACATCTTTACAGCTTTGCACACATCTTGTGAAGTTCCAAGAGGCCCTCATTTACTGTGTGTGCGGCAGCGGGGAGGGAGTGAGATACAGTCAGCTCTGGAGCACTCCAGGAGGAAGGTGGGGTGGAGAGACACTGATATTGACCACCCTTTCCTACCAGATGGCCAGTGTCAAATAGGGCTCTTGAGCTCAATGGAAGGTGGAAGCAGGGAAGAAATTAGCCGAGCTGCCCACTAAATCCCTCAAGAAAGACAGGGCTCTGGTAATGGCATGAGGCTTGGAGCTCAGACATTCTGAGCATTAGAAACTCCCAATCCCTGTGCTTGAACCACCACCAAGACACTGGGCAAGATCTGGAAAAATGTGGCCTGAGGGGGCTGCTGCACACATTACCACCTGTTAAATCCCAACAACCAGAGGTTCAGGGAGACTCTTCCCTGGTCCTGAGAAGCCAGAGGAACATCAGAGTCTTCTCGGAATTGCCTTGGCTTATTTTTCCCTGGTCACTCTCCCTCCGTGGATGCCACTCTAAGGATCAGCTCAGGGAAGGCATCGCTCTCTCTATTCCTCTCAAATTTCAGGATCTCTTTGTATCTATTTAATTCATTTATCCAACAACATATATTGGACAGGGTCTGTTTTATACCAGGTACTGTGCAAAACCTAAGGGTTAGAACGACTAATAAGAAATAATTAAGAGTCTATTGATAAATATCAACATGTCGGTTGATTTGCAGATCACTAAAATATAGTTGGTAATTTCTGTTTCTTTCACAAAAATTCTTGGAGTAATACCTGGCAAGTTGTGGGCAGTTGAAAAATGTTTGATGACTGAATCATGCATTCAGTGGGATGTGTTCGTTAAGTACAATCATCTAGGGGAACTTCACAAAAGCTTTATTTCAAGGTATAATTTATGTATTATAAAATGCATTAAGTGTATAATTAAATAGTTTTTAGTATATTTACAGAGCAGTGCAGCTATCACTGCAATTTACTCTTAGGACTTTCCATCACCCCCAAAAGAAACCTCCTTCCCATTTGTAGTTACTCCCATCCCCCACTGCCCCCAGTCTTGGGCTATCACTAAGCTACTTTCTATCTCTATAGATTTGCCTACTCTGAATATTTCATGTAAGTGGAACTCTACAGTAGGCAGTGTGTTGTGTCTGGCATTTCCCCTGATCATAATATTTTTGAAGTTCTTCTGTGCTATAGCATGTATTAGTATTTTATTCCTTTTAATTGTGAATAACATCCTGTTGTGTAAATATACCACATTTTGTTCATTTGTTGATGGATAATTGGGTAGTTTCCAGTTTTTGGCTAATCTAAATAATGCTGCTATGAACATTCATGTACAGATCTTTGTGCGGACATATGTTTTCATTTCTCTTGGAATTGCTGGGTCATACAGGAATACTTTTTGATCAAAGACTTAAGGAGACATTTACGGAAGGAGGACTTTGCTTGGCTAGATGAAACTAAAATATATCTAAGGTTCATAATCAGATACACACGTTGTGGCTGTCCCTGGCCCTTTCCTAATGGAGGCAAAGCCATGAGATTGTATCTCCCTTTTTCCATACTTCTCTTCAGATAAGAGATGTTGTATATGCTATTTTAATACCTATTTTTTCACTTAGTATATTCTGATGATTTTTCTGTTTTTACATTCTTTATATCTAATGGTTGTACATTCTTCAACAGTGATGATGAGTTTTAATTTATTTAAATTATTATCATTGGACATATTTATTTGTTCCCAAATATTTTCGCAGTTGTTAAAAAATGTGCAGTGAGCATGGCTAAATTAATTTTACCCATAATAGTCAGAATTTTCAGAGAATATGTGAAAATATTTTTTCAAAGGATGTTTTGAGTGCTTTGGTTGATAATGACAATTGCTCTTTAGAAAGTTTAACATAGAATATACTTCTGCCAGTTGTGTATGTGAGCAATTAGCCCCCACATTTCCAATAAAACTGGGTCTTATCCTAAGAAGAAGCAAATAAAAACCAAAATGTACCCATAGGCAGGAAATGGCATCTTTTGGAATTAAGCTATATTCTTTGATAACTCTGATATCAGCAGATGCTGATAACTTTTCATATAATCATGAACTATTTAGATTTTCTTTTCTGGGCACCCACACCCACACTATTCTAGGGAAGCGTTAGGATCTTCCTTCCCATTACTCCCCAACCTGCTGCTCTGCCCAGCAGGCAAAACTAGAAACCCCTTTCCTTTACTAGCACCTTGGGTAGAGGGCTTGTGGAATGACAGGTGGATGCTGCTCCACCTGCCACTACAGTAAGACCATGAGGCCCACTCCCAGGGCATAGGAAATATCTTCTGCTGCCCACAGACTGCCTGGTACCCACTGAGGTTGACTCAACTGACATCTAAACCGCAAAGGTCCCAACTCGGTTGGATCGAGTTTTATGACAGGATGAAAGTCAGGGCTTTGGAGCCCATGTTTTGGCACTAGGCTCCTTTATCGGAAGGGCCAGCATGTGGGTGGGGATGACCAACTGTTCTTCTTTCCCCTTGGAAGCAGGGCAAAGGAAGCGAGATCAAATTATAACAGAAGGGATGCCAGTTAGACAAGAGAAAGAACTTATTGCCAAGGAAGCTTGGGGAGTGCTGCACCTATGGAAATCTTTGATGAATGTGAGCTCTCTGTGGTTTAATTGGATCCCTGCCTGGGGGTAGAGGATTAGCCTTGGCCTGGGCCTAAGGTGATAAGCTGTGGCTTAGCTCATGAGCACCCAGCTTCCTGCATGCCTACTACCACCTGGCAGCTTGAGGATCTTTCTTGGGACTATGACTTGAGAGATACAGCACACTTTGGGTCTCTCCACCCCATCTTAGCATAAACAATGTAATCTGAGATTAGGTTTCTAGAAAATAAACAGCAAAGGAGAAGTGAAGTTACATGATTCAAGGCTAATTATTTGTCAGGCTCTGGGCTAGGTGCTTTAAAGACTATCTAAAATGTTTATAATGGCAGATAAGGAAACTGAGGCACAAAAAAGTATGACTGGCCCAGGATCACACATTAAGTTACACCGCTGCTGTCCACACCCAGACATGTTTTGGCTCCAGTGTTCCTCTTCACAGAACCGTATTACTGTGGAAGAAACTTCACTGCAGGAGGGGAGGGTATTCAGGAGTGTAAACTATGGACCATGGACAACCACCCAACAATTGTCTTGACCATCTTAGTCTTCCCGGAGTCTTAAGTCCATTTTTCTGATCCAGGTGGAGCAAACTTTGCATGGGTTTCCTGGGTCTGGACTTTTTTCTGGTCTCCTTGTCTTTTGGTTTCTCAGCCCTAATCATTCTCTGTTCTAGGTGACTTTCGGCGCATTAGTAAATTTCTCTGTGGTTCCATTTCTTCTTCTGTAAGATGGGGACAAAAATATAGCATGTTTCTCACAGTTTGGTTATAAAGATTAAATAATTAATAGGTTAAAGCACTTAAAATAATATCTGGAATAATGCATTCCAAAATGTTAGTTTTTATTACTTAGGTAGAAATCAAAATTTTTACATAGAGGAGAAAAACAGTATGCTTCAATTGGTATTGCCTTTCTACTTTCCTTCCATCTTTCTTTCCTCCCCGTCTTCCTTCCTTCTTTCCTTTTGTCCCTCACTAAACATTTATTGAAATTCCACTACATGCCAGGAATTATGCTAGCCATCGAAATATGTGCTTTGATTTTTTAAAAATATTCTAACCCTGGTAGCTATCTATTCTTTCCTGCTAGAGACAGAGAGGGCTAGTATACCAGCGTGAACTGTTAGCAGCTCTTTTGCTAGTATCTGAAGACATCAAGAGAGAAGCATTAACTGGAATGTTAGAAATAGTTTAAAAAGTATAGGTACTAGCAAGCCAAGCTTCTGGTGTCTTCATAGATGAGAAAACTGAGCTCTGAGGTGATATATAACTTCAAAATGTCCTATAGCCAGTTAACCAGAGAGCCAAGACTCAAACCTGTGGTTTCTGGGTGTCTCACAATCTCTTTCCATAAATGCTCCTATTTTTTCTACCCAACAGCCTGGACAGAGTGCTTAGGGAGTGAGTCACTGATAGGCCACATATTGTCTCAGCATCTTGTGTGGTGTGTTGCATGCCAAATGTTTCTGCTCAGCTTCCCTTCTCTTCCCATCTGCAAAATTGTATTCACTTATACTGTGGGCAAGGGTGGGGGATGGGAGGTGCACTGAACCTAGAACTGACAAAAGTCAAACTCCAACCAGCACATCTGGCTTGCAGGCGTTCCCCACAGCCTCAGAGATGCGGCCTCGCATGGGAATGGAGACTTTTGTCCTGCGGCCTTAGCAGTCCTCTGAGACTCTGGCCATCTGGGACTGGTGACAAAGTCCTGGTCTCTGACCTCAGCTGCCCATGGGCTACTTCTCCCTGTCCCATCACTCTTTCTGGTCTGCTGACTTGCTGGCAAACCTGAAGCCATTTTCCTTGGAATCCGAGCGAAGGTTACAGACTGTCCGTAACGCATAGTCTTCAATTTTCCCAAGGACTGAAGCAAGGATGTAAAAAGACCTCTTTCCTCACACTTAGCCCTGTTTTGGAATCGTGGCCCATTGGATTCTTATAGCCTGCCCATTTAAATAACAAAGTGAGCTCCTGGCATGGATACAGACTAAGAAGCCGAGGCCCTGGCCTGGCTCTGACACCTATGCACTGTGGGGCCCTCAACAAATCATCCACTTCTCTAGGTCTCAGTCCTCATTTGCAATAATGAGATACTTCACCCATCCTTCCCAGCTTGCAATACTGTGACATTTGTCTTTTCAGCATTCAACACATCGCCAGGTATCTATTAACCACCAACCAGGTGTCCAGTACTCTGCTAGTGGATATAAGCAGAGCTCTCCAGCTTTTTTTTTTTTTTTTTTTTTCATAGAATGGGACACATACAAAGTGATTTGCAAAATTCACCAGAATAAATTAATGAGGCCACCTGCAGCCAGAGGTCATGTCCTGATGCTCCAGACCCCACTCAGTGGTCCTGAGAACCGAGGACATCAGGGTCTTGGGACATCATAAAAAGGACTGCAGCACCCTGGTCAGGCAGTGCGGCTGAAGGATCCCGAGTTTCTCTACGCTGCCTCTGTCAGCCAGGAGTTTACACTGTAGCCAGGGAAGTATGATGCCCAAAACAGTGTTGAACAACTAACATGGCACTTGCATAAGAGTTACAGTAATTCAAGGATGGGGAGATCAGTGTGGTGAAGCAGTCTGGGCAGGCTTCCTGGAGGAATGGCCCCAGCACAGAAGTGGTTGACTTGGATTTCATCAGCATCAAGGCAGGAGCAGAGAGTGACAGAGGACAGACCCCTATGGGGAGAATCGGGAGCTCTGAATTCCTGTTCTGACTCCACCTCTGAATCATTCTGCCTCCGCTCTCTGTGTGTACCTCTCCTCTTTTATTCACCAATGGCAGCTGCGGGATCTGCTGAGCTAACCTCAAAGGCTGCCATGAAATTCAAACGAGACAGTGTATCTAAAGACATTCATCGGGAACTAAGTACCACATTAATATCAGGGACAATCATTAGCCGTGGATCAGGAAAGCTAATGCAAACCTTATGATCATAGGAGTTTTCCCTGCTGAGTTCATCGATGGATGGCAAGTGCTTAGGACAGCGCCTGGCTCACAGTGGAAACTTTACAAATTGTTATTGAATGAAAGGGAAAGGGAGGACTTGACCAGCTTCTCATCCTGGGCAAGATGGGGATGCAGGAGCTGGTGTGGCCTAGACAAAACTAGATTCTTCAGGGACGATCTCCCTGGGTGCATGGCCTCGGTCCAGCTGGGAGTCCTTTGCTTCCCTTGGTAACTGCCTGCCTCAGCCACTGCCTCTCTGGGGAACCCGGGGCTTTCATCTCCCCCCTACCTGCCGGAAGCCAGAGTGCTGACCCTGACCGGGAGGCCGATTTTAAAGAGCAGGCTCCTAAAGTGGCCTCCTTTTCTCAGGTGATTTATATGATCCAGCGTGCATGCTGAAGGAGAGCATTTAACTTGGATACAATTTAGAATTTTGTTTTTCTCTGAGTTTTTGATTCTGTTCTTTCCTCCTTTGGCTTGAGATTGCAATAAAAGGCAAGATTACCTGGAATAAATACCAGACTGGCTGTATGTTTGGTGAGAGACTGAAGCCGATGAGATTGGAGCCAAGAATGCAAGAGAGACAGCGTGCATGAGAACGAGGTGTCTGCCGGTCCTGCCTCTTCCAGGCGGTCTGTCCCCTTCCCCATCTGGCTGTTCTTCTCTGGGTGCCTCAGTCTCCACCTCCCTGCCCCGTCTTCTCCTACGCCTCCTGCTCAATCCTCAACAGAGATGGGGAATGTGTCCCTCCCGCTTAGGATGCTGTTCACCGCAGAACAGGATTCTGCTTTTTGGTTGCCCAGGCAGGCTGTCCAAATAGCCACCAAGACTATGCAGCAATTTAATCTCTTTCCAGGAACTCCAGGCCTGTAGTTTATGGTAAAAATGGCTTGTTCCTGTCTAGGAACACCGACTCTCACTTCAGAGGGCGACTCAGACTTCCTTAGACTCTACGGAAGCTCTAGGAAGTCTTAATGGGAAGGGGGATTTAAAAAATGTCAGGAGGGGCATGTGGGCTTCTCAAGGGAAGAGAGCAGAGGCAATATTAGACATTTCATAACATTTGGACACCTACTCTTCCTGTTCTTCATATTTTCTTGCAGCTTTGAAAGGTGTTATTGTCTCCATTTTACAGATGAGATGAGGAGACCGAGGCTCGGAGAGGCTTATGCATTTGCCCAAGACTCTACAACTCCACAACTTAACAGGTACCTCTAGAACTGTCTGACTCCAAAGCCTCTGTTCTTTCTACTTTTCCAGGAGTAGGGTAGAGAAAGGTCTGGAGTCCACAGAGTTTCGTGTGCTATTTATGATACCCTAAGGTGGCACCAGAACATCGTGATTGGGTCTGGGTGTTGCCCCAGGGACTCAAGCACCCTTTCCGATGGCCTCCCACCAAACCCAGGGCCTCACTCGGATTCTGAACCCTCAACCTTGAGGAAAATGCAGAATCGGAAGGCGGAGGGGGAGGGGGGGTTCCGAGGAGAGTCCGTGAAAATGGCAAAAAGATTGATAAAAATAAAAGGCCGGGCGCGGTGGCTCACGCCTGTAATCCCAGCACTTTGGGAGGCCGAGGCGGGCAGATCACGAGATCAGGAGATCGAGACCATCCTGGCTAACACGGTGAAACCCTGTCTCTGCTAAAAATACAAAAAAATTAGCCGGGCGCGGTGGCGGGCGCCTGTAGTCCCAGCTATTCGGGAGGCTGAGGCAGCAGAATGGCGTGAACCCGGGAGGCGGAGCTTGCAGTGAGCCGAGATCGCGCCACTGCACTCCAGCCTGGGTGACAGAGCGAAACTCTGTCTCAAAAAAAATAAAATAAAATAAAAAATAAAAAATAAAGAGCTGAGGGCTGCAGGGAAATAAAGTGGGCATGTTGGTTGGGGAAAGGAATTGACTGCAGGGATACAGCCTGTGAGTTCGTGAAGCGCCCTTCGAGCAGAGTGAACTGTTCACAGGCTCCAGCAGAATGAATCTATGGCTGAAAAATGCCAATTTTGGACCAAAGGCGTAGGGTACAGCTCCCTTTTTGGGAAGTCTGTGAAATTTAAACAGTCCAGTGCCAGGGAATCTAGCTGGAGGGAGGGGAGGAGGAAAATAAAAGCCTCTCAAGTCTCTTTTCAAGCCTGGGATTGTGGAATTCTAAGATGTGCATTTGAGAACACATCAAAGATAAGGGGGAGATGGATTTAACTGCCCAGTTCATATGGAATGAAGTTGCTATGTGTTCTTCTATTGATGTCAGGTGCCCAGACGTGACAGCAATAAATCGAGAGGGATATTTATGTAAACAAAAGAAATATAAATAGATGGGAGAGAGTAAACTAAATATAAACTCTCAGTTCAAATCACTGTGAGAACAGCCAATGCTATTTTCAGAGGGGGTGTGTAAGTGCATGCAGGGTGCTATTTATGGCCAGAAGGTTGTATGTAAACTCTGACAGTCCAGCGGCTGCTTTCAATGGCGTGCCATTCAACTCAAGCTGAAGTGGCCTATTGCTTTCTCATCCCCACAGGGAAGAAAACAAGACAGAAAGAAAGAACAAGGAATGTTTTTCCTCTCGCCATGCACGTCTAGCTGTGCACAGTCTCACACTTTTATCGCTTTCCTTCTTGACCATCACTCCTTAAGTCCTGTACATTCTCTAAAGCTGAGTTAAGGTGCATGAGGACACCTTCAGGACCCTGATGCACCCCCATCTAGTCTGTGTTCCCGGACACCCCTGTAACACCCAGGCACATTCACGCATGTTACATATATTTTCTCTTGGACTACCTTTCTGTCCCTCTGACTATACTGTGAGCTCCCCAAGGGCAAGGCTATGGCTTGCATTCCTGAGCTAAGCAATAATAGGTGCTCAGATTTGGTTTGTTCACCCCATTAATCCCTGACCCAAGGGAAGTGTGAACTTGAACGTGTAGCAGGAAAGGGATTTATCAGACAGAGGGAGATTTTCTTTTTAAAGATGAGGGTGCTAGGAGACTGAGCCATGCTTCAGCTCTTGCTCAGAGGCAGGGGATGGCAGCAATAACCTCTTAAATCCGGCCCCTCCCTCTCAGAGATTTTTCCTGTCTTTGAAGGAAGGTCTCAATGGTGAGTCAATGATGAATCTAATCCACGTTTCCTCTTCTTGCAGGCAATTGCATCTAGCATATAATGTGTTGGTTATCCCCAGAACACAGAGCAGTGCATCTCCACAGCGAGAATTCCAGAACAGGTAGGAAATTCCTTGTCTTTGGGGTTTTACTTTTGCATGTTTCCCAGAAGGGGGCAGCATCTCCCTGAGATTTCTTCCCTTTGGCGGTACAATCCTTTCCAGCAGCCTTTAAGGAAGGGCAGATTCAGAAATCCGGAGAATTGCCTCAGTCTCTGCCATTCAGATTCACTAGAGGAGTGGGAATGGGCAAAGGGTGGCCTGTAGACTGGAGAACAAGTGTCTTCAGAATGACGTGTGCCCACGGTGGTCCAAGAACACGGTCCCACCCAGAACATGGTCCCGCCAGAGGCATCAGAGGGCTCAGGTCCTCAGTGTTTGTGAACCTACCAGGGTTTTTGTGCCCCGATGCCCGAGAGGTTCAAGATTTGAAAGTCAAGGGTTGTACAGAGGGGCTGTCTGGATGGGAAATTTTGCTGTGCTCTTCTCTCATCTATTTGGGCACCTGGAGGGCACACAGCTGCATCTGCGGCAGAGCCTTAGAGGGCAGATGGCTTACTCAGTGACTTAGCTAGTTACAGCTGGGACTAGCACTGAGGTCAGCCTGCTAGGATCTGTCAGGTGCTCTCCCAACCACCTGGGACTGCCAAGGTCAAGAGACATGCAATAATACCCGTTTTCCATGATTTTTACTCTCTGCAGTTTCAGTTACATGAAGTCAGTTGAATTTCAAAGATAGGTGAGCACAGTACAGCAAGGTAGAGACCACAATCACAAAACTTGTATTGCAGTATATTGTTACAATTGTTCCATTTGATTATCAGTTATTGCTGTAAATCCCTCACTTAATTAATAAAGTGTCACATTGAGGGTTGGAACTGGCGTTCTCACTCAGCAAAGCTCTGACCAAAGTTTAGCATTAGGCCAGCCTTGCTGCACACCGCACCAGGGACAGCACATTTGCGGTGTGCACTGGGCAAGTGCACAAGGGTGTACATTTGCTTCCCTTCCCGCTCCTGGCACCTGCGGGCTGGTCTCCTCCGCGTGTGCTGGGAAGTCATCAGAACAGCTTTCAAGCATCCTAAGGCCAGCCCGCACTCCCAGATTATATTTTGATACCCATTTACCTTCTACTGCTCTTCCGATCAGCATTTACTCTGCATTTCCTGGTCTTTGTGGTTTGTCAGCTCCTTCACGTTGCTTTCGCTTAGCTGGCGTGTGTGAGGATGAATGAAGAGAGTTAAAAGCCTCCCAACCTCTGGCGCGCTGGAACAGTTCCCTGAATGTGGGGCTGCTGTGAACTGCTGTCATCGCAACATCTATCAAAAACATCTCTTGCCCCCAGGACACGACAGAGTTTTGAAAGTGTTTCTGCCCTACGTTGCTTATGCAGATACTTGGGAGAGAGCTTCCTCCATTTCTGTCTGGTTTTTGGACAAATTCTTCAGATTGTAAGATGTTCAGCATTCTGGGTTGTTTGACTGTGGAAACGCACGGGAGCTCTTGCGGTGTAGACTCTAGCCCCAGTTCTATTGCCAATCTGTCAGGGCCCTAGCAGGCATCACTGCTGTTCTTTAAGACTTACTCTTGCCAACCTCCTGTTGCACCTCTGGAAACAGGACGAGAATGATTTTTTCTGCCAGTGAGTTGAGAAAAGTTGTCACACTGAAAGTACCAACTGAATAAGGTCAGAGAATCAAGGAAGCAAGTGCCTGTGGAGGTTGATGAATCAACAGAAAAATATTACCATATTGGATGTCCACCCGCCTATGTTTAAATCTTCATCTGAGAAAGGGGTGAAGTGTTGGAAAGCATTTAAAATCTGCAAAGATGGGAAATGAGATAACGACCTGGGTCCTCTGGGACAGGACATGCCAGTGCTGGTTCTTGAGAGGACAGCTGCTCCAACAGCCGGGCTCTCCAGAATATGCCGCCGTGGGCTTCGGCCTGGCAGCAGGGCCCCTGGAGGAGCCTGGCACCCAACAGGCGCTCTGTAAATATTTGGGAAGTGAGTGGACGAGTGACTGTCCCTGGTTTGGGCTGGTGCCATTTAGAGGGCAACCAGAGTGCAGGGAAGGGAGGAGCTTGGGCAAGAGGGACATTGCTGTCGCTGGTTGATGGTGAGATGGCACTTAATGAGAACCTGGTCATTGGGAAAGCCCCAAGCCTGCGTCTTGCTGTGATGCCTTCCCCATTATGAAGGGTCCATTGGCATGGGAGTGGGGAGACCTGGACTCAGAGAAGCTACAAGGGCAAGGGTGGAAAGGCATAGCTTCTGCAAGTTGATGCTGAAAAAGATCCAAGACTCATATTCAGCAGACAGCCCATAACCAAGAGCCAAGGAAAACTTTGCCTCTGCTTCTTCTACTGGACTCTCTTGGGCTATCCTTTCATGTCTTTATTTTTCTCAAAATAGCTCTATGTTCCTTTCTTTAAAAATTAAAATATAGCAAAATTGACTTTCGGGGGTTTTATAGCTCCATGAGCTTTAACATATATGTAGGATCATGTAACCACTACTATTATCAGAATACAGTACAGTTCCATGACCCCAAAGAACTCCTTCATGCTACTACTCCCTTTGTAGTCATACTCTCTCCATATTTCTAACCCCGGCAACCAATGATCTTTTCTCTATTACTATAGTTTTATCTTTTTGAGGATGTCATATGAATGAATTTATACAGCATGTAATTTTCTGAAACTAGCTTCTTTCACTCAGCATTATGCCTTTGAGATTCACCCAAGCTATTGTAACAATAGTTTATTATTATTTATTTTATTTTTCTTTATATTATTATTTTTTATTTCAATAGTTTTTAGGGTGGATGAGTTCTTTACTGGTGAATTCTGAGATTTTAGTGCACCCATCACCCAAACAGTGTACACTGTACCTAATATGTAGTCTTTTATCTCTCACCCTCCTCTCAACTTCTCCGCCAAGTTCCCACAGTCCTTTATATCACTGTATATGTTTTTGCTTCCCTATAGCTTAGTTCCCACTTATAAGTAAGAATGTACAGTATTTGGGTTTCCATTCCTGGGTTACTTTACTTAGAATAATGACCTGCAGCTCCATCCAAGTTGCTGCAAAAGACATTACTTTCTTCCTCTTTATGGCTAAGTAGTGTTCCATGGTGGATATATACTACATTTTCTTTATCCACTCACTGATCGATGTGGACTTAGGTTGCTTCCGTATCTTTGCAATTGTGAATTGGGCTGCCATAAACATGTGTGTGCAGGTGCCTTTTTCATAAAATGACTTCTTTTCCTTTGGGTAGTGTATTAGTCAGGGCTCTCTGAAGGAACAGAATTAATAGGATATATGTATATAGGAAGGGGAGTTTATTAGAAAAATTGACTCACACGATCACAAGGTGAAGTCCCAACATAGACCATCTACAAGCTGAGGAGCAAGGAAGTCAGTGCAAGTCCCAAAACCTCAGAAGTAGGGAAGCTGACAGTGCAGCCTTCAGTCTTTGGGCAAAGGCCGAAGAGCCCCTGGCAAATCACTGGTGTAAGTCCAAGAATCCAAAAGCTGAAAAACCTGGAGTCTGATGTTTGAAGGCAGGAAGCATCCAGCACGGGAGAAAGATGGAGCCTGGAAGACCCAGCAAGTCTGCTATTCCGCCTTCTCCTGCCTCCTTATCCTAGCTGCACTGGCTGCTGATTAGGTGATGCCCACCCAGATTGAGGGTGTTTAGTTGCTTGTGTTAGTTTGCTGAGGATGATGGTTTCCAGCTTCATCCATGTCCCTGCAAAGGACATGAACTCATCCTTTTTAATGGCTGCATAGTATTCCATGGTGTATATGTGCCACATTTTCTCTATCCAGTCTATCATTGATGGGCATTTGGGTTGGTTCCAAGACTTTGCTATTGTGAATAGTGCTGCAATAAACATACATGTGCGTGTGTCTTTATAGTAGAATGATTTATAATCCTTTGAGCATATACCCAGTAATGGGATTGCTGGGTCAAATGGTATTTCTGGTTCTAGATCCTTGAGGAATCATCATGGCCATATATTATTCCTCTGCATCAGGGTCTTAAGTTAGGAATGATATCGTATCACAATTTCATATATGTCCTGACTTTTAAGACCATGTACAGGGTAGAAGCACATGCTGGTTGCCTATAATATTGGGACTTCAACTTCCAGTTGACTTGATGATAAACTAAGGGGAAAATGATAGCTCCATGACTACATGAGACAGACCCATTCACATGTGACTGCTCATTCTGTAGAGCGTCTTCCGTTGACAAGATGTTCTGGAAGTAAAAAGACCAGGGACCTTGAGAAGCTGCAAGAAATGTGAGGGTGACCTAGGGAACTAGAAGGGGAAGTTTGCAGCTAGTTGGACTCTGGAAATTCCAGTTCCTCCCACTTACTCATGCTGGGACCCCAAGTTGCTAAGTGACAGAGGAGGAGTAGGAGGAGTGGGAGGCAGAAAGTATGGTGAAAATGTACTTGGGAAAGGAGGATTGGTGATGTGCCACTGGTATTCAACACAGAGTAGAAGCCAAACTAGGTCACCTAAGGATTTAGGTATGAGGGTCCCTGAGCTTCCATGGGAGTAGCAGATTTCTTGAATGTTGGGACTAGAAGCATCTCTAGAGGTCAAGTGGTCCAATCCCCTCATTTGAAAATAAACAAGTGAGACTGCAGGAGGGAAAGTGACCTTACCCTAGAGTCATCCAGCTAGTTACTGGCTGAGTTGGCACACAAACTCAGAACTTTCAGTCCCAGGTACTTTTCTAACTCTACCTCTTATTGATGGAAGTCGAGATCTAAACGTAGAGATAGGGTTATAGAATCACAGAAGCATTAAAATCTCTCAACACTAATGGAGAAAGAAAAAAGTTGGGAAAGATAGCCATCCCTAATCTAAAGTTGGAAAGTTCAAATTGCATACATTTTTAATTGACAATATAATTTGTACAACCAATGTTAGCTGAGTACTTATCATGTGCCAGACAATTTTCTACATGCTTTTCATGAGTCAGCTGGTTGAACCCTTTCAACCACTCTATGAAATAGGTGCTAGTATTATTTGTAGTTTATGGATATGAAAACTAAGGCACATGGAAATTAAGTAAGCTGCCTAAGGTTGCACAGCCACTAAATGGCAAAAGTGGAATTCAGACATAGGCAATGTAATTTCAGAGCAACCCACTGAACTACAAGCTAAAATGTTCAGTGCAGGCAGAATACCAATTAGGTGCTCCCATCTTTATTCTTCATGTGGAGAACACTACAATTGCCAGAACAAAATCTATTGCTACCACCATCAACTGGGTACCTGGACATCAGAAGACTTGAGCGTCCTGGTGTCTTGGAGGTAGGCCTAGGAATCAAAAGCGTGTATGCTGTCTTTAAAAGGGAACATTCTGGTTGTTCTAAAAACCACTCATGCTGAAAAGAAAGCTGACTACTCACCCCAATCACCAGCGTTTTCTTCTCCCACTTACTCTACTGCCCTGGGCAATGTGCCAGGGTCTATAAAGCATATTCATTCCCAATTCTTTTATAATTCTGTTCTTCCATTGTTAGCCTTCTGAGTATTACCTAGTGCCCACAAAGCATATAAAATTAATTTCTGCTGCCTTACTTGACATTTATATTTGAGAGGCAACTCTGTGATGGGGCAGGGAGGTTGTCTGGAAAAACGCTAAGTTAATATCAAGTTGAGAGATGGGTGCCAACTTTTTTCGATTACACAGGGGCATGCGCCAATTCAATTATCTGATCATAACTGCCTGCAGTCAGTTGGGACAGCAACTCACTGCCCTGTCAAGGAATTACAGATAATCTGTCAGAAGGGCTTTCATCAAAGATGGGCTTGGAGAGCCTTCCTCCTGGTCTGTATGCCCACGTCCCTGTTAAGTTCAGATAAAACAACAGGTAGGTTCTCTATACTCCCTTCAACAAGGCCCAAGGAAAATAGAAACTTCCAAAAAAGAAGCCACCAATAGCATCTGTAACTTCAATTTTCACCAAGTATCATGATATGCTTCCTGTAGCCACCAGCTTGATTTTGTTTGATAGAGATCAACATTATCAGTTTGTCCCTTCTGAGCTCATGCTGACTCATAGGGGCGGGCACGGGATGGTATGAAGGTGAAAGAGGTAATGGGGTTACACACTGGAATAGTCACCACAGGCAATTGATATACCTGTGATACTTCCCATTTCCATTCTTTCCACATTGCAAAGTATTTTTACATCAGTTGTTTATACATCTATTCACCAAACCCTTATTGAATGCTTGCCATGTACCAGGTGGAGTACATATTCCCAAGCACACTCTTGGAATATCATAGTAATAAAAATAAAGAAGTTTGCCCTCATGAACTTACATATAGTAAAGGTTATCTCAAGGGCTTTTCATCATCATCTGTCAGGGAGGTTAGACCAAGATCCACTAGTCCCATTTTATGATTAAGGTAACAAAACTAAGGCTCAGAGGAGTTAAATGTTCTGTCGGAGGGTGCCCAGCTAGAGAGTGACAGAGCCCTGGAGAACCCAGACACCTGCATCCTTGTCCATTACTCTTTCTACTGTACCAACTGAAACTACACAGTGAAGACTGGATGGAACCTTCTGAAATCATTTCAGTCATCACCCCTATCCTCCACTCGAAGCCTCCTAGGAGAATCACATGGCAAGAGAAGAGGAATCCACATGTTTCTGAAGCGTCCTTCCATTCCAGTGAATGATGTCTCTTACTGTTTTGAAGTTCTGTTATGCCTTTAATTTAAATTCCTTGTGTTACAAGCTCAACACTCCCATCTTCTTTCATTCTCTCAGTGAAAGTGAAATGAGGCATCTTTTATGAACCTAAAGACGATTCCCCAAACTCCTCATCCTTAAACCATGGACGTACGTTTAAATCCAGTCCTGACTTGTTCTTTCCCCGTTGACAGGGAAAATGTAGGAGGGGTTAGTCATTTTCCCCCTATTTTCATTCTTCTTACATAGTTAAAATGACTGCCTTATTTATCAGACCAAAATTTAATGGCTAAAACAAGATTTAAGAAGTAACTCTGGAAGCAGTTGGTAAGTTCATGGGGGAGGCTCCATGATTTGTAGTCAGAATGAGGTTTTGGCAAGCTTCAGTTCACTAAAACCATCTTTCAGAAACAAAAATGGAATAAGAAATGTTGAGAGCAGTTTTATCATGATGGAAAGAGTGAGATTTGAAGTAAACACCAGAGTCAGTCTCATCACTGCCATTTAATAGTTATCTCAGGCTGGTCACGTAAAACTTTCTGAGTATTCATCAACTTCATTGATTAAAAAGGCAATAATAATACCTTGACAGGTTTTTGTTAAAGAAAATGATAGGAAATTTGTAGAAGGGATTTCTCCATCCTAGACTGTCCTGTAAATGTTACTTCTTAGTTGCAGAAGAAACTAAGGTATTATGCAAACACTGTTCTGTCACAATGTCCTTTTTTTCTTTTTTCTTTCTTCTTTTTTTTTTTTTTTTTTTGGACACAGAGTTTCACTCTTTCCCTTAGGCTGCAGTGATTGCTGTGATCTCGGCTCACTACAACCTCCACCTCCTGGGTTCAAGCGATTCTTGTGTCTTAGCCTACCCAGTGGCTGGGATTACAGGCATGTGCCACCTGGCTAATTTTTGTATTTTTTTTTAGTAGAGACAGGGTTTTGTCATGTTGGCCAGGCTGGTCTCAAACTCCTGGCCTTGAGTGATCTGCCCACTTCAGCCTCCCAAAGTGCTGGGATTACAGGTGTGAGCCACCGCTCCCAGCTCACAATGTCCTTTTATAAGCTATTCTATTCTAGTCTGTTTGCAGACTTTGTTTTTGTCTTGCATCTCCAGAGTGCTGAAATTGTCTGCCCACGGTTCCTCCTTTTCTCATCCCTAATGTGAGAATCCTACCTAGCCCATTTCTCATGCAGAAAGCTATCAAAGCTCCAGCAGGTATCTCTATGACAGCAGAGATTGTTTTGTTTGCCCTATATCCCTAGTACTGGAAACAGTGTTTTTCCTATAGCAGGTGCTCAAAAATATGCATAGAAAGGATGAATAAATCTGTACTTAGCTTCAAGACCTATGGGAGAAAGAGATCAGTAAGAATTTTGTGTAAAGAAAATGCAATAGTTGAGCCTTTGAATAGCATAGAGGTACTGAGATTAATGCTATAAGAAACAAGGAAGGCCTTCTCTGACCAGGGCGGGGAATGTGGCTTTGGCTCTGAGGCAGAGAACCTGTGATGTCTGCTTAGTCCCAGTGTTCACCTGACTCCACTCCTTGTCCCAGAGTCCTGAAAACTGAACATCCATGATCATATGGCATCCTGGCAGGCAATAACTGTAAGGGCTTAGATGCCTGCTTGGCCAATCCTTTGCTGTACAGATGAGAAAGCTAAGGTGAAGAGAGGGCCACTAAGAAGCAGAGCAGAAACCGGGATCCAGACACCCAGATTCCCTTCTCCTTCCAGAGGAAACAGTCCATTACTTGAAAACCGAATGCTTATTTTTCGCTTGGTGTTTTTGCCTTACTTCACCCGTTTCAGTTGTGGGGGAAAATATATTTCTTTTAAAACTTAGTGATGGTCTTGATTATAGGGGAATGTTTGATCGCTTAGAGATTTGTACCAAGAAATCATTGGGTTTCCTAACCATGTCCTGGTATAAAATATTACGGAGACAATCTCCTCATCCAGCCCATGTGTGTTTTTCCTTCCCTCTTGAAATTGTCAAACTGACATAATTAACTTAGCTGTTAGCTAAATAAATCATTGGATCCTAGTGAGAATTTTTACAGAGATATCATTGCCCCCGCACCACACTGCAAGAAGGACTGTCAACACTACACGATAGATGTATGGCAAAGGATTCTGTTTGGGAGACAGCTCTCTCTTTCTCCCTTAGCATCAAATATGGCTGGCAGGCTAAAGAACAGATGTCAAGGAGTGCATGTGAGAAAACCACTAATTCCTTAGAGTGTTTTGATCACACATGGTTCATGGAGCCTGAAACAGCACCGGAACTTCAGGTTGAAAGTCCAGAGATGGACTTCGATTAGGGTGGACCTCAAACAGAAGGTGTCAGTCTGTAGCCCTTTCAGCAGAGAACTCTGCTCTGAGACAGGGGGATGGACTTATTAACCTGCAAGTGTTCCTGGTTTCCTTTGTCATTCTGAAATACAGGAACACACTATTTCTGTTTCACTCCTTGTTTAAGAATATTCAGGCCAGGCACGGCGGCTCACGCCTATAATCCCAGCACCTTGGGAGGTTGCGGTGGGAAGATCACGAGGTCAGGAGTTCAAGACCAGCCAGGCCAAGATGGTGAAATCCCGTCTCTACTAAAAATACAAAAAAAAAAAAAAAATAACCAGGCATGGTGGCTCGCGCCTGTCATCCCAGCTACTTGGGAGGCCAAGGCAGGAGAATTGCTTGAACCCGGGAGGTGGAGATTGCAGTGAGCCAAGATCGCGCCACTGCACTCTAGCCTGGGTGACAGAGCAAGAATCAGTCTCAGGGAAAAAAAAAGATATTCATTTGTGAGCTCTTTAAGAACAAGGACATGTTCACTCTCTTGGTCTGTGTAGCGCGTGGTGGGGCCACCTGGTAAAAATATGGCAGTGTTCTTTTGCTTTCCATTCCAACTTCTTTAGATTCCTGCAGAATAAAAAGAAAGATTGATCAAAGGCTAGAGATGTTTTAAAGGAGGGTCTTGTTAACAAGTGAAGTCTTATTTGAATTTCAACAGGTAACAAAACAGAGGCTGCAAAGTCAAGCCTGGGGTGGTCAGGAATTCAGAATGTCGCTGCACCAGCCCCTCAGGAGATGGAATGCTGCTCCCACACTCAGTTTAATTAGAAGCATGGCTAATGGCCAGAAACTTGGAAGACAGATTATAGATCCATTAATCAGGGTCATGTTTACACCTCTATTGTCAACTGTAATGATCTGTTTAACCCAAGGTCTCCTTAGTTTATTATGATTGCTATTGTTTTGATCTTTACAGTTATGAAGGAGAAAACCATATGCAAGCCTGTATATTCCAGCAGGGGCCCAGTCTGCCAGTTTTTTTTGTTTTTTTTTGTTGTTGTTGTTGTTTTTGAGATGGTGTCTTGCTTTGTTGCCCAGGCTGGTGTGCAGTGGTGCCATCTCAGCTCACTGCAACCTCCACCTCCTGGATTCAAGTGATTCTCCTGCCTCAGCCTCCCGAGTAGTTGGCATTACAGGTGTGCGCCACCATGCTCGGCTAATTTTGTATTTTTAGTAGAGCTGGGGTTTCGCCATGTTGGCCAGGCTGGACTAGAACTCCTGACCTCAGGTGATCTGCCCACCTTGGCCTTCCAAAGTGCTGGGATTATAGGTGTGAGCCGCCACACCAGGCCTGCTAGTATGTTTTAACATAAGTATTATTATGTTAAATATTTGTTTTAATCATCAGTCATCTTTTACTTCAGAACTATGAACTGGGTCCAATCAGTAGATTCACTATCAGCTGTCTCTGTCTACTGTCAGGTGACCCACATTGAAAATATCAGTGGTGACCATAACTCGTAGCCATAACACAATTTCTAATATTCCAAGGGATTTTGGGACCAGTGGCTCCTATGACACAATTCCATGAAATCTAATTTGGTCGTCTGAAAGAAGATTGCTTTGGTCGTCTGAAAGAAGATTGCTTTAAGGTTCTCTAGAGATGCAAGGAAGGGATCTGAGAGGTGCCATGGGCAGCAAGTCTCCCTCTGCTTTGCTTTCTGTGGTTACTTTGAGGAGGCTTTGCTGCCAATTCAAGGATTAGAGAGAGAGAGAGAGAGGCTAACTTGTTTCCTTGCCTTGTAATGGGGATGTCCTCTCATAGGGGACCATTACTAGGGGAGAGTGAGAGTAAACCTGTGTGGGTCTGTTAGACCATGGTAGAGACTGAGGGAGGGCACTGAGGAGCCCCATGGACCATTCCTATGGCCCGAGCAGCTCCAGCAGCAGGCTTGCAGGAAGCAGTTTGATTTAGGCATGGAGACAAATTACCCACACATCTGGGTATTTACATTTCCCCGGACACTTTTACCCTACTTCATGGATGCAGTCTTCTTTGGTGAAGGCTAAGAAGACTTATAGCATATATTGTATCGTATTATCATAAGGTCCTTCTTTCAGGGCAATCAACTTCTTCATTCAAGAGGCTCTGTGCTGGTCAACTGTTTCATGTCTGGAACTTGA
The DNA here is from genome assembly GCF_000001405.40 of Homo sapiens. Taxonomy (NCBI): domain Eukaryota; kingdom Metazoa; phylum Chordata; class Mammalia; order Primates; family Hominidae; genus Homo; species Homo sapiens. Next base: position 5,183,040 of record NC_000012.12, read on the forward strand.
GTAAGGGATCATGACTTTCATTGTGGAGTCCAAGCCCAGCCTCTGTCTGCAGAGCTGCTGTTTGTAAGTTACTGAAGTCCAGTTGTACTTAGATGGGCTACCTAGCTCTTTTGGCACTGGTTACATCATGAGGAGTTAGCCATCACTTAAAATCCCTGTAGTTGGCCAGGCGTGGTGGCTCACGCCTGTAATCCCAGCACTTTGGGAGGCTGAGGCGGGTGGATCACGAGGTCAGGAGATCAAGACCATCTTGTCTAACACAGCAAAACCCCGTCTCTACTAAAAATACAAAAAATTAGCCGGGCGTGGTGATGGGTGCCTGTAGTTCCAGCTACTCGGGAGGCTGAGGCAGGAGAATGGTGTGAACCTGGGAGGCGGAGCTTGCAGTGAGCCAAGATAGCACCACTGCACTCCAGCCTGGGTGACAGAGCGAGACTCTGTCTCAAAAACAAACAAACGAACGAACAAAAAAACAAAACAAAACAAAAAAACTACACTTGAGACCATTCTAATAATTCTAATAAATATGCAGCCCATGCTGTCTATTATGATAACCACATCTTCTTTGGTGATCAACATTATCCGTGTGATGAGTAAGAGCTACTATTTGACCTTTTCCATGCTGGGATCTTCCCAAATCCATTGAAATTGGGAAGCACACTTCCATAGCAGTGTGTCTCATCAGTACTCCTCCTAAAAAAACAACCTCTAAAGCTTTGATTAAAAATTCTGGCCTTTTTCTCACTAATGGACTGATTAATGTCTTGGTGAATGGAATGATTTTAGATTACAGAATTAAGAAATTCATAGGCATCACGCAGTAATAAATCTACTCCACCATTTTCATCTCTCAAATTATTCAGATTCTTTATTTCTGCAGTAGACCAAAGAATTGTTGGCATATAAACTTTATTTTACTTGAGGCACCATTTAGTCCAGATCTCAATATATCAACCCAAAACATAATTGAAATCAAGTTCAGGTGTTAAGTCCTGCATATTGAATTCAGAATAAATGGTAAGTGAGCCTATATTCATACATTTATTCTAATCTTAAAAATATATTCTTTTCTTCTTAATCTGAGACACTCAGAAGCTATTCTTTTGCCTGGTATTCAGACGTACCTACTGCAAATTAGGAAGGGTGTGTAAGACTTCTGGCTTTGATTTGTTATTCACTCTTTGGAGTATGCTAGGATCTGTTTATAGCTATAGGTCAGGAGATACTTGTGGGTAATTGGGATGAGACATGAAGAGAATTGACTCATCAAAGGAGTTATAGGGCTTTCAGGCAAAGCTTAACAGACTTATCAAGTAAGGAAGAAGGAGAGTCTGCCTCTGCTGACGGTAACAGGAATGGCTCCAAATGTTGTTAGCGCTCCTATACAGCCTCATCCAATTCTCAGCTTCCCAGCCACTCCTAACCATGCCCTCACTCTCACATACGACACCTCACGAGGTTGTGAATTCAACTGTTGTAAATTGGCAGCCCATAGGATCAAACTGTGAAATTGTTTTTATCGGAGCCCTGTGCCTGCAAGACATGAGAGATTCTCTTAACAAGGTCACAGAAAGTGCTTGAGCTTCCTTATGTGCCTTGAGCAAAGAATGTAGGAATTGGATCTGACCATCATCTTTCCTTATGCTACCCAGAAGCAGCCACGCCCCTGTATCTTCCTTGATTTCCTCCCGTCATTTATGCTTTCACAAAACAGTGTCCACTCAGTTTCCCAAAACCTTGCTGCAATGAGCACCGCATTCTAAGTAACCACAGGCAGTATTTCAATTCATTGTTTCTGGGCTACAAGCCATGAATTGGTAAATTATCACTATTTAATATTTTTATTGCTTTTTGTCCCAACCGGGCCTAATTCCCCAGTTTACCTATGCTCTGGGTAGCACTGACTGGTACTAATTTCTGTATTACTTAGAGTTTTGTTTACAAATACCAAAAACTAAGTGTACTTAAATATTATAACATTTTTAGAAAGACTTATTGCAGAACACCAGAACATCACACAAAGCCCCTTGCTCAGTGGCTTGGGGTTTAATACTCTGTAGCCACCAGCTTGAAATTCTTCATTTTATCTATTAATTTGTGTTGCAAGAGAAGTCCCATGTGTCAAGGGATCAGGTGCCACGGACTTGGAGCTGTGGCTCACAGGTATTGAATGAATGAGCAATGTGTGAATGCTGAGTGTTCAATCTTTTGGGTAGCCCCTGCATTCATCCAATCTGGAGAAATATTATTTTGTGGTCTAAGGAGGCTAAAGTAGATCCACCTGTGCCTGGAGGCACACACGCTTCTCAACAGAAAGCAATCGTGTTCTGCCACCTCCATCATTCCTTCCCTTTGCAGGGTCGTGCCTGAAGTTTTGGAAAAAAAAAAAAAAAAAACCCAAAGGAGTTTCTCCTGAGGGCCCCAGAGGAAGCATCTCCCTAGACACAGAATACCTATAGGGGTCTGGTGGAGGCTGCTGCCCTCAGTGCCTCCCAGGCCCCCCAAACATAAGTTTGTCCGCAGACGTTCCCCTTCAAGTGCCCTGGAAGTGTATGACAATAAGCCCAGCCAATTGGCTTTATTTTCATTTTCTGTTTGCCCTTCCCTATGTCCTCAAATCCCCTTTATCGCCAGGCAAACATGTACGTAGGCATCTAATGAACTAGTACAAACCCTGCTTTGTTTTGTTTTGTTTTGTTCTTTTTATTTTCAGGTTTCCCCATTCCTGCAAGTTTTTTTAACTTTTTCTGTGCGGGAAGTCCAAGTTCCTAGTTGAACTGCAAGTTCTTGTTCTCCTGACAAGTCCAGCCCTATCCAGTAAGATCCCTGAGCTGGGGAAGCAAGGGAGGGGCATGTGGGGATGCAGTTAACTCTTTCGGGCCCTCCATGGGGAGGCCGTCCCCTCCCTGCCTGGCAGTTATGCAGTTATCATTTCATAGTCACCAATCTGAGCTCAAGGGACAGATCTTGCCTTCCTTATTAAGGACGGTGATTTCCTACCAAGCTCAATCTCATTTTGTGGTGATGCTTAGGGATAAGACTAAGATGTCTCAATTCTTAAGGTTTTCCCAGATTCATACACATACAAGATCCAGCCCTTTATACTATTCCTAGAAACAAGAATGTTTTTGTTAACATAAAGCATAAATAGCAATTCGTCTTTGGTTACTAATAATTGCATAAAATATTTACATCAACTTGCAATAAATCACAATATGTAAAGAAATACAAGCATCCAGTTACATCCAAGTATCTTTCTGCCTCGTGGCTTCCTAACCAGGGATCAAAAACAAAGTAGCCTTCACGGGACACCGAACCTGAGTCAGGAACCAGCTTCCCTGGAGCTCTGGAACAAGCTTCACTCTCTCCCCAGGCCTTGAGAGGTGCCTTGGAGTAGAAGGTTATGGAGAGAGAGGCTGCTTTCCAGCCTTCTTCCCTCTCCTCTATGTGTCAAACATCCTTGCTCGGATTACACTAGTTAACACTACTAGTTTTATTTCTCTTGCTGCTTCCAGGAAGCTAACGTATCTGCACTTTCTTCTTTTTGCAGAACGGGGCCAAGTCATTAATAAAAGAAAATCATTCTAGGATTTGCTATTTTAAATGTCCAAAAATAAGAAGAAGGGAGAAAAAAGAGAGGATAATAGGAAAGAGGGAGAGAAAGAAAGAAAACGGGGAAAAAGGAAGAAATAAAATCTCCACAATAGACTGACTTCCAGAGTCAAAATCCTAGAACAATGTCCTGCCAATCAGAAATCCATTTCCCTGGTGGCTGAGCTCTTACGACTGTTCTCTCAGCTTATGTCTATTATTGCCTATATGTAGTGTACGCTATTCAGAATTCTGAAAATTTCTTATTAGCCAATTCTGGCTTTTTGCCAAGTAGTATTTTTTAAGGAAATCCACCCCGCTTTGTCCCTGAACACTTAAAAAAATTGAACAAAATAATTTTTAAATAAGAAAATTATAAAACCAGATTGTTGTAAGCCCAGTTTTTTAGATACTAGAAAAAAATAAAATGTGACAATGACTTAGTGTTTTTCACTTTCACTAGGTTTGATTTCTTTAAACGTTGGGCTTAGGGATAGAAGAAATATCTTACTCATTTTTATTTCCCTACTAGCAGCAAAGTATAGGCTCATAATACATGCATAAAAGTGAACATTTTCAAAATCTGTCTACTGCCTTTCATTTCCCATTGTCTCCTCTTCCATTCCCTCTCCTTATTTGGTAATTCGAGCCAGCCTGAACACCAGCCAATGCCGCAAAGAAATGGAGGGACAAGTAAGTGGCTGCTAGGTTGTTTTATTGGCTGGGCATCAAAAGCCTCATTTCCCACCATGTCTCTGAGGGGATGATGAAATTTGTTCCTGATTATTAGATCAGTATGAATCAGTTTGTTACACTGGAACTAATGGAATAGAATCTAAGACAGGTGAGTTTGGGAAGGAAGGCTAGAGGATGATATCTGGGCTCTTTGCATTTGTCTACTTGAGCTTTCATAACACAATATTAGAGACTGGGTGGCTTAAACAATAGTTCTGGAGACCGGAAGTCCACGATTAGGGAGTCAGCAGGATCAGAACCCAGTATGGGCACTCTTCTTTACAGATGGCTGCCTTCTCATTGTGCTTTCCCATGGTGCGTACCTGGGGAGAGAGACAACCATCTCTGGTGTCTCTTCTTATAAAGACATTAATCCTATGGGGTCAGGACCCCACCCTTACGACCTCATTTAACCTTAATTACTTTCTTAGATGCCCCATTTCCAAGTATAGCTACACATGGGGTTGAGGCTTCAGCATATAGATTTTGGGGGGATGCAAATGTTCAGCCCAAATCACCCCTGGACTCTAGGCATTTTGATGACCAGCATAAAGCATTTCTCACAAAGGGAGAAACAGCAGGAGTGTAGACATTTTTAAACTTTCAATTTTGTCTAGGAAGTTTAACTTCTTCAGTCACTGATGCCCTTGGAAATCAAGCAAAAAATGAGAAAACAAGGAACAGTTGATATGTAAGATTTTAGGCCTAATGCCTGATTTTCTCGCCTGTGTGTCCTACCTCCTGTACATGCCCTGTGAATGAAGAGAATTTCCAGAACTGGAGCATTGACTCCAAATGGTATTGCTGCAAGCACTGAGGCCTAGAGGGCTTCCTTGCTGAGAGACCTGGGCAGGGGAAGAACATGAAGCTAGCTTCACCATGGGACACTCGGCCGCAGCTTAGCTCTCCATCCGGTACAGGGAAGGTCCTGGTCACACCTTCTTCTCCTCCAGCTCTGCCATCATGACCGTGCCCCTTACCACATCCCATCTGCTCTTTCTTCAATGCTGGTCTTCAAAATAAGAGGCGCTTTAGACTCTCAAGGCTTAGCTGTGGAATCTGGAATCAAACTGTGGATGATGTTGAAAATGTCTAGCAAGTTAAAAAACTTTGTCTGTGCAAAACCAAAACCAACTTAGCAAGTGGAGCCAGTCCCGAATCTTGTGCCTCAAGCAAGCTTCCTTCTTACAAAATGCACATCGTGGTCAGGAGTGAAAGACAAAGCGATCTTGCTGTGACACCACAGAGCTCACCAACACTGCCTGAAGAACTGTCTCCTGAGGCCTGGTGGGTGGCTGGATGGTTTAGAGTTCCCAGGCTGGGAACTCAGACAAAGGAGCTGGCATAAATAGAAACTCTCATTACCTTGTCATTAATCTTCTTTGCCCAGCATCAGACAAACATTCCATCGTCTGTGGAAAGCCAAGGCTCCATAAGGGAGGAGGCAGAGAACTGGAGAAATGGGACAGATAGACAGAAGAGAGAGGGGCCTGAAATGAACAGCAAAATGTTTCTGCCTTTTCTACCTTTTATGGTTTTACTCATTTCTTCATGTAACATGTATTAATTGAGCACCTATGAGCATTGAACCAGATGCTGGGGAACAGTGGTGAGACCATAGGGATACATTCCTTGCCCTCAGGAAGCTCTCAGTCTAGTGGAAACACAGATACTTAAAAAATAAATAAATAAAAAATAAAGAAGTTTTACAAGCTGGGTAAAGTGGAGTGAAAAATCCCACATGAGAGTATTTGCAAGACCTGATTTAGCTTGAGAGGGTCAAGGAAGGCCTCCTTGAGGAAGTGGTCTTCTAACTTGTGACCGGGAGGTAGGTGCATCTTTGCAGAGTGGGGATGGCACATTCCAGGCAGAGGCAGGGAAGATGGAAGGCCCTGAGGTGAGGAAGTGCTTGAGGTATTTGAGAAAGCGAAGAAAGACCAGTGTGGCTGGAGCACAATGCTACTGAGGTTGGAGGGGCAGTCTGGCGTTGGATTATGCAATACCTTGTGGGACGAGGCATTAATGTTAGGATTTTACCCTGAGCAAAATAGGGAGCAGTTGAAGGATGTGAGGTGCTGAGAAATCACTTCCAGTTTGCATTACAAGGAAGGACAAATGGAAGTGGAGCTGTTGGCACAATACAGGTGAGAGATGATGGTGACTTGTGAGGGAGCATGAGTATGGGAAGAAGTAAAGGCACTGAAGCCATTCTCTGGATGTAGAATCAATAGAAATTGGATATGACAAGGGAGCAAGAAAGAGACATCAAGAGCTTTTCCCAAAATAAATGGATAGTTGATGATATCATTTATTAAGATGAGAATAGAGCAGTTTGAGGAGGAAAATCAACAATTCACTGTTGAACATGTGAAAGTTGGCTATGAGATGCATATGCAGTATCTAAGTGGAAATGTCAAGAAGACAGTTGGAAAAAATAGCTCTGGAAGTCAGAGTGGGGAGCTGGGCAGGAGGTGTGAAAGGCATTATCAGCATACAGATGATCCTTAAAGCCATGGGTTGGATCAGATGGCTCCCAAAGAGTGTGGACTTAGAAGAGAAGAAGATATAAGTCTAAATTGTAATAACTTCAATATTTAAATTAAAATGGCAAATACATGGTACAGTTACTTTCACTATCTCTCCTTCATCTAGACAAATATTTCTAATGCATTATAGCTCTCTTTCTTACTGGGCCAACATGCAGGATTTGAATCATTCTCAGCACAACACTACAGGAACCTCTGCCAATAGAATCAGCGTTGGCAAAAAGAGATAAAACCTGATTGACTTTCTGGCTTTTGTTCAAGGGTTATAGAAATTTTTTAAGAGTGAAGATTTCTTTTTAACATCAAAATATTTAAACAAGCCCACATAATGGTAGTTTTACTTTTATTTATTCAGCCAATAGACTATATTTATTTCTCATAAAATGCCATAGTTGCCTAGTAGTCCAAGGACCCCCAGCTGGGAATCGTTCTAGTGCTGCAGTTCTCAAAGTGTGGTCCCTGGAGCGGCAGCATTAGAATCACCCGGGAACTAGTTAGCCATGCGAATTCTCAGGCCCCATCCCAGACCCACTGAATAAGAAACTGTGTTATAACAAGCCCTCCACATATTTTTGTTTGTTTGTTTTTTTGAGACAGAGTCCCGTTCTGTTGCCCAGGCTGGAGTGCAGCGGCGTGATCTCAGCTCACTGCAACCTGCCAGGTTCTAGTGATTATTCTGCCTCAGTCTCCCCAGTAGCTGGGATTACAGACATGCACTACCATGCTCAGATAACTTTGTATTTTTCGTAGAGATGGGGTTTCACTACTGACCTCAAGTGATCTACTGCCTCAGCCTCCCAAAGTGCTGGGACTACAGGCATAAGCCACTGCACCTGGCTTCTCCAGATAATACTGATGCAAGATAAAGCTTGAGAACTGCCACTCTAAAGGTTTCTAGAATTAACTGATTCATGTTGCTGCAGAGACAGTAGGCTGATTTCTTCAGTCTGATCATTTTAAATTCCATCAGGAACCATGTCTGGGTTTTCCCAACTTCACTGTTTTCTTAATGTCCATTAAATTTTCTGGGAAAATCAAATATACTTAATAAACACGTGATGAAAAAATTATTGACCGAATGAATAACTTTGGAGCTTGCTGGAGGATCAAAGTAGGGCATGAACAAGAGAGAACCTATAGCCAAGAAGCTTCATCTTTTCTACGAAGCATTTCTTGGTGACAAGGTCAAAAACAATTTTTCTATCCAACGATAACACTATGCAAATTATACTGTAACTTCATTTGATCATTAGACGTCCCTTGGTACCAGAATCATAGGGATGAAAAGGACACTGAGATGGCCACCTCATCATCCTGTGGGTAAACCGAGCCCTGGAAGTGAGGTGGTTAGCCCACTGGCACGCAGTCAGAAACAGCATGGAGTCCCCTAACTTGCCATGGCCTGTAGAACACAGTGATTGTGGAGCCAGGCAGAACCCAAGTCCCCTGCTTATCAGTTTAGTGATCCTGAGCAAGTCTTCCTGGGTTTAAAGTTCTTTATCTGCAGAATGTGAATAAGAATACTTTGCTGACAGACTGCCGTAGAATTAATATGAGATACTGTGTGCCTTACAAAATTAATATTAGTTTTTTGTCCCCACTGTGTGGGCTGAAAAAAAATGCCCCTTTCCACCCCCAAAAGATATCTGCATCCAATTTCCTGGAAGCTGTGAATGTTACCTATTTGGAAAAAGGGTTTTTGCAGATGTGATTTGAGTTAAGGATCTATATTTTCCCCCCAAAAGTTACAGATCTTGAAAGAAAGAGGGTAGCCTGGATTACCTGGGTAGGCCCTCAGTGCAATCACATGTACACTTGCAGGATAGATACTCAGAGAAGACAAACACGTGGAAGAGGAGGCGATGTGAAGACTGGAGCAGAGATTGGATGATGCCGTCACAAGCCAGGAAGGCCGGGGAAGCCACCAAAGCCAGAAGAGGCAAGGAAAGATTCTCCCTAGAGCACCTGCAGGGAGCTCAACCCTGCCAGATTTTAGACGTCTCACCTCCCAAACAGAGAACAAGTTTCTGTTGTTTTGAGTCACCAAGTTTGTGGCAATTTTATAGCAGCCTCAAGAAACAAAGGCACCTAATAAAAACAGAGTGATAGGAAACCTTCCCAGAAATAGGGAAGTGGCTTTGAAGCTCCTTAATCCTCACTACTGTCTTTCATTTCTTTTATATTTTACCCCCAGAATGTCATGGCTGCTGTAAACTCAGAGATTAACTTCCAAACACAGTTAGTGGACTGCAAGGGGCCTCATGCCTTTAAAGAGAGAAGGTTAGAAGAGAAAAATGAACATCAGAGGAAGCTTGAATACGAGGACTGCCCCAGATGCCAAGCATACTCCTACCTAGCCCTGGGAGAATTTGTTCCCAGGGCCAAACACCAGCAACAGGATAAACAGGGTTAGTTGGATATACGTGGTCCCTCCACAGAGGAAGAGGCTGAGGGAAACACCCACCATAAACTGTGTGTAGCTATCAGAAGAATGGCTGGAATCTCTTGAAGTCTAGCATGAATGGATTAAAGAGGGAATCACAGATGGCATTATTTGGAACTTTGGACGGCTCCTATAGTAGGGGGTTGGTAAAAGGCTAGGATGGAAGGAAAGGTGGACATGGGAGAAGGAATTCTACTTCCCAGCTCAAAGGAAATAAGTCTGGGGGTCCTTGGGGGCAGTACGAAGACCAAACTGCCAACTCAAGGTGGAAGATAAGCAGGTTGATCTTTTGGGCTGATCATTTGCTCATTCATTCATCTGAAGCACGCTGTGTAGTCAGTGTAAGTTTTTAAGCACAATACACTGGATGTCTGTCTGTGAATTTCTTGAATCTTCAAGATCAACATTTTAAATACACTGTTGTATCTCCTACTTCTTTATTATATTCTTTTTGAAAACACATCCTTTTCTATATCACAACAGTGGAAAGGATTCCTCAGCTAATTCCAAGACTTTTCTCTCTCTTTCCTCAAAAACTATCCAGGAATCTTGCCAGGTCAACTGGATTGCGTCATATCTATACATATATACCCCTTGGTCTTTCCATGCTATAAATGGCAGTCTTTCATGTCCCTTGTTCAGGAAAGAAAGCAATCAGAATTTGTGGAGAAATATAGCACCCTAGGCCCTTGAGTGTCTTCCTAGAGAATGAGTCTCCCTATCATCTTACAATTGTTTCTTTCTCGAGTGCAATTGTTTAATGCTGAAATATTTTTGTCTGTATGTTTTGTGGTTCTCCTGCTGCTCCTGGTTTCTGTCTCTGCCTTAAATTTGCTGGGGGTGCCTGCCCTCCACACTTAGGCAACATGCACAGACTTTGATTAGCCTGACCTCTACTATTTTGTCTTTTGCTGTTTTTTTTTTTTCTAGTGCATAATGCTAGGCCAGCAAGAGATGTATCCGGTTTGCTTCTTGCATCATTAAGGCTACTGTCTCTTTCTTCCCAAAATATTCTGTTTTGGTAATTAAGTAGATATTTGGCCTCATACCCACTTTAAAGAAGGGAAATGAAAACCCAAGGAAGTAAAAATTATTTGTTTAAGATCATTTAATGAAAATCAGTGATAGAATATCAGGAATTTGAGCTCTAGCTGTTACACTCCTCATTGATATCTTCTGCTAGGAACACCAGGATACAAAGTCTTTGTTAAATATAATTCTGCCTAAAATATTTAGATCTGACACCAGTCAAAGAACTTGACTCACACCAGGGAATGGCAATGCCTATAATATGAAGTTGTTTAGGAGGTACCCAACACCAGTGAGTTGATTGCATTCTGTTCTTGTTGGGTTATATGAGTGGTGGGGTTACAGCTGGGGCGAGAGAAGCAGGAGGGACAGAGTGTAAGACATCCGAGAGTGGACAGAAGGAGCTTCTCTGACATGCTGCCCTGCTTAGCTAGTCTAGGATTACATGCTGTTTATAGCCTTAGCCTCCTACTTGAATGGGCATTTAGGGGCTATTTAGTTTATTCTCCAGCTCCAGGTGGAAATGTATGTAATACAGCCCAAATTTGTGGACATTTCTCTTTTATAAAGACACCCTGTGAAGGAGATGCCATATCACGCTTGCTGATCCTGAGCAGTTTCCAACAACTCTATTATAAAGTTCTTCTGAGCCAGGCACCTTGGTGCACACCTGTAGTCCCAGCTGCTTGGGAGGCTGAAGTGGGGGCATCCTTGAGCCTAAGAGTTTGGGGCTGCAGTGAGCTATGATCACGCCACTGCACTCCAACCTGGGTGGCACAGCAAGATACCATCTCTTAAAAAAAAAGGTGCTTCTGATGTCTTTCCTAAATATCTCTTGCTACAAGATATCCCCTTCTATTTTGCCTTCAGTGGAAATGAAAACAATCTACCGTCTGAAGACAGCAGGAAATACTTTTCACTCGACCCTCAGCTGCTTTATCTACCCTGTGATGGAAAGCCACAAGGCATTTTAATTTTCCTGTTATCTCTTAAACTTCTCAGCATGTTTTCTATGGAAGATTCAGCACTTTGAAGTTTTCCATATATTCTTTTTGGAAGCTCGCATTTCTATTCAGTGCTCCTAACACTCCTCTGGGTTTGTGACATGAGCTCTGCTTTGAAATCTGACTGCATTTCCTGGCCCCTGGCCTCTTCTCCAGCTCATCCTTGGTTTATAGAGTTTAGCAATGGTTGCTAGGCAGTCGGCCATCTCCCTTTTCAGCACCCACCAAGGCTGGACCCCTTAGTCCTTTGTCAGATGGTTGTGAATTAGGAAGTTATTCCTCAAGATTTAGCTGCTTTTTGTGGCTGCTGGGCCTGCTCAGGTACCACCATGCCTTTGTCTGTGTTGTCGTCACTGGATAAGCCCTCCTTTTCCTATGCCAACCTCAATCACACCCATCTGACATGTAGCTCAAGACCATGTAACTGTGGCCCTGAGTAATCTCTATGTCCTCTGAATTCCTCATTATACCCTATAGTCTATCATGGAATAATTCAGTATATTAGACTAATGTTGTACTCATGATAGTGGAGGCAAGGACAGGAAATAGGCTTCCCTTCTTGGGGCAATTCTGAATGATCAGCAGGGATTGCATGCAATGCTGTGATGAGAAGTTTTCTGAGGCAGCATCCTAGTTCAGTGAGAATGTGCGTCATGACTGATTTACTGTATCTGCTTCAAGGACAAGCAGGGGCAAGGGCATACATGTACCATGTATTTGCCATCTTTGTGTTTTGATCTTTCCAGCAAAATTACATGGATAGTACATAACACTTATCTTTTGGATCTTCGTATGTTAAGTACAAGCAGGTACTCAGTAAATATGTATTGACTGTCTACTTGGCATTTAAATGTTGGTGAGCACTGTCATTTAATGTCTTCAAGAGAATATGGCCCAGCAGAGTGACAGCACAGTGCTTTGCCAAACTATTCTGTCCCCATGGAGTAAAGGAGTTCCTTATATAAGAAAGGAAATAGGCTGGGTGTTAAATGCATCTCACTAGTCTCTACTATAAGCATATGTGAACCACTCACTGACGCCATCATTCTTCTCCCAGATTTATTACAGTTGAATTTGTTTGCTAAGTTATTATTCCTTTGCCTAAATTCAGAGCCAAGTTGTTTTAAGCCCAACTTATCCAAATAAAATGTCATAAGGCTGTGCTTCAAATGCTTAAATTGTCATCAATATAAACATACTATAATTAGACAGTTCTCTCTGAACCATCCTTCTCTAGCAATGCTTTGCTTCAATTCTCCTACCTTCTCACTTTCTGCTTTCTTGTTTCCTTCTCTACTTCTAAGAAACTTCCACTTGCTCTTTTTCTGTCACTTAGCAACTCACTCCTAGCTCCTTCCTCTTCAATATTATCATCAATCCTGGAAAAATAATTATCAACACACAATCCTGCTTCCAATCTCTCTTTAACATTTTCACAGACATAAGCAGCAATTGAGGGTGAAGCAGAACTGCCAACAGTTAGCAAGATGGCAGGAGATAAGAGTTAACTGTTGGCCAAATTCCCCAACTGAATGAACGAGTCAACATTATTGAGCTCATTCTGTGCACAATTCTGTATCGAGCATTTTCAGGGAAATGAAAGAAAATGAGAAGCTGACTTCTACCCTTAGGAAACTTAACAGCCTAACCAGAGCCATAGAAGAAGCAGCATAGTTACTTCAAGAATTGTTGATATCGGGGCCGGGCACGGGGGCTCACGGCTGTAATCCCAGCACTTTGGGAGGCCGAGGCTGGCGGATCACCAGGTCAGGAGATTGAGACCATCCTGGCTAACATGGTGAAACCCCATCTCTACTAAAAATACAAAAAAATTAGCCAGGCGTGGTGGCGGGCACCTGTAGTCCCAGCTACTTGGGAGGCTGAGGCAGGAGAATGGTGTGAACCTGGTAGGTGGAGCTTGCAGTGAGCCAAGATTGCAACACTGCCCTCCAGCCTGGGCGACAGAGCGAAACTCCATCTCAAAAAAAAAAAAAAAAAAAAAGAATTGTTGATATATTTTCTAATGACAAAGGTCATTGCAGCCTAAAGTTTAGGAATCAGGCTCTGCTCTGGAATCAGACTGCCTGGCTTTGAAACCAACTGTGTCTGTCCCTGGCAAATTACTTAACCCTTTAGAGCCTCAGTTAGGAAACAGACATGATATTAGTGCCTACCTTATAAAGATATTGTGAGAACTAAATGAGATAATGCAAGCAAAATACATAGTCTTACAATGCTATGTATACTCAATAAATATTATTATTAGTAAACGAATTTTCATGGTAATCCAAATGACTGATTAGGACTTGTAAATCTATAGAGTCAGCTATTATTAGTTTGGTGCAAAAGTAATTGTGGTTCTTGTCGTTCCTTTTAATGGCAATTACTGTTGCACCAACCTAATAGCAGCTAATGTTGATATTAGCCAACCAACTACAGGTGTGATCATCTGTCCCATGCTAGAAATTAGCAGGAATATGGCTGCCATCAACCACAGCTGAACATCTATCTTAGGTTTGACTCTGAATTTATTCAGAACCCATACTTCCATAGGATACCCCGGCACATTTAAAAGTAAAGCTCAAGATTAGGTACTCGGTCATCATCATTTCTGTAGTCCTCCTTTGTTCTCACTCTGGGGAGAACTCAGAGGTCCTTTAAATGAAGCACCTGGGTGCCCAAATGAGGGGATTTGTTCCTGGATCTGACTTGGAGGATTGGCTCAGCCAGGGGCACTCCTGGATGGAATGTGTGAGCTTGCATGATTGTAATTCCCTGGAATGACAGAATTTGTATCTCACTCTCTCTTTCTCTGAATATAAGAAATCTAGGTGGTATCTCCACATTTTTAAGCAAATGGAAGTTGTGAAGCTGCCAAGTAACCCTCAAAGCTCTCTCTCCTTGAAAGGATGTGGTGCACCAAAGGGAAAGAAGGAATTAGTCAGAAACCACAAAGCAATTAATGGCCGAATCAACCCTAATGAAATATTGCTGAGTAAGCAATCCACTCCATTGTAGGTCAGTTGGGATGTCCACAGAAGAATGCACACTGCAGTTTCCTTGGTTGGCCAGAATGAATCAAAACCCAGCACCCCCATTTGCTGTGTGTCTGAGTGTGTGTGTGTGTGTGTGTGTGTGTGTGTGTGTGTGTGTGAGAGAGAGAGAGAGAGAGAGAAGGAGAGAGAGAGAAAATGAGTTTTTCATTTGCATATGTGAAATTGATTTTTCTCTAGTGGGGAAAACACTGTGTAAAATCTTAGAATAACTAGCAAAGGAGACTGTATCATCGTACTAAGAAAGAAAAGTCTAGAAAAATATTTGCTATCTGTAATGACTGGTTTAAACATCTGCCTGAATGAAGACAAAGAGTCAGACAAAAATACTCCCTTTAGCTGGGAGACTCTGACTCCCTACTGCCCCATGCAAGGAATCTACTTGCAGGACCCCTTGGAATTGTCAGAGTCTCTTCCAGCAAAGTCTTATCCCTCCCTCTAGGCAGAAGAGACTGCCTGAGCAAGGGAAGATGCAAGAAAGCACATGCTACAGGAATGTGAGTCTTACTGCAGGCAAATAGCATGGGAACCCCCAAACAGCAGGCTCTGAGGCTTGTCTTCTGCTTCCTAAGGGGCAGGCTCCCCATCTCCAGACCCCGCTCCTCCCACCCTTCACTGTCAGGGTTACCCTCAGGATAGCGTCCCCTCTGATTTGTATTTGCTTGGTTCCGCCATGCACGATGCACTTCCTTGATTTTGACAACAGAGGCTTTGACTCATTCTAGCCTTGTGCGTGTGCACATGCATGCATAAGCTGAGGAGACATATACACATTTCATTGGCATACCTTTTATGATGTTGTCACCAAGCCATATTGTCTCCAGTTGTCAGCTCCAACATCTCTGTTATGAAAAGCACACGTGGTAAGGCTGCCCTTCTATTTCGTACATTACTTATTCTTCAATGGGCCAGAATGGGGAATCTTGACTTCTTAACTTTCTCAACCACAAACCCTGAAGTCTGCATATATTTACTAGGCGCTGTGACAAGAGCATTCAAGGAGGTTTTTTCCAGGGATGGAGATCAAGTGGCTTCCATTAATATCTATCATCTTCTCACAGCATCTCAAAGCTGCTGAAGAGAGACCTGTTGTAGGATGTGTACTCAGAGTCCTCCCTGAGACTGCCTGTTGTGGGAAGGACTTCGCCAGGACCACGACACAAGTTTGTGACTTTTTCAATCAGGAAGCAGCTATGGATGATTCTAGTGAGTGACTTAATATTGCTGCTTTCAATGGGACCCTTGGCTTGCTAGTTGTATCGCTGTGTAGAGGAGAGCTGAATGCTATCCAAGCGGGGGCCCCTCCAGCTAGGTGGAGGTTATATTAGCTCAAAGCAACTACAAAGATAGAACATTCAGGAGCTTGCTAGTAATCGCCTATGGCTGAACTCCCAAGTTTGGGGTCAACACTGGCTACGATGGACTCATTTTCTGGTTATCATGATCCAGTGAAAAATTCATTCCTTCCTTTAACAATTGAAGATTGGAGAAAGTCGGATCAAAAAAGGCAGTGCAAAGAGGTGTAGACTGCTTCCAGGAATGTGTCAACCAATTCCTTTATCTAACAGACTTTTCTGTGCTTACCAAGAAAAGAGGATCTCACTTTACCCCCATCCACACCCTAACTGGTGTAGGTCTCACTGTCCACACCAGAGCATCAGGCCTGAGGACTAGCCCCATTGCTCACAGTTATGAAACAATTATATTCTCCAGATGATTCTTGGGGGAAAATGCCAAGAGAAAAGAAATGGGGGGAAGGAGAATTTCTTAGGCAAGAATCTCGAATTTAAAAACTCCACATAAGATGTCTCCAATTTTCATAACTCCAAAAAGAAAATTTCAAGGAATTTAGATTATTTTGTCTGAATAACAGAAGGCCTGGGGGTAGAAGGATTAGAACTGAATCATGATCTTCAAGACTACAAAATACCTTTGTTCCCAAATAATGGTCTTCTTTGGCAATGAAGGCTGAACATTCAGGAGGCTGGGGGCTGGAAGATTAGGAGGCATGCAGTATTTTGGTAGGAAGTCATATATTTGGTTTCTCTGTTAAGTTCGTGAAAGAAAATGAATGAATCTCTACAGTGGAAATGACTGGGTTGGGACCAAGTGAGCTGCACGGCTCCTATCTGCCCTGTGACTCTGATATTTTCCATATGTGCCTCGATGGACAGACAGGTAATCAGGCCATTACAACAGTGGTGGGGAGTAATGGTAGCTCCTGCCCATGCCTGTGAGAGGCCCTCAGCCAGCTACAGGTATGGGAGATTTGGAGGAGAATGGTTCCCTTGGAGTACTCAGTAAGATGCAGCAGAGAGCATGGGGAAGAGCAGGGGAAGCCACAGATGTGCAATCAAGGGGACAAGAGAGCATCTCCCTTCCTCAAGAATATTCTTGCAGCTCCACGTGGCAGGGCCTGGGGAAATGAAGGCAGTGGAGAGACAAGAGGCTGGACAGTGAGCTGGTCCTGGTGGCGCAGGACTGGAGCCCACTCTGAAGCCACTAGCTCTATTCTAGGGACGGTGGGAAACCCCCTAAGAGCAAACTCAAATAAACCTGGGCCTGCGCATGACCTCCCACACCCAGCAGGGAATTCTGGTCACTCTTCCCACCTGGTTAGAACTTAGGAGCTGGGTGGGTGGCTGGGGGAGGATGCAAGGTCTGATTTTTGCCGTACAGCACCCAGAAAACTCTCTTACAGTCCTCTGAAGACCTTTTCTCCCCAAATTCCACTCATTCTGAAGGGCTGAGTATCTGCTGTGTCATAATTTCCCTGTCACAGAAGAGTTGTAAGTAGAGAATGAGATTTACATTCTAAGGACTATTCTGATGTCAGTCCTGAAAGGGGCCAAAGGGAACTGTCAGAAACAAATGAGGAATTAGAAGGACATAGAACACCGTTCCCTATGGGTAAGAGATTCCGGATCATGGCAGCAGAAAGAATTATTTTTTTCTGATATGAAAAATGAAGACACTGAAGCCCAGAGAAGGCAATGACTAGCTAGACTTTCACTGCTTGTGTTGGCCCAGTATGTGGGAGTGAGGGTGTGGAGCAAGGGAGACAGAAGCTCATTGGCTAGAGTGACCCCACGGCATCCTTTGCATTGGACAGAAATATAATTCCTGTTAAAAAAAAAAAAAGTGGTTTTTTTTTTTTCCTTTAGATTCTGGGGTCTGCGTTAAACCCCAGAACAATTTACCTTGTTCTTCCCAGAAGCCTTGTTCAGCAAGAGGAGGGAGGCCGAAGGCGCTGACCACTAGAGGGGGCGCTGCCTCCACCTGGCACAGACCACGGGGTCGGGGGCGGGGAGGAGGACAGCCACTAGGTGAAAGGCAGGGTCGCAATGGGTTGCACTGAAGTGTTGCTCTATCAAAGGCTTTCTGAACACAAGACATAACAAACCTTAAACTCTGTGTTTATGCCCAGGGATGGGAAGGGGACGTGGGAAAGAAAGACAATATGGAAACTCAGATACCTCTGGAAGAACTGCAAGTAAAGGCAGGGTGCTCCTCAGAGGTTCCTCAGAATCCCCAGTGCTTGTTTTGGACAGGAAACGCTGAAGGAAGAGCATGCAGTTAATCTTTTGATGAAGCGTTTTAGAACAAGTGCATTCAGATCAGATCTGATGTAGAGCCAGCTCTGCAGGACAGCTCCCTGTGTCCTGACAGGGGATGCTGGTTATCCTTTATCCACCGGGTTAGAGCGTAGTAGCTAAGCAGAACGTTCTGAAGGTTGTACCTTTTCCCGCTCTGCATAGCTGAGTGTGAGCAGGGAGAGACCATGTTCAGAGATGTCGCTAGAGGCTTGCTGGTAGGAGGAGGAATGGCAGCAGGGGTGAGTTCCGGCTGGTGCTCCCTGCTCCATTGTGGGGTATTGTGGGCTCTGTGGGGTCACAAGGTCTCACTCCTGGCTGGACTCACTCCTGGGAGGTGGCTGAGCTGATGCAGTGGTGTTCAGGATGGCAGCTGCTACCTTGCCTGGTCTCTTAGCCAGGTTATTAGTAGACTGCTAGCCTCTGTTTACCAGGAAGCAAAAGTGTCCCTCTTATTCCTGAGACTACTTCTAAGTTACATCTCAATGAAAAAATAACAAGAAACAAAATAAATGGGTCTCACTCCCACTGCAAACTACCCTCACCACAAACTATCCCCACTCTTAATTAGAGAGAAAATATGGTGGGGGCATAGGAACTGGAGTCCCATTATGCCTCCGCTCGGTGCTCACATGGCGATGCATGCCTCCCGTCTCTGGATTTCGGAGGCTCCCTGCACACAGCCAGGGTGTCTGAGGGAGTTCAGGGTCCTCTTGCTGCAACACAGAGCCCGTGGGATTGCTTTTGTGCGTCACAGGGAAAAGAGCCCTTCCTGTTGACAGACCCAGCCGTCCTGCCCATGATGAATTGCATCTCTACGAGGGGACTGCTGTTGTGGTTTTCCCTTCTCTCGGAAGGTTCATCCCCAGGTCTCGTGGCACTTTAGAAAATGAACTGCTATAATTCCACGCTGAGCGCACAGCCCTCCACAACCAGGCCTCTTCACTCTAATATGGCTGCTGGTTTTGTCACTCAGGAGGCCAGCAGCTGGTAGCCTTGGTGGCTCCTCCCCATCAAGGGAGGCGCAGAAGCAAGGGAGGCGTTCCTGCTGGCTGCCTCTTAAAGAAGGACTGCGGATGCTGATATTCCAGGGAGCCAGGAGGAACTGCAAGCCCGAGGGAGTGTGGAGGGGGGCGGAGCCTGCTGCAGTCACAGAGGGACACAGCAAGACCTAGGTCTGCTCCTGGAGCAGTACTTCCTCACTGGGTGCCTGAACTCAATGCTATTTATTTTAGTTTTGGTGATCCAATATCTCCAACTTTCTAGAACAGTTTGTCTCTGCCTCTCTCAAACCCACCAGATCATCCCCTGCTCTGAAAATAGAAAAAGATGGTCCCTATGGCTGTAGGAGATTCATAATTTATCACTTCATGCTAATTCAATTTTATAACCATACATATGGTTTTCAGGTTATCTATGGCTGTGTGAAAACTTTAAAACTTAATGGATTTAAAACTATAGCCAGTCTTTATGAGTCCTTTGTGGGTGAAGACATTGAGCAGGAATTGGCTGGTCAATTGTTCTGCTCCATGTGGCATTGGCTGGGGTCATTCAGTGGCGTTCAGCTGGCAGCTGGACTGGCCTGGAGCATCTGACGGCTTCACTCATTCACCTGGGGCCTTGGTGGGACAGCTGGACTGCTGGGCTCACCTGGTCCTTCTGCCTCTCTTTGAGCCCCAAAGTGTCTCTCTAGCAGTGTAGTTGGATCTTTCACAGGGCAGCTCAGGGCCTGAAGACCAAGGCAGGACCTGCCAGTCCCCAAAGTAGCATAGCATCACTTCCACCACGCTCTACTGGTCAAAGTAGCCACAGGCCACCTCAACTCAGAGAAGGGGAAATAGAGGCCATTGCTCAATAGCAGGAGTGTCCTATAATTTGAAGCCATCTTTAATCTGCCACCAAAGTCCATTTATTGATGGAAATGATTTATCTCTATAGACAAGGGGTGTTCTTTTTCTTCCAGGCACACTCCTAACACTCCTAACAGAAAACTTTTCTTCAGTCCTGATGCGTGGGGGCCAATTCATCAGGAAGTTTTCCAAACCGTTTGAGGAGGTGTGGGTTATGCAGTGATCAGGGTATACACAAAACAAAACAACATTGCCTTTAATACACATCAGAATTGACAGTAATTCTTCTATGTTTTTCCCCTACCTGGGTCATCCAGATGACCTTATCTCAGGTTACAAGTTGAATTTGGTAATAATAAATGGTTGCTTTGTATATCTAGTATGTAGAATTAATTCCGCTTTGTAGAGTTCCATATGGCCTGGCCACTGACCCAAGAGGATCATACTTTTTCAAAGACAGGATTCTCTAGTTTTCCTTTTAACTCTCTCAGTGAATGTTGACTGAGCATACACTACATGATGGTTATGGTGTGTGATTTTCTTTACACACACTTATTCTGTTATCTTTCAGGGCTTTGAGTGACCTTTGGTTCCCTGTAGGTAAACCCAGGATATCAGTGCAGATAGAGAACATACCAGGGCAGAACCCTAGGCCCTAGACTGTAGGAACTGTTTGGCAAAAATGTGAATCTCAGCAGCTGAACTACCCTGGCAGATGGCAAGAGGAGATTCTGTCTCATAATTCAAGCACCAGAAAGTACTACTCTTTAGACCAGATGCACCTAGAGAAAGTTTCTGACAGGTGTACCTTGCTTGCCGTGGAAATGCAGAAGGCTCTTCTCTCGCAGGTTTGGGAATGTCTCCTTGAGGGCATTTGGGCTGGTTTCAAGCTGTCGCGTGACATGGCCCATGGGTATCCTTGGCAGTTCCATTCTAAGTACTTCCAAAGTTCTCTGACAAGGCTAAAAACTCCTCATTCAACCAAAGATTCTTGCACATTATTTAAATAGGATGCAAATGCATGGTCTGCTCTGAGCCCTGGCAGCTTTCAATTTTTATATTTTCAGAACGGTGAGGCCTGCCATCAGTTCACTTGAAGTTCAGTCCAAGATGTGCCTGTCCCTGACATTTGTTCATTCTTTATGAAGGTAACATTTTGAAGAATTTAAAAAGAAATCATCTTTGTACTCCATTCCCTACCACCCTCCAAAACAAATTTTAAAAAATATCAGACATTTGTTGCATGCATAATAGCTGGAACGTGACTAACTTCTTTCCCACTGCCTGAATTTCCAAGTTGGATTCTATAATCCCTCTCTTTGGCAATTCCTGGTCTATTTCGTTTCTGATATTTCAGTGATAGGAACTGCCTCTTTGACCCAAGGGATTAGGCTCATAAGAGCATGAGCAGATTCTGTCAGATGGTTGAGCCTGGCTGCTGTTAGGATGAATGGCAGGGGATCAAGCCCGCCAGTGACAATGCAGAGAGTGAGTGCAGAGGGAGGGATGATTCTTCCCTTTGTGCTCCTTCCCTCCTGTCACAGTGTGAGTCTTGAGCCCATTCACTCACAAGCTGAGCACACAGCTTAGAACTGACAGAAGTCCCACCTTCTTTGCACCTGGGATCTGTGGGGAAGGGAGGCCTGCATGAAAGACAAAACCACAGGCCGAGGAGCAGAGAAAGAATGGACTCAGGGAAGTACTGTGTGGGTGGCATTTCCTCTCCGCAGGCTGCAGGTGCCTCTCAGGCTCTTCCAATTCAGCGTGTGTGTGTGTGTGTGTGTGTGTGTGTGTGTATGTGTATACAGAAAAAGCATATATATATCTATATGACTGTATATATACATAAATATATATATATATATGCTCTCTCTATACATACTGTGTGTGTTTATGTAGATATATACACATACATACACTTTCCATATTATGGCTAGTCCAGAGAGAAAGAAAAGAGAAAGGGATAAGGAAAATAAAGAAGCGAGAAAGGAAAGAAAAAGAAGGAAAAAGTATATAGAAAATGTGGTGTGGCATACTGGTAACTGTTCCTCCAAAGCTCCAACGTCTCTTTGCCCTTTCTTCCTGGACATGCATCCATCCCACTGGAAACTACATTTCCCAGCCTTTCCGGTGGTGAGGCAGGGCCTTGTGACTCCACTCTCACCAATGGAGGTGAGTGGAATTGACATGTGCAGTTCCAGCTTTGCCTACCCAAATCAAAAGCAGTGCCTTTGGAGTCTCTCCTCGGGCTCCTTGTGTTCTGGAATGCTGACTGTGTTAGCTCAGCTTGGACCACCAAGAAGTATGAAAGGAAAGAAACCTGGGTCCCTGAGTGAGCTTGTGGAGCAGAAGAGTTGCTCTGCTAGCCAAGACTGGCACTAGACTGCTCCGTGAGACAGAAAGAAACCATCATATTTAAGTTAATTGTATTTTAGTATCTCTTTATTGTAGCACAGAGGGCTATGATCTGTAAAGAAGGGAAGAGGAAGAGGAAAAACTGAGCACTTATGAAAAGGAATTTTAATGTAGTGACACATAGTTTAGTGTCTGTGGATGACACTAAGAAAACAGAGAGAATAAGAGAAAATGAGCTGGTAACATGGAGGACAATTGATGAGAGGGCAGCTGCTGGAGGGTGCTGGGGAAATATTGAGACTGCTGCCCACTTCTCCCAGGCCTTACCTGACGACCATGCCATCTCCTACAGTGCTTTTAGGTTATTAGATCTTCCGTGTTTACCTGAATGTCTCAAAAGGATGAAGATGACCAAGTTAGAGGCATAGGTGTTGGTAAAGTAACAGTGTGATAATCGATTGTAATAATTCTCCAGTGGAATAGGTGGCTTACAAAGCAACAAACGCCCATCTCTGAGTGTGCTCAAGAGAGGTTGCACGACCACTTCTTGTGGATGATCCCTATGTTGACCGGGCAGGCAGAGGTTGCAGTGAGCTGAAATCACGCCACTGCACTCCAGCCTGGCAACAGAGTGAGACTCCACCTCAAAAAATAAAAAGAATAATTTCTAAAGTTGTATCCAACTTGAATAATCTCCAGAACGTTTGAGTCAGGAAAGTTAAGTAACTTCTTTTCTTTCTTTTTTTTTTTTTTTTTTTGAGACGGAGTCTCGCTCTGTCACCCAGGCTGGAGTGCAGTGGCGCGATCTCAGCTCACTGCAAGCTCCGCCTCCCGGGTTCACGCCATTCTCCTGCCTCAGCCTCTTGAGTAGCTGGGACTACAGGCGCCCACCACCACACCCGGCTAATTTTTTGTATTTTTAGTTGAGACGGGGTTTCACCGTGTCAGCCAGGATGGTCTCGATCTCCTGACCTCGTGATCTGCGGCCTCCCAAAGTGCTGGGATTACAGGCGTGACCCAGAAAGTTGAGTAACTTCTTAAAGGCTATGTGAATTATTTTCATTTCACATCACTATTCACTTGAGCAGTGAGATTTACACACTTATCAGCTCTTACGCTTGCTCTTTAAACATCCCCAGTAACTGGCTGCAACTTTCTTTTTTCCCCATGTAAATCATAAGCTCATCATGAGCTGTGTTTTCCCTATACACTGTACCAAAATACTAGTTTCATGGTTTTGCATTCAGTGGCAACCTCAGATGTGCTACCTGACAGGGTAAGGCCAGCTGCCTAAGCCTATGCAGTATGCTTTTAGACTTGCTGGGAGGTCCGCAGTCATGAAAATATATTTCTCACCAACAGAATCACAGATACCTGAAATTCAGCCACCAGCATTCATTCCTTTGTATTACCCAAGGTTCTTTCTGAGCAGCTCTTTCTGAAAACACAATTGCCCATTGACAGGGCATAACATTCAATGCATATATGGGAAAGGGGGAATGTTTAAAGAGGAGGTTGACAGTGGAGAAAAAAATCTCTATCTGTGGCTCTTGATCCCATAGCCATCTTTGTGTCCGTTGCTGATATAGGAGAAACACAAGGCAGCCCCTCTGTGGTCTTTATTTTCTTCACCCCATGACTTCCAAGCACATTCATCTCCCAGACCAGTACATGATGAAGAGCTGATGGGAATGTGTGGCCAAGAGAGCCAGCTGGCTGCTTGGCTTGGCCAGACCTCCCTTTCCTTACCTAGAGCTGCTCTGGGCCCTGGATCCCCACACATAATCTTTTACCTCTCGGTGTTCGACCAGTTGGCCAGGCCGGTGCTCCTCGTTCCTTTTATGCACAGGTCATCTGAGGAGAAAGGGGACTCAGGACAGGTAGTTTTTTGGGGGGGAGGAAAGGGGGGGTTTCTTGGATATGAAACAAGAGACTGTCTGGAAGTTCAGTCATTGATGGAGGACCTGAATCACTTGCGATAGCAGAAGGTCACCTGGCAATTGACAGAGGGTGAGGGTGGGAGGCTGCAGGGAAAATAAAAGAGGAGAAAGATGGTAAGCAATTCATTGGGATGTGCCTCAATATGGATACTAGGATTCAAACTTAGAAATGTCTATTTATACATTTTTAGGGCACTTTTGACTTTCTGTCATGATATCCTTGAGTCTTCAAAGCTGGAAGTTTCCTGACATGAGAGGAGGATTTGGTTTTATTCTCAGCCTCTCCAGATAATACAAAACTTTGATTTTATATTAGGCTGTCACCTACCTTGTGCAGAGAAATAGGCAAGAAATACATTCCTGTTAAAAAAATAAAAAGAAGATTATAGCTTGCTTAGAGAAGAAGGGAAGAGAGGAGAAGATGAGGAATCACAGCAGAATCCTGCATCTAAAGTGGGCGGAGGGTTGGGAGTTGCGGCGAAGAGGCTGACAAAAAAAAAAATAGAAAGAAAGAAAAAGAAGAAATAAAGAGCCTGATCCTTCTCAGGATCTAGGCTGACAATTCACAGTCCTAATGCACCTTAAGGGTTAATGTGCAAATCTGGGTGTTGTACTGAAGAGGCTGAATTGAATGCATGGGACTCTCACGAGCTTGGTTCTGAAACTTGGCTCACTGGGGTCGGCTTATTACTGAGAAGGTGTTGAGAAGCCTGACAGAACATCTGCCTGATAATTTTTAAGTCCATGCTTAAACTTTCGATCACCCAGTTGACTATGAACTCCTTGAGGGAGAAAATGGAGGACATGTCTGTTTATTTTGTCCTCAGTGCTTAGCTTGATATCTTGAACATGGTAGAAGCTCAAGGCAGGGCGAGTGCTACTTACCAAATATTTGCTCTTAGCTGCCCACGTTTCCCAGCCTCCATGTTGTTAGGTGGTGCCATGTGACTCATCCGATCGACCAGCTGGGGAGCAGAAGGGATGAGTGTCACTTCTAGGTTGAAGCCTAACAGAGCTGATGAGAGACCCTCCACCACCAGCTCTTCCCTTGCACACCAGAAGGTCGTGTGCTCCAGGCCTGCAAAGTTGTGAGATGGGGTATGGAGTGTTGCCCTCCCACTAACTCATGCTGGAAATGTAGCCTAAGTGACAAATAAGCATTTGTTGTTCTGAATGTTTGCCACTTTGGAGTTATTTGTTACTGCAGGATAATTTAAATGATCTTGACCGCTAGAGTATTCAATAGATTTTGTTCAAAAATGAATGAATGAATGAATGAATGAATGAATGAATGAATGAATAAATGAATGAATGGGCTAAGCTGATAAATGTAGAGCAACTGATAGGATTTCCTATTTGGAAACCCCACAGCTTTTTACCCTTTTTTTTCCCATCAAGGTCTTAGTTCTTTGGGAATTAACACCATTCTGTCTTCCCTAACAATACCATGAGGTCTTTTGGGGAAGGAGGTAAATGTTGGACATAATAAATTACACCAAACCCTATTGAACATCAATCATGTTTTAGACACTGCATTAGAACTGGAAACACAAAAGTGGATAAAACATGCCCTTGGAGGATTCCCAATCTAGAAGGGGAGGTGGATCAATAGCCAATTCATTACAATAAGTACTATGCCAGCTGTCCAGACCAGACAGCTGCACTACCAACAGCAGAGAGAGCCTAATTCAGGCTGGGAACTTTAGGCCGAGAGGGTTGCATATGGCAAGGCACAGAGATAAGAAAGAGCAGGGCATGTTCAAGAAACTGAAAATGGTTTTAGAGAACAGGCTACAGGAGAGAGATGGCAAAAAGGGTTCTAAAAGCTTGAGCAGAGGCCAGGTCGTGAAGACCCGTTGTGCCTCATTGTGGAATTGGGCCCGCATTGGGTAGATATGTCTTGTAAGGTATGTGGAGAGCATGGTGTCCCCACTAGTCAGAACTCTTATAAAACCATTAGGTTGGGTGTGCTGCCCCACACCTGTAATCCCAACACTTTGGGAGGCAGAGGCAGGTGGATCACTTGGGGCCAAGAGTTTGAGACCAGCCTGGGGTACACAGTGAGACCCTGTCTCTATAAAAACATGTAGAACAGTTAGCCAGGCATGGTGGCATGCATCTGTGGTCCCAGCTACTCCAGACACTGAGGCAGGAGGATCACTTGAGCTGGGGAGGTCGAGGCTGTAGTGAGTTATGATGGTGCCACTGCACTCCAGTCTGTGGTGACAGAGTGAGACCTGTTCTCTGAATAAATAAATAACTAAAATCATTTAACCTCTGTGTGTTGGTGACAGAGAGCTATTGAGATATTTGACTCAGGGGAGTAGCATGCTGGAATTTTCACCTCAGAAAGCTCATGTGGATAGTGGTGTGGAGCATGGATTGAGGTAGAGAGAGAGCGGAGGCAGCCCCAGTCAGCAGGAGGTCATGTGGCCTCACCAAGTGATGATGATGCTCTTTGGACCCAGCTGCCTGAGGTTTGGAGCCTTCCACCCCCATCATGGCAATCTGTCTTGAGCTTACCTCCCCTAACAAACATACTGATTTAGCATGAGCCAAATCAGTATCCCATCTGCCTCTGGGTCCCAGCACCCTTTGGGAAGCTCCTTGGCATTTCTCTAGGAGGCTGGCAGAGGTCTTCCCTGGGGCCTTGGATGGTCTCAACATCCCTAGACTGCCTGCTTCATACCAGACACTTGAAGGAGCTCTTAATATATCCTGGTATTTTTCCAAACTCTTTCTTTCCCTGCTTCTATTCTCTATGCTCAAGATAAAACACACAACCATCTTAATAGACAGCAAAATTTCACTTCTGATGTAGTTTGAATTGAATTGTTTTGCAAGTCTTTTACAAAGGGTTTTGAACGCATAGGGCAATTGGTACTACATACGTTTATGTAGTATTTTCTTGTTTGTTTTATATCAGGGTAAAAGTGAATTTCTGTGACAAATTGGGTAGCTTTCCATCTTTTCTCTATTTTTACTGCATAGTAAAATAATAAATTCCAGATGGATTAAATAATTAAATCGTTGCATTTCTCAGATAAACTCATTGAACTGGATTCTTCTTTTAACTTACTGCATGCCTGAATTAGACTCATGAGAAAGTCAGAGGATTCTCTCCTGGACAGATACATTTTTGGGGGGATGTGTTTTGGAGGGGTATAAGAAGAAGTGAACAAAGGTATGACGTAATGTGCACAGCTTCAGTGGGTACTTCGGGGGCAGGTAATAACATTAGAGGTGACAAAACAGAACCTCTCTCTATGTGTGCACATTTGTGCCCATCCAGCATGGTTCAGCGATGCTAGAGATGGATTCAGCCTGCTTCACAGATTTACCTCTAGAAGAAAAACCCAAAATGAGAAGAAAAAAAAAAAAAACCTGCCTTTATCCCATGTCTTTGATCAGCCTTAGGGCTGGGGCTAGGTCAGGCCTGAGAATGCTTCCGCCTCCTTCTCCTTCCCTAAAGATGGCAATGTGACAGGCTCCAGAGTTCAGTTTGGCAAAACCCCTCCTTCCCAGCATCATGCCCTGACAACCTGGCTCTGTCCTCCAGCCATTGCCATGGAGAGACATAGATCAGGCCCTTTGGAGAGGGAGGGTTTGCAGCCAAGGCATTTATGCCCCCCGGGGCTCCCTTCTGTCATCCCTCCTGCTCTGCACGGCAACAGCACTGCTCCGCGCCCACTGCCTGTGGGCATGGCCTCCCTAATTTGACATTGGGGGCTCCTCGCATCGGTTTTCATGGGGGGTTGAGGCTGGCAGCAGGTAGTGTCCAGGAGGATGCTGATGCTGGAAGGCTGGAGACATGTAGGAGATGGGGTGTCACTTGCAGTCTCTGCAAGAAGCCCAGTCAGCAGGTCTATGGCTCGCCAACAGCAGCCACGTGTGAGAACCAGCAGAAAGGCGGAAGGTGGGTTGGCAAGAACCGAGGGGGCAGCTTACAGATAAAAACCACTGCCATCGGGGAGCCTTGTACATTGTACAAAGCACTTTTCCATTTGTCATCTAACAACCCTGGGAGGCAGGCAAGCGAGGCAGACATAATTAATCTCACTGTACAGATGATGAAATGGAGGCTCAAAAGAAATCCCAGCTGAATAGGAGGTAGAGCTGGGAGTTGAACCCTGATCTTCTGACTCAAATTTTCATGCTCCATTGTGCTAAGCTCCTGCCCCTTTTCTTTCTATTCTTTCCCAAGTAGCCTACTTCTTTCTTGAAATCCACATTCCCCCACGTGAGAAAGTCCAGGCTCTTCTCTTCTCTGACCCTCCCTTTTCTTGTACATACCTTTTCCCAGTATGATCAGAAAATTATTCATACTAAAATGTGTATGGTTTTGCAGTGCT
Organism: Homo sapiens; assembly: GCF_000001405.40. Lineage (NCBI taxonomy): Eukaryota > Metazoa > Chordata > Mammalia > Primates > Hominidae > Homo > Homo sapiens. Next base: position 5,211,531 of record NC_000012.12, read on the forward strand.
GTTCCAATCAGAAATATTTACATTGTAACTAGTAAAGAAAAAGCCTTACATGAAAAGAATGAAATACTAATGAGAAAGCTTTAAGCATTAGAAAGCATAATTTCGGGCCGGGCAATTGCTCACGCCTATAATCCCAGCACTTTGCAAAGCCAAGGTGGGTGGATCGCTTGAATAGGAGTTTGAGAACAGCCTAGATAATATGGCAAAACCCCATATCTACAAAAAATACAAAAATTAGCCAGGTGTGGTAGTGTGTGCCTACAGTCCCAGCTACTAGGGAGGTTGAGGTGGGAGGATCACTTGAGCCTGGGAAGTGGAGGCTGCAGTAAATGGTGAGGGTGCCACTGTACTCTAGCCTGGGCACCACAGTGAGACCCTGTCAAAAAGAGAGAAGGAAGGAAGGAAGGAAGGAAGGAAAGAAGGAAGGAAAGAAAGAAAGAGGAAAGAAAGAGAGAAAGGGAGAAAGGGAGAAAGGGGGAAGGAAAGAAGGAAGGAAGGAAAGAAAGAGAAAGAAAGAAAGAGAGAGAGAGAGAAAGGAAGGAAGGAAGGAAGGAAGGAAAGAAGGAAGGAAAGAAAGAAAGGAAGGAAGAAAGAAAGAAAGAGGAAAGAAAGAGAGAAAGGGAGAAAGGGGGAAGGAAAGAAGGAAGGAAGGAAAGAGAAAGAAAGAAAGAGAGAGAGAGAGAGAGAAAGGAAGGAAGGAAGGAAGGAAGAAAGAGAGAGAGAGAAAGAAAGAAAGAAAGAGCTTTTGAGGGAACGGGGTCTTATGGTTCCTCCCCGACCAGGCCCAGGTTAATTGCTTCTCAGGCTGACCCAGAGCTACTCTCCATCTTCATCAGGGATCAGACAAGGGGTAGAGCCAGAAAGTTAGGACAGAAAGAAAAGAAAGGTCCCATTGCTGCACAGTCAAGCTTGCCAAGATATTAGGAGTTTGCTCTACAGCTCCCGGGGCACTTCCGGAAGCTTCATTTGAGGCCTGACTAGAGAAGTCCAGTCCAGGAGCACAGTGTGCTCCACTCTGCTCTCTGCCCTGTCTTCTTACCTCAAAAACCAAGGTTCAGAGAGCCTCCCCAGAAGCCGAGTCCGACTAGGGGGAGTGGCTCATCGCCAGAGCTGAGCCTAGATCTGCATGGCATGGCCATTTCTACTCCAGCTCGGGCCCTTCATGCACCACTGTGCCCACAGTTATCTGGCCTCAGAGACTGGGGATGCTGAGCCAAAGGAATTGCAGAGGGCATGCTGGCTTTGGGATCGATTCCTTACCCTGGGTGGTGATGGTGAAGGATATACTGGCAGAACTTTGCTTGGAAGACAACTGTGACCTGCTTCTTTGAAAGCTATCCCCTCTGTGTGTGTGCCATGTTTGTAAATGTGCTAATTTCAATGCCTCAGCAAAAGGTCCTGAGCATGCAACAGAAGAATAAACATGAAAAGGTCTCCCTGAGTGGTCATTCTGTTGGTGAGGGGCTGCCTCTGGTTCCTGCCAGGCTTGTGGGCTGTCCTGCCTGGACTGTGTCCTGTTCTGTAGAAGAAGGGGAGGGAGCAGCAAGATACCAAATATATATTCTGGGCAACAACTTGCAAATGGTTTAATGTTTTCCAAATGCAGGGCTGCTGCGGAGGGCCTGTGTTTTATGACATGAGGCTATTTATTATAGGTTTGTGATACGGGCCAATCATTTCCTGCTCCAAAATAACAACGTGGGCTTGACCCAGGCACCCAGAACTGAAGCCAGAAAAAGAGTAAACAAAACCTTGTTGGGACGGCCAGCAGAGGGCTTGGGATAGATATTTAGGGGTCCTCCAGGGCTTTGTCAATTCTCCAGTTTTTATTCTTCTCAAAACTTCACCCACTTCATCTTCATTTGACCTCAGACTCTTAGATCTTGCACCCATTTGAAAGAATAAACAGTTAATCAACCTGAAAAGAACAAAACATTATCTTCTTCCATTATCCTGATGCCAAGTCTGCAGATGTGAGTATGAACACAGTTGTGTCTGTAGCTGAGCTGAGCTCCTGGCATAGATATCGCCTTGGCTGTACATTCTAGTTCCTGCAGGGAATTCTACTCTTTAGGTAAAAATAGCTTTCTAAGAAAAAGGTTAAAGGTAAGTGTAACTTGCAACCCATGGTCTTCCGTAGTCTATAATACCCTATGGTACATTTTGCTTAGACATATAGTCAGGACAAAATTTTTATTTTATTTCAATGTACAGATGAGGAAACTGAGGCTCAGAGAGAGAGAGACGAAGCGGACTGTTCCTAATCATACAGCCAGCAGGAGCCCAGCCTCGGTCTCTCTGATACCAAATCCCACAAACCATTTATTCCCTAGGGATTAATCTTTTCTTCTAATATGTTGCGGGGGCAGGGACAGGAACAAATTTGCTGTAGGATATAGAGAATTAAGAGGAGAAGAGAAAATAAACCTGAGTTAGGAGGAGGACTCTAAAACTGGGGTCTGGAGAGCAGCTTGCACTACAAGAGGCAGAATGAGAGGTGAGTGATCCAGGACACACAAGCATCAGTTGCAGAGTTTCTTGGGGCTGGTCTAGATCATTTGACATTAATACTGGGCATGGGTATAAGTGTCCCTTTTTTGCTTGTTTGTTCTTAAACAAAAGTAATGTGCAATGTTGACATAGGAGAGCCCAGGGTCGTGAGTCAGGAAGCCTGAGTTTGGTTGTGGACTCTGCCAACAGCCTGCCGTATGACCTTGAGTAAGTTAACAAGGGATCTCCATTACCTGGACTGGAGTGGGAAGGTCAGAAATAATCTGTGAGGCTGGAGCCCTCAGACTGTCTGTGGATCTCTGCTCCTGGCTGAGAGAAGAGGCCTTGGGGACAGGCATGGGCTCATAACTTCTACAGGGGAGAGAGAAAAACAGTCACGGGGCTCCCCTGGTCACTTTGATGCACAAGTCCTGGGCTTGGCGGAGACAACCGGAGAGCTGTAAATAGCCCCGTGGGTCTCGAGGGATCAGCGGGGACTCCTCCACAGGATCTCTAAATTGAGCAGCTGTGGGAGGTGCAGACTCGCGCCCTGCTGGCAGGATGAGGGTCACCGGGGCTGAAGGCTGGGAAAGGCCCCGTGTCATCGATTGGGAAGATCATAATCTCATGCATTTGTCTACTGCCTTCTTATGATCCCTTCTCCTTTGATCCCACACATCCGCATCCTCGGAGGGCAGGGGGCTAGTGGCGTTCTATTTTCTTGTGGAGTGATGGCCTGGAAAATATAATGTACGGGAGATGTAATGGTGACCCACCGACCTGGCCGGGATGCCTTGCTTCCCCTTCCTCCCACACCTACACACACGTGCACACGTTGAGAGAGACTGAGTCAAGAGAGTGTACTCTCATTCCTCCTGGGCTTCACTTGGTTCTCAGATGGGATATCTGTAGTAGCATTCAGCCTCGTATTCACCTTCACCTCTTACAATGCAGTTGAGAAGGAAGGTAGGCGTGCTGTAAGACTTGGTGACAATTGCAAGTAGAGGTTGACAAACACTCTGCTTACCTGGCTCTGGACAGTAGAGGAAACCCCAAATGTGGTTTAGTCATGTTTAGCACTTTGGGGGAGTTTGCCAAGGGCTGAAGGAAGCCGAACTGCTCTTTCCCACCTTTCTTCTTGTTTATTCCTCCTCCTCAGCAGAGACTGCTCCCCCACCCCCAAACATCACACAGTCCATTTTCTGCAGCGCCTTAACTTTTTGGTTCAACATGACCCTCACGACCCTCTTTCATCTCCTCTGGACAACCTCAACCTAGAAGAAAACAGTTTACATGGACAGCCTGCTCATCCCCAGAACGAGGTGCCAGTCATCACTCGCTATGTTTGCTGTAGTATTTCTCTGGAGGAGGAATAGTGCCAGAAGTGCTCCATGAAGGGTAGGGTGTGGGTTGAGGAAGCTGGCAACTCCCGGATATCAATGTATGAATGCTAAACATGGCCTGGAAGTAAAATCAGATGAAGAAAATCATATGTATAAAGTACTTTACACTGCAAGGAATAATTTTCTGAGCTCTGGGGGTAAGGGTTAGAACCCCAGGGAAACGTGCTCCAGCAATAATCGCTTCCTAGGGAGGGTTTATCCAGTTCCCAATGTTTGTTTACTTTGTTCTTTCTCAGCCTTCTTGCTCATCCTCCCTAAAACTTTCAACAAGAAGCCAAGGAACATAACCAAAATCTCAGGGCAAACTGCACCTTTGCTCATCAAGTGTCTCTTGCCAGACACCAGCCTCATTAATGATTCTGGGGCAATTAGTACCAACCAACACAAGCAGTGTGGAGTGGACCAGATCTGCCACAGACTCTGCCCCCCATCTTGCAAAGCTCTGGCTTGGCTGACTGGGCAGCAAGTTTGGGGCTGGAACAGGATAGCTCAGGGCTCAAGAGGAGGGCAGACGTGCCACTGGGGTACTTCATTCTCTGCTATTCCCTTCACAGCACACAGCTACTCCTTGGAGAGCAGGGTGAACACACGAAGAGCAGTTTTGTGAAGGGCACCTGTGATTAGCCTGCCCAGGGACATGGCCCACCAGGTCCACGTGGCCTTGACTGGGGTGGACAGAAAGCTCAGCATGTGGACAATTGCCCGAGTCCTCAGAGATTCTCTGGAAGCCACAGAGGGGAAAACAGCTTCTGAGTCACTGGTCTCCAGGCCAGGTCTGGAACCCAGCAGAGAATAGTTATTTCTCAGTTAAAGTGTCATAAAATTTCTTCATCCCCAGGTATTTCCCAACCAGGAAGGGGTCATAGGAGTGATACAACCAACTGGCCTGGAGCCCCATGATAGCGACCACTGTCCTCCATGGTTGTGCTGTGTATCTCCAGAGCCATATATCAGAAACACATGCCAAGCCAGGTGTCTGCAAAAGAGGCAGAAATGCAGAGTCAAAGAAACGGGAGTGTCAGGCTCTTGGAACAAGGGTGAGATGTTTCTATATTTTACATCCCTTTAGGGTAGCATCAACCCAGGAAGTCTTCTTAGAAGAGTGGCTCTTCACTTAAGGATTGAGCAGAACGATATGTATGCCATGAGCAGTGCATGGTGCGGGTGGGATCCAGGGGATGGGGTGTGAGGGAGAAGCTCAATGATGGGAAAACAAAGAGGTGGTAGCAGGGAGGTCCAGGCTTAGGGCCATGTGGAGAGGGCTGTGTTCTCAGGGCTGCTGGCTCAGGGTGGAATCTGTGAGCAGAGATGTTGAGCATGTGTTCCAGGATAAAAGAAGGAACATCAGAGTGCTTCTCTTTCAAAGTGGGGTCCCTAAACATGGATGAGACTTTCACTCCATTTGGCTGAATAGAAGGCGAGATCATCACACCAGCCACAATATTCAAAGCTCTCCCCTAGACCAGGCCTGTAGTCTTTCCTGGACCATCCAGTTGGCTTCCTTTGCTCCCACCTCGCTGAAGTGGAGAGAACATTTCTCATTGCAAATCTCCTAGACCTGAAGGTCATTTTGAACTCAGTCCAGGTCCTGTTCTTCATGTGAACCTAAGCAGAAGTCTAAAGGCATCTTTGACCAGAATCAGGTTCCTCTGATCCTCCCCACTGCCCTCCAGTTCTTCCCACATTGATGGGGTTGACCAGCTGGCTTCATGTAAGCAATGAGTGCTAGTCATTGAGAGGGGACAGTCCTCCTGCTGCCTATCCCCACACCTGACAGCTGGGCAGACTAAGTGGCACAATCAGGCCCTCCTCCCACATATAGTCTCTTGGAGAGACCCCATCGTGTCACTCTGGTTCCCCAGCCTGTTCATGGCACCCTCGAGGCTCTCAGACCTTGTTAGGACATTTGGATTTTCACCTTGGATTATAAATTCAAGAATATGCTATAAGTTTGGCTATTAGGGACTGCTCTCTTTGTATCTTTATAATCTTACCCAGATTTCTAAACAGTTTGCAAAAGACTTCTCTAACACACCTTGGAAAGTCCCCCTCTGTGGTTGGGGAGGACAGGTCCTTTGAGAACCTTGAGTGCCTTGTTGATGCCACAAAATGTGTCACCTGAGACTCAGACACAGGAGTCCCAGCTCTCTAGCCTGACCTCCATCTACTAGAGCTCAGATCTCCACTGAAAGAAGTAGAACCAAACTGAGAATGATGGCAAGTGTTTGGAGTATTCACAGGACCGCGAATCAAGAGATTATCATCTTGTTGCTTGAGCTCAGTCAGCAGATTCTTAAGCATAAAATCCAGTTTTCCTGTCTGCATGGGAGCAGACAAATCTCTCATTTCTTTAGGGAAGTGAGAGAGAGAGAAGTGTCCAGATAAGCAGGCAAAAGAGTAGAGAGATTCCTTCCCAATGTTCCTTTTACCCTTCCTCGGCCTTTCTTGTTCATTTTCTCTAGAACTGTCCACAAGAAGCTAAGGCATATGGCCAAAATCTCGCGGCAACTTTTATCTTTGCTCATCAAGGGTCTCCTGCCAGACACCAGGCTCATGATTTTTGGACAACTGGTACCAACCAAACCAAATGATGAAATGTGGACCAGTCCTGGCAAAAGGCAGACTTTGTCCCCTGCCTTGCTCATCGTCTCTGCTGATCTAGGAGTGCTGTCCAGCCTTGGAAGTGTGTCTTTGCCAACTACCCAGCATGAGCGATCTCAGCTCCACCCCCCCTTTTCTCCTCGCACCTTTCCACAACCCCTGGCCCTGTCAGGCATGCTGGGCAGTCGCAAGAGTTGCCAAATGGACTTGGCTTTGAGCCGCCAATACCTCCTGATGCAGATGAGATGAAATTCTCAAAAGCACTGAACTCAGGAGAGAAACAAGGCTGCTATCCTTTCGTAGTTTCAGCATACCCCAAAGTGGGCTTATTGAATTCTAACCTCACAAGATGTTTACAAAATAAACTCTATGTTAAACAACACTGGGTCCTCTACCCATGAATGACTCATTTAGCAACATAGGCAAACCCAACCTAGTAGGCTTCTTCAGGTAGGATGTGTAAATGTTGATGACTAAGTTCCCTTGATAGTATTACTGGTGGGTACTGGGGATGGGCTGATGACTTCTGAGCAAGCCAAAATGAATTAGCAGTCTTGTGATGGCTGGGCCTAAGATAGTTTTCCAAAACTGCTGCTCTTCCATGCTTGTGGGAGCGGGATGGGGGAAAAGAGCAGCATAGATAAATAAGTCTGTGAATACTCAACCATCCAGATAATGTGACTGATAGATTTTTGGTCTATCAGTGCACTAGCTGTTGAAGGAGAGGATCTGTTGGGCCTTTGGGTTAACACATTCCTGCTGAAAGTTCTAGTGAAGTCTGCAAAGCTTGAATAATGGCTAGAAAGACTGTAGGAAAAGAGAATCTTCTTACACTCTGTCTCCTTCTCAACTTCAGAGAGCATCAGTGAACTCATTTAAAAGGATAAGAATCAATTTTTTAAAAAACTACTGATACAGGCAACGAATATGAGTTAATCTCAGAAACATTATATTAAAGAACAGGAACCAGACACACAAAGTACAGATGATATGATTTCTTTTATATGAAGTTTAAGAACAGACAAAACTAATACACGGTGACAGAAATCGGAATAGTGGTTGTCTTTGAGGGACAGGGATTGTCTGGGAGGTGGCAGGAGGAAACTTTCTGGAGTGATGGAAAGTTCTTTATTTTGGTCTGGGTGGTAGTTACACAAGTGCATTGAGATGGGTACTTCAAATTTGCACATTTAAAAATATGTAATTATACCTGGATAAATTACTGTTACCATGAAAATGAAAAAAGAGGATGGGATCAGGAAATACAGTGGAAGGTCTGTTAGCCAATCTCCACTTGAAGCACAGTCCCCTCCTAATGCTTGGTGAGGGCTGCCATGTCCACTGTGTGCTCCAGCCTGGAGGGTGGGCTGCTTCTTCGACCCCTGCATACACTTGCTGCCTCCACCTAGGAGATATGTCTACCAAGAGCCAGTTGTGTTTGCTATCATGCATGTTTATGTGTTTGTGCTTGTTTTCAAGTTTAATTTAATTATATTTAAAACTACTTACATCAAATACATGTTTAAAGAGAATCAGTTTTGTAAAAGCCACGTTTAATGCTCTGGAATGTCTCAGTAAAGGTGAATTACTACAAAGAGTTATAGTCACTTAGATGTGGGACGGAAATAAAAGTAATAAAAATCAAAGTTTCTGGATTGAGATTCTTCAGCCATGTAAGTTCTTGCTCTACTTTAAAGAAACTGAAAGTGGAAACTGTCAAGGATGCATTAAGAGTATGGTTTATGCAAAAAGCAAGAGAGATTGGAATACTCATCTTCAGATCCATATTTCCAGGCCTGTGGCCTTGGCCCTACATATAAAGTTTTACAAGAAATACACATTTATGTTTTGAGTTAGAATAAAATATTTATCATAGTTGTGTTCTGTATTTATTGATTCTCCACTTGAGCCAGCCATCCAAGTTACCTACCTAGCCACGGAGAAGAAATAAGGAGGCTTCTACTCCCACTAAGAAGTAGAGATTCAAGAAAATTGCAAAGGTACAACTTTCCTAAATGCCAGACATTCATATATCCTCTGCACATTCAGAGAACAGGCTAATGAATCAATCACATGCATTAATCTATGTGAACAAGACCGCCCTGTAGCACTTCATAAATCTTATTTCTATTTAGTGTTTAAATGTGATGCCTACACATAGCTCAGCATGTTTGCACTGCATGTCTTGTATTGTTCCGTGTGATGCCCTGTCTGCCTCCTTCCTTGTGATTCCAGTGTGCCGGGCATGGCAGGAGACAGGGATCAAGTGGAGGCATCTGGCACTCACTTAGTTCTTATCAGTGGGCAGCCTGCTTAGAAGTTGGGAGGGGCATACACTAGTGACACACATTTGTTATTTTGAAAAAAGGAATTTATTCCCATTGTACTATTAGTACTAATACTTGCTCCCAAGGCTTCTCAATGTTATATTTAAAATCTAGTTTAGGCTAACAAAGAACCACTATTCACATATTCATCATTCACAGTCCAAGTTAGAATTTTCCTGAAAACTAGAATTCTTTGTTGGGATCAAGGGGATTAATCAGTACTAAGTATTATTAAGAGACATTATGCCTTACTCTCACGAGCTGGGGTGAATTGCAAAGGCTTCCACTGAGCCTACCTTCATGGTGGGTGTGTCTTTTCCCCGTAGTGGTGAACCCTGAGGAGATATGTTAGCTAACGTACTCCTTCCTTGAGACAGAACCATATTCTACTCGGTACAAATAGGCTAGCTGCAAGTGCTTTCCAGCAGTGGCCTCCTTTCTTTCTTTACTACCTTTGCTGTATTAACTGCATCTTTTATCTTTTGTATTCTGATGCATTGACAACTGCGGCCTTGCTAACCCTGGAGAGACTGCCCCTCTCAGGGTTAGCCGATTCCTAGAGATAGTAAACAACTTGCCTGAGAATGCAAACCAAATGCAAACCAGCCAATCCAGAGCCCACACCCAACCACCTCTTTTATCAGCCTTATACACCCTGAGCCACTATCCGCCTGCCTTAATCATCTCAGGGCCTGGCATAAGTCACCTAGGGACAGCCCCTATGCCTGAGGACTTGCTGAAGTTATTCAAACTATACAATCCTAAGTCTGCTTACCCTGTGCATTCTTTCCCACAGAAACCACAATAAAGGCCCTTGTTCACAGTTCCTTCCCCTCCTCTGCCTCTGCCTCTTGGAACTGTGAGTAACAAAATCTTGCTTCAATGGCAATCATCTCCTGATCTACTAGCCCTACTATGCCTCCAGTTTGCTATGAATACCATACTCCAGAACACAGACCCATTGCCATAGTTCTCCTTCCCTGGCTCTGCCCACCCCCTTAAATCCTGTTGCTCACAATGCTAACAGCTCTAACCTCCTTGGCATCCACTCATTCCTATGTAAGTCTGTGCTATGTAAGTCTGTACTAAAGTGTCCATGTTATCCCACCGGCCTCATTCATCAACAGGCTGCAGACAGGTCAGGCATCTGAGTCGAGAACTGTAAAAACGCACAGTTTTATTTTTGGTCAGATTTTGGTTTAGGACCAGAACTTTGGATGGAGTCTGTTGGGGGTGGAAACCAACCCTAGGTTGGCTATGGTAGGTGACTGTGAGCATCTAGCCAGCGTGGGAGCATCTGGGGAGCCGGGCAGAAGCATACACACAGCTCCCTCTGGCTGGTGGACACTGAGTTTGTGGTCATGCATTCTAGGTGGTAGAGGGCAAAAGGCTGGAAGGGAAGGTGCAAGAGGAAGAAAGACAAGAAAGAAACATTCAGCCTCACAGGACCAGTGGGTGGAAAGGCTGGTATTTGAGCAGAGATCCTACAGACACACACACACACACACACACACACACACACACACACACTATGTTCTTTCTCTCTATCTCAAGGCCTGAGAAGGCAGATAAAATGCAAGAGACACTTTAAGGAAAGAAGCCACAAGAGGTGATGACTAGTCTTGGAAGCATAGGGAGGAGGTAGAATCAAAGCTGTTGCTCAGAGTGGCTGCGTGTGGGGAGAGGGCTGGGGAAGGGAGTGGATAAAGCACCAGGGGGGCCAACTGTAACTGGCAGAACCTGAGATGCTGCACAAGTGTCTTTGTTCAGGGAGTTTCCCAATCCTAGTCTTAGAGGAAGAAGTCAATTGATGTAGGCTAATGATGCCAGGAAAAAGGGAGTACAGTCTCTGCAGGGTTGCTGGGCCCCTGCTGGGAGGTAAAGCTGTTAGGCAAAGGGGCAGATTGGCTCTCTGTCAGAGGGTTTGTAATCCCCACCCCCACACACTGCCCCAGGAGACCTGGCTTTAGTGTCCTTTCTGCCAGCCGAGGAGACCCCCTCCCCTGTCTTTTGTTCTTGTCTTTTCCAACCTCTGTCAATGCATACCCTGTTCAGCAGAGCCACTTCCCTGCCCTGGCTCCCAGCTCCTCCTATTTTGGAAAACTGAACCAGCCTTGTTGAGGTTGCCTGAGGATATGGACCTTTCTTACCTCCTCCACAGGCTGCTACCCCTGTTCCTGGCCTATTCGTGTCATCATTAGAACAATGAGATCCATAGATGGGAGAGAAAACAGCCTGCTTGCCCTTGGTATGAAGGATGAGGCTGTTTCTCAGGCTGGATATTCAGTTGGGCATGTCATCCATGGATTTCTAAAGGACACTTAGGCATCTGAACAGTCAGTTAGGGGCTGAGTTATCAAATCATCTTTCTACAACCCAAAGATCTGGCCCTTTCCTCAGTTGGCTGTCCCCTTTTGCCTCTTCCAACTCAATGGAGCATCCCGGTGCCAAGCTCTTCCTCCTCTTTCCCTTCAACAGTGGGCTCTGGACATCCATGGGGGGCCTCAACCATGCCCACACTCACAATTAAGCTACCGTGTGTGGCACTGGACACTGCCTATGCGCTGCCACGTGTCACAACTAAACTGCAGTGTGTGGCACTGGACACTGCCTGTGCCCTGCCATGTGGCCCCCAGACCTGCATTATGCACCAGCCACTGCTGTGGCAACCAGCTTCCTGGAGATATAACTGATGGGCCTTTATTCAGCTGCCGTGTGACATGGTTCCTGCCCCAAAGCTCACCAGCTCCATTACATGAGTGTCCTTCAAGATGGAGCCCAGTGGAGAAGAGAGCTGGCAGACAAATGCCCCCCTCTTTTGTTCCCCAGGTGGAACAAAAGTGGAACAAAGTCCCCAGTGGGCAACTTTGAAGTGAATGCTTTGTGGCTCCTCCAAAGGTCCTAGCAGAAAGGAGTCCTCCTTGTTCATAGCCATGCCCCCTGGCTTGATAACATGCCCTTGTTCTGGTGTACCCTCCTTTCCTGTTTCACTATCCCCAAGACCCCATTTCTGCTACTTGGGATTACTCCCCAAAATATATTACCTGCACACAAATCGTTGCTTCTGGTGTCCGTTATTATGGCACCCATTTAGAAAGGAGAACACTGGTATTTGGAGAAGTTTTATAAACACTCATAGAGCTGGATTTTGAACTGGAGTCTTCTCAGCAGCATGTCTGTCTTCTGTGCCACACTACGGTGAGGCTCTTTGCCACCCTCACAAGGGCATGAAGGATGCTTCTGCCTGGATTGTCCTGGTCAAAGAAGGACACTTCCATCTGGTCAAATTTCCTTCCCTTGACCATGTTTTACAATGGCAACTGGGATATAAATAAAGGCTTCTAAAACATCTAGGGGACTTGAATGGAGGGGATCAGGGAAATGGAAATAATTGGGAAATGCCAACATTGGTGGAGGGGCAGCTTTAGAAAACAGAAACCATGGCTGGATGTATGTGACAAATTCAGCAGTGCTTAACAGGGGGCTTCCAATACAGATTTGGAAGCTTATTGTAGCTGACATTTCTTGTCTGTGTACACACTCCCAGCTTCTGGGTGATTTGCTACTAATGGTTTGCACCTGTGCCCTTCCTCAGAGACCCCTCCTTGGGCTCCTGGCAAGAGTTGGAAAGAGCTAGAAGTTTACAACTGTCTCCCACATCCTCCTCCTAGGGTGGCCGCCGCTCCCTTGCCTCCAGGGAACACAAATTCTGAATTATAATTTATGCTACAGAGATTTTTACAGCATTCCAATGAAGCTAGGGCTTCCCCTGAAATCACACCCTTGCTTGGCTTTCTGTCCTCTTCTGTCTTGCTTGACGTACTCTCTTAACAGTATCTCCTGGGAGCACTTCCTTAAGTCATTAGTACATGGATACTCCTGTCAGGGTTTGCTTCTGCAGAACCTGACCTAAAACAGCAATCACTTTGCTAAGTGCCAAGGATGCAGTGACTTCAGAATGCTCATTGTCTGGCAGGGAAGAGGGACAAGCAAACAAATAATTGTAGCAAGGCCTAATGCACACTGGGATGAAGGTACACATGGAATGCAAGAACACTAAGAGCTTTGAGCCTGTCTCCATGTAGCCCCAAATATTGGATCAGGAAGCAGGAGAATGGGCTTTGGAGTTAGAAAGGCCCGAGTTTCAATTCTGGTGTTGCCTCTTACAAGCTGGGCGCTCTTAGATAAGCTTGGCTTCTCTGGTCCTCCATTTCTTCATCTGTAAAATGGATATAATTCCTATCTCAATGAATTGTTATGAGGATGATCTCACTTATGGAACGTTAAGTTCTTGGCCTGGAACAAAGCTCATAATGAGGATCAATATTGGAAGCTCATTTTTTTGGGAATTGCAGCCTTCAGCATGATTTGGATGTATCAATGTAATGTCACATAGGTCAATGGTATGTTCCTGCAGGCCTCCCACACACGAGCCGCAAGCATGATGTCATTCCATCTGTTCTCAGAACTACGAATTTACCAGAGGTCTTCCTTGGTGAGAGGGGTCTTCACACTCTTTTGTTTATTCCTTGCCTCCAAATCACTGGGGCCCACATCCCATTTACCCCTAGCTACCCTGTAAGCACTGTTCTTTCATTTGCTGATCCTGAATTTTCTTCTTTGCTTAAATTTTGTTTCTCTCTGTGAAAGAAAAATGTTATAAGCTGCCCCATATCTTTGCTGCCCCAGGCTCATGAAAAGCTAAATCCGGTCTTGGCTCTCCAAAAGAGAATAAATCCCAGCCTGCCCCCAAAGAAGTTGCTGTCATAATTACATCTCCTTTTGGAATTAATTTTGACTTAATCGCATTACAACTAGATTGCACCATTTCCTTGGCCAAAGTTGGTTCCAAACTGGCTTTGCTATTTTCCTCCTGGTCCATAGATACATCTCTCTTTTTTTTGGTTTGCAAGGAAAATAGCTGGTGGTTTCAAAGGAAGATCAAACAGGATGGCACTGATAACTTCTATGAGGTAACTGAGATGACTGAGCTCTCCCCTGAAGATCCCCATTGGGGACACCATCCCTGCACCACTGAGGGCTTCTGGAGTGTACCAAGCTGTTCTCAGTCACTGCTTCTTAACTGAAAGTACAGGAAGCACCGAAGTGCATATTTTGGGCCCCATTTCTACTCTCTCCCTTTAGTTTCCTTTCTCCCCACCTTATCTTCGTCTCTCCTAGGCCACCAATACAGAATCTGTGAGGTTTTCCAGTTAGCCATGCCCATTGTGTTGGGTCTTAGCATAATCAAGTTTCTCCTCAGTGTTGAGCATCATACTAGGCAAAATATGGAACATAAGGAGAGGGACAATATGGCCGCTTTGGCTCAGGACAACATGGCATCCATGCTACAGGGACTTTTTAAAAGGAAGAATGTAAGCTAGGATAGTGGAGAAGGCTCCCAGAGAAAGTGGACTGACTTCTGGTTGGCTTTAAGAGAAGTGAGAGGAAAGGAAGGGATTCTAGACATAGGAAATGGCTTGAGGGAAGGCGTGGAGACATCCTCTTCCCATCACCCTTCTACATGAGGGAAGGTAGAGAACTAAGGTTGGATACATATGATAAGATTGGATTGCAGAGGGCTTTGAATGCCAAGGTGAGCTCTGAATCTGACTGTGATTTGGAAGTCCATTTGGGAGACACCTAGGATTTTATTAAGCAAGAATAGTTTTGTTTACTGATCCATTTTTCCTGGATTCCCATACCCTACCACTAGTGGACTGGGAAAGCTAGTGGAAGTTGGATGGTAAGATAGAAACTCTGAGAGGGCTTAGGTCTTCCCCTCCTAACAACTAGTGATTATTGAACAGGGAATAACTCAGATAAAAAGTGTTTAAACTGGCAAGAGCATGTAGAATGAAGAAGATTTTATTATTATTGGCTGACATTCTCTGAAATGTTACAACAGGCCCAGTCATGCTTGATATCCTTCATGGGTCGGCAGATTAAGCCCCCTTTGGGGACCCTTCACTGCATAGTCATGCAAGTCTCCCCAGTCTTTCTAAGCATAAGCATTGACAAGGCAGGGCTTGTTCCATCTTCATCCTTTTCTCCTTCCTCAGCCTCATCCAGAGAGCTGACATCACCTTTCTCAGCAACAGACAATCTCCACCAACGAGAAAGTCATTTTTTGTGTCTGTCTTTAATTAATTCACTCATTAATAGAGATATATTGATGGTCCACATGTGTAGAGCAGTTGCCCCTTGTTCAGCTCACCCCACAGGACAGAGATTATTCCCAATCATCTCCCATGGGCAAAGAGTCCAGCCCTACCCTGTGAGGAAGGCATGAGAGGGAACTGCCCAGGTGGGTGCTAGAAGGGTTTGAAAGTGGTTATTAATGGAGGACAGAGCAGTGATCACATGGGAGAGGAACTAAATGTGCTGAGGCTGCTGAAATTGAAAACGCCTGTTAATAGCACAAGTGACACATCATAGATCACTCGCTGACAGGCTGAACTGGGCGCCATCTTGAAGAACGTAGGCTGCATGCTAATGACGCCCAGGAGGAGCTGCGCGCTGCATTGTGGAGGCACCTCTCCTGCCACTTGCTTGTGTAACACTGCAGAGATAGTGGCCCAGAATTCTTCACCAGTCCCAGAGCACTGGTAGAGAGTATGGAATTTGGAGAAAAAGGAACCTGTATTTGCACTCCCTTTCATCCACTTTATATCAGTGAGATCTGGAATTGCAATCAAATGAGAAAATGAATGAAAGTGAATCTCGAAGTGCTCAGAAACAGGGAATGGAGCAGAATTGCTATGAAAATTTCCACCTGCCTCAGACCACAAAAATCAATTTTAGACATAAGTTACGAACACAGTAGCAAATGGAGTTTCTTTGGCTTCCATCCTTTGATGCCTCTTGCTTCTCTTTTCAAGAAACATATGTCTGGGGGATGGGAGGGTTCTTTTTAGTGCCTTTCTGCTTTGTAGAAGAACAATCATTTGAGCAATCGTTGGGGCCAAGGACTAGCTAAGACATTCGAGAAATGTGGTTTTGACTATTCGTCACCCTTATTTTCCCACTCTCTTTGATGGTTCCCAAAGGCTCTTCCCCAGGCTCTGGCTTCTATATCCACGCGGCAGGAGGGCCTTGCTCTCCTAGTGCACTGTCATCTTACAAAGGATCAAGGAGTGTCGTCATGTGCTCCCCTAAGACGGCCAAAGCCTGAATCTGAAAGTTGAAGCTTAAGGAGAAATTCCAGCCATGCATTAAAAGAAATATCAAAGAGGTGCTAGAGCCTTGCTAGCCCCACTGAGAACACCTTGCAGGCAACCCCCAACTTCTCTGTGTGAGACCTCTTGCAAGGCCCTTTGACTTCCTACAGCCTTCTAATGGTAATAGCAATAACCACAATGATAATAACAATAACTACATATCATCGTATCAGGCACTTTAGGCATGCTGTGATTGATATTTTAAAATGAGAAAACCAAAGAGGCCCAGTAAGTCTTCTCAAGGCCACCCAGGGCTGGGCGAGTGTCAAAGCTGGGATTCAAGCCAGACCCAGCCCAGTCTCCTTCCTTTCCCCACAATGCTACCCTGGCCTCACCCTCTGCCACAGCCTTCCGGGGGTTCCAGGGCACCTGCTGCCCAGCCCTTCCTGGATCTTTGTCTTCCCCAAGCTGGAAGTGTGAGTAGAGCCAGTGCCAGGTCTCAGGGGAAACTTAGCAGGAAGCTCATTTGGAAGAAGCTAAAAACAGCCTCCTCAGCCGCCCAGAGACAAGACCTAAATGAGATTAAGCTGGTGCTTAAGACTCTCTCCTTTCAGGCCCCCACCCCTTCCAGTCAGTCCTCTGGAAAACTCTGTCTCTGACGGCTGGCCTTTCTGCTTTCCTAAAGAGATGGGTGCGAAGTGCTGACTCAAGACATGGAGTTTTATGCATGCAAAGGCCTGGGGCTTTGATTCAAGGATGGCCTACAAGTGGATGAAAAAGGGGCCTCAGGAGCGATTTTGTGAGCAGTTGAGTAAAGGAATGAAGGAAGGAATGAGCACATAGATCCATTTGTAATTCTGACTTCCCAGACACAGTGGTGGGCTATGTGCTTGTCTTGGTCAGCTTGGGCTGCTGTAACAAAATACTGTAGATTGAATACCTTATAAACAAAAGACATCTATTTCTTACAGTTCTGGAAACTGGGAAGTCCCTGATCGAGGTACCGGCAGATTTGGTGTCTGGTAAGGGCCTGTTTCCTAGTTCCTAAAAGGCTGTCTTCTCACTGTCCTCACGTGGCAGAAGGGGCAACGGAGCTCTCTGGGGCCTCTTTGATGAGGGCACTAATCTCATCATGAGGATTCCCCTCATGTCCTAATCAACTCCGAATGCAATCGTAATGGGTCTGTTGCCTGATGTGCATGGCAAGTCAACAAACCAAGACACTAGGTTGCAGCAGAGAAAGAGGTTTAATCACAGGGAGGGATGAAGAGATGGGAGAAGACCTCAAATCTTTCTCCCAAGGAATTTAGAGCTAGGATTTTAAGGATTTTGGAGTGGGCCAAAGTACAAAGACAGTTGATGGGTGTATTAGTCTGTTTTCACACTGCTGATAAAGACATACCTGAGACTGGGCAATATGCAAAAGAAAGAGGTTTAATTGGAGTTCCATGTGGCTGAGGAAGCCTCACAATCATGGAGGAAGACAAGGAGGAGCAAGTCATGTCTTACATGGATGGCAGCAAACAAAGAGAGCTTGTGCAGGAATACTCCCCCTTATAATAACCATCAGATCTCTTGAAACTTACTCACTATCACGAGAACAGCATGAGAAAGACCTGCCCCTGTGATTCAATGATTCAATTACCTCCCACAGAGTCCCTCCCACAATATGTGGGAATTCAAGATGAGATTTGGGTGGGGACACAGCCAAACCATATCAATTGGTCAAAGTACAGAGGGTGAAATCATGGAAGAGGGAGATGAAGAAACTGTAGTCTCACGCTGATTTCATTCTGTGGAGGTCTTCACATTGGATGGCATCACCCGTTCTGCTGGAATTCAGGATCTACTTGCAATTCTTAAAAGCCTTGTGATTCTAATGTCAGAAATTCTTAAAAGCCCTGTGATTCTAATATCAGAAATCCTATCTACAGAAACAATGGGAATGCAAATGGTCAGTATCTAGTGCTATGTGACTTTCTATCACAAGGAAGTGGGTCAAAGGGCAGCCTGATTAATGCTTAATTATATTTCTGTCCAGAATCTTTTTTTTCTTTTTGAGATGGGATCTCTCTCTGTCACCCAGGCTGGAGTGCAGTGGCACCATTACAGCTCACTGCAACCTCCGCCTCCAGCTCTCGTCTCAGCCTCCCAATTAGCTGAGACCTACAGGCATGCACCACCATTTCTGACCAATTTTTGTGGGTTTTTTTTATTATTATTTTATTATACTTTAAGTTCTAGGGTACATGTGCACAACATGCAGGTTTGTTTCATATGTAGAGATGCAATTTTGCCATGTTGTCCAGGCTGGTCTCAAGCTCCTGGACTCAAGCGATTCGCCTGTCTTGGCCTTCCAAAGTGTTGGGATTACAGGCATGAGCCACCGTGCCCAGCCCTGTCCAGAATTCTTGTTAACCCTGTTAGGACGGCTTCACTGAAGGTCTTACCTCCAAATACCATCACACTGAGCATTAGGATTTAACATATGAATGGGGTAGAACATAAACAGTCTGTCTATAACAATGCTTAATGCACTTTGCGTATTTTCATCCTGAACCATGTTGGGAAGTTGGGACTTTAACGTTATTTCACAAAGGAGGAAATGGAGGCCCAAGCATTTAGGAGATTTTCTCAGGCCAGCCAACAAGTTAACTGCAGAGCCAGTTGATAACCAAAGCCTCTCACTCTCACATCTGTCCTCTTCCCACTCTGTCATGCTCTTGGAGCAACCTCCTTGACCCCTGTTTCCCCAAAGAGATCACCAGCACTAGTGTGTTCTACACAGACTTTATTTCCTATCATGGTATAAATAGCCCTGCCAGGGGTAACCACAAAAGTTGTAGCTTACTACAAATGACCTCATCACGTACATTCCAGTGGGCAATTTGGGAGGAGCCGGGAGAGAACATGAAGCCTCTATGGGGTCAATAAGCAAGGTTTAATCTAAGGGTGGGAAGCATCCAGAGAGGAGCAGTTGGGGATAGCACAGGCCAACTTGGGGGCCCCTTCAGTCCAGGGTTTCTGTGTTCTACTTTCCTCAGAGGGCTGAAGGGAAACCTCTCTCCCTCATTTCAGGCTTTTTCTCCTGTTTGGATGGTGTTTTCCAGGATTCCACAGGACAGCCATGAGTGCGGCTTTTCCAGGGCTCAGACACTCCTTAGATAGAGGCAGGGCAGTGTGGTGATGACCTCCCCAAACCGGTGGCGCTGCAAGGTTGATTCTCTCCCTAATCCCTGGCCCTTAGAGTGTTCCCAGAGCCCTGCCTAATTGTCTTGTGTAGATAATGCAGGCTGGGTGGTGGAACTGCTTC
The DNA here is from genome assembly GCF_000001405.40 of Homo sapiens. Classification (NCBI taxonomy): domain Eukaryota; kingdom Metazoa; phylum Chordata; class Mammalia; order Primates; family Hominidae; genus Homo; species Homo sapiens. The sequence goes on from NC_000012.12 coordinate 5,230,825, forward strand.
TACACTCAGCTTCTGGGGGACATCTCAAAGGCTTTGAGCAACTTGCATAACTGCTCAGAAACTAAGATCTTTTCACAGGCCATCATAAGGACAAGGTCCACTGGACCAGACAGAGGGACTGATGCACAGAGTCATCCCTATCTCCCCTTTCAAGATGTGCCTAAGCCCAAGAGAAAGGAGTAAGCTCACTAGGTCAGGGTTGGCACTAACACCCTGGAGCAGATTGAGGATCTGCTGTTTGCGTCCAGACATCAGAGGCAAGCGGCAGCATGCCTTGGGAGAGAGTGGCCCTTCCCAGGCTATGCAGATGCTTGTTCTAACTCTTCCTCGTTTCTTACAAAAGAATTCTTCCATTTAGAAAAAGGTCCTTTTCCTTCTCTTTGAGGTTGGGTTAGGGCCTCTTTGTTCCTTTTTAATGATGAGTCCCTGTCCAGGCAAGAATCAAATGAGAGAAAGGGAGAGCCATATCAGCAAGGCAGACTGTTGAGCTCCCAATGCTTTGGGAGAGGCAGAAACAGGGTGGGATGGTCCTTGCTGCCATGGGGCACATAGCCTAATGGGTCTTTGGAGAATGCAGGTGTCACCTTTCCATCTCAGTGCTGACAACTGCCCTGGTGTTGTGTGTGATTCCTAGGGACATCTGTAATGGGGAGAGCAGGGTCTAGAACCCAAGTTCTCTTCCTGACTCCACCTCTACTGACCTGGGTGGGCCTGGTAGGTTCGGTCTCTGAAGCTATCTCCTCCTCGGTAATATAGATGCTGAGGGTCATGCACAGCTCTCTTCTTGGCTGTTTGGAGGAGCCACTGGGAGCCGGAAATGTATTCATAGGAGAAGGCTGAATACCCAGCCTTCCTAGTCAGATTGTTGGGAAGCCTATCATGTTCTCTTGGTCTTCAAGCCTCCCTTGCTTCTAAGAGGAGGAAACTCTTACCTGCCTTGGCTCTCCTTTATGGAGATCAAGTTGTTTCTATTCCCACCAACAATACCGAGGTTTTGCTCCTCATATACAGCTCCCCTGGACTCTCCCACAGCTTTGTGCTTGTCCTCCAGCTTACTGTTCTGCCAACAGGGTCCGAGCCCCTCCTGTGAGCCCTGCCTGGTGCCTTGGTGAGGTCTCGTTGTCTAGGGACAGGAGTGCAAACGCCAGGCATGGCTATACCAGGCTTGGTGTGTGATGGCTGGCTTGTCCATCATATCTCCCATTGTTCCCACTGAGACCAGAAGGCACCTCCTCCCTCCCCTCTGCTCCACCCCAGGGTTCTATGGCACCTCTGCCTGCAGAGGCCCCCTGCCTACCCTTCTAGATCCACAGCTTCCCTCCCATCCTGCCATCCATCAAGTCTGAAATCAAATATAGCCTTTGCTCTGCAACTTTCCCTTATAAAGATTCTGTGGGAGTGAGCTCTCCCTTCTCTGACCCTTCCTTGTTTCTCCTGCTCTTGTGGACTAAATATGATGACTTTTTGCTGAACTTGTGCAATTTTTCTTCCTGTTCTAGGAGCTCAGAGAGGATGATATCTGGTCATGGACATTTTTTCCCCAGTGCTTGGTGCAGTGCCTGGCCCTCAGGGGTGCCTGATTAGTGTCTGGGGAATGAATGAATAACTGGGATGAGACAAAGGCAGATACAGGTGCCATGGGGACTAATGCTTACATAAATATTGGCACTATCTCCAAGGAAAATAAATAAAAATTATGACTATAGAGTTGGATACAAGGCCTCTGCATCGTGAGGGGTGTAGAGCTCAGTCTTCCTCAACTCCTGAGTCACTTCCCTGGGTGAGGGTGAGGGAGGTGCCTTGGTCGGAGTGCTTCTCAAATCCAGGCCTGCGCAGCCCATGCCACCCCACAGCCCAGAAGGAGCATCCAGGGGCACCCTCCATGATTGATAATTGGGGCTGGAGGGCAAATGAGGAAAAAGGAACAAGGTGAGAAGGAAAGAGCACATCGAAGCAGAAATCCTGAGAGACCCCCGCCCTTTCTGCTAAGGGTGTTATCTCTGCCCCTAGAGTTTCAACTAAGTGTCTTTATCAAGGCTTATAAATTCCACCCTCCATGCAGCAACTCTTCCCACCACCGCCCCCTGCCCTGCAGCCCCTGCCATCCCTCCTCCTCCCCTCACTGCCTCCAAAATCAATTTTCAGCAAGAGCAGCAGGTTCGGAGCCATCTGGGGCTGCTGGCAGCCTCAGCAGGATCTAAGCAGCTCAGTCTGTTTCCCTTAAACCAGCCCCCGAGTTTCTCTGCCATCCCCAGCCTGGTCTTCCCCCTCTTCCCTCTTGCAAGGAGGAGGAGGAAGAATTGGTTCCGGACCTAAGTGTTCTTCTCCTGAGGGGTCCCCCATCCCTGCAGGGCATCCCTGGGTGGGGTGTCAGAGTCCGGCTGTGCTGGCCCCAGGCAGCCAGACAGCAGTACGGGCCACTTCCCCACCTGTGGGGAAGGACGGATGCGCTAATTGGCAGGCAGAGCACCGAGTGGAGGGAGCTGGAGCCGAGCCACGTTCGCAGAGATGCACTTTTCCTCACCTCAGCCTCATGGAAGCTGTGCGGCTCCATCTTGACAAAAGTGCCATTGCATACACAAGGCCATTGTCTCTCTGTTTGGGGGCAAGGAGCAAAAAGTAGAAACTCCTTGTTTTCCCTAGGCTTGAGAGAAGACCTTTCCAGTCCGGAGCCCCTGGGAAGGAATATCCTGCAGAAGAGGGAGTCACACTAGAATGTTTTGTGTGTGTGTTTGCTTTAGATATGGGGACCAGCCTACGAGACTTCCTTCAGCTGAGCCTCTCGGCCACACCTCACACTTACCCCCGACACACACACAGATGTGCTTTCAGCTTTCACCTGCTTTCACAAGTGTTTCTTAGTCTTCTAGTTACAAAGGAGTGATTTTAGGTGACTTCAATTGGGGTGAAGACTCCCCCACAATATGTCTTCGCCTCCTCCCTCACGCTGCCCCCATCTCCTTCCAACATTGTTCTTTAGTCCCCGTGTCCTTGGCCAGCCTGCCAGGCACTACCTCTTTCCCACAGGCCACCAGTTGAAACAGAAAACACCCACAGTTAAATATGGCCCCAGGAAAACAGAGTTAAAGGAATATTAGGTACATAGTCTTTGCTTCTGGAACTTTCTCCAAGTGACTAGAAGAGGCAAGACCTCAGCCCATATCACCTGAATAATGGACAGATGATCTTTCTATTTGGAACAGCCAAGAACAATATTCTCAAGAGTATTCTCGTGGGATGAAGTGTTAGGGAGAGCAGCAGTGTCACGAATGAGCACTGGAACAGGAGACAGGAGACCAGAATGCATGGACTGGCTCTACCACTCTGTCTCTGACCTTGGGAAATTTCCACTTTCAACCTTGATGGCCTTCCCTGTAAAATAAGGAACTGGTCTTGACACTCATCTCACCATCAAGCAGAGTGCCAGCTGCAATGTGGGTGCTTGATCGATGCTTGTTGAAACAGATGATCTTAGTCTGAGATTCTCGAATGGCAGAATCCCACCACAGTGCCTACCACACAGTAGGTATTCAATAAAAGTGAATTTCTGTAAGTTAATTTTCATGTGACTACAGAAAACCGGTGCAGCATGCTTGAATTAGGGATGTATTGTGTAATTCATAATCAGGGAGTTTGGGTGGTGCAGAGGGGTGATTCCAGGAACAGAGGTCCACAGACAGCCCTCTGTGAGAAGGGCTGAGAAGACCCTGGCACAGCTGGAGGGACAAACACACTCTCTTCACCTCACTCAGCCTCTTCCCTCGGCTCCCCTCCCTCATGGGAGTCTCCCTAACAGATACGCCCTAGGCAGAGGAGAAAAGATCACAACACGGGCCTGGACACCAGGGCTTTCAGAACCAGTGTGGGATGGGAACTCCCTTTTATGGTACAGTGGCCTCTGAGCAACGCTTCAGGGGAAAGCTGGGTGACCTCTGGATGCCCCCTCAGCTTGCCAGGACAATTTTGACATTCCCATAGCGCAGGTGGGCTGGTTTGAGGAACCCAATACCAGCTATAGCCAAATTCCTGGGGAAACGGAAAGAACATTCATAGAGTTCAGTCTAGGGAATCTCAAAGGTCTTTTGAGAAAGGCTTTGGAGGAGGCAGCACTTGCCTGAAGGAAGGAGGATGAAAGGGATGAATTGGCTGGGCAAATGGTCCAGGCCTAGGCTCAGTGAGCACAGGTGGATGGACTCCCTGAAATCCCCATCACCCACCCGCTGTGAGAACGATAGTGCTGCTCTGCACTATAACTTCCGGGGGAGCAGGGTTGTCCTTAATCAAATTTGTCTTCCCTGCCCCCGCATAGATGATTGCTACATTTGTGCCTTTTATTATTATTATTATTATTATTATTGTTATATATATATATTTTTTGAGATGGAGTCTCACTGTGTAACCCAGGCTGGAGTGCGGTGGCGAGATCTTGGCTCACTGCAAGCTCCGCCTCCTCGGTTCAAGTGATTCTCCTCCCTCACCCTCCTGAGTAGCCGGGATTACAGGCATCTGCCACCACGCCTGTAATTTTTTGTATTTTTAGTAGAGATGGGATATCACTATGTTGGTCAGGCTGGTCTCGAACTCCTGACCTTGTGATCAGCCTGCCTCGACCTTCCAAAGTGTTGGGATCACAGGCGTGAGCCACTGTGCCAGGCCTAATTTTTGTATTTTTAGTAGAGATGGGGTTTCTCCATGTTGGCCAGGCTGGTCTCGAACTCCTGATCTCAGGTGATCCACCCACCTTGGCCTCCCAAAGTGCTGGCATTACAGGCGTGAACCACTGTGCCCAGCCCATTTGTGCCTTTTTAAAAATGGTTTTCCAATGTATGTTGCTGAGGACACCATGCAATCCTGAGCACTTGAGCAGTGGAGAGGGAGCAGCAGGTCAGAATGGTGTGCTGGGCAGAGTGGAGAGTGAGGAAAGAGAAGAATCAAATGTGATGATGTTGCTCTGGTCGTAAGGTGTGGGGATATTTCAGTTTCCAGAGCCTTATTTAGGTTTAACTAATCATCATCTTTCATAATCACAGACAACTTTATGTTTTCAGAGCAGCTTGACACACAGAATGGTATTTTTTCCTTCACAAATTTTCTCTGCACAATAGACGAGGGGAATCTTATTATACTTATTTAAGAGATGAGAAACCTGAGAAAGACAGAGATCATGATTAGCCCAAGCTTACTTGATTAGGCAGCTAGGCAGCGGAGATGCAAGGCTAGGATATACCCTTGTCTCTCTGTTTTCCAACTTCATGATTTTTGCCATGTAGCTTTGCCCCCTACACTACTGCTTATTATAAATATATGATATATATTTAAAAGATATAATTATTTTTATATGATCAATTAAATATATATTTAATATTTATATGTTTAATCATTTAATGTTTATATGTTCAAATATATTTAATATTTATATATTTAATTAATTAAATATATATTTAATATTACACATTTATATATTTAATTAATTCGCTTTAGGAAAGTCTTCTGGTCCTAGGCCAGGAATTATCTTTGTAATTCTTTACTCTATTTGGATCATGTTTTTCTCTGTACATAGCATAGGATAAAAATGATGACAGCTAGCCAGCGTTTTTGAGTGCCTACGTATGTTGTAACTAATACAGTTCTCCCAGGAGACAGGCCACATGGAAGGTTTCTGAAGTTAAACAACAAGCTCAAGGTCATACAGAGGGTATAGAGAGGAACAGGAGTTCATGGCCAGATCTTTCTTTCTGACTCCAAATGCCACATTGCCTGGCCTCTGGAACTTGACTGCCCCAGCACTCCCGTAGGGCCTGCCATCACTGAGGGTTTGCAAACCTCAGTCCAATATGGCTGCTGAATCCCCACCTGCACCATTCCATGTCCCATTTCAAAATCAACTATGGGCCCAGAGCTTTCCCTCTCTTTAATCCCACTTGTCTGTCCTAAGAACCAGGTGGTTTTGGTAAAGGTGTTCAGAGACTATAAAGTCATGGCAATTCCGTTCTCTATCTTAGCAGGCAGAGTACTAGGACAGGAAAGGGGCTCTGTAGGCCAGCACGTAGCCGTTGCATATCCAAAGACCACCTCTGCCAGCCCAAGGATCCCCTATGTAGAAAGTCTTATGAATGCCTCTGACAGTCAAAGTGGAGGGTGAGAAGTGCATCAATCCCAGGGTACCATGACTGCCTTACCTTAGGCAGGTATATTCTCAGGACACTAGAACACCCTGTGAAGTCCTCAAGGACTTGGGACACGATTGCTGCGCCTTCTTCCTGGGAAGAGTCAGGGGAGAAAGCACAGGTTACTTCAGCAACTGTGAAGTAAGACACCCAATTCTCCTTGAGAAAAAGTATTCTACTAAGTCAGATGTAGAGCTCCTTGATTAAAAAGAACCGAAAGCTAATCCAATAAGTTATTTGCCATGAAGAAGGCTGCAAAGTCCATGAAAAATACTACTACATCTTTTCCTCACCACTAAAAAAAAAGGGAGAAAAAACCTTCACATGAGCTGACATGACATTGATGACCACTATAGGAATTTAGAACATGATCAGTTAGGAAGGGCTTGAACCTAAATCTAACTACGGATTATGCTTCTGGATCTTGAAAAAGAAACCAGACTTCAAAGCAAAGGTTAAGAAAGTTCTATCTTGGAGGGAGTACCTCCCAATCTAAGGCTGCCTTTAGTTGTTGTTTTAAGCATCTTGTAAGATAGCTTTATTTCCCTGGTTTCTTAGTAAATTCCTTAAGGTCAGACACAATCTCTCAAATTTCTTTTGAGCCTCACATCTCACCAGCAAAATTCACACCACAAACACAGAAGCAGCTCCACACAGAGGCCTCTGTCTCTTTGAAAAGAAATAATGGCAATGACCGGGATGGTCTTAAACCCTCCACTCTCTGGGTCTTTGTTTTCTCACAGTAAGATGAAAATCTCTCTTCAAGATCCCTCTGGGTCTAGGTAGGTTACTTCTCTGGAGAAAAGACATGTGGCATCAGAAAAAGAGCACTCAACTTAGAACCAGACAAGTCATTTGAATTCTTGCAGGATCACCTACTACTAAGCCTTTCTGTGCCTCAGTTTCTTTGCCTGTAAAAGGGAAAGATGATACATGCCTTCCTTATTTCAAATGGTTCTTGTGAAACATAATTCAGACAGCAAATGGGAAAAGAAACCATTGTAAATCATGGAGCTAAACTCATAGGGAAGTAGCTTTCTACAGTAGGATGAAGTAGTTGAATGGAGTTTTATATGCAGAGGATCCCACAAAGTTAAAAAAACTGCACAGAAAAAATAAAAAAAGGAGCGATTTCAGATGGCATGGCATGGGAATGGGCAAGAAACATCTTCCACGTAAACAATGCAAGCTTTAGACTTCTTGGCTGTTAATTACATGAAGAGACCAAGAGACTTGTAAACCCATCTGCTGCATTGTAGATGATTCCATACGGTTGAAATCTGATTCTGGCTCTTGGAGAGTGGGTTAAGTAGATACAATCAGGCAGGAGCACTGTGAATAAAACAATAGAAAGGCATATTTGTATTGTTCTTTACTGTTTTCAAAGCACTTATGCATATATTATTATCCCATTTCATCCTTATACACACGTGAAGTAGGTATTAGGTTCTTATTCTTCAAGTGAAGAAACTGAGACTCAGGAGAAGTAATTTGCTAAAAGTCACACAATTAATAAACAACTCCACCCAAACTCAGGTGTCCTGATCCAAAAGTCTCTGCTTCTTCCAAGTTTGAGAAAAATATTATGTTACTTATCTCAGTAGATTTATTGTGGGGGAAATGAAGCCGTCTTAGCTTTTTTGGCAAAAGTGCACTCTGGTCTTCCTATTGCACCATCAAGCTTTGTTGCCTGCACTCCAAATCTTGAAAGTGTTTTAAAATATTAATGCTCATCATACAAATAGATTGCACCACAGATTGTAAAGATGCCTAGAATTAGTCCATGAATATAATGTCATGGAAGCACTATTGCCTTTGATCCTAAGCTTGTATCCCTGGGGCCAGCCAAGCAAGGGGAGATGTGTACAGTTTGATCTGAATCTTGGATTTCTGGAGGAATCTTGGAGCCTATGTGTAAATGTAAGATTTGCCCCTGGGTATGGACATAGACCTGCAGCAGATCCCTATCCATTGGCTAGGATGCTTGAGCAGGACATTGCTTTCTGGTATGCTATCATATCTCCATGTGTTTGAAGACAGTCACTGACCATACTATAGAAGTTCCCTTTGTGTTCTGGGAAACATAAGGAGGAATAAATTGGTGCTTGGCTGAACATCGAAAGCAGGTCGTGAGGACAAGCCCAGCCTAATGCTTTCACTCTCCCTTGCCTCAGCACATATCTGTATCCCTCAGGAGCTAATTCTGTGGAAAGTTAGTGGTGGTTTGTCCTTTTGAACAAGAGGAATGACTCAAGATAAGCCAATGTTATCATATTCTGTTAAATCCATTTCTCCTTAGATGTTGGACACTGAGTTGCGATCAAGATGGATTTAGGCAATGAGGACTCTCTGTTTTAAAAAATGCAACCACATAAATCAATTGACTTTGTTCAATGGATTCACCTACTATGAGGCCAATCTCTATTCTTGTAAAATTTTCCCCCAATTTAGGGGTTTCTATACCTGGTTTACTGAGTGATATTTGGAAAATTACTCACACTCTCTGGTCTTGATCTCAAACTCTTGATTTCAAAGTATCTGGAGAATGACAAACGTGCCTACTTTTCCACTGAGCTTTCTATGAGAACTAATCAAGTATTGAGCAACTATTTTGAACTAGCTGTTTTAATTAGTAGAAGAGACCAGTGAGGGGTATAATCCAAGAAAACATCTAATCCAGGAACAACTAAAGAAGCAACAAATCAACGAGGCATAGGATTCTATCATGTTTTCAATTTAGGACTGGACCTAACATGAGGCACGAAAATAATCTAAGACATTATTTTTTGCACCAATGAATTTATAATCAAGCTGTGAAGATAATTCCTTAAGTGAGGTCTACAAAGAATAGGACTAATTGAATTCCACATTACAATTGTCTTGTAAAGTTATTTACTTATTCCAGTGGTTCTTCCATTGCTCCAGACATTTCTGGCATCCCCTTTAGTTTGTTGATGAACAAATTTGAAAGGGAGAGTTGGCACCCACTTCTCAGTAGGAAGAATCTCCTCCCCAATTCCTCCATTGCAATGAATTTGGGCTGGGGTTAGATCAGAAAGCCCAGGTTATCAGCTTCTGGCTTCTGAAAAGAACACCTGCTTGCTTGGAAGTATCAGGTGATCTAGGAGGAAAAATACAAAATGGAAAGGATTGGTTTCAGGAGACAATGGGAGCAGAGGATCAAAGGGTCTGGGAGGCACCAGCAGGCCTGAGAGTGGGTGAACCTCAGTGACACACACCTGGTGTCACTTTCTAATGGAGATTCCCGATTAGCGGAAAGAGTCAGAAAACATTTGGTAAATGGAGAGTACTATCTCTTCCTGTGCAGCCTTCTGAACCATAAGCTGTGCAATTTGTTCTTCTGTGGGGGTGTAGTGCCAGACCTTGTTTTGCAGATGGACAAACCCTTGGCTAAGCTCTAAAATCTGGGGGCTACCATTTATTTTGCTGATGACTTGAGTCCCTCCCCGCTCCCCTTTATTTTTCCAAGAAAGGCTGCTCTTTAAAGATTGACCTGATCAAGTTTCAGGAAAGTTCGGTCAACTCTTGATTCCCACTTTGGATAATAGCCTGGTTAAATTTTAATGTTAGGCTGCCCTGTATTCAATTCAATAGCCCACATATTTATTAAGTAACTACCCTGCAAAAGGACAGACATGCACCGTTAAAGAGGAACCATGAATAGTGCATGATGCTCACTCTCAGAGGCCTGATTCTCTAATAGTGGAACTAAATAAATAACAACAACTGCAATAGAAGGCTGAACGTGTTAGCTATAGATGACAAGTTCAAAGTCCTGGGGCATTTTAAACTGGGAGAGACCATATATGCACAGTGTTGGGTTAAGTAGGGAAGCCATGGCGTTATGACGTGGGAGTGACAGCTGAGATAAGTCTCAAAAGGTTCATAGAATTTTTCCAGTCAGAGATGAGTATGGTGGCCTTGAAGAAGTTGGTGGGGAGGCATGGGATATAACTGATACAGGAAGTTTGATTAAAAGTATGGAAAAAGGAGTAGAGAAAGGTGGGCTCGAAAGAGTAGAGTGGGTACAGATTTTGGAGGCTCTGAATGCCAGGTTAAGTTTCTGGCACAAAGTAGTGGGGAGATGGGGAAGGCTTCTGAGCACAGGAATGGTCAGTGTTGTACCTTGGGAGAGTACTCTGACAGCAGCAAATAGGGTAAACTGGAGGAGAAGAAATAGAAGAAGACTACTGCAATGTCCTGGAAGAGGAGGTGTGAGTGCCTGCCTCAGCAAGGTGGCAATTAGGAAGGAGATGGTGCCAAGGGAGACATGGCAGAGAAACCTCCTCCACACATCCTCTCCAGTGCAATCCCTGGGTTAAATGACTCCTGACACAATGCTTTGAACAGCCAAATAGAATGGACTCTGGAGCTGTCTTGTTTCTAATTTTGTGCCTTAATGACCAGTTGATAAAAACCATCTAATGCCTGACTTAAGGAAGGTCCCAAGTGTTGGGACCCGCTCTGATCACAGTCCTCTGGCTACTTACGCAGGATATTTTGCCTGTCTACATTTATGGGAGTCTTGTTTTCTACACTATTTAATGTGCCCTTTTCTGAAAGATTATAAGAAAAGAAGCCAGATATTTGAGGTCAGAGGTTAGAGCTTGACGTAGAGATAGAAGGAAAGGAGGGAAATTATAGAAAAACACAAAAGAATTTATTAAAGAAAAGAAATTTTCATTGGTTCAAAAAGACAGCTAGGGCCAGGTGCGGTGGCTGACACCTGTAATCCCAGCATTTTGGGAGGCCAAGGCGGGTGGATCACCTGAGGTCAGGAGTTCGAGACCAACTTGGCCAACATGGTGAAACCCAGTCTCTACTAAAAATACAAAAAAATTAGCTGGGCGTGGTGGCACATGCCTGTAATCTGAGGCAGGGGAATTGCTTGAACCAAGGAATCAGAGGTTGCAGTGAGCCGAGATTGCGCCACTGCACTCCAGTCTGGCGACAGAGTGAGACTCGGTCTCAAAATACAAACAAACAAAAAAAGACTGCTAGGGGTCCTGGACCATCCAGAAATATAAACACAATGTCCAAGATAATGGGTATACCAACTGATTTTCTCTATTAGAGAATTTTCCAATGATGGACATACATTGCAAGATGATTCCACAGGGAAAAAGGGTGTGTGTGTGTGTGTGTGTGTGTGTGTGTACATAAGCATTTGCAAAAAACCGTTACCAAAGTTTGTTGCTATTTAGCTCACCATTTCTGATTACACAGCAACCCCCATGAGGTTCCCTTCCCCCACTACCCTTGAGAGAATTAAATTGTTCTAGCTCCAAGACGGTAACATAAGCATCTGCCCATCTATCTCCAGTGACTTATTTACTATGACTTCTCCTTCAACCTGCAGGTCAAGGATTCTCTGAAACATAAATATTTAGGTCAAGAAAAATAGAGGAATTTATTTAATATAGTGGACTTTTTTCACTGTGCTCAATGAATATCTCCATGCCTAGTGCCTGTGCTATCAGAGGTTTATACGATTTAGAAAAAGCAATGTTCACTGTCACCTCAGACAAACCTTGACACATCAGTGGCTTAATGTTACCGCAAACATTTGTTTCTTGCTGACATCGAAGTCCAATAACAGGTGGGTCAAGCGGGCTCTGTCTCAGAGCTCTACCATCTGGTATATGTGCCATCTAAGGCCACTGTGGTGGAGGAAGAAAGAGCTGAAGGATCTTGCAGGCTGTCTGTAAGGGGCATGCTTCACGCAGCTTATCTCACTGTGCTTATTTCGTTAGCCAGAAGTCAGCAAGTCGAGGCTCCAACCTCATACAAGGGAGGCTGGGCATCCAGAAGAGCACAGGAATCTTTGGTGCTGCGGAGCTTTTGCTCAAGGGCTTCCTAGTGGCCATGTGACACCCAGAGGGTCCGTAGGCCACATTGACTAGCTCCGTCCCAACGCTGCCCTTGGGCTTCCAGCATTCATTGCACCCCCGCCCCCAACCGTGTGGTTAGGAGAAAGACTGCGAATGTCCTGTTAAAACCCTTGATAAAAGATATTGCCAAGTCCTGGCTGTGGGATGAAGATGAGAATCCTTACCATGGGGTCTGCGCTCTTGACTTTGGTTGTGGGGTGAGGGGAAGCAGAGGAGAAAGAGAGAGACAGAGACAATGGGAGGTGAAGAATGCACAAGCAGCTGAAACATTGCCTCATTGTGTTCCCAGATTCTGATACTGCATCACTGGCTTCCAGAGCGCCTGTGTGACGTCACTGGATTCCAGTCTCTATATTTGTTCACCATCAGTGCCTCTTACTGTAAATAATTGAAAGGAATATAATAGGGTGAGAATTATTGTTGCCTCCCCCCTTTCGCCTTTCATAAAATCTTTTTATATCAGAGGGGTCTGGCCCCAGCCACTCCTAGCTCTATAATTAGTTCTGGGAGCTGTGAGGACTGAGTTTTAGCTAATGACATTTCACAGTTCAATCTTGAAGTACCTCAGGCTTTGTGATCTTTTTTGAAGCAAAGAGCTAGGGCTACAGATGAACCTGGGTAATTTGCACTAATAATACGTCAGTCTGTCAGCAGATTCCCAAATTTTACAAATAAGCAAGGGAACCCTGCAGGCTGATGTGCCAGTCAGAGGGTCCTTCCCAGCCTTCATGCTCCCAAAGCAGATGAGAGTGGGCTTGGTTTCATTAGTCACAGCTGGTGGGTTTTCATTATCTTCATTCTCTCATGTCTGCCTTGGCCATCATTGAGCCACACACATCTTCAAGCAAAGCATTCTCTGCCTTGAGACACACTAGTTCTTAAAGTGCTCTAGACTTCAGGAGAACCTGAAGCCCCTCACAGAGCCTTTGGAGTGCATGGCTATGAGGCCTGGGCACACAGCGAGACATGTAGTTGTCACTATCACCCAGTGCAAAAACACTCAGAGGGGCTCATGAGAATCCTGTCTTCAGAAACTGAGGCCCCAAGACATTCAATGACTTGCAAGTCTGTTCTTTCCTGTCCATCTTCTCTCTTCTCTACCACACTTCCCCTCTCTCTCTCTCTGGAAATTACCTGGATTCCCTCTCTTGGCCTCCAGACGGGTCAATATTTCCCTGCTTTTGCACATACCCTTACCTCTGATATCGTGCCCTTCCCACCTTGTTCTGCTGAACTTCCTCTCTAAGGCCCAGTGCAATCATTTCTCATCTTTGAAGTCTCCTTGACTTTGTCCCTTCGAAACTGAGTTTTCACTCCTTCTTTTGTGCTGTCATAGCCTCTTATGCTTAGCTTTATTTCAGCAATAATCACACTGTGATATAACAGTGTATGAACTGTCTTTCTCCATCACGCTACAAGCTTGAGGGAATGCACTCTATCATCCTTGTCTTAGTATCACCAGAGCCCAGGTGCTTTAGACACATAGTAGATAATCAATACAAGTTTTGTGAGTGAATAAGTATAAAAGTGTTGACCCTTTCCCTATGCACAAAGATAACTTTAAGACTGAGAAAGACAACAAATGTAGAATGCTTGGGATGCTTTAGAAAAAGCGGGGGTTGGGGGGTCACTAATCAAATATTATTTTGAGACTTCAAGTCTCCATTTGTCCTTATCTCCCAGGACACACCGTGAGGACAGGCAATTGCAGTTTCATGCAAGGCCCTCCCCCTTTCTTCTGCTGTTTACACTGGATCAGAAGGTGGGGCAAGAGTCTGATTGCTGCAGTATTTGCAGGGCTGCTGTAAAATAAAACAGTCTCCATGGCTGAGAAGCCCTGTGGCCAGGGTGAGCCACACTTCACCTCGTCCTGAAGCTATTGTGCTTGGATATTAATAGCCCTAGGCAGTGTTGTCTGTGTGGGCAAGTGCTGCTTTTTCCGAGCTGTGTAAGCCCCCCATCTCCCAGAGACAAAGTGCTCCACAAATAACTGCAGCATGTTCTGAATTCCTCTGGGCGGGGAGCTTTGGGGATAATTAGCAAGGCAAGGAGGAGCAGGGGTTTAGACAGAGCACCCATCACCAACAGCTCCTGGCAGCCCACAGCTTGGGGTGGGGAGTGGGTCAGGGCTAGAGTGCAAGGAGCCCGGGTAGGTAGAGAGGGTCAGCTCTTCTGGATTTCAAGCCGGCCTCTAAAAGAAGCCAGCTGGAGATCTCAAGCAAATCACTGAAATTGGTTCAGTCCTCCTTCTTCTGGATTGGGGTTCTGCTTATTTCATAGCTTGTTTTGATGAGTGAATTGAAGAAAATCTTGTGAGAGGCATTTATAGATTGCAAAATAATATATTAATTTCAGGGAAAACGATGATAATGGTGATGATGATGGTAGTGGCTTGTTAGGACAGCATGTCCTAGAAAAAATAGTGCGTCCTCTTCATGGTGACCATCTCTGGAAATCAGTAAGGAATAGGAACTAGGAACGGGGTTTGCACTCTGTTTTCACACGCCTCTCTCCAGGCCCAATGTCTTAGACCTCCCTGAACACAGCGACCCCACCCACACTTGGCAGAAGCTTCACACCTTCTCTAGAGGAAGTCTTTCTTTCACTCCTACACACATATTTTTTTTAATAGGGTCTCACTCTGTTGCCCAGGCTGGAGAGCAGTGGTGTGATCATAGCCCACTGCAGCCTTGACCTCTCTGGCTCAAGCGATCCTCCCATTCTCCCACCTCAGCCTCCCAAGTAGCTGGGTCCACCGGTGTGTGCCATCATGCTAGACGAACTTTTTTTTTTTATTATTTTTTGTAGAGACAGGGTTTCCCTATGTTGCCCAGGCTGATTGCGAACTTCTGGGCTCAAGCTATCCTCCTGCCTCTGCCTCCCAAAGGGCTGGGATTACAGGTGTGAGCTACTGAACCCAGCCCACAACCTTTTTTTTGACTAGTAGGAACATTTTTCACTAAGAACTAGTTCAAAAGTAATCTTTTAGAAAAATTGTGATTAAACGGATCTCTCTGTACTTCATACCGTTCTTTTTCTCTGTGTCTACTGGACCAGACTGGCATTTGCCCACTTCCTAGGTGTGTAACCTTGGGAAGTGACTTCATGTCTTTGTCCCTCAGTTTCCTCATCTGTGAAATGTCCCGAATAATATCTATACACAGCAGTGGGAAGAGTGTCTGGTCTTTGGTAAGAGCTCAATTGATGTTAACTGACAGTGTACACCTTCCCCCATCACCTGAGTTGATACAGTCCTGTTGCCTTTTAGGAGGTCTGGTGTTGATTTTTGCAGTGGAGTAACTCGGAGTGACATGGATCTCCTGACTACTCCACTTGAAGGAACTAAAAGGAATGGGAGGGAACCAGGCCCTCTGCTGAGCCCTGCTTAGTGGAGCCTTAACTCTGACAAACAAGAAGCAGAAGGAGCTCAATGGCCCATGAGTACTCACACATCTCATTGAGGAAGACTCCTCAGATTCCTGTGCCTGGGGAACAAAGAGCGTTAGGCATGCACGAGTTTCCTAAGTTTTCCTTAACAAAGGGCCTCTGACAGGGCAGCCTCAACAATGGAAATTTATTGTCTCACAGTTCTGGAGGCTGAAACCTGAGATCAAGGTGTAGGCAGAATCATGCTCCCTCTGAAGGGGCTGGGAAGGGTCTGTTCCAGACCTCTTTTCTAGCTTCTGGGAGTTCCTTGGCTCTCAGCGGCACAACTCCAACCTTCACATGCATTCTCCCTGACTGCATACACTTCCCCATGTCTACATTTTCCCATTTTATAAGGACCCCTGTCATATTGAATTAGGATCCATCCTAATGAACTCATTTTAACTTGATTTCCTCTGTAAAGACCCCATCTCCAAATAATGTCACATTCTGAGGTAGTGAGAATTAGGACTCCAACATATTGGTTTTGGGAGACATGATTTAACCCATTACAGGGATGCCATCCCCTGGACCCTCATTTTGCTAAAAAAAATAGAACCTTATAGGAAGGATGGACTCTCTCTCCCATGTTATAGACAAAGAAACTGAATCCTGAGAGGTTAATGAAAAAGAAACAAGTATGAAGTCTCAGGTCTCCAGACTAGAATTCACAGACAGAAAGAGCCCCCACTTCTGCTGTGGACCTCAGCATGCTCTCCACATCTGAGTGCATTTGATCACCTGAGGAGCTGGATGGAATTCAGATTTCTCCTGTTGTACACCACCCCTAGTGAGTCAGGAACTCTGGGGATAGGACTTAGATACATATTAAACAGGCCCACCAGGTAACTTCCTGCTCACTGTGGTTCCAGAAACTTCCCCCTGGTATATAGGTAGTGGATCAGGGTGTTATCGGTGGCATAGATTGGAAATCAGAGTGAAACATGGGAGATTAGAGGCAGCTGTGTCTCCCAGGGCCGCCTGATGGATTCCAGCATCTGGTTGCATGAGAAGCCGAGTTCAGGCCTGCAGCAAAGCCCTAGATATTTTCCACTGCCACATCTTCCTGGTGGCTTAAGAATGACAACTATGTGGAGTGACTGTGACCACAGATTTGAACTGAGGTTGGAAGAGTGTGGGAATTTTAGAACTAGACACCCTCTGCTTATGAACCCTTTTGGCCTCAGCTTTTGGGGGTCCCCTCCTCAGAGCTAAGCTAAGACTGTAGGGGAACTCGCGTGTATCACAGGAGCCTATTGATCCAGTGCTAGGTTTTTACTCTAAAAATTACCCTTTGTATTTGTGTGAGTACCTGTATAATGGGTATAAAATGATATGTTGCATCTGAAGAAGAACCCATACAAGTGGATCATTCTGGGAAAGACAAATAAGGATGCTCAGGCATGTTCAGGTACCTGCATCTGGAAAAGTAGACAATGAGGATGATCACTTGGCTCTGCACAAAAAAGGACGAGGGCTACTTTAACCTGATCCTCCAGGATCTCTAACTCCAAACCAACAACACTGCCTTGGGGAACTCCCCTGTCTAGCGCCTTTTATGGCTAGGCTTCCATATTTCAGGATCAAAGCAGGCATACAGGAGAGAGTCAGCTGATGCCTTGCACAATGATATAGCTGTTTTCTGTCGAGCTGTTTTCTGTCGTTGTAGAAGCTTACAATTCCCTACAGGGAGATTAGCTCCATTTTACTGAGAAACAATCTGCTAGGTATACAAGGCATACAGTAGGATGCTCCCTCCACTAATAGAATCAGGTGGAACTCTACCGACATAGTCAGAACTTTGGTGTGGAGAATCCAAGGCAAAGGAGAGACCAAATTGCACTGGCCTTGGGAAGCTTCATCCCCTTGCTTTTGTGTCTGTCTTCCTTTCACTTTGGGGGGAGAGGTAAAAACATTTAACTTTTATAATGATGTGTGACTTTTCAATGCAGAATTGGTAGGAGGAAATCACTATGGGACTCAAAGCTTCTTTGGAGGAATAATGGAGTGGATAACCCAGGCATGAGTGGCAAGGAGGAGCTGCCTGCATCTGTGCCAGGCTGGCTGTGGAGGGTACAGAGCAATGCCAGCATCTCTTAAGAAACTGCCTCACTGTGTCATCTCTGGGTTGGACTGTTTCATCATACGAGATATTTGCCATGTGTTCTGTTGCCAAAGAGATGCATTAATAACAATAGTTAACCAGGATTGTTTTTTGTTTAGGTGTGAATGGTCCGTTAATTTTCTGACATGCACAGTCATAGTGATTTTTTTTAGAAGTACCAGAAGAAAGCCCGGAATAATCTCTGATTTACATATACAGAGCTGTTTGCTCAAAGACACACTATGGATTTCCCATGCAATTTCAACTGCAACAGAACGGTGGGGAAAGAGACAATAATTGGTATCATTTCTGTCTTATAGGCAGAAAAATCAAGGTTCCATTTCTTGCTGTGTAGGTCCATAGACGTGGAAACAGAACTGTACTCTCTAGCATCTGTGTCCACCCTTCTAGGTCCTGGGCTCCAATCAAGGATAAACTGCAACAAAAATGAGGTACATTGGTCACCAGGAAGCAGTTTCCAAAAACGATTACTCTAGGACTCTGATTAAAGGAAGGTTATTGTTGTTGCTGTTGTTGCTTTTAAAAATGTGATTATCAGAAGAGAGGATGCTCATGTATCTAGGTTAGATGAGGCAGAATCCAGAGGTGGGTTGTGGGGGAGGGTGGGATTAGACAACTTCCTGCGGTCTCTGGATCCTCTTACTCCACCATTCAGAAAACAGAAGTATCCAAACCTTAGTGACCGCAGCCCCCTGAACGCTGATCACTAACATGATTAATCAGCGGGAATGCCAGTAGTCTTGTTTAGAACAGGGCCAAGCAAAGTGATGGATTGTTATCATTATCAGTAGCACTATTTGCAATTAGTAGTAATTGCATGCTCATCTTTGGAGATCTTTTGGAGGTAATTGAATCACACTACTTAAGAATTCAGTCCCTCCAGTTCTCCCTCTTTCTTTTTTTTCCTCCATCCTCACCCCATGCCTGGAAAGCAAAGACAAGGCAGTTAATATTAATCAGGTCATTATGCTTCGTTGAGATTTATGAAATAAAGTGTTCGAATACATGGTCACGTGTTAGCGCTTCAGCATCTTTGCTCTTCAGTAGCAGGCATATGCTTAACTCTTAGGGTTCCAGGTCAATTATTGGTTATGAACTTCCTACTTCTAGGAATATACTAGGTCTTTAATCGAGAATCATAAGCTGAAAAGACTTAACCCACAAGGTAACATGGAACTCACCTACATGTGTGGATGTGTGGATGAACCAGACTTGAAATTCTGAACTCTGGGCTCTTAGGCCAGTGCTCTTCATGGAGCACCTTGCTACTTTTGAAAAGTGATGCTCCAAGTCATTCACAGCACGTCGGCACAATCCTTCAATGTGTCCCTCTGTCACCAGCACCCTGGATGGCACACAGGATGTATTAACAGCATCTGTATTAACAACTCGAGCACCTTTCCTATCAGGCATAGTCTGCTTTGAGGACCAACTTCTTCCTTACTAGCCCACTGATTAATAAGTTCTTACTGAACATCTACTGTTTGCTTCAGCCTGAAAACATGTTTGGCACACCTACGGGGCATTAGACATTATACTGTATCCTAGGGCTATGAGGTTAATAAGACTCAGTCTCTTCCCATGCCAAGAATCCAAGGAGATCAAGACAAGCACATAGGTATGAACAAAGGCAAGTGCAATATGCATGGATGTGCCTGAAGATGAGCTACTTTAATAGCGTTATGTTAGAAACAGCTAAATCTACAAAAGTAGACAGTTTAATTAATTTATGCCATAGATATATTTATTAGTGTCAGCTGTGTCCCAACACTGTACTAATTACTGGTAGTATAATACAACAAATATAGTCTCTGCTGTTTCCCTCATGTATGTTATATTCTAGTAAAGAGACAGATCTCTTTATGAGTTCTTGAGAGAGGGCTGCAGAAGCCAACCTCTGGAACTGATGAAAAATGAACACCTAATGACCCAATTACTTAAGAATTTAACTACAAAATAGGACTTACATAAGTAGTAGTAACCTGTTTAATCATAACTAAGCATTCAAATTTATTTTGAAGAAAGGTGAAACTACACAGCATTTAAATAAATACGAACATCAAGGTGTAGATTGTGTTTGTCCCTCTTTTTTTTTTTTTTTTTTTTTTTTAGAGGAGTCTCACTGTGTTGCCCAGGCTGGAGTGCAGTGGTGCAATCTTGGCTCACTGCAAGCTCCACGTCCGGGGTTCACACCATCCTCCTGCCTCAGCCTCCCAGGTAGCTGGGACTACAGGCACCGGCCACCACGACCAGCTAATTTTTTTTTTTGTAGTTTTAGTAGAGACGGGGTTTCACCGCGTTAGCCAGGATGTTCTCAATCTCCTGACCTCGTGTTCCGCCTGCTTGGCCTCCCAAAGTGCTGGGATTACAGGCATGAGCCAATATGCCCAGCCAACGTTATCTATTAATAACTCTTACTATTAACAGTTGTTGAATATATGAGAGAGTGATATAAGATTTATTCTTACATCTAAGTACTATTTATCTGAGTGTCTGTCATGGTACCTGTTCCCAGGAAGTTTGTAGTCTGGTAGGAGAGGTGTATACACACAAAAAGTAACAAAGCAATAAAATAACTGTAGCCTGTATTGAATGTATTAGGGAAACAAATAGAATGCTGTGATATGAGAGAGAACAGAGTGCCATTATTAAAAAGTGCTGGCACCGGAGCTAGGCTGCCTCGGTTTGAATCCCACCTCTATTACTTGCCAGCTGTGTGACCTTGAGCAACTTATCTAACTTCTCTGCGCCTCCATTACTTCAGTAAATAGAAAATATAGTTTCTCTGCAAACTAAATGAGTTAATATTTGTGATGTGCTTAAAATAGTGTCTGGCCTAAAATAAGTATGATGTACTAGCAGAGTTGATAATGCAAGGACTCATGCGAGTGAATTTCTCTCTTATGAAATTAATTCCTAATCTGACAATTTCGCGATGAGGGATGCATACTTTGAGGGACAATGATGTGCTGAAGCCAGCTTGTACTAATCCACAAAAACCAATGTTTCTCCCCTCTTCTCCAAACACTGCATTCAGTGACTTAAAACACTTCCCCCAGACTATGCATTCACTGATAGCTTGAGATTGGCCGTGGCAGGAGCATTCATACCACGAAATTGATAAATGCTACCTGCCAATCAGGGCTTTTCTTTTTTCCTCAAAGAATCGATTGCCAAATATTTACCAGCCCACCACTGGTATGTACATTTAGTAGAGGGTAATGGGGAGCTGGAGTTCTTCCCAGTAGTTCCAAACTGCTTACACCTATCATGATATATTTGTGAAATACATATTTGTTAAGAAATTCTAAAACACCTCATGTAATGTGTCCATTATACCAGGCCCAAAGGCGTGGGGGCTTATTTGCCCAGAAACTGGAAATGCTATGGAAAGACAAAGCCGTGATGACTGCCATTAATGATGGGCCACAGAAATAAGCTATTCATCAGCTGAGTACTCTCTCTTGACAAAGCACGTGCAATTGGGGTAACTTCTGCACAGGGCGGGGATATCTTGGGACAGGGCTGCAGGAGCCAACCTCTGCACCTGATGGAAAATGAAATACACATTGACCCAATTACTTACGCAATCACTATAAAAATAGAACTTAACGTAAGAATAAACCTGTTTAATCATCAAGTATTCAAATTTATTTTAAAGAAAGGTAGAACTACAATAAATATTAACATAATAAATAAATGTAAATATCTAATGAAGTATTAAAATAATATTTAAATGAATGTAAACATCAAGGTACAGATTGTGCTTTTTCCCACTTCATGTGATCTATTAAAAACTATTACTATTTAACATTTATTGAATATTTATTAAATGTCCATCTTTTGAGTGTTTTATTATGTATTAACTCATTTCATCCTGAAAAAAACCCATAAGGGAGTTATTATTATTGTTCCCATTTTACCAACAAAAAAATTGAGGCCTCCAAGAGATTAAGTAAGTGGCTCAGGGCTTTCAGCTGGTAAATGTGCAAACCAGGACACAAGCGCGGAGTATCTGACTTCAGCACCTTTGCACTGTGCCAGTGGTGTTGATAATGTCTAAAGACCCAATCCCGAAGGCTATAATCCCAAATGCTGAAATCCCAAAAGATCAAAATCCCTAAAGTCTAAATTCCTAAAGTCTAAAATCCCTACTTAAATCCCCAAACCATGACAGATTAAGAATTAGGTGCCACCAATGTTTCTAAAAGTAAATTTCAAGGAGTTACCAATGAAGTCTGTTTTTTTCCATTTTTTCCATTTGCTTTTCGTGGAAAATTCAGATGAGTGGATCGGCTACGTGATCAGGCAATGACAAAAACTTCAGTTAAAAATGCATTATTTGCCTGGATAGGTATTCCTTCTAGCTGATGAAATTCCAGGAACTTTTAATGAATTAAAGCTGCATTTGCCTGAAGAAGCCAGCAAAGTTACTGACAGGTTTGAAAATAATTATATGCACATTAGGATAAGAAGCTACTTACACAAGGTTGTTGCTGTTCCATCATCAGCATTGTTTCTGCCATATTTGTGGTGTGTACAGGAGTGCATGCAGAATGAATTTCCACATACTGAAAACAACACAGAAACATGGCATAAAAGATGGGTAAATTTAATATAAAAAGTTTATGTAAGTGTATATGGAATCATAGAAGAATTTCAAAAAGAGTAGCACCACGTAGACAATAAATGTAAACCTATTTCCCAAGGAGACCCATGCTATAAAAGATAAAAAGCAACTATTAAAGCAATGCAAGGCTTCAAAATGTAGTTAGTAATTGTGAAAGTCAACCAGCTCTTATAGACTATCTCCTTGCAATTGCCATAATCTATGCCTGTAAGACTTTTTCATATGTTGAATTTTCATTTAATTTTTTTTTGGGGGGGAGGGATTTTTTTTATTTTTGTAGTTTTTTTCTCCACTATTTTATTTTATTTTATTTATTTATTTGTTTTTTTGAGACAGAGTCTAGCTCTTTCACCCAGGCCGGACTGCAGTGGCGCTGTCTCGGCTCACTGCAAGCTCTGCCTCCTGGGTTCACGCCATTCTCCTGCCTCAGCCTCCCGAGTAGCTGGGACTACAGGCGCCCACCACCACGCCCAGCTAATTTTTTGTATTTTTAGTAGAGACGAGGTTTCACCGTGTTAGCTAGGATGGTCTAGATCTCCTGACCTCGTGATCCGCCTGCCTCGGCCTCCCAAAGTGCTGGGATTACAGGCGTAAGCCGCCGCGCCCGGCCTTCTTCACTATTTTAAATTGTTAGCATTACTTTTTACATTCACTTTTTACATATTTCTTACATTACATTTCATTTTACATTCGCTATGTATTTCACTTCCGCATTGTTTCCAACACTGGAGGTATAAACGGTGTAAAGACATTTGGAGAGTTCTAATTCGTTTTATGCATTTTTGGCAAATTTGACTCCACGAAAATACATTATCATAATGTTAACTCTGTGTGCAAACATTATGCATACACATAAGAATGTTGAAATTTCCTGTATAAATGAAGAGATGTCCTTTCTGTACATCTCCATGTTGGAGAGATAACATTTTGTGATCTCTGTTCTTTGGGCAACTGCATTTGCTGTTTGTGACCCATTGCAGTTTTTGATGGGTCTCGTCAAAAGGCTTAGGCTGTCCATTACAGTATTTCAGATGATCACATTTATATAAGCAATTTCTTTATGAATACAGTTCATCTGTTATAGATAGCCATTATATCCATGCAACTGTCATTAGTATACCTGAGTGCTTATGTTTGCAAAAAATATGTATGTTATCATTACATATTTTATAGTATAAAATGGTCTATGAAATGTTCTGTCATGCTTTTATGTTTCTCAAATAAATTTCCCATTAAAATGTAAATATATGTCTTTTAAAGAATTTTTATGGTTACATTTTACAGAGTTACATTTTTGAGACTTTGATCTTTCCAGATTTCAACATTCAGGATTATGGCATTTGGGATGGTATCTTTCTGCATTATGGCCCAAACTCTCACTATGCAATACCACCTCTCAAATGCTTTTCTCCAATGCAAACAACAGAACAAATGTCATTTCTATTATTGTGATACAACTTGTATCAGAGAAATTATATCTGCAGGCAAGAGTACTTCCTAACACTGAATCACGGAACAGGGCACTCTTACCCAGACACAGGCAGTGCTGAGCAGGACCTGGGCCACCTAGGGAGTAAGAATCAGGATGGTCCCCACCCTCAGGGTTGTGCTAGTGCAGAGTTGGCCCCGAAAGTGGGTGCCTCCTTAAATCTTGCTCCCAAGTGCTGGCCCTAGTGCTGGGCCACCACAGGCCTATTGGCCTCCTTGGTTTCATAAGTATACTTGCCAAAAAAGAAGACTATAAAAGCCAGAGAAAGAAAGAAGTAGAAGCCAATGGGCTGGAAAATCCACAAGCAACATTCCTGATAGCCAACTGCACAACCAGAGGCCGGGGCAGAGAGAGGAGCCTGGGGGTGGGGCCTGCCCTGCTTCCCAGCTATTAAGCAACTCAGGCTGTTCTTTTGTTTTGTTTTATTTCTTTCCAGCTTGCTTTATTGAGGTATAATTGACAAATAAGAATTGTACATATTTAAGGTTTTGATATACGTATACATCGTGAAATCATCACTACAATCAAGCTAATTCACATATCCATTACCTTACATAGTTACTATTTTTTCATAGTGAAAACACTTAAGATCGAATTTTTTACCAAATTACAAGTATGCAATATAGTATGATTAACTACAGTCCCCATGCACTGTACATTAGGTCTTCAGAATTTATTCATCTTATAACAAACTGCAAGTTTGTACCTTTTCACCAACATCTCTGTATTTCCTCTCTCCCTTACCCCGGCTGCCGTCATCCTACTCCTGTGTCTATGAGTCTGACTTTTTTAGATTCCACATATGAGTGAGATCACACAGTATTTATCTTTCTGTGCCTGACTTATTTCACTTAACATGGTATCCTCCCAGTTCCTCTGTGTTGTTGCGAATGGCAAAATTTCCTTTATTTTAAGGCTCAACAGTATTCCATTGTATATATAATCTACGCTTCCATTATCCATTCATCCACTAATGGACATTTAGGTTGATTACACATCTTGGTTATTGTGAATAATGCTGCAATGAACATGGGACTGCAGATAATTCTTTGACATACTGATTTCATATCCTTTGGCTATATACCCAGAAGTGGGAATCCCGGGTCATACAACAGTTCTATTTTCAGTTTTTTGAGGAACAACCATACTGCTTTTCATAATGGCTGCACCAACTTACATTCCCACCAACAGGGTGCAAGGGTTTCCTTTTCTGCATATCTTCACCAACACTTGTCATCTCTTGTCTTTTTGGTAATAGGAATTCTAACAGGTGTGAAGATATCTCATTGTGGTTTTAATTTGCATTTCCCTGATGATGAGCAATGTTGAGCATCTTTCTATAATCTGTTGGCCATTCTTAATGAGCCCAGGAAAGGAACACCCTCCCCGCCTCCACTGCTCACATGTACAGCTGCCCTCCTGTCATTGTCAGGCACCACTCCCACTGTCTCCTACTGCCAGCCTTCATCTCAGCACCAGCACTTTCTCTTCAAACCTTGTTCTCATAGCTCCAAAGAAGGAGCTCTCTCTCTTCCTTCTCCCCCTCAGGCCTTTGCAATGCTCATTCCGTTTCTATAAATTGTTCATTACTCACAATGGTCCCTGAGCTCGTTCTAAGGTCAGAAAAAGATTAAAGGCTGCTGAAGAGTGTGCATGAAGGCTGGAAAAGACCATGGTGCCATCTGTGAAAAATTCTTGCTCTTGGATGTAGTTTATTCAGCTTTTGGATAAAACACCAATGCTACACAGATATCAAAATAACACAGGAGAATGGGGTCACAGAAACCAAGGGCAATCAGCTGTATGGTCTTTAGTAAGCCACCTTCCCTTTCTGGGCCTCAGTTTCCTCCTTAACATAAGCAAGACACAGATGCAGCAGAAACTAAATAAACTCCAACCTTCCTTATAATTCTAAAATTATGAATCCTTAAGCCTAGATATTCCATAATGGATCTTTTAACTCCAAAATTTTGTAATTCCATGATTATTCTTTCCAAGAGAAATTTAAATGAGCCTGAGGGTCTGCATAGACAGCTGCCCTGGAGATTTGTAGACTCCTGGGGAGAATACTAAATGCTCATCCTATTTGTCCATCATCAGATCTGTCTTAAGGACCCATAAAGAATGGATGGTGAAGCTCCAGGTAAAGCTGTGTCCTCCTTTTTTGGCATCCATAGCAAGATATTTTCCTGCTACTACAACTTCCCCTCTGTTCCTTCCTTCTTTTCTGCAGCAATTCTATATTGAATGCCCACCATGTGCCAGACACAGGGGAACAAGTGGACAATGAAGGAAGAAGGTAGTCTATCTAGACCCTAGGCAAAGAAGCGCATGCAGGGAAGAGCTGCCTCCCTCTGTCCGTCTCTGGTTCCTTACCTCTTAAACACAGCTGCTCCTCAAAGAGCTGGCCCTACTCTCACTCACTTCACAAACTTTCATTGAGCATTTACTACATTCTGGGCATTGTGCTAGGCTCAAGGGACTCAGAGATAAATAAGGCTCCATTTTGATCCTCTCAACCAATCAACCTCCTGTAAAGAGGTGTTTGCTAGATATGGAACCAACCTAAGTGTCAATCAACCAAAGACTGGATAAAGAAAATGTAGTATATATACACCATAGAATACTACTCAGCCATAAAAAAATAAAATAAAATAAAGTGTTTTGCCACAACTTGAATGGAGCTGGAAGCCATTATTCTAAGTGAGGTAACTCAGGAATGGAAAACCAAATACCATATGTTCTCACTTATAAGTGGAAGCTAAGCTATGGGTATGCAAAGGCATACAGAGTGGTATAATGGACATTGGAGACTCAGAAGGGGGAGGGTAGGAAGGAGAATGAGGAATAAAAAACTACATGTAGAGTAGGATATACACTACCCGGGTGACGGCTGCACTAAAATCTCAGGCCTCACCACCACACAATTCGTCTGTGTAACCAAAAACCACTTGTGCCCCTAAAGCTATTGAAATTAAAGTATATATAAAAAAGTGTTTGTTGAGAGCCTGTGGGGAAGTCAGGCAATTGAACAAGACAGGTATATAATTATAGTTGCTACTCAGTGCAATGAGAGCTGTAACAGAAGAGTGTTTAAGCAGGGAAAAGGTAACGAGGCAGCACAGAGATGGAACAATAGGCTCTGCTCTGGGTGGACTGAGGAAGGCTCCTAAGAGGACATGGTTGGTTTTCCATAAGGACAAGGAAGGGAAGAGAATTTCAGCACATCATGTGCAAAGGGGTAAGGTAGTTTGGCAACTTCAGGAAAATGATAGAATATGCTGTGTGTGTTGTGGGCTGTGCAGGAGTAGGTGACACAGGAGGCTGCACTGGAGGAGTGCGCAGGGCACAGCCCATAGAGCTGCCTGGTGGGGCTGCCAGGGAGTTTGGACCTAAGCCTGTAGGCAACAGGGAACCTTATTCCCAGGGGAAGGGAGGTGAGATGTGTGTCTTGCCTCAGCATGTACATCAGTTTCCTAGGGCTGCCAAGACAAAGTACCCCAAGCCAGGTGGCTTAAAACCATAGAAATTTATTCTCTCCCAGCTCTGGAGGTCAGACATCTGAAATCAAGGTGTGTGCAGGGTTGGTTCCTTTTTGGAGGCTTTGAGGGAAAATCTGTTTCTTACCTCCCTGCTAGCTTCTGGTTTCTGACAGCAATGTTTAACATTCCTGAGCCCAGGGGAGAATACCTCATGGAAAGGGAAGCGTGCTGACAATATGATCTGGGCAAGCCAAGGATATGAGGACATAGAAGGGGTAAACAAGCCAAGAAAGCCTGTCTGTTGGTCTCTGTGATTGTTCATTTTATGGGTAAACCTCACTGGGTCACAGTGTCCCCAGATATCTGGTCAAAAATGATTCTGGGTGTGACTATGAGGGTGTTTCTGGATGAGATGAGCATTTGAATTAGTGGACTGAGTAGAGCAGATTGCCCTCCCCAATGTAGGCATCCTCATCCAATCAACTGAAGGCCTGAATAGAACAAAAACACCGACCTACTTGTGAGTAAGAGGGACCTCCTCCTGCCTGACTGCTTGAGCTGAGATGTCAGCCTTTTCCCGCCTTTGGACTCAAACTGAAGCATTGGCTCTTCCTGGTTGTTGAGCCCGGGTTTTCAGACTGGAACTTACACCATTGGCTCTTCTGACACTCCAGCTTGCCAGCTACAGATATTGGGATTTCTCAACCTCCATAACCACATGAGTAATTTCCTTATAATAAATATCTTAACACACACACATACACACACACACACCCTGTTAGTTCTGTTTCTCTAGAGAATCCTGACTAATACAGTTTTACAGAGAGAGAATAGAGAGGAAACACAGGACTTTTAAGACACAGTTGAATCCCATGAACCTCCTTGAGATTCCTTACTTTTGGGGGCAGGGAAGATTCCAGATGAGAAAGCATTTGCATCCCCACTCCATTCTCTCTGTCCAACTATCAGGCTGGACTTACTTATCCATTCCCCTATCAACCCCCTCCTTCCCCACTGCTGTCTTGCTGTGAGGATGCTGTGAGCGGATGCCGGCTCCACCAGAATCCTCAGTGGGCAGAGACAAAAGAATGTGTCCCCCCCACATCCCAAGCCACTGTCATCACCACTCTCCAAACGCTGGCCAATGGGCCATAAAGCAGCTACCGGCCCTCAGGATGAATCAAAAGGAAGGCTACTCCCTCCCTCGTGCCTGGGCGTTTGTCCTACCCCAAGTGGAGATGGCAGAATGGTTAAACCCAGCAGATTTCCTAAGACAGCAGTGCTTTAAGGTGACTTTCATGTGCCCTTTCCTTTACATTTTAATGGCACTCTAATGTTGAATTAAAATGGAATTCCTATGGAAATGTACAATGTCTAAATCAATACTTGCTGATTAGTGTCACGAGGATGAATATCAAAAGATGTAATAGCAATGACGAGGCCCAAACCGGGGTGAATAAAGCCACCTGTGTCCATTAACTCAAGCCTGACTAATGCTAAATTACGATAAAATATCTAGGAAATTCTGGCCAGAGCCACTTTAAAGCCCACAAAATGTAGCCTAATTAGCACTATGATGACAAATGCAGGAGGAATTCATTATGCCCAAAGACTCCTTGTAAAGTCCAATTTTACAAACTCTTCCTTTTTTTGCCAACACGATGCCTAGAAGGCTACGGGTGGCTTAAATACCACTAGGCAACTGCTTTTCCAGGTGCTGAGCTAAGTCAGGCTCCACGTGGGCATCAGAGAGTGAGTAACAGAGGGAGGAGGGGGTTTGTAACTCCCCTTCTCTCTTAGTCATGGCAATCAATCTGTCTGTGCATCTCTGAATCTATGTGTCTATATATGTATTATAGTTTAATTGTTATGAGTGCAGGCTCTCATGCCAGACATTCAGGCCTGCACTCTGCCTTTTTCTACTCAGGTAACCTTAGTAAGGTTACCCTGTACCTCAGTTTCCCCAAATGAAAAGGAGGATAACAATAATACCCTCTCATAGGGTAGGTATGAATATCAAATAAGTTATTACATTCAAAGGGTCTTCAGCAGTGCCTACACCAAGCAGCACATGGCAAGTGTCAGCTATTTTATGTTCTATTTTTAAATCTGCTTTTTAAAAAATTTACTACAGAAGCCGTAGGCTAAAAAAGAAGGCATTTAGACAACTCTGCCCTGCCAACACTTCCCTGCTCAGAATCACACAAAACCACAGGATGTTATAGAAGAAAGAAACCTTTTAATGGAGAACATGTAATTCAGCCCTTCTCATTTACAGATGAAGAATCGGAGGCCCGGGTAGGGGAGGAGACTGTCTAAGGGTCACTCAGATAGTTCTGTTCCATTTAAACATCTATCAAGTGCCTCCTGTGCCTAGACCATATGCTCATTACTAGACTACAATGATGAATTAGTCCCTGTTCTTAAGCAGCCTATCATATTGTGAGAGAGACAAACACATCCACGAAACAGGTAGATATAAGGTGGCAGGGAAAGTAAGTGAGAGAGAGAGGCAGATATTAACACTGAGAGACTGTGAGGGCAGAGGAGACCACTGAGTCCAACCTGCAGATTTGGAGGAAATGTCTCAGAGAAGATGAAGCTTGAATTTTCTTCTGGAGGAGAATGAGTTAGCCAGGCAGTCAAAGGGAAAAAGATCTCATTCGGTGCAAAAGCACAGGTGTGCAAGACAAAGGTGAGTATGGGGGAATCACCAGCAGTCTGACAACATGGGAACACATAGCACAAGAATGGGGAGTGTCAGGAGATGAGATTAGATAAGCCTTTTATGCCTTGGCAAAGAGATTGGAGTTATTTTTATAGATAACAGAGAGTCATTGAAGGTTAAGCAGGGGAGTAACATGTTTACATTTAATTGGAACATTCTGCTTTCATTTGGGGAGTGGATTTTGAAGGACTAATATGGAAAGAAGGATTTCAAAAGGTAGCTGATGTCAATGAGCTGTGTAAGACCTCATGAGGATCTGAATGAGGGCAGCTGAAGCAGAAGTGGAGAGAAGAGGGACAGATTTGAAAGCCCTTTAAGAGGCAAAGTAAGCTGGACTTGATTAGATGTGGAGGATGGGGAAGAAAAAGGAGTATAGGATGATTTCGAGTTTCTCACATGGGTGACAAGATGGATGGTAGAATTATGGGTTGAGAAAGTGGGATGATAGAGGAACAAGAAACAGGATGAGAAAGTCAGGGAGAAAGGATAGTTCTGCTATGACCAGAGGCAGCTGGAGGGCAAGAGTGCTCTCCGAAAAGAGATTAGGGCTGGAGAGAATGATCTCAACATGCATGGAGTCCTTAATACAGGGAGTTAGTAAGACCTTTCAAAAAACATTTACCGGCTGGGCACGGTGGCTCACACCTGTAATCCCAGCACTTTGGGAGGCGGAGACGGGTGGATCACGAGGTCAGATCGAGACCATCCTGGCTAACACGGTGAAACCCCATCTCTACTAAAAATACAAAAAATTAGCCAGATGCGGTGGCGGGCACCTGAAGTCCCAGCCACTTGGGAGGCTGAGGCAGGAGAATGGCATGAACCCAGGAGTTGGAGCTTGCAGTGAGCCAAGATCGTGCCACTGCACTCCAGCCTGGGCGACAGAGCGAGACTCCATCTCAAAAAAAAAAAAAAAAAAAAAAAAAAAAATTTACCGAAAGAATAATAATGGATGAAGTCCTTATTTTTGAGGAGAGCATATTTAAGGGGGAGGTTGAGGTGTCTTCTATGAACAAAGAGAGATCACTGGAGAGGTACAAGCCAAACCAAAAGAGAAGTCCCACAGACAGCAAGTGAGTAGATATCCTTGATCACAATGTTAAATGCAGAAACGATTTCTGAGAACAAAGGGCTGACAAACATAACGGGTGTGGCAGAATGAGCCTGGCCCCATATTGACCTTGACGAGGGCCACCTAAATGGACCAGTGAGGAAGATCAGACTGAAAGTGGGTTGAGGAGTCATTAGGTTGTGAAGTGGTGGAGACAATGAGTGTAGGCATCTATTCCAGAAACAAGATTTTTTTCAGGAAGATGAGAGACTGGTTGTTGGTTGGAAGAGGACTTAGAGTCAACAGAGGGATTTTATGAAGAGGGGAGAGACTTAGGCATGTTTGTTAGCAGAGGGCAAAGAGCCAGGAGAGAATAAAAGGTTGTAGACACAGTAAAGAAGGAGGCAGTTGTTGAAATAAATTTCTACGGGAGCAGGGAAGGATGGCATCAAGAGCCACAAGCACTAGGGAACTGGGAACCAAAAAGGGACACCTCGTCTACCGACCCCAAAGGTGAGAAGCTGAACATAAAGAAAGAGTTGATAAATTTGAAGGAGTGTGGTAGTGGAGGGGGTAGGAAGTTGAAGATTTTATTCTCAAGGGCTTCATTTTTTAAGAAAGTAGAATCAAGTTTGCGGTGCTGCAAGTGTGGAGTGGGGTCTAGTAATGGACTTAAGGAGAGAAGTCACTGGGTATAAAGGGATCATCAAGAAATGCAGAGAGCCCAGCTGAGGTTAGTGGCCAAGCTGGGATTCAAGCCCAGTTCTACAGATTCTCAGAGGATGACAGCTCTGTTGCAGCATTAATCTTCAGGGTTGGTGATATTTTCATACCATTGGTTTCTAGTTCCTCTATTTCTCATCAAATTCCAAAAGAAGTCATTCTGTGTCTGCACAGCTTAGGAAAAATTCCCAGAATTGTTGCTGCCTGGCTCCTTGTTTGAACTTTAGTTTATGTCAAGTAAGGCTATTTTCAACCCTGTGTAAAATGTAGATATTAAGTCTGAGAAACAGAAGCCCTCCATCGCCTCTGTGTCCCAAGACAAAATAAGCAGGCCACTCAATGTATCTGCTGCCCTGAAACCTACAACAACTCAAACTTCTTCACATCTCCCCTTTTCCCCCACTCTTGCCATGGAATAGATCCCACCACAGAAAATCAGAGCCTGTATTAGGTCTCGGCAATCTGGGAGACCAGTGCACGTCAGGGCACAATGCCTGACAGTTGATTTATTAGAGGCAACCACAGAGGTTAAAGGCAACCCAAAATTCATCTGTAAGCAGAGAGCCACAATCAGTGACTTTTCTCAAAGCCAAGAGACAGCTGGTGGTCTGCTTTCTTCCCTGTGGGCTGAGATCCTGGGGACTGCAACAGTTTCCACAGCACACTGCAAGCAGAAGCAGGCAGGACACAGATGATGGTGCCCAAGTTAGGGAGTAATTTCTGGGATTGAGCGGGATGTGGTGGAAGAATAAGAGTGAGTCCCCGAGAATTACTGTGACTTAGCATTTTCCTGATGGAGAGTAGAGAGGGAGAGAAGGGTCCTAAGCCCTGGAGGTCTACAGTGGTAGCTCCCATGCCTGTCTGAGTCTACTCTAGGCTATAGGTCTTTGGTTGTACTTGTCTACTGAGTTTTGGTTGTTGCATTAGTAGGATCAGGGTGTCCCTTCATGTCACTGTTTCTGATATTTATGCCATTGTTTTAGCAGTGGAATATCCTATACCTTGCTTTGAAGTTGCAAGTTTCAAGCACTTCTTTAAAATATTCAGGGAGAAAAGGAAATGCGTAAAACATTTTTTTAAAAAGGCATATTGGGGTCAGGTGCAGTGGCTCACACCTGTAATCTCAGCATTTTGGAAGGCTGAGGTGGAAGGATTACTTGAGGTCAATCTGGGCAGCATAACAAGACCCCTTCTCTACAAAAACATCAGCTGGGTTCCGTGTTGTGTGCCTGTGGTCCCAGCTGCTTGGGAGGCTGAGACAAGAAGATTGCTTGAGCCCAGGAGTTCAAGGTTACAGTGAGCTATGATGGTGCCACTGCACTCCAGCCTGATGACAGAGTGAGACCCTGTCTCTAAAACTTTTTTTTTAAATAAATAAAGAAAGAAAAGGAATATTGTGGGAATGGGAAGTATTTCAAGGTTTTTTTTTTCTTTTTTATGTAACAAACTGTCCCAAAATATATTGGCTTAATATAACAACCATTTAATTTGCTCATGATTTTGCAGATCTGCAGTTGGGACAAGGCTCAGCCAGAATGTCCTAACTCTGTCCAGTGTGGTGTGGACTGGGTGTCACTGGGATTAGAGGATCCAAGATGTCCTTAGTCACATATGTGAGCACATGATGCTGGCAGTCTGCCAGGACATCTTTATGCTCTTCCACTCAGTCTCTCTTCCCAGTAGATTAGGCTGGACTTCCTCACTTGGCGGTCGAGGTTCCAAAAGTACAAAAGTGAAAGCTGTCAGACCTCATAAGCTCTAGGTATAGAAGTCACATGGCACAATTTCCACCATATTCTATCAGTCAAAACAACAACTAGACTGGCCCAGATTCAAGGGGGAGAGGAAAGAGACCTCACCTACTGATGGGACTTCTGGCAGGTCCAAATGTGGATGAGACTCCTATAGAGATCTGTGAACTAAAAGGACAAATTGCCTGCCCACCACACACAACATGCAAGGGTATGACACGAACACTCCCTTCAAGGGGATGTTGAGAAGCACAAAGCATTCGCTGATTCAGAGCAATCCTGAAATCCAGGCCTATACTGTCAGCTCCCTTGACTCCAGGATCAATCAACATTCCTTAATTAGAGTCCATTTCTGCTCTCTGGAAATGGTTCCCCAATTTATTGTTTTCCTCAGGTCTTAGATTTGCTCTCTGGACTTTGCTCTTTGAAATACTTTTCATTTTCTATAAGAAATGGACTGTGTCCTCAGCGGAGCAGCTTTCTTAGCCTGCTTTCTTCCCAAAGAAAGCTGGAGGCCCAGAGACCTCTTTATTTTTGATGGCCTCTGTCCTAAAATACAAACTGGTGGGGCTTTCTTGAATACACTTCTCTTAAAAACTTCATAGATTTTTCCGTGAATCTTACGGAGATTATTTTGTGCCACTGTGGTACATCGTCTCCCATGGCCACAATATTCCTTCCAATCTCACATGCACTTTTGAAATGTGACTTTGCCAGTATTTCCATCATGATTTGAGGTGTGTTACCCCTGTCACTAGATCCAAGCTGAACCAGTGACTTGCTGTGATTAACAGCATGCAACTGAAGTGATTGTGTATCACTTCAAGACCAAGGAAGGCCTTAAGAA
Organism: Homo sapiens; assembly: GCF_000001405.40. Classification (NCBI taxonomy): domain Eukaryota; kingdom Metazoa; phylum Chordata; class Mammalia; order Primates; family Hominidae; genus Homo; species Homo sapiens. The sequence continues at coordinate 5,265,156 of NC_000012.12, forward strand.
ACTTGGAAGCTTCTACTTTTGTACTCTTAGAGCCGTGCAATGCCACAGAAGTCAGACTATCCTGTTAGAGATAGAGACCAAGTGGAAGAGCACGAAGCACCCCAGGCTCCCAGCAGCAATGTGGTTCCAGACATGAGTGAATCCAGTGATATCATGTGTCCCTCTGAGCCCTGCCAGAATTTCTCATCTAGAGAACTGGGAATAGCAAAACGATTGTTGACTTAAGCCACTAAGTTCTGGAATGGTGTGATGTACAATGGTAGATAACCAGACGAAGAGGGCTGGTTGGCTTCTAAGAGCTTTCACAGGTATGTTGTCATCTTGTTAAACTCATTCAATTGTAAAGACTCAAAACTTTAGTCTTCATTGAGATCCCAGCATAGGTCAGAGTAGGTGATAATGACTTATGTTAACCAAACTCACAGAAAATGATAGATAAATTACAATATCAATTCACTCTTATACCAAGAAAAATGTTGCTGTTAGGTGGACAAGATGTGTGTTCCCATCTTCTGGCCAGTGAAGCATCTCATAGTGGAAAAGCTATATGGGGCAACAGTGGATAATTAGAGGGTTATTTGGTGAAAAAAATCAAGAATGAGGGGCGTCAGGAACATAGAATGCCCAAATGCATGCAGCTATGGCCATGCCTTCCAGAAGGGTTTAACTTTCTTACTGTTTGAAGGGACAAAAAGGCACGCTGGCATATACTTGGATGGGCACTTCACAAGTTGTCCCCTCTGCCCTCCCTCTCTTTATTTTTAGACAGGTTTAGATATTTAGTTAAAGTTAAGATTTGTAAGTTCTAAAGTCTTTCTTTTTAATTTGATATTTCTCTATTCTAGGGCTTCTCAACCGAGGACAATTTTCCCCCCAGAGGAATGTTGGCAGGGTCTAGAGACATTTTTTGTTGTCACAGTTTGGGGGGAATTGTTGATGGGAGTGCTGCTTTCTGCTAGTGAGTACAGGCCAGGGATGCTACTAACAATTCTGCAATACACAGGACAGACCCGCAACAAAAAATTACCCAGCCTAAAATGTCAATAGCACTGAGCATGAGAAATCTGCTCAATTCTGATTCATTTTCTGCTGGTTAGTGATTGAACTCTTAGAGTACAATCTTATTTTTAACTTCTTCAAGTGATAAAAGCTATCATTGCCTCCCTTTTACTGCTACTTATAAGAAACATTTTGCTCAAGCAAAATTTGAGTAGGCATGTAACAAACAAATGAAGTAAATTAGTAATTAAAAATCTTCCCACAAAGACAAATCTAGGCCCAGATAGCTTCACTGGTGAATTCTCTCTAACATTTAAAGAAGCATTGCTAGTCCTTTGCAAAGTTGTTTAGGAAGTAAAGGAGGGAACACTTCCCAACTCATTCTATGAGACCAGTATTACCTTAATACCAAAGCCAAACAAAGACATCACAAGAAAAAGAAAGTATAGACAAATAGCCTTCATGAACACAGACATAGTAATTACTAACACAATATTATCAAATTAAATCCAGCAACATATAAAATGAATTATACACCAAGATGAAGTATCCCAGATTTATCAAAAATTTATCCCAGGAAAGCAAAATTAATTTCAGATCTGAAAATCAACCTAAAACAGGAAGGACAAATATCACATGATCATCTCAGTAGATATGGAAAAAGCATTAGACAAAATATAATATCCAATTGAGATTAAAAATTATCAGCAAATTAAGAATAAACAAGAAAAAAACAAACAAACCCATTAAAAACAAAACAATCCCATTAAAAAGTGGGCAAAGAACATAAACAAACACTTCTCAAAAGAAGACATTCACGCAGCCAACAAAGATGAAAAAAACCTCCACATCACTGATCATTAGGGGAATGCAAATCAAAACCACAATGAGATACCATCTCCCACCAGTGAGAATGGTAATTATTAAAAAGTCGAGCAACGACAGATGCTGTGAGGTTGTGGAGAAATAAGAATGCTTTTACACTGTTGGTGGGAATATAAATTAGTTCAACCATTGTGGAAGATGGTGTGGCAATTCCTCAAAAATCTAGAACCAGAAATACCATTTGGCCCAGCAATCCCTTTACTGGGTATACACTCGAAGGAATATAAATCATTCTATTACAAAGATACACACATGCACACGTATGTTTATTGCAGCACTATTCACAATAGCAAAGACATGGAATCAACCCAAATGCCCATCAATAACAGACTGGATAAAGAAAATGTGGTACATATACACCATGGAATACTATGCAGCCATAAAAAAGAATGAGATCATGTTCTTTGCAGGGACATGGATGGAGCTGGAAGCCGTCATCCCCAGCAAACTAATGCAGGAACAGAAAACAAGACACTGCCTGTTCTCACTTATAAGTGGGAGCTGAACAATGAGAACACATGGATACGGGAAGGGGAACAACACACACTGGGGCCTGTCGGGGAGTGGGCTGGGGGAAGGAGAGCATTAGGAAAAATAACTGATGCATGCGGGGCTTAATACCTACGTGACAGGTTGATAGGTGCAGCAAACCACCATGGCACATGTTTAAGTATGTAACAAACCTGCACACTCTGCACATGTGCCCCAGAACTTAAAATAAAAATAAAAATTAAAAAAAAAAAACTAATGGCAAAAACCGCAATTATTTTTGCACCAACCTAATAGAATCTCAAAAAGCTAACAATAGAAAAATTGTTCCTATTTGGGTCAGGAATAGATGTGGAGCGAGAGGGTCTTAATGAGTCTGATGACTTAAGGCTAAGTCATGGCTAATCACTGAGTGAGTATATAAACATTGGGAAATTATTTGAATTTTTCTGGATTTAGTTTCTTCATCTGTAAAATGAGAATACTATTTTCTTTCTGGGGTTTCCATGGCTCAGATGAGATAATACATGAAAATTCCTTGTAAGTTGCAAAATGCCATTAAAATACATGGGGCTATTTTACTATTGTGAAGGTCCTATTTGTGCACTGGACCATCCGGCATGTGTAGGGTTTGTTTTGAATCATTGCACTTGACACTGAGCCTACAGAGCCCAGGAAAGCAGTGTAGTTCTTTCAATCATCCCCTACCCATGGGCTCCTGGGTCGGCCCCACTGGAAAAGCAGAACTTTCCCCGTCCTCATTAACTCACTGTCTGGCGAGTTCATACCTCTAAGCCACACCTTAGAGGAGGCTAGGGTGTTCTAATTAAGGGTTCTGGTGGAAAAGGGAGGCTTTACGCTGTCTCTTGCTACTCTCTCTGGGCCACAAGCTGCAGCTTGGAACAAGCATAAACAAGTAAACTACTGCCCCTCCCCAAGATCTCCAGGAGATAAATTGAAATGTGAGTAATGAAAGGCCCACTGTTTTTCCTTTTGTAACCAAGGGAACTTTGGTTTGTGTACTAGGTTGAGAGAAACCCAATCTTAGCCCTCTAGAGTCACATAATGTGAAAGTACTAGTTTGTTATTATAGGACCCTATAAGATAGGACATTTCCGAGCACCCATTCAACTTTCACAATTTGACTTCTAATGAATTGCATTCTGCTGGCAATTCTAGGAAACCACTTAAGCTCCAGGAGACCCAAAATAGAGCACAATGCACCTTCCTGTGCTCTCCACCCCCATCTCCAACCAGGCTCACAACAGGGAGCCCTCCAGAGCCACACCTAATTGGCTGCAGAGAGAAGGGAAGGGAAAGGTCTTCACCATCCCAGCCACAGGTGGACCTGTTATAGGACAGCCTCCTCTGGCTCTAATACAGCACTTACCACAAAGCACAAGGAGGCCCTACAAACAGCCGGCTCTGAGAGGCAAAGCGTGTATGACACCAGGTGCCCAAAGTTACTGCTTGAGGCAGAGGGAGAGTGAGATGTGAATGAGGTCAGGAGCCAGGAGCAATGACAACAGAACTCATCGCATCTGGGCCCCCAGGACCAGACCCATGGACAAATCTGCCATCAAAGTGAACCAAAGAGAATGCGCCACCCAAGGCGAGGCTCTGCAGTGGGATGTGCTCAGGGCAGGTGGGTTCTCTGAACAACTATGATGCTGGCTGAGAACAGACTCCCCCATGGACACCTGCAGCTGGCCTGAGGATGGATCCTCTGAGTGGAACTGGGCAGGGACCTCTCTCACTTATCTTCATATGCTCAGAGTCCAGTTGTCGGGTGAAACAGTGTTTGTGCTTAGTGAATGTTGAATGGATAAATGAGAGGGAATTAGGAAACTTGGGCTCTGCTTCCTGGATATCCTTTTCCTCTTCAGAATGGGTTCTTTCTTTCATTCTCTCCCAGCTCATAACACAGCACAGTGGTAAACACATAGAAGGCACTCAAAGGATATTTTACCTCAATCTAGCGGACCCTATGCCAGTGTTGGAGAAAAATTCCTCCAAGGAAGAATTATTTTCCTGTCTTCCCACAGTACTTTTAAATAGCTATATTCTATCCTGTCTTCCCACAGTACTTTTATATAGCTATATTCTAGGAGGACATTGAGCATACTGGATTATACTTTTTTTTTTTTTTTTGAGGCAGAGTTTCTCTTCTGCCGCCCAGGGTAGAGTCCAGTGGTACAATCTTGGCTCATTGCAACCTCCGCCTCCCAGGTTCAAGAAATTCTCTCACCTCAGCCTCTTAAGTAGCTGGAATTTCAGGCGCATGCCACCATACCGGGCTAATATTTGTATTTTCAGTAAACCCGGGGTTTCACCATGTTTGGATTATACTTCTTAAAAAATGTGCTTGTTGTCCCTGTTATAGATGGACTGTGCAACAGTGAAAGCCATGCCTTACTTATTATCTTGGTGCTCCAGAACCTAATACAACTCTGCCTCTCACATGGTTAATAGGGAGTAAATGCATGCGAGGACATAGTCCAGATGGCAATCAAGGAAGACCCCGCCCTCTTGCTTATGGCACTGCTTTGCCCAGGTGTGGCACTGGAGCACAGAGACAGGTCTATGGGCTCTGGAGGCTCCTGAACCCCAAAGCTCTCTCCCCCTGCAAGCTCCATCTTTGAGGACCTACATTGCTTCTCTCATTTCCACCCACAGGGTAATCATCAAGAATCAAATGGCTTGGATCTGGTCTCTTCTCTTTGAGGAAGCAAGCAGGTATGTGCTTTTAGAGAACTGGAAGTTTTCAATAATTCCTCAGTGAACACAAAATCACAAACTATAACTCTTAGAGCTAGAGAGCATCCAAAATGGTCTTCGGGTCCAGAGCCCTGCCTTTGGGAAGATGAGCAATTCTTACAACCATTGCCATGCTATGAAATCCACAAACTCACACCATCTTCCACAGGCATCATGTGCACACACATACATCCTGAGTAAGTATATGCGTGCACATGTGTGTATATGTGTATATGAACAGAGGCACTTAAGAAGATATGTATTCAGGCTATAGCTTCCCAACAAATATAAACAGAGTATCGTACACATTGCTGGAGAGTCTAATCAGATAACTAAACCAGACTATTGAAATGACCCTGCCACGGCTTTAAGAATTAAATAGGTGTAGACATAGGACAGTTGGCCTTCATTTCATGACAGAAAGAAGCTAACCAGAGAAATGGATTTGCTAATGACAACAAAATGCAGTGTAACACTGTACTGAATGTTTCTCAGATCTTGCTGCTTCTTTCAAAATGGAAAGAGGCCACCTTCTCTTGAGAAACAGCTAAAAGGAGAGAGAAAGTAGAAATAGGCAGGCCTGAGTTCCAGGAAAACACACTTAATCATCAGGTGACCTTAGGCACATCACTTCCTCTCTCTGGGCCTCAGTAAAAAGGGCATAGAACCGAATGAAAGCAAAGGTCTTCCTCTCCTCTTACATTTCATCCTCCTCCTTGTGGATTTTTTTCACCTCCTTGAAGACCCCGGAACTTTGGGAGTGCCATCCAAGATACAATGTGCGTTTCGCCATAGCTTCTCCTTCAAATGGTTGGTCCTTGGATTTACTAACTTCCTCAGCTTTCCCATTCCCAATCATTATGTAAAATCCTTCTTCTTTTTTTTTAGAGATGGAGTCTCGCTCTGTCGCCCAGGCTGGAGTGCAGTGGTGTGATCTTGGCTCACTGCAAGCTCCGCCTCCCAGGTTCATGCCGTTCTCCTGCTTCAGCCTCCCAAGTAGCTGAGACTACAGGCACCCGCCACCACACCTGGCTAATTTTTTTTTTTTTTTTTTTTTTTTTTGTATTTTTAGTAGAGACGGGCTTTCACCATGTTAGCCAGGATGGTCTTGATCTCCTGACCTCATGATCCACCCGCTTCGGCCTCCCAAAGTGCTGGGATTACAGGTGTGAGCCACTGCATCTGACCATTTCTTGGTTCTTGAACCCACAGGCATGGAGGTGAGTCAGGCCATTGGAAGATTTCCTGTGGCTGATGAAGAATCCAACTCCAGGTTGCTCTTCTTTGAAGAGGATTCCAGAAATGCTTAGGTACATAGACCCAGGAGACTAAGGCATATCAACGGATTGTATTATTTTAATTAATAACAAATGTATCTTACTATTTTGAGTAAATTGACTAAATATTTTATGTTTGTCAATCAAATGACAGAAATATGCAATTCAATAATGGGATATTTTAGCTGGCAGGGACCTTAGAGATTTCTTAATACAACCTCTTGTTTTACAAAGAAGAAAAATTGAACTCAAAGAAAGAGAAGTGACTTGCCCAAGGCTAAATAAATTAATGGTATAGACTGAGTCAGGACCCAGTGTCCAGTGCCATATCCAATAAATCACAACAGGAGCCCATCAGTGTGACTGAGAAGTTGAGTGGTAGGTGTCTGCTCTCTTTTCTAAATGTCCCTGGTGATCCATTTTTCCCAAACAGCCATAGAGCTGAATAGGGAGTTTGAAAAAAGGAGCAAAGAGTATCCTTGGCCTCTTGGTGCTCATTAATCTTCTTTATGCTCTAGATGACAGAAAGCTATTGACTATTGTGTTGCAGACCAGAGACCTAGATGCAGAAAGACAGAAGGGCATAGGCAAGGTCAGGGCAGCAATACCTTCCCATGACTGTCACTTATTTACAAACTCATCCATATCCTTCTAACCGCCCTGAGGAATGAGTGGTATGACTCTGAGGCTGTTCATGGGGAAATTGAGGTTTGGAGGGTTTAGGCAATGTAAACAATTGGCCCCAGCGGGATATGGAAGCAGAGTCCAGTTCTACATGAGAGAAAAGAAACGTACCTACAGGAACAGACACACACGGTGAGCCCACCTATGGGCTAGGTCAACCACAGGGCCTGGTATAAACTAGGAACCCAGTAGTTGAGGAACAAATTGAACAAGCAGAGGGGCTGCTGTGTTTGGCAGCCTTCTATGTGGGGCATGCCATGTACATCTGTCTGGAGCATGGATTAATCAGGCCTTAAGACACATAGTTGGCAACCAGCGAGTACTGTTTTACAGTACATGCTGACTGCTGCTGGAGTGTGTTCTCGGCACTGCAAATCTTGGAGCTTCTCAGATATTTCTTTTGTCTTTTTAAAAATTCATTGTGACACATGCCCACATGTTTTCTATGCTCAGTCTGAACCCATGCCATTTGTAAACCATCAGCTCACACACATACCCTGAGTTCCTGGGAGATGTGGTGCCTAACTCCATGGCAATCACAGCCCATGGAGATAGGCCAGAGATGGTGGGCTTTGCATTAAGAAAGCTCAGTAATGCAACAATGGTGCCTAACTCCATGGCAATCACAGCCCACGGAGATAGGCCAGAGATGGTCGGCTTTGCATTAAGAAAACTCAGTAATGCAACAATGGTGCCTAACTCCATGGCAATCACAGCCCACAGAGATAGGCCAGAGATGGTGGGCTTTGCCTTAAGAAAACTCGGTAATGCAACAACAACAACCCAATGTACAAACCCAGAAAATTTGGAGGTATTTTTTATTCTGTGAAAAAATTAACTGCAATTTTTTCCCTGACATTAATATATGTCATGCGAGCTTCCACTTCCAAAAAACACTTAATATTTTGGTGATGCAGATGCTCCTGTATACTAACATAGAAAACATGTGACTCTCTGATCTGAGAATCAGGGGACAGGTTTGGGAACTTCATTAGTTCAAGGCAATCATAATAAAACCATGTAATATGCTTAAAGTGCAATAGTATTTAGAAGCACTTTTAGGTATTCCCTATATAAGAATAATAGCTGATATTTTTTGAGAACCTACTAAGTTTCACTCTATGTTACACATTTGTATTTATTTCTCTTAATTCTCACAACCACCATATGAGGTATATACTATTATAATCTCTGGGTTGAAATGTGGAAAGTGAGACACAGAGGTTTTAAGTAATTTATACATAATCACACAGGTAGAAAATGAAAAGTCAGAATTCAAACCCATGGACCCAGGGCATGAAGCACAGCTCCGACCACCCCGAGAATGTGTTGGATTAACCCTATTCAACAGAGGAGGAAAACAAACCCAAGAAAGTAAGCAACTTTGTCAAGGCCACCTGACTAACTAGTGCTAAGCCTGGAACCCAAGTCTGTGACCTCAAAGCCAGGCTTCTTTCCATGAGGCGGCCCTTCCAGGAGCCCCCTGGGAGGGTGGCAGGGGTAAGCCCCTACTCTTTGTGCAGAGGGGTTTTAACTCTGCCTGCAGCAAGGGAGTCTCCACTGTCCCGGCAGTGGCAGGCACTTGGCCTCAGGCCCTCTGTTTGAGATAGATGAGGAAGAAACAAAAAGCAACAATGGAGAAAACCGTGCTGCCTTTTGTCTCCAGCAGGCAGCTGGCAAAGCGCTGACCTTTAAGACTTCAAAAGAGGCATTCGCCCAGTCACACATAGACTCCGCCTTTAGGAGCCTGGAAAAAGTTTACTGCTGCTCTTTGCCACTGCCTGGGTCCTGAGGTGAGAAAGAGCCATGGCACCCTTTACTTAATCCCGTTATGTGCCACATGCTTCGCTAATCTCCTTAGGGCTTTGCACCCTCGTAATACTCCTTTGAAGCAGGTAGAACTGATATCACCTCCTTGTTGCAGAAGAAGAGATGGAGGGTCTGAGGGGGAAGCGACTTGCCCAGGGTCATCGAGCTGCACTGTGTGGTTTCTCAAAACTCAAGTGCAAACTGGAACTCCGGTTCTGCTCCCCTAATACGTTCATTCACAGCCTTCCGTCTCTCAGGGGTGGCCGTTCTATCCTTGCAACTGCTCAGCATAAAAACCTTGGGGTCACCTTGACCTCATTCTTTCTCTCCCATTCCACGTCCACTCTTACAGGAAATGTCATTGACTCTACCTTCAAAATACACCCATTCTGATATACCTCTCTGCTCACACTGCCACCTCCCTGGTCAAAGTTCCCATTACCCCGGGCCTGGAGTACTGAAAAAGTTCTAACTGGCCTCCCTGCTTTCACCTATTTCCAGTGCAGCCTCCAAAGCAATCTGTTCAGACAGAAGTTAGGTCAGGAGGCCCCCACAACGATTCCTTATCTTCCTGGCAGGAAAGCCAAAGTCCTGACAATGGTCCACCCAACCCAAAGGACTAAGCCTCTCCCAAGACCTCTGACCTCCATTCATCTCCCTTGTTCCCTCCTGTCCGCTCTATTCCACCACACCAACCTTCTTACCAGACCTTGGCACCAGCTGTCCTCTCTGCATGCAACAATCTCACCCCAGACACCTGCTGGGTTCACGCCCCCACTTCTTTCAAGTGTTTACTCAAATGTCACCTTCTTTGTAAGGCCTAACCTAGCCACTTCCACTGAAAATTACAATCCTCTTCTCTGAAAGGCCCCAAGATCTCCCACACCATTTAACTCTCAGCATCATGTAACTTACTGTTGCCTTACTTATATTCAGACACTAAATACTCCACCAAAGACTTACCCAATAGAACATAATTCCCACAGGGAGGGGTGTTTATCTGTTTGATTCATTGTGGTACTCCTGATATCTACAACAATTCCTGGTACCTCAAAAGTACTCACAGAATAAGTAGAGTGAATGAATGAATGTAAGTCAAATGAATGAATGAGTGAAGAAGGCCCTATTTCCACCCCAGGGAGAGGAGAAGCTGAAGGCGAAGCACTACCAATATGTAGGGAGGTGGCCTTAGACACAGTCCCCAGCATTGACCGCTCGGGCCCTGCTCCAGCCTGTGGCACAGACCCACCCTGGCTTCTCGCCAACTTCCAGGTCTGGGAGGCCTAAGGCCAAGGAGAATATGAGGTTCTGCGGGTGACACAGGTTCTTGAACATGTGAAGGCAGCAAGGTGAGCTCACACAGGTGCCAGCCAAGGCCAGGTCCTGCCCCGGCTGTGGATCCCAAAGTCCTCCCATTGTCACCTGGCAGCAAGTCAGAGGAACCGACATACAGGACCTCGCGGCACTTGCTCTAGGAAAGGGATGCTATCCCGGGGACCAGAGCTTTCCTTAAGTCTCCTATGTAATGCCCTAGAGGGTGGGAGCCAGGCCAGGCTGCCTGCCTTCGCACATGCTAAGCACTGCCCAAGTGCCAATCAGTATCTCAAAAACAATTCTGAAAAGTATTCCACGATTGATTTTACTACCTTTATTGATACACGCAAAGCAGGGATATTTACATTCCATCAAAAGTTTGCTGAGGGTCCCAAATTTTACTCTGTAGTATAACTTCTGTAAAGCTGTGGGGACTCCCTCTTTTACAAGTGGCTCCCAGAACTTCAGGAATGGCTTGGACAGTAGCTGTTCCTTTACTCCAAGCCATTCGGACATAACTGAGACTGTTGGCAATCTCACTAGAGGCATCAAAATCCCTGCCAAGAGCTCCTTTCCCAAACCCCTTCTGCATAGCTGTAAATTGACATGAAGAGTAATGTTTATTTCAGAGACTATCCAGTTTCAACCACTATTCACCTGAGAAGATAGGAAACAAACACGATCCCCATGGTGGACTGTGGCAAGTAGTATGCACCTTACCGATATGTTCTGGAGGTCCCGCTAAGGGAGACAGCTATGGAAAAACAGAAAAAGCCCTGGACCTGGAGCCAGGAGACAGGCATTTGGGTCCAGGTTGGGCCTCTTACTTGCTGTGTGTCCCCTTAGGCAACTTACTTCTTCTCTCTGAGCCTTAGTTTACTGGTCTAGAAAGGGAGATTTGTAATATATACCCTTTTCAGCTGCCTTGTTAGATTGCTCAGAAGTTCCCTGTAAATTACAAAGTTCTGTTACAACATGAGGGTTTTTAAATGTTTTTAATAAAAATAGACCCAGTTCCATAAGGTGTTGGGAGGATGACATGTGTTGCTACAGAGGGGAAGGGAGGAGAAGTGAGCAGTGCCAGCGTTCACCAAGTCCTGGCACTAGACACTACTTGAAGGTACTTGCATTTGGGGCACCTCCCTCCCTCGGGCCCTGGCACTGCCCTGGGGTATTATGTGGCCAGTGGAGATTAGTCATGGTCTCCAGTTCCTTCTATCATTAAGGCCGCTAAAAGATTCACACCTCTTAACAATTCAGCTGAAATCTCCCAGGCACAGCCTAAGGCAGGGCTTGGCTTTGTTTTGGTGGCATCTCTCATTTATTTATCAGCTTCCCTAGGGAAGGAGCACTGATGTTGTTTGGCACTGATGAGGAGAACAATGCAGCACATATTTATAGCTCTGCTCTCCCACCTGCAGGGGCTGCTTGTTTGGACTGTAGGAGCTTAGCTGAGCACCAAGCACCAGCAGGAATCAGAGAATGGTGGCTTCCATCCTCTGCGCACAGCAGCAAGGAAGGTACGTTCACCTTCAACTTAATTCCAAGGGTGCGTCATAAGCTATGGGCTGAGCCTGGCCCCTGTGGGGATGAAGGGCTGCCCCAGGAAGGTGGAAGAGGGTCAAGCCCTGCCCTGCCCTCAAAAAAACCTGTAACTAAGTGCAAATGGGCTCTGCTCATCCAAATTCTGGCTTTGTCCTGTATCAGTTACATGAACTTCCGCCAGACTCTGAAACTCAATTGCTCATCTGAAAAACTACAGTAACACTAGTAAAGCCCACCATACAGGGCTTTGTGAGTTTTAAATATAACTATGTGGAAGCACCTGGCACACAATGAGTAGAGACAAGGTTAATGTTTGTTGTTGAATCTTGTTAGAGTGAAAAGACAGCCACACATTAAACAATTAAAGAACAATACCAGGCGGTCTACCTGCGATAAGGTGCTGAATTAAATATCACCAGGTGCCAACCTGTGTGGCACTGACAGCCGCCCTCAGCCCCCAGCCGAGCTAGAGGGCACTGACAATAGGGTGTCTGTCTGATTTCAGGGGAGGAGGAGGGCCCGCCACCCACTGTGGAGCCGTTCTGTCTGGGCAGTGGAAAACTCCATCTTTCCACGAGCCTGCCCTTGTCTACACCCTCTCAGCTGAGTCTGGGGTTGGACTTGTTTTTTGCAATTCACTTCAAGTTTAAGTGCTTAGGATATAGACTTGTAGTAAGTTTACAAGAATGCAAAATAGGTAAGGCACAAGCCCGCCCTCAAATAGCTCGTAGAGCAATAGGAAGGCTGTGTGTGTGTGTGTGTGTACATGTGTGCAGCAGGTGTTTGTGGATATAAACACTATATGTGTATGTGTATTTTATATGTAGAGAGAAAGAGACAGAGAATATAATAAGTCCTGTTTAATGGTTATAAACAAAACGTTATGAAGTGTTTTAAAGCAACAAGAAGTTGGAAATCCAGGAGGTCTGCATGGTGGAGAGGGCATTTACACATGGTCTTGGGGGAGCTCTGGCTTGCATGTAGGACAAATATGGGCTCACCCACTGCCTAAAAGATGCAGCCTTTCCTGTAGCATGCCCCAACACAAAATGGAAATGCCTATTCTAAAAAAGAGATAAAGCATTATGTCTTGTGACAGAAATCAACTCTTGAAGTTCAGTTTCAGGCACAGGAAGAGAAAAAAAGGAAACATGAAACAAGCAAACAAGAAGAGAGTGACTTTGGAGGGTGGTTCAACAAGAAATCAAGGCAAGGAGCTGCATGGCTCCCCCAGGGGAAGGGCAGGTAGAGCAGGAAGGGATGGGAAGCGAGGGACATGCCCAGGCAGGGGACGGCCCAGTGGAATTGAAGCCTAAGATGGGGACCCATGCATGGAGAATCTTGTGTTGTTGGGGGAGTCTTTGGGCTTAATTTTGTCTCTGACCATGGAAGCGAGGATCAGAAAAGTGCTTGGAGAAGACTTTTTTCCCAGCATGAAGGAAGCAATAGAGTGAAGAGATATGGAAGAGAAAAACCCTGCGGTTGCTCTGGAGTCAAGGCAAGAGGTGATGGCCGCTGGAATAGAAAAGAGACAATGAGATGTCATCTGCAGCTAGACTTGACCTGGCTTGGCAAGGGTTTGGATGTGTAGTGAGGGGAGGGCCAGCCTCCTCCTGTGCACTGGGATCACAGCCCCACCAGCCCCCTCCCTCCTCACCCTGCCAAATTCCCTGGAGAACGGGTGGCACCTGCCACCTCCGCTTCCTCCCGCCCACTCTCTCCCTCACATCCGGCAGTGCCCCACCCCACTCCTCTGCCCAGAAAGGGCTCTCTTGAAGGTCACCAAGGCCCTCCATGGCCAAGTCCAGCAACCTTTTTCCAGCCCCATTTTCTACACAGAATTTGATACTGTTGACCTTTTACTCTTTGCCATTCATCCCTCTTGGCTTCTACAGCAAGACACTCTCCTAGTTCTTGCCTACTTTCTCGCCCTTTCTCCCCCGCATTCTCTGTGTCCGTATTTTCTTCCTTTTGCTCCCCCAGCAGAGCAATTTTCCAGAGAATCTGTTTTTTCATTTCTCTGTACTCTCTTGCATAGTAACACCTCCTGTCTCTCACCAGTGTCAACTACTGCATTTCCCTAGTTGGTGTGAAATCCACATTCCCAGTACAGGAGCCTCACTTTTCAGTCCTGTGGGACTTTGCCATTGTATATCCTGGATGACTTCAAACTCAATATGACTTTCCTTCCAGGTCACTTCCTCTCCTTTCCCTGCTTTTGTTGCTAGACCGCCATTCCCCTAGGCACCTATGCTCAACATTCCAGAGACATTTTAAGTGCTTCTCTTCTCTCACTGTTCCTATCCACCGTCCTCTTTAGTCTTTCTACCCCTGGATCTGACATCCATGGTTTCTATCCTTGCCCCAGCTCCAGCCCTACCTAGATCATGGTCAGGGCATAGCAATTGCCTCTGGGGACTCTCTATCCAGTCTTTCATCATGAGCCATCCTGCATATGACCACCAAATCAATCTTCCTAAATATCGCTTGTGTTATACAAACTCTTTTCAGCATGTATTAAGTCCCTGTCACTAAAATGATTTCTTGGAAAATAAAAATTAAGACGTACACGTACTAGTTGAACAGACACACTTGAAAACCAATTATGATCAAAAAGTAATGTGAGACAATGATACAAATGTAAACACCCAGCTGTTAAGAGCATAAAGGAAGGAATTAGTAACTACCCAGGTCACGTGGGGGAAGTTTCAGAAGAGCTGATTTTTAAACTGGTTCTTTAAGGAGATACATAGGGGCTTAAAAAATAAAGAAAGAGGAAGAAAGTTGCACTCAACAGAAAGGGAATAGCAAGGACAGACAAAGGGGCATGAGGGTGCATGGCTTCCAAGAGGAATGGCAGCTGATGAGGTGTCCAAGGCATACTGTCCATGGCTGGGGAGATGCTGGTGAGGTAGACCGTGGCCTTATATGTCACATTGAGGAATAATGGCTTTTTCTTATATGCAATGGAGAGTTCAAGAGGCTTACCAGCAGAGAATGCTACGGTAGTTTAGCCATGGATGAAAAGAAGACCAGGAGTAGATCATGGTCCAGTCTGAAAAGCAGCAAGAGGCAGATGAAGGTGAACACCAAATCCTATTATGGAGTAAGTGGACCAAGTGTCAAAGTGAGGTTGGTGAACAGGTCACACCTGAAGGTGCCAGGGACCCTACAGCAGATGCCTGAGATCAAGTCTAGAGAAAAGGTAAAGTCAGGATCCAAAGGCAGCAAGAACGGTTATGGCGATGAGGAAGTACTCATGACATGCAGGAGAGGGGGCTAACTTAACTCCAGCGACACTGTTCTCTCAGCAGCAGGCCTGCGTCTAAGGGGCTGGTGCTTCCATTATGCAGATGTGATATTCCAGAGTGAGTCACAGTATGGGCCGGGATGCATCAGATTGCTCTTCAGCCCATTACTGTGGCAACAGGGTGGAGACCACACTAAAAGAGAAAGCAGGGAGCCAGGGAAGTCAGGAGGCTTGTCCCATAGTCTTGGTTGGGGATAATGGGGCCACAAGGACAGAGATGATGGGATGGAATTGAATAGTCTTCAGGAGTCCACAAGACTTAGTGACCTCCAGCACTTGGAGCCAGAAAGAGAAATAATCCAGCGCAATCATTTTATCACTTTGATTATGTCACTTATTTGCTCAAGGTACTCTTAAAAGTACCCATTTTCTAGAAATATTCCCAAAATGTGGGGCACAGAAGATTTTAAATAACATACAGACGTAGCACTGAATTAACCTTGACTCTCATTGTCAGCAAACTGCCTATTGGATTCTCTTTTGATATTTCTGATATAATCACCAAGAGAAACTATAAAATCCTGGTATGTTCATGGCTCCTCTTTAACTCTTTTTTTTTTCCTTGAGGTTTTATTTTATTTTATGTTATTTTATACTTTAAGTTCTAGGGTACATGTGCACAACGTGCAGGTTTGTTGCATATGTATACATGTGCCGTGTTGGTGTGTGGCACTCGTTAACTCGTCATTTGCATTAGGTATATCTCCTAATGCTATCCCTCCTCCCTCTCCCCACCCCACAACAGGCCCCGGTGTGTGATGTTCCCCACCCTGTGTCCAAGTGTTCTCATTGTTCAGTTCCCACCTGTGAGTGAGAACATGCGGTGTTTGGTTTTCTGTCCTTGCGATAGTTTGCTGAGAATGATGGTTTCCAGCTTCATCCATGTACCTACAAAGGACATGAACTCATCCTTTTTATGGCTGCATAGTATTCCATGGTGTATATGTGCCACCATGGAACATATATGATCCAGTCTATCATTGATGGACATTTGGGTTGGTTCCAAGTCTTTGCTATTGTGAATAGTGCCACAATAAACATACGTGTGCATGTGTCTTTAGAGCAGCATGATTTATAATCCTTTGAGTATATGCCCAGTAATGGGATGGCTGAGTCAAATGGTATTTCTAGTTCTAGATCCTTGAGGAATCACAACACTGTCTTCCACAATGGTTGAACTAGTTTACACTCCCACCAACAGTGTAAAAGCATTCCTATTTCTCCACATCCTCTCCGGCACCTGTTGTTTCCTAACTTTTTAATGATCGCCATTCTAACTGGTGTGAGATGGCATCTCACTGTGGTTTTGATTTGCATTTCTCTGATGGCCAGTGATGATGAGCATTTTTTCATGGGACTGTTGGCTGCATAAATGTCTCCTCTTTAACTCTTGTCAACATCCTTTCCAACAATAGGAGAGCAGGCCCATAGCTTCCTACAAGCCATGGAATCTACCCACAACTTCAACTCATTGTTCATCGCCTAAACATTTTTCTTTCTTTTTTAAGATTACATTTCTAAAATTTCTTATAAGTGTTTTGGATTTGTTCTTTTTACTTGTTAGAGACGTTTTAGAGGCATTCCCTTTACAGACAAGAAGATGATAAAGACGTGTTTATTATTGCAATTGTTCATTCAGCAGAGTACTAGCAGTCCTGATCAATGGATGAGTGACAAGAAAAGGAAATGAGACATAAGAATCGGAAGGAAAGAGAAAAATCATAATAGATAAAATGATAATTCACATAGCCCAACAAAATCAACAAACTACTATAACAGCAATAACCAACCAGAAAATGTCTTAGAAAATAGCATTTTCAAGATAATAAACTCACAATCTGAAAATGCAAATATCATTGAAAATAGGAATTAATAATTTTAAATCAACTAAAAATTAATTTTAAAAATACACATGACCTATGTGGAGAGAAATGACAAAATAACTGATCAGATATAAGAGAATACCTAGAGAACTGCACTGCATTCATGAATGAGAAAACACGTAATAATTCCAATTCTTCCCACAGTAATATATAAAGTTTAGACCATTTTAATGTAAATCCTGGCTGAATCAGATAAAGTAACACTAAAATTTATGTAGAACAATAAAGGTCTTTGAAAAGATCATGTATTTTGAAAAAGAAGAACAAAAATAGGATGCTCTTTTTAGCTATCAGATAGTACAACATGTTACAAAGACCAATTAAAACCAGCACAACACTAGTATAAGATCACAGATATATCCATTAAACAGAACAGAGGATTCAGAAGCACAGCTCATATATATAAAGGAGCCTGGTTTATCATGGAAGAGAGCTCACAAATCAATAGCAAAGCAAAACTATGAAACTATTAGAAGAAAATTGGGAAACTATCTCTGTGTTCTTGTATTGGATAAAAGCTTTTTAAGCAAAATGCAAAAGAATATAGCATAAAGGAGAAAAACCCTTTTGGATCTGACCACACGAAAATGAAATATTTTGTTGTGCAAAGCCCTCTACACTAATTTAACCGTTACCAGGCAAGGAAGTGTATTGCAAAACACATAACTGATTGTAATCTAGAATATAAGGAAAGGTATTCAAGAAACAGATAGAAAACCGAAGTGAAAAATAAGTCAAGAAAATATATGGGCGATTTATAGAGGGTAAAAGCTGACAAAATAACACAACTTTATTACTAATTAGGAAAACATGAAATCAAACAATAATTTGAGATATCTGTTTACATCTTCAAAATTGGCAAAAATAAGAAAATAAATCAAGTATTGAGATAATAGCAAGTACTAAAAAAATAGAAGCTCTCACACCTCTGCAGGTAGGAGGGTAAGCCAGTGCAGCTATTTTTGATACAAAATGTACAGTATTTGGTCAAGTTTCCAGGTACTCAATGCCCAGTAATTTTACTCTGGATATAAACCCCACAGAGACTCTCAAACAGACATACAAAAAGACACGCACCCAAAACTTTAATAGTAAAGAGTTGGAAATAACCTATATATTCCCCTAAAAAGGAACATTAAAGTCTTTGCTCAGATGCCTTTCTCAGTGTCTCCTATCCTGATCACTTTCACAGCAGTTGTAGTTTGACTCTCACCCCAGTACTCCCAATTTCCCATCCCTGCTCTGTTTTTCTCCATAGCATTTTCCACCATCTAACTCAACATATACGGTGTCTTATGTGTGTATTTTGTCTGTGATCTGTTTCTTCTCTATAGATTTGTAGCCACATAAAGGCAGGGTTTTAAGTTCTTTCTTCACAGCTGTACTCCTAGGATTTCCAAAATTAACCCACAGCGCTGATGTGGAATTCTAAAGGCCTTTTTTAGAATTTCTCCAAAAAGAGTCCATGAAGCCAACCAGTCAGAGCTGTGGCTTTATTGGACAGAATTTCACCTATAATATCTGCTTAACTGTCTTCTATATGGCAGGAGAAGAGAGAATTTGACCCGGCCATAAGAGCAACACTCACCTCCTGTCAAAGATCCACAAGTGCCGCTCCAGGGGCTTCTCAGGTGGTTCTTCCAGGTCTGCCCCTTCCCAGGTGTCAAGTGGGGAGGGCTGGAGAGAAAGTCAGGGTTCTAGTCCTCCTGGCCTTGCTACCTTTCCATGCTGACTGGCCCCTGCTTTCCTACTTCCAGTCCATACCTTGCCCTCCAGCTATGCTAGACAACTTAGTTTGTGAAGTACACTCTCCCTCTTTTTGCCTGTTGAATTTCTATGTATTTTTCAAAGCCCACGTTTCCTGCCTATTTTATTAAACTAATTAAATACAATCAGATATAATCACAGTAACTAATCTATAGGGACAGAGAGAGACTGGAGACCAATCTTCTGCTGTACTCTCAGGACCACATGGACTTCAGTTACAACGACTCTCAACCATCCATTAATATATTTTGTTGAGGAAGATGTTGATATCAGTCTGGTCTCTTACTCCTGAAGATGCTTCTGTGTCACCTATCCTATTATCAATTTGTTTATGCTTTAGAAATAAACACATAGGACCTTTGGCAAGACATAATCAATCAATAAATCTTCATTGAATGACATGCTAGAATCAGAAGAGATCACAGAGATCTTACTAGCACTGGGTCCTGCTATGAAAACATTTAAGTTTAGTGAAGGATACAAGATCTCTAACACAAATAGCAATAAACAATATGAAAGCATCCAACTGACCACTACATGTTTCAGCAAAATTTCAGAGAAAGGGCTCGAAATGGCCAAGATGTTTTTGTTGCTTTTTTTTTTTTTAAGATCATTAGGTTCAATCAATTAGTAACATAATGGGAAAACATTTAATCCGGGTCCTAGCACAAGCAATAACTTACAGGCAGGCATGAACGTGAGTAACATGGAGTTTGCAAAGCATATTAGTGCATGGCTCCTCACATACTCACCTGCCAGTGCCCCCTTCCTCATCCCCACCCTCTCCCAGACTTCCCCACTAAAGAAGCACTTCACCCTCCTAGATGACTTTCGGAATTTACATGCACTGGGTGGGGGAAATTTGAAGGGATTGCTAATGTGGAAAGAGTCTGGAAGGTAGAAAGATAAAAGACGACTTAAATAAATCAGAGAAGAGAGAATGAGAGGCTGGAGAAAAAGAAGTGGGAGAGAGACTGGGCAGAACCTGAATAGGCTGATGCAGGGACAGAATTTTCAGGAGGCTGGAAATAGAGTCTATGTGTCTTTGGAGGCAGCTATAAAGTCTTTTTTTTATTATTATTATACTTTAAGTTTTAGGGTACACATGCACAATGTGCAGGTTAGTTACATATGTATACATGTGCCATGCTGGTGCGCTGCACCCACTAACTCATCATCTAGCATTAGGTATATCTCCCAATGCTATCCCTCCCCGTTCCCCCAACCCCACCACAGTCCGCAGAGTGTGATATTCCCCTTCCTGTGTCCATGTGATCTCATTGTTCAATTCCCACCTATGAGTGAGAATATGCGGTGTTTGGTTTTTTGTTCTTGCGATAGTTTACTGAGAATGATGATTTCCACTTTCATCCATGTCCCTACAAATGACATGAACTCATCATTTTTTATGGCTGCATAGTATTCCATGGTGTATATGTGCCACATTTTCTTAATCCAGTCTATCATTGTTGGACATTTGGGTTGGTTCCAAGTCTTTGCTATTGTGAATAATGCCGCAATAAACATACGTGTGCATGTGTCTTTATAGCAGCATGATTTATAGTCCTTTGGGTATATACCCAGTAATGGGATGGCTGGGTCAAATGGTATTTCCAGTTCTAGATCCCTGAGGAATCGCCACACTGACTTCCACAATGGTTGAACTAGTTTACAGTCCCACCAACAGTGTAAAAGTGTTCCTATTTCTCCACATCCTCTCCAGCACCTCTTGTTTCCTGACTTTTTAATGATTGCCATTCTAACTGGTGTGAGATGGTATCTCATTGTGGTTTTGATTTGCATTACTCTGATGGCCAGTGATGGTGAGCATTTTTTCATGTGTTTTTTGGCTGCATAAATGTCTTCTTTTGAGAAGTGTCTGTTCATGTCCTTTGCCCACTTTTTGATGGGGTTGTTTGTTTTTTTCTTGTAAATTTGTTTGAGTTCATTGTAGATTCTGGATATTAGCCCTTTGTCAGATGAGTAGGTTGTGAAAATTTTCTCCCATTTTGTAGGTTGCCTGTTTACTCTGATGGTAGTTTCTTTTGCTGTGCAGAAGCTCTTTAGTTTAATTAGATCCCATTTGTCAATTTTGTCTTTTGTTGCCATTGCTTTTGGTGTTTTAGACATGAAGTCCTTGCCCATGCCTATGTCCTGAATGGTAATGCCTAGGTTTTCTTCTAGGGTTTTTATGGTTTTAGGTCTAACATTTAAGTCTTTAATCCATCTTGAATTGATTTTTGTATAAGGTGTAAGGAAGGGATCCAGTTTCAGCTTTCTACATATGGCTAGCCAGTTTTCCCAGCACCGTTTATTAAATAGGGAATCCTTTCCCCATTGCTTGTTTTTCTCAGGTTTGTCAAAGATCAGATAGTTGTAGATATGCTGCGTTATTTCTGAGGGCTCTGTTCTGTTCCATTGATCTATATCTCTGTTTTGGTACCAGTACCATGCTGTTTTGGTTACTGTAGCCTTGTAGTATAGTTTGAAGTCAGGTAGTGTGATGCCTCCAGCTTTGTTCTTTTGGCTTAGGATTGACTTGGCGATGCGGGCTCTTTTTTGGTTCCATATGAACTTTACAGTAGTTTTTTCCAATTCTGTGAAGAAAGGCATTGGTAGCTTGATGGGGATGGCACTGAATCTGTAAATTACCTTGGGCAGTATGGCCATTTTCACAATATTGATTCTTCCTACCCATGAGCATGGAATGTTCTTCCATTTGTTTGTATCCTCTTTTATTTCCTTGAGCAGTGGTTTGTAGTTCTCCTTGAAGAGGTCCTTCACATCCCTGGTAAGTTGGATTCCTAGGTATTTTATTCTCTTTGTAGCAATTGTGAATGGGAGTTCACTCATGATTTGGCTCTCTGTTTGTCTGTTGTTGGTGTATAAGAATGCTTGTGATTTTTGTACATTGATTTTGTATCCTGAGACTTTGCTGAAGTTGCTTATCAGCTTAAGGAGATTTTGGGCTGAGATGATGGCGTTTTCTAGATATACAATCATGTCGTCTGCAAACAGGGACAATTTGACTTCCTCTTTTCCTAATTGAATACCTTTTATTTCCTTCTCCTGCCTAATTGCCCTGGCCAGAACTTCCAACACCATGTTGAATAGGAGTGGTGAGAGAGGGCATCCCTGTCTTGTGACAGTTTTCAAAGGGAATGCTTCCAGTTTTTGCCCATTCAGTATGATATTGGCTGTGGGTTTGTCATAGATAGCTCTTATTATTTTGAAATACGTCCCATCAATACCTAATTTATTGAGAGTTTTTAGCATGAAGGGTTGTTGAATTTTGTCAAAGGCTTTTTCTGCATCTATTGAGATAATCATGTGGTTTTTGTCTTTAGCTCTGTTTATATGCTGGATGACATTTATTGATTTGCGTATATTGAACCAGCCTTGCATCCCAGGGATGAAGCCCACTTGATCATGGTGGATAAGCTTTTTTAAGTGCTGCTGGATTCGTTTTGCCAGTATTTTATTGAGGATTTTTGCATCAATGTTCATCAAGGATATTGGTCTAAAATTCTCTTTTTTTGTTGTGTCTCTGCCTGGCTTTGGTATCAGAATGATGCTGGCCTCATAAAAAGAGTTAGGGAGGATTCCCTCCTTTTCTATTGATTGGAATAGTTTCAGAAGGAATGGTACCAGTTCCTCCTTGTACCTCTGGTAGAATTCGGCTGTGAATCCATCTGGTCCTGGACTCTTTTTGGTGGGTAAGCTATTGATTATTGCCACAATTTCAGATTCTGTTATTGGTCTATTCAGAGATTCAACTTCTTCCTGGTTTAGTCTTGGGAGAGTGTATGTGTCAAGGAATTTATCCATTTCTTCTAGATTTTCTAGTTTATTTGCATAGAGGTGTTTGTAGTATTCTCTGATGGTAGTTTGTATTTCTGTGGGATCGGTGGTGATATCCCCTTCATCATTTTTTATTGTGTCTATTTGATTCTTCTCTCTTTTTTTCTTTATTAGTCTTGCTAGCGTTCTATCAATTTTGTTGATCCTTTCAAAAAACCAGCTCCTGGATTCATTAATTTTTTGAAGGGTTTTTTGTGTCTCTATTTCCTTCAGTTCTGCTCTGATTTTAGTTATTTCTTGCCTTCTGCTAGCTTTTGAGTGTGTTTGCTCTTGCTTTTCTAGTTCTTTTAATGGTGATGTTAGGGTGTCAATTTTGGATCTTTCCTGCTTTCTCTTGTGGGCATTTAGTGCTATAAATTTCCCTCTACACACTGCTTTGAATGCATCCCAGAGATTCTGGTATGTTGTGTCTTTGTTCTCATTGGTTTCAAAGAACATCTTTATTTCTGCCTTCATTTCGTTATGTACCCAGTAGTCATTCAGGAGCAGGTTGTTCAGTTTCCATGTAGTTGAGCGGTTTTGAGTGAGATTCTTAATCCTGAGTTCTAGTTTGATAGCACTGTGGTCTGAGAGATAGTTTGTTATAATTTCTGTTCTTTTACATTTGTTGAGGAGAGCTTTACTTCCAAGTATGTGGTCAATTTTGGAATAGGTGTGGTGCTGAAAAAAATGTATATTCTGTTGATTTGGGGTAGAAAGTTCTGTAGATGTCTATTAGGTCCACTTGGTGCAGAGCTGAGTTCAATTCCTGGGTATCCTTGTTGACTTTCTGTCTCGTTGATCTGTCTAATGTTGACAGTGGGGTGTTAAAGTCTCCCATTATTAATGTGTGGGAGTCTAAGTCTCTTTGTAGGTCACTCAGGACTTGCTTTATGAATCTTGGTGCTCCTGTATTGGGTGCATATATATTTAGGATAGTTAGCTCTTCTTGTTGAATTGATCCCTTTACCATTATGTAATGGCCTTCTTTGTCTCTTTTGATCTTTGTTGGTTTAAAGTCTGTTTTATCAGAGACTGGGATTGCAACCCCTGCCTTTTTTTGTTTTCCATTTGCTTGGTAGATCTTCCTCCATCCTTTTATTTTGAGCCTATGTGTGTCTCTGCACGTGAGATGGGTTTCCTGAATACAGCACACTGATGGGTCTTGACTCTTTATCCAATTTGCCAGTCTGTGTCTTTTAATTGGAGCATTTAGTCCATTTACATTTAAAGTTAATATTGTTATTATGTGTGAATTTGATCCTGTCATTATGATGTTAGCTGGTTATTTTGCTCGTTAGTTGATGCAGTTTCTTCCTAGTCTTGATGGTCTTTACATTTTGGCTGATTTTGCAGCGGCTGGTACCGGTTGTTCCTTTCCATGTTTAGCGCTTCCTTCAGGAGCTCTTTTAGGGCAGGCCTGGTGGTGACAAAATCTCTCAGCATTTGCTTGTCTGTAAAGTATTTTATTTCTCCTTCGCTTATGAAGCTTAGTTTGGCTGGATAT
This sequence comes from Homo sapiens, assembly GCF_000001405.40. Taxonomy (NCBI): domain Eukaryota; kingdom Metazoa; phylum Chordata; class Mammalia; order Primates; family Hominidae; genus Homo; species Homo sapiens. The sequence continues at coordinate 5,289,222 of NC_000012.12, forward strand.
GAAATTCTGGGTTGAAAATTCTTGTCTTTAAGAATGTTGAATATTGGCCCCCACTCTCTTCTAGCTTGTAGGGTTTCTGCCGAGAGATCCGCTGTTAGTCTGATGGGCTTCCCTTTGTGGGTAAACCGACCTTTCTCTCTGGCTGCCCTTAACATTTTTTCCTTCATTTCAACTTTGGTGAATCTGACAATTATGTGTCTTGGAGTTGCTCTCCTCGAGGAGTATCTTTGTGGCGTTCTCTGTATTTCCTGAATCTGAACGTTGGCCTGCCTTGCTAGATTGGGGAAGTTCTCCTGGATAATATCCTGCAGAGTGTTTTCCAACTTGGTTCCATTCTCCCCATCACTTTCAGGTACACCAATCAGACGTAGATTTGGTCTTTTCACATAGTCCCACATTTCTTGGAGGCTTTGCTCATTTCTTTTTATTCTTTTTTCTCTAAACTTCCCTTCTCGCTTAATTTCATTCATTTCATCTTCCATCGCTGATACCCTTTCTTCCAGTTGACTGCATCAGCTCCTGAGGCTTCTGCATTCTTCACGTAGTTCTCGAGCCTTGGTTTTCAGCTCCATCAGCTCCTTTAAGCACTTCTCTGTATTGGTTATTCTAGTTATACATTCTTCTAAATTTTTTTCAAAGTTTTCAACTTCTTTGCCTTTGGTTTGAATGTCCTCCCGTAGCTCAGAGTAATTTGATCGTCTGAAGCCTTCTTCTCTCTGCTCGTCAAAGTCATTCTCCATCCAGCTTTGTTCCGTTGCTGGTGAGGAACTGCGTTCCTTTGGAGGAGGAGAGGCGCTCTGCTTTTTAGAGTTTCCAGTTTTTCTGTTCTGTTTTTTCCCCATCTTTGTGGTTTTATCTACTTTTGGTCTTTGATGATGGTTATGTACAGATGGGTTTTTGGTGTGGATGTCCTTTCTGTTTGTTAGTTTTCCTTCTAACAGACAGGACCCTCAGCTGCAGGTCTGTTGGAATACCCTGCCGTGTGAGGTGTCAGTGTGCCCCTGCTGGGGGGTGCCTCCCAGTTAGGCTGCTCGGGGGTCAGGGGTCAGGGACCCACTTGAGGAGGCAGTCTGCCCGTTCTCAGATCTCCAGCTGCGTGCTGGGAGAACCAGTGCTCTCTTCAAAGCTGTCAGACAGGGACATTTAAGTCTGCAGAGGTTACTGCTGTCTTTTTGTTTGTCTGTGCCCTGCCCCCAGAGGTGGAGCCTACAGAGGCAGGCAGGCCTCCTTGAGCTGTGGTGGGCTCCGCCCAGTTGGAGCTTCCGGGCTGCTTTGTTTACCTAATCAAGCCCGGGCAATGGCGGGCGCCCCTCCCCCAGCCTCGCTGCCGCCTTGCAGTTGGATCTCAGACTGCTGTGCTAGCAATCAGCGAGACTCCGTGGGCATAGGACCCTCCGAGCCAGGTGCGGGATGTAATCTCCTGGTGCGCCATTTTTTAAGCCCGTCAGAAAAGCGCAGTATTCGGGTGGGAGTGACCCGACTTTCCAGGTGCGTCCGTCACCCCTTTCTTTGACTCGGAAAGGGAACTCCCTGACCGCTTGCGCTTCCCAAGTGAGGCAATGCCTCGCCCTGCTTCGGCTCGCGCACCCACTGACCTGCGCCCACTGTCTGGCACTCCCTAGTGAGATGAACCCGGTACCTCAGATGGAAATGCAGAAATCACCCGTCTTCTGTGTCGCTCATGCTGGGAGCTGTAGACCGGAGCTGTTCCTATTCGGCCATCTTGGCTCCTGTCCCCTAAAGTCTTAAAAGACTGGTGTGAAAACTACATTGTTTAAATTTTTGTTTTGGGAGTGAATAGGATTTTACTTTAGACTATTTGAAAAGAAGTCAGTAAAGATTAGTATACTTTACAAAAAGTGTTTTGGTAGTTAAACAGTGTTTTTGGTGAGTAGGAGTATTATTTTGGTCTAGGCTTTGATTGAATCAATATAAGAAAAATGTGCTTTTTAATTACCATGCATGGTTTAGATTGTGGGGCAGAAAGTAAATCAGCCAGGTTAAAAGAGGGCGGATATGTGGGGCAGTGGGGAACAAGACTATTTAGAAAAGAGGGAAAATTAAGATGGGCTTGGGAAACCAGACCAGAAAGTTAATTTTCAAATTCAACCTAATGCAAAATGAGAGAAAAATAAAAATACTTTCTAAGGCTGAACACAGGTGGCCTCCTGGTTCATGACTAAATTGAATCCTTTCAGCATCCTGTTTCTAGAATAAGTAACGGTGAGTTGACTCCAGCTTGGTTTTAAAACTAGCCCTCTTATTTCCATGTTTTTCATTACAAAAACTGGGTTTGAAGACTATGATAGACTAAATAATGTCCCCAAAATTCAGAGGTTGAAGTCCTAGTTGCTAATGTGCATGCATTTGAAGATAGAGCCTTTAAGGAGGTAATTCAGGTTAAATTAGGTCGTAGGGTGGAGCCCTAATCTAACAGGACAGGTATCTTTATAGGACGAGGAGACACCAGGAGTGCACACGCACTGAGAAAAGGCCACGTGAGGACATAGAGAAGGTGGCTTCTGTAAGCCGAGAGGGACCGACCCCCACATAACCCTGCCACCACTTAATGTTAGGCTTCTAGCCTCTAGAACCATGAGAAAATACATTTCTGTTGTTGATGCCACCCAGTCTGTGGCATATTGTTGTGGCAACCTGAACAAACTAATACAAAGAACATCTGTAATTGACAGAAAAATACCAAAGATGGTTCTAACTAATGATTTAACTTCATTTTCAATTCATCTTAGTAAAGACCACCATGTCAAATATGTGCAGGTCCAATGCAAATTAGTGTTTGGATCTGAAAAAGCTGTGCTTTGCTGCACTCTCCTCCATACCCTTATAATAAGTGGAACTAAATCAATCTTCTCTATTTTTCAGATATATTGTTGTTTATAATTGCACTCCTGTGTCCTTACAGGCCACTTCCTCTTTCTCTCTCTCTGTGATCTCAGGTAAGACACTTTATTTCTTCCAATGCAAAGCTTTTTGACAAAACTGTAATGTTGATTTGGAGTCAGGGTACAAGGTGGGATTCCAAAGTAATAAACAGTAACCACTTTGAACAAGAACTTCACAAATTAGGGTGGCAGAAAGTGGCACACACTTGTGCAAGCTAGAATCCCAACAAAGACATTTATAAATATGTACAGCCTTACCTGTTCCTCCCCACATCACTCCCACCTCCTAGTAAAATCCAAGGAAGATGAGGGCTGGGTTGGATACGCGAATATCCATACAGAAAGCTTGAGCGGAAAGCTGCAATCAAAAGCTCATTTCCTATCATGAGTTGTCTTCAGCATCTGAAAGGATTAGCATTTTGCACTAAGGTCAAGTTGCTCTTGTGTGAGAGATCGCCTTATATTTGGGTTCAGGCTCAGTAAAGAGATTTACACGGGCACCACTAGGCTGGGTGGGGTTGGTGCCAATGATTTTAATTAATTCATCTGGGAACCTAGAAGATCATAAAGAGTCATAAGAAGGAGTATTTGAGGTGGCATCTGACAGCACCAAGTCTTTATGGATGAGGAAACTGAAGTCCATGAAAGAGAAGTGCCTAAGGTCCCCCTGATCACACATGAGGGAGCTGGCACTGCAGACTGGTAGCCACATTCCTTCTGCCACCCACGGAAGCCACATTCCTTCCACACCCATTATGCACAGAGCAGTGCCACTTAATGGGAGACATGGAACGCTTCGTGGCGCTGATGAGTGAGAGATATTTCTTGGGAATTACAAGCTTTAATTTGTGCCTCTTAATCGTGCATTAAGTAGTTTTACTTAAGGTGTATTTAATGAGCACTTGACAGGTGCAAATCAGAAGCAGTGGGATGGGGAGAAGCAGAGATTAGATACGAAGATGATCAGCGTGGTTCCTGCCCTCCAAGGAGCATCCAGACTAGTTGGGAAGACAGACAGCTTTCCGGATAGCATAGGGGGCATATGAAAGGAAGAGCGAGGGTAAGAACTGAGGAGGGCTTTCCAATGAATGGAGTAGCCAGAGGTGCAGTGAGGGTGCGAACACGCAGCTTTAAAAAGCCCATCCTGTCAGTTTGTAAATTAGTTTAGAGTACTTCTAGGTCTATCCAAATATACACATAATGGCCGATTGGCCATGATTAATCACCATACTATATGCTTAGATGGGGAGAGGGGTTTAAGAAGAGGAGAGAATAGAGTGATGGTACCAAGCCAAGAACTGTGTCGATAGCTTGCACAATGGGTAGAGTTGATGAAGGAAGGCTTCCTAGAGAAAGACAGCCATTTACTACAATTCCAAGGAGGGGGATGAAGCTATTTGGTTGGCACTACATAAAGAGCCCACCTTTGGTTTTATGGCTCCCGGAATCTGGCCCAGCCATCATAAGCCCAATGTATGTTTGTATTTTTTCCTGCCCCAGGAAGACTGTGGTACAGGTGCCTGGGGAGCAGGCTGCTAGGAGAGGTTTGGTAGGAGTGCCCTGGGTTAAGGTGAAGAATAGCATCCTCTTCTTTCTGTTCTTGTTTTCAAACTATATGGACTCAGCTAGCTTACAAGATATGGAAGACAGCTAGAAGGAGGCAACCCAGCCCAGGAAGGCAGGTTGGATTCGAAGGCATTATGCATGATGGGAAGCAGTATTAGATAAACCTGCTCTGACCCATTCTTGCCAAGAGGGATTTTACAAATAGAAAACATTTTTTGAGGAAGGCTCCAGAGGGAGACTGAAAAGTAAGCCTCAGCTGACTGGAGTCAGAAAATCCCCAGCAATTGTCGGGACATGTAGGTGACTCCTCAAATGGGCTGAGCAGTGGGAGGAGTACTAGGGGAAAGGAGGAAGGGGAGGTGGCTAGAAGCAAAGGCATCCCTTTTGTTTTTTTCAATCAGAACCAGAGTGCTTATGGATCAGAGACTCCATCTGTCTGTCAGCCTCTTTTTCCAAAAGAGAGAGCCTGGTTAGATTATCTCTCTGGCCAGGTTCTCCATGAAACAGGCTATCAGATGGACATTTGTGTTCAATAAGAGTGAGGGGAGCAGAATTGAACAAAGAGAAGTTGAACAGTGAAATAGTAGCATCAGAGGCTCCAGCCGGTCCAGCAGGGCACTCTGCAGTTGGGACGAGTTTTCAGGGATGTGTGAACATGGGCAAAGAGCAAGCCTTTGTGCCCTTCTGCTAACCAAGCATTGGATGCAGGCTGTCCCCCAGGGTCCGGATAACCCTGGGCAGGCTGTCCCCCGGGGTCCGGGTAACCCTGGGAAGGGCGGCTCCAGGGATTGCTCCTTTCAGTCAAGAGCAAGGTCCAGCGAAGGACTGGGCTGTGAGCCACCAGTAGCCAATACTCCACCCCTCACCTCAGTTCTGAAGGGGGCATCTGGGCTTCAGGAAATCGGGGTTGGAGTCCTAGACTGCCACTTAGTAGCTATGTGGCTCTGTAGAAGTCACTTCCCCTCCCTGGGCCACCACTTTCTCATCTGTAAATTAGAGCTGGACTGAATAATGTTCAATGTCTCTTCTGACTCTGAGGCTCTTGGATCCTAACAGTTGCAGGATATGTACTGGCAGCAACAACCATCTTTCCCTAATTTCTATATTCGTCTTTTGTCATCCAAATTTCCATGCAATTTTGTCTGAAATCTTTCATGGACTCTCCATCTGTCCTTCATCTCCAAATTAATCATAAGTGAAAAGTAGAGTGCTAAGTACTGTGGAGGGCTAGAGAAAAGAATACATAATCCAAGGGCTGTGCTGTCCCGAGACAGACGATCTTCAACTGGGAGACTGATATAATGCCCAAAATAATTGGTGGATGCAGGATGGGAAACTGGGTAATAGCAATGTGCAAATCATTACACAAGAGTGAGAGCTGGAGGCAAAAACAAGAAGAAAGTCATTTGAAGAGGGAGTTTTTAGAAAGAGGGTTACCGAAGACTAACTCTAAAGAACATGCATGTTGAGGAAGGCACACCTTGACATTTACAGGGCCGGAGGCAGGAGTGCCTGTGGAGGCCCACAGGCTAACTGTTTAAAAGTTAAAATCAAGATAACACATAGTTAGATTAAAAAGGTTCAATCCTTCCTTCCTAAGGCCAAAAAGAAAAAATATGAGTACCTACTGTTTTGGTGTGACCGAAATACCAAAGATGACTCAATTTAATTTAATTATTATTGTACATTCTGGAATGTTCTGGCAATGAACCGGCAATATTTAGATGAGTAATAAAATAAAAACAATGATTCACACATAATAATATGCATTATTATTAATATTTAACAAAACATACATAATTCATAAAAAACTATATTTTTATTCCATAACAGTGATTCACACATAATAATATGCATTATTATTAATATTTAACAAAACATACGTAATTCATAAAAACTATATTTTTATTACATAACAGTTGTTTTTAAATTTTTTATTGCCTTTCTTTCAGCAAAATTGCTAATTATGTTCTTACAATCAAGATTTGTACTTAATTTGTGTTTTACTCATAGTGCAAATTACACAACATTTCTTGAGTCATTTTAGTTTCATGACACTTATTAACTTAAATTTAAAGGAACTGTGCTTTATAGATGCACTATCAATTATCATGTTAATAAAATGTTCTTCAGATAATACTTACATTTGGAAATGTATACATCCTCTTCAAATATTATAATGAAATGGCATGTGATAAACTATTATTATAAAATATAATACAAAATATTTTAATTTTATCATTGTGGCTTATATTATAATGCCATCATCACTACATAGATCTTTACAGTAATGTTATACTTCACATGTGCTATGTCTAGGCCTACAGATACACAAATTTAAGGGTAATATAAAATGTTTACAATTGCAAAAAATAAATCCTCAGTTGCCAAGTACAGCTGTTGGGAATGTCATGCTCTTTTACGACCATTGGTGGAACAAAGAATTGGAACATGAAGATAAACAATAGTACAAATTTTTGACATTATTGAGAAACAACATCTCCTTATGCAAGAATCTATTACATTCAGGCCAGCATGGCCCACTTGGCAGGCTGAGGCAGGAGAATCACTTGGGCCCAGGAGTTAGCGTCTAGCCTGTGCAACATAGAGAGACACCATCTCTACAAAGAAAGAGAATTTATTACATTCACACTGACAAAAAGGATATTATCATTGATTTGTCATTTCTTTTACCCAAGAGTTTCCACTGGTTTACTTCTCCCCACCTCTAAAGTAGTGTTGCTGTCTAACACCGGTATGACCCACAGAATTTTACCCCAATTGGACACACTCGCCTTTTAGCCAGAGATGGAGAAGAAAAGTGTTTTCCTGAAGCCTAAACATCGTTGCTCCCCATAGACAATGATAGGTTTACCATTTATGTTCAGCTAGTGCTAAAAACAAGTGACAGAGATACCCAAATCTTCTGTAATACATTGATTTATCCTGTGTTTATGATGCTTGGAGCTCTCTAAAGCACAGGGCCTAGCACAAGAGTTTTTCTGTCCCAGGTCTAATGGCAAAGCTGTATGAGCATATGAGGAAGATATAAATGAAAAGATAACAACATAAACTCACTCAGGGAATCTTCTAATTTAAGAGACACAGCTCTGTAATGAATGAAAACTACAGCCTTCGAAGTGATCTCTCTGTATCCACTTTTTCCTGGCTTTAAATTCCCATCTCCATTATAATCAGAGTTATCTCTGTAAAGAATAGTTCTAAAGTCACAGCTTGATTTAAAACCCATTGATATGAAAAAAAAAAGAAATAAACAAAAGAAAAGAGAAAAAAAAAGAGCCACTGATACCTTCTTGCTGTTTTCAGGGCAATGCCCCAAACTCTTATCATGACTTACAAGGCCATCTGTGTCCTGGCCCCTATATAACTTTCCAGCTTCATCTCTGAACCTCCTCTGCCCAGCACTTTATGGTCCAAGCATCACAGCAGATTTCTTTTTTCTCCTTGAATATGATGTGTGCTCTCAGTACGGGGCCTTCATATGCAAGCTATTCCTCTGGCCCAGCACTTTTCTCCCCATACCTTTCAGTTGAGTCTCAGCCTGGGGACCTTTTCTGAACTCATCCCCTTGTGAGAGGTGCCCCATCACATCGTGCTACCTCTGTGAAGGCTAGTTATTACTTAGCTGTCTGTCCTGCAAACTATACTGTGTCTCCTGTGAGCATGTTCCCAGTGCCACGTACAGACAGATACTTAACAAGGAACCACTGAATGAATAAGGTTCAAAGACATTGATACCTGAGAAAATTGTGTCAGAGTTCTGAGGCCAGGAGCCTTGAGACCCTGTGAAGAAGTTTGTGACTATTAGGCAAAGCCCAGGGGTTAGGCATTTGTGTTCAAGCTCACATTAGAAAGTACCTGGCCTTTTGACAGTATGGAAAGGTTGCAGACATAGACATACAAGACCTGCATTGAAGTCCCAATTCTGCTAATTCATAGCTGTGTAACCTTGGTCTAGTAAACTCCTCGAGTGTCTGTTTTTCATTGGTGATGTTCTACCTAACTTTCAGGGTTATGGTACCAAGCAAAGAAAAAAGATTTATGCAAAATCCTATTGTAATGTGTAAAAGGCAATATAAAATTTACAGACCGGGCGTGGCGGCTCATGCCTGTAATCCCAGCATTTTGGGAGGCCAAGATAGGTGGATCACTTGAGGCTAGGAGTTCGAGACCAGCCTGACCAACATGCTGGAACCCAGTCTTTACTAAAAACACACACAAAAATTAGGCAGGCATGGTGGTGCGTGCCTGTAATTCCCGCTACTTGGGAGGCTGAGGCACAAGAATCCCTCAAACCTGGGAGGTGGAGGTTGCAGTGAGCCAAGATAGCACCACTGCACTCCAGCCTGGGTGATGGAATGAGTCTCTGACTCAAAAATAAAAATAAAAATAAATAAATAAATAAAATCGACATATTATTAGACTTTGTCTATTTAGGAATGATGGCATGGACATCATGGATAGCACAGGAAGTTAAAGATTATCGGTGGCTTTAAATCAATTGGTCTCAGTGTTCTGGAAGTTTCAGTGGGTAAGCACCTAAAAGACAGGAGGCCTTTGTGTTGTTGCTTTGTGTTGAGTTCAATCAGTTACTAAAATACATCTTAGTAATTACCTTGTGACAGTAATCATAAAACCCTACACAATGACACTGGATAATATAGACATAGCACCTTCTCCAGTGTGAATTTTAAACACAAAATACCTGTGGCCAAGCCAATTCCTAGTGAGGCATCACCATGAAGCTTTCCTGCACACGGGGTTATCTTTTGGTTCTTACTGTCAGGTTTCAAAGGCTTCAATGATGCATCTTCACCTTCCCAACCCTATCCTTGCAGGGACAGCGGTTGTCTGCTTACTGGGTAGTGTTGTGGGCTGGGTATTGTTCGTGCTGTCTTTTTGATCTGAAAGACAATGGACTGAGCTTAACCTGGTCTCCAGGTTCTTCTCCAGTGTTGATATTCTATGACTATTGGAGTATAGCCTAAGAATGAAAAATATAATAAGAAATTAAATATTATGAGCCTTGATGTTATTACTTGTGTTTAGCTGCTCCTAAAAGATATGTTGCAGTCTGTGCTCCACAGAACAAAATTGTATAGCCATGGGAAGAAACAGAGGGACTTACTGAAAACTCTCTGAGGGTGTTGTGGTATGTAGACCTGGTATACTGCTCAAAAGCAGCATTATAGAACTGTGCCTGATCTGACTGCATGGGAGTCACCCAGCTTATGGTGACCACAGCTTAGGGTCCCAGAGTCAATACAAAGAACATAGCTTTAGGTTAAGATTGCCCTAAATTTGTGGTCTAGTTCTATCCCTTCCTGGATATATAAGTTTGAACAAGTTATTCAATCTTTCTGACCATCAGTTTTCTAATCTATTATACAAAGCTTCTAACAGTTGTCTTTCAGGGATGTGGTAAGGATGCTTAAGTTATTACTTGCTTAGTTATTAAATGAGGTAACATATGTATAAACAAAGCACATTCATATAATAATGAGAGCCAAGCTGGTAATCAGAAAAAAAGCTTAGTAAGGCAGTAGTGGATGCAGTTTTAACTGCACACATTGCTGTAGGGCTGGGGTTGGATTGAAGCATGACATAGAATAATGTAAAATAGAAAACAACCAGTGAAGTTGTAGGAAATAATGATTTTGAGCAGAGATAGATATTTTCAGGAATTTCTCAGACTTCTGATTAAAGTTAAGGAAGTTTATAGAACTTTCTTCTAGATCAAGCAGGGGAAAAAAACATTCCCAGGTAAGAACAGCAGACATACTTGTCTACTTGGAAGGGATTCTCAAGGTTTTGCATGGATTTATTTGTTAGCAGTAGGAGCAAAAATAGCCAAAACTATAGACCTATAGTTGTTGAGGGCTGTGTACCCAAAATCCTAACATTAAGACATGCAGAATGAGAGAGGGGTGTTGAGATCACTTTGCATTTATGAAAGCAGCTTTATAAAAGGAAACAACCACATAGACAAGCCCCAGTGTGTACTAATCTGAGATGCAGAAACAGACTGAACTAAGTACTCAAAAAAGAAGACAAGACTGGAGCCAGGAGACCCCCAATTGTCTTAGCCATACCAAAAGGGCAGGTTTGCTATATATTGCCGTAAACTTGCTAGATTTCAAACTGTGTATTGCTATATATAAGCATATGCCCTGTTTGAAAAGTACCTTGCAAAGGGGCAGATGCGCAGTCAAAATTAGATAAGTGTTTCTTCCCTTTTCCCTAGTTCCTCTTTGAGAATGAAATTGTTAAAGGTAATAAAAAGAGAAATAAAACAAAACAAAAACAACCTTTGAAGACCCATCGGTGAAGTGGGAACCAATTCAGAGATTGGCTCAAAGTTGGTGATGCATAGTGAGTGTGTTAGCTACTTTCTGTATCCAACTGTAGCTGGTAACATGTGTTTCAAGACCCTGCCTATCTTCTAAAGCCAGGGTCTGGCAGACAAGCGAGCTTGAAGAATGGTCTTTATGCAGAATGACATTGCTTTGTTCTCCTTCCATGTTTTTTGTCTAATTCATCAACCATAACAAGCTGTGCAAATGCAGACTAATGTGAACTCTAACTTGCTTGCCGTTATGCAGGCCCACGATTGGCTTTGCATTTCGGTGCTTTGAGAAATGGCTTTCCATTTTGGTGCTTTGAGAAATGGCTTTCCATTTTGGTGCTTTGAGAAAGCCGCCTGAGCTGCTACCTCTTCAGGAAGAGACTCCAGACCATCAATACTGTTAGGGAGTTTGGAGAAACTCCATCTTAGGCATGTGTGTGAACTGGGAAACTTGCTCCTACAACCACAGGCTTGCAAACATCAGCTTCATTTGCTGCAAGTTTAAATTATTCTCAAGCCACTTCTTTGATCCGACCTTGTTTCCCAAGTCCCACAAATGAAACTGTTGAAAAGCTATTTGTCAACAATACCAGAGACTCTGTGGTGATTAATTAATTGTCTTTTCCTTCCAAGTGCTACAAATTCTGTAACAACAACCACAATAACAAAGACAATGATGATGACAGAGAGTAATAGAAATATCATCTGCAGAAACCCACAATCGGCTTGGATTGATCAAAGACAAACAAACACCAAGTGCCATAATTTCAGATGAAGAGGAGAAATTATTGAAAGGGTGTTTATAATGAGCCAGGAAATTTCCTATTCGTTATTTTCACTACTATCGCCAAAGCACGGCAAGGTAGCTATTATTGATCTCATTTTATGGTGGAGAAAACTGAAAACGAGAATGATTAGCTAAATTGCTGAAGATACTACAGCTAATCATTGGTACATCCAGGGATTCAGACCCAATCCATCACTATTAGATCTTTTTACCTGTGTGCCACTTTCTGTCTTGTTCATCTGCCTTGCACCTTAGCTGCCCTGTAGACTTGAACCATAGCTTGCATTTGGCCATTCCTTCCCAGAAGGTAGAGTCATTGAGGAGTCACTAACTCGGGGCTGGAGTTTTATTGGCTGTAGTCAGGCTACCCCTAACAGCAGCTGCCTGCAGCAGGCTAAACTGAACATTTGAGTATCACCCAGCTGAGTCCCTCTGTTGTATTTTACCATGCTGTGGTGATGTGGATTATGACATCCTATGATTTGCTAATTACCTTCTCGGCTAGATTGCAGAGTTGTTACTGTATTGTTGAGACTTTGGACTGGGTCTGTCAATAACTTGGTCTTCAACACCTGCTTTATCCAAAATAGTAGACCTAATTCTGTTCTCTATAATATTGTAGGCAAGACTGATATCAGCTGGTAGGCACTGGTATGTACATCAACATATAGATGGTATATAAAGCCATAAGACTGGTTGATTCCATTCATCAGGGGAGTGAATACTATGAATTTATGTTTTATTTTTGCTTGTAATCAAATATGCACAAATAATGTGCAGAAATACTAAAGGGAAAATATGAGAAGAATAAAAATGTTAGATTGAGGCATTTATACAGAGCTTCCTGGAAGAGACTTCAGACATAGGAGGGTCAATGACCTGGATGAACTCTGAGAGAGGCCAAAGGTAGGTGTTAGGCAGAATTCATGGAACCAAACCTGTTAGCCAATCACCAGGCTCAATCCCTATGCCTTTCTCACCACAGTCCAGGTGAGTGAATTCCAAATCTTACTTACTAAAGCACATGTTTTCCATAAGACTTCCCAGGGGAGGGAGCATATCCCATCTCTTAGAAGACAGTATGGGTTGCAAGTACTTAATTGGAGTGAGATTATGGAAGAAAGAGAATCTTGGGGAAGATAAAGAATGAGTGAGACCCCACATGATCCCCACGTAAGCATTTGCCTGATAAAGTAAATTGTTCCAGCCTACAAAGACCTTAGAATGTTTATTGAATGCAGGGATCTGTGTTTTGGTTTCTCTATGGCTCTTGCTTCAGCCACAATGGAACACAGCCATTTTTAGTGTGAACTTTAGAGGATGAGCAAGAAGACTGTATGTGGGACTGTTTCCTGTCAGACATAGAAAGTGACAAGAGACTGAGATCCCATCCTAATAATGAGAACAAGCCTGATAAGGTGAAAAACATGGCTATTTGAGGACACCATCAGAGAGCTGAAATGCAAAAATGTCTAAATGAACTAATTCCAGAAAGGATGAGGACTTCCTAGGAAAGGAGAGACCCATGGCTGATTTTAGCCCTGGCAGAGCAATGGGAGAAAGAGGAATGTACCATAGATGGGGTGAGAAGAAATCAGCCAAGCTTGCAATGAACTTTCAGTGGCCATGGACTGGATCAAGGGATGAGAATGTAAAGGAGCCCCAGCCACAAAACCAGTCTACCTACCCCCTAACTCTTTTGTATAGACCTTTACCAAGTGCTTTGGGGTAGTTCTTTGCAGGCTGTGGATAAAGAAGGAGAGTTGAGAGAGATTCCTCCAAGTTATTTCAGACACCCACCAAGTATAATGCAGAGACCGTCCAAAGGTTGAGGATAGGGCATGAGAACTGAGAGAAATCTCCGGAAGGTTCTCAGGGCCATTACCAAGTATGTAAAGCAAAAGAGGCACTCCAGAAACTTGTAGGATCTCAGATCCCAGCACCTGATAAAGGAAAAGTCTGCATCCCATTCCCGGACAATTCCAGAAAGACATGGTTTTAAAAAAGCAAAACTATAACATAATATTTTGAAATGAGCTAAGAGATGTTAAAGTGATACAAGATATGAGAGAGCAACATAAATCAGACTTTGAAAAACTCAGGAAAAAGGTGACAGAAAAACTTAGAAATAAATTTAAAAAATCATTTTATAAGTGAAGACTAAACTAGAAGATACACAAGAGCAAATAAACACAACAAATGATGGCTTAAAAGAAATATAATGTAAAAAGGAAAAAAGCTTAAATCAGAAAGAAATGAAGAGATTAAAAGTATTTGAGAGAAAGTGACAAATATTAAAGATAGCTAAAGAAGACCCAACACACCAATGTTAGGTGTTTCTGAAGAAGAAAACCAAAACAAGAGAAAAGAACAAATGTTTCTTGAAAATTCCTAAAATAAAAAAGCATTTGAAGCCATATATTGAAAAAGTACACAATGTACCTGAGAATATCGACACAGAATGATGATTACAAAGATGTATTCTAATAATATTACTAAAGTTTTTTTTTTAATTATACAAGCTTCTAGGCAAAAAAAGCGGATTCCTGAGAGGGATTAAAAAATTATTTTATCATCAGACTTTTTATCAGACTTATACACCAGAAGAAAATAGAGTCATTTTACTCAATGAAAGAAAATTGTTTTCTATTTTTATAAACTAAGCTTTAAGTATAAATGTGCAAATACACTATTGTCAACCTCAAGAATCAGAGAATTCTGTTCCCATGGCCCCTTCTTAAGGAAGTTACTAGAGAATGAGCTTCAGGCCACCAAAACAACTAGAGAGAAATAGGAGAATTAGTAGTGATCATTAAATATGTATGTACTTGTAGAAAAGAGGTTACATAAGCATAAAGCAGGAGAGATCTTAGTATGGAGTGGATATATGCTTTGACAATGTAAATATAGTACAATACAAGATAAGTGGGACATTGAGGACAACATATATAAAAATTTTTTTTCTGCCTTGAGTAATAATAATCCATGGAGGTAGAATAATACTATTATTCTGAGACTCTTGTATGTGTAGTAAGCAAATAAATAATTAAGGGACATTCTAATTCCACCATTCCTGGTATCCTTGAGAACCAAGATTGTAAAAATGAATGGGAGAAGATACATATGTAATTTAGAAGAAGTTGAGAGAATACCATGTAGTTATGAGTTTGAACTGAAAATATCAGTATGAATATAGAAATTCATTATATATGTTTATAGGAGATTACAGCTATCTGTCATCTATTTACCTATAACACATGTATATGCACATATTCTGTATATACAACCCAGTAGCAATCAGTATCTCTGATGCCCTTGTGGTTTTGAAATACAGTTTCTCATTTTAAAATAAGCAAACAAAAGCAGGGATTCTCAAGAAAATATGCAAAATGAGTCTGAAATATCTTGCTGTACCAGACACTGTGAGAGACTATTAGAGTCGTGAAAAGGACTTGGGAACCGACTTGAAAAGGTTCTCAGTTGCCAAAGAGGGGACAATTTGAGATTCAATAAGGCAAAGGATTGCAATGAATTAAAACCTATCAAATATTTCTAAATCCACAGACGTATAATGATATTTGCAATTGATCACCTTCAGAGGGTGACAGGAAACCAATTCATAATCTTGATTCAAGCATTTATCCTGTCTTTCCTATATGAGCTGTACTACTGAGTAACAAAATATTGGATGAGGAAAAGTGTTTCCTTACACAATTAGTCCAGCTATTAGAAGAAAAATGAAATAATACATTAAGATGTCACCAACTCCCTATGAATTGATGAATCTAAGAATTGAGCATCAATGGCTACTGACACCAAATAAAAGAAGAGTGAAAACCAGACATAATGCTTTGATAAAAGAACACACCACCACTGTCTTGCCAGGGGGATCATATCTGAGTCTGGTCAAGATTCACATTCTAGCTGCCAATTTGCAGGAAACCCAGAGGACAAAGGAGCGTTCAGCAAAAGCTAGATGGCAGGTCAAATGCAAGGTTCATCAACAGATAAGTTGCAAGAAAAAGAGCAAGACAGAAAGAAACTTCAGATCAAAGAGAATGTAAAAGACAAATCATGCTTTTAAAAATGTGCAAGATTAAACTACAACATATAGGAATGCACACTTGGGTGATAAAGCTATAAACACAAGGGCTAGAGTGAGAAATGGTGCTGTGACTGCAATGAGGTGTGTGGAGGGGGCCCCTCAGGTGGCTGCCAAGGCTCTCTTTCTTGATCTGGATGGATTTAGGAGTGTTTCCTTTATGATAATTCACTAAGCTACACATTTGTCTTGTACTGTTCTGTTTCTCTGCTTTATTTTACAATAAAATGCATATATAGGTAGGTGTATATATAGTAAACTGTATGCTTATTTCTCTGTATTTATATTTGTGTGTGCATCTGTATGTATTACATATCTATTGTCTATCTGTCTGTCTGTTTATTATGCTTTAAGTGAGATGTCTTGCTAGAAAAATATCTCCAACATTGGGAAATGGTCCATAAATGATCAAAATAAACTTTTACATGCTGGGGTAAAATGGCGCAGCCTCTACATCGATAAAATGAGAATGAAAACAAAGGCAGCCTAGAAGCTTAGGCCAGAACCCTTGATATTAATCTGTGACCATAGAAGCCATCCCTTGCTTTTGGTACTCCACCCTAATGTACTCCACTGGGGCCTGCCTCTCCCTTTGTCCCCAGCAATTAGCACAGTTTACACTTGAGTGATCATTGTTTTGACCCGCCCTAAGTCTCGGCATCCGGACTCCATCACCCACCATCTGTGCCCTGGCCAGGAGGACTTCTCAGCAGCTCTCCAGCAAGCACCGGAAGTGGGGCTTGGCCACAGGCCTATGGTGTGACGGGCGGCCAAGGACAGAGTCTTCTGTCACTCATGGTCTCGAGGACAAGAACAGACCAAAACCAGGCACAGATTTAGTTGTCTGAATACTCTTTTATAATGAGAGAAGGGGAGACAGATTAGAAGAAAAGGAAAGAAGAGGAGAGAGACAAGAGGATGGTAGACCAGATGCCAGGAGGACAAATAAGAGAGAGAAAATGTAAAGAGAAAAAGAACAAAGGAACAATAAGAAAATAATTGGGAAGGAGAAGGGAAGGAAAGGAGAAGTTAGGAATGGAGAGTGGATGGTAAAGGAACATACATGGTCAGAGAGAAAGAACATTCCTACATTCCTTCTGGAGAGGCGTGGCCATTGCCTGTTAACTTGTACTCTGTACTATAGCTAAAGACTTTCAGCACTACATAAAACACACGCAATTTTTGAGGGGGTTTGTTCCTCATCCTTATCTAAATATTTATTTGTGGAAGTGGTTTCCATAATAACCAAGAAACAACAGAAATTCCTACCAGCTCCACGAAAGACCAGAACAGAGTCACACTATCATTTTGAGATTCTGGGGAGCCAGTGGTCAGACTGAGGCAGCAGTGACATCACCATGCTGAGAAGGCAGCTCCAAACTTGGGCAGAAAAGTGCTTGGTCAGCACCTGGGCAGACGGGCTGGCTTTGGGCCTCTCAGCACAGGCACCAGCCATGGGGAAAAGCTGCTTTGGAATGAGTCTGTGATTAGTGCCCAGGTTGGGGAGAAGAGGTACCTCAAACCTCCACAACTCTGCAGGTCCCTTAACTTCTCCAAAGCTAAATGTAGGGTCTCTATCACCTGAGATATCTTTACTAGGTCTCTAATCTTTCAGGATCTGCCAAGAGCAGTGAGAAGTTACATCAAAAGACCTAAGACCTTGCGTCCAAACTCACCCCCTAGTGGGAGGAGATCGGAGATAGGTGAAGATAAAATTCTGTTACTAATGAGAAAGTACGCATCTTTGCAAGTGAGCTGTTTATTTTAGGTATAAATTGGAGAAGATCCAGGATTACACCTAAAATAATGTCCCGTTACAATATTTAGTCTTGGGTGAGACAGAATACATTGACTGGGGTGAAGGTGTGTGGCACAGGTAAATTAAACATTAACCCACTGCCTTTCTTCTTTAGAATTCAGCCTTTATTCGGAGTTTACCCTTGGAAATTTATCCGACATGTGCAAGTAACTTATTTTTAAAATTGACCAGAATATAAACTCCATGAGAGCAAGGAGTTTTGCCTTCTTGACCCACTGCTAAATGTCCTGTCCTTAGAACAGTGCCTGGCTCATAGCAAGCACTAAGCATGTATTTATTAGAAAAAATGAATTCATAAGCTCCGTCTCTTGTGCATGGTTATAGAGCTGCTTTTTGGGACCTTGCCCTGGAAAAATCTCTAAAAACAGAACTTGCCCAAAAATGCTTTCTTCCTTGGGTGGCTATGCCTCAGTCTCAAGGTTTCAGATGTCCTGCCTGTTGTGTCTGCTTTTGTCCCCTTGAGTGTTTATCTGAAACCTCTCTTGACTTCCGGGTGTTGCCTCATACTGCATTTCTGACTCTGCCTTGACCCCTGGCTTCTGTGTATTGCAGGGGTCTGAGACTGTGCCCTTCATACTCTCTCCACCTTTCCTGACCTCTGCCGTGGCTCATGGATAGGTCTTCTCAGTACACAGAGGTTAACAGCAGGAGCCTGCAAAGAGGAAAAGCACACTTTGGAGGAAGACTCTCTGGTGTTTCAGAAAGTGAGAGAAAATGAGAATTAGCTAACATTTACTTGGGTAGAGAGGGAGACTACTGTGTGTCAAGCATGCCCCCAAAGTTTTACATGTACTGATTAATCTGATCCTTATATAATAGTGTGAAGTAGATTTTCCTATCCTACCTATCTTTAGTTAAGGAAACTGAGGCACAGAGAAGTTCAATGAATTGCCCAAGGCCTCATAGTAAACTCTGGTGGTTTGCTGTAGAGCTGAGACTCATACCTACTACACTATGCCAATGCAGATTCCAAGAGTGAGTTTTGCCTAGTTAGGGTGGATAGATGAGCAAAAGCACACTAGGATGGGATACAGGTAGAGCAATGAGAAAGAACAGAAAATCTAACTTTTCTTCCATCATTAAAAACTACCACCAGTATAACACCCATCACTGAGTGTTTACTATATGCCAGGTATAGACTAGGATTTTAATTTATGTTCAGAATAAGCCCATGAGATATAAGATTGGGCTTTACAGTTGTTCAACAATTTTTCCAAAGTCATAGGTCTAGAACCGGCAAAAGTGAGATTTGACTCTGGTCTTGCTCCAGGCCTATGTTATAAAGCACCATGTTTTACCGCTTGCCTGACCTCCAAGCCTCCACACCCATTGTGAGGGGTGTCGGTATATCCCTCAGCCCTCACCTACATTCCCTATGGCTGACTGTTCTCCAGAAACAGGGCACTAAGCTCTGAGTTCTGTATGCTTTAGCATTTGTGTAATAGTGGCCAAGGAATAGGATGACTTCATTTCATGTTGCAAATATGGTTGATTTTGATCTAAGAAAATTTTTCTTAAATTGACCTAAAGTACAATAAATGTGGTCTGAGCTCAAAATAAGCCACATATAAAATTACTGAAAGTGGAAATACAGTGCAATGCTACAAACTCTCATCATTCAGTCATATTATAGCTTCCAAAATGTTGGCTCTTATACTCATCCCTTGAGACTTAACAGAGTTTAACTAGATTTTCCTTGACATTTCTGATTTTCCCTGTAAGGCAAGTGTTTCCAACTGTGTCTATCTCACACCACTTGGCTTTTCTGAGTTCTTTCCATATATTGTGACTGATGCCATTCAAGTAAATAAAATTTTATTAAGTGCCTGCTGTGTGCAAGACCTGGGCTCAAAGCCTAGCCAAAGGTAGGCAGCCACATAGAGTGAGAAGTTTTGTAAAAGCGGTGTTGAGGTGGGGTTTGTGGGGGAATCTACAAAGTTCATATTGCTCTGTTCTTTGCACGATGAGAAGATGTTATGGAAGAGAAAAAGTATAGTTTGTTGCAAAATCAGACGGCATCATTATGAAGTCTCCCCTGGGGTACTGGGGAGACTCCCATGCTGAGAGTCTTGGCTCTGGCACCAACAAACATGCAATTCTGGGTAAGCCATTCCCTGGGCCTTTATTTTCTCATCTATAAAACGAGGAGGTTACTGAATTGCCTTCCATGTCCCATACAACTTAACATCCTCTGAATGTGTTCTGAAGTAGCACTTTCTAAATCAATCAGCCCATCCAGCCCCATTATTCTGCCTCTAAATGTTCCATCCAGGAATACTTCGTGTTGATTACCAATTCATGGCATGGACCCCAGAAGGAAAGGACCTTGGGATGGAAGCTTACCCTGTTGTCTCCCCAGAGAGGTATGGCCAGTGACCAAAGTCTGGCAGCCGTCAGCAGGCAGATTAGGTCGATCGCTCGTGTGCTGCCTGTTCAGTTCCTGGATTAATGGGTGGTGTCTTTAGCTCGTGACTGTTTCCCATTTCAGATTGTCTTAGCACATCCCGTTATGAATCCTGGCCTAATCACAGACATTTGCTTATGGCCAAGGTAAAAACAGGACAGGGTAGATGTAGGGTCATGGCGGCAACCAAAGGACATGATGACTGCCTTCAGTTTCCTATACTTCATAAATTCAAGAAGGAGGGTGGTGGTTTCTTAAAATGTTCTGACTATTCAGCAACACCTCCAGTTTGAAATTTGTTGATGAGTTTCTGCTGAGTGACAGGCACATGGAATAGGTAGAGCCCAACTGGAACTTGCTGACAGCTTAGCTACACCAAAGAAGTCCACCATAAGCCAGAGAGGCTGAGTCAGGAAATTGTGCTCACTTAGCTTCCAGGCTTGGCTGGGGTCTGACCCATCCCCTCACCTTTTGACTCCTCCTTGCCCTCTCCAGTCTCTAAATTCCACTAATGGGGGCCATCCCCATGCAAGGTGCCAAGGGAGTCTCCAAAGTCAGGGATCTGAATCAGCCAAGAAGTGTTGTTCCCCTGTTCAGGCCTCGTGGGCCATTGCCATGGACGTGTCTCTGCACTGCAAACAAATACCAGGCAGCAGAGCGAGACAGCACTGCAGAGGCTGCCAACGCTCAGGGCGGTGCATCCTTGGCTGTGCGTCTGTGGTAGTATAATGGATGAATTATTAATTATGATTTATCACCAGGATAAAGGAAACTCGTAGGCGATTCTCTCCAAAGACAAGAGTACAAAAGACTGTGCCTGAGGCTCAGGCTTTTATTAGTGGCACATGAACATTGGACTACAGTAATAGAGATGATGTTTGATAGTTTTCACATCACCTTTCAGCCAAGCACTTAATAAGCACTAATTCATTAATTTTCAAAACAACCTGTAAGGAAGGAAATATTATTTTTACTTCCTTTTCTCCCCACTATTTTAAAGGTTGAGAAGTGTAGACATTAAAGGTCTATCTCTCCCATTGCTTTAAAAAAATTCTAAATAAACTGCTCTCTCAAGCACTATTTAATTTAAGCACAATGTCACAGTTCAAACTATTTTTTTCTTCTAAATAAAGGGAAATGTTCATCATACCAGGAAATGTTTAAGACATGGAAGCATTTGTTTTGCTTCTGATTGTCAGAGCAAGAATGTTTTGTGACTCTTAGGAACTTGAATACTCCAGCAGCTTCCCATTTATCATTTTTCTAAAAACCCAACTTGTTAGAAATAATTTCACCATCTTCACAGCCCCAAATGTTGTTGGTAAATGTTATGAATATGCCTTTTCCGGGAACTACCTACTGCATTTCCTAGAATTGAAAATTAATGAGCATTTGAACTCTGTAGACATAATCCAGTTTTAGCTACTTAATTTTAAGGGCATTTGCCACTTACCTGACACCATGTTGGCTGGTGTAGAGTTGTGGAGGAGATGAGAGGAATTAAGGAATTGGTGGCAAGGACCAAGATGAGAAGTTCATATTTCACTTTATAGTTGTCATCATCATCATCATCAATGTTACTTGTTTACATCAGTTTATTACATCATAATTTAGAACTATCTTCATAAATATTGATTAATTAAATATTTGAGAACCGTACAAGTTAAGTTTTGTGACCCTATCATAGACCTTGCCTCCATAGAGGCAATGTAAATAACAATGACTTACTTAAGGGCTTGAGGGGGTCAATATGTAACACTCTTCTTTTCTCAGCCTGAATCCTGAACAAATCAAGATTTTTAAAAATTATATTTATGGGGTAAAATGTTTTCATTGTTATTGATAAGTTGTTAAGGAACATGGCTTAGAAGTGCGGCAACAGTGGGGTTCCTAACACCAAACTCCCAGTTGGGCAATCACCTCCACCTAGGCACACACAGGATGGGACAGTCACGGTCCACCACATCAGGGTAGGGACTTTACTGCGTGGCTCAGAATAGCTCAAGACATAAACTGCAAGCATATCCCAAAGAAGGACGAGATGAGCCACACAGGTTCAATTCTCCATCTTAAGCTCACCAACCGGAAAAGTCACTTCTCCTGTCTCAGGGAGGAATGAATGAGGAGTTGGAGGAAAACCAGATGTGTTCTGGTAATGGACGTCTCTCCATATGGAAGGACATTTCAAGAGGAGGGAACACCACCACCACCTCCCGCCAATCATATGACTCCCTCCATCTGAATTTTCCAATCTTTTGTTTTAGTGATGATGCTTAGAGATAGTTTTGTTTTTGTTTTTTGTTGTTGGTGGTGGTGTTTTGTGTTTTTTTGTTTGTTTGTTTTAGCCTACCCTCTGTGTTATGTTGACTGTTGTGTTGGCTGGTGGGAGACGGTTGGTCAGCTTGGGTCAGTAGAGACTGATGCAGGAAACTCTGCCAATGCAAGGGGTTGTGGAAGGTTGTCCGGTAGTTCCTCTCATGAAGCACACTGCTGTCCCCCTTCTGCTACCAACAAAGCCACCTTACCATGCCTCATTTTTAGAAATAACTAGTTAGATCTCAAAGCACTTATCACTTGTCCTGTCTCAGAGCAGTCCTCCATCCAAGTCAGTTGTTCATAGTAAAGAAAATAAAAACTGATTTTTTTTGGTCTTTATTTCTCCAAATCACCCTCCCCTGATACCAGGAGGATCCCCATGCTGAATAACTCATCTGCTGACAAATTTTCTTTATCTATGTCTCAACCTTGACATTTAGATGTCTTTTCATCCCCATTTCCTCCTTTCTTAGGATCAACCATTCACACTCTTTTTCTCCTAGGAACATGAAGCTGAACCTTTTATATTCCAAAGAAGTAGGGGAAAATTGGGGTTTCTTTCTAATATCAGGGATCTGGGTATCCTAAAAGTCTGGAAGCCCACCACACTAGGAATTCTAAGTCAGGTAAGCAGTGGACCAACTGCAGAGAGGTAAATAGTCTGGAAGGAGCAGGTGGTGTCGAAGGCAACTGGAAAGGTGCCAAAAAGGCAGGGTCAACACCTGGGCAGAAGATGGAAGCCAGGCTAGCCCACACGATGTTAAGATGGACACTGATACCATGGTGAAGGTGGCTTGCTTCCTCTCTTCGTTTAAGGTCTCAGTTACCTCTGGATATATCATGAATTGAAAGGAATGTGAAAAGGCCAATAGGGGCAGCTAAGCCCAGTTTGTAGGCAGAGAAGATTCTTTTTCTTATGTTGAAATAGATAAATTATAAAAGCCAATCTTGGGTTTTTCTTGTTTTGCTTCTTTGAGTGAAGCCTAATCCCATAGGTAGTATTTTGCTACAAATATTGTCCTTTGTGTCATGAAAAATAGCAAAACATGCATTACAAGGTGAGGGCAGATGAGGCATGAGATAGTCTACCTTAGGAAGGATATAGGAGGAGAGTAATGCTGCCTGGTGGTAGTGCTGACGTGTGGTCCATCCACCAACTCTGTGCTCCCTATCTAAAGTGAAATAACTACAGAATTTTCTGTGGTAAACTGTTGGAAGCCCTCTGAGAGTAAGTGCTTTAAATCCTTGTCAGAATTTTGACAGATTGATTTTATGACTATTGACTGTAATGATAAAATATTTGGTTCATATTTTGTGAGACTTTTTTCCTTTTCCTAGTAATTTATTTTATAGTATTTTTATTAATAAATAAAGATATCAGCCCATGAAATGTTGTACATTTTAAAAAGGCTTTCTTTTGCTACAGATAAATAGGGACTCTTTTATGGCACATTTTTCCAAACTGTTTTCTGATGAACAGCAGCATTTATTGACATGCTGAAAAATGTGTTGGTCAAATAATTACATGCACTAGCTTTTACAAAGTTAAGTTTCTTTACTGCAAGTCATCCCTGAGCTTTGAACATATTATAGTTATTATTAATCTCCAAGGTATACTACACTAAATTTTCTCAATTTTATTTGATGGGCTCTTGGGTTTTAAAAGACTGGAAAGGTCATCTAGGCAAAAACAGTATTTTGCTAAATATCTTAATTCTGTTACTCCAAAACTTCTGACTAGGGAGTATAAAAGGAGGTCTTAACAAGTTCTTGAAATAAGGCCTTCTTGCAACATGAGAGTAAGATTTTGTTTTTAGCACAGGATTTATTTCCACTTTGGATTCCGGACCATCATCGATATTGTACCCAGTTGATGGCCATCCTTTTGTGCAGTCTGTGTCTTTACCCTATGCCAACTTTGATGTTGATCTCAGTATCTCTTTACTCTTCCACCACCAGCTGTCCAATCATATAATGGGAGAGACTGTCAGTTGCCTACCCAAATATCCATTATTTCTTTCCTCCTGTTGTCCCCAACTGTAAGCTGAGCCTAAGGCCTCTTATATTAAAACCTACAGTTTTTATCCCTCCTTGCAGCTAGATGTAGTCATGTGAGTTAGCTTTGTTCAATGACAAGTAAATGTCACTTCTGGGAAACCTTAAAACATAGCTAAGGCCGAGGTGGGTGGATCACAGGGTCAAGAGATTGAGACCATCCTGGCCAACATGGTGAAACCACATCTCTACTAAAAATACAAAAATTAGCTGGGCATGGTGGCACATGCCTGTAGTCTCAGCTACTCGGGAGGCTGAGGCAGGGCTTGAACCTGGGAGGTAGGGGTTGCAGTGAGCTGAGATCGTGCCACTGCACTCCAGACTGGTGACAGAGCGAGACTCCATCTAAAAAAAAAAAAAAAGAAAAAAGAAAAATAGCTATGAGTATCATTTGTTCCTTTCTTATTTTCTCCTTAGTCCATCCTGCCCTTGGAATGCCAATATAATAGCTGAAGTCTAGCAGCCATCTTAAGCTCAGAGGACATGGGCTACCCTAGGTATATTACATGGAAAGCTAGAAGGAGCCTGGATCTGATGTCCAGAGCTGTAATTCCAGTCCTGAAGTGTTTACCTTTGGCTTTCATTACATAGGAGAGAAATAAACTATCTTGTTTAAGTCACTGTGTTGTTGGTTTTGTTTTGTTTTGTTTTCTATTGTTTGCTTTATTTTATTTAGATTTTCTGTCAGTTGCAGCAAAACATAATTCTTTTCAATAAATCTACCAACAAGACTTTACCAAGATTGGGATATTGTATGTCTTAGGGCAATCTTCAACACCCAACCAGGCATTTTACAGCTCTGCCTTAGCCTTCACTTCCTGCTTATGTAGAGCCTCAAGGTCAGTCAGAGGTTAAAACTTAAGGCCTTCTCACATTTTCTCTGTGCATGTATAGAAGCCTGTGCATGCATACAACCTTCTAGATTTTCAGGAGTATGTTAGAGCTTTTGAAAGCCCTATTGACATTTCATTTCCCAGCTTTTCCCTTTAAGCTTCTGGTTAGTCTATAATTTGTCTGTTAGCCATCACCTCATGCAGCTACAAAGTTAAAACACTTGCCTATAATTGTTTCAACCAATGCTTTCTCTCTATCCTGGCAAGGAAAAGGCTTTGCACATACTTAATGAGCTCTGAGTCAGTCTCATAAGTGGAATGTTCTAAGGAACCACCAGACAGGTAAAATAATAATAATTCTTTGGGAGTGAATTGAAAAAGTTCTAGGTCTGTTCTGTTCCTACCAGTGGCTGCCACACTGCACTGGACCTGTGGGCTATCATTTTTTGGAGGCTACTGCAGAGTGGAAGATGGTACTAAAGAAAATTAAATGCCACAGGTCTTGCTGTTCTTACTGAGTTTCAGCTGGTTTATTTCGAGAGTTCTGAAAAAGTTGATTTGGCACATTTTGCTAATTTTTAGTTATTTTGGTAAATGTTTACAAGTTCTTACTCTGTTATTTTTGCTGGCATCCTTCCTCTTTCCCCTTTTTAAAGTAAGGCAAATGAAGCCCTGCCAGTTAAATGCCCAGGACAGTGAACCTTGCATCAATCTTCAGTTTTGAAGTTCTTCTCACCCCAATTTAAATCAGCCTCCCATAGCCTATATTGGAGGTCCATTGTGGGACTGAGTTTGCTATAATAAAGAGAGTATTGGGTTAGAAGACTACAAACAGAGATTATTTAGGCTGGGGTGAAAGAATCTTCTAACTTGAGGAAGATCCAATATTGGCTGGTCCTGTGTGAAGCAACTCCATCCTTCTGTTACTCTTTAGGTACCACCTTCATCTCTTCTTGGAAACCACCATCATTACCATATAATCATCCTGTAGAAGCCAGTTCAAAATTAGACCAGGTGTGGGACAGGAGAGAAAAGGTGTGTGGGGGGAGTAATCATTATCTGTTTGATTTTCTGTATTGCCCCTCCAATAAACCAGAGACCACACTGAGTTGAGTACTATTCCCTCATTATATTTAATAATATCTTTCTCTGCCTGCATTAATTTCCTGGATGACCTTATTTAGTCCCATGGTCTTGAATCCCAGTCTGAATGATGATGACTACCAAATCTGTATTGACAGTCATGACCCTCCTCTGAACTCCAAACTATGTGTTCAATCATCTGCTTAGAAGGTTCTTTTGGATGCTTAATGAGCAATGAAAACTTAATATGTCCAAATTCAAACTCTTGGTTTCAAGCCTAATACTCCTTCTTAGTGTTCTCCATCTGCATAGTGACGTCTAATTCACCCTCATGATCTAGCAAAAAAAAAAAAAGTGTGGCTTCATCTGGGAGTCTTCTCTTTCTTTCATCCCCTTAGCAAGTCCTATTGAATTCACCTCCAAGATATATACTGTGTTTCTCAGGGTAAACAATGTTAGATGCCAAAATAAACACTATATCTCTGAGTTTAGCATAAGAAAAAGTTGCCCAATATGGGTCAGGAGACCCTCATCCATCTTTGGCATGCACGTACTGGCATCATGTCCAAGACTGCTGTGTAAGGGGAGGAGATAAATGAGGAGACACAACAACTATTAACTCCCATATTCTGGGAAGTGACGTGTATCATTTCTACTCATTGGCCAGAAATGGTCAGCTGGCCCTAAGGTAATGCAGAAAGATTTGGAAAATTAGGGGAGTAAATGAAATATTTGGAACACTTTCAATCCAAGCAGTTCTTAATGTTTCCCCCACTATCATGCTAGCCCATTCCACCACCTTTGCCTGAAATACTGCAAGTATCCTAATTAATCTTCCTTATCCTAATCATGCTCCAATATGATCTATTCCTTCTTCCATTCTTGCTACCTCCAACTTTTTGTTTTCCAACTATCAGTTCAAACGGTTTTGTTAAATATGAAACAGATTTGCTCCAAACCTTCAAAAGCCAAGTTACTTCCCATGGCCTCCAGGCCTCTACACAATCTGGGCCCTGAATACTTCTCTGACCTCCTTTCTACCACTTCCTGCCTAGGTCACTTTGCATTAGCTACACTGGCCTTCAGGCTCTTCTTGAGCATACCAACTTTATTTCTACTCAAAGCCTTCACATTTGTGTTTCCCTCTGCCTAGAATGCTCTTTCCTCAAATTTTCAAATAACTCATCCCTTCATTTATGCCTCTGCTTGGCTATCACCCTCTTAGAGAGGCTGTCTTTGACCACTCTGTATAAAAGAGTCTACTTCTAACCCCATATCATCAGCTGCTAATCCTTTTCCCTGATTTTTCTTTCATGGGACTTGTCTGTTCCCAACATTTTATTATTTATTTACTTGCTTAGTTGTTTATTGTCTGTCTCCCTTACTTTAATGAAAGCTAAAAAAAGCACAAGGACCTTGACTTTAACCTTTCTGCTGTTTTCCCAGTATCAAGAGCAGTGCCCAGCACACAGTAGGTTCTCTATAAATATTTGTTCAATAAATAAGTGAATTAATTAGTAAATTAGCTAAAATATGCCAAAATTGAGATGACAGGCTCCTGGCCCCAGTTCCCAGCTGGGCACTCCCCAGGTCACAGGTCTGGCCTCTCCCCAGAGCTGTCTGGACAGCCTTTCCTGTGACTCCTTGAGGTTTCCTTGAAGCCCCTGAGAATATTTTGTTGAGAACACCTTTCATATTGGTCCTAGTTCTAGTCAATTTTATTAATCAGATCAGCCAACACCATTCACAGAAGTTGGAAACTGGAACAGAACCAATTTATGTGGCAGATTTTTAATGAAAATATAATGGCAACCAAGAGAATCTGTTCTAGACCTTCAAGACCGTCTCTGCAAATGAAGCTGTGAACTCCATGGCTGAGCTATGTATCTTGGAATAGGGCCCATGTTTAGACAGAGAGGTAAGGCCTGAAAAAGTAAAATTCAATCTTCACTGGTAATGAAATATTAAATTAGTGTGGACACAGTGGAGAGACTTTTACTCTTTTGCTGGCCTATTAAATCCAAATGAAGTGTGGAGACCAGACATACTCTATTGTTCCATTTTATTCTTGCATTTTTCTAGCTGCAGCATGCCATTTGGCTTTCCCACCTAAACCTTCTTGCTCTTACTCTTCTTCCCTGCATGGGAATTGCCTGTACACAGATTGAAATAGTGCATAACAGCCAGAATTTTCTTATATTGGACTCTCTAACAATAACACAAAATTATTATTATATGTTGTCCCTTAGACAATGGGTTGCTCTGCACTGGCATGAAGTTGTGGTAACATGGAATGCATAAGCTTGTGGTTCACACTGAGTGTACAAGATACAGTTTCCCTGGGACATAAATCTGCTCTTTATTGATGTATCCAAGCTCCATCTCAAGTAAGAATTGGGTTAAGGGAAAAATAGACCCATTCATTGTGTACATTCACATAAAAGGTTTTAAGAAATCCCACTCTAAAGAAACCTATTCAACTTTGCTTAATCTGATATCTCATAAAACTATGATCACTGAATCCATTTTATTTTTGCCTGACAAAGTGATACTCCACCTGGGCCACAGTGCCTGCCTCGTTGTGTCTGAAAATCTGTGGGGACATTTTGGTCACAATGTCTGGAGGCTCTATTGGCATTTAAAAGGTGGGGACCAGGGATACTAAACATCATCTAGTATGAGGACCAGTTCTTCTACATCATGAAAAATTATCCCACCCAAAATGCCAGTAGTATCCCTGTTGGGTACATACTAATTCACACTAGGAATTCTAATATACACCACTTTTTTGTTGTACAGATGGAGAAACAGTCTCAGATAGAGGAAACGGTATGTGTAAGTCTCACAACTGTGTCCATGGTCCAAGTCAGTACTGGAACTCGCTCTCTTTTTTCCTATTCTGTACTCACGCTTCAGCACTGTGTTGTCTCTATTATGCATACACTAGCACACTTGAAAAGTGAACAAAAGCTAAGTTGTTCAAAAGCCTTAAAGAAAAACCTCCTTAGAGCCTCCAGAGTATCTACATGCTTGTGGGAACATTGACTGATGAATGAATGAAAAATTGAAACAAGACAGGAGGAAAAGTTCAGAACTAGCTTTCACTTGGCAATTACTACATGCCAGGCCTTATGCACGTAGTGGCTCTTTTACTCCCCACAACGGACCAATAACAGAAAGATTACTAACTCCTTTTTTCAGATGAAGAAATTGAGTCTTGAAGAACTTGCATAAGATTCTCAAGGTCACAGAGCTCATAAAAAGTGATAGAGCTGGGATTCAACCTGATTTTAGTGTGACTTCTAAGCCTGAGCACTTTCCTTCAGGCCTCTCAATGACCAGCCAAGGCTCTTGCTCTCAGAAATGGGAAACACGATGAAGAAGAAAAGGAAGACTTTTTTTTTCAACAAAATTTGTTGTTCTGTTAATTACATTTCTATTGTTAAAAATAACAGAAATCAGTTCAAGAATGTTTAAGAAAAAGTGAGCATTTTTGGAAGGATAGTGGAGCTCATGAAATCTAGAAGTTGAACAATCCAGCTCTACAAGGGCATGTGGCAGCTGCAGTATGTGGACACACCCTCCAGAATAGCACTGTTGAGACTGACTCACTCCCAGCTCCCAATCCTGTCTCAGGTCAATGCTTGAGAGAGATAATAGGTCTGATTCAACTTGAATCAGATATTCACTCCTGCTCCAACCAGTTGTGGCTGTGGAGTTAGAGTCACATAGCAGGAACACAGTTGCTGATAAGCCATTTTTGTGGACAGAGTGGGTATCTTTAAGAGTTACCTATGATCAATTCTTGGTCACATTGTGAGGCAGTTGAAGTTTCTTTTGTGTCCTTTATATCCCCCTAACAACAGGGAAGTTTTATCAGTAAATGCCTACAAAAAAAAAAAAAAGAGAAAGAGAGAGAAGATTTCAAGTCAACAACCTAATGAGGCTGGGCACGTGGCTCACGCCCATAATCCCAACTCTTTGGGAGGCCGAGGTGGGTGGATCACATGAGGTCAGGAGTTTGAGACCAGCCTGGTCAACATGGCAAAACCCTGTCTCTATCCAAAAATATAAGAATGAGCCAGGTGTGGTGGGGCACACCTATAGTCCCAACTACTCAGGAAGCTGAGGCACAAGAATTGCCTGAATCCAGGAAGCAGAGATTGCAGTGAGCCAGGATTGCCCCACTGTCTTCCAGCCTGGACAACAAAGCAAGACTCTGTCAAAAAGACAAAAAACAAACAAAACAAACAAACGAACAAAAAACCCCAATGATGCACCTCTTGCAAAAAAAAAAAAGCAAGAACAAACTAAGCCCAAAATTAGTCAGAGAAAAAATAAAGATCATAGCACAAATTACCAAAATAGAGACTAAAAAATATACAAAAGATCAGCAAAACAAAAAGTTGGAATTTTTTTTGAAAAGATAAGCAAAATTGACAAACCATTAGCTAGACTAACCAAAAAAAGAGAAAAGACTCAAAAAAGTTAGAAACAAAAAAGGAGACATTACAACTGATACCACAGATATGAAGGGTAATTGGAGACTATTACAAACAACTGTACACAAACAAATGGGAAAACCTAGAGGGAATAAATAAATCCTGGACACATGCAACTGACCAAGACTGAACTAGGAATAAATAGAAAACTTGAACAGACCAATAATGAGTAACATCACTGAAGCTATAATAAAAAGTATCCCAACCAAAGAAAAGCCCAGGACTGGATGGCTTCATGGCTGAATTCTATCAAACATTTAAAGAAGTAACACCAATTCTCTTCAAACTATTCCAAAAAAATTGAAAGAGAGGAAATTCTTCCAAACTCAGTGAGGCCAGCATTATCTGAATACTAAAATGAGGCAAGAACACCACAAACAAAGAAAACTACAGGCCAGTACCCCTAATGAACATTGATGCAAACATCCTCAACAATATACTAGCAAATCAAATCTAAGTCAACAACACATCAAAAAGATTATACAGCATAATCAAGTGGAATTTATCCCAGGGATGCAAGGATAGTTCACCATTCACAAATGAATAAATGTGATACATCACATCAATAGAATGAAGGGCAAAAACTGTGTGATCATCTCAATAGATGCAGAAAAATCATTTGATAAAATTCAACATCCCCTCATGATAAAAACTCTCAACAAATTAGATATAGAAGAAACACATCAACAATAGTCATATATGACAAACTCACATGATATTTGTCATATATGACAAAATCATACTGAATGGGGAAAAGCTGAAAGCCTTTCCTCTAAGAACTGAACAAGATAAGGATGCCCACTTTCACCACTCATATTCAAAATAGTACTGGAAGTCCTAACAAAAGCAATTAGGCAAAAGAAATAAAGAACATCCAAATTGGAAAGAGTGAAGTAGAATTGCACCTGTTTGCAGATAACATCATCTTATATGTAGAAAAACCTAAAGATTTCAACAAAAAACTCTTAGAACTGATAAATTTAGTAAAGTAGGAGAATACAAAAATCAACATACAAAATCAGTAGCATTTCTATATATCAATAAAAAGGTAACTGCAAAAGAAATCAAGAAATCAATACCATTTAAAATAGCCACAGACTATGAATAAACTTAACCAAGGAGATGAAAGGTATCAACACTGAAAATTATAAAACTTTGATGAAAGAAATTAAAGAAGACATAAACACACAAAATGAAAAGATATTCTATGTTCCTGGATTGAAGGAATAAATATTGTTAAAATGACCATACTACTCAAAGTGATCTATAGAATCAATGCACTCCCTGACAAAATACCAATGACATTCTTTACAGAAATTGAAAAAAACAATCCTAAAATTTGCATGGAATCATAAAAGATGCCCAATAGCCAAAACAACCCTGGGGGGGGGCAAAAAGAACCTGGAGGCATCATACTACCCCACCTCAAAATATACTGTAGAGCTACAGTAACCAAAATAGCATGCTGCTAGCATAAACACAGACATAGAGACCAATGGAAAAGAATAAAGAACCCACAAATAAATCCATGTGTTTACAGCCAACTGATTTTCAACAAGGCACCAAGAACATACATTGGAGGAAAGGACAGTCTTTTCAGTAAGTGGTGCTGGAAAAACTGAATATCCATATGCCGAAGAATGAGACTAGATACCTATCTCTCACCATATAAAAAATCAATTCCAAATGGATTATAGTCCTGAAACTATGAAAGTACTAGAAGAAAACATAGGAAAAATGCTTCAGGACATTGGTTTGTTCAAAGATTTTATTAAAACCTCAAAAGCATAGGTAACAAATGAAAAAAATAGATAAATGAGATTGTATCTAATGAAAACGCTTCTTAAAAAGCAAAGGAAACAATTAATAGAAACAACCTACAGAATGGGAGGAAATATTTGAAAACTATTTATCCAACAAGGAATTAATATGCAGAACATATAAGAAATTCAAACAACTCAACAGCAAAAAAAAATTGATTTAAAAATGGAAAAATGATGTAAACAACATTTTTTTAAAGAAGGCATACAAATGGCCAACAAGTATATGAGAAAATGCTCAACATTACTAATCATCAGGGAAATGTAAATAAAAGCCACAGTAAGATATCGTCTCACCCCAATTAGAGTGGCTATAATCAAAAAGACAAAAAATAACAAATGCTGGCAAGGATGTGGAGAAAAGGAAACAGATATACTGTTGATGGAAATGTAAATTAGTACAGCCAATTTGGAAAACAGTATGGAAGTTTCTCAAAAAAACTAAAAATAGAACTAGCATACGATCCAAAAATCCCACTGCTGGGTGGATAGCTAAAGGAAATAAAATCAGTGTGTCAAAGGGATATCTGCACTCCTATGTTTATTGTAGCACTGTTCATAGTAGCCAAGATACAGAATCAACCTGTGTCCCTCAACAGATGATGAAATTAAAAAATGTGGTATATATACACAATGAAATACTATTTAGCCATAAAAAAGAATACAATCTTGTCATTTGCAACAACATAAATGATCTGGGAGTACATTATATTAAATGAAATAAGCCAGGCACAGAAAGACAGATATCACATGTTCTTACACATATTTGGAAGCTAAATAAGCTGATATCATAGAATTAGAGATTAGAATATTGGTAATAGAAGCTGGGAAAAGGGGAGGAAAGTGGGGGATAAGGAGAGGCTAGATAATGAATACAAAATTACAGCTACATAGGAGGAATAAGTAAGTTCTTTTTTTTTTTCTTCTCCAACATTTAAGTTCAGTGGTACATGTGCAGGATGCGCAGGTTTGTTACATAGGTAAACGTGTGCCATGGTGGTTTGCTGCACAGATCATCCCATCACCCAGGTTTTAAGCCCAGCATCCATTAGCTATTCTTCCCGATGCTGTCCCTCCCTACAAGTCCCCCTCCGACAGGCCCCAGTGTCTGTTGTTCCCCCGCCCAACCCATGTGTCCATGTGTTCTCAGCATTCAGCTCCCACTTATAGGCAAGAACAAGTAGTGTTTGGTTTTCTGTCCCTGCATTAGTTTGCCAAGGATAATGGCTTACAACTCCATCCATGTCCATGCAAAGGACATGATCTCATTCCTTTTTATGGCTGGATAGTATCCCATGGTGTATATGTACCACATTTTCTTTATCCATTCTATCATTGATGGGCATTCAGGTTGATTCCATGTCTTTGCTATTGTGAATGGTGCTGCAATGAACATATGTATGCATGTATCTTTATAATAGAATGATTTATATTCCTTTGGCTATATGCCCAGTAACAGGATTTCTGGGTCAAATGGTATTTCTGCCTCTAGGTCTTTGAGGAGTTGCCACACTGTCTTCCACAATGGTTGAACTAATTTACACTCCCACCAACAGTGTAAAAGCGTTGATAGGAGGAATAAGTTCTAATGCCCTATCACACCTTGTGTGACTTCTTCAAAATGTTATCTACTATCTCTATTCTTTTCTTCCCATTATAATTCCCTTGGGAGAGAATTCTCCAATTTACTGTAACACACATCTTACTGATTAGGTTTAATGCTACACTCCTTCAAGAGACTGCATTCTAACAGAGCAAAATGCAATGTAATCCAACAAATATTGATAAGTGAGAAGCCCTAAGTGAAGAATTGTTTCACCTTTCTTCAATGGAGTTCAAAAATGATTAAGACTTCTTAACGTGCAAAAGGATATAATTTACAAGCCTCAGCCAAATAAATGAGACTGTAACTATAAAAAGATTTGGAGAAAGAAAGTGGCTTGAAGGAAGAGCTCCTCAAATCACACCACAAGGTGACTGACTGATTGTCTTATTTGTTAGGTTATCGCTAGGTTTCCCATGGGACAGGGAGTAAGAGGCTCGCATTGCCACCACAAATTCAATAGATAACCTATGGTTAAGAGTAGGGGTGGTGTAGAGCAAGGGCAACTAGTCATATCCTGGAAAATAAATCTTCCAGCCAGTACCCCTTGGGAAAATATTCCCTCTGGAGCCATTGGGTCCACGTCATGGAACATTTCATAGGAAAGGCCTTGTCTCTCATAGGGTGCCTGCCAGAATATGTCTCAGTCATTCAGCTCCCCTCTAAAGAGGCAGAGAAAAGTGAGAAAGGAAATCTTTACTCGGATCAGATCTGCAACAACACCTACAGTGGAGGCAAGAACCAGTTTTCTGACACTGGTTTTGCACTTCCGTTACACAGGTGGCCATAAGAAAATCATAAATTGCCCTGGGTCTGCAAGATTTGCATGGTATATATTTTTCATCATTTTATTTTACCTTCTTTCCTGCACTGTGTCTGGATTTCTGCCATCTTCCTCTTTCTTTAATGCTCACTACTCTGAGCTTCTTCAGGGCATGTGCAGAGGCATCCCATCCAGGCTTGTTCTACTTCGATAGAACCATAATCTATATACTTTGATTTTTTTTCTCATGATCTCCATAAAAAACACATTGGTATATTAATGGCCTGACTTATTTACATCTGACAAAGTGGTTTACTCTAAACTGTTTATGACTGATGTTCACATCTCTTTTGGGGTTTAAGTATTTCATAATTACATTCCTCAACAAAATGTCCCCCCAAGTTTAACAGCAGTCATCATGACAGGCAATAGGGAAGATATTGGGAGATGGAAGCTTTTCACTGGACATTTCAGAACACACCTCATGAGCAACTGCCTACTTTGTTTCTGTGACAAGGGAATTCTGGATCCTAGATGATAAGTCTTGAAAGGGTCTGTGGCCTTGAAGGAGTAAAAAGAGTGAGACAATCAGTCTTGCTTTGTTCCACCTTAAAAGTCAGGAAGACAGCTCAGTTCAACACTTAATGACTTCGAGCAAATTTATTTCTGGAGACTCTCAACCCCTCCAATACATCTATAATTAGCTTTTTTTAAATTCTTAAAAGCCATTTTAAAATTTAATGTCATTGTGGATGAAATCATGCTTTGTGTGATTTGAACTCTCTTACATGTATTGAGACTCATTTTATGGCCCAAAACATAATTTATTCTGGTGGATGTGCACGGAATGTGTATTCTACTGTTGTTGGATACAGTGTGCTGTAAATGTGAATTAGAACAAGTTGGCTGATAGTGTTGTTTAAGTCTTCAATCAACGTTTTGTCTACTTGTTCTGTCAATTACTGAGAGAAGAGTGTTGAAATATCTAGCTATAGTTACTGACTTTTTATTTCTCCCTTAAATTGTACCAGTTTTTGCTTTGTATATTTTGAAATGTTATTACTAGGTGCACACACATTTAGGACTGTTATAAACTATTGAGGAAGTTACTCAAATATATCATTATTAAATATACTTCTTTGTCCTTGGTTATGTTCTTCTTTCTAAAGTCTACTTTTTGATATTAGTATAGCCATTCTAGCTATCTCATGATGAATGTTTGCATGGTATATATTTTTCTTCATTTTATTTTACCTTATCTTTTATTTTACCTTATCTGTGTCTTTATATTTAAATTGAATTTCTTATAGAATGTATTTAGCTGAGTCTTGCTTTCTTTTCCAATTTGACAATCTCTGCTTTTTAATTGTGGTGTTTACACCATTTATATTTAATGTGTTTAATGTTTGGGTTTAAATTGATCATCTTGCTATTTGTTTTATCTTTGTTCCATCTATTTTTTGTTTCCTTTTTTCTCATTTTTTGGTCTTTTCTTTTCTTGGTTAATTGAGTACTTTTGTTATTCCATTTCATCTATATTATTGGCTTATTAGCTTTACCTCTTTGTTGTAATTTTTAAGGGGTGCTCTAGAGTTCACAATAATCTCTAAATTATTAGAGCCTACCCTGAAATACATCATTAAAACTATAGTCTAAGAACCTCTTGACAGTATATTTCCATTCTCCATATCCCCCCTCCAGTTATGCTATTATTGTCATGTATTTTTGCTATATACACAATGAATTATCAGTTTTGATTTAAAAGTCAATCTTCTTTTCAAGAATAAATCTATACTTTAATGTAAAATTTATCAATTTAAAATGTTAGCCACAAATTC
The DNA here is from genome assembly GCF_000001405.40 of Homo sapiens. Classification (NCBI taxonomy): domain Eukaryota; kingdom Metazoa; phylum Chordata; class Mammalia; order Primates; family Hominidae; genus Homo; species Homo sapiens. The sequence goes on from NC_000012.12 coordinate 5,325,983, forward strand.
AGAAAAATTAAAAGCAAAGTGCAGGGCTCATTATGTGTAGATCAAATGACATTTATCTATGGTTAAAAATATTGTGTTGAATATATTATTCTACAACTTGTTTATTTCCCTCGCTCCTATGTCATGTAGATTTTTGCAGTGCTACCCTCTCATTAACTGCTTAGTGTTTTTTGGATAGACATATCATGGCTTATTCAACCATGTCGATGGGCATTTAGGTGTTAGCTCATTTTCACACTGCTATAAGCAATTAGTGGGCTGCCTGCCTTCTTAGATAGCCCCATCAGGGTCTGAGACAGGGGAACGAATAAATAACTTCTTCAAGTAGGCCTAGAAATTTATGCTTTGTAAGATAAGATCCCAAAGAGTCTAGTTTCACCTAATTAATGATAATTTATCTAATTCAATTATGTTTATAATTTCAAAAAAATATAAGAAATGGAATATTCCTTTAGGAGTAAGCCTAGATGTCATATAATTCACCCCTCTCACGTTCTGAATGGAAGGAAAAAAAAAAAAAACATGAAGCCAGAGAGAAGTCACTTGCACAGCTAGTTCTTACGAAATCGGATTTGAAATCCAGGTCTCCTGATTCCCAGGTCAGGGTATTGATTTGGAGGGACAATTAGCCCAAATACAAAACCTTTGAGTTGGAAGTAGTCTTAGAAAGGAAATAGAAGTCAAATTCATCTTAATTTAGACTACCATATCATACAGAAATCCTCTTGCTAGAATAGCTGATGTTTCTGAAAGTTTGGGCTTAAGCATTTTCTTTGAAAGGCAGTTAGTTCAATAACTTGTGAGTAGATATACACTATTATCGGGCAGCTTTAATTATTAGAAATTCTTACTTTCGGCCGGCCGCGGCGGCTTATGCCTGTAATCCCAGCACTTTGAGAGGCCGAAGCAGGAGGATCACAAGGTCAGGAGATCGAGACCATCCTGGCTAACACGGTGAAACCCCGTCTCTATTAAAAATACAAAAAAAAATAGCCGGGCGTGGTGGCGGGCGCCTGTAGTCCCAGCTGCTCAGGAGGCTGAGGCAGGAGAATGGCCTGAACCCAGGAGGTGGAGCTTGCAGTGAGCTGAGATCAGGCCACTGCACTCCAGCCTGGGCGAGAGAGCGAGACTCCGTCTCAAAAAAAAAAAAAAAAAAAATTCTTACTTTTATTTTCTTGAAATCTGCCTTATAATTTTTACCTCTTGAAATTTCACATTTTTTGCAGCATAGATGAATCAGAATCCAGGCTTCTCACCATTTCACCTTCTGCCACCTGAATACTCTCCTATCTGTCTCCCTTTTAGAATATGGTTTGTGGAAGAGGACAAAGTAATAGTCCAGCCATAGTCCGCCCAGTGCAGTGTGCAGTGGGGCCATCATCTCCCTTGATCTGCTCTCTATACTTCTATAATAGAGCCTCTACATGTTTTACTTTCTTGGCAGTTGCATTCCTGAGCAATGGGAATGCCAAGTGTCACTCTCTTTTTTTTTTTTTTCTAACTGACGACTATAAAGTCAGGTCTCTTTCCTCTTCTGTTCATGTAATTGATTGCAGGAATTTATGTGTTAAAATTTCTACCTTTTAGCTTTTAGTTAAACATTCCTGTTTTTTGAGAATATTTGAATCCTTATGCTATTGTCTTTCTCTGTAACATACCTCACACAAATTTGTTAAATAACCGTTGTATGCTTTTATAAAAATCACTGAAGAAGGCTGGGAGCAGTGGCTCACACATGTAGTCCCAGCAGTTTGGGAGGCCAAGGCAGGAGAATCACTTGAGGCCAGGAGCTGGAGACCAGACTGAGCAACATAGTAAGAGCCCCTTGCTATGAAAAAAAAAAAAAATTAGCTGTGCATGGTGGCAGGTGTCTGTAGTCCCAGCTACTCAAGAGGCTAAGGTGGTATGATGGCTTGAGCTCAGGAGTTCAAGGCTGCAGTGAGGTGTAAGATTGTGCCACTGTCCTGCAGGCTCTGTGACAGAGCGAGACTCCATCTCTTAAAGAAAAAACAGGCCGAGGCGGGTGGATCACAAGGTCAGGAGATCGAGACCATCCTGGCCAACATGGTGAAACCCCGTCTCTACTAAAAATACAAAAATTTGCTGGACGTGGTGGTGCGTGCCTGTAATCCCAGCTACTCAGGAGGCTGAGGCAGGAGAATCACTTGAACCAGGGAGTCGGAGGTTGCAGTGAGCCGAGATTGCGCCACTGCACTCCAGCCTGGCGACAGAGCAAGACTCCATCAAAAAAAAAAAGAAAAGAAAAAGAAAAAGAAAAAAAGACAGAAAAGAAAAGAAATCACTGAAGAGATAAGCAGGGCATCAGAGAAAGACACAAGTGATATTTTCCAAGTTGACTGTAACTGTGAAGCCACATGCAGTACCCAAGTACAACCCTATTTCTTCAGGTTTTTTGTTTGTTTAAATATAGCTATAATGACAGGCTATTAAATGCCTTTCTGAAATGAAGATACTTTATATAGCAATGGCATTCTTCCGATTTACTGCCTGGGAACCATTTTAAAATGGGGAAATGGGGTTAGTTCCACATGGCCAGTTCTCAGTGAACCCATAAAGATTTTTAATGATCATCTCTCTAAAAATATTAACTTACAGATCTCCTGAAGGCAAATAGCTAGGGTATCCAATGCCAAAAATATAATACCAAAGCCAGAAAAATATATATATATATTTTGGAAGCAGAAGGAACCAATGTTCTTCCAACAACTTGCCGTTTAAATCTCTGTTGATAGAGAGTAATACACAGAATTGTGTCTAGGGGAGAGAAGATGGGCAGATTGTGTAAGGCAAAGGCTTTTGAAGGTCTTTGGAAGACAGAGTCAGTGGAGTCTTTGTGAATGATGCAGGCACCCTGCAGGAGGGCCTGAGACCTGCTGTGACTTGCACCAGCTCTGTCCTTCCCAAAGCACCAAACTCTTCCTCCCTCTCACTTGTCACCATTCTGCCTGCAGCAGTTGGAGTCAACTCTAGCCTTTTTAATAAGACAGTTTGGAAGAGAGACAAGCCTTTTCAGTCTGAGAGATAAAAATAAAAATGTCAGTGATCAGAATTTCCACATATGGTCTCAAATGATAGATGAAATTTAAAGCTGGCAATTGTCCTGAGCTGGAAAGACGTAAGCAACAAAGGCTGGAAGGAGGTTTAGGGTTTTGGTTGCTTTTTTCCCCCCTTGCTAAGTGATAATGGACTGTCCCCAAACACAGCAAGTTCTTTCCTTTTTAAGGGCAGTGAAGGTTGCCAGGCCTTGTCTATTTGCAGCCGACCTGCTCAGAAACATTTTGCTGCCCTTCCCCCACTTCTGTGAATAGGTTTTCCCAAAATTCCAGGAGGGAGTCCTCTACAGACTGCCCATCTGTTCTTAGGCACGCAGGGAATCTGGGTAACAATTACATTTGGGAATCACCTGTTGGAGCTCCGGAAGAGAGACCAAACTTCCGCACCAAGCCCTTGACGATTTCTTTTTCTCCAAGACAGTTTTGCTTTTGGGTGCAGTTAGAGATTAGGAGGAAAGATTAGAAGGGGGAAGGAGAGATATGTATCTCAGCTGAGGAGGGTCAAAGTCTAAGAAAGGTTAGCTTTTGCCCTGACACAAGCAAGTGAACACATTTTCAAGGCCAAGGTTGATGAGAGTGGTTGATCAGTATTCTAGAGCTCTGAATGTGGATCCATGAACCCTGGGCTCAGCTGGGATTGTACCACAAATTTTTCCAGCCTGGATTTATTCACCTGAAAAATGAGGAGGGACAAAATAATCTTTAAGAAAGACTTCTTGTTGGACAATTCCATTCCAACATCTCATAGGAAGAATTCTGAGACTAAACTATAGTCTTGGCCAGTGGTTCTCAAACTAGAACATGAATCAGAAACATCTGGAAATCTTATTAAGAGCCAGATTTGGGGTCTCACTACCAGTTTCCGATTTATTGGTTGGTGGTGGGGCCAGAGAATTTGCATTTCTAACAGGTTCGTAGGTGATGCTGGTGCTGCTGGTTCAGGTACCTATACTTTAAGAACCTCTGGTCTAGACCACGAAACATTCAGATGAACTCCCAGCAGGTTAATGGTCATGCTTAGGAAATACAGGTTGAGTGTCCCAAATATCTGGAATCAGAATTACTCCAAAATTGGAAACTTTCTGAGTGTCCGCATGATGCCACCTGTGGAAAATTCCACACCTGACCTCACATGACAAATGGCAGTCAAAATGCAGGCACACAGCACACCGTCGATTCAGTGTCCCTAAGGGAAACAAGGCCCTCCCAGCCCCCTTCAGCTGTGGTCTTTTTCACACACAACTGAATTCTCACAAAGGGTAACAAGATGAAAACTTTGTTTCATGCTCAAAATTATTTAAAATATCATAAAAAATCACCTTGAGGCTATGTGTATAAAGTATATATGAAACAATGAATTTCATGTTTAGATGGGTTCCACTCCCAAGATATCTCACCATATATATATATGCAAACAGTCCAAAATCTGAAAACATCTCAAATCTGAAACACTTCTGGTCTCCAGCATTTCAAATGAGGGGTACTCACCCTGTAATTATCTACAGGCCTGACTAAAGAAACTATTTAGCAAAAGATGACTTCACGGGCTGAGCCCAGACTCACATGTGTTCAATGCTGTAAGGGTGAGGGACTTGGGAAGAGGAGCACTCAGGAGTCACAATCTGCACCTTGAAAGATGTCATTGGAATTTAAGGAAATCCAGCAGCTAGTAGGAGCAGTTGATAATGTCTATAACCTATCTCTGGCCTTACAGAAGACCTGTTAAAGGGCTTCCGCAGCCATGATCTCAACTTCTTAAAACAAGCCTGCAATACAGAGCACAAGGATAATTGTCCTGCTTGGGAGTTGAGTGGGGAATCACTTACCTTTGTTGACCCAGCAAAGACTCTACCGAGGAGTTGTTTTGCCAGCAAGGCAGATGAGTATACATACAGCCATGTAGAGTCTCCTTCCAGAGGCCTTGTATAAGCAGTAGATTGATGAGATTCAATATGCAGTCTATTCCCCTTTTTAGTTTCATTCTGACCATGGCCTCATTAATATTGTAGCATAAGTTGCTGAGCTAACTGGGTCACAAAAAGTGTTAACAAGTTGAGAAGGGCCATAGGGCTCTTAGATCCTTGAGTCAGGGTTAGCAACTAAATTCACTAACAGAATTACTATACAACCAGGAAGCACTAACCTTTAGAGAATTTGTGCTTTCTAACCACTCTGCCTCCTAGTTTGAATAACATTAAGTCCAAGTTACTACTCTAGAAGGAAAAGCAAATCCAAACCCAAAATAGGAGAAGAAGAGTAAATTCTGGTTTACTGAGAAAGATCTTAAGGTCATTTAACAAGTATCTACTGAGCAACCATCATTTACTAGGCAGTGGAGATATATTGACAAATAAGACAAGCATGACTGTGGCCTGGATAGAGCTTACAGTTTAGGAAAGGAGACATAATTTAAACAAGTCATCCTCCAAATCTATAATTACAGTTGTGATGAGTGTCATGGTTGAGAACAAGGAAAGCAGCAGTAATAGACACCATGCTATAGTTTCCAAAACCAATCTGCCTCTGGGATACAGAAGTAGAAATCAAGGTTTTAACCTTTATCTTCCATAATGTATCATATGGGGACTTGCTTCATTGCAGAATCCTTTGTGAGGAGCAACATTTTGTGCCTCATTGTGGGAGGGCTCCTGTCCCTATTTAAAATGGAAACTTGGTGATCCTACATTCGCCTTCTATCCTAGGGAGATCTATGTCAAACTGGGTTCCATAATCATCCAAGGAGAATGTGCAGTGAGGTCAGGAAGGGCTGTGGAGAAGTTGAAATAGTTGGGAAAAGCGGGAAAAGAAACTTAAGACAGCTCAAGAAGTTGAGCCCACTGACTTGCCCTTTCCAAGTACGTGCCTCTTATTAGAAGATAGTGGCTTCTCTGCCCCAGCTGGACATGCAAATATGACTGGAGTGCCCTGGTCTGTGATGATAGGAGATTTCAGGGGTTAAAACAAGAATACACACACAATTCTAAAGTGTGGTTCTGTTTCTAGGGGACCTTAATTCAATTGGAGGGAAATACTAAATCTTGAAATGGTAGGTGCCTTTAGTATGGAGAGATCCACACATATTTAAACACATGACATAAGATTGAGCTCTTAGATAGGAAGGGCACTGAGGAGGCTCACCTGGCTAACTGATCACCTCCATGCCAGGCCACCCTTACATTCCAGGCAAGGAGATGACACCACCCACCACCCAGTGCACTGGGAGAATTTCCAGGGGAGCGGGGGTTCTAGGAAGGTCTCCACCCCAACTTAGGTACTCTGAATGCCATGAAGAGAATCACAGGCTTATTCCCTTGGTTCAGGGTTTTGTCTAAAGTTAAAATGCAAGGGTTACCAGAGGGGTGGCCGTTATGACTGTCTTAAAACAGTAGAAGGAAGAACCTTATTAAATCTTTTTCAATCAGAGCTAGCGGAGAGCAAAAGAGAAAGGCCACAGACCTAGGAAAGTGTAATGTGGGAGAGAAAAGAAAGAAAAAGCCTTGGTAGGCTGCATGGAAGAGCAGAATTCCTGGGTGATGTGCTGTGGAGCACTGTTTTAGAGAGGCAGTGGTGTGCAGTTTTAAAGCATTTGCTGGTTTTAATGGTGTAAATACTCCCACCGTGGAAATTTCAAGCTGCCAATTTGATGTCAACTGGCCCACAGAATTCCTAGAAATGAGCAATTGGCTCATGCATGCTGCTGGGGAAATGCTGGCTCCTGTACACTGCAGAGGGCTCCACGAGTGGGCAGAGAGACACTGAAAGGGGGCGGTAGGAAGTCCCCATGCAGGCCTGGCCCTCAGTGCTGGTCTGAGGTTCTCACAGACTGTGTTAAAGTTCTCCAGTGTGGAGGGCAGGTGTAGTGGGGCCTGGGTGGCCCAGGTAAACATGGGTGGGACTGAAACTACAGACAAGGGAGCAGTTTGGTGGGCCCCTAATTAGAATGAATCTCCCATCTGCCTTTTGAAACCATCACGTAGAAAGGCAATCCCTGCAACAATAGCATTAAAGAAATTATTAAATGATGACTGCTCACATCCCCAAAGTATGCATCTTAGCATGGGGACACCCATTTGAAGACAATACCCTGGAATCACAGAGGAGAAAGTGACAATGAGCAGAAGGGAGGGTGAGGCCAGCTGTTCCTCTTTGTGGGGGAGGCAGGGACAGGCAGAGTTATTAAAAGCTCCATGACATACTTTGGCTTTGGCGGTGAGGTTATGTCTCAGCCTGCGGGATCACTCCCTTCAGAGCACATTGGGAAGACATCAGGGCCGGCCTGGTTGAGTTATTCGCGTCCGTGGGGCCTAATCCTGCTCCATGTGTTCTCTTTGATAAGGCCCTGCCTTCTGTCTCCAAGCTTGCCTTTTCAGCTCCAGTTCCAGACAGGGCAAAAGGAACGATTCCCCAGCATCTAGGCAGAATCATGAAGGGGGTCAAAGCTTTGTCCTTGCTCTCCCTTCTCCCTTTCAATAGACTTCTCCGGGCAACCTGAGGCTGGTATCCTCCAGCAGGGCCCAGGGCTCCCCTCTCCAGACCCCAGCTGTGCCACAGGACCTCTGCCCTTCCACCCAATGCTTCTGTGTTGTTTCTTATAGTCCCATAATTTTTTCTTTCCTAATTTCTCTGATGAATGAAATTCCCGTAAACTATTTGACATGAAGGAGTTAATGACTGCTTTTGACTTAAGCAGTCACTCTTTCCCAGTATTTGTAGTTTTACAAAGCTTTGACACTGAAGAAGGACTCTGGTATGGGATAACTTCTGCCTTCAATAAATGGCAAGATGATCTGGGCAAGATTTTTGGTGCTCTCTGAAGTCATCCCCTGTGAGTGAACATCTAATCCACTCATGCCAGTCCAACTCGGATATGCCTGGACAGCCCCTGATATGGAAGAGCATCTGTCACTCACTGGTAGGTACAGATAGGTGCATCATGCATAGGCTATGCTGGCTCCTTTAATGGGATGAAGTGAGGCCCCTAAAATGGCCCCAGCTCTTCTATTCAGTCCAAAGACCAAGAAGAGACAGACAGACAGAAAGAGAAAGGAAATTTAAGTGTGTGACTGATGTTCCCAGTGTCTAGTGTTCCCATCTTTATGTCAGTGTGTAACCAGGGCTTAGCTCTCACTTATAAATGAGAACATGCAGTATTTGGTTTTCTGTTCCTGCATTAATTCACTTAGGATTATGGCCTCCAGCTGCATCCATGGTGCTGCAAAAGACACGATTTCATTCTTTTGTATGGCTGCATAGCATTCCATGGGTATATATGTACCACATTTTCTTTACCCAATCCACTGTTGATGGGCACCTGGGTTGATTCCATGTCTTTGCTATTGTGAATACTGCTTTATTACATACCAGTACATGGGTCTTTTTGGTAGAATGATTTGCTTTCCTTTGGGTATATTCCCAGTAATGGGATTGCTGGGTTGAATGGTAGTCCTATTTTTAGTTCTTTGAGAAATCTCCAAATTGCTTTCCACAGGGGCTGAACTAATTTGTACTCCCACCAAAAGTGTACAGGCATTCTATTTTTACTGCAGCCTTGCCAACATTCGTTATTTTTTGACTTTTTAATAAGAACCATTCTGACTGATATGAGATGCTATCTCATCATGGTTTTGATTGGCATTTCTCTGATAGTGATGTTGAGCATTTTTTTCACATGTTTTTTGGCTGCTTGTATGTTTTCTTTTGAGAAGACAGAGGGAGGGGGGCAAGGGTTGACAAATGACCTATTGAGTGCTATGTTCACTATTTGAGTGACAGGTTCAATAGAAGCCCAACCTCAACATCACACAGTATAACAAGTAACAAACTTGCACATGTATCCCCTGAATCTAAAATTTTCTTAAAAATTTAAATTTAAAAAATTAAAGTGAATTTTACAATTTTTAAAAAAGATACAGTCTTGCGCTATCGTTCAGAGGGGAGTGCAGTGATTTTACAATTTTTTAAAGAAAAGAGTTCTTTTCTGCTAGCCTTATTTTTGTCTGTTATACTGGTGATCATATTGGTTACATGAAAAGTTCTGTCATATTATTGCTATTTAAAAATAAATAATGCTACAGATACAAAAGAAGAATCTGTGACTGCTAAATCCTTTCCTGTGAGAGCAGCACACTGTGCAGAGTGGAAAGCAGGGTTTGCCCAGGCCATGAACAACCCATGTGGCTCTGACTCGTGACTTGTCTTTGTCAGAGATTCTCCAACATGCTTTGGGACTGAGACACACCCATGAAACTGCAATTTTCTCAGGATGTACATACCCCCTCTTAATCAACACAGGAGGCCAGCCACACAGGCAGACCTATCACCTCCTCTCTCTTCTCCCCAAACCCTATTCAAGACAGAGCTTCTTGGGCAGGGCTGAGTAGGGTATGTTGCTCCAGATGCAGTGAGCGATAATAATTGCAGTAGCTATCATTTTTCATGTGCTTACTCTGCCCAGCTGCTATGCACAGGCTTTATACAAATATATGTGATCGCATTTAATCCCTGCAACCACCCAGTCAGTTTCACGTTATTATTATTTTCAGTTTACAGATGAGGAAACTGAGACTCAAGCTAAATAATTTGCCCAAAGGCACACAGCTTATAAGTGACACAGTGAGGACAGAATACACCATGAATCCAAAAAAAGCTAGTTTCCCCCCAAACTCCGTGCTCTAGAAGCTAGTTCCACTTCTCCATCTCAGCTGAGCTGGGGCATCACCTGTGCTCCCAGGGGCTGGGTCCACGTGGCCATTGTGATCTGTAACCAGATTCACAGTAGAATCAAATTGGTCCCAAATCCAGAAGATAAATGAAGACCAGCAGATTATTTTTCCAGGCTTTATCATAATACTCCAGATGTTTCCATATCTGGAGGTAAATGCATTTGAACCATCTGACTCCCTTCTTACCTAAAAATTTGATTTGCAAAAGGCATATGAAGACCATGAACATAGATGTGATGGAGCAATCTAAATCCTGCCTGAAGGACTCAGAAGAGCTTTGAAGTCCTTTTGGGTGCAATTATTCTGAGTACCAGCTGAACTCTCTATCACACACTTGGCATCTTCACGCAGGTGTGCCAGCAGATAATAGGAGAAACAGGGGTCCTTTCTTCCTATTTTAATGTAAATCTTTACCTGCTTCCTGACCTCTTATGAACTGTGCCTAATTTCTACTCAAGGTTTGAGTGCTCACCTAGCAGGAACAGAGATGAGATGGTTCCTACAACCACAACAAAAGATGCAGTCTCTGGAGGGAACTGGGCTTTGTTTTCATTCTTTCACATGCCCACCAGCTGACTTCAACCCTCAGCAAAGTCTTGGAATGAAAAACTAAAAATTTAAACGGCAGTGGCTCCCAGAAAGGTTAGAACCAGAAGTGGTATTCAGATTCCACCTGGTTCATTTAATAAATGCCTATGTAGAACTTGACATTCAACATATTGCACTGGCATTCAACATATTGCATTTAGTATGATTGCTAAAACATACTGGGCACAGTCCTTATCTTTGAGGAGCTTATCAACCTATTGGAAAGATTTTTAAAAATTAATAATATGATATAAACATTGGTAATACCAAGTAACTAAAATTCTACAAGGCACATGCAAGAGCGAGGAAAGTATGTTAAGATTTCCAAGAGTCCTAAGGTAGGAGGGATTTCATGAAAACGCAGGGCCAGAGTAGGACCAGAGATAAAGGGGATTGCCGGAGTAGAGAAAAGGAACAAAGAGAAGACCACAGGTGAAAGCAGTCTTCCGCCAAGCTCATTTCCTTGTGCCAGCCATGCTATTTCCTTTGTCTTTTGGCATACACCACACCTCTCCTAAATGGTCCCTCCTTTCTTCTCACCTTCCTCCCTTCCTCTTTCTCTTACTATCCTTTTATCACTTGAGTTACTGAAATCTTTTCCATCCTGTCTTATGTTAGCTCAAGTCTAAACTTGTTCTTCAAGCCTTTCCCAACAATTCCAGAGTAAGCTAAATTTTCCACTCACTTCTTTCTTGCAATAAGTACCACGCCTTGGGAAAATTAATTATATGCTGCCTTCTATTGTTTGCTAATGATTTTGTTCTATGTCCCTAATGATACTTTAAGCTTCTTATGGGCAGGGTTGTGTATAGCATTTCTTGTGTACCCAGCACATTGCCAGATGTGTAATAGAGGCTCAGAGAATGTTGTTCGAATGCCTTACCATTCAGGGTCATTGGTTGACTGGCCTCATTTGAAGTTCTGCAGAGGCAAAAGTTCAGATATTTAATGACCTGGGGAATGTCTTTGTGCTCTTCCAAAATTTTTCCTGTTTTAGTTAAAGCAACTGCCTTTTACTTTTCATTAAAAACTTCCTGTCCTTGGAAATACTACTTTTCCTCTCATCTCTATACTTAACATCTTTGGATCCCCTTGCCCATTATTTAAGTCATTGGGACACCTTAAAACTTCTGCATTGTGGACGGACATGGTGGCTCATGCCTGTAATTCTAGCACTTTGGGAGGCTGAGGTGGGAGGGATCACCTGAGGTCAAGAGTTTGAGACCATCCTGGCCAACATGGTGAAACGTTGTCTCCACTAAAAATACAAAAATTAGCAGGGTGTGGTGGTAGGTACCTGTAATCCCAGCTACTCGGGAGGCTGAGGCAGGAGAATCACTTGAACCCAGGAGGCGGAGATTGCAGTGAGCCAAGATGATGCCATTGCACTCCAGCCTGGGTGACAGAGTAAAAAAAAACTCCATCTCAAAAAACAAAAACAAACAAACAAACAAAAAACTTCTGCATTGCTTCAGTGAGTGTTGAACAGTTTCAAACAATTGATTGCATATGTCTTGGCCTCAGATTCCACATTGGTTAAAATCCTGAGCATAATTATGGCTTTGTCCTTAGATTCTATAGGATGGGAAGACTACTTCAAGCAAGAGAAACCACATTAATTTAGAATACGCAAAAAAAAAAAAATAATAAACAAAACAAACAAATACATAAAGCAGAAGAAATTATAAGAATGTGAGCGGCGGCCTGGTGAGGTAGCTCAAATCTGTAATTCCAACGCTTTGGGAGAGCAAGGTGGGAGGCTGGCTGGAGGCCAGGAGTTCAAGACCAGCCTGAGCAACATACTGAAACTCTATCTCTACAATAATAATAGTAATAATAATTAGGCAGGGTGGTGTATCTGTGGTCCAAAATACTGCGGAGGCTGAGGTGGGAGGCAGTAGAGCCTAGGAACTCAAGGCTGCAGCGAGCTATAATTGTGCCACTGCACTCCAGTCTGGGTGACAGAGTGAGGCCCTGTCTCTGAAAAAGAAAAAAAGAATACAGGGGTGTCCCATAGAACTTAGGAACAAGAATGTAACCAAAACCAAGGAGACATTTCAACGAGTCATCCAGTATATCTCACTCTGTCTTCACCCCTTTACTCCTCTTCTCCTTTCTTCTCTTCTGCCCGCTTCCCTGGCTGAACCCTTCTACCTTGGCCCAAATGACCACTGTATGATTTCTGACTCAAGATCTGAAGATGAGGTTACCAGAAAACAATTGTCCTCAAGTGAGCAGAGCCTGGGCTTGGATGGGTAGAGTGCTTTCTTTGTGCCCACTTCTAGTGGCTCTGGGGTTAGACTTGGAGATACTGATTTCCTCACAGAGACCCTTCAAAGCAGAAATGGCATCTCCATTCTACTCCGTTCCATTCCTTTTCATCACTGCATTATCAAACGTTCCTGACCAAATATTCATCTGCAGTACAGCAAATGGGTTGAAATAATTGGCCCCAATGAGAAAAATGTAAAATCTGACATCTTAGTCCAAAAAACAAAAAAATGAAGGGCGCAGGAGAAAAGATTGAAGTAAATTTTGCTAAAGGATCTCATGGAGAAAAGAGCATGTGGGTTTCCTAGATTGTAATAAGAATGTGAATCTCCTGTGAATGTGGTTGCCAAGAAAATGAAGGCAAAGGTATACTAATTCATAGGAATTTACTGTCCAGAGCAATGAAGTTTAAACCCCACTCTATTCTGATGACTTTTCAGTACTGTTTTTAGTATGTAGAGAAGCAGGCAGTCTGGAATGTATTCAGAGAGTAACCAGGATGTCAGAGAACTTGAAACCAGGCTACACGAGGTTTTGATAGCAGAGCAGGAAGGATCTAGCCTGGAGAAGGGAAGCTCTCAGTGGCACTGGGCCTTGGTCTTCAGACTTCTATCATGTGGAAGCTATAGTCAGAGCACCCAAGGATCCCAGTGAAGACTTGGCAACCTAACAACTTCACCTTAATGTAAGCACACTTTTTAGAACTGACCAACTCATGTAGAGAATGGCCAATCATTTGTCAAAACCCTAAGTGGGTGCGTGAAAGTCAGGGGTGGGATCCAAGAGGGGGAAGGATTTGAAATAGACTGTGCTAGATGATTTCTAATAACTCTTGTGATTATGAAACTCAAGCAGGAAGGGAATCATTATTCCCATGTTATAGCTGAGGAAATCAAAGCCCAGAGTAATTAGGTGACTGTTCCAAGGCATGCAGATTGTCAAGATGACCTGAAGAGTGGCTCATGATGCCAAGTGAGGTGCTCTGTACAACCCACCTTCTGGCTGCTATTGTTAATCTTCCCTATGAATAGTGCCTCCTCACTCAGTTCCAGAATAGTCTCTCATTCCCTAAAGCATTCACAGAGGAGAATCGGTCACTTTCATTGCGAGTCAGAGACCTATATTCCCATTCAATAGCCAACCCTTCTCACACCCCATCCTATCCTTGAAGGACACAATAAAAGAAAATAAATCTCACCCACAACCTGCAGCTGAGAGAATCTCCAACATTAACTCATGTCACTGGCTCACTGCACCAGATTGTGCAGGAGGGATTCACTGTGAGCTTCCTGCCAGGTTAACAGAGAGGCAGAGGTGAAAAGAGAAAGATGTGACAAAAACCTTAAAAAAGTGTCATGCTCATGGATAGGAAAAATCAATATTGTGAAAATGGCCATACTGTGCAAAATAATTTATAGATTGAATGTTATCCCCATCAAGCTACCATTGACTTTCTTCACAGAGTTAGAAAAAAACTACTTTAAATTTCATATGGAACAAAAAAGAGCCCATATAGCCAAGACAATACTAAGCAAAAAGAACAAAGCTGGAGGCATCACTCTATCTGACTTCAAACTATACCACAAGCCTACAGAAACCAAAACAGCATGGTGCTGGTATCAAAACAGATATATAGGCCAATGGAACAGAACAGAGGCCTCAGAAATAATGCCACACATCTACAACTATCTCATTTTTGACAAACCTGACAAAAACAAGCAATAGGGAAAGGATTCCCTATTTAATAAATGGTGTTGGGAAAACTGGCTAGCCATATGCAGAAAACTGAAACTGGACCCCTTCCTTACACCTTATACAAAAATTAACTCAAGATGGATTAAAGACTTAAACGTAAGACCTAAAATCATAAAAACCCTAGAAGAAAACCTAGGCAATACCATTCAGGACATAGGCATGGGCCAAAACTTCATGACTAAAACACCAAAAGCAATCGCAACAAAAGCCAAAATTGACAAATGAGGTCTAATTAAACTAAAGAGTTTCTGCACAGCAAAAGAAACTATCATCAGAATGAACAGGCAACCTATAGAATGGGAGAAAATTTTTGCAATCTACCCATCTGACAAAGGGCTAATATCCAGAATCTATAAGGAACTTAAACAAATTTACAAGAGAAAAAACATCAAAAAGTGGGCTAAGGATATGAACAGACACTTCTCAAAAGAAGACATTTATGCAGCCAACAAGCAGATGAAAAAAAGCTCATAATCACTGGTCATTAGAGAAATGCAAATCAAAATCACAATGAGATACCATCTCACACCAGTTAGAATGGCAATCATTACAAAGTCAGGAAACAACAGATGCTGGAGAGGATGTGGAGAAATAGGAACACTTTTATACTGGTGGGAGTGTAAATTAGTTCAACCATTGTGGAAGACAATGTGCCTATTCCTCAAGGTTCTAGAACCAGAAATGCCATTTGACCCAGCAATCCCATTACTGGATATATACCCAAAGGATTATAAATCATTCTGCTATAAAGACACATGCACACGTATGTTTATTGCAGCACTATTCACAATAGCAAAGACTTGGAACCAACCCAAATGCCCATCAATGATAGACTGGATAAAGAAAATGTGGCACATATGCACCATGGAATACTATACAGCCATAAAAAAGGATGAGTTCATGCCCTTTGCAGGGACATGGATGAAGCTGGAAACCACCATTCTCAGCAAACTAACATAGGAACAGAAAACCAAACACCGCATGTTCTCACTCATAAATGGGAGTTGAGCAATGAGAACACATGGACACAGGGAGAGGAACATCACACACTGGGGCCTGTTTGGGGGTGGGGGGTTAGGGGAAGGATAGCATTAGGAGAAATAGCTAATGTAGATGACGGGTTGATGGGTGCAGCAAACCACAATGGCACGTGCATATCTATGTAACAAACCTGCATGTTCTGCACATGTACCCCAGAACTTAAAGTATAATAAAAATAAAAATAAAAAAGTGCTAGTTTCGCCACCCCTGTCAGAAGGGCCTGCAGAAGCTCATATTAGCAATGGCTCTTGGGTGGGCCTCAGTTTCAGAAAACCACATACTTTAAAATCACAATATTGCAGAATACATCAATTTGGTGATAAATATATTCATTCACACTGAAAAAGGAAAGTGTTTTATGATGGATTCATTGTCTGGTTCCCTTAAATTGCCCACTTTTCTTCTCTTGTGTGTGTTTGCCGATGATGGCTGTTTAAAAATAATAGCCTTTATTGAGATGTAATTCATATACCATAAAATTCACTTTCTTAAAGTGTACAATTCAGTGGACTTTAGTATACTCACAGAGCCGTACAGCCATCACCACTATCTAATTCCAGAATATTCTCATCACCTCAAAAAGAAACCCTGCACCCATTAGCAGTCCCTCTCCTTCATCACCCATTCCACCCAGCCCTGAGCAACCACCAGTCTACTCTCTATCTCTATGAACTTGCCTATTCTAGACATTTTTTATAAATGGAACCATACAATATATGACCTTTTATGACAAACTTCTTTCACTTAGAATAATGTTTTCAGATTCATTTATGTTGTAATATGTGTTAGTGCTTCATTCTTTTTTAGGATAAAATAATATTCTATTTATGGCTATACTACATTTTGTTTATTCGTTCATCAGTTGATGGTCATATCAGTTGTTCCCACTTTTTGGCTATAATAAATAATACTGCTCTGAACCTTTATGTACAAATGTTTGTATCGACATATTTTTTCATTTATCTGTATATACCTGGGAGTGGGATTGCCAGGCTGTATGGCAACTCTATATTTAATCTTTTGAGAAACTGCCAAACTGTTTTCCTAACTGGCTACGTTAGTTTACAATACTTTCAGCAATGTATAGGGGTTCCAATATCTCTACATCCTTGACAATACTTGTTATTTTCTATATTTTTTGTTGTTATAGCCATCTTCGTGGGTAAGAAGTGGTGTCTCTTTGGGCTTTTGATTTACATTTTTCTAATGGCTACTGCTGTTGAGTGTCTTTTCATGTGCTATTGGCCATTTGTAGAACTTCTTTAGAGAAATGTCTAATCAAATCCTGTGCCAATATTTTAATCTGGTGACTTGTCTCTTTATTCCCCCTGTGCTTCTGAAATCAAAGTTAGATGATGTAACTCTTTTAAGGAATGGATTCCCTGTAACAACACTATTCTCTGATCCAAACATGTTTGAATCATGAAGAGGATGATCATTGGATGAACTGTGGCCAATGATCACAGTTGGTGAGAGATAGGGGAATGAACTGTAGGTGAATTCCTAAGTGACTTTTCAGCCAAAGAGATGATGAGAGATTTATTTGCTTAAGACAAAAACGGGTATTTATGGAGAGGAAGCAGAGTAAGTCCAAAGGAAAGGAAACCAAGAACAGTGGGCTCTTGAGTGATGTAGTTCAGGATCCTCTAGGCCCACTAGGGCCTCTGACATGAACTCAGTGTTGTAGTTTATCTCCTTATGTTCCAAATTCCTGCCTGCAGGATGGAGCCTTGAAAAGGAGTCAGTCCTTTGTCCTAGGCCCTCACCTTGCTGAGGGACACACATCACTTACTCTTCAGAGGTCTCAGCTTCCTTATCAATATGATAACTTCCAGTGCCAAGGTTCTCTCAGTAGGGGCAAGAATATTTTATCTCTCCAAGCTCTTAAAGCAGGACAGCAGAGCAGCCTGAAATCTCCATCTTTAGAACTCTTGAAGAAAGCTGGAGAAAGCTATCTTCCTGGCATGGCTTATCCTCGGGTAACCTAGAAGGCTCATAAACCCTGCAGGTCAAGTTCTGGACTAGGGAGCTTTGAATGGGCATATCCTACACCAGGACCCTGGGAAAGCCTGGTCTCTGCTCCAAGGCAAATGTCCACACTAAATGGGCTGCATGTTTTAAAGTTTCCAATGTGCAAGCACATTCTGCTTCCTATTACATACTGACCAACATGGAGCAATGGGTGCCAAAATGGAAAGAAGGAAAAAAGTTGGGTGAACCAAAAAATAACTTGACCACAGGAAACTGTCTTGAGATAAAAAGAGTCATCTCCCCAGCCAGTGTCCTAGGTACAAGCAGAGAAAAAAAAAAAAAATCCATGGCATGTGAGTTCTGATCAAGTCTGTACATTCCTCCCAAACCCAATCATGGTGAACATTAGCCAGGTATGTGTGTTTGAAGTGGGTTTACTGTAGGAAATACTTCCTTGTGGTTTTGCCTGCAGTTAACATACTAGAGAAGGGGATAGAATCCAGGGCTCAGGTACGCGCATTCCAGGCAGTCAGGCTGAAGAAGGACAGCTTTGGAGCTGAAGATGTGGAAGAAAGATTGCCTAGAGCCATGAGTAAAGATGTGCATTCATCAAGGCCATGAAAGGCTGTGCCTGCAGCTGCTCCTGTAAGGAGGGGGGACGGCATCTACTCAGCTCATGGATCATGTCAAAGGCCAAAAGGAATATAAGGTCAGATTCTCAGGTGCCTGTGCCCTTGTGTGCTGAGAATAATAGATTTGGAAACAAATAGAAGGTCGTAAATCATCAATGGTATATCAGTAATGGTAAATCTAATCAATACGTCCCTTTAAAGATAAAGGCTCTTTTGCCCCAGGATAAACCATTCAGGGAATTTTGCATTTGGACTGCTCCCAGAGAGGACTGGTAAAGCTTTTCTCTTTGGAGGTCATGGGAGTGTGGGCGGCAGCAGGTTGGGGCAGGTTCTTACTGACCAAGGGATTGGAGGGACACAGTGGATGGTGTAGGAGCTTCCAGTCCCAGACTAGCTGTTTGACCTTCTTCCCTATTTCCTAATCTTTAAAATATGAAGGTGAAATTTAATGGTTTCAAAGTTCGCTTCCAGTAGTACCATTCTGATGACTTTATGAAATCTACTTTCCTCTCACCGCTGGGTACAGAGAAAGGAAACGTGTAAATGGTCATGAGAAGAATTAAAGTTAAATCAAAGGAAGAACTCTCCAACCTTTGGGATTGTGAATGAAAAGGCAGGACCCTGAGAAAAGTTGTAGATCTAATTTCCCTAATATTTTAAATAATTAAATCTGCTTAACTGAGGTGGAATATATACATTTTTTTAAAAAAAGTTTTTTAGAGTCAGCATCTCTCTCTGTCACCCAGGCTGGAGTGCGGTGTTGCAATTATAGCTCACTGCAGCCTCAATGTCCTGGGCTCAAGTAATCTTCTTGCCTCAGCATTTTGAGTAGCTGGGACTACGGGGCATACCACCATGCCCAACTAATTATTTTATATCTTTTCATTTTTTGTAGAGATCGGGGTCTCTCTATGTTGCCCAGGTTGGTCTCAAACTGCTGGGCTCAAGCAATCCTCCCTCCTCACCCTCCCAAAGTGCTGGGATTACAGGCATGAGCCACTGCACCTGGCCATGTGGAATATATTTGAGGAGGCTGGAGGCTGAGTGCCCCAAGTGCAGAGACGTGGCTTTCATCTTTAGTTGAACTCTTTCCTCCCTAGCTCAGCCTTCTCCATGGCTTTTGCTTTTTCTGCCTGCAATGGTCTCTTCCCTTTCCCTTCAAACCAACCCGTATCAACTTCTTAGCACCTTGCTTCCACCATGCCACTTTTTTGCTCTTCTCACAAGAGCATCTGTCCCTTATAGCATCATGTCTGAATTCCTCTTTCTCACTTCTAACTCCCCAAAACATGCCTCTGCTATTTAAAATATTCCACTCCTGCAAACATTTTTTTTTTTTTACTAGAACCTGATCTGTCCAGTAAATAGACTTGGAATCCAGGTCCTAGACCCTTCCCACTGCCATGACTTTGTTCACTTTTGCACAAATTTTGAATGTGCTTCATGTCTAGGAACCCTATCTATCCTTCAAGGTTATGTGGAATTACTACCTCTTCTCTGAAACCTTCAACCTTCTCTGACTCATCCAGCCCTTCCTGAATGTTCTTTTCCATATACACAGTTGAGCCTCAAAGGTTTGGTTTGTGCACTTCATAATAGCTTTTAATCTCATCTCTACTAATAAATTGAAACCTAGTGTTAGACACATAGTAGCCCTCAATAAAGACTTGATGGATTTAAATTCACCTGGGCCTTTATTCTTCTGTGATGAGTCATCAGGACTTACTGAGCCTAGGAAAAGTTGTCAGAACAGTTACCTGGCTGACTGGTGGCTCCTTTGTGTGTACTGACCTATATAATGCCTGGGGTGTTCATAATATTTTTGGATACCTCCACCAAGAAAGGATCATTTATCAGTCTTCTGATTGCTTGATAAGAGGATCCTGATACCATGGAATTTTCTTGTATCTGGATCAATGTTTATTACTAGTAGGTCCATGTTAGGAACACAGCCCGAGTATGGCTTTGGTTCAATAGAGTAGATTAAAAGCCATTCTGGACCATAAAAAATAATTGCCAACTGTATGACTGAAAAAAAAAAAAGCTCTGATCGAAAGTATGGGTCTGCTTTGTACCTTAGAGGGAATAAATCTTCCATCACTCAAGTGGGCAGTGTCAATAATGTAGATTGAAAGAGCACTAGGATGAACATCAGACGATCTGGATTCTGGTCAGCTTTCCCACTAGCTTATGAACTTGTGAGGTGATATAGGAAAAACTGCAGCACCCTCACGGTCTTAGTTTCTGCCCATGTAAATAAGTTTGCATAAGATGGTCGATGGTCACTAATGTCCTACAAGCTCTGACATGGTATGAATCCATGAAAGCAGTTGTTAGAACACTTCTCTCTATTCTTTGACAATATATGTAAAGAAAAAAGCAATGCCATGTTATAGACATGAGGAGGAGGAGCTGGAAACATAGTCTTAGGTCCTGTCCGTCTACTCATCCATCCACTTAAGAAATATTGTTGAATATCTACTATGTGCCAAGCTTCGTTCTAAGCACTAGGAATACAGTGAGTGTCAACAATAACAACAACACAAGGATCTTTATAACAAAGCCTAGATTCTAGTGGTGAGAGACAGACGATGAAGACGTCAAGCAATACATACATAATATGTCAACTAAAGATGGATTACCACACGTGGCTACACAGGTTACATGCTGCAAATGCCCAGGCGGTACCTTCACATAGACTATGGCGGCCCTAGGTGGTGCTGTGCTATGAAGAAACGTAAGCAGGTTGGGAGATAAAGAGCACAGGGCATGTGCTAGAAAAGTACAACAAAAAGTAGAGTGGTGTGGGGCCCATCACACATACTCAGGAAGTCCATTTGTCACTTGACCTCAGCTCTCAGCGTGGAGGGCATTTTCCATACCTGGTGCTACACCAGATTCTACCTTTGGTTTTACCACATAGAGTTTTGCTTTTCATTTTGTAAAATGCTACATTCACTTATGCAAGACACAGTTCATGGGTGAGGATGATGAGGCAGCTTAAAATGAGGGAAGTCTCGATAACAATAAATTAATCAACATATGAATATTAGACCCTGAAGGAGAGATGAGTAGAATAGGGTCCTTTCCCCAGGTAGGAAGAAAAGACATGTACATCACTATGTTCAGTGAAAGTGGAACATAATAAATGCTGCAAGAACATGCTGCAGGAATTTAGGGGAAGAAAATCACTGTGGTCTAAGATGATGAGAAGAATATTCAGAAAACCTGGGGCTTAAGGATCTGCAGGATTTTGCCAAATAGAGTCAAGAAGATGAAAAGATGGGAATAAGACACAGATGAGAATGCTCATGGCAAGTTCAAAGGGCTGGAAGAGGAATAGGCAGTCACACAGCATGAGAGGACTAGGGAGGTAGACTGGGGATCAAATTCCAATTTTAAAAGCTTAGGTGTTTCTTTTAGGCCTGGGAAAATTCCAGCCACCATATTTAGAGGTTCGACTTGGGCAAAGGTGGGACACCACCCTCTACTCCCTCATCGTCAGCCCCATTAAGCTCTTCCATTCAAGCGTTTTGCCGTCAGCATCTCTCACAATAACAACAGCAACAACAATGCCTCATAATCATACAGTCCTCTGCACATCACCAAGTGCTATATTGGAAACTTCATAAAGGCAGGGGTCATATGCTACTCCATTCAACTGTTTAAACTTGGCACAGTGCTTGTCACATAAGAGACACTCAGTAAATTCTTAATTAATAAAAAAATAAGAAATCCATGCATCTTCTCATTTGAACATCAGAATAATCCTCCGAGGCAGTAAAGCCAAATATTCATATCCTAATTTTACAAATAAAAGAAGCAAAGACCATAGTAGATATATGATCTGTCCAAGTTTTCTTAAGTACTGTGCTACAAATTTTGTGTTAAGAATTGCACTGAGCTAGGAACTGGAAGACTAGGAACCAGTGAAGTAAGAACTTGGCTTTGGCACTTATCTGGACCTTGAAGGGTTTTTTTTTTTTTGCCCATTAAATATGCATGGAACTAAATTTCATTGGTTCCAAGATACACACACACACACAAGCAAATATTTATATTATCATATTTTCATGTCACTGAAGTCAGGATGTGTCTTGCAATCAATGCTGCGCATATCATAATTTGCAGAATTTCTCTTAGAGTCTGAAATGTGGTAACCTCTGCCCTGCCTGCCTGCCTGCTAGAATATAAATGTGATAGCGTTTTGTATACTGGGAAGTGCTGTACAAATAAGTAAGAACTAGTAAAACAGAAGTTGCCACTGCCTCCCTCAATACCTGGTCGTACAATTCTGACTGCTCTAGAGCAGCCAGCCAAGTAAGTTCTGCTTAGAGTCCCTGAGCAGTCTTGGCTAGAGAGAGAATTAAATGGCATTAACCTGACAAGCAAATTTCTGAGGCACCTGGTACAAATCTTTGCTATTGATTAAAGGAATTAGTGATCTGAGAACCTATGAATAGACAAAAAGAAAGGAAATGCAATCCTTTTCCACAAGCCCAGACACAGATCAGACATTCACTGATTTCTTTTTTCCCTGTTTGCACATACCTGTGGTTCCATGGGGCTGAATTCCCGGAAGGAGCTCCTTTGACACAGGGACCCTGCTCTAGCAAGCGAATCCCTCCCCAGCAGAACTTCTCCCCCAAGCACTCCACACCCTCCTTTGACCACAGCAGCCAGCGCCAGGGAGACAGTGTACGAGGGACTGATAAGAGGGCTAGTAATCTCTGCCCTGAGTCTGTTGGGGCATATTGCAATCTAGAGCCACTAAATTGCCTAAATTGTCTGCATCTGGCCTCCACCACCCACACTTGTAAAAAACAAACAAACAAAAATGTCAGTATTTGGGGAAGAGATGGGGGAGGATAAAATGCATAACAGGGATAAGACTAGGGTAAGGCAAATTAGGTAACTGGGGAGCAGAATTTAAGGAGGAACACATTTTCACTGTAAAGCACCTAAGTTGCTTTCTAATATTCCTGGTTTGTCACTCATTCCTACTAGGTGTTGGACAAATTATTGAATAATCCTGGGCTCTAACACTTCCAAGCACATAAAATAAAGTGGTTAATCAGTTTCATGCTGAATTATAAAAGTTTTTGCAGCACTTAATTATAAATCTTTCACACATTCTTTGTTATTTGCTCTTCCCTACAAGTGGGAGTTTATTATTATAATTATTATAATATGCTATAAACAATCTAAAGCTAAGAGTGTAACTTGATCAAGAGGCTAGAGACTGGTAAGCAACAGGATGCCACTACCTAGAATTAAGTTGCTATAGAAATTTAGTTTTCGTTTTTATTCTTATTACCTATATTAATGCACAAAGTTTTAAAACAAAGATGACACTCTTGTCACATTACCTGGGTCTTAGAATGATAGCAATGACCGTGCAGATTGCTAGCCAGGAATGGCCTGTCTCCATCCCACGGACTATTGGTTTAAGAAGGCATAATTCAGTTAAGTCGAGACGGACCTTCAGTTTTCAGGAACACTTAAGTAAAAAATAGAGTGTCCCAACACAGGGAGGAGAAGAAAACAAAGAAGATGGTTTGCCATTATATCAGAGTCAGATTGAAAGGGGGCAGGAATTGATTTGAAAAGGGTTACATTTACCAGCTTCTGTACATAGGTAAATTGGAAAATAACAACACCCATCATGATCCTTTGCAATGAAGAGTAGATGAGTTTAGAAAACACTTCTGGAACAGTGGAGTAAGGACCTCTGAAAATATGCTCCTCCATAAAAGGAATGAGAACACTTTCAAAATGATGAAAATCAATTTTCTAAACTCTGGAAATTAACCAAAGGCTTGCAACAACCTAAGGAGTATTTATTCAGGAAAATGGCTAAATCTTGGTATGAACAGTGAAATTGATGGTGTTTAAATCTGCCCTGTTTTCATCCCCTCTCCCTAGCATTGTGGTTGTCTTGAAAACCAACAGCTTCCCATTCATGGTGGCTATGAAGACCAGTAGCCTAGCAGTTGCTGCTGGGAAAAAAAAAAAAAAGAGTATAATGGGCTCGGAGCTGCCCCCAAAGCCCCATACTTAGGCAATTGTCACTACTTGATCTGTCTGGCAGTTTCCTGGAAAAGCCCCATTCACAGGTCTTATTTTTACTTTATCTGATTCAGGAATAACAGCCCTATCCCCAGAGTGTTTTTTGGAAAAAAAAAAAAATCAGTGACAATTTTTTTTAACATTAGAGCTGTTATAAGATGAGGCAAAGAGGTTTACAAAAAAGCTCCAAAGGAAATTCTGGGAAATTAGATATACATAGAGGACATTGAAAAGCTCTGATTAGTTCTAGAATTGAATGCCACACTCGTGTGCAGAGTTGTACATATGCCCAGAAAAGACTTGAGAAGGCCCTAATTTCTCATTTCTGGCTGACACTGTGGCTCTGTACAAGCAGGAGGTGAAGGTTAAGGCAGAGTAATGTACTACCAAAGCACAAAATCCATCCCCCAACACACAGTTGAAAGATTCATTGATTAAAGGCATTTAAGGATTACTTTGTCTAATTACTAGCTGACCACTAAACTAACCAATAGAGACTTCAATGGCCACATAGAACAAAGACACAGAATTTACAGAAATAGTGCAAGAGAAACACCAAGCACAGAAAATAACAAAAAAAGAAAAGGTTCATTGATTAAAGGCATTTAAGGATTACTTTGTCTAATTACCAGCTGACCACTAAACTAACCAATAGAGACTTCAATAGCCACATAGAACAAAGATACAGAATTTACAGAAATAGTGCAAGAGAAACACCAAGCACAGAAAAAAAAAAAAAAAAACAGAAAGAATAACATAATTTAGACAGGAGAGGAACCTGATTTCCAAAGTTACCACATTCTGTTATTTGAAATTTCCAGTTTTCAACAAAAAGTATGAGACATGCAAAGAAATAGGAAAGTATCACCCACATACAGGGAAAAGGCATTCAATAGAAATTGTCTCTGAGGGAGCTGCGATTGGTGACCACTAGACAAAGACTTTAAATCAGCTACTGTAAGTACGTTTCAAGAACTAAAGGAAACCATTCTAAAGAACTAAAGCAAAGTATGAGAACAGTGTCTTAGCAAATAGAAAATACCAATAAAGAGATAGAAAATATTTTGAAATACACACACACACACAGGTACACACAGACAACTAAATAGAGATTTTGGAGTTGAAAAGCCAGTGAAATTTAAAAATTAATAAAGAAGCTAAACAGCAAGTTTGATTTGGCAGAAGGAAGAATCGGTGAACTTGAAATTGACAGAGCCTCAAAGACCTGAGGGACACCATCAACATACACAAAATAAGAGTGGCAGAAGGAGATGAGAGGAAGAAAGGAGTGTAATGGTCAAAATTTTCTCAAATTCAATGAAAAATTAATCTATATACCTGGAATTCTCAACAAACTTCAAGTAAGATAAAATTAAAGAGATCCAAAACTAGACCTATCATAGTCAAACTGTTGAAAGACAGAAACAAAGAATCTTGAAAAAGCAAGAAAAAAGTGACTTATTATGTACAATGGACCTTCAATAAGATAAACAACTGACTTTTTGTTAGAAGCCACAGGAGCCAGAAGGCAGTGAGATGATATATTCAAAATGTTGAAAGAAAAGGACTGTGAACCAAGATTTCAATATTCAGAAAAACAATCCTTCAAAAATAAAGGAACAATTAAAACAATCCCAGATATATAAAAACAGTGAATTCATTACTAGCAGAAATACTAGAGGCCTTCAGACTGAAATAAAAGGACGTTAGATAGTGAGCAAAGTCAAGGAAAAGAAATAAACAGCACTTACAAGGTGCTCTAACTTCATAAGGTAAATATAAAACAGTGTATAAATGTATTTTTTGTTTGTAACTCCTTTTTCTAGTATCTGATTTAAAAACACTACATAAAATGATACTTACAAATCTGTTGATGGACACACGATACACAAAAACGTCATTATGACAACAACAGCATAAGGAGGAGGTTGTCACTACAAAGGAGACTCATTTTTGCATACTATTAAAATTAAGATGATGTTCTAGATTTTTATAACCAAAGACGTTAATTCTAATCCACAGAGCATCCAAGAAAATAACTCAAAAATAAATACCAAAAGAAACAACAAAGGAATTAAAATTGCACATTAAAAATATCTATTTAACATAAAAAAGGGAGTGATGGAGGAACAAAGAAACAAAAAGACACAAGACATGCAAAATACCAATAGCAAACACAAGACATGCAAAATACAAATAGCAAAATGACAGATACAAATCCTACCTTAATAGTAGTTAGATTTAATGTAAATAAACTAAATACTTCAATAAAAAGAAAGAAGCTGACAAAATGCATGTTTAAAAAATTATCTAACTATATGCTGCCTACAGGTAGATACCTAAAATTCAAAGACACAAATAGGTTGAGAGTAAAAAGGTAGAAATGATATACCAGACAATCAGTAACCAAAAGAAAACTGGAGTAGCTATACTCATATTAAGAAAATAGAATTTAAGACAAAAGTTGCTACTAGAGACAATGAAATATATTTTATAATAATAATAAAGGTTAATTAAGCAGGAAGAAACAGCAATTATAAACATATATACACCTAACAACAGAGACCAAAATACATGAAGCAAAATCTGTCAGAAAAGAAGGGAGAAATTGACAATGCAATGATAATTGGTAGAGTTCAATGCTCTACTTTCAATAATAGATTGAAGAGCTAGGCAGAAGACAGTTAAGAAAATATAACACTTCAACAATACTATAAACCAATTCATCTATAAAACTCCCCACCTAAAAATAGCATAATACACATTCTTCCCAAGTGCATATATAGAACATTCTGCAGGACAAAACATATATTAGGCCATAAAACAAGCCTCAATAAATTTAAAAGTGTTCGGAAAAATAAGGAAATTTCAGGAAGCCACAAATATATGGAAATAAAATAACACATTTTAAATAGCCAGTAAGTCTTTAATGAACTCAATTCTGTCCCCAAAATTTTATGTGTTATACCTCTAACACCCAAAGTAACTCTATTTGGAAAAACGATTTTTCAGCAGATAATTAAAGTTAATTGAGGTCATAAAGGTGGAACCTTAATCTGATAGGACTGGCGTATTTATAAAAGAGGGAGAGACACCAGAACTCTCTCTCTCTCCACATGAACACAGAGGGAAGGCCATGTCTGCAAGCCAGGAAGAGATTCTCTCACCAGAAATCAACCTTGAGAGCACCCTGACCTTGGGCTTCTAGCCTCCAGAACTGTGAGAAAATAAAATTCTGCTGTTCAATCCACCCAATATGTGGTATTTTGTTGTGGTAGCCCTGGAAAACTAATATACGGTCAAAGAAAAAATGCAAGGGAAATAAGCTGACCGAAAACAGATACCAAACAACAAAATTTACAGAATGTAGCTAAAGCAATGAAGAAGAAAGATCTCAAATCAACATCCTAACCTTTTACCTTGAAAACCTAGAAAAAGCAGAGTGAATGAAATATAAAATGAGCAGGAGGAAGGAAATAATAGAAATTTGAGAACAAATCCATGAAATAGAAAATATAAATAATAATAGAGAAAACAAACAAAACTTAAAGTCATTTCTTTGAAAAGATTTTAAAAATTGACAAAACTTTAGCTAGCTAAACTGCCAGGAAGAAAGAAAGAAAAGAGGAAGGAAGGAAGGAAGGAAGGAAGAGAAGGAGGGAGGGAGGGAGGGAGGGAGGGGAGAAAGAGAGACAGAGAGGAAGGAAGGAAGGAGGGAAGAAAGAAAGAAGGAAGGAAGGAAAGAAGAAAGGAAGGAAGGGAGGGAGGGAAAGAAGGAAGAGAGGGGACAGGGTAAAGAGATCACTCAATTACAAAAATCAGTAATGAAAGATAAAGAGTGAACATCACTTCCAGACTAACAGAAATAAATAGTACTGTACTACTATCAGTAGTATGCCAAAAAATAAGATAACCTAGATAAAATGGACACATTTCTAGAAAAACACAAACTACCAAAACTGACTCAAAAGAAAATAGAAAATCTAAATAGTCCTATAACAAGGAACGTGCTAGAAGTAATCATTTTGAAACTTCCCATAAAAATACCTAGATGTAAATGGCTTTACTGATGAATGGTTTACTATCAAACACATAAAGATAAATTAACATCAACCCTTCACAGACTCAAAAAAAAAAAGTAGAGAGAATGAGGAAATGCTAACTCATGATGCACAGCTGATATTGTCCTGATACCAAATCCAGACAAAGATATCACAAAAGAAAGTAAAAGATCAATTTTCTTTATAAATATAAATAAAAAGAATCCTCAATAAAATGCTAGAAAAGTGAACACATAATGTATAAAAAGGATTGGGCTTCATAACTAAATAGGATTTATCCCAGGAATGCAAGGTTGATTTAATATATGAAAATCAATCAATATAATAAATCCTATTAACAGGTTAAAGGACAAAAACCACATGATTACATCAAAAGACTCATAAAAAGCATTTTGCAAAATTCAACACTCTTTCATGTTAAAACACTTAACAAGTTAAGAATAAAAGACAACTTCCTTAATCAAATAAAAAGCATATACAAAATTACAGAGCTACATTATATTTAATGGTAAAACATGAAATATTTTCCCTGAGATCAGATACCAAAAAAAGACTTCCATTATCACCACTTACATTCAACATTGTACCAGAGGCTCTGGTCAGAGAAGTTAGGCAAGAAAAATAAATAAAATACATTCATATTGGAAAAAGTAAAATTATCTCTATTTTCAGATCACATGATCTTGAATATTGAAGAAGTCTAAGGAATCCACAAGAAACTGTGATAACTACTGAGTTCAACAAGTTTTCAGAATACAAGATCAATATACAAAAATCAACTGGATTTCTACAAATTAGCAATGAACAATCACAAATAAAATTAAGAAAACAATTCTATTTATAATAGCATCAAAAAGAATAAAATAATAAGAAATGCATTTAATAAAACATGAGCACGACTTGTTCACTGAAAAATATAAAACATTGTGAAATAAATTTTCAAAAACCAAAATAAATGGAAGGACATGACCCATGTTCATGGATCAGAAAATGTAATGTTTTTAAAATGGAAATATTCCCCAAGTTGACCTATAGATTCAACACAGTCTAAATCAAAATGCCATCTGCCTTTGTTTTTCTTTTTTTTTTTTTTTTTTTTTTTTTTTGCAGAAATTGACAAGCAGATTCTAAAATTCGTATAAAAATTTAAGGAAACTTGAATTGCTGAAACAATTTTTAAAAGAATAAAGTTGGTGGACTTGCATGGCCTAGTTTTAATACTTACCTCAAAGCAACAATGATCAAGACCGTGTAGTATTAGCATCAATGGAATAGAATTGAGAGCCCAGAAATAAATCTGTATATTTATGACCAATTAATCTTCAACAGAAGTGCCAAGACAATTCAATGGGAAAATAATAGTCTTTTCAAAAAATGATGCTAGAATAACTAGATATCAACATGCAAAATAATGAACTTGAACCCCTTGCTTGTACCATATTCAAAGCAGACCATAATTATAAATGTAAGAGCTAAGACATTAAAACTCTTGGAAGAAAACAAATGAGTACATCTTGATGACCTGGGATTGGGCCTTGAATGGTTTCTTAGGTATGGCACCAAAAGCACAAGCAAAAAAGAAAAAAATAGATAAATTGGTCTTCATCGAAATTAAAAGCTTTTGTACTTCAAGGGACACCACCAAAAAAGTGAAAGGGGAGCTCACAGATTGAGAGAAAATACTTGCCGATTGTATGTCTGCTAATAGACTTGTATTCAGAATGTATGAATAACTCTTGCAAATCAAAAACAAAATCATAAATAACCGTGTTTTTTAATGGGCAAAAGATTTAAATAGTCATTTCTCCAAAAGACATATAAGTGGCCAAAATGAACATATAAAGATATTCAACATCCTTTGTCATTAAGGAAATGCAAATCACAACCACAATGAGACATCAGTTCACATACTCTAGGATGACTTTAATCAAAAAGAGATACAATAGCCAATGTTTGATAAGGATGTAGAAAAACTAAAAGCCTCATATATTTCTGACGTGATTGTAAAATGGTACAGCCAGTTTTAAAATGTGTTTGGCAGTTCTTTCAAAGGTTAAACATGGAATTACCATATGACTTAGAAATTCCTCTTCTACATATATACCTAACAGAAATGAAAACATATGTCCACACAAAAACTTGTATACAAATATTCATAACAGCACTATTCATAATAGCTGAAAAGTAGGAATAACTTCAATGTCCACCAACTGAGGAATGGATAAACAAAATGTACTCTATCCACACAATAAAATATTTTTCAGCAATAGCAGGAATAAAGTACTGATAACTTGATACGTAGAGGAAACTTGAAGGTATTATGCTAGGTGAAAGAAGCCAGACACAAAAGGCCACACATTGGTTGATTCTATTTACATGAATTGTCTAGGATAAGCAAGTCCATGGAGACAGAAAGTGGATTACTGGTCATTAGGATCTGGGGGGCAGAGCAGAGTGGGGAGTGAATGTTCATGAGTATAGGGATTCTTTTTGTGATGATGAAAATGTACCAGAATTAGTGCACAACTCTGTGAATATACCAAAAACCACTTAATTGTACAAAATTATTCTTAAAATCCCTGAAGTGCTTAGCGTACGTTTGTTGTATTTGGAAAGAATGGTTTATCAAGTAGGACTCTTTTGATTGCAAGTAACAGAAAATCCAATGTCAATTTGCTTAAGCAACAAAAGGGAATTTGTGGGCTTATATAACAAAAGTGTGTGCTTCAAAAGTGACTTCTAAAGGCTCAAATGATGTTGGCAGGCTTTGTTCTGCTCCTTATTGTGTTGATTTCAACCTCAGATCATCTCAGGTTCAAATCTGGAGGAGAAATTTCCCTGCCTCTCTCAGAAATCCCAGCAAAAATCTCATTCACTGAGATTGGGTCATATGTTCATCCCTGAACCAATCACTTTGGCTAAGGAAGGCCTGCTTCATATATGTTGCAGGATCACAAAAATTTAGTGACTAAGAGAAGAAATTCCCAGCGCTGTTACCAAATGGGAAAAGTAGAGGAAATGGATACCAAGGAGCCATACGATAGCAAATATCCATAATCAACAGGAAAAGTTTGCCAAAATAGGAAATCAATACAACACAGCTTAGAATCTTGGCACATGGAGTACTCCTAAATACACAGTTTCTTCTCTCAATTTTAGCTCTTAATCCTTTGAATTCAAATAATGTTTGAATTACAATTCACATTTAGTGTTTATACAGGCATACCTTGGAGATATTTCCAGTTTGGTTCCTGACCACTACAATAAAGGGAGTATCATGATAAAGTGAGTCACATGATTTTTAGATTTCCTAGTGCATATAAAAGTTATTTTACACTATATTGTGGTCTATTAGATGTGTAATAGCATGTGTCTACAAAACGATGAATATACCTTAACTTAAAAATACTTCATTGCTTAAAAAATGCTAATGATCATCTGAGCCTTCAGTGAGCCATAATCTTTTTGCTGGTGGAGGGTCTTGCCTTGATGTTGACGGCTGCTGATTGATCAGTGTGGTGGCTGCTAAAGGCTGAGGTGGCTGTGGCAACTTCTTAAAATAACAAAACAATGAAGGTTGCCTCATTGATGGACTGTCCCTTTCACAAAAGATTTCTTTGCAGCATGCAATGCCGTTTGATAGGGTTTTACCCACAGTAGAACTCCCTTCAAAACTGGAGTTAATCCTCTCAAATTCTGGCACTGCCTTATCAACTAAGTTTATGTAATATTCTAAACTGTTTGTTGTTATTTCAACAACATTCCCAGTATCTTCACCAGGAGCAGATTCCATGTCAAGAAAGCACTTTCTTTGCTCATCCAAAGGAAGCAACTCCTCCTCTGTTCAGGTTTTATCATGAGATTGCAGCAATTCAGTCACATCTTCAGACCCCATCCCCACCTTTTTTTTGTTTTGTTTTTAAAGAAACAGGGTCTTGCTTCATCACCCAGGCTGGAACAGTGTCGCTGTGGTGAGATCATAACTCACTGTAATCGCAAACTCCTGGACTCAAATAATCCTTCTGCCTCAGCCTCCCAAGTAACTGGGACTACAGGTGCACAGCAACATGCTTGGCTAATTTTTATTTTATGTTTTTTTGTAGACACAGGGTTTTGCTACGTTGCCTAGGCTGGTTTCAAACTCTGGGCCTCAAGAATCCTCCCACCGCAGCCTCCAGAAGCATTGGGATTATAGGTATGAGCTACTGTGTCCAGCCAGGCTCCACTTCTAATTCTAGTTCTCTTACTATTTCCACTGCATCTGCAGTTACTTCCTCCACTGAAGTTTTGAACTCCTCAAAGTCACCCAGGAGGGCTGGAACCAACTTCTTCCAAACTCCTGTTAATGTTGATATGTTCACCTCCTCTCGTGAATCACAAATGTTCTTAATGGTGTCTAGAATAGTGAATTATTTCTAGAAGGCTTTCTATTTACTTTGCTCAAATCCATCAGAGAAATCACTATCTGTGGCA
Organism: Homo sapiens; assembly: GCF_000001405.40. Lineage (NCBI taxonomy): Eukaryota > Metazoa > Chordata > Mammalia > Primates > Hominidae > Homo > Homo sapiens. Next base: position 5,358,640 of record NC_000012.12, read on the forward strand.
GCTATAGCCACAGATATAGTCATAGCTATAGTCCTTTGAAACGTATTTCTTAAATAATAAGATTTGTAAGTCAAATTTACTTCTTGATCTATGGGCTTCAGAATGGATGTTGTGATAGTAGGCATAAAAACAATGTTAATCTCTTTGTAATTCTCCATCAGAGCTCTTGGGTGACTAGGTGCACTGTCACTGAGCAGTAATATTTTGAATCTTTTTTTCTAAGCAGTAGGTCTCAATAGCAAGCCTAAAATATTCAGTAAACCTTTCTGTAATCAGATGTGCTCTCATCCAGGCTTTACTGTTCTGTTTGGAGAGCACAGGCAGAGTTGATTTAACATAGTTCTTAAGGGCCTTAAAATTTTCAGAATGATAAATGATTGGCTTCAACTTAAAGTCACCAGCTGCCTTAGCTCCTAACAACAGAGTCAGCTTGTCCTTTGAAACTCTGAAGCCAGGCATTGATTTCTCATTGATTTCTCTGGGTGACAGAGCCAGGCTCCGTCTCAAAAAAAAAAAAAAAAAAAAAAAGACAGAATAGGAGAAGACATGGGAGGGAATGGCCTGTGAAGGTAGGGGCAAGAAATTGGAGTGATGCCACCACCATGAATGCTCACAGCAGGCAGAAGTTGGAAAAGGCAAGGAATAGATTTGACCCTCGAGTACCCAGTATGAATGCTGCCCTGCAGACACCTTGATTTTGGACTTCTGCACAGCACGGCTGTGAAATAATACATTTCAGTTGTTTTAGACCACCAAGTTTATGGTGATTTGTTAGGGCAGCCCTAGGAAACCGATACACTCTGATATTACACTCTGATATTGATATAGACAGTAGAGTTGGAAAGAATTGTGTCAGCCAGGCACGGTGGCTTACGCCTATAATCCCAGCACTTTGGGAGGCTGAGGTGGGCAGATCAAGAGGTCAGGAGTTCGAGACCAGTCTGGCCAACATAGTGAAACCCCGTCTCTACTAAAACTACAAAAAATTAGCCAGGCATGGTGGTATGTGCCTGTAATCCCAGCTACTCAGGAGGCTGAGGCAGGAGAATCGCATGAACCCTGGAGGCGGAGGTTACAGTGAGCCGAGATTGCGCCACTGCGTGCCAGCCTGGGTGACAGAATGAGATTCCATCTCAAAAAGAAAAAAAGAAGAAAGATGAAAGAAAGAAAGAAAAGAAAGAAAGAAGGAAGGAAAGAAAGAAGGGAAGAAAGAAAGAAGGAAAGAAAGAAAGAGAGAGAGAGAAAGAAAGAAAGAAAGAAAAGGAAAGGATTGTGTCTATTTTACAAACTTTGATTTTCAAAACATTTAAATAGACCTTAAGGCTATTTTAAATCAGATATCATACTTTTTTTCTACAGGAGCAGGTAGATTAAAAGTCATTTTTCTTTACTCTTCCATATTCTTTCCCATCTCTAAAACATAACAAAGAAAAAATGGCAAATAAAAGTCTAGGGAAAAACCTCTCAAACTTAGATTAATGTGAAATTAAAAGGGGAAAATATACACTGATATTTCAAGAAGCTTGTGAGAGAAGAGGAGAACGATCTGTAGATAAACGGGTGCTAAAGGTAAAAAGAAGTTATGTTTTATTTTTGTTTTTGGAATTGGAAAGAATTAAGCAAGTTTCAGACTTGACTAAGGGGAATCTATAATTAGAGAAGGAATGTAGTTACAGCCTGAGTATCTCTCATTCTAAATACTTGGGACCAGAAGTGTTTCAGATTTCATATTTTTCTCAGATTTTGGAATATTTACAAATACACAGTAAGATATCTTGGAGATATACCAGTTAGAGCTTAGCCCAAGTCTAAACACGAAATTTATTTATGTTACATATACACCTTATGCACAAAACCTGAAGGTAATTTTATACAATAGTTTAAATAATTCTGTTCATGAAATAAGGTTTGTATTAAGTACTTATTTGTGGAATTTTCCACTTGTGACACATGTCAGCACTCAAAAAGTTTTCAATTCTGCAGTATTTTTAATTTTGGATTTTCAGATTAGGGATGCTCAACCTGTATGGAACAGAAAGAGGGGGACTGATACAGTCAAGTTTGTTAAGGAGGCTGGGGGGAAAGAGTTACTGGCACAGGGAGCCACAGGCATTGTGAATGAAAAGATGGAGACCTTCTCATTAAATACTAGAAGAAGGGTGGTCAAGATGGCTGTGGCTGTGAAGAGCTTTTAGATAAAGGTTAAACGGATAAAGACAATCACACCTAACGTGATGATCTTATGTTTTTCTCTATGAAAATCTGTATCTTCTAAAGTTGAGGGGTGAGGAGTGAGTAGGTGCCTGGGGGAACAGAGAGCTCTTCAGCATTGCTGAGGAGAGTGGCAGAAGCAGCTCATCTAGCACAGGTAGAGACTTTGAAGAGTGCGTCAGGCTGAGGGGCTGGCTGGGCCTGGAGGTCCTACTTGGTGGTAGCCATGTTCAGTTTTGAGATTGCTCCAGGATGATGAAAGAAGATTAGAGGCGGAGTCTAGAGCACTGAGACTTAGGGTTGGATTTCCAGTGTGTGCAGTCAGGAAAGAGAAGGAATGGAAGTACTGAGGTCCTCTTGGGATTACAAGCCAAGTGCAGTGAGAGAGGATTCGAGTTGGAAGGTGACCATTGAGATTAAGAGGCACTGTTAAAAGTCTCGAAGACTGCCAGAGAAATCCAAATAAAGTCTGTCATTTGGTTAATAGCATTCTCCCAAGGTGAGTTTTGATAAATGTACCACGGCTGTATAAGATGTTAGCATTAGAAGAAGCTAGGTAAAGAATATGCCAGAACTCTATACTATCTTTGCAACTCTTTTGTAAACCTGAAATCATTTCAGAATAAAAAATGTTAAAAGTCATGGGTTTTTGTTTTGTTGTTGTCTTGTTTTGTTTTGGTTGCTCACTGAAATCTTGAAGAAGCATCATGGTCAATATTCTTCTTTCCATTGCACAGATAAGTTTTCTTTAACTACATGTAATGGCCATAAAGATGTACGCTATAAAATTCACCAAATCTACATTAGAACAGAGAAAGTAATCCAGAGACTTTGATCCCAGCCTAACACTGTAGCCCGATCACCTCCATCATCCCTTTCCTTCCAACCCAGGGTGGCCAACCACACCCCTCCCCAGCTGGTCACGATTTCTCAGCAGGCCTATCATTTTCAGAAGGTGCTGGAAGACCAAACAAGTGTAATATCTCTGTAAGGCAAGATTCTGGTTGCCCCAGATCAGAGGGTCTGAGGTCCTGTTGGGGATAGGGTGGGCCAAAGCTGGGGGATGCTGTCAGAGAAATTAGGAAGACTGTGCTTTAAGCCTCTCCTTCTGGGACTCTCAGCTGTGGCTAATCCCTGCTCTGTGTTCAAACATGTGGATTACACCAGGGAAATTACCCACATCTAGTCACGAGGCGACAAAACCGTGTCATCTCAACCCATTGCTGCCAAGGGAAAACTTGTTCATTTCCTCTCACAGGTCTCAAACCTTTCTTTTGTGGCGCAGCCTCATATTCAATGTCAATGCAAAAGTGGAGCACCTGGAAGGGAATATGCTCTAAGAGGCAGTGACGCATTTTTTGGTCCCCTGACCTGCATGGGAACTTGCAGAGTCAGACCTTTCCCTCAGTGGAGTGGCTACTCTGCCCTGGTACTAATTTCTGTAAAAAAAAAAATTAGTCTTCACAGCACCTTTATGAAGTAGGCATTATTTTATTTTATTTTACCTATTTTATAGATGAGGAGCCTCAAATGCAGAGAATTTAAGCATATGCCCAAGGTGAAAGAGCTGGTATATGGAAGAACAAAAGAAGTGCCCTTAGGACCCTGGAGGGAGGCTTGCCTTTTGAGGATTCCCTCTCTAGGTGATGGGGGGTCCCCAGGGCCAATGTGGTCCTCTCCTCCAGGAGGTGCTCAGCCAGTGTCTGTTTCAGTCTGGAGTAGCACGAGAACTCCTACATCCATCCCTCACATCTGGGTGTCCAAGGCTTGTAGCAACGAACTCATGAGTTAACAAATTTGAGGTGAATTTCACACAAATGAGAGATATTTCCTTCTGGCCATTGTCTGCCAGTAAATGCCCAATGAATGGGAAATAATTCAGCATCAATATCAACATCATAGATCCACAGGAAGAGCCTCAGCGAGGGGTCTACTCCCCATTTTCAAACGCATAGGCACATGGACAATAAATAACTTGCTTAAGATGATGCAGACATGCTGTGTGGAGCCAGGCCTAGAACCCAGGGCTATCTGTCTACTACTCTGGTGACTTTCAGCTGCACTATGATGCTGCTTACATGTGATTTTATATCTGCTGATGGTGCAAAGAACTGAACTTTAAGCATCACTGCAGGAGATACAAACAAAAGTTAAAGACTACCTCTCAGCAGTTCAGAATGGGGGGCTAGAATGAATGAATAAATGAAGAGTAAATGGACAAATGAATGAATCCAGATTCCAGGGACTCAGAATTGCTGCCTCTCCCCAGACCTACTGTAGGGTCTAATCAGGGCCTTTGCAGCATCACTGATCAATTGCACACCCTCTAGATAATATAAGAATTGATTCTCAATGTGCCCTGACTGGTTCCTACACAGACCAGAAATCAGGAGGCCTGGGTTCTGGTCCCAGCCCTGCCATTGTCATACTGGGTGATGTGTGCCTTTATCACTGTGGCCCTGGGTTTCTTCAGCTGTAAGGAGGGTAGATTTGGCTAGACGATTGCTTCCCAGCCGTTTTGAGCCACACTACTCTACCTACAGGGAGCATCCCCTAGTGTGGGAGATCTCACTGCACAGGGAGTATTGCAAGGAGAAATGTCAAGGTGGGGAAGGGAAGCCAGGAACTTGCCAGAAATGAAGGTCAGGCAAGTGCTGCATCCACTGGGGGCCCCCATTTTCACTCTCTTTTATATCATTCCATTTGATGGGAGGCCAGGACCAAAGCAGAGGTTCTGCCGTTACCTGTTCCATTCTTCGTTCACAGCCTGGAGCCTTTGGAGTCCAGTATCAAGTCAGCTGCACACTAGGCCAGTAGGCCTAGGCTAAAATTGAGAAGTGGTTTAACTCAAAGCCAGATGCAGAGCAATGTAGTCAAAATAATTAAACACATATATGTGCAGGCTTGCTGACAAACAAAATAAGATAGCATCACTACTTCCAAGCAGCTGAAAAAACATGTAACAAGGAAGCATATGAAATAAGTGGCTAAGGATCCTTCCTAGGGTAGTTCAAAGAGCTGGGAGGAGTTTTGTAAGAAATAACCAACCAAGTCTGTGGGAGAGGCCAGAGTTTGGGGCTTGTTCTTACGGGCTGAGTGACCACAGCCAAGTCACTATCACATTCTGAGCACTTTTCCCAGGTAACCTCAGCGGGAGCCGGGGCACATTTTCCAAGATTATCAAAAGGGTTATCTGTAAAAGAAATGGAAAAAGAACTGGCCAAACATGGGAAGTTTTACTGATGAGCCAGAAGAGAAAAATGGATGGCTACTCCCACCTAAAAGCTACTACCTGCTCCTCCCCTCTGGCCCATCCCTCTGCAACGGCACCTGCAAGAGCTTACGCAGAGGGCCAGGCTTAGCTCCCATGGAGAACCCCGCAGAATTGATGCAATTCCTTGCAAACCTGTTCTCTGAGCAGGCTAATTTTCATGAGCCCGAATAAATCCTTCCTGTGACAATGAGTAATTTTTATGGTCTTTCTGCACTCATCTAACTAATTGCACATCTCACATTTTACAATTTCCCCTCCCCCATCAGTACAAGAGTAGTGGTTAGCAATGACCTTAGCTTCTTCTCCCTCAGAACCTATTCAAAATAATTAGAGGGAGAAAATATATATGGCTAGGGTCTACCCAGTACAGTTACCCTCTTATCTCTTTCTCCTGTTGTTTTCCAGTCTATGTGGTTAAGTGAGCTGATGGTGGTTGAGAGGTCATGCATGCTCTGAAGTGATGAAGTCCTATCAATGGCACAGTTAGCTCTCCACAGCCTTCTGTTGCCCTTTTATAAATTTAATGCAGCAAATTTTATCAGTGGCTAGCTGGAAGGATACAGAAATGCACAGACACGGAGTAGGAGGGGAAGATGGATGCATAAACAAATAAATCTGCCTGTCAGGGAGATGAAGGCATAACTTAGCTAGACCATGCCACTCAGTAGGGATCCAGAAAAAGAAGTCCTTTCTCTTAGTTGTCAAGAGAGGTGATGTTTGAGTTAAATCTTGAAACCTGAGTAGGAATTCTCCAGACAAGAGTTCCAAGGAAGTAGAATAATACATGCAATGGTTTACAACAGCCTTGCATGTTTGGGGAACTGCAGATGTTACAAACACTGCAAATAGCATGCAGGGTGTTGAGGTGGGGGACAGAAAAGCAACTAATGAGGCCAAAGGTGTTTGGCAGAGCAAAGTTCATGGAGACCTTTCAGGCCACCCAGGAGAGTTGCGGCTTTAATCTGAAGGCAGTGGGAGAACGTCAAAGGTTTTTGTTGTTATTGTTGTTGTTGTTGTTTAAATAACGAAGTAACACAGAATTTTGGAAGATAGCTGCCTATAGTGTGGACCAGGGCAAGCCAGAGGAAGGGAGAAGAGTGAAGGAGGTTGTTTCATGGAAAGAGGCACAAAGGATGGAAAACAGGAACAAACCTCAAAGAAATACAAGTGTGAGAATCAACAGAGCTTAGTGACTGGTTTATTTGAGTAGTGATGGAGAAAGGAGGACATGAAATACTCTTAAGTGCCCCGAGGGATGATGGTACCATTCCTCAAGGTAAGGAACATAGGAGGTTTGGAGAGGGCGAGAGTGAACACAATTCAGACGTATGAAGTTGTAAATGTCAATGAGACATCTTAATAAAAAAAAGCTTTTTCCACTGATAACACCAAATGCTTCCAAAGATGTGGAGCAACAGAAACTCTCATTCATTGCTGGTGGGAATGCAAAACGGTGTAAACGCTTTGGAAGACAGTTTGGCAGTTTCTTATGAAACTAAACATAGTCTTACTATATGACCCAGCAATGACAATCCTTGGCATTTATTCAAGAGTTAAGAACTTTCATTCATGTAAAAACCTGCAAGAGTGTTTACAGCAGCTTTATTACAATTGCTGAAATTTGAAAGACACCAAGATATCCTCTAGTAGATTAATGAATAAGTTAACTGTGGTGCATATAGAAAATGAATATTATTCAGCAATAAAATGAGCTATCAAACCATAAAAAGACATGGAAGAACCTTTACATGCACATTGCAAAGTGAAAGAATTCAATATGAAAAACTACATATTGTAAGATTCCTACTATATGACATTCTGGAAAGGCAAAACTATGGATATAGTAAGAATATCAGTGGTTTCCGGGGGTTTGAAAGGAAGGTGGAAGGAATAAATAGGGAGAGCACAAAGAGTTTTTTTTTTAATCTTTATTTCAGTAGTTTTGGGGGTCAAGTAGCTTTTGTTACATGGATGAATTATAAAGTTGTGAATTTTGAGCTTTTACTGCACCTGTCACTTGAGTAGTGCATACTGTACCTAATGGTGTAGTTTTCTGTTTATCCCTAGCCTCATCCCCTGCCCTCCCACATCTAGAATCCTAGCACATGACCATTGGAAGAGGCTTTATACCAGTTGCTACATCTTAAATATGGACAAATAAGTCCTAGAGAGAATAATGATATGACTGGTGTTGCCTAACATATTCTTAAAAATTCAAAAAAAATGTGGCACATATACACCATGGAATACTATACAGTCATAAAAAAGGATGAGTTCATGTCCTCTGCAGGGATGTGGATGAAGCTGGAAACCATCATTCTCAGCTAACTAAACTAACATAGGAACAGAAAACCAAACACCACATGTTCTCACTCATAAGTGGGAGTTGAACAATGAGAACACATGGACACAGGGAGGAGAACATCACACACCAGGGCCTGTCAGGGGCTGGGGGGCTAGGGTAGGGGTAGCATTAGGAGAAATACCTAATGTAGATGACAGGTTGATGGGTGCAGCAAACCACCATGGCACATGTATACCTATGTAACAAACCTGCACAAGTATGCCATGTGCATGTATCCCATGTATAATTTTTTTAAAAGCATAATTTAAAAAAAATTATACATGTATCCCATGTACAATTTTTAAAAATTCACTCATCCAATTAATTGTGTTTGGCATTGGAAATGATGGATGAGAAGCAGTGAGTAATATTAAGGTACTTACTGTCCAGTGGAGCAAACCAGCAATAATCAGAACATTACAAAGCAACATAATAACAACTACAATGGAGGTGATGGGGTGCAAGGACAGCAAATCCAGGGTTAGGCTGGTCTCAGTCATTAAAGTCCCAGTTGTGCGTGGGGGCCACAGCAACATCTCTTCCCAAGGCTGCGTCAGGGCCGGAGTCTGGCCACTCAGTTTCCCTTTCAGTCTTTCTCCTTTTGAGCATGAAGAGGCTGATGCTGGGAGGTTTGTTGGGAAACCAAACTGGATGACCTGAGAGTTGTGAAGACAAGTGGGAAGGACTGGCTGACCCAGGTTTTCTATTGCTGAACTGATACTAAGGCAGTATTTCCCTAGAGTAAACAAAAGCATTCCTCACTGCTTGTTCACCACAGGTAATTCTGATCCAGGTAGCTGCATAGCTTTAGGTGGGCTTCCTCAAGTGTTCCCACAGCTTTCTTCTTTGTGGATTCCCTCCACAGTTTACCATGGAGACCAGAATCCTCTTCCCTGGGGATGCCCCAGCCTTTCCTCCTGGGAAAGTAAGCATGCTTACTGCTATTGGTCCAGCCTCATCTTCCCAGGCTGTATTGACTTGGCACAGTGTCACCGATGGGGCTGCGTCCTCTATAAGCCCCCACAAACACACATCCATCCCATCTGGGGAGAGAAAGCGGTTTTATCTACTTTTCCACTTGGCTTCAAAGAATCTAGAAAATCAGATATTTTGTATCAAGTGACAGGCAACAAGCAGAAATCTGAAACCCACTAAAAAGTCCTTCTTTTGATGAAAAATTTCTTCCGTATGTTTGGAAACCAAGCTGCTTTCATATTAATTGAATATACTGAACACACACAAAAACAAATGTCTTAAGATCTTTCTTTTACAATGCTGGGTTCAAAAGTTTTGGATTCCAAAATGTTTCTGACAAGGCTTTAACTGTTTTTCAGGCATGTTGTGTGCTTCCAGCTCAAGCCGGCTCTGTGTTTTAGGCCAACCAACACAATTCATATAACATCCTTGCACATTTCCACCATTTCCCGCCTCACCATGCCTCAGAGGACTACAGGCTCCCCAAGACGGTGAGTGACGTGTGGCTAAGATATAGGAGTTAAGGTGGAATCACTGGCAGATACCTGAACAGAAAGTCAGAATAACTAATTTTTTTTTAACCCAGCCCCCAACACTGGTCAGTTTGTGACTCTGTAAAATACAAAATATCTGAGCTGATCTTTAAGGTTCTTTCAAGTCGTCATCACTTTGGGGCCTGAATAATGAGGAGTGCAGGCCTTGTATCCCATTGTCTGGAATAAAAAAGAACAAAGGAGTTTAAGTATTTGAGAAGAAAAAAAAAATCCCACAAAGGTCTCACATGCTTTCTTGGATGCCAAGCCCAATGCTAGGAATGCGAAAAGTTGGCTGGGTGTGGTGGTTCATATGTGTAATCCCAGTGCTTTGGGAGGCTGAGGCAAGAGGATCACTTGAGGTCAGGAGCTCGAAACTGCCTAGGCAACATAGCGAGACCCCATCTTTATAAAAATAAAAATTAGCCAGGCATGGTGGTGCACACCTGTAGTCCTAGCTAGTTGGGAGGCTGAGGCAGGAGGATCACTTGAGGCCAGGAGCTTGAGATTGCAGTGGGCTATGATCATGCCAATGCACTCTGGCCCCAGCAACACAGTGAGACCCTGTTTCTAAAATAAATAAATGAATAAATAAATGTAAAAATCCAAAAAGTTCTCGAAGGTGAAGATGCTCTTCTTTCTCTGGCTCCCTCCACAGCCTGCACTGCAGATAAATGAGTCAGTATTACATGGGTAAAAATTAAGATTTAGCTTCATGAAAAAGTAAATATTTTAAAAATATATACCCACGAAAAATCAGGTAGCGATTCAGCAGTGAAGTGCATGGTAATGATTATGAATGTTTTGCCATCTGCTTGAGCCTTCCCTCATATTCCCATCTCTGGCCATCCCTGCCCCAGACCCCCTCTGCAGCCACACTGAATAACCTGATGTCCCAAGAATACGCATCTTTGTGCATGTGCTTCCAATTGCTTGGCATGTCTATCCTTACTCCCTGTGACCCATTCCTCGTCATCTTTCTGGATTCGAGTTAAAATCATCTCCGCTGTAGTTCTCCTGATTACCATCATGAGTTAACAGCCCCCTCTCCCTGGTCTTCTAGAATCCTCAATGGTCTAATTCATGCCTCCATGAAAGTACAAACACATCATCACTATCTGTAACATATCTGTCATCCCCGCTGGGTCGTGAGGTCCTTAAAGGCAAGGATGAAGTTATCCACTGTCATCTCCAAGGCCCCAGGTGATGCCTGGCCCTTCACAGTTTGCTGAGTTAAGGCAGTGGTGTGACAGCATCCACTTGCACTGACACCCTGCAGTGGCTTCTGAGAATTGATTTTTACATTTTCAGGAATTTTGTCAGCTGATATTAAAAATTACAGTATGCAAATTAACAAATAAAGTATATTTAAAACACAAGTTAGAGATAGTCCAAATTCATCACTCGCTAGTGATGTCACAACATTTTCTATTATCTACGCACTTGGAGGAGCTATTTATGTCTGTCGTACCTGTGTGGTGGAAATGCCGTGTGTGCACCTGCCCCTGCACGTCTCTTCCATCTCCACATTTAGTAACCTCATGTTGGTAGCTTGGAATCGGCCATGGTAGGACTATTTATACCACAGAAATTGGCAAATGTTACAAATCAGGGCTTGATTTATTGTTTTGTTGATTGTCTAGACTTAAAGTGACAAAGAAAATGTTAATGCAGACTAAATTTATAATGTCTGTAATCATTACATTGTGAATAACACACACACACACACACACACACACAAAAACCCGTATTTAAAAACAATTATCCTATTCAACCAAGAAGACTCTCTTGTCGTTGATAAACAAGTAAAATTGTTACATATATCTTTGTTGTTTTACTTTCATTTTATTCATTAAAATATCAACCAACGTTCATCCCAGAATATTACTTGTTTGTCAATTGCAATCATAGATTGGCTACAGATACAAGAGTTTGACAAATATTGATGAAAGCATTCAGTGAAAATCATCTAGCAACATAGCACTTACAATAAAGAGTATTGCATATTTTTATTCTTATTTGTAAGTTGTGTGCTACACATCCTTTACTTCAGTAACATTTAGAATAAGCTAATGTACGCATATGAGTGCATACATTTCTCTTCCTGGAGAGCCCATTGTCAAACATCTACCAGCACATCACCAGATTCAGAGAGGAGGGACAATAGAGAGGGCGATAGTAGTCAGGGAGGGCTACGTTTAAAGAGGAATTGAGACTTAGACTCGATGTAGGCATGAAGGGTCAGAGAAGGAGACTCAGCAGAAGAAGCAGTGCAATATTTCCATCAGGCTGAACAGCACAACCCCAGGCACAAAGGTAGGAAAAGCTTCGTCCATGGAAACAGTGAGAGTTAGGGCTGCTGGAACAGAGGTGGCCATTGAGAGTGGTAGTGGGAGATCAAGCCGGATGGGCTGGGAGGGGCTGAGCTCCGGAAATCAGTGCAAGTGAAGCAGAGAAGTTGGATTTGATTTAGCAGGCAATAGGGAGCCACCTCTGATTCTTGAAAAAGAGTGATGAGAAGTGAGCAGTGATTTAGAAGGACTAATAGGGCCATGGTATTCAGGATAGATTTGAAGAGGGAGAGGCTAGCTCTAGTCCCTCTGGAAAGCAAACTGAGATTATGAAGCAAGTCGGAACTACAAGGATGAGGTAATGCAGCCCTCTCCTCCATCCTGCATGCACCTTCTCTCTTCCTTTCCCTCCACCAAGCTCAGACACATCCCCCTCCCCCAAGCTTCCCCTCCAGCAGCCCTTTTCTCTGGGGTCTATGATTAATTCTCTCTTAAAAGTATCTGGTGATAGATCCAAAGGGCATTTCATAAATTCTGCCTTATTATGTGAAGCCTAGTTTAAAAACTTCCTTTTGTCTAGATCAATTACGAAATAATAAAATCTGACCTGAACCCAAGCCTGCATCTATTTTTTCATTGAGAAAGGGATTCAGTGATGATCAGAAAAATCTAAGAATAAGGGAATTTGATTCTGTAGTTTCAGGACCCTAAGAAGTAAGTAGCTAAATCAGCATTAACAAATTTTCTTCAAAATCGATTATATCTATTTCTCCTCAGTACCTGTGTGCCCTCCCCTCACGCACATGCACCTGCTCACACATGCACATAGGCCCCCAGTACCTAGCAAACTGTCAGTCGGCTACCTCCAGCACTGCCATCCCTATTATCCTGAGCTACTGAGAAGAAAGGATGCTCAAAAGGGAGTGATCAAATTAAAAAAAAAAAACAGATGCCTGTGCCATGTACACTCTTTCCAAGGATTCTTGTTGCTTTTAGGGCTACTGTATGGCACCTAAATTATAATGTCCTTCGGGAATTATATCTGCCTTTGCATGTTTTAGTGGCCCTGCCCCAATTATCATACCATCTTGGTGAAAACAATGTCTGGCTAGTAGTTCCATGGCACCAACATTGTGCCATAGTTGGCCAAGCATTTAATGGTCTATGGGTCATGAGGTTGGGGGGTGCTGGTGTTGGTGATGCACACACGGTTACTTTGCCCTGGATTCTCCCCTCTGTCAATATTGACCTGCCTCTGTTTCCCCTAGGGACATGGTTGGGCAGGTACCGGATAGATGCTGTCACTGCTGAAAAAGAAAAAAATATCCAAAGTGAGTAATGTTTTTATGCTTTTTCTTTCAAAATATGATCTATTACAAAAAATGGTATGCCCAGGCTTTCTTTCTTCCTATATTTTCTAATCGTTCTAGAAGCTCCCATCATAGGCCCTTAAACACATTCTTACACACACACACACACACACACAAGCAGTATTTCTATCCTGTCTTCAAAATGCCAACCCTACAAACAGATTACCCAAATTCCACAGACACTTCTAATTGTTGCTTTCTTCCTAGTTCCCTTTTGACAACCCACATGGGTTTGGCTCCCTAATTTTTCTCCCTACCAAGGACAAAAATAAAAAGCCATGAATGCCAGAAATTTCTAGGAGCTAACTCAGCTCCTTCACATAAGTGATTTTTTTTTTTTTTGAGACAGAGTTTGCCCAGGCTGGAGTGCAACGACACAATGTCGGCTCACTGCAACCTCCGTCTCCCAGGTTCAAGCAATTCTCCTGTCTCAGCTTCCCAAGTAACTGGGACTACAGGAGCGTGCCACCACACCCTGCTAATTTTTTTTATTTTTAGTAGAGATGGGGTTTCACCATGTTGGCCAGTCTGGTCTCGAACCCCTGGCCTCAAGTGATCTGCCCGCCTCAGCCTCCCAAAGTGCTGGGATTATAGGCATAAGCCACCATGCCAGGCCCACATGGGTGATTTTTATGCTGGGCTCTGTCAGGCATCTGATACTCAGTCCCATGTTAGGTCTGTCTTGCTGGTGCCCACACCTAATCATGGAAAATCCATCAATCCATGGCAATCAAGAAGCCCTTCTTTTTTGCATTGAGCTAGGCACTTGAGAGCTCTGAAGAGTATAAGATGTATTTCCTGCTTTTCACAGAAAAGAAAAGAACATGTGCAAAACTCTGAAAATAATTCCGTGCTCCATTGGGTGGCACTGACCAGCGGAGACAGTGTAGTATTATCATCAAGTGCTAGATTCCTAGTCCGAAATGTGGGCTCTCTGTAGCCTCTTCCTTTTCCCCCATGACACACAGACCCACAGACCCATGGACGCTATCTCTTTCATAGAAAGTTAGCCATTGTAGTGTCTAATCCAGTTCACTCTGTGCCCATACTAAGATTTCCAGAATTGGGTATTCAGTAAGATTCAACACTAATGTGGGACAAAGATACTTGGGTTGTATTTCGCAGGTAAGAGAATACACATTATTCCGGGTTTTCTTTTTCTTTTCTTTTTTTTTTTTCTTTGAGATGGAGTCTTGCTCTTGTCACCCAGGCTGGAGTATAATGGCACGATCTCAGCTCACTACAACCTCCGCCCCCCGGGTTCAAGAGGTTCTCCTGCCTCAGCCTCCTGAGTAGCAGGGATTACAGGTGCCCACCGCCACACCCAGCTGATTTTTGTATTTTTAGTAGACATGGGGTTTCACCATGTTGGCCAGGCTGGTCTTGAACTCCTGACCCCAGGTGATCTGCCCTCCTCGGCCTCCCAGAGTGCTGGGATTACAGGCGGGAGCCACCACGCCCACCTGTTCTGGGTTTTCATATTCATGTCTCTACCTGTGAGGGTTGTGCCTTCACTCCGACTGGCATGAACAAGTCAATTTTCACAAGACCCTGACCTCTAACAGGAGCCCAAAACTGGAGCATGAGATTTCAATTAGGTTGTTACGTTGTGGGTTAAGTCGCTGGTTGGTTCGTTTTAATCTACTCTCAAAGTATTTGCTTCTTCTAGTTTGTGATTGAAAAAGGTTTTCAAAACACTCATCTTTCTGTAGTTTTTTTAACATCAAAGATTCTTGTCAATAAAGTTTTGAGTCTAAGGACTACATGAGGTTGGAAAGCTAATTTATTTGTTCCCCAAGACTTACTCTATTTTCCTTTAAAAAGAGCCCAAAGTTTCTCTAAATCATCTTTTATAGTCTGTCATTGTTCAGTGTTGAGATGTTGTCCTTTATAGTCCTTTATAGTTCATTTACATTTTGCTTACTACAGATTAAGCTCATTTTCTTTTAAGATATTTTAAAAAGATGATTTGTTCATTCATTTACATTCATTCAGCAAATATTTACGGAATACCAACTCTGTGCCAGCACTGTTCCACACTTCTCTCTAGGCACCATACTGTAGCTACTTCAACAAAATATATCAAGTTCCTGCGGATGCGCAGGTACTGAAGACAAAATGAAGAAGAGAGAACAGCCCCTGGCTTCCCCTTAATAGGCACCAAGATTGTATCTTGAAGGGGGTGACTGCACGGCTCCTTTGCTTGTGTGTTTATGTGTGTGTGCGTATGTCACACGAGCTCTGCTTATTAATGGTAAATAGACATAACTCTAAGGAAATAATGTTCACAGATTCCATTTACCAAGTCCCTACTTTTTCCCAGCCAATATACTAGTCACTCTACACACATTTAATTCTAACAGCAAAACTATGATGTAGGTACTATTACCATCCCCATCTTACAGATGAGGAATCCACGCTCAGGGAGACATGGCGGGTCTCTAGGACACAGACAGGCATGCGTCCCTGTAGAGGCACTGCGTTCCTGCATGCCGCTCTGTGGTCCCAGTGCTTTTATCTTGTATTTTTCTGCAGTGACTGTAGCAGGCCTGACACAAAGGCTGCCTCAGGATGTTGAAAGATGTGGTTTCTTGTATCTAATATTTAATGAGGTCATACATACTCCTCATGGATGCCTTTGACCTTCACACCATGTAGAGGCCACTTGCTATGCCAGAGGGGCCTCCTTGCTCCTGCCTTCCTACAAACATTCTGCATTCCCTGGGAGGAGTGTCCAGGGAGAGCCCACAGATAAATTGGGAAAACTCCAAGTCCTGGTCCTGCCCATAGCTAGGCATGACGTGGGCATGATGGAGAGCTCATTGCTTGGCAAGCCTTGCTGCCTACCACAAAATATGGTGGAGAGGAATTGGGTAGCAAAATCAGTGGGTTTCTTACCTTCAGGAGGTAACCTAGCTATGCCAAAAATGCTAAGATACTGTCCCTCTACCTTAAGTCACAGTTCTGCCTATGCCCATCTGTGACCCCCATAAAAGGATTTATAGAAAAAAAAGAAAATTTGGTAAGCCAAGAGAGTGTCCTGATAAAACCATCTAGTCCCAAGACAACCCCTAAAAGAAAACATGCAAATCACAGGGCCAGGCTGGTGTGAGAGCAAGGATGGCCTTCCATCCTCCAAACTCCACATCTGGCCAAAGAGCTTTATGAACAACATAGGAAGGTGCACCTGGGAACCCAGGGCCCAGAAATGATGACTCTCACCTTGTACAATGCTTCCCTGAGGGCTGCCCACTCTATGTGGTCAAGCATCCACCCTACCCCATTGTGCGCACATTTCAGGCACCAACATTTGCATACAGCATCTCTAATCTGCAGAGTAATCATGACTGTTCTCATGACTAGAGGATAAAGTGACTCTCAGAAGAACCCAGGGTCCCATGGCTGGCCTGTCAGGTTGTAGAGCCTTTGTTCTTCTGAGGATGCCATGTGCCCCTAGTGGGGGTCTCCCTCACTTAGACAGGGGGAAATAAGCAAAAACATTAAAATCCAGCAAAAAATATACTATCACACTGAAATAAGGAAAGAGATACAACCTCAAGCTAAAAACTGCCAAAGGCAGAACCCAAGGAGAGAAACAGAGAATTTTTTTTGCCATCCTCTCACCTCTGAAACAGAACTAGTGAGTCGACAAAATAGGAAAAATCTTAGCAGAACTCTTGAACTTAGGAGAGGTAGATGAAGTGGGTGCCTCTGTATTTCTCCACTTCTGGCTGGGTGGGAGTAGATTAGGCCTATTAAGGAGAGAAAGGTGACAATGGAAATAAACAACATAATTTGACTTTCTCTGTTGGGAAGTTAAGGTCCTGGGATCTACTCTGAATTTGGAAGGATTTCCCCAGGACAGAAGAATTACACACTCCACTGGGGGGTGAATTCTGATAGAGGACATTAAAAGGAGTGGGCCATGCCCTAGCTGACTTCTCCTCTAACCTATCAGACCCTCGTATAGAGAAGAAGATGAACTGCAATTCTTGTCCTCTCAGACTTTGGTAAAGAGGGAAGTCACCTAAGCAAGGGAGAGAAGCCAAGCCAAAACCACCTACTGGTGTCAGAGCAACTAGAAGGTCTAGACAAACCACTCACATCAGGTGTGACAGGACACACAGAAATGGTGATTGTGTGCAAACCACAATGAACACAACCGTTGAAAGAATGAAAAGTTCAGCACAAACTTCAGCATGGAAGAAATATAATCCCAGAACAGAATCAAAACACTTGTGCTTCACGCTATTGAAACATTTACTAAGAGCTGGAACAAAATTTTAAAAATAGTTTAAAGACCAGGCTGGGCACAGTGGCTCACGCCTGTAATCCCAGCACACTGGGAGGCCAAGGCCGGTGGATCATCTGAGGTCAGGAGTTTGAGACCAGCCTGACCAGTATGTTGAAACCCCTTCTCTACTAAAAATACAAAAATTAGCTGGGTGTGGTGGCAGGTGGTGGCAGTAATCCCAGCTACTCAAGATGCTGAGGCTGGAAAATTGCTTGAACCTGGGAGATGGAGGTTGCAGTGAGCCAAGGTCATGCCACTGTACTCCAGTATAGGCAACAGAGTGAGACTCCATCTCAAAAAAATAAATAAATAAAATAGTTTAAAGACCAGATGACAAAACAATGAAATGAGATGTTTGCAAATTAGGGCAAAATTTGAGGCGGAAAAAAATAATACTATCATGGAACAATAAATAAATAAGATGCAGCTAGGAAAAGAACAATTTTAGCCAAAAATCAAAGTACTAACACAGAAAACGCTCAAGATAATTCTAGCAAATACGGAAGAAAAATACAAAGTTTGAAAATCAGTTGGAATATAATCAATGTGGAGAAGAGAAAGACAATTGAACATATGACTAATGTATATTATTGATTTTCCGGAAGTAAGGAATTCAACAAATATGCCAGAGAAAGATTACATATATAATATATATAATAGGGGGAATTTTCCCTGAAATAAAGGAATCAAACATTTGATTGATTTGAAACTTTCTTGAAACCTGAGACAACAGATTTAAGTGTGGACAACAACAAAACCTGGTGACATCTGTGAGAAGGGGTTGGTGGTGTAAAGAGACAAGTGTAACCCAATGCCACCCAGCATCCCCGATACCCACAGAGCCATGTGCATCTGAAGCTTTGTGCAAGGCTGTGCGGAACATCCAGGCTGGAGAGGAGACAAACCGCAACTTGGACTTGGCAATGAGTGGGGGTGCAGATGAAAGAGGAAAACACCAGTTCCAACTCTCAAGATCATCACCAGTTCATGGAATTTTGTCACTCTTTCTCTTGCAAGTGACATAAACCCAACCCAACATGGCTTAAGTAAACGTATGAATTTATTGGCTCATGAAGCAAAACCTCAGGAGAGGTTTTGGCTTCAGGCCCAGTGGCTCCAGGTGCTCAAACAATATCTGTCTCTATCCCTCAGCCCTGCTGTCTTCTGTGTAGGCCCCATTCTCAGGCAAGGTTTCCCCACGTGATGGAGATAAGAAGTTCACCTGCTAGTAGTACAGGCTTTGGATCAAAAGTTCTGGATTTGAGGCTAGGAAGGTTTAATTCTCAAATCAGCCAGAGCTGAATCACAGCCCTGAAGGAGATGGGGTCAGCTGTGAGAGTGGGAGAGAGATGGTACCTAAAGAATACCAAAGTGTTAAAAGAAGAAGGGGAAGTAGATATTAAGAGACCAAAAACAATACAGGTCCACAACACTGAAGAATAGGACACACGCATACACACTCATGGTTACACAGTTTCTCATACACCTAAAACTATAACATACAAAGAACTGCACATTAATATGATAAAGAACAATCACCCAAGGCTTAAGAGAAAGAGGAAAAAAGAACCATCATTCAAGTGGAAAAGATTCCGACACCTAAAGTTTCCATATATCCACCACCACTACTATCATCACTGTTAATAAAACAAGTTAAATCTCTTTGTGTTGCAATGGGCACCATGCTAATAGGATGCACTAGAGACAGTTTCCTCCCTTTAAAGACTCACCCTATAAAACAGGCAGAGCATGGAAGATCAGGTATAAACAAGTAGAGAGCAGATAGAAAGTCATGGAGCTAATATGCTCATACACTCATAGAACATTGATCCATTCCCTCTACAGGTATTCACGTTGTACCTGCTGAGTGCCAGTACTGCATGCTCTGGGGATTCCATTCCTGCCCCTATGGAAGAGGGGTCAACTTTTCCAAAACATCATCTTCTAGAGGAAGAAGCTGAAGCCCAGCAAGGAAAAGTAACATAACGAAGATCTCAGCAGAATGACGGTTATCTGAGCATCTATATTCTGGGGTTGCAAAAAGAACAAGAACGTAGGGTTCAATGGACCTGAGTTCCAGGCCTCACTCTGTCACCAGCTGACTGTAAGAAGCCCACCCACCTCCACCTTCTCTAGATCACATGTTTTATGGCCGCCTCAAAGGCGTGAAGCAGGTGAGTCGTGCTGCCTCTGCCAACATCTGCTTTGTGAGCCTGGGAGTATTTCACGGAGATGTTTCTCTCGACAGGTTTATGGCTGGTCTTGGCTCAGTGCCTTGAAAACACTGATCATGTGATGAAACGAGAATGTCATGCTGCGGGCCATCAATAAACCACACTGGCATTCCCGCTCCCACCCCGACACCACTCCACCCATGCAATTTCCCTCCCCTTCAGCCTCCTCCCTCCCCACCTCCCAAAGATATCCAGACCAGGCCAACTCATTAGGAAGTGACATCCACCAGGATTCTTGGCCCCAGTCAAAAGAGTGGCCAGAGCTTGTCTGCTGCTTGCGGATACTTTTCTGTTTTGTGTTAAACGTTTGAGTTTGGAAATGAGCAAGAGCTATGTCTAAGGGAAACCAGACAGCTTGTTTGAAAATCCACTAAATGGCCATCGGAGGATCATGCCAGATCTTAGAACAAAGTCTCAGTTATTGCCTGAAAGCATAAACTTTCAGGCAAGGCATCTTCTCCATGCTCCTCAGCATCTGCAGAGTAGCAGAGACTTGAAAGAGATGTGTCCTCTGGATCCCACGTCAGATGATACATCTTGGGATTTCCCTACCTGGGGGAAGAGTGGGTTTTCCTGAGGAAATTGCAAGTGGGCCTGAGTTTCTAGAGTGTGAGGTGAAATGGATGCCACTGTACTGAATTCTGACCAAAACTCTGGAGAGATGCTGCGAAGGAACTCAGCTTCCACTGAAAGGGTCAGTGAAGGCTTCAAGGACAGTATCACAGCACTTTCCTATCACTTCTATAAAAATCACATCCACTTTTTCCCACCAACTTGCCCATTCTCCTTGTCTGGGACACAGGCCCTGGTACTTTACATTCAGGTCATTTCCAAGGGATAGAGAGAAATAGACAGAGGCTGAAAGAGTGATGGGGCCGGGAGACGCTGAGATCATTCAACTACCAATGCCATTCTGAACTAAGACTTTTTTTTTTTTTTTTTTTTTTTTTTTTTTTGAGATGGAGTCTCGCTCTGTCACCCAGGCTGGAGTGCAGTGGCATGATCTTGGCTCACTGCAAGCTCTCCCTCCTGGGTTCACACCATTCTCCTGCCTCAGCCTCCCAAGTAGCTGGGACTACAGGCACCTGCCACCAAAGACTTTCTTAAACCACACTCTCTCCCTGCCAAGAAAATGGGTATCATGTCCTTCATAACCCATCCTGAAAAAATGAAACCGACATGATGGCAGAGTGGTATGAAAAAGACTCTGAATTTGGAATTGAGGGACAAGAGCTCAACTGCCAACTCTCTTTATTCCCCCTGGGACATTGGGCAACTTAATCTACTTCTCAGTGAGTTGATCTGTCACTTGGGTCTAATAATACAACTTCTTACGACTACTTTTTAAAGCAAATAAAAAGATATATTTGAGAGAATGCTTTATTAATTGCAAAACACTGCCCAAATTTCAGTCATTATTATTTCCTGTCTGTCTATTTTCCATCTATCTGCATCCTGTTGACGTAACAAGGTAGCTATCTTCCATATGGTCTGTCTCCCATTTAGATTGTAAGCCTTTTGAAGGAGGGCTGGTATTTACTTTTGCATAATTGGTACTCAATAAAAGTTTTTGAATGAATTAGTGGAGAAGGAATGATGGGCAGTCATGGGTTCCTGCCCTCGACCTGTTGTTCCCAGCACCTGGGAGCACTGCTCCATGTGTCTGTGTCAGCTCAGGCCTGGCTGCCCTGGGTCAGCCCTAGGGCACCAACTGGACAGGGCCAGGCTTGGCTAGAGTCCAGCAGAATGCCTTTGCCCTGACTGCCCACCTGTTCTGTGACTGAAGCCAGCACTAAACTTAGCCATGGTGACTCATGGATATAGGGCTGCCCCAGGCCTCACAAGTCATCCTAACAACCCACCTGGCTGCAGTCAGCTACTCTCTCCCTCCCTCCCCCATCATCCCTGGGAAACGTGGCCCAGTCAGCCCTGGGCCAGGCCCTGGGGAGCAGGGCTAGAAGGCGGAGCTCACAGGGGCAGCACCCCCATGTAGACACTCTATTCCCCCAAGTCATAGTGCCAAAAGCAGAGGTGCTCACAAAAGTCATGGCGCAAATGCTCAGAGCCTCCTGCGGGGAATCACTTCTCATGGGAATGGTGGTGCTGATTAGTCACAGTGAAAAGGGGAGGGGACGGCATATGGGGCATGACGGAAATACTTAGTAAGGGCTGTACAGTTGTTCGTCCAGTGTTTCAGTTCTGCATTCAATGCATCTTCTCCGTGCTCCTCAGCATTTGCAGGGTGGCAGAGCAAAATCTCAAACAAAGAGAGGCCACGACTCCTTAAGTCAGAAACTAGACATTTATTCTGGTTCAATTCACTGCCAAGTGAAGTGGAGCTTCACCACTTCATACACTCACATGAGCCGCACAAAGAGGAGCTGGCAAGTGGTCTAGCCTGGGTGCAAGCAATAAGAGGGTTCATCAGCAGCAGAGAATTTAAAAATAATGACAAAATGAATGAATTTTTGGCCTGTCTTTTATTATCACAATGAGCTAAAAATCCTAAAGATGTCAGTGATAAAACAATCCTTCCCTCTGGGGTGGACGGCTCCCTCAGCTCTCTAGCCCACGTTGATATGCCACTGAACCACACTTTTCACTAATTCATGCTTTCTTTAATACATTCAGCCAGTTGGTTATTCATACAGCAAACATTTCTGGAGCGTATTCTATGGGAAAGACATTGTGCACTAAGCTGCGGAAACAGACATGACCCACTCTCTCTGGACATCCATCGGCAGCTCAGTCTCACTTCTCCAGGCTGTTGCCCCTCCCTTGCACTGTTTTGCCCTGAATTCTCCAAGCCAGAACTGACTCTGAGCTGTTACACACTTATCTGGAGAATGAAGGAGAGCATAAGAGATTACAGTACAGAAGAGGAAAACCAAACCTTGGTTTGGATGATTGCAGCTGCTTGGGCACACCAACCATGCTCCTTCCAGGGAGACCTTGACCAGATGCTGACTTCCTGCAGATGGTGTACCCCTCTTCCCTGCCCTCATTCCTGAGCCCTGGACTCAAACCCCCTCCTCTGTGGTGTGGCCAGTGAAAGCAAAAACGATTGACAGTATAATAATTTTTTCCTCTCTGGACAACCTATGCTGTATGATTCAGTT
Source organism: Homo sapiens (assembly GCF_000001405.40). Lineage (NCBI taxonomy): Eukaryota > Metazoa > Chordata > Mammalia > Primates > Hominidae > Homo > Homo sapiens. Next base: position 5,381,285 of record NC_000012.12, read on the forward strand.
CCTCACTGTCATCACCTTTCCATTCCAGAATACTCTTTGAGCTTTATCTTTATATATATATAACCAAAGGTATAGTAAAGAGTTTTTTGCAATAGAAACACAGCCTTGGTGGGTCTTCCCCAGACCTCTGCTGTCACGTCTCTAAGAGGAGCAGTTCTTAGAATTTCTTTGTGTATGGACCTCTTAGCAGTCTGGTGAAATCTATGGACTCGAAAAAGTCTTCTTAAGTGCACAAAATAAAATGAAGGAGATTAAAAAGAATACCGGTTTTTAAAAGATACAGTTGTCAACATAAGAAAGAAACAATTTTGTGATCAATAATAATTGTGCTATTTTATAACACATTAAATATTAATAAAAAGCTGTATTAGTCAGGGTTCTCTTAGAGGGACAGAACTAACAGGATATACACACACACACACACACACACACACACACACACATATATGAGTTTATTAAGTATTAATTTATATAATCACAAGGTCCCACCCACAATAGGCTGTCTGCAAGCTGAGGAGCAAGGAGAGCCAGTCCAAGTCCCAAAACTGAAGAACTTGGAGTCCAATATTTGAGGGCAGGAAGCATCCAGCATGGGAGAAAGATGTAGACTGGGAGCCTAGGCCCATCTCTCCTTTTCACATTTTTCTGCCTGCTTTATATTTGCTGGAAGCTGATTAGATTTTGCCCACCAGATTAAGGGTAGATCTGCCTTCCCCAGCCCACTGACTCAAACGTTAATCTCTCTTGGCAACACCCACACAGACATGCCCAGGATTAATATTCTGTATCCTTCAATCCGATCAAGTTGACACTCAGTATTAGCCATCACACATGCTCTACAGGCAGGTCTAATAATCACTACAATTTTGAAGTAGGGAAGAGTTCCAAACTATTTGCAAAATCTGTAACATACATAATAAAAATATAGTATTGATTACAATGTCACAGGGAAGTTGCTCATTCTACCTTGGCCTTCTGCCTATTTCATAAATGCTAAATTTCAATTAGAGTTTAGTGAAAACAAAAATGTCGTTTTTACCAACCTAAGTTCACTGATACCCTGAATTAGTCAGAAAAGATTAGGAACTTCTACCCTAGAGCAGTGGGCACTAAACGTGGGCCGCTTTTAGGATGCCATTTTTTAGTGGAAACTGCTGCATGTGTAAGGGCAAGGATGGAGGTAAGTGAGGGGCCAGGTGTCCTGGACAGCCTGGATCCCATAGATCTGCTCTCTGCCCTTCTCTGCCTGTCCCTGCAGCACCTGGACTTGTTTGCCACAAGCTTCCTAATGGGTTCAGGCAATGGAGGTCCTTGGAGAAACAAGAATGGAGAATATCTTCCCCACTAGCGGAGTCTTTCCAGTTTGAGAGGACTCACTAGGCTCTGGTAGCACCCTTTTCCAGAATCAACCCACAGATTTAGAGTCAGACAACTCAGGTGGAGTTCCAGCAATGAACTGGATAGGTGGCCCCGGCACTAATCTCAAGTTCCTCATCTAGAAAACAGGCACAACAACCTCTGTCCCACCTATTTGCAGGTGTCTTCTGAGGATTAGTTTAGTGCACAAACACAAACATTATTGTAAAGAAGTCAGGCAAATACAAGCGGCAAAGGCAGGAGATAGTGCTAGCCCTTGTGCAGTAGAAAGGCCTCTCTCTCTCCAGGGAGAGGGGAAAGCTACAACATAAATAGACTGGCCTACAACATAAATAGACTGGCCTTCTCACATCTCTTCTTTGTCTCTGGTGGAGCTGCAGGTGCAATGAAGAAATTGCACACAAGAACAAGCTACGGTCTGTCCTCTATGCTGATGTTGGCAGCCTGCTTCTGCAGAACATGCTTAACTGGCTATCTGAGGACCAGAGGGGAAGACAGCCGACCCCACCACTTCTGAGACCCTATCTTGCAGCCTTATGAAAGGAGAAGTTATGCTTAATTCTTGGGGAAACAAAGGAATGGCTACACCAGTAAGTTAGCCTTACCATTGACTTGGGACTCTGAGAAGTGGAGATGGGGACAACAGTAATGGGGACAGATGAACAATGTCTCTTGCTTTAGGTTCAGCAGGGACTCTTGAGAAGTGGAGATGGGGACAACAGTAATGGGGACAGATGAACAATGTCTCTTGCTTTAGGTTCAGCAGTCAGAGACCCAGGCACCAAGCGAGAAGGAACTCAGCCTACTGAAATAACTTCTTAGGTCAATTCCTGGATCCAGTATTTCCTCAGTGCCATCCATTCTACAGTCCAGATTAATCCTCCCTAAAAACCTTTCCAACATGCCACTGAAGTACTCTAATTGGCTCCTCCTGATATCCTATCAAAATGGGCTTCTAATTCGACCTAACTTATTTTACAGAAGAAGCTGAGGTCCAGAGAAGGGATAAGATGTGTCCAGCGTCATTGTGGCTGTCAGTACAAATGAAGTCTAGACTCTTTAGTCTTAGATTCAAACTTCAACTATTTCTGCCTTCCCATCGAACTTAATGCACTGCAGTCAATCTACTCTCTTTACCACCTCATTTGTCAACACAATGTAGCTATCCTGTAGGCCTTCTATTTTTCATCCCCTTATAGGGTGGTGAGTTGAATTAAAGTACATCTCCCCAAGCAGGCATTTTTACAATAGGAATAGAAGGAGCAGTAGCAATGGCGATCCCTGGAAATCGTCTGTCCAGCCCCTTGGTGTCTCACCATGCTTTGTGGATGAACAGTGCATGGGAGCAATTCAGAATGACCTTAGGGAAGAAAATGTCAACAAAAGAAAAAAAAATGCAGCTGACCAAAGACCATAGGAAGTCACTTGGTAACAGGCAACAACAGGTGTAGGAACAAATATTTCCTTTCTGAGTCAAAGAAAACTTTTTATGGGGCATCTGGGTTTAATAACAATGGCGTGTTTCTGCATGATGGAGCTGGGACTTTCTATTTTCTTAATTTTCTCCAGATGTTACACACTACACACACACACGCACACTTAGATAATCAAAGCAGTTGTATGGTTCAGGGTTGACCCTTGGATACTAACGTGCGTTGCACATCCATAGTAATCATGCAACAGCAGGAGGTTCTGAATATTCAAGGCATTGCTATCTGCAAGTTCACTGGCTAAAGCAGTGGCAGAACTATTATCATTCAAGATTTACAGGGCCCACTGCCTGGCAATGGGAGAGATGAGTGTCTATAATGTAAAGAAGAATTCACCTTTGAAAAACTTCAATTCTAGAGCACAAGCCAATTAGAAGAGTGAAATACTGGATCCTATCTCCCCTAGGAAGAACTGACCTTTGCACACCCATGAGTACTGCTGTGACTCTACATCGCACGTGTTTCTCCCGTCCGTCTCCTCTCTTTGGAGTGCATGTGCAGTCCTCGCGGGGACACTGGGCCTGCTTCTCTCTGTATCCCATGCTCAGTACCATGCTTCATGTAGTAGGTACTCTAAAAGTGCTGCTTAAATGAATGAGCAGAAACTTTAGTAACTCCATGGCTGATTATCTGGAACTATTTTCTTTCTAATAATCTTTGGGATCAGTTTTCTAATAGTCTTTGGCATCTTTTTTTAATTAATTTGTCTCCTTGTAGGGGAAACATGAACAAAGAAAACCTAAACTCAGTCTATTGGTTCACAAATCTCATCAAAAGTTACAAGGGGCAGGAACTGCCCATGGTTATATGACCCTACAGTTATGAGATTGCTGGTGAGTTTTAGGTTTACAGTTTACCTCCTCTCTTCCTCTACAGGAAACACGCAGATAATTATGTGTTTTCTACTGGGACACTGCCTCCAAGGTGAACAGATATTCAAATAGATTGATAGTTCATTTATGTCAAAAATCTCTTCAACTAAAAATTCTGATAAACAGAATAGTCACAGAACCAAGTTTTGTTTAGTCCTGTGATGTAAGAAGCAGTATTCAGAAGAATGCCACTTGGTAATAATAAGACCTTTCTAAATCACCAAAGAAGTCTTTAGCCATTTCATGTAATTTTACTATCACACATTCTTATTTGCTCTTACAATTCTTTAACTAGACTGGGCACAGTGGCTCACTCCCATAGTCCCAGCACTTTGGGAGGCCAAGGTGGTCAGATCTTTAAGCCCAGGAGTTCAAGACCAGCCTGGGCAACATGGTGAAACCCGATCTCTACAAAAAATACAAAAATTAGCCAGGCATGGTGGTGTGCACCTGTAATCCCAGCTACTGGGGAGGCTGAGGTGGGAGCATTGCTTGAGCCCAGGAGGTCCAGGTTGCAGTGAGCCATGGTTGTACCACTGCACTCCAGCCTGAGTGAGAGTGAGACCCTGCCTCAAGAAATAAAAAATAAAAATAAAAGATGAATAAACTGTCTCTTAATGGTATAATATGGATAGAGGCATCTAACACTGTGGCTGACACATGATAATTGTTCAACAAATGATTGTAAAAACAAACCCTTGGGGACAAATGGCAGCATTTATACTGATTGATTAATGGTTCTCATTTTTGCAATAATCCAAATACCCTGGAGGGTTTTTTAAGGCATCTCCTGCTAGCTCCCACCCGCAGCATTTCTCATGCAGTAGGCCAAGGTTGGAGCCCAAGATTTTACGTTTCTAATAAGTTCCCAGGTGACGCTGAAGCAGCTGAGTTTGTGCCCACACTTCCGAACATGGCTGTTGACTTTTCTTTCCTATCTAAAACCCCCTCCACCTTTGGCTCATTGGTGGAGACTGCTACCGATTGCCTATCCAATATCAACTGCCCCTTTTCCTTACTAATAGACTCTGATTTTCTTCTAGGCAGCAATGCAAATACTATATTTCCCAGCCTCACTGCTGTGAAATGCAATCAATAATTCAGATGCAGGAGTTGTTTGATGGGACTTATAGGAGAATCCCTAAAGGCACTGCAAAATGGTAACACAAGTTATTTTGCCCTTTCTCCTTCTTCCATTTATGGTAATGTGGGCATGATGGTTGGAGGTACAGCAGTCATCTTGGATCATGAGGCTCTACATGAAAGATCATGGAACAGAAACACAGAACGAGCCAGGATCCTTAATGACATCGTGGGGCAGACTTGCCAGCCCGTCGATTCTTTACCTCAGATTTTTCCTATGTTAAAAAAAAAAAAAGCTCAAAAATTTTAAACCACTGTTATTTTGTTTTTACATTTTCTACAGAAAACCTAATCATATGTGATTTAGCTTCTAATGCATTGTAGCGTTCTTTTTGTCCTCTGGCTTCTCAAATTACTCCTCTCTGTCCCTCCTCCCCTTCATCCTCCTCCTTTTCCTCCTTCTTCTCCTTCTGTTCTTCTTCTTTTTAACTTTTTTTTCTTTTTTCTGCCTTTGAGAACACATCTTCTCCAGGGATTTGACCTAATCATTCTTCTTTTCTCTACTCCATCTTCCCTCTTTTCTCTCCAAACTTGTTCTTGACAATCTCAGCCAGCTTCACAGCTCCAGCTATAACCTTTATTTGAGGACTCCCAAATTTGAATCTGTAATCTTTCATTTGCAGAGAAAATGCTGCAACTGTGCATCCTCACCCAGGTATCCTAATGGACCAGCACCTGCAAGGTTTCCAAACTGAATTTCTGATCTTCCCTACAAAATCAACTACTTTTCTTCTGTTTCTCAATAGACCACCTTACTTTTTATTTCACAACATGGAAACTTCCAAGTCATCTTGAACTGTGCCTTCTCCCTTGGCTTGATAAATGATCAATTATAAACTTATCTGTAATTGATTACCCAATTTAATATCTATAATAGAAAACTCTCCTCTCCGTCCCAACTTTGATTTTTGCAGCTCAGGTATTTGTCATATTCCGGGCCAGTGAAATAGCCTTATACCTGTTTTTTCTCCCTCACTTCCACCATTTTATGTGTGTCTGTCTGTGAGTGTGGGTGAAGTACTGCTGTAATCAGATTCAACCCCCATGCAGCCACAGTAATACACCAAATACAGCCTGCTATCTGACACCAACATAGCTTTCCAAATATAATTTCCACTGCTTCTCATCATATGCTTTTTCTCAACTTCATTCATCCCATACTGATATGGTTTGGATCTGTGTCTTCACCAAATTCTCATGTTCAGTTGTAATCCCCAGTGTTTGGAGGTGAGGTCTGGTAGGAGATGATTGGATCATGGAGGTGGTCTCTAATGGTTTAACACCATGCCTCTTGGTGCTGTCATCATGATAGTGAGCTCTCATGAGATCTGGTTTTTTGCAAGTGTGTGGCACCTGCCACCACGTCTGCTTTGACCATGTAAGACTTGCCTGCTTTCCCTTCACCTTCCGCCATGATTGAAAGCTTCCTGAGGCCTCCCTAGAAGCCACTATGCTTACTGTACAGCCTGAAGAACCATGAGCAAATAAACCTCTTGTCTTTATTCAGGTATTTCTTTATAGCACTGCAAGAACAGACTAGCACATATGTGATTTACTTCTTTTAGTATTTGACCTATAATTCCCATTTGCTAAGTCGTTCATGCAGTTTCATTTGCCAATAATCCCTACTACTTCCCACTTCCTCGTGCCTGAATCCTACCTATTCTTTAGGCTCAAAAAAATGCCATCTCAAGACTCTACAAAGCCTTTCATGAGCTCTTGAGCTGAAAGTTCTCTCTCCATGCTTTCAAATCCTCTGTCATTGTATATGTATATCTTAAGGCACTAACTTTTTCCTTCCTATTGTAGTAATCAGGATACATAATTTATCTTGTGAATTAAACCTGTCTTGTTCACCTGCGGGTCCTTCAGATGATAGGTTCTCAGTAAACATATTTGAAGTGAGTAAACACTATTTTTAGTTGTTGAGTGCATGAATAAATACATACGTATTAGATGTTTGAGTGTTCCATATAATCTATCCTCTCACCACCATGGCGGCTACACACTCCACATCCACGTTCCAGCCTCCATTACTTTGGACAGAATTGGCAATGAAAAGTGAAGAAAACAAGAAGGCAAGAAAACTCAGGCTTATGTCAATATATTCCTTTCTTGAAAAATACGTAAAACAGAAAAGAAAAGGTTAAGTTTAAATGGAACTTTGATGGGTAAGAAAAGGATTGTGAACGTTTTTTGCTGCAGGAAAGATATTTTTGCTCCTTTAAAAATATTAAGAATCTTATTGAAAGGGGTCAAGTGTACCTTGTTTGAGTGTCCAACAATAGGGGCTTTCTATTCACAGCACATTTCATACTTGCTCTATTGCAACCCAACTGTTTTTCAGTGAAGCCATGTGCCTTGATTATATTATCACTGCCTTTTGAAGACTCTCCTGAGGCTTTTTTTGAGAGCAAAACCCCTTTCAGTTTCATTCCAACATGCAGGAGAAAAGGTAAGTGATGTGAATTCCACGTTGGGGTCATTAATATCACGTGCTGCACTGAGTGGGACTTCACATCCCACTCAGGGACTTCCCTTGGCTGTGTGGACAGAGGGCTGCACCCCTGCCTGACAATCTCCAGCCCCAGAGACCATACAGGCAGGTCCCAATCCTCCTCCTAGCAGCACAGACAGTCAGATATGGGGGAAGAGCACAGTTACAGGATTCTTGGTCATTTACTGAGCCTGTAATATCCTATTTATTTCACCAAGATGTGGTCAATACACTCCTCTAGTTCTCTTATCTCAGTTTTCTCATCTGGAATATAACCTGCATGGAGAATCCTTGTTTTCCATTCCGTAGAGTATGATACAAATTCTGAGGATTTAACTTACTTTTTTTCCAGTTGAGTCACCATCTGAGATACTTCTGCCACCTCAAAAGCCACAAAGAGGGTGTGGTTCATACCTATTAGATGACCCATTAGGGATGAGGGTCATGTCAGGGATATTCCTTTATTTTGTTATTTCTGTAAATATTCCCTTGCCTTCCTCCAACTGAATGTGCTGTGGGTCTCAATGAAGCAGCTCCCTACCGGAAGGGTCTGGTCACTCTCATTGGCTTTAGGAGAAGGGATGGGAAGCAGAAATCATTTTCCAACCTTCACCTTTCTGGACCAATGACTGTACACCCAGGATAGTTTGCAGAAAGCTATTAAACTGATCATCTTTCAGTTATTTTCTAAGCATCTATTAGCCCCTGGCCTTGCTACCTTCTCCTCTAGGTATCTCCCAAAGAAGTGAGGCATCCCATGCACAATTCCTCTTTTCTCTTCTCTCCAACTTGCTGTGGCTCTCTCCCTTTAAAGCCTCCTCCCTTTCGTGTCTCACCTCCCTTTTCTTGCCTAGGATGTGCCATCTTCCCAGTGATGAACCCCCATCCCTTCAGGCTTCTTAGGCCTGAAACATCCACTTAAAATCCCAATGACTTTGTCTAATTCCTCCACTTCTGTTGCTTCAGTAAAAAGGAGGAACACGTTCTAATCTCAGTGCTGGCCAACTCAAAAGGGTGAGATGGGTGAGGTGGGGATGGAGTTCTGGACTCCGTCCAGAGTATGGGGGTCAGAGGAAGAGAAATTGGGCCAAAGCAGGCTTTACTCTGGACTGTGCCCATTTTTCTCCAGAAATAATCTGAAACCAGTACATTATACTTTCATGAGAATTAATATCATTCTGAAGACCTCTGTCTGGTCTTCATGAGAAATTTGTATTCCTTTTATTTAATTTCAATTCTTGCAAGATAATAATCCTCATGTTATTATGTTAAAGGAGTATTTGCCCCTTCCCTACCCTGTGCTTTATTCCAGTTTCATCACATTTGCTGGCAGGCAATGGTGCCTTGCCCAAATCAATTTTATTGAACACGTCATGGTCCTTCCCCAATTGTGATAGGGAAGCGGGGGCATCCCCTCAACTATTCACATGTAAAACGCAGCTCTGAGCTCCAGGAAGGTGATGGATTTTAAACCTATAATGCATCCATCAGCATTGTTAACGAGCACCCAGATGATGGTCAGGTTGCCCACACGTGCACTGTGCTGTGAGTACTGATGGGATGGGCTTCCCCAGTCATGTCGAGACTCAACCCCTGAGTCTCAGAGGGGATGGAGGAGAGTGCAGAGGTTTGCTGCCATGACACACTTCATGAAGAATGTATTTTCCAACTGTCACTATTTCAGGCCAATGATCGTACACCCAAGAGAGCTTGTGGAAAGCTACTAAACCGATCATCACTCAGTCATTGTCTAACAGTCTGTTAAGACTCACCATGTGCCAGAACATATTAAAGTGCCTTCATGGGCAGTGCAGACAGGGAGAGGCACTGGGAAGTCTTCCTGTCACAGAGGGATATGGGGTTCTGTTCAAAGTAGGAACAAACTTTATTTCCTCGATGTTATCAAGAGCCTCACCACTGACGGTTCAGGTATGTTTATCTTTCCTTTGCTCTTTGTCCTGAGACACCTTGTTGAATGCTTTCTGGCCTTTAGACTGTGAAGAGGCAGCCAGGCTGGGATGATGAGAGCACTGGATTGCAGGTTTGGATCAAGGCTGTGGCCCTGGCCCTGCCACTAGCATGTTACTCTTAGGCCACATCTCTTTACCTTTCTGGACCTCTGTTGTAACCAAGGTGCTTACATTCCTTCAATACATATCAAGAGCCAAACCCAAGGACCACAGAATTCTACTCCCAAGATTTTATTCTACAGAATGTTTTTCTCAGCCTCATCATTACTTATTGACATTTTGAATCGGACAGTTCTCTGTTGCGGGAGAGGTCTTCTGCCTTGTAGAATGCTTAAAAACATCTCTGGCCTCTACCTATTAGATGCCAATAGCAACACCTCCTCCAAACTTAAGACAATCAAAGTCCCCAGACATTGCCAAATATCCCCTGCAGGACTACATCATCCACAGTGGAGAACCATTGTCCTAGGGTATCAAAGGAAAGATGGTTGTATCTGCAATTAGGTCTGTGGCAGCATTGCATGAAAACAATTTGCATTAATAGCAGGAAAAGAGTTAATAGAATTATGATACCTTCGTTTGATGGCATATCCTATAGTCATTAAAGATAAAAATAAGAAATTGCATATAAACAAAATTCATATATTAAATTATCTTATATATATAAGCAGAACATTACAACAGTGCAGCTGTGTAAAAATACTCTGGGTTGTAAAATCTGAGGATTGGAAAGAACCTTAAAGGTTAACTTACCAAACAATCTATTTTCTGATCCCCAGGTCCCTTAGGAGATGTTTTCACTAAGGGGGCATATATCTCCTGCCTAAACCCCTCTATATTCATTGCCTGTGGCTGCCACAAGAAATCACCACCAACTTCACAGTTTAAAACAACAGAATTGTTTTTCTTCCCATAGTTCTGGAAGCTAGAAGTCTTCAGAAGCCACGCTCCGTCTGAAGGCTCTAAGGGAGAATTCTTCCTTGACTCCTACACCTTCTAGTAGCTCCTGGAATTCCTTGGTTTATGGCAGCATCACTCCAGTCTCTTCCTCTGTTTTCACATGGCTTCCTTCTCTGTTTCTGTGTCTCAAATCTTCCTCTCCTCATTCTTATAAAGTCATCAGTCATTGGATTTAGGGCCCTCCCTAAATCCAGGATTATGTCATCTCCATATCTTGAACTTAATCACATCTGCAAACACCCTGTTTCCAAATAAGGTCACATTCACAGCTACGGGGGAGTTAGGATGTGGACATATCTTTTGGATAAGGGAGTCTCAGTTCAATCCACAACATAGGCTGTTGTTGATGATTAACTTCATTCCTGAGGCTGCATCTTCTATTCTTGGGCAGCTTTGAAGCAGAATGTTCTTCACGTTGCATAGACATCCTTCCATATGCATAATTATTACACATCTGAAGAAATGTCAGTAATTGGAGTGGTTGGGTAGAGAGATTGAAATAGCTTGTTTTTATTTAGATATACATTTTTTTCCAGCTAAAAGTAAAAACCTGCTTTATCTTTCCTCACAGGATTAAGTCACATAGTACATGTGAAAGAGCTTTGTAAATTTTGGGCCGCAAAACCAATAAAGGGAATCTCATTGATGATGACATCTTCATTTGGCAGATGTGTATCTGTTTGGTGTATAATACCTGAGAAGCCTCTCTTTAAGCCCAGGCTTGGAGCATCTGCAAAGGAGGATCATTAAAAATATACATTTTTTGGAAGATGAGATTTGCTATTTTAAAAATATTATTAAGTAATAATTTCTACTTTTAAAAAGTCATCATAAAAATCCAAATTTGTGAATTTACTTTTAACTATTATTATTATTATTAGTAGTAGTAGTAGTAGTAGTAGTAGTATTGGAATGAAGACTTTCCAGCAGGCATTTTTCCACGTTTTCACCAACCACTTTTCACTGCTTAAGGCTTCGAAGAGCCCTCTCCCAGTCAGGGGGATGCAATGATCAAAGCAGTCTGTTCTTATGAACAAATCAATCAAGAGTCACCCCAGCTTCCCATCACACAGGGACCAATAACTTTTTTCCTGTCCATTCATTCTTCTTTCACTTCCTTTTATTTGTCTTTCTCTGCCTTTCCCCCAGTCCTATTCCCTCATCAATTTCTTTCACTCTCTTTCTCCTCTTCTTCCTTCCTCTCCTCTTCTCCCCATTCCCCTTCTCTGCTCCAATTTCTGTCCTGTTCTTCTCCCACTTCCCAGCAAACAGGTGTCAGACATCTGAGTCAAGCACAGAAAAGCAGCTCCTCAAAGTTATAACAGGTAGGGCTGATTCAACATCTCACTTGGAACCTTCAGGGCCTCAGAAATACTCCCAGATCCCTCTCCTGACACATAAAGCACATTCATGCTAACACGTGCCTCCTTCTCCACCTCCCAGACCCACCCAGTGACTACTTCCCAGGGGTCTTGAGGTGCCTCCTGCCCTGTGGCTGTACGGAGGGCAGCACTGGAACCTCGGGTTCAGGGCCTGTGTGGGTGGTTCACTTATGTAAGACATCAGCTGCCCTGAAAGAGAACTGGTGAGCCCTGAAAGTGGCTGGCAAGGCCAATCTTCAGGCCTCAGCAGCTCAGCATTCACAAGTGTTGCACCAGCCAGCCAGGGACACCTGGAATACGGGAGAGTTGCCCCCTTCACTCTCTTAAGGCCGGTGACCAAAATTTTCTTATTGGCCAAGTTTATTCAAACATTCTTCTTCCCTTGCAGACATGTGACTGTAGACATTTGCTAAAGGTCTTTTAAGTTAAAGGTCTCTTACCACTGGGTGCAGGGTCAAAATTTGGGTAACAGGAAATTGGTCTTGGCAGTCAGAAGAAACGTTGCTATGACTCTTCTAGATAGTCTGGGACCAGGAGCTCTTTCAGATGTTAAGGAAATCCCAGCCTCCCTCATCTGCACTTCCCCAACACACACACCACTGGAACCTCTGGACCACCAGCTGGAAGTCTAGTTCCAGTATTACTGTGAACCTCTGGAAGTCTAGTTCCACACTGCTGGAACCTCTGAATCACCAACTAGAAGTCCAATTCCAATATTACTGTGAACCCACAAGATAACTCTTCAGATGTGGGACCTCATTTCCCCATTATAGAGGACAAGCACCATCCCTTCTTTCTCCTTCCCTTGAAAATAAGCCCATAAGAAGACAGCAAGTTACAAGAAGACAATAGAACCATGGATGGTGGAGCACTAGAAGATGCCTTGGCCACACAGCATAAGAATTCTGCGAGGCCGGGCGCGGTGGCTCACGCCTGTAATCCCAGCACTTTGGGAGGCCGAGGCGGGCGGATCACGAGGTCAGGAGATCGAGACCATCCCGGCTAAAACGGTGAAACCCGTCTCTACTAAAAATACAAAAAATTAGCCGGGCGTAGTGGCGGGCGCCTGTAGTCCCAGCTACTTGGGAGGCTGAGGCAGGAGAATGGCGTGAACCCGGGAGGCGGAGCTTGCAGTGAGCCGAGATCCCGCCACTGCACTCCAGCCTGGGCGACAGAGCGAGACTCCGTCTCAAAAAAAAAAAAAAAAAAAAAAATTCTGCGAGTGACAGGAGGGAGCATGGCTCAGAGCCTCCGGTTTCCATATAATTTTCACCAAGCTCACTATAGCTGAATGGTGGCCCCTATAAGATATGTAAACTCAGTCCCTGTGAATGTGACTTTATTTACCAAAAGGGTCTTTATAGACACATTAAGGTTAAGGATGTGAGTGTGAGACCATCCTGGATTAGGATGGGCCTCAATCCATTGGCAGGTGTCCTTACGAGAGAAGAAAGAGGCAGGTCCATAAGGTATGGTCATGTGAAGACAGGGGCAGAGACTGGTGTTATGCTGCCACAAATCAAGGTGTTCCTGAAGCCACCAGAAGCTGGAAAAAGCAGAAGCAGGAAACCTTGATTTCAGACTTCTGGCTTCTAGAACTGTAAGAGAATACATTTCTGTCATTTTAAACCACTGACTTTGTGGTCATTCATTATGGAAGCCATGGGACACTAATACACTCATTAAGAAAATATGACCTATCAGCAGACAATTTCTGTATTACTAAAACACCCCAACTCTTGTCACAGAAACACACAGGTTTTGGAGTCAGAGAGACCTGGGTTTGAATCTCACCTCTACCACCTTTCAACAGAATGTCCTTGGGCAAGCTGTATAGCCTCACAGCCTCTTCTTGCCTAAAGAAAGGAGAATGTAAGACCATCCTTCCCAGGGGGTTCTGGAGAGCAGATGTGGTGAGGCCCAGAGTCTGGTTTATGGCAGGCTTTGATGAAACGCTGGTATACAGCTGGCATGCAAGAAATGCTGGCTTTCTTCACCCTCCCTCTCAACTTCCTCTTCTCTTCCCCCCTTCACAAAATGCTCTGGTGGTTCTTCCTAGAGATCTATAAAATCACATCCAAACTTTGTAACAAACGTAGAAGACCGTTCACATTTTGCCCACCACTCACCCATTTTCCTTTTGAATCAAATTTCCATCAATTTTCCTCTAAAAACCTGTACTTTAGGTACTTCCTTATCCCAGAACCAGCCTTCTACATACTAATCCTAAATCTTTAGCCCTGCTCCCCACCCATGCCCATTCGACACCCCCTGCACCTCCCTCGAGCATCCTTACTGCGTCATGTCTGTTTCTGTTAGGCCACTGAGCCATCCAGATTCAGCCACAGAGCACCAGGATTAGGATGATAAAATGATCTGTTTTCAGGGTCCTTGATCCCTTCACTCCTTCTTATGCCTTCCTTTCCTATCCCCTGACTTGCTTTTCCCCAGTATTAACTAGCTCCCAACACCCTCCCTCTCCACTCCCCACAACTCATTCACACTGTGGTATAAAACAATGGCAACAGCCTAAAATATTGCCTTCCAAAGAGGACTCAAAATCCTAAACCTAAATAATGAATTGAATGCATCATCAAACTTGGAAACACAGGGCCTTTCCAATGGCACCCAGCCATCCTGCCGTCCAGGTGTGTTTGCCCTTAGGCAGGTGAGGCAGCCCTCCCCCACCAACCAACCAGTCCCATTGTTGCTGCCTGGCTTTTATCTGCCTGACTCTGAGATTTGAACACCACTGGGTCTTGTCTCCCTGACTCCTGGTCTCCTTCCCCACCCAGCCTTCTTCCTCATGTTTCTTCCTGCTACTTCATGTTCTAATTGCTCTCGGGAGTGGGGGACCGGGGATCATCCATCTTGCTCACTGGGTATTCAATTAGAGCCGACTCAGCGCCCATCTTCTTCCCTCCGCCCTCCCTCCCTCCCCCAGATGTCGCCCTTCAGGAAGCAATATATAACACCCTCCTTCGACGGCAGCCTGCTGGCCACCCGCCATTTCCAGGCTGAGTCCCCATTAACTACGCCAAGGCAAATGAATAAATAAATCTCTAAGGAGGGAAAGAAAGAGGAAGAAGTGCCGGTTCAGAGCTAATGAAGGTCACCTCCCAGCCAGGCCTCCCATTCCCCCTTCTATGAATTGGAGCCCAGGACTGAGGAGGCAGCTTCCTCCTCAGACAAGAATCCTGCACGTGTCTGTTAGCCTGTGAATGTGTGTCCTGGGTCAGTTCCAGGAACACACCATATTATCACAGCTTTACTGTTAACTGCTTAGCTTAATTTGTTCTGCACACGTAATGACAGCTTAGGAGCAGAAAGGTACCGTGGTTCCTGTTGAGACAGACAATGCCTACTCAGATGACCAGTAAAATAATGTGCAGTATTGGTGGGGCACTGAATCAGTGGTCACTGAGGGCTTCATAGATGCGGCAGTATTACCATCGTGTCAGGGATGGGAAAACTGTCTCACCAAGATCTGAGATGATGGTGGAGCTCGATCTACTCATTCCTATTTGAATTTTCATTTATTGACAATATTTCCCAGAAAAGGGGACATACACAGCTGGGAATGTTTGGCTTTGTGCCAGAAGGTGCATGAAACCATAGTATACATGAGATACTTCTTGGATGGTCAATTTTACTTGATTATAAGTAACTTGAGATAATTTCATATTAACAATGGTAATATTATGTTAGATTGATATATGATGTAATATATTCATATACATACATATATTATGAAATAGAAAAAATGCTCATGTTAGCTTTCATGATTAAGCAGATGACATCACAGTAATTTCTAGCTTGTTTTCTCTTTAACACTGGTTCCCACGGGGACACTATCACTCTCCCCTGATTTAGCAATGGCTCTTGATAGGTGCAGTTTGAGATGCTCTGTTCCCAACATCCCCAGGTTGATCTGATGAACTGACTCTAACCAAAGGATCCACCACCTCATGTAGGATTTGTCATTGAGCCCTTGCAACATGTGAGTAGAATGTTCACCCAGAGCAGGCCCAGCCTAAATCTGTTGTCTTTTAGCCACTGTACTTGTTGAAATCTTTACTAAGCCCCTTGCTTATCACCTTGATTCATTACTTCATTTTTTTTATTAATTTGTTTTTAATTTTTGGGGGACAGAGTCTCGTTCTGTCACCCAGGCTGGAGTGCAGTGGCACGATCTTGGCTCACTGCAACCTCGGCCTCCCAGGTTCAAGCCATTCTCCTGCCTCAGCCTCCCAAGTAGCTGGAATTACAGGCATGCACCACCAAACCCAGCTAAATTTTGTATTTTTAGTAGAGTTGGGGGTTTCACCATGTTGGCCAGGCTGGTCTCGAACTCCTAACCTCAAGTGATCTGCCTGCCTTGGCCTCCCATAGTGCTGGAATTATTACAGGCATGAGCCACCGCACCCAGCCCAATCCATCACTTTAAACTGGTCCTTTTCCCTAATTCAAGCCACCATCATTTCTTCTTGAACTATTGCCAACAGATCCCTAACTTTTATTTCCTTTTCACCCTCGCATTTCCCCTATCTCCTTTCCATACATCAACAAGAAAGACCCTACTAAAATATAAATGGATGGTTTCACTCCTGAAAATGTCCCATTGCTGTGAGATAAAAATGAAACTCCTTCATACAGCCTCCAAGGCCCTAGGCGGCCTACCTCTGCCTTTCAAATATCCTCAGCTCCTCCTGGCTTCCTCCACCCACTAAGCTCCAGCTAGTCTCTCTCTTTATGATGCCTTGAACCTGCCAAGTCCCTCCTGCCCCAAGGCCTTTGCAGAGGCTGTGCCCTCTGCCTGGAGACCCCCTCCTATACTCTTTTCATGCCTCTTTTTCATATTTTATAGCATAGCTAAGAAGCTACTTCTTTTCAAAAAATATATTTTTAACATCATTTTCATAGCACTACTTTCAACTCACTGAGAAGAAATATGATCTGTACTAGTTGTGACATCTAAATTATACACAAATTTTAATAAAGGCACATTTTAAAATATTTAGTATACAAAAAAAACTCAAAAACAGTGGTTGTGAAACTTTGTTCCCTGGAGCCCTAATTCTTCTGAAAAGTCTTCCCAGATCACTCAGTTTAAAAGAAGTGCCTTTTTCAATTGTTTTTTTAGATGGATTTTTCCATATAGCAATTAGTAGTTGTGGGATTAGTATTATTATTAGCAGTAGTAGTTGTTGTTGTTAGATATTTAATGTCCAACTTCATCTCTAGTTTATAAGCTCCTTGAGGACAAAGATCATGTCTATTCTGCTCAGCATTGAATACGCAATGATTAGCCTAGGACCTGCCACCTCGAGGGTGCCAAACATTGTTTTGCTTTATGAATAAATGAGACAATGAATGAACTGTCTATAAATGCCACTTTGGATTGCACGGGTTTAGTCAGTGGGACGGCAATTCTGATTCCTTTTCTAGATGAAGTCTGTTTAACCGTGGAAGAACAGCAGTCAATGGATATTTTCTTTGTGTGAGTTTTTTAGGTTACCCAAGCTATCCTGTTAAACAGGAATTATTAGTTTTGAATTCAGATTTTAAATAATAAGTAAATATAGCGTGAAAATTAAGACTGTGGGCTTCGGAGTTAGCTAGATTGGAATATCAGTCTTGATTCTGTCACTTACTAGCTGTGTGAGCCAAGCCTCAGCTTTCCTATGCGTAAAGCAGGACTAATAATAGTACACCAGTTACAGGGTTTTTTGAGCATTAAATAAAACAGTATTCCTAAACTACTTAGCACAGCATTTGGCCTTCAGTATGTGGTCAATGAAGATACACTATTCTTATTTTTCTTATTAGGCTCAGAGCAGTACCTGTTTTTTCAACCATCGTGCTAGAGACTGCTAACTGCTCCCTAGGATTTACTTTCTTTCTTTATTTTAGTTGTATAATCAACACCACTATCCCACCACCCACTGTCAGTACACACACAAAAGTTAGCTGGACACATTCCCACATAGTTACAGACTATATTTCTCAGGATTTGCACATGGACATAGTCCACGACTCGAAGTTCTTGCCAATGGAATGTAAGAACAAGAAAGGTGCAATTTCTATGTCACTTGGTTAAAGGCAACTGCTTGTCTTCACTTCTTATTTAAAAGAGAGACTTATTCAAGACCAAGTTTCTATCATGCAGAGGAGGACAACACCTGAGGGAATGAGGGAGACACAACGTGAAAGAAATCTGGGCCCCTCTACGACCTCAAGGAGCAAAGCTGCCCTGCTCTTCTGAGCCGCTCGCCTCTGGACTGCTATAAAGTAGAGAAAACACTTTATCTTATACAAAAGATTATATCTCAGGTTGTCTTGTTATTGCAAATGCTGCAATTTTTATGGCCTCTTCTTGAGAGTCTTAGGAAAAAAACTGATTGCATCAATATTAGAATCACAATCCTCTCACTCAAATTCTCTCACACAGTATGGTGTTAAGGAATGTGTGAAAAGTGAAAAGTAGTGGCTGTTCTCTGTGATGTCAGCTTTGGAAAATGAAAATATGCATCCACTTTACTATCTCATCCTAAACCCATCAGTCAGACACCAGTCCCCACTCTATCGCAGTAACTACGAGACTTTGGCCAAGTCATTCTAATTTCTGAGTCTCAGTTTCCACATCTTTAAGAATGGGTAATGTATTACCCTGCCAACCTTATAGACCTATGAGTATCATATAAAGTAAGCAGTAAACTGGAATGTGCCATGCACTGAGGAATGCTGCTGATGCTTTTCACCTCATTCCTTGGCTCCAGTACTCAGCAACTCTGAGGGGGTCTACTCACCATGTGTCCCAGCTGGGCTGGGGTGGCCCTTCTGGTTAGAGGAATAGGCAGATGTTTGTCTCTCAGTAAAGGAGATCATCCGTGCTTTGCACACTTGCCTTTCTTCTAGCTATTTAAGCTTTTTCTGATGCAGATGCCACCCTGGAGCATACCTTACTGTGAGCTTGTGAAGTGGCTCCTAGAACATATTTTCCGGCTAAGGTAGAAGATGTTTCCTAGGGAGGACACCAGAACAGGAGAAATAAAGTCATAGAAAAAACAGTTCCTGGACCGGGAACCCAGGCCCAGCCCTGACACTGAGTCTCTCTGCTCCCATGGACCAGGCACTTTTTCTCTCCAAACCTGTAATCTAGAAAGTTTCTTTTCTAGTTCTAAAAATCTGTGATTCTAGGTACTGTGAAAACAAAAAATAAGAAAGTAAGGGTAAAGAAAATGGAGTGGAACGCTAATAGATGGGAATTCATTCATTCACTTACTCATTTATTCATTCATTCTTCCTTTGTATCTTCTAGCAAGATGTCATGGAGCCCCTATTAAATGAGAGGCGGGGACTGCTCACTCTCCCAGACAAGGGGGTGAGGAAAAAGGATCACTATTTGCTAGCACCAAGTAAAGCCCACCGTTGTCCACTGTGCAGTTAATTCGGACCAGTGCAGGTAGCCAGATGACAGACTGAGAGCTGGATTCACAGGTTCCATTCACTCATCTCTATATTTCAATGTGACCCTGAAGCAACAGAGGCTAAAATAAGAGCAATAGGAAAAATCACCCCTGTTTAAAAATAAATGATGAATACAAACCTCACACCATATTGGATTCCAAAGACCACAGAACTGCCATGCCAGAACCAAAAAGATAAGGCAGCAACATATACAGGATAGAGCTTGAACTAGAAATCTGGGTTGTTGCCCGTGATCTGTCACCAACTACAACATTGGTGTAGCTCTGATCAAGGTACCTTCCATCTCTGAGTCTTAGTCTCCTGTTCTTTAAAGTCTGGCCTGAGCTTAAACTGGATTTTCTCCAAGGCCTCTTCCAGGTCTAATGTTACATGATCGGTCGCTGATATTATTCCATAAGGTAGTATTCCCTTCTAAAAACAGCAAAACACAAATTCCTCAAAGCCAAAGGCAACACCTTTGTTTCCTTTGCATGGCTGATTAAATTAATGCAAACCAAGCAGGCTTTCACCGGAGAGCCTGGGAAATTGCCGGATATTTGGGGAAGATTACTGAGGTTAGTGCACAGTTGTCTTTGGCTAAGATGTGCAGTCCTTCAGAGTTTTCTTGGAGTTTTGATTAAGCATAAAATAGAGAAGCTCAAGCTATGTAGACTCTCTAACCAAAAATGCTTCTCAAGAAGGGCTCTTTTATCACTTGCTATAAGGGAGGTATATTTATTCTTTGAATCATTTTTTATATCTCCATTCCATTCTTTGTGGTCGCATAAAGCACACACATCTATTTACAGCCCTTCAAGGTAAGTACAATCGTCCCCCTTTTATAGATGAGGAAAACAGGACTAACAGACATGAGCTAATTGGCCCAAACTGGAAAATTGAAATCCAGGTCTTACTGATTCAAAAGCCTGAGCTTTTCCACAAAATCAATGGTTCCCAAGTAATTCATTCTAAAACTAATGCTTGAGACACATATGAATTTGGAGGAACCTTAGGAATCCCTGTATTAGCCACACAAAAGAATAGCAGGGCTTCCTGGGCCCATGGAAGAAGGTGACAAAGAATAAAGGTGGAATATAATGTCCGTGCTACATCACATATGACATGCTCTGACTTAGGACGCTTAAAATTGGGAGCCTAATTTTTGGTCTTGCTTCTCTAGCCCAT
This sequence comes from Homo sapiens, assembly GCF_000001405.40. Lineage (NCBI taxonomy): Eukaryota > Metazoa > Chordata > Mammalia > Primates > Hominidae > Homo > Homo sapiens. Next base: position 5,401,631 of record NC_000012.12, read on the forward strand.
TATTTCTAAAAATAACACATTTTTACTTTTCTATATTTCACAGGATATGGCAGAGTCTCCTTGAGAAAAACAAAGCAAAGATGCTTTGCAAGTAAATATATGCTGAATGAATGAATTACCACAAGTTATTCATTCTCTGTTCATTAATTAATGTTGCTTCATTCATCAGCTGCATTGTCCAATTTACTTTAGCAGACCGGCTGTCATCAACTCCAGAGAGCTTATGAAGGGTTGAGATAATTAGTCTCAATACCCTTAAGGAGAAGTGGAGGTACAGTCTTGCTCTCTTGAAGAATTGCACACTAAGAAACCACAAACCAGCATCTAAGTGAGTTATTGACTGAATATGAAATGATCAGATTGATGCATACTTAAATGTTGCAACTGCATAGATCTAGAAGGGAATGTGTTTTCCAAAGTAGATGGGATGTTCCTTTTGCCATGCTAAAGATGTAGGTCTAATCAGTCTTCTCTCTGAACTCTTAGCGAGATGGAAATTCTGCAGCAGGCTGCCTGCCGCCCGATGTGCCCAGCAGAGCCGGCTTAAAATGCAGGAAACACCTGTGGTATATTCTAAGAGGGCCCCTTCCCCTTAAAATAATCTCTTCCCCATTAGCCTCTGGCAATACTTGGCATGCTGCCATTCATTTCTTGTGCCGATAATGGTTTTTTTCCTGGAATAGGAGCGATTGACATGACAAGAACTGAGATGGGGCAGTTCTGATACAACTGACAAAGAATTAGCAGTACAGAGCATGAGACCCTGCATAAAGACAAATGTGAGTGAAGACACCCTGTCAGACAAGTGAAAGTTTGGCAGCCCATTGAGCCTGGTGTGCTATCAAGAAAAGAGTAAAGAATGGAGAATTACTTGTGTGCACACATGCATGTATGTGCACAGGGAAGGAGGCTATTTGAGAGAAGTTCCCCAGCCAGGCTGCCCAACAGAGCTTTAGGAGGGCCAGTCATTGTTACCATCTTCCCTGTGGTCTGCTCTACTTCTATATTTCCTCTTCCCCCAACCCTTTGTAGAATTTATTCAAAGCGTGTTAAATAGATCTTGGAATCGCTGAGCAAGCTAGCAAACCAGCCTCCCTAAGCAGGCAGCCTCAAATGATGGCTGGGCTGCCAGTGCTTAAACAGAACTGAAGTCAAGAGGCCTTGATTCCATTCTGGCTCTGTCAGTAGTGGGGAATGGCCTTAATTTCTCTCCAGTTCTATCATTCAGTGTTTGACCTTCTAAGTTCCCTGGGAGCATCACAATTCACTGTTTTCCCCTGTGTCTTAAAGTTGCAGACTGAGCCAGGTTGGCAGGCTCTTCAGCCACAATCAACCAAGGATGTGTACAGAGAGCTAGTCAAGGGGTGTGTGTGTGTGTGTGTGTGTGTGTGTGTGTGTGTGCATGTATGAACAGGGTGGGGGTAGGGAAGAAAAGCTTAATATCCGTCTTTCATTCATATAGTACACAAACATTTATAGAACCCTATTGGGCATCAGACACTAAGCTGGACAGTGATATCTTAAAACAAAAGCTCTGTGAATATATTTTTTAAATATCCAGGAGTATAAGTTAGAGGAGCCCACAAGATTATGCACGTGAAAATGGGATAAGGATGTAGGTGAAGGAACATTACAACAGGTAGTGTGAAACGGGAAAGTTAACCCCAGAAAACAATCTGAAAATGTTGTGGTTTGAGGAGAAAGAGAGGGAAAAGGTCACCCTGGGCATAATTTGGCTCCAAGATAAATTTTCCCTCTAGTAGAAGTTGGCTAAGAAAAAAGCAGCAGAGTCCTCACTCTTCCCCTAAAAATGGGCTGGGATCTTTACCCAAAGCACTATTATGCATTCGAACATTCTATTACTATATTTATATGGGAAAGAGAGAAAACAATTCACAGCCACCACCCGCCCCCACTCCAGTTCTTTTTCTTGCTGCTCTCCATTTGTCTTTGTTGCTGGCATATTATTTCACTAGAGAAGAATGTCCTATTTTAAGGGATAGAAGATGGTATGTGGGGTGGAGGTTATACTAATAAATTTGACATGAAAAAAGGAGACCACCTCTAACTTCTTCATGATAAAGGAAAACCAAGCCCACACTCCTGAAACTCACTGTCATCTCAACGTGATAGGGAGAACTTCAGGAGAGAAGGGAGCTCTTCAGAGGGTAGCTCAGCATATGCCAGGCTGGTGGGGATGCACAGCAATGCCTTGAACCCCCTAGGATTTTGTTAGTGCCCTACACTCTCAGGAATTTCCTAGATCTCCTCTATGGCTAGATGCCTCCTTTTACTCAGAATGTGTTACCTACATCCAACTCCCCTTGGATAATGCCAGTCCCAGATACCCTGTGTCATTGAATACACACTTATTGATTATCTTCTGTTCCAAGAAACTCCAAATGCTAAGAACTTAAAGATGAATAAAAATTTCCCTCTTGCTAGACTATTCATTTGCTAGGACAGCCGTAACAACACACTGTAGACTGTGTGACTTAGACAATAGAAATTTATTTCTCACAATTCTGCAGGGGAGAAGCCGAAGCGCAAGGTGTCAGCAGGTTTCGTCTCTTCTGAGGCCTCTCTCCTTGGCTTGCAGATGGCCTCCTTCTCGCTGTGTCCTCACGTGGCCTTTTTTCTCCATGTGCGTGCATCCGTCGTGTCTCTCTGTGAGTTCAAATTTCCTCTTCTTATAAAGACACTAATTAGACTGGATTAGGGACCATTCTAAGGGCTCATTTTAACTTAGTCACCTCTTTAAAGGCACTTTCTCCAAATGCAGTCACTTTCTGAACTACTATGGGTTAGGACTTCAACATATAAATTTGGGGGAGACACAGTTCAGCCCAGAACAGCAAGTCACCTCCCTTTACTGATGATAAAACAGGCATCTTAATCCAACTCACATGAAAAAAAGCCTCAATTTGTTTAAAGGTCCAACAAGCTGAATCACAGTTGAAGCACTTTTGGTCACACTAGGTACTTCCTACAAGTCTGATGACTTGACCTTCTCTCAGGTGTATGGGGAAACCTCTACAATTTCAGGTTCTGTAGAGGTTTAACATGCAAAGAGAATTCTAGGCAGAGGGAACAGATGAAGCAAAAGCACAGGCATGGGAAGATCCTAGTGAAAAAGTTGTGTGTGTAAGGTGTTGTCTTATGGGGGAGGGTTAGGAGAGGAGAGAAAAGGTGGGTTGGACCCGGAGTCTAAAAGGCTGGACATATGTGCTAAGGATCTGGATTTCATCCTACAGGCCTCCAGTGGCAAGTAGTCCTTTTTAAAGGCATATGATTGTAGGTGGCTGTGTGAAGAATGGACCAGAGAAGGCAGAGACTCGGGGATTCCACTTACGAAATGACTGCAGAGGTTTGGGGCATTGTGGAACAGTGAGGAAGCCACAGGGTCGGGGGTAGAGGTTGCCCTCACCGCAAAGGCTTGAGGCATCCCAAAAAGACTTCCAATGCCCTTTTAATCTCTCGGAACAGATAAATGCCAGTCAAGTCAGACTCAAGGGAAGGTCATTGGCCAGACCCTTTTTGTGAATGCCAGCACAATGCCATTGGTTTCCCTTGTATTTGAACTGAAACCATACTGAGGGAAGAAAGGAATGACATCAGAAGCTGCCGGAAGATATGCAGGGAAACTTGGTGGCCATGTTAGCTGTTGGATAATTTAATTAATTCTTAGAAAACTGAGCTATAGCTTCTCTTTCTCATTACAGTATTCTTGGAAGAAAAACATGTGCCTTCTGCTAACTGTCTGGTGTGTCCAGTTCTGAATGTCAAGACCAAGTCCTGAAAATGGGTACTGGGGACGACTTAAGAGGTGAGTCAAGGTGGGTCTCACCCACTGGATCAGAGGGGGCTTCTCCACCACTGGGAGCAAAAACCTGTCTTCTACAGATGGCAGAGCAGAGAATGTTCCCCTTTCAAGAAGGCCCACTTAACTTGATTTTTTTTCTTAAAGCTTTTCATTCCCTCACTCAGCATTTGTCAAGCACCTTGTATGTGTCAAGCTGATGATAGGCATTGATGCTACACAGATGGTTATAACCTGGTCCAGCAAAATCTCTTGCTGTCTGGTAGGGACCAGGCAAATACAAATGGATGAGTTAAAGTCCTGCATAATAGATACCTCATTGGAACTATGAACCAATGACTCCAGAGAAAGAGCCACACCTGACTGCCTGTCATCTTCTGACAGAGGATGTCATGTTGTATGCGGTGTGATCATCTACCAAGATCCTAGGACCAATTATATGGCTCATTGACCTGCACGGGTACCTGGAACTTCAGCTCAAACATTTACGATAACCAAGCATCCAAAAGCTATGAAAACACAGAACTGGCAGCCAATCCATTAAATCACTCAAACATCTATTAACTAGCAATTGTATAAAATTTGCTGGATTTGAGCACTGTAAGGGTATAGAAGGGCAAATGAAGATCAATAACAGGAGAGGAAAGAGAAGAGTAAAACAGTTAGCATCTGTTGATGGCCAGGCATCATATTAAGTATTTCATATATATTATTTAATTCTGAAAGGATCTTTTTGTAAGTTAAGAAGCTGAGGTGACATGAGTTGCTCAAGTTCACACAGACAGCAAAGGGTGAGCCATTGCAATGCAAAGCCCATGTCCAATTCCTCACTCCTTGCTACTCTAGCAAGAGTTCTGGGGGTAAGTTTTGTAAGGAGAGAAAGAAAAGAGAGAAAATCCTTGACAGTAAGTGAAGCAAAAGCCTGGATATCTGAATGGGAGGAGACACCGTTGCAGAGCCCATCCGTCCTGATTTTCCCAGAGGCACGGGAGCAGAGCACGTCCCCACCGAACCTAAGCACGCGGAAAGATGCCCACAGATTGCTGCATTTGTATTTTTACTGAGCCAGCATTGAGGAATTCCACAGACACATATGTTGTGTACATACGTGGGCTATCACTTTTTAGGTGGATGTACGTGTTAGGATTATCGAAATAAGCATCCATTTAAAAGAATGATTTGAATTTGTACCTTTCTGTCATGAAAATTCTGTTAATGGATGTAATAAAGTCAGTCACTATTCTGTGTAAAGCATGATGACATTTTTGGATCTTGGCATCAAATCAGGAAACTCATTTTAGAATAGGATATACAGGCCAAAAGACTACAGAAATCTTATGGTTTCCTCTGGCTAATCTCTATCAAGTTCTTACAAAGTGCCAAGACACTATGGGAAGAACTTTGTACATGATTTTACTTCAGCTTCACAGCAAACTCTAAAAGTAGGTAACATGGATCATCCCGATTTTACAGACGAGAAAATCAAAGATCGGAAAGATTAAGTGACTAGATCAAGGCCAGCTGTTTCTATGCACTTTAACATATTAGCTCATTTAATACTCATAACACCTCTGTGAGGTAGGTACTATTATTGTAAGCATGCTCTGCATTTTACAGACAAGGAAACAGAAACACAGAGAAACCCAAGATCACCCAGCTGCTAAGGCCTTGAGCTGCTCTTTGTCCCTGTGCTGGATTTGACCCACAGAGCCCAGCTCTTAACTACCAGCCTCTCTCATCTCTTTGATAAGCCACAGTTCTCCCCTCCTTGATGCTACCTCAGAGAGATATATGACTTCCCTGCAGAATCCATCTTCATCCTGTGGGTGTAAAAAGACCCTTGAGCACGTCCCTTGGGTAATAAAGCAGCTAGCTTCCACAGCTTTTTTTCAGCTACCGCTAAAATGCTTTTAAAGGAACTACTCAATAAATTGGGCTAATTTCAGTGGTGTTTATCATTCTAATGGGGTGGTGCTCTGGGTATAATTATGTACAAGATAAACTGTCCAGTAGAGAGAAAAAGAAACTCCTGCACTCACAGCCAAGACAGGGAGATGAAACTCTGCCCTGAGACTCATGGGGACCCTTTCATTCATTGGTTGTGAGAGACTGCAGGCTTTAAGGACCTCTGCCAATTCCATCTCTCCCTACCTCCAACACATCTGACCAGTGCAGTTCCCCGGGATTCACTTTCTCCAAATGGAATCTAGATTTCTTCCAGTGCAGTCTCAGGTTTCATTTGCTTCTGCACAGAAGCCTCTCCGTCTTTGCCTCTGTCTGCATTCCACTGAACCTCTGCTCACTCCTGCAGAACTGCTCACTGTTAAGCCACATCGCTGCATCCTTAATCTGGCCGCATGGTCTTTTGAATCTAAACACAAGACTTGAAGTTTTTGTCTTTTTCTTTCATTTTTAATTTGATATTGCTAACTTTTACTCAGCTTTACAAATCTCCAACTTCTGAATGTTATTTCTATCATTTATTATATGAACAAATATTTCCAAGAATGGAGAAATCTACAAGTTTGGAAAGCATGAACTCTTGTCTTCTTCCAAGTCATTGATGAAAAGTGTGGAACGTGGATGCAGCTCTCTGTAAATTTCCCTTGTGACCTGACTACAGGTTGACTTCAACCTACTGAGACAGTCAAATTCCCTATTGGCCAGTCCAGCTTCTGTGACATGTTTTCAGTGAATGCTTCCCAGACCCTAGAGACCGTCACTTTCCAGTCTAAAAATTCAGAATCACCAATTCAATGATCTATTCTAAAATATAGACATAAATTAGTAGTGTTTGTAACTTTTTCTCATTATAAATGGCCTCAGCATATTTAAATATTTTATAGATACTAGATATTCTAATATTCAAATGCTTTATAATATTCTAGAATATTAAATAATATTTAATATTGAATTCTAGAATATTCCATTTAATCTATAGTATCCCAAAGTCATCTTTCTCTCCTGTTTTGGAAACTAAAACATTTGGCCATATCCAATATTTAATCCATTTTTCATGATATTTCAAAGATTATAAACAATTGTCTAAGATCATAAATGATAATTCACTTAGTGGTTCAGCAGAGCCAGGAGGTTTGAATTTAGAAAGTGCCTCGTGTCCTCTTGACTCCGCCTATTCTCCCATGGAGGCCACAAGTAGAAAAATTTGGAATCTATTTATTGCACCATAGACACACCCGTGAAAACCCCCCTCACTATCTGTTTGTCAAGAGATCAGAAAGTTCTAGCTATTCACTCAAGATCACAGGACAAAGAACAGGAAAGATGTCTCCTGAGGTCAGCTGGCAATATCATGTAGTCACGGCATGTCTCCAACACATTCTTCATCTCAGAACCTGAAACCGACTGGCAAATGAAAAAGGACTGTAAGATTTTAGAACCTGAAGGAATTCAGAGATTATCTAGATAGCACCTTCATCTTGCTGATAAAAAAATGAATCTCACACAAGGAAAGTGGCTTAATGAGTATTACATGTTGTATCCATGATGGAGACAATTTTAAAACCTCTGTCTTCTGACCCTAGTCCTGGGCTCTTTCCATTTTACTGGATTACTTTTCTAAACCCTGAATGGCATATCAGATGAAACAGTTATCAATGGTGCAACGGATTTGGGCTAAACAATAACACAATTTTGAACAATTTTCTTCAAGAGCACTATTTAAGTAAGGAACCAGAAATAGAAGAAAACACAATTCTCATAGATATTGCTTAGAACGGTCCCTATACCCTCCTCTCTGACATTCCCTTCACCCATCCTAGTTCTTCAACATAGTAATAACTGCAATTCGTGAAGCACTCATTTTATGGCAGGTGCTGTTTCAAAGTACTTTAACATACTAATTCATTCAATACTCACAAAACCTTATAAAACAGGTACTAGTATTATCATTGTCATATTTATTTTATAGATGTGTAAACAGAGTCACAGAAGAGTTCAGTAATTCCTCTAAATTTGTATAGCTGCTAAAGTGATTTGAACCCAAAGTAGCACTCCAGAATTTGTGTTCTTCACTGTTAGGCAAAACTCTCTCTCCTGCTCACATATGGCTCTTGGGGGACATCATCCAGACAGGCATCTCTAATCAGGATAACCACCTCTTTACAACAGCCTGTACCTTCCTTTCCTGCCCTAGTCAATCTGATAAACTGATATGTGTTAATGAGCACAAATGAGCTACCCGTATGAGTTGATATCTTTTTATCAGGGGACTTCTGGAGACAATGCCTTTGCATGAACTTAATTCAACAAACATTTTTCAACTACAGGCTCCATAAAGGATATATTAAAGATGTTCTCAAGAAAGTCAACTTTGCCCTTCCCATCACATGATGATATCATCTGCCTGGTGTGTGGTGAATAATTAATTACACTGTGCCTGAGACACACAATATACCTTGAGGTCACCTCTTCCCTCCTAATCCTTCAGCTGAAGCAATTAAATATTAAGACATTGCAGAGCTCATAGCTTTGTGGTGCCCACATTGCAGGCACACTACCAAGGGCCTCACAACTTTTATCCTATTTAATCATCACAGCAATTTATTTTACAGATGAGGAAACATCGGCTCAGAGAAGCAATTACATGCTATTAAAGATCTTGCCCAAGATCTCCAGCTGGAAACTGGCTTAAAAATGTTAAGATTCAACACAAGTTTGTTTGGTTCTATAGCCGTTGTTTTCCTTTTTTTTCCTCTTTTTTTTTTTTAAATCATCCTATGTTCTCTCACATCTATTAGCCCATTTCAGGATAGAGGTCATCCAAGAGGGAGTGTGGGAGGTATTTTGTGGGAGCAGGATGGGGTTATACGCTAAAGTCACCAAGCTTTATTGGAAATCAACTGGAATGAAGGCTAGATTTAGAGATGGGAGACATGTAACATTATTTGAAACTTCTCCTGCTTGTGAAGTTAGAGGGTTTGGACAAGATGCTTTCTAAACTGTGATATGGCCCTAAGGGCAACATGTGAGGAGCAGGAGATAACTAGAGTCAGGACAGGCTCTCTTTGTCCCCAGCCTAACTGGACACCAAAAAGATGCAGAAAAAAACATGGGCTATGTAGAACATAAGTTGCTAGAAGGTCAATATTTCCCAAATGTTTGATTTTTGCAAACCACTTAGTGATTTTCCCAAATATGCATATCTCTGGGAAAATAGGCATCTTTCTGGGCTATGCAGAGCATAACTTGCTAGAAGTCCGATATTTCCCAAACTTATGTCCTTTGCAAACCACATAGTGGTTTTCCCAGATATACATATCTCCCGTTTTACTTAATTAAAGGAACATTTTCTTTTATTAACAAATTATTGAAGTCTAATAGTCATGCAGAGAGGTACCCCAATCACAAATGTATTACTTGGTAAATCTTCAAAAAGTAAACATTCCTATGTAACTATCACCCAGATCAAGAAATGAGTACCAGTACCTGAGAAGTCCTTATTCTACCTCCCTCTAAACACCTCTTTTCTCCTCTTCAAAGGTAATCACTGTCATAACTTCAAAAACCACAGACTAGTTTGGCTTCTTATAGAAATTTATTAAAAATGAAATTGTATATATGTATATCTTTGCATGCATATATATATATATATACACACATACTTGTATGTATACATATTTCTGTTTTTAATATGTGTATATATGCATGTGTGTATATGTACATGTATATATGTGTGTTTGTATATACACACACATATATACACACACACATAGATATGTATTATATATAATATAGGGTCTCACTATGTGGTGCAGGCTGGAGTGCAGTGGCCACCGTAATCATAGTGCACTGTAGCCTCAAAGCCCTGGCCTCAAATGATCGCCCTACCTCAGCTTCCTGAGTAGCTAGGACTACAGGCATGTGCCACCACACCTGGCTTTTTGAAGTTAGATATTATGTAATCTTTTGTGCCTGGCTTTTGTGTTTCAACATATTGGTAGTCAGATTTATCTAAGTTTGTTGCATGCAGCAGTAATTCATTAACTCATTTGCTGTAGAGTATTCCATTGTATGAATACACTGCAATGTATTCATTCATTCTACAGTTGAGAGCATTTAGATTGTTTCCAAAATACTGCTACTACAAACATTTTTTGCATATTTTTTGTGTGGAAGTATAACATATTTCTGTTGAGAATATATTTTGGAAGGGATTGCTGTGTCAAAGATAAGTGTATGTTCAGCTTTAATAAATACTGATAAAATAGTTTTCTAAAATGCTGTGCCAATTTATATTCACACCAGTAGTGCATGACAGTTCCAGTTGCTCTACATCTTTATCAACACTTGCTATTGTCAGTCTTTTTATTTTTAGCCATTCTGATTTGGGTGCAAGTGTATTGCATTGTAGTTTTAATTTGCATTCCCATTTTGGCTATTGAGGTAGAGCAGCTTTATATTTAGATAATTCTATTTAGTGAAGTGCTGGTTCAAGTCTTTTGCCCACCCCCTTTTTTTTTGCTGGATCATCTTACTTTTTTCTGATTTATTTGTAGTAGTTATTTATATGCTCTGGACACAAGCCCTTGGTTTATAACATGTATTGCAAATAGCTTCTCTCACTTTGGGAATTACTCTTTCACTTTCTTAATGGTAGGTACCTTTATATAAACATTTTTAAGTTAATACAGTCCAGTTTGTCAATCTTTTTATGTTTAGTGCTTTCCTTTTATCCTAAGAAATATTCTCTTATCTCAGGGTCATAAGTAAATTTTCCCAATATGTTATATATGCTTTATTATTTTACCTCTTACATTTAGGTTTACCATTCACCTGTAGTTAGTTTCTGTATATAGGGTGAGGTAGGAGCAAGATTCATATTTTTTCACGTGGGATATATACTTTACTCAACCCAATTTAGTTTAAAAATGTATCCTTTCCCCTTTCTCTGCAGAGTCATAAGTGCCCACATACTATGTGTTTGCTCTGGATTCCTTACACTGGTCCATTAGTCTATTAGCCTATTCTTGTGCAAATGCCACAGTCTCAATCAATGTAGCTTCATATTGATTCAGAATATCGGGTAGTGAAAGTCACATAACTTTGCTATTTTACAAGATCGACTTGGCTTAACTTGGTGGTTTTCAGAATAAATTTAATAGTATAAATTTTAGAATCGGCTCATCAATTTCATACCTCAATGCACATACACATACAAAAACCTTCCTGTGATTTTTGTTTGGCATTGTAATGAATGCATAAATCAGTTTGGGAAGAACTGACGTATTTAAGATATTGAGTCTTCCAATTTATGAACATGTTGTATCTCTTATTTATCTTCTTTGATTTCTTTAAATAATACTTTGTACTCTTCCAGGTAGAGGTGCTGTACTTCCTTTATTAAAATTATTCTTAGATACAAAATGTTTTTATTCTGTTGAAATGGCATATTTTTAGATTTAATTTTCTAATCATTTGCTGCTAATAAATAAAGCTGATTTTTGTGTGATTACTTTGTATGCAGTGATCTTACTAAATTCACTCTCTAAATACATTATCAGGAGATTCTTTTGACAGCTTTATATCCATGAATAATGGCAAGATTATTTCTTCCTTTTCAACCAATTTATCATATAGGTTGGTGCAAAAGTAATTGCGGGTTTTGCCATTATTTTTAATTACTTTTGCACCAACTAATATTTCATTTATTTTGCCTTTTCATCCTGACTAGGATCTCTAGGTTAGCCGATGTCCTTGTCTTGTTACCATTCTCAAGACAAAAGCTCCCAATACTTCATCTTTAAGTAAGATGTTTGCTGTAGGTTTGTAGGTGTTGTGTGGGAGGTGGTATGTATGTGTGTGTGTGTGTGTGTGTGTGTGTGTGTGTGTGTGTGAGTAGATACACTTTATCAGACTTGGGAGACTTTTTTCTGTTTTTAATTTGCTGAGTTTGCTAGTTTTATGATGAATGAGAATTTAATTTCACCAAATAATTTTTCTGCATCTATTAAGATGATCATATGCTTGCTTTCTTTTGTGCTCTTCATGTGCTGAATTAAACTGATTTTTTCAATGTTCAATCAATCATGCATTTCTGGAATAAACACAAATTGAACGTTATTTTATTCTTTCTTGTGTCTCGGATTTTGCCTACTAATAATGAAAAATTTTGCAACTACATTTATAAGAGAGACTGGTATGTAATTTTCTCTTCTTGTATGTTTTACAGGTTTTAGCTTCATAAATAATTTGGAATGTATTCCCTCATTTTATTCCCTAATAGACTGTGTGTAAGGCTGATGTTATTTCTTCATTAAATACTTATAAGAATTCATTGGGGAAGTTATCTAGGCTAGGGAATTTATTTCAAGAGGATTTTAATTACAGACTCAATTTCCTTAAAAGTAATTTATGTCATTTTTAAGAATTAATGGTTGTTTTCTAGGAATTTGTACACTTTATACACATTTTTAAATATGATATAATTTTGTTCCCAGTATCCTTTTATATATCCTTATTTAAAGTCTTTAGGATCTGTGATTCCCCTTTTTTTATTCCTGATATTGTTAATTTGTGCCTTCTATATTTTTATTGATTAGCATTGCCAAGATCAATTATGTTTAATATCAATTATATTAGTCATTTATAAAGACATCTGAAAAATGTTAAAATTTGTGAATTCCTCTATGCTGTTTGTTTTCTCTTTCATTAATTTCTGCTCTTCTGTGCAGTGTTTTCTTACTGTTGTTTTCTTTGCATTCAATAAGTTCTTTATTTGCTAAATTTTTTGTGTGTGATGAGGACAGACTCTTGCTCTATTGCCCAGACTGGAATGCTGTGACATGATCATCACTCACTGCAACCTTGAACTCCTGAGTCCAAGCAATCCTCCCACCTCAGCCTCCCAAAGTGCTAGGATTACACTGTGCCTGGCCAATTTGCTAACTTTTTGAGATGGTATTTAGTTAAATAATTTTTAGCTTTTATTTTTTTCTAATATATACATTCAAGGACATACCATTTTCTTTAATCATGGTTTTAGTTGTATGTCACAAGTTTTTTTATATCATATTTCATTATCACCCAGTATGAAATGTTATTTACCTTGTAATTCTTTAACTTATGCATTATATAAAAATGTATTGCTTAATATCCAAACACTTAGGAATTTGATTGCTTAGTTTAACTCAACTGTAGTCAAATTAAATATTTTATATGATTTTAAACTGTAGAAAAGTTTTGATGCTTGCTTTATGAACCAGTCTGCGGTCAGTTCTATTAATTGTCACTTGTGCACTTGAAAATGATTGTGAGATTCTATATTAGTCAGCTTGGGCTGCCATAACAAAGTACCATAGACTGGGTGGCTTAAGAAACAGAAATTTATTTTCTCACAGTTCTGGAGACTCAAAGTCTCAGATCAGGGTGCCAGCATGGTCAGGTTTTGGGGAGAGTGTTCTTGTTTGCTCACATAGCCGAGAGACAGAGCGAGAGTGAGACAGCAAGAGAGAGCGAGAGTGAGAGAGCGAGCAAGAGAGAGAGGAGTGCAAGGTCTCTGTTGTCTCTTCTTACAAGGGCACTAATACCGTTCCAAGGGCCCCCCCTCATAAGGTCATCTAAACATAATGTCTCCATCAGTCCACTTTTTGCTGCTAGAACAAAATATCACAGACTTGGTAATTTATGTAGACAAGAAGTTAATTTGGTTTATGATTCTGGAAGCTTGGAAATCCAAGAGCAGGCACCAGTATCTGGTGAGGATCATTCCATGGCAGAAAAGCAACACCTAGCAAGCAAGCCTAAGTTATCTTTTCATCAGAAATCCATTCCTGTGATAACTATTTCACTCCCAGGATAACAGCATTAATCCACCCCTGAGGGAGGAGCTCTCATGAGCTATTCACCTTTTAATGGATCCACTTCCCAATACTATTACAATGGCAATTAAATATCAACGTGAGTTTTGGTGGGAAAATTCAAACCCTAGCCCCTAATTAACTCCCAAAGGCCTCATCTCCAAGTACCATCACATTGGGTGTTAGGAATTCAACATATGAATTTGAGGGCACCTTAGGTTAGTCCATAGAAGTTGCAGTATTTTAAATATTTGTCATCAATAAGTTCAACTTTATTTATCATATTGTACAAATATTTTATAATGTTATTAATTTTTTTCTACTTGATCTGTTAGTTACAGAGAAGTGTATATTAAAATCCCCCACTATCATTAGGGATTTTCCTATTCTTGAATGTGTGTCTATTATATCATATATGTAAAACATATGCATGTTACTAGGTAGATGCATATTTAGATTTTAAGTGTATTGAAACTTATTGTTATTAAATAGTCTTCATTTCTAGTAATGAGATTTGTCTTACTATTGATTTTACCTGTTATCAGTATAGTTGTACCACCTTTTTAAATTTATGTTTTAATGGTATATGTTTTACAAACCTCTTGCCTTCAACCTTTCTTTATGTAATGACCATGTAGTAGTCTTTTTAAAAACTCAGTTTGTATGCTTTAATTGAGTTATTTAATTACTTTATTTCTTTATATTTATTCATTAATATATACATAACTAATATGTTTGGGTTTAATTCTCTACTACTTTATTATTGATTTTGTATGTGCTTCATCTGTACCATATTCAATTCTCACTCTTTTCTGGCCTTCTGTGGAATTAATTAATATTTTCTCATCTCCCACATTAGCATCTTAAATAAACATTCTTTTACCATTTATTTTGTGGTTATCACAGAGACTACAACATGCTACCTTGAATTTTTTAAGTCTACTATATATTAGTATTTTTATTACTTCCCAAAGAATGAAAGGTCCTTAGACTCCTTTTCCTACTTACAAATTACTGCCTTTTGTGCTATTTCTGTCATTAATTAATTCTACAATATATTTAGTGATTTTGTAAAGTTAATATTCATGCATATTTGCCACATATTTAACCTTTCTGTTGCTTTCTGTTGCTTTATTTCTCATTTCCATACTTTTATATTAAATTATTTTTCTTATGCAGGAATAACTCTTTGTAATATTTCCTTTAGTGCACATCTTCCAATAAAAGTTACCTCAAATTTTAATGATCTGAAAATAACTTTATTTGAGATATTTTTAAAGAACATTTTACTGGATGAAGAATTTGAAATTAACAGTTATTTTCTTTTGCACTTTGACATTCTCTTGTCTTTTGACTTCCACAATTTCTGTTAAAAAGTCATTAGTCTTGTTGCAATTGAAAGTAATGTGTTTTTTCCCCTCTGGTAATTTTTTTTTTGGTTTTGTCTTTATTTTCAGCAGATTTATTGTGACTCATCAGATTTAGTGTGGTTTTCTATCTATTTATCCTGTTTCAGGCATGCTGAGCTTCTTGAAAATCTGGGTTAGTATCTTTCATCAATTTTCAAAAATTCTTCACATTATCTCTTCACTGATTGCTACTCATTATTCGCTCCCTTTTTTCCTGGAATGCTAATTATATATGTATTATAACTTTTTTATGTATCATATGTCTCACATTCTTTTATGCATTTTCCATTATTTTTCACTCCACATTTCTGCCTAGATATTTTCTACTAATCTATCTTCCGGCCTAGTAATCTCTTCAGTTGCATTTAACCTGAATTCTTAAGTTTGTTGTAGGTTTTTAGTTCTAACATTTACATTTGAGTCTTTTAAATATATTGTTAGTCTTTCATGAAATTATTCCTTTTGCTATGTATATATTGAACATAGTGATTAGTTATTTAAAAGTCTGTGTCTAATAACTTCAATATATGGATATTCTTGGATTTTCTTTCTATTGTCTGATTTTTTTCATTTGTTTCTCAATCATTTGGACATATTTCCTCATAATTTATTATTGAATGATGGAGATACTGTATGGAGCATTGTACAAATAACTTGATGCATGGTATACTCTTTCTTCATCTTTCCTTTTCTTCTGTCAGGCTAAGAAAAAATCATCTTAAACCTATTGATTGAGTTGATTGAAAAATTTTTTTTATTATTGCAAAAGTGATTCTATTTTTGGTTCTCTCTTACTCCTAAGAAGTAGCCATTTGATTGTTTGCAGCCAAACAATCCAAATGGAAAGCCCTTCTCCTTCAGTGAATCTTGAGATCCAATTTTTGTCTCTGAAGCCTGGAAAGATTACTAAAAGTTCATCTCCATTTTTTATCCTCTCAGCTTCCACTTACAAATCAGCATATGCCTCAATAGGAACATGGAGCTGAAGATCAGTCTCACTCCTCTGTACTTCCCTTTTTCTCTGGGATCTTATCCTCACTTATTCATGCTGCTATGGATGAATTACTTCAAAAGTATGTTTTCCTTTTTACTCACCATTTTATTATGGGAACTTTCAGATATAAAAAATAGGTTAAAGTGTGTTACAGTGAACAGCCTTATACCCACAGATCAGATTCTATAATTTAAATTTCATCCTGATTGACTTATTATATGTCTCTCCCTCTATCTGTCCCTCTGTCCATCTGTCAATTAATCTTACTTTTTGATGAATTTCAAAATACATTAAGGATATGAGGACATTCCCTTTTAAATCTTTCAGCCTGCATTTCATTAACTAGTGTTTTACATTGTTTTACAAATATTTTTCATTAGATATAAAATTTAAATAAACAATTTGCATGAATCTTAAATGAACATAGACAGACAAGGGTATACGCTGTACAATCCAAGCCTCTATCATTCCAGGAAGTCCCCTAGTGCTTCTTTCCCATTATTCCTCACTCCTGCCCCATCCCCACAGAGGCAACTGTTATTATAATTTTTTGTACAATAGGTTAGTTTTGCCTGTTGTAAAACTTCATAAAATGGAATCACATAAAATGTATAATTTTTTGTAAGTCTTCTTGAACTCAACATAACATTTTTGAAGTTCATCCATAGTACTCTGTGTATCCATAGTTTATTCCTATTTCATTCTAAGGAATATTCTATTATACAAATACACGACAGCTTGTTTACTCATTCTCCTTTGAGGGATACCTGAGATATTTGTATCCTTTGCCCTGTTTCTGATCTTAGGGGCAATGAATTCAACATTTCACTAGTAAATATTATGTCAGTTTTATGGATGCTTTTTATCAGATTGCACCTTTTATCAGATTGTGGAAGTTCCCTTTGCATCCTGCTTTGCTGTGTGTGTGTGTGTGTGTGTGTGTGTGTGTGTGTGTGTTTATCATGAATAGGTACTGAATATTATCAAATGCTTCTCCTGAATCTATTGAAAAGATTTTTCACCCTTATCCTATCAATACGGTGAACTACATTGATTGATTTTCAATGTTAACTGACTGCATTGCTGGGATAAACCCAACTTGGTCCATATATATATATATATATATATATATATATATATATATATTCTATTCATGATATTCATGAATATTTTGTGATACAGTTCAATTGTGTCCCCTCCCAAATCTCATCTTGAATTGTAGCTTCCATAATTCCTATATGTGGTGGGAGGGACCTAGTGGGAGGTAATTGAATCATGGAGGTGGGATTTTCTCATGCTGTTCCCATGATAGTGAATAAGTCTCACGAGATCTGATGGTTTTATAAATGGGAGTTCCCCTGCACATGCTCTCATGCCTGTTGCCATGTAAGACGTGACTATGCTCCTCATTCGACTTCCACCATGATTGTGAGGCCTCCCCAGCCATGTGGAACTGTGAGTCAATTAAACCCCTTTCCTTTATAAATTACCCAGTCAGTCTCAGGTATGTCTTTATTAGCATTGTGAGAACAGACAAATATAGAATTTCAGCATTTGTTTATAAAGATGTTGGTCTGCAACTTTATTTTTCACTTATTTTTCTTAAGGAGAGTAATGTCTTTGTCTCTTTGCCAGGTTTTGGTATTAGGATTATACTCGCCACATATAACAACATGGGAGTTGTTTCAAGACTGATGCTATTTCTTCCTTAAATTTTTGGCAGAATTCAACAGTGAAAACATCTTTTTCTACTGTTTAATTAATGGGAAAGTTTTTGATGATAAATTAATTTTTTCTAATAGATAAAGGCTATTCAGATTTTCTACTTGATCATGCATAAGTGTAAGTTGTATTTTTCAAATTATGCTTCCATTCCACCTAATTTGTCAAATTTATTGCCTGAAATTTTTCATGGAAGTCCCGTTTTCCTTTTAACCTCTGTAGGATCTGAGGTTTTAGATCTTTTATTGCTAAGTTTTTTCTCCTTCATATTTGTAGACCAGTCTAGCTAGGAGACTATCAATTTTGTTGATCTATCTAAAGAACAAATTTTAGTTCCTATTTTCTATTTCATTAATTTCATCTTTGTTATTTCTTTGCTCTACTTGATTTGGTTTGCTCTGTTCTTTTCTATTTATAAGCATTGAAAGCTAAAACTTTTCCTCTAAGCACTGCTTTAGCTGGATCACATAGATTTTTCTTTTCTTTTTTTGTGGAGACAGGGTCTCACTACATGGCCCAGGCTGGTCTTGAACTCTGACCTCAAGCAGTCATCCCACCTCGACCTCTCAAAGCTCTAGGATTACAGGCATGAGCTACCATGCTTCACCTGAATCCCATAGATTTAGCTATATTGTATTTTCATTTTCATACAGGTCAGGATATTTTCTAATTTCCTATGTGAATTCTTCTTTCACCTATGTAATGCCTACATGTGTTGTTTAATTTCCAATTACGTTGGGATTTCCAGATCTCTTGTTCTCATTGGTAAGTAATTTAACTCCATTGTAGTCAGAGAATATACTCTGTGTGATTTCATTTTTTCAATGTACTGGGGCTTGTTTTGTGGCCCAGCATATGGTCTATCTTGGTAAATATATACCAGGGGTCCTTGATAATAAAGTGTATGCCACATTTAATTACTATTCTACAAATAGTGATTAAGTCAAGGTGGTCAATAGTGTTGTCTTTACCTTAACTGATATTTTGATCATTTTTTTCTACTAACTTCTTAAAGAGAGCTATTAAAATGTCAAGCTTTATTGTAAATTGTCTACTTCTCCTTCTATATCTGTAAGTTTTTGTTCTCTCATGTGGTACCAACTGTGGTCTGCCCTCAAGCTAAAAAATATTTTTAAAGCAATAAAATCATCTCTATACCCCTCCCTGTTTTGAAAAGCCAACTCCCCTCCAGAACCTGCCTGCATTTGTTCACTTTTGGGCCCCAGCATATAGTTTTTCTTTGAAAGTTTTGTTTTGGTCTAGAAGAGCTCACTCAGCTGTACTATAAGTGGAACCTTCGCATGGTTTTTAAAGATATTGTTTCCAGGCTGAGCATGATGACTCACACCTGCAATCCCAGCACTTTGGGAGGCTGAGGGGCATATTACTTGAGCTCATGAGTTCAAGAGCAGCCTGAAAAATATGGAAATACAAAAAAATTAGCTGGATGCGGTGGCATGCACCTGGGGAACCAGCTACTCAGGAGGCTGAAGTGGGAGGATCACTTGAGCCCAGGAGGTTGAGGATGCAGAGAGCCACGATTGCACCACTGCACTCCAGCCTGGGTGACACAGGGAGACCCTGTCTCAAAAAAATTTTTTTCCAGCTTTTTAAGGCGTTTCTGTTGGAAGAATTGATATATTACAAATTGGCCTGTATAACCATAAGTAAGAATCCCTAATAAATATATTTTTAAATGAATTTTTGTATCTCCATAAATAAACTTGATAAAGTAAAACAAATTAAATACAACTATTAAAATGTAAAATGTTTATCCATGTACCACCAAAAATAGTTTTCCATGTCAGTGGCAGAAACATTATGCTTTGGGAAAGTACATACTTGCTAAAGTGACCAGATCACTGATATGTGCAATCTCATGTTTGGAAGGAATCTTGACTACCACTTATCCAAATCTGAAACCCCTACACAACAATGTTTCAAAGTGGTCTCATACCTAAGCTCATCCAGTGACAGAGAACAGCTCCTCAGCTGTGGAGGCAAAGGATTCTATTTTTGGAAATTCTGTATATCAGAACCATCAACTTTGTCTTAACTTGAAATCTGCACCCCTGTAAATTCCATCCATCAATCCTAGCTTTACTCCTTGGAATCTTGCAGATTAGTCACACTTTCCATTTACTTCATGACCCTATAGATACCTGGATCTTTTCTACTCCGATTTGTTGGATGTTCCTAGGCTCCTGGGATCCACAATGCTAATGCTAGATATTGGTGTCGGTTTGTTTATGAAAAAGTAATTAGCAGGTAGATACAAGAGTTAAGAATTTATCCCAGGACTTACTGATAGCTTTATCACAGGAAAATTAAAATTAAAAGTTCTGGGGGCCAGGCGCAGTGACTTACGCCTATAATCCCAGCACTTTGGGAGGCCAAGGCGGCCAGATCACTTGAGGCCAGGAGTTTGAGACTAGCCTGGCTAACGTGGCAAAACTTCATCTCTACAAAGAAAAAAAAGAAGAAAAATACAAAAAATTAGTTGGGCATGGTGGTGCACGCCTGTAATCCCAGCTACTCGGGAGACTAAGGCACGAGAATATCTTTAATCCAGGAGGTGGAGGGTGCAGTGAGCCAAGATCATGCCACTGCACTCCAATGTGGGCAACACAGTGAGATGAATCCGTCTCAAAAAAAAAAAAGTTATATCAAAGAAACATTTCCTCAGCAAAATAGATCCTTTCATTATCTTTACTACAAAGCAAAGAAGATAAAAAAGCAAGAAAGATGTGGAGAAAAAAGATTTCCTCAGTTGGGAACCTTAAAAGGTCATCTATAATAATATTATTGAAAAAGAGATAGAGTTCATCTATTTAATCCTGTTTCTTCAGAAAAGACCAACCTTATGTCATCAGAAATAAGAAAGTAGTAATTACACTTTTAAAGCTGTCTTTTAATCCCACCTGTGATTAAAATTCTTTTCTAGCTCCTACTAAAACCTTGCCTTCTTCATTTTAAGTTAATTTTCCCTTGTGTGACCAGTTGTTCACAACAGGAACAAAATAAAGGAAATATTAAAATACACTGAAATAAGAAAGAGAGGAAAGAAGAAATGGAAGGGAGGAATTGGAGGGAAATGAAACGCTTCCAGAAGGAAAGCAGATGTGCCTATTTCTTGGGGGCTGTATGAACACAGTAGACAAACAGCAGCATCCTGGGAATCAGGTGAGTGGGCTCCACACTCTCACTGATGAGTCTGATTGTCTGTGTGGTCTCTGGCAGGTGTGCTCATTTTCCTGGGTTACAATTACTTCCTCTGTAAAATGAGGGGATTGACTAGGGGAATCTGAGTTACCCCCCATTGAACGCATGTCATTCATTCATTGCGTCTACCTGGCAGCTAGTCTGTTTTCCAACTTGAGATATGGGGTGTGGACCAGAGTTCACACTGGGCATCTCCTACCAGTTGTGATTTCATTCTCAACTTAACCACAGACTCCTTGCTAACCATGGGCAAAATCATTGTTTTTAGTTCATTAATTTCTTATGTCTGGAAGGTTATCTGCAACTTTCTTGTGCACCTCTTTTATTTTCTTTATTTTTAAGGTATCCATACAGTCAGTTAGGGGAGATGAACATAGGTGGAAAGATAATAGTTGTCATCATTTGTAAAGTTATTCTCTCTACTCACTCCAATGGAACTAATTTCTAGCTTTTAGACTCATTGTTGAAAACTTCTGATGAAAATTATTTTATATAGTGAGAAAAGGACCAATGGAATTTTCTAATCTTTGTTTGGAGGCAGAGGCAGATATGCTGGAGTAGTAAAATGCAAATCCGGGCTGGGCGCAGTGGCTCCCGCCTGTAATCCCAGCACTTTGGGAGTCTGAGGCGGGCGGATCACGAGGTCAGGAGATCGAGACCATCCTGGCTAACACGGTGAAACCCCGTCTCTACTAAAAATACAAAAAATTAGCCGGGCCTGGTGGTGGGCACCTGTAGTCCCAGCTACTGGGGAGGCTGAGGCAGGAGAATGGCGTGAACCCGGGAGGCGGAGCTTGCAGTGAGCAGAGATCGCGCCACTGCACTCCTGCTGGGGCGGCAGAGAGAGACTCCGTCTCAAAAAAAAAAAGCAAATCCGATGCCCATAGATACTATCTTGACAGCAGCTCCAGATTTTAAAACTCATTCAATGGCAGGTTTTGAACGCTGGCTTGCCTTTGGAGTCTGAGGTCTAAATGACAGTTAAGTCTATGTCTGTGTTAAAGGAAGAGACATCTGCATGAGTAGACATTTGTGCCTGGATGGGATTCAAATGAAACATAGGTAACAGAACATCAATTGCCCATAATGTTCTAATCCAACATCCTGTAGTTTCTGAGCAGGCATTTACAGAGTTAATACTTATTAGAGACTCAAGGCTCAACTTTTTTCCTGTATATCTTGATATTGCAAACCCTGGTAGTTTTAATTAGTGGCCTTTTAATCTCTGGAGCAAAGCCAATGGCCTGTTCCCTTGGACAAATTTCTTAACAACCTGGCACTGAGTGGCTTTGTCTGCTTGTGGGAGCTCTCGTACCCAAGGCTGTCATAAAGAGTTACATAGGTTATGTCTGCATGAAGGAACCAGCTGAAGAGATGGGTGGGTGTTGGAATCAGTTCTTCTTCCATGTGCCAAGTGAGTGTCCTGGTGTGAGCTACATTCACCTAGAAAGGTGTGCACACCTAGCGCACACAAAGGCCTATGGTTTCACCTGATCCTATCCTACTTTCAGTCTCCATTTCCTTCCTCGTTTCATGCCCTAGGACAACCTGGGGTCCAGGAGGGCTGGCTCTGTGGGTATTGCAACCTTCCTACTGCAGGTCTTGGCACTGGACTAAGGAACAAGAGACCTGCCTCATGTCTGAGCTCCTCTGTGTAATCTTAGGCAAGTTGCTTATCTCCTCCTATGACTCAGTTTCTTCATATGTATAAAGAGAAAAATGTCACTCTATCAAGGTTAGATGGTGCAGAGGGACAGACAGCTGGGGTTCAAACCTCTGTTTGCCACCCATTCACTACCTATGTATCCTTGGCCAAGTTATATAAGCTTTTTATACCTCGATTTTCTTAATCTGTACAGTGGAGCTAATAATAGCACCTACCTATATATCATGAGTCCTTACAAAAAAGCCTACAAAGTAGGTGCCATTATTATTTCCACTTGACATATTTAATAAATTGAAGCCTAGGAGAAGACACGTAACTTGCCTAAGATCACACAGAGGAGCTCAGACATGAACCAGGTTTCTGCCTCTTAGTCTAGTGCTAAAACCAGTGCATGTGTGCATGTGTGCATGCTTGTATAGCTACAGATATAGATATGTATGCTGGCATGGATAATACAGATATAGGTATAGATATAGATATCTATATGTACGTGTGTGTGTGCTGGTTTATGTATATATATGTATATGTATCTGTATGCACACACATATGTGTTTGCATGTGTGTGTATAGATACCTTTATATATACATATACACACACATGCACATGCTGCTTAAAACAGTGCCTGGCCTATAATGCTAAGATTATTAAGTACCCAATGCTCAGTAAGTACTCAATAAATGTTACCTATTGCTATTATCTGTAGAGAAAGTTTCCACGTGCTAACGTTCCCTCCCTCCTGTGCTGGGAGTTTGTGGTTTGAACAGACGAGAGCCCAGCATGGGCACCCTTGGCTTTTTGAGCATTATTTGCATTCTGAACTGGGGCCTGACGACAGCCTGCTCTCAGGGTGGGGACAGGAGCAGAACCATCAGCGAACTGACTGGTAAATATAGCAAATCATCCGATGGGTTGGCTGCATGGGGTGTGTCTGTCTGTATATGTTTGTGTGTGTTGGAGATAGTAGTGGTATGTAAGCTTATTTTAACTGGAACTCATATTTTCTAGCCCCTCCAAGAACTAATACCTCTTTTTAATGTTTCATGGGAACACTGGACAGAGGGTCTTTAAAGTAAAAACTCAGTGACTCATTCTCTCTCTTCAGTTTTTCTGAACTGCTGAGTAGAGAGAGGAATATTTTCAAGGAAACACGAGGAGATTAGGATGAACCTTCTTTGCCCCTCACCCCACCTCACCTGCTTTGTACCTATCAGTGGAAGGTGAGGGCTGGTCTTGGGGGCAGGAAGATGGATGAAGTGACATTTGCAGGATCCCCTGGGGGCAGGTGTATAGGAGGTGAGTACTCGAGGGGCATTTCATCACGCATTGCTCTTAGGCATGGCTAGCCTGGATGGGTCTCAATTAGGAGTAAGGAGACCTAGGTTCCCATCCTGCTTGGTCTCAAATCCCTGCAAAGGCTGCACCTTGAGTTGCTAGGCATTTACTTCCCAGACATTCCCTGCCCCTTACTACCAGTAAAAGTGGTAAATGCAGGGTGTGGCCAGAATGCTTTTCTAATCCCTAGTGCCACTCCAAGTCCCCCTACAGAGTTAAAGCCTAAAATGACTTCAAACCCAATGGAAGACATTGTGTGATGGAAACAGTTCTAGTTTTCCAGTTGGCTTTCTAGCCATGAATTTGTGTCCTGTGTCCTTTCTCCAGCAGGTCAGGGAAAGTGCAAAAGGCAGGCTTTACTCTACATTGACTGCCCAGTGCTAATGGGTAGGAGCACGTCAGCCATGGGACTCGCAGGGAAACTTGCCACACTTTGAATATAGGAGTCACCTGGCTGTGTCTTGTAACCAGTTGGAGACTTCACTCACAGATGTCACTCTGGGGCTACTGAAAATAGAAGAAATCAGATAATACAAAATTTCTAACTGTATTCACATTAGTGTGTTCTTTGTTTTCTTATTTATATTCACAGTCATGAAAGAAAATGAGGTTAAGTACCTTTACACATGGTAAAACCAAGAAACTGAAAAGTTTAGTTACTTCCCTGAGCTCACAAAACAGTGACAAGACTCTGGATCTCATTTCCCTATCTCCCTGTCTCTAACCCAGGATAATTCTCTGGATTGCATTGCGTGTCAGAATTTCTCTGTTCCTACAGTGTAAATTTCAGCCTTAAGCTCCACCTACAACTTGCCATTTTCGCCCAAAGCATTCAAGATGTTCTTTTGCATCCAGACCCTCCTCCAAATGAAGAAAGCTGCAGTGAAAATGCCACTGAGTTGAGGGGTTGCAAACCAAACCTCCATTCCCATAATTCAATTCTCAGGCCCCAGCCTTCTGCTAAGGCTAACAGATCCACTCCAAAATTTTAAGAGTCCACAGTGATCAAAAGCATCTGTATATTCTGAAACATGCAAATCAACCCTGTTTTTCACATTCATCTCAACATTTGGTGGAGGGCACAAGAGTCAGCTGGCTGCTGAGTGGACGCAGCTTAGCAGATGAATGGAAGGGTCAAATCCCTCTCAAGATTTGTAGAACTGGATCTGAAATATGAAATGCCAGCATACGTGATGAGAGGGATAGTCTATCGAGTGTTTTATCATCCAAAGATGGAATTAATGGCTATGCCATATCTGTGTCAGACCCCGGCAGTAAAACTTTATGGGTTCTTCCCCGTGAAATATTTTGTTTATGTCACGTGGGTCTCATCGGATGTTTTTTTCTCTTTTCTTCACTTCCCCTCCCCACCCTTTTCCCTGCCCTCTTTGTCTCCTGAGACCTATTCCCTTTGGAAATGCATTAGTTACCTAGGAAACCTTAATGTCATTTTTTTATGAGTGGAGTTTGGTGCAGCATAAAGTTAATTTATAGGGTGGTTAGGAATTCATGTCATGACTGGTGAAATAGGAGACTTTATTATGATTTCTACATCCACCTGTGTGGTAGGAATACATACCTTCCCTCTATCATTACGGGTAATTTCTTGAAACGTAATTATGAATATGTATGCCATGTCACAGAATAAGTTGATTCACCGTTGTTCAATGCAATTCATTATATTGTTCAATGTAAGCCCTAGAACATAATTAGCAATAACAACAAACCAATAATATACCAGGCAATCTGTTAAGAGTTGAAGGATATGGTGGAATTTCCTTTTAAATGATGAGGTGGTTCTGGGTGAAAGGCAGAGAATGAATAAGACGAGATTTTGAAATCCTTCAATTCTGTCTTTCATGCACATTGAGGTCCACGTTGGGAAGCTATATAAATTCTAAATATGTCCACTACTTCATTCTGCTGATTTATTTCTGTATTTGTCCAAAGGGGAAAATATACATCCATAAAATTACATTAATGAAATGTGTAGTGGCATACAAATAATAATACACAGGCCATTCCAGAGCCAAGCTTCTTTCTAAAGATAGCTCATTCCCCCAGTGGTGTGACAGTGTTTCCTGTGTAAGGACTAGCAGATCGGGACTGGCATTCACATTGTGCCAGGCACTGTGTTGAATGTTTTAAATTAATTAGTTCCTTTGGTCCTCATATTACTTCTATGAGATTGGTGTTGTCTTCACCAATTGCAGATGGGTTCTAAGAAGTTAAGAAACCTGTACAAAAGCACATGGCTACTGAGTGGAGAAGGTAGAGGGGAACCTGCTTTTCTCAGGCACCAAAATCTACTCTGGCAGTAAATTCTAGGTCGTGGTCTGTCATTATGTTTTTGTTTTTGTTTTTTGTTATTCTGAGTTTCCTCAGTTATTAAATGCAGAGTGGGGGACATAGGGGCTGATAGAAGTTTATCTCTGATGTCTGTATTCTGTGTAGAGAGATCAATGCTAGTCCTTAGAGCAAAGCTGTGCTTTCTTAAAATGACAGAAATTTGGGGGAAGACCTGGTCTTGTTAAATAAACATAAACAAGCCACTCAGTTTCTGTGGACAAGTGCATGCGAATTGAAAGAAAAGAAGAATGTCTCACAGGTGACTCCAGGTCATCTGAGAGGAATTGCTATATGGCTTGACAGCCTGTAGCTCTTGGTGAATAATGCTGTTGCCAGTATATAGAAACGGGTGGGCAGCCAGGAATCTTTCAAGTGCGGAGGCACAAAGGTAGCATGAAGCCGCCTTTCCTGACCCTTAAGCTCCCAGTCCCTGTGCAAACACCTTTTGCATTCACTTTAATTGTTTGAAAAACGAAGACTTCCAGACTCCATCAGCTCTAGCAGCTGTCTGGGTGGATGGGGGTGGGGATGGAGGGGGTAGGGCGAGACCTCCCCACAGCGCCCTCCAGCAGCAGAAGATGCAACTTGCAAATACTTCAGGATCAGTGAGAAGTGTGGTGTTTATTTTAGTAACCTCAAAAGAGAGAAAAAGAAAAGCAGTGGAAGAGGACAGACATTCAAGGCTAGCTACACGATCATGGGGAAAAAAAACAAGCTTGTCTTTGACACGGAAAGGGTCCTTGGAGGCCATTCGGTCCACTTCTCTCATTTCCTGGGTCAACATGTCACAATGAATTAACCACATACTGCCACTGCACAAGACCCCCTCCCTCACCACACGCTGAGCCCCCACCACCAGCATTCAGTCCACTGAGCTCAAACATAGGGAGATAAGTGCTGTTTTCACAAGATAAAGGCAAAATTCAATCCCACGTTGCCGTTTTGTTTCTGTTCAGTGTTCCAACCACAGAGTGGTGCTATTGCAAAAGATAAGGGTAACCAGAAGGCACGCTCTGGAAATTTGCTTTAGGAGAGAGTTTTAAAGGGGGTTTTCAAAAACAAGATCTGATTCCTGCTCTCAGAAATCACTTCCAGGAGTCAGGGCCTTACTCTCAGATGCAGCAGGGAGAAGAAGAAAGTTCAGCAACCTAAAAATACAGTCGACAGATGGGCAGCCAAAGTCATGGCCACGAAGTCAACTTGGAGAGGAGCACCTACCTAGTGAATCCTAAAAGATCTCATCCTGGATGCTTCCTTAACCAGGCCTATGTACAGGGCACAAGCTCGCAGCCAGCTTACTTTCCAGTCCTGATCTTTGCTTTTGCTATCCATACCAATGGTATTTCTATAGAAAAGAAAAATCTCTATTTAGAAACACGGATTTACTTAGAAGTCACAATATTCTAGTTTAAAAATGGCTCTACATAGTAGAGAATGATCTTTTTATTCTGTCTTCTTAAAAATACACCTTTCTAATTCTTTTTTTCTTCCCACCTTCTTCATTCAGCACCTTGCCACTCCCTTGGAAGCCACAACAGCGAGCTGGGGGGTCAGTCCCTAGTCTTAGAGGGAAGAAATCTTTAGGTCTGAAGTCTAAAGAAAAACAGTAAAGGAAAAGGCAGTTGGCGGTGCTCAAGGTAGACTGTCTGAAAGAGGTCTTCTACTCAGAAAAGGGCTAAGGCTCTCCCTTTGGGAAACCAATCCTTCTGAGAAAAAGTGCATCTTTCACCCTCTGCTCCTGTCTGGGTCTCTCCCTCTTCCTCCCTCCTTCCCTCAGTCCCTCCTCCCCTCTCTCCACAAAGACACAGCACATATTTGGCAAGATTAAGGTGTCACCTCTCATATTACAAGGCCTGTTGATTGCAAGCAAAGACAGACCCACCAGCTTAGGACAAAACCCCTTGGAGTTGGAAATAAGACAAACTCTGGGATCCCCGAAAGTCCCGGCAAAATGACGCGGCCAGCCAGTGCAAGGCATCTGCAGAACAAATCCAAGTCCTAAACGCACTGCTTGCTGCCTTTTCTTCTCCTTCCTTTCTTCTGATTTTTCAAGTTTGTTTGCCCCCCTTCCCCTCCTCCCTCCAGACTGCCAGGGACCTGGGAGCTGCCTGCAGATCAGCCCGCACATGTATTTAACCCCTTCCCTGCTGCAGCAGGAGCCAACCACCTCTTTCCTTGCAATCTTCAGGTTCCCAGAGGACCTGGAGCTTGAGAAAAGAACTCTGCCAGTGGATCTGAAACTGGGGCCTGAATCCCTCCTTTGACCAGGGCGAGAAGCTGGAGGAGGGGGGCAAGTGCGGGAAGTGGGGGAGGGCAGGGAGGCGGGCCAGATGAGAGGGAGAAAAGCAGAACCCGACAGAGCACGCCCAATCCAAACCTTCATGGTGCTGTGTGGCTGGGTGGAGGGAACGACTCGGCAGCCTCTTCTGGCCCTGAGGAAGACGTCGATATTTTGGCACGAGGGGAGCCACTGAAGGACTACCCTACCCTTGCGAGGGACCGCAGGAGGTGACGCCCCTGGGCCTCGGTGGGCGCTTCTGGCGGTTTTCGATGTGGCAACCCCCATCAGCCAGGATAATGATGAGGCAGGTACAATCTATCTAGTACGCAGCCCCCAGACTCCCCCCTCCCTTCCCACCTCCCCATCCAACCCCCCAGCTACTCTCTGCGGCCGGTTGGTCCTGAACTGGTGGGTGCAGTTCCGATGTTTAACCAAATTCTCAAGCAATTTCAAGGTATTTGGATTTTTTGAACCTGGGCCCTAACCGAAACGCGGAACGGCTTGCTTATTAGACACCTCGAACGACAGGGCAGGGAGGAAACGGGATACTCGCTGCCCTTCCCAGTCGCGCGTGAGTCAAAAGGTCCTGGCAGGAGATGATGTGAGGAGCGGCTGAAGTGGCAGGGAGGAAGGGATGAGGGGCTTGGAGCGGAGGTCCACCACGCAAGGACTCGGGAAGCGGGCAAGTGGGCAAAACTCTGCTTCCGGGCTCTCGATTTCTCGTTGATCACTAAGTGGTATTTTTCCCCCTTCTCTCGATGGCAAATGGGCGAAATCAAGATGACTTAACTTGGTAAATTTAGAGAGAACGGCTCGGAGCAAGTGAGGTCTAACGGGCAGCTAAAATTATCTCCAAATAAGAGATTTTGACCCCCTCCCCCTATCCTCTCCTCGAATGTATCCACCGGTGGGGAAGTGAGCGTCATTACTTTCGGGGCGCCACGAACAGGTTTGTTTGTTGCTCGCCTTTCCTGCTTCTCGCGCTGTCCCCGCGTGCAGACTGGTGGGTGCTGGGCGAGTGATTAGCTGCAGGGCCCCATCCTAGTTTGGAAGGAAGGGGTTTAGAAGTTGGAGGATGGGTGAAATGGGAGGCTGCGATCCATCTCCCTCTCCCTTCCACACTCAAGCTCCCGCAAACACGCGCGCGCACACACAGCCCCTCCCTAGTCCCTCGGACCACCCGCCCCCACGCCCCTCTACCTTGACCTCCCTTGACCGCCGACACAGCGTCCTGGGTGCGGGTCCCCGGGAGCGGGGAGTTCGCCGGGGAGCGATTGTCCTTGGGCGTGTTCGTGCTGTGGGGTGGGGGGAGGAGTGGCGGGTGGGCTTGGTAGGGGGTGGGGAGAGATCTGGAGCTGGAAGGGTCTAAGGTTTGGAGGAGGAGTTTACGCCTCAGACCTGATCCTCCTGAGGAAAAAGGCAGGAAAAGGCCCTGATGCCTTGTAAAGAAAATCTTGAAAGAAAAAAGATCAAAAAGAAAAATTTCAAGAAAAAGAACCACTAAGAAAGGCTGAAGACACTAACATGTAACCTGTTACGATACATTTAACGTTTCGTTTTTTCCTGGATCTCTAAAAGGGAACTCAAGGGTGGGGGTTACTGAAGAATACTACAGATTTGGAAGTTTTTGTTGCTGTTGTTGTTTGGTTTGGTTTTGTTTTTCAAGAGGGGCCAGGAGAAATGACCCCTTCCCCGCCACGGGTCCCGAAGTGAGGGCGGGGGGGGGGCTCTGGGGCGCGGGCGCGCGCGGCGCGGCGCGGGCCGGCGGGGGAGGGCGGCGCGGCGCGGAAGGGGTTAAGGCGCTGAGCGCGGAGCCATCTGGCCGGGTTGGCTGGTTATAACCGCGCAGATTCTGTTCACGGGACTCAGAGTTGAAGCTCCTCTCCCTTCCGAACAGCTCCGCGCACCGCCCCGCGACGCAGCCCGGCGCAACTACTTTCTTCTCTCTCCTTTCTTTCTTCCTCTCCTTTTTCCCCTGCTGGGTAGTGGCTGCGGCGGGGTGGGGGAGACTTTGAATGACCGAGCTCGCGTCCACCTTTCTCTTCATGTCGACGTCCCTGGAAACGGCCACACGGATGCCATGGTTACTTTTGCCACGGTAAGGGGAGGCGGCGGGCACCTTGGGTGGGCAGGTTTGGGGATGGGGGTCCACGTGGGGAGGGATTTTCCAGTGGACTGGTGCGGGGGGCCCCAGATCCGCATCCCGCCCCACCCCCATCGCGCCGCGCTCACTCACTTTCCCGGGCTTGTGTCTTCCCCAAAGTTTGCGCTGGGATCTGCTCAGGCCGAAGCGCAACCGCAGCCACCCCGCTACACACACACACACACACACACACACACACACACACACACACACACACACAGACACGGACACCCTTCTCCACCTCCTCCCCTCTTGTCCCTCGGCTGCCCAAGAAGCTTCCCTCAATCTGGGAAAGTGATCAGGTTTAAGGGACCTGGATTGGAAAGGGTGGGGGCAGAAGAGGGGAAATGGGGACGACGAAAGAGCAGGAAAGAGATTCAACAGAATCAACCACCCACCACTCCCAACCGACCCGCCTGCTCCTCCGAGAAAGCTCCTAGCGCATCCTATAACAAAAGGGGGTGGCAGACAGAACTCCGGGCGGGGAGGTGCCGCGGCAGCTCCCCTGCACACGCCCTGCACTCTGCCGGCCGCTGAGCCTGATTCTCAGCTCGCCCCAGCACCACTCTGGCCCGGGCGTGGGCTGGGGGGAGGGGACGCGCAGCTCAGGACCCGGAACCTCGCGTTCCAGTTTTGGGAGTTGGGACTCACTGCCACGCGCCGCGTACCTGCGTTGGAGTTCCCCGAAAGGGTTTTTTCAGAAAAGACCTCGCGCCCCGGGCTCCTCTTGGCCAGCGCCCACCCGGTGGCCACCCCACCCTGGGCCTTTGCGCAGATGTTGGAGCTCCGTACGCAGCCCGCACATCTGGGACCCCTCCGGGGAGCGGCGGGCACCCGGGCCCGGCCATCCCAGGGGATCTCCTTGCGGTATCGTCCAGCCTGTTCTCGGACTTTGAGCGGTGGCGTGGGAGGCCGGGAGACCTGGGCACCCGCGCAGCCAGCCAGGTCGGAGTTTAAAGGTCCCACGACGGACCGAACTGTCCCATTGCCCCAGAGCTTTACTCAGTGGTGGATGCTCCTGATGAAATTTGGGACGCTTGGGAGTTGAAGGTTAGGGACAGGAGGGGCGAGGGCCGAGGGCATGGGATGGGGGAGTAGGATTCTGCTTGTTGCTCTCCGCGGGAGTGGGTGCGCGTCCAGGAGGCGCTGCTTCTTTGCGGGAGTTTGGCTGCTGCGTTCATTCGTCGTCTGCGCTTCAGATGCACGGCACTGAGACCCTTGCGTCCGACGGTGTCGGGGCTGTGGACTAGAAAGGATCCCTTTTGCTGGAATCGAGGCTGGGGTGGGATTGCCGGTGGGGGAAACACCGAAAAGATCGTCTGGCCTCGGCCTCTGGCGGCGGGCGGCAGGTTCTGAGTCCGAATGGAGGTTGCTCCCGGGAGCGCCGGGCTCAGAGCTAGAGAGCTCGGGAGACTGTGCGCCTGTGGACTTGTTTATGTGTGTGAAGAGGCGGGGGCGAGGGCCTGCTGAGAGGGGAGGGGAGCCTGGAAGGGGTGGGTGTTTCTCCTGGAGCCTGATGTTTGTAACTCAGCTGATTATGGAGTGCACTGAGCGACCTGCTTTTTAAATAAAGAGGTGCCCGCTCCTACCCCGCAAAACAGCGAACGAGGAGAACATGGAAGCGCTCTGTCCTAAACGTCAGGATGGGAGAAAGTTGTAACATAGAGGAGACTTTTCCAGAGGTCCTGTTTTCACAACACTCAGAAGTTCTCCAGCGTACTCAGCCTGCCTCCCGCCTGCCCTCAATTCCTTTTTGACATGTCACACAAAGAAAGCTGAAAGGTAGAATGTGGAGGATAAACTCCAACCCCCTCTGCCTTGGGCGCAAACACACAGACTTAGGTATCGTGTTAGGAGGTAAGGGGGTTGGAAAATAATGCAGGCTCCGGTAGACAGTGTTGAAGGGAGATAGAAAGTCTGGGGTATTTCCCCTAGGGAGAGTGTGTGGGATTTTGTGTTGGTGAGGACTGGAGTGTAGCTGGACTTAGAGGGTTTGGTTGTGTGTGAATGGGATATGCTTATCTATGGAGTGAGATTGTGACCATTGAGTGAGTGGTCAGGGAGGGATGGGGATGTTTTTCCAAAGTGTGTGTGTGTGTGTGTGTGTGTGTGTGTGTGTAGGGGAAGGTGGCAAAAGAGCTGGAGTCCTATCCCTCTTTGGTGCCTGGGAGGTGTGTGTTTCTGGGGAGTCTGTCGGATGGGCATCTGTGTGCTTAGCGGGAGACAAGAGCTTGCAGGAACATAGGTGTAGCTAATGCGAAATCTGTGCCTATGAAGGGTGTCAGAGCAGGAGGAGAGGTGCAGCCTGTTGAAGACAGATGGCTTGTGCATGCCTGCACAAACACATGGAGTGGGTGTGGTGTAGGAGGGCGGCTGTGTGTGTGAGGGAAAGGTGGATGCATGTGGAAGGTTGGGCGCCTGAGGATTACCAAAGGGATGTGTGTGGGGGGTGGGGGAAGATTATCTGAGGAGCACGGGGTTTGAACTTCATGAGGGTGCACTGGGAAATTTGGCTGGAATGGCACTGGGGCATGTAGGGGGTAGAAAAGTGTGAGCTCAGATCCTCTTTATGGAAAGACAAAGCATTTGCAGGGAAGGACACCGGGTTGGTGTTGGTGTTTGCCTCCCCCCTCCTTCCTCCCCAGAGAGAAGAGAATTGGAGGAGGCTTAGAATGAGGGATGTACATTTAAGGGGAAAAGTCCTTGTGCATTGGCACTGGGTGGGAACAGGAAGAGATGTGTGCATAAGACTGAAGTAAGTAGAGGAATGCACTATCTGTGCCTGGTGTCAGGGATGCATGTTGTATAATGTTTTGTAATGGGTTTCTTATGTAATAGGAGAATTCACTATCACCAGTTCATATTGATAATCAATTAAAGCTAATGGAGTGCCTACTGGATGCTCAGCCCATTGCTGGGTACTGGGGCATGGCACACTGCCCTGGAAAAATTCCTTCTCCAGGCTCAGTAAAACTGATGCAATTTTGCCAGAAATAGACAGAGCTCGACGCTTGTTGAGGTTTCTTCAAGGTCTATAATTCAGTTTCTAGAGATGTTTATGGATCTTGGGGGCCAAAGGGAAGCTGACTTGAAATATATCTCTGGTTTTGTAAAAAGTGGGGCATAAAGAGAGGGATGATGTAGACTTTTGTGTATTGGGAAGGGAGCTGGACGGTGTTGTTGTTTCTTGTGTGGGGTGTGGGCTGGGAATTGGAGGGTGCTGCACTTCAGGTCAGAATGCAGGTCCAGATCCCTCTAAGGATTGAGTTTCTAAGAGTACACAGAGCCTCCTTCATAGCTGGAATGAGACCTGTTATGTGGAGCTGGAGAATGGTGAAGTCATGATCAAGGAAGAGATGGACTGGGAGTGTTTGTTCATCTTTGATGTTTTCTGGGCTACGAGTGTAAAGCTAACCTGAGTGTGTGTTGGGGGGGTGGGTATGCATGCAGGTGCGTGCACATGCACTTTGGCCTGGAGTAACGTAACTGGGAGAAAACTAGCGAGGTGGATAGGAGGGGTGGATATTCTGGCTCTTGTGAAGGGGGTGCCAGTATGTGTTTTTGCAGGAATTCTGTGTGTCTGGGGAAGGATAAAAATTGTCTTGGATACTCAGATGTGCATCTTTAGCGAAAAAAGGTGTACACAAAAGAAGGGCCGTAGACTTTGGGGAATGAGACAAAGGTGTCGTTGATCGGGTCCATACCCTGAGATGGCTGGTGAGGCAACTGGGTAGGAACAGAGTGAAGGCTGTGCTTTTGTGATGCACACATCTGCCTGTCTGGAGCAGACGATGGGGATCCCCATTTGATTAGGTTCTGACCACCGTTGGGCATATGTTTGGGAGGACTTTATTTGACTCATGACATTTTTGAATTCATGAAGTTACAGCTGTGCCATTTTAAGGGTCTACCTTATTTTTGAGAGGGAAACTCATCTGTGTAAGAGATAGTTTATATAGGGCTTGACTATTGGTCAGAAGATCCGGGGCAGATATTTCTGAGAGCAGGGTGGTGAAGTGCAAGACTGGATTGGGAATGTCTTAGTTCTAGTCCAGTTCTACCACTTGGGAAAAGTGTGACTTTGGGGACATTTTTAATCTCTATAACTCTTCTGTTTCTCTTTTTGTAAAGGGGCAATATAATGACTCAAGGAGAAGGAAAGTTCACTCCTCTTTTCCCCCATCAAAACTTGATGTGTTTAGTTGTATACAGCCATACAAAGATGAAATGTAATTAAATACAGGTGCTAGCACGTATGTAGGTCATTGTGAAAATAGGATCTGGACCCCTTTCTCTTTACAATGCAACTTAATCAGTAATCATGATGCCCACAGCATCTCTACTGCTCACTCATTGTGTAAATAAAACTTTTTATAACTGCCTCAGTTTACTCATCCAGAAGCTGGAGGCAGCCAAACCTAGATTATAGATGATGGAAATCTTTAAGATCTTTGAGCTATTCAGAGGAAAGGTAGTCTAAGAATCAATGTTATTAATGATCAGAGACAGACATTTCTTTATTTTTTAACATCAGCTATGCAGACCACAGCACCAAAAGAAATGTGACGTGGAGAACAGCAAAAATAATAATTGCCCTTGACATAGGCACCATTTGAATAAAAGAAGAGCAAAGTCTA
This sequence comes from Homo sapiens, assembly GCF_000001405.40. Classification (NCBI taxonomy): domain Eukaryota; kingdom Metazoa; phylum Chordata; class Mammalia; order Primates; family Hominidae; genus Homo; species Homo sapiens. The sequence goes on from NC_000012.12 coordinate 5,437,025, forward strand.
GCCTGCCTGGTAAGAGGAAAGCCTGGGCTTTGGGTCTTTGAAATTCTTTGTGCCCAGTGCAGCAAGTTGGGTACAGCCACTTTCCCCAGAGATGAAGATGGAGTCGTAGAGGGGCATGGAAACACACTGAAACCTCCGATTCCTCCCAGAAGTCAGTACATGCTGTCAACTCCTGGCTCAGAGTCAGGCTCCCATCCTTGAGTTCAGTGGCCATAAATAGTCAGGAGCTAAGCTATTTCCAAGAGGCACTAAACTAATTCTGTTGCTTTTCTTGGCGAGATTGGGCCAATTAAGTTGATTGGAAGAGGTCACTGCTGATGGGTCTCACATTCCCCAGGCGGGACAGGCCAGCAGAGTTTAATTACATAACATTTCCCATGTCTTCACTTCCACTCCCAGATGTATCAGATGTTCAGGCCTCTCCTCTTTCCCTACATTCAGGATGCCTGACGGAGCAGGCGGCTTCTGCTACAAGCTTCTCCAGACCTTTTCCTGAGCAGTTACAGCACTCCCACCCCAACTGGAGGGAATGCAAGTCTGTGCATTGCCTGGAAGTGAGAGAGGGGATGCAGGCTGACACAGAAGATCTTTAGAGCCCACCACCCTGCCTCAAGCCTCACCCGCGGCTGTTTTACTCTTTAACGAGGCAGGCAGTTTCTGGCGTTGGGGATGTTGAACTAATGACCGTTGCTAGGGTTTTAGATTTAGTTTTATTTAAAAATGAGTTTGTTGGAAAAGGACCAAATCTTCTACTGGAGACAAGCCTAAGCCCCGTGTGGTGCTGCTGATAAGGTCTGTGGATGTACTTTGTGCATGGACAGGCATGTGTGGAGTAAGAGGAGAGCACAGGATGTGCGTGCGTGCGTGCTGGGGGACACGTGAGCGTAGGAGATGCCCTGGGTAGATGGGGCATTTGTAGAGCTTATGTTATGGGTGGCAGGTATCTGGATGCTTGGCTCAGATTGGATTGTCATTGGATTGCTTCTTACAGGTGGGACAGCCTGAGAAAAAAGTTGGGGACACCTTCCTTCAGATCATTTTTATATGGGCATGTTGAACCTTGAAGTATGAGGCCAGTGTAGATATTACCTCATTCTTGCCTGGATGGATTTCTAACAAGATTGAGGCTGGACAAAAAAAAAAAAAGTCTTTCAGAGGACTCATTTTAGAACCTGTGAGAACACATGTAGATGGCCCCAGAGCGTTAAAGTATTTTTTGTTGTTGTTAATAGTTTTCCATAACTCAGTCTTTTGTTTTACCTAAAAATACTGAGAGGCTAGAGGTTGCACACACCCCCACATGGTCAGAATGCATTTGCTGTTCATGTCCCCATCTGTGCCATGGTCCTTCTCAAATAGGATTAATTGGGAACTACGGAGAGCTTGCCGCAGCTTTGGTTGTCCTCACAGGACAAACCTATGACTGACCGTGATGTCATTGAAACAGAACAGATTTTGACGTGAAATTTCGTGTGGTCTGTTGTGATTGCTCACTTTTTAGTAACATCTCCAGAGAAGACATTTGTTGAGCCCCATTTTTTTTTGTGGGTTTGTTCAGTCAGAGATTTGTTGGAAGATTTAAGGTTCTCCAACATTCAAGGCCAGAGATTTTGGAGGAAACAGTAGCTAACAAGAGCCCAGGCCAGGGTGACCTTCAGTAGCCTGAGGCAGCAGGTAGCTGCCTGACTTAGAAGTGAAGGACCAGGTTCAGTGACTGGGCTCTGTCACTAATTAGCTGCTACTGTGTGACCCTGGACATTCTCTGTAGGACATGACTTTGCCATCTGTAAATGAAGGGCTTGAATTAGAAGATCTCCCAGTCCCATTCCAGCCCTGTCACTGTAGGATTCCACAGTAGCCACATCCTCCTACCTAATCAGTGCTAATTACCTCACTTGGAGTGCACCCTGGCACGCCCTTAACGAGCTCCTGTTTTTATCTTTGGGGAATGGCTGAGTCAAAGGCAGAAAAGCGTGCAAAAAATTTGCCAGAGTGTTTCCTTTTGGCCAAGAATGCTCTAAACATTGGCTTAGCCTACACAGGGTGTGCAGAGCTGAAAGGGGTGGGATTTGGCTTTCTGGTAGGTCTGATGCTAATCATTCAGCTTCCACGTGAATGTCTTTCAGTGGCAATGTCTCTGACTAAGGTAAGCATCCATCTTTAAGATGATGGATGATGATGATGATGACAGTTAATATTAGAGTACTTACTGGGTGCCAGGCATTTTTACAGCTATTACATGGCATTATCTCAGTACTCAAAATAATCTCATTTACAGATGGGGGTACTGAGGTTATGTGAGGTTAAGGGGTATGCTGATGTTCTTGGCTTTCCAGCCTGAAGTCTGTGGCATCCCAAGCCCATCACCTGCTAGTCAGATTCTGTTTTTTATGTCTGTGATGTCATCCAGATGGGAGCTGGGTCCATCTTCTTCTGCAAAGTTGGTCACCCCATAGGGTAACCTGCTCCCTGCCCCCGGAAGCCTCCTTGTCATGTGCAAGACAAATGTTTAGGTTTTCTAGCCACCTGCTGGCAAGCATGTGTCAGATCTGTCTCAGCCTCCATTGGCCCTCTCCCTTTACTTCTTGTTCTGTTGACAAGGGAACCTGCCCTTACAGAATACGGATATTGATTTAAGCCACAATTGCCTCCTTGTAAACTCTATAAAATTGGAGCTGGACATCTGGTTTTGATCCACACGCCCACGAGAGGTGGTAGGTCCCAGCATTCTTGAGTCCTGGAATTGCACAGAATCAAAGTGAAAAAGAATATGAATGGAGAGCATGAGGTATCTTTAGAATTTGGAAGATGGCTTTCTTTGATAGGCTAGGGAACTCACACCATTTAGACTGGGGCCAAAGTTAAGGTAGGTTTCTTGCTGGGAGGTTGGGGGGCAGGGGTCACTGCTAAAGACTGAGGTCCCCAGGCTGTGTTTGATGCAGAGCAGAGCAGCTGTAGAGCCCTCCAGCTGAGGATTTGCCACTGCACACCATTCTCTGGGCAGTACCAGAAATAGAGAAGCCAAACAGGTTCTTGGGGTGGATGTTGCCCTGTTTGAAGATTGTGACTAAAGGCTCATTCCTTCTTCCTCCACTGATTTCCTCACCATCACTACCACATATACATCATCAAGACAGTTAAGGACAGGTGACTTTGTTCTGTTGCTTAAACATATTTGCATGTACAAATAAATGTTGAACACTAACCTAATGCCTATTAGACCATAGGTACTCAAAAATTATGTATTTACTTTGCTTAAAATAACCTTTCATGTGTAGGGTGATAATTTTTTTCTTCATATGGAGTATATAGCCTTTTAAAAACTGATAGCCAGGTTCTTGCAATTTACTTCCCCCTTCCCTCTGTTTCTAGATCTAAGACCCCAGCATTTAAAAATATCCTTCTCTGGCTCTAAGTGATCCCTCAGGGAGTTTGTTTCAAGTTCTCAATCTGAGATTAGTTTCATCCCACATCTAGAGGACCTGCTTCTAATGGTTCATAAGGTACTTCCACTGGGTTCAAGAGGAAGACACAGCTCTAGAAATCACCTGCTTTCCCAACAGGTGTGTCCCATGGTGGGGAAGAAGCCCAGTCCTCCTAACACCCACCTGGCTACCTTAAATAGCTTGCCACAGTCTCCCTGCAGAGAGCCCAGACTAGCTGTGTGACTTTAAGCAAATCACTTTCCCTCCGTGGGCCTCTTTTCCTGGAAAAGGGAGGAGTTGGACTCACTAGAGGGTCACAAGGACCCTACCAGTGTGACAGATCACATCTTCCATGACTCCGCTGCTCCCTCGGCCCCACACTGTGGCCCATGCCTGGGATTTTCAGGTAACCCTGCTGGCCTAGAGGACTTACATAGAGTGATTTGGAGGGGGTGGAGGAGGAAATTAAGTTATGTGATGCCAGATAAGTCATTGAACATACGGATGAGTGCATGTTTATGAAGCACTGAAGAAACAAGCTTGCCAGATTCGTGGCGGATCTTGGATTGGAAGTTGGGAGTATGCGAGAGGTTTATGTGGGATTAAAGTTGTCTGTGGGTAGCTGAATTCAATAAGCTAAATCAGAGAGATCCCAAACTCTGCAGAGAGATCAGACCCCGCCTCTAACTCCAACAGAGGCTAATTACAATTTTGGGAAGTCCTCGAACCACACTAGGTCTCACTTCCTCATCTATTAAGAGCTACTGACTTTGATTATCTCTAAGGTCTTTCTTGACTTATCATTAATTAAATTGTGAGAATTGGGAGCTAGTAGAAAAATCTGGACAAATGCGTGGATGGAGAAGGGGATACCTCAAATGGCCTAAATATAGAGGGAAATGTTCTGTACAAGTGATACGTTTATTCTTGAATCGGAGATAGCATTGGAGGATATATTCTGTACAAATATTGTGCTTCAAATGCTTACCCCTCCATCATCATCAATGATATTAAAATCATTGCTTAACCTGGGATATTTGCTTAACCTGGGAAGCCTCCCTGCATTTCCCCAGAGAGCCTAAGGCTCCCTTCCCAGCCTCCTGATGCCACTTAGCAGCCTGTGTTTAATTTGCATTCCTAGAATGTGACTTCACAGAGAAAGGGATCTGTTGTTTTCATTTTTGTGTCCCCCACCTTGAATAGCGACAGCCACAGGAATGTGTTGAGTGAATGAATGCGTGACCAGCCATTGTGAGCTCAGAATGTGCAGCAGCGATTTGACAGTGCCAGGAACTTGGCTCAGAGAGGCAGTGCACCTTGCCAGGGCTTCAAAACAGTGTTACCTTTATCCCCCTTTTGGCCTGTCCCAAGGCTAAGGTCATGAATGCTCAGCGCTTGGTGGCCAGAAAAGGCTGTTCTTACTCCCTTTTAGAGACCTTTCTTCCCCACATCTTAGCCTGCTTAGTTCTCCTGCAAATTGGGGCTCTTGGTCACAGGGAATCGGGTGTCATTGCATACGCATTAGGATAACTCCTCGTTAGACACTCGGAAAGCAACTCAAAACACACGTGTACAGATTATTCATTAAGCAGTCTGTTGGTGGTCACGTGCTAAATGTTGGGGAAGATGCAGAGATGAATGTAGTGCTGCTGGCCTTGGGGTCTGGAAACTGGTGAAGGAGGCAGTCAGGTTACAATCATAGTGCTCCAGGGAGAACAAGGGAAGCAAGGAAGATGGAATACAGGGTTCCCACTTCAGGTGTTGTTTTTTAGTACAAACCATGATTGAGAATCCTCTTGGTTCAGGAGCAAGCTGGAGGGTCCAGGAATGGTCTCCGCTTCCACATGACAGTGGTTTTCTTGTCCCTGAATTCCCAGGGCTAGGGTGATGGATGCTCAGAGACCATTGTGATGGGAGCCCTTGGTCCTTGTGGGGAGAGTCGGGGGAACACGCATGTTGTACAGGTGTTGGGGCTTGGGGAGGTGTAGGTGTGCATGCTCACCAGGGTACTTCTCAGAAGTATCCCTGCTCGTGGCATGGTGGGGGTGAGTCCACCTCAGGCCCCTAAGCTGTGCTTCTACTTCCTTTCTAATTATACAGCATGTATTGTCTCTGTGACCACTTCTGACACAGGAACAGACTGCCATCTACTGTCCACTTCTGTCCTGAGTCCCTCCTGCTCAAGGAGGCATTTATTTTTTCTCATCCTGTTTTTAATAGATCCGGACACCAGGAGAAACAGACGTGGAGTCCTATTTAGTAATTTTTTTAGAATTTAGAAGGGAGCCTTCAAAAAACATAGCACATCTGTCAGATGGTTTCCGTATCTGTTTACAAAGTATTATTGTAAGGGGCCACTCTGCTGCCACTGAGTCTTGCTAGCCGCTGTGCGAGGTGCCGTGTGGGATACCAAGAGATACAAAGCAAGGCCTTACCTTCAACAGCCTTGCAGTCTACTTGCGAATACAGTGTAGATTTGCAGAGAAGCAGACTACAGGATGTGGCAGTAGATATTTGGTAAGAGGCATCTGGGTGGTAGGGACTACAGAGGTTTTGGGAGTTTGGAGGAAGGAGGAGCCCTTATAGGCTGGGGGATTTGGGAAAGACCAATATGGGTCTCCTTTTAGCAATCCCAGTGTTTAGGAAGAGGCTTCTAAGAGCTGCGCGATGTTGTGGGACAGGCTATGAACTGGAAACTCAGGAACCTGGAGGGCCTGAGGTCTAGTCCAGCTTCTGGCAGTCCTGCCCTGTGACCCAGGGCCTTGGGTTCCGCATCCTCAAAGCAAGGCTGTTGGTCTTCTTGTCATGTAAGGGCCCCCCCATCCCCGACCCTGCATCATGTACCACTCTTGGATGCAGTGGGAGGTGGTTTCCTGGTTTCCAGCTTGTCAAGAGCAATAGAGTCAATTGGATCCCATGCAGGAAGGATACCTGGATGCAGGGCCCTGTGCTGATGACCCCACATGCAGCAGGAGAGAGAGAATTTCCCCAGGGGAGTTTTGGGTGCTGTTAAAATACAAAGGGGGGAAATGTTCCATGCAACCTCTGCATGCCACTCCTCTCCAGAGCTTTCCTGGACTTTCCTTCCAAAAATATATGTGCATGGTGCTTTGCGTCCAAGATAGCTACCCCAAAAGAAATTGTATTAGTATTCTAGCATTGTTCATAGCTCAAATCTAAGATTCCTTCACATTAGAATTCATTCCATGATTGTTTTTATGGAGGTTTTCTTTGAGTATTTGAGACTTTTGGTAGCTGTGGATTAAAATGAGGAAAAGATTGTTTTCTATAGCTCTTTTACTCCTTGTCTCTTTTTCTCTGTCTTTCTTAGCATTTAAACCACCACCAAGGAAACCTCCAGGGTGTTTATTGCATATTCTTGCCTTTTGATGTGTGTGTGTGCATGAGAGAGAGAGAAAAAAAAAGAAAGGGAGAGAGGAGAGGCGAGAGAGAGTACAAGAGAGAAAGATATTTTAGACTGTGGTCTATTAGCATGTCTAGGAAATCAAGTTGAATTTGGATTGGGTTACAGGTTGAGAGACCTCAGCTCGTCACTGTAATCCTCTGACATTTCCCTTTTACTTTTTGGCTCTTGTCTGAATCAAGAATACATCTTCCCGTTCCCTCTTCCATGTTTACATCTTCTTTTGGGGCAGCTGTATAAAGTTACTGTCTGTCTACAGCAAGTCTCCTTAATTCTTTTGGGGACTGCTCGACAGAGGCACAGTCAAGGATAGAACCATTAGAGACGGTCAGCTTTTGGACAAAGACAAAAAAATATGTTGAGGAATAGGAGAAATGTTCCAATTGTCGATTATGTGTTTTCCTGTGGTATGCTGATGTCTGTGACTGTTGTCCACAGAAAGAGAGCGTGAGCAGGGGCTGGGGCAGAGATAAAAGGGAGATTCTCCCCAAACCAACAAATGTGGAGAGAGAGCAGGAGTCCCCAGCAACAGATATGGAGCCAAACAACCCTGGGAAGTAACTAGGAAACTTCCTGGTGACCTGAGATGTGTTTTGTAATCACTGGTGAAAGTAGGAGGAGATGGGGTAGAGGAGAGTTACAGGTAGAGAAGTTCCGTGGGAGGAGACCCCAAGGTGAGAGAAAGCAGGGACTTAAAGAACTGAAAGAAGCCCAGGGAGGGGATGAACAGAGAACATCCCATATATCCCATATCCAGTATGGTGGAGAGGTGGGCGGGAGCCAACTGGGAGCTTACTTTTTTTTTCCCAGGGGCATGGGAACTATGGAAAACTCTGAGGGCACAATTAAGCTTTTGTTTTTAAAAAGATCCCTCCGGCTGCAGTGTGGCTCTGAATAAAGAGTTGTTCAATGAAGAAAGGAATGGCTGATGGTTGGATTGATGGAAGAATTAATGAATGAGCAAACGAATGCATGAGATGCAGAGGGAACGCAGCAAGCCTGATTTGATCTCTGGTTACTTTGACCAGTACTGGCTCCAGGGGCGATTATCTCAGCCTGGGAGGCCAGGGAGTAATGCATTGATTAGAATGTCTCTGGACACATGGATTAAAATATCTGATATTTTAGGGTGGTTGATAGTGGGGAGGACTTCTGAAACTTTTTCCCTCTTCTATGCATTTCCATCCTAATTTGATTTCATTCAGGATCAAAAAAGAAGATGGCTTTTGAAATTACATCCCAGAAAATCTGAAACTGTGGCATTGACTTGCTCCAGAGAGGGCTGCTTGCATGGAAGACCTTTTCATAGGCTCATCGTGGAATAGGGACAGATGATAAAGTTTCTTGGGCATATGAAGGGGTCCCAGATTTCTGGACGTCAGATCCACCCATAGATGATTCCTTGGATTAAATGATGTGTGTGTGTATGTGTGTGTGTGTGTGTGTGTGTGTGTGTGTGTGTGTTTAAAGTTTTAAAGTCTCCTGAAAATTACCAAGTGCTACTGAACATTTTTTTTGTCAGTAGTGGATATCTGGATAATTTCTTTCAAGGCCACATTGCTTAGCATGTATAAGGAAAGTGTGTGCGGCAGAGACCCAGATGGACAGCCGGCATGCCATCCAGTTGCTTGGGGAGTGTGAATACTCCTTGGCAAAGCCAAAGGGAGCCAAAGAGGACCTCTAGTGTCTTTGCTCTCCCATGTCCTGACTATTCCAATCTCACTTTGCATTTTGAGATCTTTTAACTTTTGCTAACAGTGATTGCTCAGGATGTCATTCAGGCCAATTAAATTTGAATGTCTAGGGTTGGGACAGAAGCTCACGAGGTGAATGCAATGTGCAGCCACGTTGAGAACCACTAGCTGACACTGCTAATCTACTCTGCTCTCCTCCCTGCCTTTTGGCGGCTTTGCCATGATATCTGTCCCATCCTCACCTCAGTTTGCTGAGAACTCCTCACTTAGTTAAGGAAGTTCTTCTAAGGATGTTCAACTAATATGGGCTAAGGCCTCCTATCCCCTAAAAATCCAGCATTTGCCTGAGAAATTGGACGCTAGGAGGATAAGACAGGTTCTTAGCAGATTCTGAAGCACTCACCGTCTCTCATCTGCTGAAGGGTGTATTGAGGATGAATGATGGGGAACAGCAGGGAGAAAGACCAGCATCCATAGGGCAGTAACAGGGTGCAGACACCTATTTATATGTGTCATCGTAGTTCCCCTGACAGCTCCCAGAACCAGATATTATACCAGGCAGATATACCAGGCTTACAGGCACCTATTTATATGTGTCATCTCCTTAGTTCCCCCAACAACTCACAGAGGCAGATATTATACCAGGCTTGAGGGCACAACAACTCACAGAGGCAGATATTATACCAGACTTGAGGGCACAGTTTGCATAATGCATTCATAATGCAAAGTGGTTTGTGATCTTGGAATGATCAGACTTCCTACACTGGTTCTCCCCAGTAATTTGCATATCAGCCAGATACCCTCCTCTAGGGTTAGCTATGATCAGGGCTGCTGATTTCTGGCACTGATGGCTCAATGGGAAGGAAAGCGCCTATCCCCTCTGTTCTGTGGGATTCAGCAATCTTGGGCTGGTCCTTCCAGGAGGCCCAACCTGAGGACATGCTTTAACCAACAGGCCTTTATATTGAGAAAATAGTAGTTCTCTTCCTTGCCATTTCCCTGTTAGGAAGCCATGGCTTGCAGGACAGCCAGGGAGTAGAGGTTCAGAGAAGGAGGCTAAAAAAATCAAGACCTGAAAAAGTTAAGTTTCCAACCATATATTCCCAAATTGTAGAGTGGACCATATGGAATCATTGCAATCCCTGGGTTTCTCATTTACAACTTTTGCAAAAGATATTACTATGTATGCTGTCAGGCATGCTGGAGCCGGATGTCTAGCACCCATTGCTAAGTGCATGCTTCGGTAAGAGCTTTGGACTTGGGATTCTCCAGACTGCTGAGTGACCTACGTGTAGTTTAGCAACATAATGCTTGGAATGAGCCACGCCGACCTGATGCGAGAACCGGATGGTAGCCGAAGAGAGCAGGCCAGGTAGTGAGACAACTATGATCTGCAGAGGTGGGCAGCGGGGTGGAGACAGGCTTCTTCTGCACCAAGTACTGCTACCTGAACTGTACATCACAGAGACAAGCCCTGCCGAGAGCAGTGGAAGCAGGAAAACACAGGCCTATCTCTGTGTCTGTCATGTAAGTAAGTCTCTCTTGGCTGTGTGTACCTGCCACCATCACCCCATCCCACCCCAAATATACAGCATCACCTTCAGCTATAGCTTTTGGTTTTTGATTAAAGGACAGTAATATTTCCAGGAGGGAGAAGAGTGATGAACAGAAGCATTTATGTATGGACACTGGGCAATTTATTGTTTTTCAAAGTCTAATCTAGAACATGTTTGCAAGAAAGCGTGAATTGAGTAAAAAGTTTACTATCGTATTAAGGACTGTTAGGTACAATGACTGAAGGAGGAGTTAAGAGTGATCCTTCAATAATTCCCCTGTGGGATTATGCACATTTAAGGAAAAATGTTCTTCAGGCTATTTCTGCCTTAGAGCTAGGCATCATTACAGCGAAATAGAGAACTAACCTTTAAGCAAGAGGAACCAAGTTCTAGTTCTATTTCTGTCAATCACTGTACGCACAACCTCTCAAAGCCTTAGTTTCCTCTTTGCAAAGTGGGATAATAAACCCTACCTACTTAACACAATGTGGGGTTTCAGGTGAGATGATGCATAGGATCGTGCTTGGCAAGCTGTAAATCTGTAAATTACAAATATATATTATGGTTTCAACTGGTACATTCCTAAGCGAATAGCACATTGCTCTGTTGGGAAGACGGCTCTTCTCCAAGTCAGGCTGGGATAATGTTCCCTGACAAGACACTGCCATACCTAGGTGTTCCCCAAACATTGTCTCTGGGAACCTTGAGGAAGCACCATAAGACATGGGAAGAAATGTTACAGCGCTGGCTTGAAAGAATAACAATGTATCAGTCTACTTATTTCTGATAATGTCATCTTGGGATAAGAGACTCAGGGTAGCTTAGTGAGGGACATGGGCATGCACTGCACAGTAAAAATGGTGTCCAGGAAACCTGGGTTTATTTCAGTATGGGTTGCCCACACTTCTGCCAACCCAGTCCCCTACTTCGTCCCCAGCTGCTCTTGATGAACTCTCTGCACACACTTGCACCTGTATCTGTGAAACAGAGCTCCTCCTCTTACATGAGAATGGATCTGGTTGCAAATCTAATAGATTCCGCTACCACAATGTCCCCTGCCTTTTTTGTTTACTTCATTTATGAAAATACCCTTGAAACATCCATAGTCCCATTTTGTAGACATGGTGCTTTATGTCTTTGAGATTATTAAATACTCATGCTCCTTTCTGATTGCTGTTTTCACCTCTTCTTTAGGCTTGGGCTTTTCTATTGGTGGAATTTGCTGTTCCTTTTCATGGTGCTGGCTTTCCTGAGTTGGGTGGTTGCTAATTCTTATTGCCAGTTTGTCTTCTGTGACAGATTCTCCGACATGCCTCGGATGTGGCTTCCGTGCTTGGCTTTAGCTTTTTATCTGGGCTCTCGTGTCCTGAATATTTACCTTCTTTCAGGAATTTCTCACAGCTTCTAGCCAATGAAAGTCCCCCTTCTTATTGTCAAACCCAGACAGTTATAATTTTATTTTAAATGTACTTTTTGTTACATTGTTTTGGGAGTAGGGCTGGAAGGACTTGCTAATGGATGAGTGGTGGAAAGTGAGAGAAAGAAAGATATGATGGAAGAAGGAGCAATCAAAGCCCCAGAAGGAAGCTATCGCATTGTTCTTGGATTCCTAAGCCTGCCAGAAAGAGCTGACTTACTTTACAGTTTCTGAGAGAACTATGTGTGCTATTACTAGAAGCACAAGAGAAAGAAAAATAGGATGTTCAGCATGCTTCATTTATCTAATGTGAAAAATGAACTCTGCCCAGTGACTTAATGGGCATAAACTCTGTTTCTAAAAAAGCCACTCATTCGGCAACGCACTTCTGAGTTCTTGATATGGTAAGGTATTGTGTTCTGTGCTGGACAGGAATACAAAAATGCACGGTTCCTCACCTCCAAGAACTTATAGTACATGTAGGGAAATAAGACAACCCCTATTGAATATCACTCAAGATGGAAATGACTAGGGCCATGGAATGTAACACACAGAGGGTACCTGGAGTTCCTAAGACTTCTGATGGATGATTGAGGAGAGCCCTGGATCAGGTAAGCAATTTGAAGGGATAGGGATAGCACAGACAGCACAGGGGTGGAAACAAGTGTGGAGTGTCGAGAGCTTGACCAGTACGCCTGAAAGGGAGGGAGTGTACACAGAGCGTTAATAGGAGCTCTGTCTCGAGGCAGCTTCCCTCAGCCCCTCCCAGGACATCGAGGTTTTGGGAGAAAGAGCCTATTGCTCACTCTCACGGCTCTTCTCCTTTTTCTCTGCTTTCAGTTTGTTCTTTGAACTTTTTGGAAACTTCCCCTGTTCTTTCTTTAACACTGTGCTTCATCTCTTGGGGTTCTACGTTTTGCAGGTTGTAGTGCTTGAGATCCAGCCTTCCCAAATGATTTCTCTGAATTTAGTATTTGGTATGGGTTTTGCTATTTTGCTGCCATCCCAGCCCTAGCAAAGAAACGACTTACCCGGAGTATGGACAGGGCTTCAGAGAAAACCCCTAACATTCCTGACTCCCGACTTTACAGAGCTCTGCCAAACCTTGCCTTGCGGGAGTAAGAAAAGCGCTAACAAGCCATCCTCTTTGGTGTCAAGTGCAGACAAATCACTTAGCCCCTCTGAGGTCCTCCAACAGTAAGCTACTGGTTTGTGAAACCCCAGGATAATCCATCTGATTTCAGTCCTGCATTTAGTCACTTAGAACATTCTCGCACATGCATTTGCTGGCTCATGTACATACGAATATACACATATCCCTCTTTGTGCCCTTTCTTAGCCTCTGATGATTTCTTCTCCTCCAGGAGGCAGGAATCCAAGGCTTATAAACCATGACTTCTGGGAAGTTTTTTCTTCTGCTTAACCAGGGTATCATTGTTTTTTCTGCCTTCCCCTGGAGAATCACTGGCCACTGCCCTAGTGGTTGGGGCAAGGATCAGAGGTAGCTTGCATTCTGGGGTTTGTCCCCAAAGCCTCGGTGGGACTCTGCATTGGGGTCTGTAGCCTGGATCCACTCCAGTACCTTAACTAATCTCTTGACTCCCAGATGGTCCAAAATATGTGGATTTAGAAGAGCAACAGACAGCTGTTCCTCTGGGCCTCTCCAAGAACACGGTTTGGTGTCTAGACCACCTTAGAGAAACATGGCAGAGGAAATCATGGTGGAGCAGCATGGAAACAGGTGAAACCCAGACTTAGTACCTTGTTAAATTCCATCCTGGAGTGGAGATACCAGAGGAGCAGATATTACCTTTATTAACTGATAGAAATGTTTGGGGATTTCTCTGACTTCTTGTAGGGTTGGATAAGCCCCAAAGTGAAGAGAATTTTGCTCCTTGTTTTAGCCATTAGGAAACTCAAGACCCTGCTACAGTGCTATTGGTTTAATTTTTCCCTATCACATTGCCTCTGCAACTTCTGAATGGTTGCAGCCATTTCTTAAAATTTCCCTGCATTGTCACTCAGACAACAAGAATAGATTTGGCCTTCTTCATCTCAAAATAATGGTCATGATTAATAGTTATTGGACTGGGAACAGTGCTCAGCCCTCTGTACGTGATCTCAGGAATCCTCACAGTACTCAATGAAATAGCAATTTTATTATCTCATTTTTGCAGACAAAGCAACGGAAACTTCCACACATTTTCTACATTGCACCTAAGATCATCTGAGAAACTATGCTGTACTTGTTTTTCTAATGTATGATCTGATTTTTCTATTATAATGTTAATTCTATGAGGACAGGGCTTTCTGTGGCCTTGCTTCATTGCTGTATCTCCAGCACCTGGACTACTGCATGGCACCTGGTAGTTACTTAGTAAAGGTTTTTCAAATGACTGAGTAACTCATCCAAGATTAAATGTCTAGGAAGTGGTGGCACCAAGCTTAGGACGACTCTTTTCTGATTCCAGAGTCCAGACAGCCCTAACCACTATCCCACACTACCTTCTTGTTTATTTTTAAATCATTTTCCTTCCCTTCAATCCCTCTCCAGTGCCTTACACCTTCTTGCTGTAATTTGAAGCATGGCCACAGTAAGCTACCTCAAGTTTCTCATCTGTAAAATGGGGATAATATAATGAACTACCTTATGGGATTGTACCCCTCTGCATGGTAGCCTCATCCTACTGTGCCTCCTAACCACGGCCTTTAAATCAGCAGGTATAGTTAATATATTTAGTTCTTTTAATCTAATCTGAAACACAAAGCATTTGCTTCCTTAATTCAAGATTTTTGGCTTTGCCTAGACTAAGCTTAAAACCAAAGAAGTACTGCAGAACTGACTGAGGCTGCCAGAAGTACCACACTCTTGCACCCAGCCAGTGGGAAGTGGAAAGATAACAGCTAAGCCTTTGGGGATCCTTCCAGAAGTAGTGATGACGTACAGCATTCTTTCTGATTATGAAGTAAATATCTGTTCTAATGTATGTTCAACATAGAGAGTTAAGAAAATGGGGAAAGAATAAAGAGTAAAACAATGACCAGAAATACCTTCAATACCCTTTGACATTCTTTCTCTGTGTGTGCATGTGTTTGTGTGTCTTTGTTTCTGTGTCTGTATATGTGTATTTCCTTTATTTTTGTTTTTTTACTTTAATGTAATTTTTAGAGACAAGGTCTTACTTTGTCTTGTAGACTCGCGTGTGGTGGCGTGGCACTCATGGTTCACTGCAACCTCCAATTCCTGGGCTCAAGCGATCCTCTTACCTCAGCCTCCTGTGTAGTTAGGACTGCAGGCATGCATCACCATTCCTGGCTAATTTTTCAATTTTTGTGAAGACGGGCTCTCACTATGTTACTCAGGATGGTCTCAAACTCCTGGCCCGAAGCAATCCTATCACCTTGGCCTCCCAAAGTGCTGGGATTACAGGCGTGAGCGACCATGCCCAGCTCCCTTTTATAAATAAGGGGCTCACCATACAATATAACCAGTTTTTACCTGGCATTTTCCAGTCATTATTGCATTGTACGTATCTCCCCATGTCTTTTTCTTTTCTTTTTTTTTTTTTTTTTGTTGACGGAGTCTCACTCTCTTGCCGGGCTGGAAGGCAGTGGCGCAATCTCAGCTCACTGCAACCTCCGCCTCCCGGGTTCAAGTGATTCTCCTGCCTCAGCCTCCCGAGTAGCTGGGACTACAGGCGCCCGCCACCACGCCCAGCTAATTTTTGTATTTTTAGTAGAGACGGGGTTTCACCATGTCAGCCCAGGAAGGTCTCGATCTCTTGACCTCGTGATCCACCCGCCTCGGCTTCCCAAAGTGCTGGAATTACAGGCGTGAGCCACCGCGCCTGGCCCTCTCCATGTCTTTAATTATTCTTGCATAAGATGACTTTTCACTGCATAATATTCCATCACATACCACTCTTTAACCATTTTGCTTCTGGGGCACATTTTCCTTTTGGTCACACTTTTTATACTACAGTTGCCATCCTTTTACATACATTTGAATACACATATCTGGCTATTCTCTCAGAATAGATTTCCAGACGTTACCTTTCCAAGCTTGAAGATGTTAACATTTTAAAGAAAGATGGTTATTCTTGAAAGCCCTGACAGCTCTGAGTGGGGAGCCGGGGCTGATGGTTACCACAGGATAGCGGAAAGGCACACTGGCTGGCCTGTGTGTACTCACGCATCCCCCCACCTAGGGCAGCCTTGGGAAGAGCACTCAGGATTATGAGAAAGACTGTCGCCTCCCCTTTGCTTCATTAGCTGATCCTCTAAGCATATGTGCTTTCTTGGTCTAATTTTCGGATTGGTCTTCTCCTATATTCTCTTCCTACTCCCCACCCCGACCTTACAGCTAAGTGCACATCTCATGTAGTGCAGTGGGAAAGAACCGTAAGGCAGAAGCCGGGCTGACTTGGCTGTGAATCCCAGCTCCATCACTTGCTGGCCAGGTGACTGAGTAAGATCGTTTACACATCCATCATCCTCAAGTTTCTCATCTGTAAAATGGGGATAATAATGTAACTGCCTTATGGCATTATATAAGGATTGTATGACTGAACACATGTAGAATGCTTAGAACAATGCCTGGCATATATGAAGCATTTAATACATGGTGTATTAAATTAGTTTTGAAAAGAATAAATTAATAACAATGATGAACATTTTTGATACCTATTTTCCTATTGTTTTGACTCTCAAAGCCAGTTGCAAGCATATTTAGCACTGTGATGTATGTGTGACTTACTGCAAAGTCTTTTTTCCAGTCCCTGATACCAGCTCTCTCTTCACCTTCAGTGTTTCCTACCCCTCCTGCCTCCCCTTCCCTAAGAATATTGCTGTTTCACAGAGTGTAGGCTTTCCTCTGGCTTCCAGATCTGCCCACATATGCACACTTCTCTTTCCCATCCCTGTTGGACTCTTTCTCCTTATCAGTTTATTTGTTCCAGTTGGGAAGAACTGGAACCTGGTCGGCAGCTTTTCCAGTTGGCTTTATCTGTGCGCTGCATTGTAAAACTGTTCTCTCTTGCTTAGAAATCTCTTTGATCCATGTTTAGCTGTATTTATTCTTCCAACAGATGTTTTGGGTAGTGAGAGGATTTTCTTCTCGCATTTGCCTAGTCTCATGCTCCTTCATGCTTCCCACTTGTTCGGGATCTTTTTGCCAGCTGACCACAGACAGGGGCCATCTGTCGTGAAGGTCTCCCTGGCCCAGCAGACCAGGAATGGCCCAGCAACCAAGACTTTCTGAAGGGCTTAGTGAAGGGGAGGAGGGAGGAAGATGTTGGAGAACTGTGTAGGGTAGAGTTTGAGTTTCCCAGACACATTCCAGGAGCTCTTTTGATCCAAGGTATACATGATTTGGCTTGTGCTCTGTGGCAGGTTAACAAAAACACAACCTTCCATTGTCTCCTGTAGACAACAGAGTGAGGCCCTTGGGCATGGCAGGTAGCCTAAGACTACCCCTGAGAGTTGGGAAGTGTATGAGTCTCCTGGGGCTGCCGTAACAAAGCACCACAAATTGGGTGGCTTAGCACAACAGAAATGTATTGCCTCACAGTTCTGGAGGCCAGAAGTCCAAGATCAAGGTTGCGGTCAGGGCCGTGTTTCATCTGAAGGCCCAGGGAAGCAGCTGCCCCACGCCTTCTCCTAGCCTCTGGTAGCCTCTGGCATTTCTTGGCTTATAGATGCATCTGTCAAATCCTGTGTCTTCATATGGCTTTCTCCTTTGTCTCACACTGTCTTTCCTCTGTGCATGTCTGTGTTCAGATGTCCCTTTTTATAAGGATGTCAACCCAATTGGATTAAGTTCTACCCTAATGATCTCATTTTAACTTGGTTACCTCTGTAAAGTCCTTATTTCCAAATAAGGTCATGTGCTCAAGTACTAAGGGGTTAGGACTCCAGCATATCTTGGTGGTAGACACAATTCAACCCATAATGGGAAGGAAAGATGTTGGGCACCTGTAACTCCTCCAAACACCCACAGAGTGCAGGGTGAGCTGTGTGCTAACACATAGTCAGTTCTCTTTGGGGTGAGGAGGCCTAGGGGCAGGGCCCCCATGTGGGGTCTCTGTCCACACCAGCAACAATAACAACCAGGGAGGAAAGCATCTCATTTTCCTTGGCTCAGTTCAGCTTTTTATGTTTTTAGCACAATGCCTGCTTTGCTCTTCCAACAATTTGGGAATCTCTGGGAGCTGTGCATGGAAAGCAAGGAGGACAGCGGCGAGAAAAAGGGGGAGTAGATGGAGGGTCTTGGAAAGCAGAGGGCCTAGGCAGGCAGAGAGGACAGGAAAGTATAGCGAGCAGAGCGGCAAATTGGTGGGGAGGTGCAGAAGGCTGCTTGGCAGCCAGGAGTTCTTGCCCTGGCCCTGCCATGAGGCTGCATGTCTGTGGCCTAGGTATTTACCTTCTCCAGGCCTCAGTTTCTCTGTAGGCAAGATTGGGAGGTGGATGGGTGCTCTCTAGGATCCCTTCCTGGCCAGAATAACATTCTCAGCAGGAGCCTAACGTGTGGAGCAAATGGGAGCACTGGGCTCCGGCCTCCTGCAGTGAGCACAGCCCCTGTTCTTGTGGAAACATCTTCCAATAGGGCTGCCCTGCCTACAGGGTCATGCGGCATGCATCTGCTGCCTGCCTGCGCTCTTGAAACAGCCTCCACTGCTCCCCTCCCAGCTCCTGTCTCTCTGCACACGCAAGCGTGCTACTCCTTTTCATGATCCCCATTAGTATTCTTTGACGATGGCATACATCTGTCTTCGATCGTTGTCAGCTCTGGGAGGCTTATGCCAAGCTTCTTGAGCGTAACCCATGACTGCCTGGGTTAGGTGTTGTGAGCTGTCCAGGAGGCAGGAGGACGATGCATGCAAGTCAGGGCTTAGGGCAGAAGTGCCTGGGCCTGGCCTCCCCTTGGACTCCAGGAGTCCTGTCCTAACAGAGCCCACAGCCCCCTATCCATCTGGCCTCTGTAACCCCTCCCCAACACACACACACACACACACACACACACACACACACACACACACACACACATAGCCCCTGTGATTGAGGGGGCCCCAATTCCTGTTCATATCCTCCAGGATAGCCCACCTGCACCCTCGACAGTGAGAGACAAAGTTCTATTCCCTGTTTAGATGGGTGCTGGGGACAATGGAAAGGAGGTGTGGCTCTGAGAAGTTCATGTCTTGCTCAGGGCACACAGCAGCTGATCGGGAACATGTTGCTGACTCCAAGATGCTGCCTTGCAAGAAGCTGGCTCTATCCTTCTTTTGGCTGAAGTGCCTTTCATGGATGGTGAGGGATGTGCAGGGAGAAGTGTCAGGAGTGAGGGTCAGTGGTTAGAATCAGGCAGTCCACAGAGTCTGAGAAAGCAAGACATTCTCTGGCAGTCTGGGGGTCATGATCGCCCACCCCAGCCCAGATAACCCTCACAGCTGTGCGGGCCACTAGAGAAAAAGGAGGGCATGTTTGGGGCAGGAGAGGCAAATGTTTGCTTATCTGTGACTTCTTCCTCCAAGCATGTCCGGACCTCCAGTCAATGGTGGGCTGTCAGTCGTCAGCTGAGGTTGAGCTTTCCTTAGCAGGAGCACTGGTCACTTGGGCTGGGATGGTTCTTAGTGGTACAGGATGCACTGCAAGCTTTAAATGCGAGTGGCATCATCCCCTTCCGGTCACCATGGCAACCAGAAACACCTTGACACATTTCCAAATGCCCTTTAGTAGGGCAGTGACAGCCCTTTTGAGAATCACATAGAATCGCATTGATTGATGAGTGAAAAATAAATGGATGGTAGCCTCCTTTTGTGATTTTTGCAGCGGCCTTTAGCTTCCTTTACTCACCCCAGAAATCAGTGGGACCCTGGGAGCTGTGTACCCCTCAGACCCAGTTGGAACCCAGCCAAGAGTACTTAATCCATCCCCACTTGTGGGGCCAACGGCACCTAACCACCTCAGGCACGGTGGACCTGGCTCCTCAGAGAGCTCTAGGGACAGAGGAGAGAAAGGGTCTGCATTCTGTTTGCAGCCCTGATCGTGAGCTCTGGGGGTCCTCTTCCACCCCCACCCCCACCCCCAGCCCCTGGAGCAGGTACTCGGGGTCAGAGCTCTGCTGAGGGTCTGGCTCTGGGAGGGGAGGTTTGTGTAAGATTCCCTCCCACGGTTCAGCACAGATGGGATGACAAGGACCAAATTCTGTTTCTGGGCTCTGATATTTGCCAAGATTTTTACCAGGCTTCCTGGAATAGACAGGGAAGCAGAGCAAGCTCCCGTAGGTCAAGTGATTTGGGCCCGAGTTGACCCAGAGTCCCTAAATGACTGCTGTGTAGCTACCATGAGTGTGCTGAGTGGCCCATAGGGGCAGGTATGAGAGAGGTGCTGAGGGAGGCAGGGGGCCCGCAGAACGGCCTCCCATCTCCACTGCCCGTCCCCAGGTCCACAGGCTCACAGAGCAGACACGGTCTGTGCCTGGGTTTGCTCACCCACAAGAGGAAGAACATAACATCTCGCTCCTTTTGCTGCACAGGATAAAACGAGAACAGAGAGGAAACAGGAAGTGCTTTGCATTCCAGAAAGAGCAGCAACTGTATAAAGTCATGCATATTAGGATTTGAGGTATGCATGGTCAGAAGTTAGAAACTAACCGAATCTTGTCATTGCCAGGAAGTTTCGGGGTTCTGTGACTGGTGGCCACTGATGTTCCTGTGTTCCTCCATTCCAGCTCCTACCTTGACTGTGTCCTCCTCTTCACACCTAACTTCTTTAGTGAAGGCTCCATTTCCTCATTTCCTGTTCAATGCTTAAACCCCTTGCAATCTGGCTTCTACCATCGCCTTATCACAGACCCTTCTCTGGCTTTGCCTTGCCTGGCCCTTCCATGATGTCTTCTTTCTTGAAACCCTCTTTCCTTGGTAGGATACCACGGCATCCTGGTTTTTGTCCTACCTCTGTGGCTGTTTCTGCGTGCTTTCCTTAGCTGACTTTTGCTCCTTTATCTGACCTGGGCTCTCCTCTCTCCATACACTCTCCATAGCCTATTCTAAGTGTCCCAGGTCTCTTATATCTTATCTCTCAAATGCACAATTACTTTGTGTTAGCTACAGACCCATATATCCAGCTTCCCTATAGATACCCCAAATGTCTTTGTAGGCTCCTAAACTCAGTGTATGCTAAGCTGAACAGGGGCTCCTTTTGTGCCCCAAACTTTCCCAACTCCAGTGAGTCTTCTCCATTGTCTTTCACCTTAATAAATGGAACCACCTGCGACTCTAGTGTGTGGTCCAGAGACTTGGAAGTCACCTCAGCTTGTCTCTCTGTCATCCGCAGGATCGGGCAGCCTCCAAGTCCTCATCATTCTAACTCTCATAATGCCTCTGGAGTTTGTCCAGATCTCCTCGTCACCACTGCCGCTACGCTAATCAAAACCACCATTGTCTCTTGCCATCCTCCATACTTTGCAAAGTTAATTGGGTCATTTTTCTACTTGAAATCTTATAATGGCTCTCCAGTGCCTCTGAGTCCTTGTTTTTTCAACACTGTTCACACTCTCCCCACCTCTCTCTCACTCATACCCCATGCACCAGCCATCCTGGGTTTTGCTGTTTTTGTTTCCCAGAATGCACAATGCACCTTCTGGCCTCTGAGCCACAGCACCTGGGTATTTGCTCACACTACTGCAGCTCTCCTCTTCCCTGCCACCACGCCTTTCTTGCCTGACTGTTAGTATGCAGCAGTGGCCACTTGAGCATGACCGCCTCTGGGAGGCTGTCCCTAGTCCTCTGTCGCATTCTGGGGCTCCCTATCACACACTCCCATTGCATGCTGCAGCATCCTCAGCACCCAGCATTCCTTATTGTAGTTCCTGATTCAACACCTTTCTCAGGAGACTCTGGACTTCTTGAAGGCAGGAACAATTCCCACTTGTTCCTAGTAGCATTCCAAACCACACGTGACAGTGTCTGGCTTATAATAAGCAGCCAATAAAAAGTTGATGAATGAATGAATAAGTGAAAACAGAAGGTGTTTGCCTGCAGAAATCTGGAATAAGATCAAAGATCAGAGCTGGGATTAAGGAAAAAACTTCCTTGGGGTGGCACTATGAATTCCCAGAACAGGTGACTAACCCTCATTCACTTTGGCAAATGTTTATCCCATGCCACGCAACCAGGCAAAAAGTTGAATGAGGTTTAATCCCTTCCCACACGGAGCTTATTCCTTCTTTGGAAGTCCTTTAAACAAGCTCTGAAATGATTTTGGCAGGTAGACAAACTGGTCCTCATTTCTCTGTGACCAGTAAGTAGGGAAAGCAAGCACACATACACACACACACACACACGTGCACACGCACACTGACAGACAACCTTGCTCACTCACATGGGCATGCCCAAACCCTTCTTCTATTTTATAGGATGGTAACTCACTCTTTAGTTTAGACTCTTGACGTGCCATGGAAAATCCCACTCGCCCTAGAACTGGGGGCCGGGCAGGTTTGACTGTAACAACGAAGCCTGGAGCTTACTCTTTGCTGATTGGCTTTCCTTTCTGTCTCCATTTTTCCCCTGGTGAGCACTGCAGTTGTGTTCTTCCTCCCAAAGGTAATGCCTGGTTTGGCTCACTAAAACCTGTTCTTTCTGTACCGAGAGCTCATCTTCTCTTCCTCTTCTGGATTCTCAAATGAGATGACGTCAGAGGATGGAGGCCAACCACACCCTTCCTCCTTGACCCTGATAAAGTTTCTTGGAAACCCTATACTCAGAGGCAGCCAATTCTTGCCAGTGGAAGAGTGAAAAGAGGGCTTGGGAAGCTCAAGGCTCAGTGTCTGTCCCCAGGTCCCCCAGTTAAAGACACATCTGTCCTTCACTCTCAAAGATGTTGCCATTGCTCCCCTGCTAGAGTGACACACTGCACTCCCTCCTTCCCTTCACACCCCAGCAAGAGGCTATTTCCCAGGGGTCTTATAAGCAGATTTCATCTTCTCTTGTGCTGTTTTCTTATTTCAATTATCTTCAGGGAGGAACGTGCATATTGCGTCATTGCCTGGCTGTGAAATTTCATTTCCATTTCTTTACACCTGCAGTTGCAATACGAGAGAGAAAAGGCCAGAGCTTAGCGGATGTCCTAGACGCAGGTTATCAAGGTGCTGTGGCTGTGGTTTCCCGGAAAAGGCCTTGGTCCCAGAGCACATTTTATCAGCAGGACCTTCGAGGGGCTGCGTTCCTTCAATTGTTTTCTCTTTGGGGTCTCTGGTCTCCAGTTCTTTCTTCTCTAGCATGTGAGATCTGTGCTTTTGATTCATGCCTTTAAGTCTGACATTGAAAAAATATCTGATTTGCCATTCCAGATGCTCGTCCTCATTTGCAAATTTTCCTAAAGGGCCAGATTGTCCTCTGGCCTTTTCCCTTTTCCTGGTCCCACCTCACCACCCTCCCACTGGGGCTTCACAGAGGCAGAGCTAGTCTCCTTTCATTTTTTAAAATTAATAGTCTTCAATTTTTAGAACAGTTTTAAGTTCACAGAAAAATTAACCAGCTATTACAGAGTTACCGTATAACTCCTCCCCCTCACTCCCCAGTTTTCTCCATTATTAGCATGTTGCATTAGTGCAGTACATTTGTTGCAGTTAATAAGCAAATATTAGCCCATCATTATTAACTCAAGTCTATAGTTTACATTAAGGTGTATTCTTTGTGTTTTACAGTTTTATGGGTTATGACAAATGCATAATGTTATGTATCCACCATTATAGCATACAGAATAGTTTCACTGCCCTAAAACTCTCCTGTGCTCCACCTGCCCATCCCTCCTCCCTCCTCTGCCACCAATCCCTGGCAGCCACCAGTCTTTTGACTGCCTAGAGTTTCGCCTTTTTCAGAATATCATAGTAGTTGGAATAATACAGTGCGTAGTCTTTTCAGACTGGCTCCTTTCACTTAGCAATATGCATTTTAAGTTTCTTCCATGGAAACTTTGCTTTCATCCTTTTATCACCACAAGGCCAGTCATCCAAGGAATTTCTCCATCTCTGTCTGTTCCTTTCTAGTTCTATGTGTGCCACTGCTTGGCATAGAATAGGTATCCATTTAATGAACATTCCCTTTCACCACCTGGGACACCTTCCCAGGGATAACAAAAATAAAACCAGCTAGGTCAATAGCAGAGCCCCCATCCCAGTTTTAACCTCATTCTCCCCTCTTTCCACAATAAACTGGATCAGAACCAGCAGCTCTGTAAGACTGCATTTCTTTCCCTTAATACCAGGCCCCAGAGAGCATTTGATTCCTTGGCAGAGAGGTGTAGGCTTAATTAATTTTTCTCCTTTTTTCTTTGAACATCTTGGAACACACACACACACATTCGCATTTATGCACAATTGGGTGTATGAGAATTTTAATGGCAGGTGGTGTTAGCAGTTCTTTTCCTCCTGATACAGATCAGGGTTTTTCCATCTGGGCCTTTTAGCAGGGCCTATGAATATTGACTTTCTAACCACTTGGATTTGGGTGGAGTGTGCAGAGTGGGATTGGGGGGGAAGGTTCAAGGGAGAACTATACTTATGTATAAATCACATGTGAAGGGAGTTTTGAAGTCATTATTGCTTCAGGATGTGCGAACCATAATTATTTTTTAAGGTCTTGATTTGCCCAAAGAGCATTTCCCAGGGTTGCTGCTCCAAGCATGACGTCTGTGCTGTCAGGAGGTGCAGCATAGTCTGATTCGAGTTTAATCGCTTTAAAGGAGGCCCTGGGTAGGATCTGGTCTCTAGGTTCTCAGCTGTGGTCAGTCCTCCATGCAGCAAAACATCCAGATGACTTAGATGATTAAGACAGCAGACTTAAAGTGAAGAAGAGATTTTTTCCCTTATTCTTTCCTTTTATTATTAGTTTTTAAATGGTTGGCTACATGGGCTGTTGGTCATTCTCCATGTTCTCTGTGCTCTCCTCAGCTCTCTGCTCAAAACAGGCTGCACCGGCCTGCCTAAACCCTGAAAGCAACTTCTCAGCTGCCTACTTTCTGCCTTTTGACCCCCAAGCCAATCCCCATCTCCTTACCACCCTCCCGCCATGTCCTCATACACCTGCCTCTCCTTGACTTCATTCTTCATGCTCCATCAGCAACAGCCCTCTGTCAATAATGATTGTCCCAGGGAAGTGTATTCAAGGGTCACATAAAATGTGCCCTCTCTATGTGTTGAGAAGGTTTTCTGTCCCCAAAGGAGCTCTCTGGATAATGAGGAAGGTTGAACTGGGGCAGCCTACAGGAAGAAGCCCTTAGAAGGGAAACCTGTGGCATAAACCATGCTGATCCACGACTCTTATTTTGGAATAGCTATTTAAAAAGAAATATGAAGAACTCGTAAGACTTGGAAAAGAAAACTAGAGAATGTTGAAAATGTCCAAGGGTTATGTGTATGATGTGTATGGGGAAATTTTAAAAGAATGTGGTAGAAAACTGAATTTGTGGTAAAATGTTGTCACAGGACGGCCTGTTCTTTCATTGAATTATGTCTTAGTGCAGGGATGACAAATAAATACAGCAACTGTGCTGCCATTCTCACATCTTTTCCTACAGTAGGCATCACTAATCAATTACAACATTCTTTTCCACTGTCATGCCTTTGCCTACAGCAGACATCACTAATCAATCACAGCACTCTCTCTCATTGAGTTTCAAAGGTTTTTTAATCCTCCACATAGGTCTCTAAGTAGCTATATACCAATTACTTTGATTTAGAACTTGGATTACCAATTTGCCATCTCTAGTTTAATGGGAAGAACATTAGGATTAGAGTCAGAATACCTGAATTCAAGTTACTGACCTACTACTTAATAATAATTAATTTTAATAATTCTCTAACCTCAGCTTTCTCCTCTATAATAAGAAATAATGCTTACCACAGAGGCTCGAGGTAAGGATTAAGTAAGATAATATATAACATGTAAGATAATTTGTGTGATGGTTCCTAGAATAGTACCTGGTGCATTGTAAGCACCCAGCAAGTGATAGCCAAGTATGAATTTGCAGCGGCATGGACACATCATGCCACACCCCAGATATGGAACAATAGTTAGGATTCCATTCACCTTTGCTTCTTTTAACATCCTCAGTGAAGGCAGATGGAGAACAGCTGGACCCTCTAATTCTACCTGACTTTAACTTCACATTCTTAAGATGCTTATTAAATCTCTCTTTCCTGAACTAATATAATGCTTCCTTGTTACCCTGGAAGGACAGAGTTAACACCCATGTATTATGACATGATGGATGTTCTTTTTGCGCACACTGCATGCATAGCCATGTGCCAAGGCCAGGCCTGCCTTAGCTTTTTGGTTCTCCAGAGCAGCTTCACTGTGACTGAAGAGAGCCAGGGAAGACATCTTGGTAGAGCTCTTTATATGACTCTTTTCAGAATGTTTCTCACTGATGGAGATGACAGAAAGCTAGGATGATTTGCAGGCAGGAGGACAGGCTTCTTTGGAAAAGGTTTCACCATAGATTACCTCAATCCAGGGTTGGAAGACTGGAAAGTGGTCTGCAGGGCATCCCAGGGGATGCCTTCTTCAAGACAATATTAGACTAGCATTGGACCCTGCCTCCAGACTAGTAAAGGGTTATTTTCAGAGCAGCAACACCAGAGAACATGTTTTGAGCAAATCAAATCCTTAAAATCATGATTTCATACATCCTGAGATACTAGTGACTTCAAAATGCCTTTCTCAAATTATACATATAGTGCCTTCTGAATCAACTGTCTTTTTTCTGTCCAACAGTATAAACATAATCTCTGCCCTCACACAGCTTAGAAACTGTCATGAGAGGTAAACAAATACACAAATGACAAGGTAAAATAGAAGAGCTACAAAAGAGATCATGAAAATATCCAGGGAGTTCGAAGGTGGCAGATAACAAAAGGCTTCGTGGAGGAGGTAGCCTTTGTGGCATTTGAGATCAGTCCTGCAGCAGGGTTATAGGTGGACAGGCAGAGATGGTTGGGGGTGGGCGGTAGGAGGGACAGACAGAAGGAACCACAAGAATGAGGATATGGAGAAAAAGACCACTGAAGGGTGCAAATTATTAAGGATGGATTTATGTAAAGGATGTGGCCTAAGAAGAAGGACTCTTCTTTATGATGAAATTAGGTTTTAGAGGCAGAAGTCTGGTGCTTCCCGGTACTAAAATGACCCCAGTATGGTGTCTGCAGAATACTTAGATAACTGCATAGATGGTTCAGCCTTCTTTCCATTATACCACACTACTGGGTTACCAACTTGCTGTGTGACCTTAGATAAGCAACTACCTCTCTCTGGGCCTCAGTTTTCATATCTATGAAATTAGGAGGTTGAATTATGTCTTGGCATAATAACGAAATAAATAAGTGATTTATTTTTATTTCTTTGTCATTCCTCTTTGAAATGGGAGTGGGAATAAAGTGGTATTTGTTTCCACATGAAAATTAAAGCCAGGGGGCCAATTCTGGACTTGGCTTGAGCTGTGCTTTGTCTGTTTTTCTGCACTGGCCCAGTACCCTTTACACTGGTGTAACTAACTCCCTGGAAAGGGATGCAGGTAGACAGCGTGACTGTTCCTTCCTATCTGAGAGGCCCCAACAGATTCTATATTGCAGGACCACCAACTTGGAATTTCAGCTCAGTTCAGCAAACACTTTTGACTGGTTCGTGTGCTAGACATTGTGCTGGGCTTATGTGGGGTAGAGATGCCTGCTAATCTAAGGCTAACAGGAAGACAGGGAAGTGGTTTCCAGACCTGATGCTTATCAGAGTCACTGTGGAAGAACTTTTTAGAATGCAGACAGCCCCCAACTTAACAGTGGTTGGACTTTCAATTTTTCACCTTATAATGGTGCAAAAGTGATGGGCATTCAGTATGCTTCTCAACATACAAAGAGGTTGTGTGAAATAAACCCATCATTAATTGAAGATACTGTCAATCAAAAATGTACTTTTGACTTACAGTGTTTTCAACTTAGGAGGGGTCATAGGTTGAGGAGCATCTCCACAGATTCCTGAGCCCCATCCCTTGATGATGATGATCCAGTGAGCCTGGGTGGGGCCTGAGAATCTGCATACTAACTGCTGAAGGTGAGTGTGATGCAGGGCCAAGCTTCAGAACCTCTGATCTAGAGAAGATTCTGTGTCATCACAGCTCAGGGTGACCATGTTCTCTCTTACTTGCACTTACATGAATTCATATGAATTCAGTATTACATGAGTAAATTATGATTATATGAATTTATTGAGTATCCTATGTGCTTGATATAGGTGTTTACATCCCAGGGTTGGGGGGTAGAGATGAAGAATATAAGCCGGACTATGTTAAGATCTTCACTTCTCAGCACCTGAACAACTGGCAGCCTCATTAGGAAGGCAAGTCATTCACAGGTGAAATGACATCATGGTCGTCTTCTTCATTCTTCTCTTCAGCATCCATTTAAGACTCACATTTTATCACCAGAGACTGAAAAGAGCCACCTAAGGCAGGCAGGTCAGGTGGTGTTATCTCTTTATTTCCAGATGTGGAGGCTGAGGCTCAGAGAGGTGAATCCATATGTCCAAGCTCACATCTCCCGCCCTCAGTCCAGGGCTTCTCCCCACTTCATGGGAGAAGCATCCTCCTCCCCAGAGCAGTAGGTTCTGGAGCTGGGAGAGGCCACTGTGGGCTGGATTGTTGGGGACAGCTTCAGGGAGAGCCCGATTCAAGGCAATAGAGAACTTTGGCTGCAGGCCGTTGCCTAGAATAGGGCAGCTGACACACCTTTGATCTGGAATGATTCCTGCTGCTGAGAATGAGGTTTTTTATATCTGGATTCTCAGGTAGTAACACCACGACAACGTGTGTTTGTGTTATTTCATCTGCACAGCATTCACGTGTAGCAGAGAGAAGGTAGTTTATTCCCCAGAAGTTTACCAGTGGGAAATTGAGGTCAAAGGTAGGACTTTCCTAAATGAAGAGAACTACTATTTATTGGATGCCTCCCATCTGCCAAGCAGTGTGCACAGCAGGCATATATCATGAAATGCCTCATTTATTCCTCATAACTGTAGCCTGATTTTACATTCGGCAAACCTGAGGCTTACAGAAATCATGTGGCTCGCACTCAGACTGCTGATGGCCACGCAAGGCTTTCAGCTTCTCTGATTTCCAGGCCCCCATCCCCACCACACTGTGCTGTCCAGCTCACCTGGTGGAACTGGATCCTTTGAGTTCCAGGCCAGGGATCCTACTGAGCTCTTCCATCAGGGAAACCATAGCAGTAGCAGCTCCACCAAGGACTTGGCATCTATCTTACTGCAGCATCCGTGCCTGTCTAATGGAACCATGTACCAGGAGTAGCTACCCAAGAAACATTTCCACCAGAAACTTCTCTTTATAGCTCCCCATCGAGCCTCAGAGAGCTGATAGGAATTGCTCAAGACCACCCAACTTGTAAGTGGTAGAGCTGGGACTAAAAGGCAAGTCCCCCAACTTTCAGCCTCACTCGTGCCCAATGTGTCTCAGCCTCCCTGAAGAATATCAGACCAAGATGGCCAGAAAAGGAACCTGGAAGGGACGTGTGGGCGTCATGCAGCCCTTGGCACAGTCTTCAGGCTGAGCTGCCTCCACCTTGTCATCTCATCAGAGCTTTACATCCATCCTTGGGAGAGGCCAGCTCCATGACCTCTCAGTGTCATTTAGGATCTTCTTCCTAAACGGCTAACCCAAGTCTGTCCGCTGCATCCTACAGTGAGATGCACTGTGGCGAGAGCAGCTATTGGCATTCTGCTTACGTGCTGTTTCCAGAGGTAAACTCAGTATAAATGGATCTACAGCCTGTCCCATTTTGTACAGTCGAGTTCTAAAACCAGCCTGCAAGGATAATGCTATAAAAATGTCCTGCCAGCCCCAAGGGTGTCTTCTACAACAAGTTCTTGTTCCCTCATAATTCTTCTGACAAATTCTTCTTTTGATCCAGACTTTCCTAGCCATCATTTCATTCCAGAAGTGGCATGTGTGTGCAAACACTCATGCTTGAGGGCGGGACAAGCAAAGGGATAAGAGGGGAAATGGGAACTCGAAATCTGCTCAAATGTGGTAAAGAAATATATCCAGAAAGTACTGCCTACTCACCAAAATACTATTTGCTTTTTATATTCTTTCCTGAGTAGAATTTCCTGTTCAAACTTGAAAATGAAAATTCCTCCACTTCAAAATGAACAGGCAAGAAATGCTGTAGGCTGGGTTTCCCGGGGAGGGGGGACTGACAGCCATCTGCCCTGAGACTGACTGTCAAATCTGAACTCTGTGTACTTGTTAGTGTTGTTTATGGGAGGGGTGAGGGAAGGGAGGAAGCAACAGGGACCTGCTAACCCTATGAATTCTCCCTCATACCCTTAAAAAGTCGGGTGCTTGGCCGGGTGCAGTGGCTCACGCCTGTAATTCCAACACTTGGGAGGCCAGGGCGGTTGGATCACAAGGTCAGGAGTTCAAGACCAGCCTGGCCAAGATGGTGAAACCCCGTCTCTACTAAAAATACAAAAATTAGCCAGGCGTACTGGCAGGCGCCGGTAATCCCAGCTACTCGGGAGGCTGAGGCAGAGAATTGCTTGAACCCAGGAAGTGAAGGTTGCAATGAGCCGAGATCATGCCACTGCACTCCAACCTGTGCAACAGAGCGAGACTCCGTCTCAAAAAAAAAAAAAAAAAAAAAAAAAAAAAAAAAAAGTCGGGGGCTTGCCAAGCTCGCTTTTTGGGGCAATGGGAGGGAAATTTTAAGAGCTGATTTCTGTGATCTTTATCAGACCTCTTCTTCTGTCCTGCCCACAGGTCAGTGATGGGAATGATAGTATTGCATTAAAAGAGAAGTGATTCCCCAGATGTGGACATCTCAGTGCCTGGGAGGCAGACGTCTTTAGAGTGCTTGGTGTTCCTCCCCATATCTAACTTACCTGTTCTTAGGACATATTCCCTTGAGTGTCTTTTATTATTTCGTTGATTGATTAAGGGTTACAAATTTGTTACAAAAGCAGCAGAAATTTTGAAAGATAAAACAGGTAGAAACTGTTATTTAATTGGAGGCACAAAAGCCAGTTCCAGCTTGAGCATTAACTGGCTGTGTGGCTTGGGCAGCTCCCCTGCACTTTTGGGACCATGGTTTCTTCAGCTCTAAAGTGAAAGCTGAGAGTTCCTCTGAATGCTAAAATCTTGCTTCTCTGTGATTATTGTTTTTTAAATGCCGCCGTCATTTCAAAACACATACATGGGGCAGCCCTCCTCAGCTGCCTGTCCTGTTCTCTTCCCTCCTTCCCTTTGTGCCATCAGCGTCTCCCCTGGATTTATCGTGCTGTACTCCTTGGACACCCTTGAAAGTGGAGAGAGAATAATTCT
Organism: Homo sapiens; assembly: GCF_000001405.40. NCBI lineage: Eukaryota > Metazoa > Chordata > Mammalia > Primates > Hominidae > Homo > Homo sapiens. Next base: position 5,467,927 of record NC_000012.12, read on the forward strand.
CATTCCCTTTCCCCAAACTCTGTCCTGAAGCACCACTCCCCACCTCCCTACCATGCCTGCCCCTCCACCCCCCACATTTTCCCTCTGATGAGATTTCCTCTCTGAGGGAATATTTTGGTCCTGTTCTCTGTTCCCAAACAAATTCCCCAGGTCCTTTAAATCTGGTTTCAATCAACATAATCACAGTCTCTTCGATGCTATCAACTCTGCCTTGATTTGGTTGTGTGATTCATGCTGTGTCCTCCACCTCCTCAGGCTGTTTTATATATACACACTTAAGTGCTCATATATATGTGTATATATTACACAGGTTGTATGTATATGATGTATTGAAAGAGAGAGATGTTTTCCACCGTGCCTGTAATTACTTTTTATCTTCCTCCAAATCAGTATCTTAATGCATATCACCTAAACTGGATTCATTTTGAGAACACTAGGGCCTTTTTTTTACTTTTCAAGAACAGCTATCTAATTCTGGGCCAAAAACTAGTTATCAAATGAGGGCAGGTAATGGAGTTGTATCCAGCGAGGGGGCATTTGCTTCTCCATATGATACACTCCTCACCAGTACCAAGGCGTTTTCTCTTCAGTCTTCATGCCTATGCTGTTACGAGTCCTTTCTCCTATTTGAAAGAAAAGATATGAGGCAGCCCAGGGAAAGCTCTGATGGAGGCTATAAAGACAATATGGATGTAAACTAAAAAATGGTAGCTTAGAGCTTAATGGTAGCCTCTCAGGACACTCACCACACCTGAATTCTACCAGCCTGACGCCAATGCTGCTCCGCTTATGCTGGGATGTAGTGACACAGGACACTCTGCTGGGGGATAGGGATGATCTCCCCCCACCAAGTGGGTCATCAACACTCATCACTCAGAGGGGAGGTGGGATACCACCTTGAACAGAGAAAGCGGCTGGGCATGGTGGCTCACACCTGTAGTCCCAGCACCTTGGGAGCCCGAGGCAGGTGGATCGCTTTAGCCCAGGAGTAAGAGACCAGCCTGGGCAACATGGCAAAACCCCATCTTCATTAAAAATAGAAACATTAGCCTGGCTTGGGGTTGCACACCTATAGTCCCAGCTACTGGGGAGGCTGAGGTGGGAGGATCGCTTGAGCCTAGGGGGTCGAGGCTGCAGTGAGCCATGATTGTGCCATTGAACTCCTGCCTAGGAGACAGAGTGAGATCCTGTCTCAAAAAAAAAAAGAGGAAGAAGTTGCTGAATCCGTCTTATAAATCTGTAACAGAAAATTATGGCAAGTTGTGGCTTTTAATTGCCAGAGCTGGGCACTTAAGAGAGAAAAGGGTTTTTGTGAATTCCAAAAATGTAATTGTATTCATTGAACACTGAAGTCAGGAGAAGTCAGACCATAATGACATGGGAGCCATTTTCGCAACCAGCAGACTAGAAGGGGAGGGTTTGGAAGGGTGGCGGCAGAGCTTAGACACCTGCTGCGAAGGGAGAGAAGTGGGGACAGAAAGATGGCCTGTGTAGAGTCCCATGAGAAAGACAGAACTGCACTGGCAGGCATCTTTAGGGGCCCAGGTCACAATCATGGGGCCGGTGGACAGTCTCCAGGGCACTGTGATTGTCACAGTGCACAGCCTAATGGGGAAAATTGCACAGCTTCACTTAAATATAGGTGACATATGGACGTAAGAATTCATGATTAATCTAGAACTAACCCTGACCAGCAAGGCCGAATGAAGAAAAAATGTAGAAACACTGACCAAACCTTCCTCAAAGGTCACAGATCTTAGGGAATGTGTCTCTCTTTCACATTTCAAAATAACAACAATTTTTGAAATATGTATTTTTTAACATTTAATTGTTTTATTTGGGGATAATTTTAGACTCATGGCATCCACTGTTTTTTTAGTTACCCACATATTTGATTCAGTAAGATTCCCTGTATTGATACAAAAAAAGAAGAGGGACCCTGTTTCCCTTTGACACTGTTACTTTTTCCTGAGCTCATTGTTTGTTTGTATTTTGTTTTGTTTTGGTTTGGTTTTTGAGATGTAGTCTTGCTCTGTCACCCAGGCTAGAGTGCAATGGCGCGATCTCAGCTCACTGCAAGCTCCGCCTCCCGGGTTCACTCCATTCTCCTACCTCAGCCTCCTGAGTAGCTGGGACTACAGGTGCCCGCCACCATGCCTGGCTAATTTTTTGTATTTTTAGTAGAGATGGGGATTCACGGTGTTAGCCATGATGGTCTTGATCTCCTGACCTCGTGATCCACCCGCCTCGGCCTCCCAAAGTGCTGGGATTACAGGCGTGAGCCACTGCGCTCGGCCTCCTGAGCTCATTTTAAGAGAGACTTCTGGCCTAGAGGTTTGAATGAGAAGAAGTTATACAGCTGGGATTCTTCCCTTTCTCTGATATGAGGACAGGAGTTCTCTCTCATCTCCGCCAAGAGCAGGAAGCTGGAGTAACTGCCACAAGCTCCAGGAGGGAGTGTCTAGAACATCCACGTTTTGCAGCAGGAAAACACCCCCTCACGCTGAAGTTTGATTCCTGAATCCTGTGTCGCAGTCTAAATGCTGAGGCAGAAGGGGACATCCGTGTTCCTGGGGCATTCCACTTGCAGTCCTGGCTGTAACCCGAGTGAGCCATCCGTGTAGTTCCTGTTGCTAAGTCTCCCCTGCCACCTCTTCTTCCCATGGCTGCAGGGCAGGGGGCCATGCCCTCCTCTTCATTTCCTGTCCCTGGGTGAGCGTGCCCCCTGCCTTCTCCCAGATCTCTGCTGTGGCAGCTTCACGTGGGATTCAGCACTGTGTCTCCTTCCCCTCTGCTCGGCCTGCCCATACCTGTCCAGCAGAGCTGTAAGACCAGAAGACAGAGCATTCCCCTTATCTATGAAGTCAAATGCATGTGTGGAACATGCCACCCAGCCTGCAGTCTCTCTACTATAAAATACTGCTCATAAGACAAATGTGTGGCCCAGATGATTTCTGATAAAGTCTATTATTTTGAAATACATATGTATGTCTCTCAGCCACTGATACACGCAGAAGCTGCACATGTTGTCAACACCTGCTTTGAGCTCCTTTCCTTCCCACCCTTCCTTTTGGCAATGCAAGTTTCCATTCATTTTCTGCATTACTGGTCTCCTCTCTTCTCCCCTACTACTAGATCTTACAATAAACATTTGAAATAGTTTATTTGTCCACAGTGTGATTTCTGTTGAGAAACATGGGCTCACCGACTTTTGGGTCTCTTCTAACACTAGAAATTCCTCTGGTTTTTTAGACTATTTCAAGGGCTATTAATGTGGAACAGACGGCCTTTAGAAACAGCAATCCACAGGGGGCCCGGAGACCTGGATTCATATTTCTCCTAGCGTCAACTAGTGGGTGACCTTAGAAATGTCATTTTCCTTGTCGGGCTTTAGTTCCCTTATCTGTCACACAGAAGCACTGTGTGAGTTTGGGAAACCAATACTATGTTGAAATGTACAAAATAATCTTAAAGCACAGATATTCTGTTCCCTCCAAGAATACATCAAACAAAGGAACTGACATTGCAAGAAGATTTTGAGGAGATGGCTGGATGCACTGGAGCAGGGATTGCTGAGGGAAGCCAGGCCCTCACCTGGAGCGTCTCAGGAGAGGCAGCTTCGGTGCTGGCTGTTTATTGCAGGCATCTCTTTCTGTGTCTGTGCGTTTAGGGGCTCTTCTTTGGAGATAAGAAAAGGGTTCTGGATGGAGGGCAGTGAAGAACAGTGAGAACTTAACATGAGGATGTTTGTATAGAGGGGAAGACTTCTGGACAGTGGCTTGACTTTGCTCACTGGGCATTTCCTTCTGGATCTCTGTAGAAGTCAGGGACAGATCTCCTCGTGCATATCTGTCTCCCAGAGACAGATCTCTTCCTAGCAGAAAGTAGAAAGTGGGCTTCAGGCATCCTGGAAGTTTTCTTTCTTGGTGGGTGATAAAAGGGCTTGCAGAGAGAGGAGAATCAAATCTCCCACATGTGCATCATGCCTGCGAGTCTCATGCAGAGATGTCTTATGTTCAACATAGAAAGCAAGCCTGGCAGCCCCAAGACCTTCCTCTGCACACCGTCCATTTTTACTTGGTTTCATTTTGATAACTGTGCGGTCTGAGGTCCTGGCCAAGAAAGCATCACCTGGCAAGAAGTGTATTTGGCCAATGGTAAGGTTACCATCTCTGTGTAATTAGGCTCCGTAAAGCTTTGTTTTTAAATTTATTAATGGGAATGATTTGACATTCCTACACACTGACATTACCCTCATGGAATGGATAAGAATCTCAAGGCTTGTTGGGTGAAAGAAGGGCAGTGTTTGGTGTGACGGGAAGGGAAAGTATAAGCAGGCAGCTCGTGCGCATGAGCATTTGGGAAACAGAACAGAAATCATAGAATGGCAGGCTTAATTCTAGCTCTGTCACCTACTGGCTGTTTGTCATTAGAAAAATTATTTACCCTTCGTGAGATTCAGTTTCCTTACATTTAAAATAAAGAAAATATTCGTCCTCATATTGAAATGAATTGGGCTATCATGATCAACTTTAAAATACAACGAACAGTATAAATGTCAGGAATTATATGACATTCGGGACCTCCACTGCCACCCTCACTTTCTCCCTCCAGTGGTCACTTACTCTCTGTCCCTCTTTCTGGGTCAGAGCTTCTGTTACTCCAGCCTGGGCCTGCCTTAAGTGGGGACATGTGCTGATCCCTCACAATGCCGGGTGACAAGGAGGGTTTTCAAGGCTGGCTTGACTGCCACTGCTGGTCTCTCTTCTCATTTGCAACTGTCTTCTCCCCGCTGGGCTCAGTGTTCCTGGGAGGGTGATGCTGAGGGAGAAAGCTGTGGCAGAGGGACGTGGCAGGGTCAGAGACCACTGATTCGCAGGAGCTGGCCTCAGAGCTAGCCTTTTTGCATTGATCTAGGGAACCAGTGATCATAGATATCTATGTTGACGCCTGTGTCAATTTATCCCTAGAGCCATTATTCAGTGAATTTCCTAAGGGGAAAACAATTCTCCAGCATTATTTTTCTTTGGGCCAGGAGAGCACTTTCTCTGAGTTTTACTGGCAAGCTAGATATATTCTTGAAAGGCTCCAGCAGCAGAGTTCCCGTCTTGTTTAGTTCAAAAACAGCTCCTGGCCCGTCTCTAAATGGTCTTGCTAAAAACATCTCCTCCCACCCATAGACCTGAACTTAAGCCTCAGACTGCTATCCTCTCTTTCTGCCACTGTGAGAGACCTATGCCTCTTTTCTCATTGGCTTTTGCCTGCCCAGCCCTCCTCAGATCCTTGTACATCCCTAGGAAGTACATTCTTTCCACTCCACACACATAATTGTGCAACTTGTGCTAGGACCGCATGAGGCACTGGAGCTGCAGATAGCAAGGAAATGTGGGCCCTGCCCTCAGGAACTTGAAATCCGGTAGTTACCTAGAGCTACACTGAGTTCCCTGACGTGGTAGGAAGCCCTCCCAGAGCCTTGTCCGTGCTTAGACGTTGCCTTCACAGAGGTGGCTAAGGGGCATTTTGTCCCTGCCCTAGTTTTTACAAGTCCCCTGGATGTTAACTCCTACTTGCTTTTATTTGCAGGTTCTCCAGTCTTATGCATTCTCTCTTATTCCTAAAAATTTCCAATCCAGTGCTGATAGTATGTTAGAGCTGTAGGGCCAGGAAACCCTGCTGGGGGAATCATCGTCTAGTAGGTGGAGTGTGAGAGAGAGGAGACTCAGGCCAGAGGGGCTTCTGAGTTCTGGGCAAGTCCCTTACCATCCTAGTGCAGCTATCCTTCTCCATGTCCTACTGAGCTGCCTTCCTTCTTGCTTCTCATTCCCAAAGAGAGGCAACCATGCCATTCTGGGCAGTGGGCAAGGGCTGCTGGAATTGAGATTTTTATTTTTCTCTTTGGCATCTGAATCCTTCCTTTGCAGTTGCTGACATGCAGTTTTGTGTGAGATCACCCATGTCATCCATCATCTTCAGGACACCCAGAAACTCCTCCTACCTCTCTCAGCCTCACATGCGCATCTTCAGTCCCCTTCTGATTCACCCTAGTTGGTCTATTGCTCTTGGCTCTGAATAAATACCTTTAAAGGGTACAGGTATCCATATGGAAGGCCTTCAGAGAAGAGAGAGCATGGAATTTATTTTCCAAAGTGGGACACTCGAGAGTGAAAGGGTGAGCTGACAATAATGATGGCAGGACAAAAGCATATTTCAGGCTTCTTAAGAGCTTCATCCCTTTGATCCAGTGACTTTATTTCTAGGAATCTTTTATGGAGTACCTACCATGAGCCAGGCACCATTGCAGGTGCTAAGGATATCAAAACACATCAAAAGAGAGCATACAGTTAAGTGGAGCAGACAGGCAAGAAAAAGGATGGTTGTAAAAGAATGCGGTAAGTGCTGAGAAGTCTTTCTCAGAGACGTGATGTATGAGCAGGCTCAGACAGTCAAATAGTAGTTAGCCAGGGAAGGAAAGGGAGAAATTGCCTTCCTGGCACAGGGAGTTGTCAGGGGAGCCCTGGCAGAGGTGAGAGTATACATGGTGTGTTTGGAAAACCCAGGTCCCTCGCTGAGGCTGCTGTGCACAGGGAGAGGAGGGCTGGCAAGAGATGAGGCTGGCAAGTGAGGCACCCAGGAGCCAGACGATGAAGGGCAGACAATGCTGAGGAATTTTAGCTTGATCTTGGAGGTTATAGAGAAGAACAGAAATTTCTCCAGCTGAGGAATGACCCAATTCCATTCCAGTGCGGGGAAGAAATGATAGGGAAGGCTGGGAGAGGGCAAAATAGGGTCTCGGAAACCATTTAAGAGTCTATTGAAGTAATCCAGGCGAAAGAGGTAGCATGGACTGTAGAGAAAAGGAGGGTGGATTTTGAGAAATAGGAGGAGGCAGAGTCAACTGGAATTATTAAAGATCAGTTCAATGTGGGGGCAGGGAAGAAAGGAAGAAAGAGGACTCAAACATGATTTCTGGTGCTGCCTTTTCCCAAGAGAGAAAATCCGAGAGGCTGGAGGAGGAGCAGGGTTTGGGGGAGGATGGTGACTTCAGCTTTGGATATAGCACCCTTGAGATTCCTCTGCAGTTCAGGTGGAGATGTCTAGTAGGCCATGGATGTCCCATGGATGTCTATGGGTTTGGAGTATAGGACGGAGGTCTGTGCCTGGAGATGTGAGCATAGACGTATCTACACATCAGCAGGGTTGATGAGATTGCACAGTCATATCCTCAGATGAGAAGGGAAAGCAGAATGTTGGAGAAGAATATGGAAAGAATGCAAGGGAAGTGCTGGTGGTGGTAGGAGGAAGACCAAGAGAGGTGCCGTCTGGAGGAGGGATCGGAGTGTCCAGTGATTCAGAGAGCATGAGGGAGGAGGGGCTGTGGCACACCTGCCTGACTTTGAAATGAAGAATGGTATTCTAGGTGGGGCTGTTTTTTTAGGGACCTGGTGCAGGTGGGGATGATGGACATAGGGAATTCTACTCTCTGGGAGACAGCATGTGGCTGGGATCAGATAGTTACAAAGTTATATGACAACTATTTTATTTCATTTCTCTAATACTGGCAACATCTGAACATTATCTACAGAGGAAGGAAAACCTTTATGGAGGGGTAGGTTGAAAATATGTCTGGGCCAGGCATGGTGGCTCACACCTGTAATCCCAGCACTTTGGGAGGCTATGGTGGGAGGATTGCTTGAGCCCAGGAGTTTGAGACCAGCCTGTGCAACATGGCAAAACCCCATCTCTACAAAAAATACAAAAAAATAGCTGGGCTTGTGGTGCATTCCTGTAGTCCTAGCTACTTGGAAGGCTGAGGTGGGAGGCATCACCTGAGCCCAAGAGGTCGGGGCTGCAGTGAGCTGTGATTATGCCCCTGCACTCTAGACTGAGTGACAGAATGAGACTCTGCCTCAAAAAAGAAAAAAGAAGAAAGAGAGAGAGAGAGAGAGAGAGAAGGAAAGAAAGAAAGAAAAAGAGAAAGAAAGAAAGAAAGAGAGAAAGAGAGAAAAAGAAAGAGAAAAGAGAAGAAAAGACAAGACAAGAAAAGAAAAGAGAAAATACACCTGGGATGGAGGCCCTGATGGAAGAAGGTTTCTGAGGAAATGGGTGTGGGTCCCAGAGTGTCAGTATAGGGCCTGTTGGAGAGCGAGTATGATAAGGTCAGCCCTGCCACTCAGAAGAAATTCTGGTTATACTCACAGTAATCACACTTCCTGGTTGACCCAGGGCAGTCCTACCGTGCAACCATTACCCCAACAAAATTATTGCTTACACCCCTTTTCACTTTTGAAAGTTTAGGTGATAAAGTATCTGGTCTCCTCAGAGTATACATCTAAGGAGATTCGTAGGTGGAGTTAGACAGCTGAGGGAGCTCCTACCTGAAGGACTCTGTGCAGCAGGAGGCAGGATTCTCTGTATGATGTTCCAAGAGGCTTGAGGAGATAGGAGCAGCTGTGAGGGGAGGGAAGACCTGAAATGAGAAAAAGAGCAAATTGTTGATCTACAGTAAGGGCTGAGCAGAGCAGATCCTTGAGAACATCAATTTGCTGGGCACCAAGTAGTTCATAGGCCGCGTTTCCCTGTCTTTAGCAGCCTGCGTGTCTGCTGGGAGAATAGATGTATAAACTGATCTGAGGTTGGAGCTGCACAGGGCAGATGTGGCCAGAGGGTAAGGAAGTGGCTGGAGTGGTGGATCATGAGAATAGCACACCCGTAGTAAGCTCTGCACATGGAGATACTTATTGCAGCACTGTTTATGGGAGCAGAGGATTCAAAATAGTAAATGTCCAACAAGGGGGTGTCATCCGGTAAATTATGGCAAATTAACGTGATAGAATATTATGTGGCCATCAAGATTTTGTTTAGGTAGAATTGTAATATAAGGAGAGAAAGCCTAGATTGTAATAGTAAGTGAAATAAGAAAGTTCCAGAATGATGTATATTAAACCATCCCGCCTATAATGCATAGAGATTTTTTTATTTATTTTTAAAAGGTTGGGCACAAATATTCCATAATAATACCTGTGGGAGCTGATAGATGATATATTTTTGTATTTTTAAATTTTTCTTCAATAAGTTCATTATATTACTTTTATAATAAGGAAAAAACATCTCTCTAGGAAAAATTATTTAAGGAAAAAATAAACATGAAAAAGGGTGTCTGTAATCACAGTTTAATTTGGCCTTCTCAGAAAACCATTGTAGGGAGTTTTTATTCTCTAGTTTCCCCAGGGTGGGGAAGATGAGCAGCATGGCCCTAGTGTTTGAGAACGTGGGTTTTGATATCAGACATGCCTGGGTTTGAATCCCAGCTCCGCTAAGCTGAGCTATAGTATTGCCATGGTGTGATCTCAAGCAGGCTATCCTTATTTATGAAGTGGAATAATACACATCCCCAGTCTCTTCTTTATAATTCCGAAACCCAAAAAGCCCTGAAAACCCAGAGTCGTTTCTTAAAGTGACAGCAAATTCATTTGGCTATAAAACCTAACCTGAATTGAGCTAGTCTTTATTTCACTTCAGTGAATATAATTTTGCAGTGGAAATATTAACATGTTTAATCATTGGATGTTCGCCCAGATCTCACGGAGGGTATGAGATAATACGCAGGGTTCAGGTAAGTTGTGAACTACAGGATCTGCGTCATAGGGTTATTGTAGAATGAAGTCAGGTTGTGATTGCAGGGTTCTTAGCACAGTTCTTGCCAGAGAGTAAGTACTGACAAAGTGAGTTATCATCACTATTGATGCTATAATTATTCGTGAGCCTTCACTAAGTATGGAGTGCATGATTTCTGCTTGCCCCTCTTCCCTCCATTTCCTTCTTTATTGGGATGTTTGAGAAGATTAATGTATCACATATAATGAGAATTTAGGATGGCATTGTTTAGGACACAGGACTGCAAAAAAGGGAAGTTCCAGCACAGATATTTTCCTGCCTCTTTTCTTATTCCAGATTTCTCACTTTCTGGGGAATTAGCTGTAGGATATAATGCACATTAACAGGACACCCAAATACTTGAAGAGCTAATGGAGAAGTAACCCTTACTCCCTTGGTGACTGCTTTCGTCTCAAAGCACATGTGTTCATTATAAAATGTTAATGTATTTACACCATAGTTGCTGTACATTTAAAGGTTTACTGTGCTTTAAGCTAAAACTAGCTGGATATCAAATGTGCTTTTAATTGAAAAGTGGTTATTTACTGCTTTCCATAGGAATCCACAATAAGATTTTTTCATTGCAAACCCTCCTAGTATCTTTAAAATGCAATTCAGTTCACAAACATTGATTTGCATTCAACGTTTTTCAGAAGCCTAAATAGAGTGCAAAATGAGGTCCACCTGCAAGACTACAGTTATTACTTCCTCCTTTTTCTTGGAAGCATCCATGCATTGTAAATTCTGTTTGTGTGGCATCAGCCAACTACATTATTAACATCACCAGGAGGAATTAAAATGTATCATGTTATAGGATCAAAAGTTTCACATTCTGAATCAATGCCAGTATAAAAAGAATGTCCAGACCCTTCCGTCTGACTACAGTCGGCAGGGATCCCCGCCCCAGCAGCCATGTGACTCACTTCGCATTGTGGTGAGGGTCACTCATGGCTCATACGGGCCTGCGGCCCGATAGGCCTCCCCATGGGGCAGCATTTAGCCTTTTCAAAATCAGCTTAGGATCACAGACCCTCAGGTCTTGAAGGAACTTTTTGGAGTTTCCTCTATTAAACCCAGTTTTAATCTGGTCATTTAGACTGCATGTCTAGAAACACTACAGCATTTTTAGTAGTAAACTGAAATAAATCTTCAAATAAACGACTTTAACATTTTGCACATTGGTCCAGGGGCAGAAGAGCTCGTCTGTTGCCTTTTAGGAGGGCTCTAATCTTTTTCTGTTTCAGCTCATCGGGTCCTCATTGTCCCCTACTGTATGTGCCCAGCACAATGTCAGGGCACATTTCTACACAATGTTGGATTCCAGCTGATCCTCCGTGTTAATCCATTCGTTAGTGCCAAATTGCAGGGTTCCTTGCCAAGCCCGTCAGCACAATCAGAGCTTCTGAAGTCAGGTACCTCAATTACATTAGTTCAGTTGTCTCATTAGCCCCCATGCATCATCCAAACTCATCATCAAACGTGTTTTCCTTCATTATTGTTGTCATTTTCTTAATACCAGTCTTGTTGAAAAAGGATTGTTTTAGATACAATTTTGCCTAACTTGTTTCATCTCCAGAATACAATCCTAAATAGAGCCAAGATTTGCCGGAGAGAGGAGATAGCGGTTGAGGCTGGTGAAGCTTCCCTCCGGTTAGAATTAGAGAGAAGTGGATGCAGAACTTGGGCCAGTAATGGACCCATCCATCTCCCTAGTCAAGAGGACATTCTTGCAGCCAGAGGTGGTTCCGCTTTGGAAATGATCTACTTTGTGTAAACCGGTGCATCACAGATACTGTTAGAGTATCTCACAGATACTGATACAGCATGGTCTGCATTTTGTAGATATGAGGGCTCTCCCTTAGGTTTACAGCCGGATAAAGGAGCTCCACTTACCTGGTGATCACAGGCATGTGGTCCACCCTGCTGGGCTCTAGGACTTTGAACATAGAGAAGGCTATCTTTTAGGAAGACTGCAGGATCAGGAGTCGGGAAGCAGGGATTCTGCTTGTAGTTTTACATCTAGCAGTAACAACTTTTAGCCCATCCCTCACCTACTCTGTGCCCTGGATTTCTTGGCTTTAACATAGCAAAAGCCTCTCTTTATAGTTTTCCTAACTCCATCTCTCCCCAAAAAGCTGGAGATGTAAGTTTTAAATTCCAGTCCTTGGCACATAGTAGGTGCTCAATCTCTCATCCTTCTGTCCCTCAAGATAGCCGATGGCTCAGCCATATATGTTCCAGACAGGTCTCTCTGTGTCTTTTGGGAAAGCCTTGTTGCTCTCAGACTGGCCTCTAGGCCTCATGTTTTCCCACTTGCTCTTGCCTTCAGTGTTAGGTCATGGGCTTGCCTCATTACCTGTTTCAAGGAGGCCTCTATTTGATCCCTGGAGCATCCCTGGGAGTCTGAGGCCTTTAAGGACTCCTGTGGTCTCAAGGAAAAAGAACTATAAGTAGTTCTCAGGCTCCCTTGATCAATTCAAAGTCATCTTCAGCTCTTCCAGTGCAGCCCCTCCAGAGCTGTTGAACGCCACCTTTTTCCTCTTTCGGGAAACCCACAAAACCTTGCATGGGGTTGTGCTCTGTATGGTTTTCCAGCATCAAATTCACTCATCAAAAGATGCATCAGGAGGGTGGAGGGGGTGGCGCCTGGGGTGAGGGTCAAACAAGGAAGGCCAGAATGCCTGTTTGCATTCGCAACGGGAACATTGGAAGTTCGGGTGGAAAAACAATCCCACCGGCCTTTATTTACCACAGTGGGTAGCCTCGGGAGGAGGGGGAGCTGGGTGGGAAAGGAAGACAATAGAATGCTGTGTTGCCTTGCTGTAAAAGCTTGCTCTAAGCAAATAAAGTGGCAAGCTCAGTCAGAGCCCTGCTCAATTAGCCCCAGTGCTTAAAGGAGGGTCTCCCTGCAGCTGTTGGCGGCGGGCGGGCTGGAGCAAAGGCAGGCGCACTCTGGGGCACTCGGGAGGCGAACCGGCAGGAATCTTGCATGGGAGCTGACCCGGGAGGGAGACCAAAGGACCCTCCAACCTGATCCCAGTCCCTGCTTCTTGAACAGAGGGCTACAGAAGGGGTTGGTGGGGCCACTCTGGGGAGAGGCAGTGTGGGGAGACCACGGAGGAGGTGACCAGAAAAGTGAGTGCAAACGTTTCATGCCGAGAGTGACCGACATATGGAACGTGTTATCCGGAAGGGTTACAGGCTGGAGGAGCTCCTAGAGTTTTTCAGGGGGTGGGGTGGGGGAGGGGGAAGCCTTCAGAAACTCAAGGAGGTTTCTAAACAAAAGGAATTTGAGAAGGGTTGGAGAAATAATGAGAAATGCAAACTTGACCCAGAGTTTCTCCTTCCATCTCACGGCTTCTCCCCTGCCTGTCCTCACATGTTTCCAGTTCATGGGGACCCAGGAAGGCCACTGGAGCCCTGTGCCTGACTCCACGTGCACCTCACTGGGGGTGTGGGTGGCGGGGTAGGGAGGACCCGCAGAGCTGGCTCGCTGCTCTGTGCTGAAAGGGACCCAGAGAGCGAGAGCCCTGCCTGGCTTTAGACCCCTGTGGACTAGCAGGCTGCTAGCGCCGGGATGGTCTCTGGATGATTTACTCCGGTTCCTGCCCTTGCTGGAGGAGCAATTTGATGCCGGACTGGGAGTGAAAAACAGACTTGCCCAGGGACTCACAGTGGCCAAAGGGGAGGCTGGGAGTAGACGCAGGCTCTTGATCCCTTCTGCTTTTTGGCATCTCCCCTTCTCAGCATCCCTTGCCCAGCACACCACGCACACATGTACATACACACGCAGACACACACACCAAACAGATGCACACAGAATAACAACACCACACCTACATGCACACATACACAGACATACATGCAGCACAGACACACACAGAATAACACCACACATACATGCACACCACAGATACACAGAATACCACACACACATGCACACACACAGACACATTCACAGAATACATATATGCACACACACACATACATACATGCACCACACAGAATAACACCACACACACATACAGACACACAGACATACACATACATGCACACATACAGATATACTCACAGAATACACACATGCACACACATGTATAGACATACACCACACAAGCAGAATAACACCACACGCACACACCACACACACACACAGAATAACACCACACACATATGCACACCATACAGAGACACACTCACACCTAGACATATACACCACACTCATACAGAGACACATGCACACACATGCATACTACACACATGCACATGCACACACAAAAACATACACAGACATCACACATGCATACATATACACAACACACAGACACACCCACGGGCTTACACAGACACCACACACACGTAGATATGCACACAGCACACACACACACAGAGAAACAGACACACTCGCAGGCATACATGCATGCATACACACACTACACACAGACACACTCGCAGGCATACATGCATGCATACACACACTACACACAGACACATCTGCAGTCATACACAGGCACTACATACATAGAGACATACAATGCACACTCACACACAGACACACATAGACACATGTTGTGTGCTCATGCGTACACGAGCGCGCACACACACACACTGCCTGACTTGTTTCCCACAAGACGGGTACTGGCCTGTCGCTTGTAGCCCTCCTGTCCCAGCCTGTGTTGGCCAGGGTGCCAGGCACTGCCACCCCTCTTGGGACAAGGTACAGGTGGCCAGTGTGATCACGGCCTGTTCTGAGAGCCTCTTCCTGAGCCAGGAAGCGCTGTGTGATACTGAGTGCCCGTGCCTTCGTCTTTCCCATGGTGCTGGGTCTTGGCCACCTGCTGCATTGATAGCACCCGCATGTTCACTTCCCTGGCAGTAGAAAGAAATGTAGGTTAGTGCAGGGAGGTCACTGGCTTTGGAGATGGTGGCAGGGTGGAGCAGTCTCTAATGTGAATGGAAGTGCACATGCCCTCTGGACCTGCAGCAATGCTGGCTTCAGAGGGGCCTTCTCTGGTACCTTTCCAATTTTCCCCAACCAGGTAGAAGAGCCACTGCCCAGTGTCTTGGGCTCAACTGAAACCCCCTGTACAAGAAAGAGACCCCCCTTTCCACTGTGTCTCTCTCCTCCTCCCCACTCACTGTCTCTCTGTCTCCCTCACTCCGTGTCTCTCTCCTCTCTTCTGTGTCTCTCTGCCTCTCCCTCTCTCTGTTTCTCTCTGTATCGCTCTTTTTTTTCAATCTCTGTCTCTATCTCTCCTCCTTTCTCTTTATCTCTCTGTCTCTCCCTCTGTCTTTCTCTCTGTGTGTGTTTTTTTTTCTGTCTTTCTGCATCTCTGTTTCTGTCTCCTTCTCTCGGTTCTGTATCTTTGTCCCCCTCTCTCCCTATCTCTGTTTCTCTGTCTCAGTCCCTTTCTGTCTTTATGTCTCTGTTTATCTCTCTCAGTCTCTGTATCTCTGTCTCTTTCTCTTTTTATCCTTTCTCTGTCTCTTTGTTCTCTATCCCTCCATCTCTCTCTCCCTCTCCCTCAGTCTCTCTCTGTCTCTTCCTTTCTCTGTCTCAGCCTCTCTCTGTCTCTGTATCTCTATCTCTTTCTCTCTCTCCCAGTCTCTCTCTTTCTATCTCTCTCTCTCTCTCTCTCTCTGGCACTCACTCACCCACTTACTTGAAGTCTCCATGAGCAGTGGGTGGCTTCACCTTTCTGTTTCGCCACTTTGCAGTCCGACCCGTGGGGCTTGCAGACCCTCTTCTGGCGCACACCTTCAGGAGACCAACGGTGCCAGGGCACTCCCGTGTTCTTCAGGGTTCCAGCCCCGAGTAGTTGGTAAACATCAGTAATCGTCCTAGAGATCCACTGTAGATTCCTCATCCAGGTACTGAATGAGGCCCTTCTGAGCAAATTTAATGGAATGACCTTGGTGACATTACAAGATGACGGCTCATCTCCTGTAGTCTATTATTGTTGGGCATTTAGGTTGATACTATGTCTTCACTATTGTGAGTAGTGCTGCAGTGAACATATATGTGCATATGTGTCTTTATGAAAGAATGATTTATAGTCCTTTGGGTATATACCCAGTAATGGGATTGCTGGGTTGAGTGGTATTTCTATTTTTAGGTCTTTGAGGAATTGCTTAGGTCTTTGAGGAATCGCATTTGCGTTTTCAAACATCATGGAGAACACAGGTCTTGAGGATGTGCAGGAACATGGAGACCAAGGAATGAAAAAGCCATCAGGTTGGAAGTGAAGTCACCCAGAGTGATTGCAGGTTTATGGACAGAAAGGAAAATGCTCTGATTCCTGGTGTCCATGAGGAAGGTGGATGCCAATAGATGGTGCTACACAGACACTTGTGAAAGGAAGAAGGGAAAGAGTCTGCCTCCATGGGCTGAGTAGGGCTGCTGGGGCCTCAGGCTTCACACATAGTGTCAGACATGCTGTGTTGGTCAGGTTCATCTGGGACCCCTGTGCCTCCCCCAGGAAACCCTATTGGTAGGTGTGGGCAGGCTTCCCTCCATGTGTCCTTAAATACACTGACTGCTCTGTGTGTGACTGTGGATGAGCAGCGTAGGGCTGGTCATCTGGAGGGCTGGGCTTGGTTCCAGCTCTTGTACTGATGGATTGATTGGTTTTGGGCAAGTCACTTCCCCCCATAACCTTTCCATTGTACCACAATCCTAATAGAGTTGGATGCCAGTTTCTGGCACCCTGGGCTTCACAGGGACACAGAGAAACAGAGAGGACCAGAAAATTAGGCTGATAATAATCATTTCTTCTCTATTTGGTCTGGAGAAGAAATGACTTAGGGTTGGCACAGGTTAATATGTCAACTAGAAAGAACCTTTGAAAATCTTTAGTTCAAGAATTCTAAACCTAAAATCTGTGGGACACTAGGATGATTTTTATGGACTCTTTGAATCACCCTGAAATTTTTTAAAATATTTTTTCTTTATGGGCACATGTGTGGTTTTTTAGCAGAAGGATTCCTTAGCATTGATTACATTGTAAAAGGGCCAACAATCATAAAACAATTAATTCCCCAGCATCATGTTATGTGATTCATAACTGAGGGGTCTCCGCAGATGGCATTTGGAAACGTGCGGGTCCTTTTTTTCAGTTGTCAGCATGACTGGGGTCACGATGGATATTTAGTAGGTGGGGGCCTGCGTTGCATGCGTGGGGGATTAAACTTAACAATAAAAAACTGTCCTGTTTGAAATCCCAGTAGCACCCCTCTGGAGAAACACTGCTCAGGAACTGAGCCCCCAAGATGCACAGTGATTCTCCCGTGGCCACAAAGCTCATTAGTGGCAGAGTTGGTTTTTATTAACAGATCAAAACAGGGGATGTGCCAAGAACCTACATTATTTTGTTTCTCATCATCAGCTGCAAATGTGCTGCAATCTGTGAAAACAAAAGAATCAGAAATCTGTCCCACCTTCAACGCTCCAGCCATTTTTAAAAATGAGTCTTTGGGTTCTTGGTTGTTTTTTACCATCAAATGAGAAATGAGGAAAGGAATATTTTACATTTGGAGAAACTAAACCATAAACAATTGATCCCACTAGCCCCATATCACCTAGATGTGTTCTTCAGCTACTGTGAATTGGTGACGCAAGCCTTAGACTGGAAATTTCCCCTTTATGTTTCAGAGGATCTGTCTTGAATGTCTCTTACTCTACAAAGAAAGAAACATTAATATACCAGCATGCTGCTTGCTACCTAGTTTACTGCAATGAAGTGGCAGGTGCCTTAGACTTTGGAGTGAAATTGAGAGATATTCCGCAGTATTAGCTAAGAGTTAGGCCTGTGGGATCACAGAGACAGGGGTTTGTTCCCTGGCTCTGTCTCTCAATTGATGTGTCTTCTTAAGAAAAAGTACTTAATCCTTCTGAGCCTCAGTTTCCTTGGCTGAAAAGTGGGGATAATAATCGTATCCACAAAGATTAATTGAGATCATCCATGTGAAGTGTTCCGCACAGTCTAGCATATGGGGAGGCTCAATAAATGTGAGCTGTTATTACAAGCGATTATTATGACTTGTGTCTGTGATTAAAGACAGCCTGAGGTTCAGAGTGTTTGTGCCAAAATTGCTTTCAGAGGACAAGCTCTGGGTTGGTTTTTCAGTCTTGCCCAGCTGCCCAGAGTCACTAGAGTGTTTGGGGCTGGAGTCACAGTGTTTATTAAGTGCCTACCACACACTCCAGTTTTGATGGAAGATTGGTTTTCTTCCTGTGTGCACATCCCCGCATCACTACATGAGTGGGTGAGAAGAGACTCAGAAAAGCACCAGACACATGTTTCTTCTGCCTCAGTTCCCTAGTCTGTAAAAGTACTCAAGAGCATGATGGCGGCCACAGGGAACAGAGGGGAGAGACACCTGGAGGAGCAAAAGACAGTCCCAGCTGTCAGTCTTCAGACACCATGGTTTTCTGGAGAAGGGATCCAGACCAGACCGCCAATCAATATAGCCGCAGACCGCCAGTCAATATACCTCATCCTTGTGAAAGGCGGTTGTCTGTGTGGCAGCAGGGAGACAGGAGGGGCCATATTTGACACAAGCCTGCTGGCCAAGTCTAAAGGAGTCAGCCTGCCATCTGACCACACTTTCTGCAGCCAAGTCCTCTGGGGGCCAAATCAGTATGGTTTGAGTTTATCCCCGACTTGCTGCTATGGTTGATGCACACAAAAAAGGTTTGGCCATTGCCAAGCCAGCTGTGGTCTTGGTTTGGAAGAGGCAACCAAAGTAAGAATTGAAGGGAAGGCATGCTTTGGGATTTCCCTTAGCCTTCAACCCTCTAGAGGAAGCCAACTTCTTTATTCTGCCATTTTGAGACTCATGCTTGTCTGGGTGGATAAGATAAATACTTTCATCATTATCATCATTATTATTAATTATAATTATTGAAAATCAATTACTCAGCAGCCCCTACCTTGTAATGGTATCACTTACAGTTGTATAGCATTTTGCAGACAACGTATACACTAGACCATAAACTCAGCTCGAACATAAGCATAAATTTAAAACAAAAACATTGACTTGGGCAGCTATTATCTGAGGTCAAAGTTATTCTTTAATTCCAGCTGTACCTTCAGCTGCCTATGTCGCTGAAGCAACTTCCCCTTGTGTGTTTTCACACTTAGAGATTGGAGTAATCCAGACACAGAAAATGATACCAAAATTGAAATGTTTCTGAACGTTAAATGATTCAATAATTTGAAAATAGTTTCAAATTTTTCAAAATTCAAAAATTTGAAAATAGTTCGACTAGAGCCCATCCTCACCTCAGGTAGTTACGTGGTGTGTGTGTGTGTGTGTGTGTGTGTGTGTGTGTGTGTGTAGGCACACAAACCCATGCATGCACACATGTATGCACAGTGGTGGATGAGTGTGAGTTACCAAAACAAATACCACTAAATGCAGGATAACACCATGATGGCTAGTAGCTGGATTGACTCAGATTTTCTCTGCAGATCCTTCCTAGTCCACCCTCCTTCCATGACATGGGAGTTTGTGATATGCAAAGGATAAAGTAAACCTGAGTTTCCTGGGGCTTGTGTCGGCATACCAAGCTCCTTTAAGATCTCTCTTTGCCAAGATGGGGCTAAGCCAGAGGCTTCCTTGGCCTGGGGAATAACTGTCCTACCTTCCTCCCTGGAGCGGCTGGCGCACACTGTTTTGACGTGTGCCATGCCTTCCATCTTTTACGGCCTCGGGGCCAGAGGAGGGTATGCTTTGAACAATGTGAAATTCCTCTCCTAACAGCTGTGCAAAGGAAACTCACAGCTTTCTATCTCCATCTCGGTCCACTTAGCTTTCTTTTGGGGTATAGGTTTCTTGTCTGTTCAGGGGTCCCTGTTCCTCACTTTCTGGCCTTCAGAAGGACCAGTTTCAGTACTTCCTTTCTTAGGGAGGCAAGTCAGTCTTCTGAGGTTCTCTGTTTTATTTTATTTTATCCTAGAGTATGCCTTCACTGTTGACCGTGTCTTGCCTCATTTCTGCTAAGAAGCCAGCATCTTCTGAAAATTGAGTGTCTTGTCCTGTTTCAGATCTTGGGCCGAGGATTGACCATGTATGTTAGTCAGTTTCAGAGCCCTGAGTTTTAAGTGCTAAGTTTTAAGGAGAGGAACAACAGTAGAATTAGATATCTTAAAGAACAGGATAGGAATCCACTTCCCTGCCCCTTCTCTCACCTGGTTTGACACTACATAGATACAGACCTGTCCTGAGTTCAGGGATTGTCTAATGAGGCCTCACCAAATACCAACAGAGAGACTAGCTGTTTCTCCTCTAGCTCACTGACTGCTTCTAGTTTTCCGTGACTTTAGAGCATGTGCGTCAGCAGGTTTTGGGGACCATCTCTGGCCTGCTTTCTGATCTTGGCTCTGTCCCTCAATTTATGTCTTTTTTGTGCTCCATAAGACAGGGAGTTTCATGGTTGCCACTACCCGAGAGGTGTGCTAAAGTGAATGAGGTGGAGGACACAGAGCTAGCAGGGAAGAAGGTGCCGTGGAAACCCACACAGCTTTATTCATGTGAGCTCATTTCTCATTTACTCCTTGTAGCAATGCCAAGTCACCCCCTCCCTTCATCCCTTTCCAAGCATTTCCCTCCCTTGTTGGTTTTGGATCCATTGTAACCCCAGTGAGTTAACCTACATGTTTTAGTTTGAATCTAATCATGCTATTTCCAGGTTGCCAACCCCCACGGGTGCTTCAGCCTAATTGGTCTGTCCTCACTGGTGTCTGCAGCACCTTCCCTTTGAGCGTCATCTGTGCATTTTAATTAATCTGCCACTTTTTCCTCCCTCCTGCTTCCGGATCATTAATAAAGAGATTAACCAAAACCAGACCAATCCCCAGCGGAGGCTCCACCAGGATCTCTCTCTCCCAGCTCTCAGCTTTGTCATGGGTCAGAACATCATCATGTGGCCCCATTGACTAATTCTGAGGCCTCAAGACCTATGTTCAGAGCAAAGCCAGTGTGAATTAATTTTTCAATTAAGATTTGGGGAACAAGCATAGCCAGTCTTTTATATATGGCCTTAGTTTAATATTTCCACCACATTCCTTTCCCTTTTGTAATTCTACTTTAAATCTATCACTTTCCCACCTCTCTCCCTTTCCAGTCCCTGAACAAGACATTAGGGTTATCTGGCAGGATGTCTCCTGAGCCTGTAGCATTAGTCAGAGATCATGTCATAGCCGAAGAAATTCTCCAAAGAATCAGGCCCTTCTGGACACAGCTGGCCAGCGTCCTCTTTGACCCCAGCCAGAGAATGCATTTGCCTCCAGAGAATATGGCTACACCAGAAATAATGAAATCTCTTGAATTTGCATATTAAAAATTTGGCAAATTAAAATTTGCTTTCACCTCTGCTCTCATGACTCCTCTCTGAGGAAAGCTAAAACAGAGCCTTTCTGCTTTCTTTGTAAGTCACCCAGATTTCCAGCGCTGGTCTCAAACCCAGGATGTGAGATGGTGCACTCCGTGTTCTGTCCACTACAACACAGGGCCTCTGCAGGCACAGGTGACCTGCAGATGGGCTGCACTGGAGAGCATCAGGCCCAGGAGGGACTAGGGTGAGGGAATTGGATTGTGTTTACTTTTGTGGGGGATGCTTTC
This sequence comes from Homo sapiens, assembly GCF_000001405.40. Classification (NCBI taxonomy): domain Eukaryota; kingdom Metazoa; phylum Chordata; class Mammalia; order Primates; family Hominidae; genus Homo; species Homo sapiens. The sequence continues at coordinate 5,489,206 of NC_000012.12, forward strand.
ATAGGGAATACAGGGAGGAGGACACAGGATTGATGGCCTCAAATCTCTGCAAACTCTGCTTAGAGCTGAGGCTTCTTGGGGAAGGACACAGCCTGCTGACAGCAGCCGTCCTGGCTCCAGGCTTGGAGCTTGGGCTTCCCCTGGAAGTAAACTCTCTAGAATGTTTGAGAGCAAGGACAGACGGAGAGGCAGCCGAGTGTCATCATTAATAACATGAGCTCTAGAGCCAGAAGGTGCAAATCCTGACTCTGTTGCTTGTTAGCTGGTTGTGGAACCCCTCTTTGCCTTGGTTTCCCCATTCAAAATGGGAAATATAATAGTACGTACTTCAGGATGGTTGTTACTAGGATTTAAGATTTATGTAAGCCAGTACCTGGCACTTTGCATTTTTATTCTTGGTGATCTCACCCCTAAGCAGTCTAAAAATTTACTTCACACATGTGCAGCAAGAGGCGTCTTTAGGTACACGGTCAGGAGGTGCTCCTGTGTAGGGAAGCTGGTCCTGGAGAGGTGAATTGGAACCTGAAGGCTGCAGCCCAGTCTCTGCACGTGACAGGGCAGACGCAGGTTGCTGGGGGCTCAGATTCTGTGCCACTGTCTACCTCAGCTTCCTTTTCCATGTCAGCTGCTTCTTGAATACCCCCAAACCCTCTGTGGATGCTGTAAACTGAGCCAAAAAGGAGGAATCAGAAATTGCTCTCTTTTGAGTATTTTGAGGGATGGTGAAACCTTGTAGGAATGTTGCTCCAGGGACTGAGAAAACACCATATGTGGGAAAGCGTTTCTAAGTGAGGAAAATCGCACATGCACGTCGGTCAGGATCTTGGAAAACTCTGAGCAGGGGAAATGGGCACTGGGGAGAGTGTAGAAAGGGGGTTCACTAAGGTCTTTAACAGGTCTTTTTCTAATTATAGCCAAGAAGAGCCTGGGGACCATGGCCGACTTCAGAGCCAGGGCCTGTATTTTCTTTGGGAAAAGAAGGCAGAGTTGATTGGCTTCCAAAACCAGGCTTGGCAAAAGCCCATGCAGGCTCTCCAGCCAGTAAGCAGTGCCTGGGGTAGGTCTCGATCGTAGCAGGCGCTCATTCAGTAAATAGACGTCGAAAGTCCGCAGCGTGTCCAGCCCTATGCTGGGAGTCAAGGATGTGTGGATGGAAAGGACATGGTCCCTGTCGTCAAAGAGAAGGCACACCAACAATAATAGCACAATATGACAATTGCTTAAATGAAGCTCTCTGCAGATGACAGGGACCCCTAGAGAAAGAGCGTAGACATTCCCCTAAATAGCAGAACTCGCTGCTGTGCCTTGCCTGGATGGAGCTGGCACTGCCTTCCTGTTTCCATTCCCCACTCCAGGGAACTGGCCCACTGGGGGACTCCCACCCCGGACATGGAGTGAGAAATGAAGGTATTGGTGGCCAAAAAGTGACCAGAGATCAGAATGCATCTATTCTTGCCCCCAGCAAATTCAGAAACACCACCTCTCCCTTGCCCGTGTTTGCTTTCGTCATTTGTCTGTTCTCTGGGCTTCGAGTTCATAATATTCCTATCTTCTCCCACAACCAGTGTAACTGGTCTGAGATCCAAGCAGTCGGGCACCATGGCATCTGGGGGAAAGCCTTGTGGGGACCGTGTTGGTAAAGATTGCTGTGAGCCAGATGTAGAGGAGGGAGCTCTCCAGACTCTGGGTCCCTCGCCCGTGTGCGTCAAGGGCAGGTGTGCACCATCTCCCGTGGCCACAGGCCATTCAGCTTCATGTTCTCTAACATTTCTAGTGTGCTCACTCTGTACCTGATGCTATGCTAGGTGCTTCCATGTGGATTTCATTGTTTACCCCTCACGATAACTTTCATGGTGCACAAGCCATGTGATTTTTGTTGCGCCTACGAACCAAATGCCCCCGTCACTCTCTGCCATTGTTTAGCAGTCTGACCTTAGACAGCTCACTTCACCACAACTGCAGGCCTCCGTTCCCTTATATGTATAAATGAGGAGGTTGTCTAGGGTCCTTTCCAGCTGCAAACCTCTGTGTTTTGGGGAGTTCTGTTAGCAACATTCTTGGACTTGCTCTCTACGAGAAAAGCTAGAAGTCGATTATTAAAATGGAGTCCACAGGAAGCCTGCAGGGCTTTAAGACAGCCTTCTAAAGAGTTTAGAAACACTCACCAGCCTGCAGATGACTTACTCCCACTACTTATTACAAAGTATCATGGCAAGTAAGAAAGAAATGGTCAGCCACTGGGAGAGCAGGCTGAGGTTGCAAGGAAGTGGCAGGTGCTATCGTTGGGATCTTGGGGGAGCATTGTAGAAAGGTCAGCTTTGGAACCAGGCACTGAAAAACGGGTGAAATTTCAACAGGAGAGGCAGTGCACATGGGTTGTGATTTGAGCAGCAGTGAGTAGTGAATGGGGTTGGAGCAAGAGGCCTGTGAGCCCAGTCATCACATGGAAAAGGGAGGTGAGGGCCAGAGTGCAGAGAACCCCTCTCACTTTCCTGTGGGTCTCTCCTCTTCTTTTTTTTTTTTTTTTTTTTTGAATTGGAGTCTTGCTCTGTCGCCCAGGCTGGAGTGCAGTGGCGTGATGTTGGCTCACTGTAAGCTCCGCCTCCCGGGTTCACACCATTCTCCTGCCTCAGCCTCCCGAGTAGCTGGGACTACAGGCTGCCACCGTGCCCTGCTAATTTTTGTATTTTTTTTTAGACGGGGTTTCACCTTGTTAGCCAGGATGGTCTCGATCTCCTGACCTCGTGATCCACCCACCTCGGCCTCCCAAAGTGCTGGGATTACAGGCATAAGCCACCGTACCCGGCCTTTCTCCTCTTCTTTAAACTGCATTTAGGTTGTCCTCATCTATAAGATGAAGGAATAAGATTAGATGGCCTCTTTATATGGCTTATCTACTTCTAATAAACTTTGGTTCCATATTCCAGCCACCACCCATAAAGACTCTTACTTTTTCCTCCTCAATCCATCAGCATCAGCCAGCATTCTCCCTCTCAGTTCATCCTGGTCATTACCTCACTAATCTGTACCTTGACTCTTATTCTACCTGGGACCTCCCCTCACTAACCATACTTGATTTATTTCCTTAAGAGCGGATATCCTGTGTATTCTTAGCTTACAGTGGCTGAGCTTTTGGGAGGTTTAACAAATTGTTTTTCAATAGACTCTCAGTCCTAAATGATTTTATTGCAGCTGTATTATTCTTTTTGAGGGGAGTAGAGAATGTAATCCTAGTTGTATGCCATATTTTTTGTATTGTTCAAGTTGCATTTTGTTGGGCCTGTAATATTGAAGAAAATGTCACTTGTATGCAGAATAGGAGGGAGATTCCTTATGCTGTAGAGGAACCATTTTCCTAGGATAGTACAATTCCTTAGAGTCATCTCTAAGGGTGAGCAGCAAAGCTAGAATCCCTCTCTTGGCTTTGACCTTGAAGGAGTCAGTTTTCCCAAAGACTAGTTCCCATGGAAAGAAGATGGTCTCCTTATCACAGCAGCAAGAGGAGGCAGTATGAGCAGAGTGCCTCACTGTTGTTGACCTCTAGGGACAAGTGAGCCGGCAGTATTTCAGACAAGCTGGGAAAGAGGCTGTCTGTGAGTCCTGGGAGCGAGTGAGCACTGGCAGGCTCAGACATAGGTGCTGGTTAGCAGGACTGCTTTTCTGTTTCTTGTGTCGGCTTTGTTTATTTCCTCTCTATTTTCCCCCTGGACTTAGTAAAGTCTTTCCGAAAATACCAAAGGTGAACCAGGGGAAGAGTTTTTATTTTCCATGTTTGGACAGAACTTTAAAGAGGAAATGATGTACCCCCCTGGGAGCCAGTGAGGTGGCAGCGATGGTGATTAAGGAGTGAATATCTCAAGGAGGTGGACGAATTCGGGGATCACTAGCTCAGCTGCCCCTCTCCACCTGGAGCATCTCCTTCCAGTGCTACCCTCAGAACATCTGGGCTTTGCTCTAGTGAGGGAGAGACTAGCAATGAAGGTGTCTTGAGATCAGCACTGTAATTCCACCAGGACGCCACCGGAGTCCGGTGTTAAGCTTCTACTATGGCAACAGAATGAGAGCGTGGATGGGTTGAAATGCCATTTCAACAAGGAAATAGTAGAATTAGAAGAAGCATAAGCACTAAAAGGAACATTTTGTAGCAGAAATGTTAAAAATCTAAAGGAGGCAAGTGAATCAACAATGACTCTTCTATTCTGGGCAAGTCCAGCCCATTTATGTAAGGTGGTTATTCTGCATCTCTGTCTTCTGCAAGTAGTGCTGTGGCAGAGCTGCGTTTTGTGGAGAGCGTCCCCGGGGATGGAGCAGATCAGTTGGTGATGCGTATGTATCAGAAAGCTCGGCAGAGCACCCTGGAACGTAGGCCCTCTCGCGGAGTGGGTAGTGGCCCTACATGTTCATTTCCAAGGGCAGGAGAATAGACCGTTCCAGCTGCGGCCTGGCCAGGGATGACCCCACATCTGACACTGCAATATGGGGGCAACTGAACCAGTCCTCAGCCTCAGTGTGTTCCAGGGGCTGCAGCTGGGGAGCAGTCGAACTCTTTCTTGAGACAATTACAAGGCCACCGCTGCTGCTGCTGAAGGGAAGTTACTCCATGTTTACAATTCTCAGGTTTGAAGTTTTCATGCTTTGCCAAGGTAGAGTGAACCATGCGTCTTTGCAGGCTCAAGGGATGTTTAAAGAAGCGGTAGGACATCGTCCACCCACAAGCAGAGACCGCAGGATAAAGCAGACATCCAATGTAAATACAACCCGTGCAAAAAGCAGAGTCGGCAGACCTGGAGTGCATTCGCAGTATCTCCCGGGGGTGGGGGAAAGAAATCACCTCTTCAGAATGTCCAGAGGGGAGTTGCCTTGCTTACCTGGGGGGCGGTACCCTCTCTCGTGCCCTCACAGGGCTACTCAGCCTCAGGTAGCTGGTGCCAGAATAACACAGACTCAGCTGCCAGAGCCTGCTCTTAACACCTGTGTTTCCTTTTCAGATCTTACAGGTGAACAAGGTGATGTCCATCTTGTTTTATGTGATATTTCTCGCTTATCTCCGTGGCATCCAAGGTAACAACATGGATCAAAGGAGTTTGCCAGAAGACTCGCTCAATTCCCTCATTATTAAGCTGATCCAGGCAGATATTTTGAAAAACAAGCTCTCCAAGCAGATGGTGGACGTTAAGGAAAATTACCAGAGCACCCTGCCCAAAGCTGAGGCTCCCCGAGAGCCGGAGCGGGGAGGGCCCGCCAAGTCAGCATTCCAGCCGGTGATTGCAATGGACACCGAACTGCTGCGACAACAGAGACGCTACAACTCACCGCGGGTCCTGCTGAGCGACAGCACCCCCTTGGAGCCCCCGCCCTTGTATCTCATGGAGGATTACGTGGGCAGCCCCGTGGTGGCGAACAGAACATCACGGCGGAAACGGTACGCGGAGCATAAGAGTCACCGAGGGGAGTACTCGGTATGTGACAGTGAGAGTCTGTGGGTGACCGACAAGTCATCGGCCATCGACATTCGGGGACACCAGGTCACGGTGCTGGGGGAGATCAAAACGGGCAACTCTCCCGTCAAACAATATTTTTATGAAACGCGATGTAAGGAAGCCAGGCCGGTCAAAAACGGTTGCAGGGGTATTGATGATAAACACTGGAACTCTCAGTGCAAAACATCCCAAACCTACGTCCGAGCACTGACTTCAGAGAACAATAAACTCGTGGGCTGGCGGTGGATACGGATAGACACGTCCTGTGTGTGTGCCTTGTCGAGAAAAATCGGAAGAACATGAATTGGCATCTCTCCCCATATATAAATTATTACTTTAAATTATATGATATGCATGTAGCATATAAATGTTTATATTGTTTTTATATATTATAAGTTGACCTTTATTTATTAAACTTCAGCAACCCTACAGTATATAAGCTTTTTTCTCAATAAAATCAGTGTGCTTGCCTTCCCTCAGGCCTCTCCCATCTGTTAAAACTTGTTTTGTGATCCGGCTCTCAGGAGTCACTCTGTAAAATCTGTGTACACCAGTATTTTGCATTCAGTATTGTCAAGGCCATGACTGTTGTTTTAGTAAACTTGTTAAAATCAGATGATGTCAGAGTTGTGTATAAACACAGTTATATCCCTCTTCTGGTACATTTAATGTTGGGTTAATGAATTAAAAGAACTGTTATGGCCTGCACTTACTTAAAATGATACCCTGTAGCTCTGGCCAGCAAGTTCTATATCAAATTCTCTGCTGTTAGTTTGGCAAATTAGAATTATGATTTGCTCCAGTGTTATGGTCCTGGAACAATAACAACGACCCTGGCAATTTTAGTTTTGGAAGTTTCTTTGCAGCACATTTGTTGTTTTGGGGTTTGGGGTTGTTTAAGGGTTGAATTTTTTTGTTTTGGCTTTGGTTTTTGTTTTGCTTTTTGCAAGTGGTTTCATCTTTTTAGGCACATAGGAATTTTTTAAAACTATTTGTAACAAAATAATTGCATGACTACCCAGAAGCAAACTGAAATGGATCATGAATCATCTATACATAGAGGATAAATTTATTTATGGCCGACTCTCAGCCTGTGACCACCCCTCCTCATCTGCCAGCCCCTTCTAGAGCTGTGAGCAGAGTTGGAAAGTGCTAGGGCTTTGGAGTCGGACCTGGGTTCAAGTTCCAGCTCCTCCCCTGTGAGCTTGTCCAGGTTTTAGAGACTCTCCGAGCCTGTGCTTCCTAGGGTCAGAGTCAGACAGCGGTCCTTGCCTACGTCCGAGGAAGGTTATAACCCCTGAAACTTTCTAGCATAGCGCAGGCATTCAAGAATGTTAGTACCTCACCCATTCCCTTCCATCCCCCCGAGATGTAAAATGCCTAAATGGAAGGGAACTTCTTGGTGCCTTCTGAGTCCCAACAGGAGTCCATGACAGCCAAGGGGTCATTGTGGTGATGGCCTCACCTGTCATGCCCAGGCAGGACTGAGGGGACACCAGGGATGTCCATCAAGGAGTTTGTTGATGCCCATTTCCCATTGAGAAGCAGCTCATCCTCTTGGGGTTGGAACATAAGGATGCTCATCTCCCATCTTGGCGGAGGTACAAGGTGTCCACTAATCCAGCACTGCCCTGAAGCCCCGCCCTCTGCCCAACCTGGATTGCCCTGCATTCATTAGGGCCCAGCTGTCCTACACACTGACATCTCCTTAGCACACACCTGTATGGAATGTGTCCTTTATGGGATGTGAACTTTTGAAATAGACTCAGCAAATAGCAGTAGCCTTAGTTAGGAACATCATGACACTGCACTTGATCTTGGATGCCTAAAATATGGGGGAAGGAAATAAGGAATTGACCATGTGCCCATCATGGGCCAGGCATATTCAAACCCTGCCACCATTAATTGTCACAAATCCTTTGAGGGAGCCAGTATCATCTCCAGTTTACAGGCGAGGAAACTGAGGCTGGTGGGTTCAACTAGCCCATGGTCTTTAGTAAGTAAGTGGCGGAGTGAAGATTGTAATCTACGTGGCAATGATGGCACAGTCTTGAACCCTCGGCACTAGTCTCTCCCTCTCCCACATAGCAGCATCACATTTCAGAGTGGGTATTATAGTCCTAGTTATATGAAAAGCACAGCCCTCTGCATGGGAACCTTTTGTCCTATTGTTTCACTGAGCCTTCATCAAGAACACAATAAACCAGCTGATAGGACAAGGAGAGTCTTAGGACTAGCCCAAGCCCAGTTATCAGGAGCTCGTCATTTCAAAGTGACCATTTCCCTGGGCTTCTAGTAAGCCCTCCACCCCTAAAACAGCAGGCTGAGGGATACTGCAGCTGACGCATGTCTATAAAGCTTGAGTCTCAATTGTTTAGCCAGCACTGCAGGAGCAACACAAGAATGTAAAGAAGCAGTTTTATGGCCCTGGTTAACAGTGGATTCTAGAAAGTTGGAGAAATCTGTTGAGTTGCCGCAAATGCTCCCTCACCTGCCTATCATATGGCCTTTCTTTCTATCTTCAGGCCTACAGTTGAGGTGCCTTTAAGGTCCTCTTCTGGAACTTCTGAATGGTAGAGGGTGGTCTGGTTTATTAGGGAGATGGTCTTCAGTGACAGGACCCCAGAACCCAGCCTTGCGGGGCACTGACCCTAAGGAGTAGAGCTGAGTCCTGAGCTCTGCCTGGAATGCAAGGAGTTTGCTGGCTTGTCCAGAGCAAGTCTGGAGTAGCATGCTTCTGGGCAGGTGCAGCTCTGAGGAGAAGAGACTTGGGGATGAGACAGAAATATTCCCAAAAGGAACTCTGGGCTGCAGGCCATCTGACGGCTCAGCCTCACTCATTCGGAAGGCCAGGGCAATGTGGCAATACCCGGTTCCATGTCAGTAACTTTATTCAGATGCTGCCAGAGTCAACGTGTTAGCTCTGGACCCAGGGCAGAGCCTTCTCGAGGTGGATAGGAGGCCTGTTTCTATCTAATGTACACATTTGCCATTGGGGTTAGTTGAAGATTAAACCCATCTCTGAGATAGGAGAGGCTTGGAGGGCTAGTATCTGGCTCCTGGAAAAACTCCACTCTCTCCTTATCTTCCCTTAGTGCTTAGTTTCTTGCAGGGGCTTCATTAAGCAGAGGTATATTGCAGTGTGAAGAACTTGAGTGCACAGGAGAAAATGGGGTGTGGGCCAACTTTATTGCCAATAGCTGCATGGCCTTAAATAACTCCCTTGTCCTAACTGGGGCTTTCAACATCATGAGATTCTATTGCAGAGAGGGGCAGAGTCCAGATGAATAATCTTCACTTCCTTAATGAATGCTAGGGTGAGAAGCTCTGTTGCCTGTTGATGGGACTCCTTTCTGCCACATGTGAGACTCTAAAATTCTCCCCTCTTACAGACTGCAACCTTGAGCTTATTATCTAGTCTCTCTGAGCCTTTGTCTACTTGTCTGTAAAGTGGGGATAGTGGCTACTTCATAAGACTGTTTGGCAATCTAATAAAATCATCCATTTCCTGGCACATAAGAAGCCTCCTTCAGCGTTAATGATGATGTTTGCAAGGTTTGCAGGATCCCTCATTCTGTAATTTTGGTGGGACTTTCCAAGCTCCGTAGTGGAGGATTAGTCATAATTAACATGTATTAATCATGGACTTTACGGGAGGTGGACCTTAGGGTGGGATTTGCCCATTTCCTTTCTGCAGGTCTCTTCAACCAAACTACTGACCCAGTCTTACTGACAAGGCCTTTAATCCTCAGTTGACAAACCAGGGAAGGTATTTCTAACCCTTCCAGGTAGTGAAATGTAACTTTTTGCTAGAAGTTCTGCCGACATGCTTCTCTGATGTGTACATGTGTGAGTGTGTGAGTGTGCATGCATGTTTTGTTTCCTCCTTGCAAATTATAGCACGGCTTTTCTCTTGTGTTTCTGCCTCTCAGTCTCTGTCTCTCTCTCGTGTTCAACAATGCTTCCTCTAGGCTGGTGTTGGTGTTTTAGGGTTTGGTATTTCTGAGGACTTTTCTGTTGCTGTTCCCTTTCCTGTGTTGTGTGTGAGCACATGTGTGTCTATATGTGCTTTATAGTTCATTTAGTCAATGTAAAAATCCTCCACTGAGGCTTGGAGAAGCCATCTGCATTTATTTTATCGCTTTTGAACATGTGTTCAGGAATGAAGGCTGTGTAATCAGTTTATTGTTACCTGGAGATTTGTCTGGCTTCACCAGGAAGACGCACCCCCTGCCCAGGCTTCAAACTCTGAAGGACCTGGCAAAGCCAATGCCAGGTCCTCGGTGAAGCCTGGCTTTGCCTCGCTGAACTCCTGCCCTGCTCAGCTGCACCATAGGCTCTGCCTCAGTGAGGGTGCTCTGAAGCCTGGGGAGCGGCCAACTGTCCACAACAAACATGCCACCCTCCACAGCCCTGGCCCCAGGGCCTCGCACATGCTCTGTTCCACAACTAGGAACAGCCGCAGTCACTGAAGACCACAACCAGGAACAGCCGCAGTCACTGAAGATGGATTCAGCTGGAAACTTCTCCAGCCTAACCTTCTTTCTCAAAGACCCCACCCCCAAATCTAAGGAGACCCAAACTCCTCACATATGCTCTGCCCACGTTACAGTGGGCGAGTGGGCTTCTCAAAAAGCACACTTGTTTCACAGCAAGCTGAGATGCAGACGTCTCTGTGCTGACATAGCCCCCTGGGTTTCTGTTTGGTTCAGATGGAGATTGGCCCAGCTTGAATGGGCAGAGCCACAGAGCAGGTTAGAAGCACTCCGAGGGACTATGGGTTTGTTTCCTACAATCCTCAACCTATGTTTGGTTGCAGGGTATGGCAGGCCAATGAAACAAGCACAAATATGCCTGTTGTAGGGGCCAGGGATGGGAGAAGCAAGGAAGTGTGGAGAAGGGGAAAACTCCAAGGATGTCAGAAGCCTTTTCTCCTAGGAACTGCCTACCACCAATGAGTTGGGCTGGGTTGAATTGTTGCAGAGTTCAGTAATGCCGTTGCCAGGTGAATTATAGAAGTCTCTGTGGCAAGAAAACGTGAACGTTTATTGGGAAATTGTGAAACACAGCCTAATGAGTTTGAAGATTTTCACGTGAGACATATGAATGGGTGGGCATGCATGCGTGTGTGTGTGTGCATGGCTGCTTTGATATCCTAACCGGAGAGGCATTGCATTTTTTTAAGGAAAGGTAATGCCTGCAAAAGAATGCTCCTGAACACAAGGTTAACCTCTAGGAGATTGCACTGGTGGCCAGCTGGGGAGCATATGGAAAGTGAACATTCTTGGGGCTTGAAAACAGGCTGATGGGGTGGAGGATTTATAGACAGAAAAGGCATCCAGCAGACTCCAAGCAGCCTAAACAGAAGGAGCCGGGTTTGTGGGCTCTCTGACTTGGTGGAAAAGCATTCAAAGCTGGTGCTGGGATTAGGGGTGGAGATGAGATCAGACCAAGGAATAAATAATAATAAACTTTCTTATTGGTGGCTGCTTCCTCCAAGTTAGGCACTGTGTACACATCTCCATGGGTACGCAGTGACAACCCTGGTAGATTTAACCGTTTTGTGCAGTTGAGGACTTTTGACTGAGGACTTTGGCCTAAAGTTGTACAGCTGGTAAAAGGAAATGCACAGATAGGAAACCAAGAGGTCTACGTGGCTTGGAAGCACATGCTCTTAACTATGTGAGTAAGACAGCAGTGGAGAGGACACTTAAGTGCTTCAGAGGGCCCTGACAGCTGAACTGCAATGGGCTGGAGGGAGCGAGGAGGGTGACATGCACTTGGCACACAGGAAGAGATCATAGGTTCAATGCCGCAGTGATACCGACAATTGTTCTACCTGAGGGAGATGCCAGACTCATGGGTAACTGGCTTACGGCAGCAGACATTTTCAGGAGGTTAGGGAGGAGGAGTGGATCTCTTATCCCAAACCCTTCATTCGCCACCTAACGACTGAAGAATCACTGTGCTAGGGGGAAGGTGGTTTTGCTTCTGCCTAAAATATAAGGATCAGCACATCTGGAATATCCCTTTGGGGCTTTTGCAAATAGATAGAAGGCAGAAATTTCAAATTTGGACAAAATCTTTGAGATCCAGTAACCTATCCTTCCTTACAAGGCAGAGATCTATTTTTATTCATTCATACTTTTTTTAAAAAAATTGTCAAGTCCCTACTAGGCTCCAGGCTTTCTTCTCAACTCTATGGGCTCTGCACATGAGAAGCCATCCCTCCTGGAGGAGCAATGAGTAGAAAAGACGGGACCTTAAGGGATAGCCGCTTAGACAATTCCCACGGCCTCTTGATAACCACTTCTCCCTCACCAGGCAGCTTGCTCTAATTTGAAACAGCTCTTACCATATAATAGAAAGCCCCTTCCAATGTTAAAGCCACATCTACAGACAAAATAGCTGTAACTAGGTTGTCAACCAAAGCTCAACTAACTAAATGCTCGCCTGAGGCAGTCAAGGAAAGCCTCCATGAGGAGGTGACCTCTTAGCTGGCTATTAATGGATGAGTAGGAATTTGGTAGGGAAAGATGGCGAGAATATTCTAGACAGGAACAGCCTGGGGGAAAAGTGCAGAATGGGGAAAGGGCCTAATGTATGCAAAGAAAAGTGGAAGGTTTGGGGTAATGAAGACTTTAGGACTGTGGAAAAGGGGAAGTTGAGACTAAGTAATTCAAGGCTGAGGGGAACAGCTATGAAGTTGGATTTGATTGTTTGGGATCTCCTAAATTGAGCTTGCACGAGAGTCACATGGAGGGCTTGTTGAAACCGATTGCGGGGGGTGGGGGGCCCATCACCTGAGTTTCTGATTCATCACGTCTGGGGTGGGGGCAGAGAATTTGCATTTCTAGCAAGTTCCCAGGGATACTGCAGCTGCTACACACTTGGAGAATCAGATTCACTAATCAATGAGGAGTCAATAAGGGTTTTTTTTTCTGCATTTTTTAAGAAGATAATTTTGGTGGCAGTATAACTGATGGATGGACTGGGGACAGACTGATCAGGTTGATCACAAGTGAGGGCCTAGACTAAAGAGAAGACAATAGGAGTGAGGAGATATATTGGATTAGAAAAGCATTTTTGAGATGCAGTCAACAAGATTAGGTAACCAAGTGGATGTGGAAGGCGAAAGAGGAAGGCATTAGGAAGATGACTCTAGCACTTCTCGAATCATGATGGTTCTAAATCAAATGCAAGAAGACAGCAAGACAGTGGATTGGAAGACAGGAACTATATAGGAACTATAGGCACTGGGTGCGAGGTTCTCAGAGGACATCAAAGTAATGGTATCCAATAGACAGCTGGTTATTAAGATAGAAGTATGCTTGAAATTATGAAAAAACACCTCTTGTTCATTTGGAAGTAATCCAGCATAGGTGAGCCTCTCCATGTACAAATGGTTCTAGTCTAAGCTCAGTGGAAGCCCAAATCATAAGCTCATCAGCGAATCAGGGTGTGGGAATCTGGACTCCCAATGGGGATCTATGGGTCTGGCCTCCATTTCAGAAGGGTTATGTGCTCACCCACTTGATCACTTTGGAAGTTGGGGGGGAAAAATGCTTGGAGATTGCTGAGGAGAAAGAAATGACCATTTTGAGACTCACACCATCTGCATCTTCAGATAAGTGTCACAGCAGGGCCGTAGGCCTTAGCAGCCAGCTTCAGACACCACCATCAGAGACATTTCAGGTTGTATTTTAAAGGAAAAAGCCAGCTATTGGGAAGCTGAGATCTAAAGATTCTTGTCAAAAAAAGAACTTATTGTGGTTGTATTTTCTGGGCTAGAACTTTTCTCAGTTGTTAATTTGACTCCTTGAAAGCCTCTTGGTCTATTAGGAAAAAAGATTCCTCCTTCTTAAGAAAATCCTGGAAGTGGGCAAACACCTTTCTGCTGCAGAGCTTTCGGGCAGGAGTTCCCTCTGCCTTAAATGCTCTTCTTTCTTGCTAGGCTCTGTTTGTCTGATTCCCACCTGCTCAGCCTTCCTTTTCCTCAGGGGATCTTTCCCGACGCCTCCTCCTGAGTTACTTATGGTCGACCCTTCCTCACAATTTATATGATCCTATCACATAACACAACTGAAATTACAGCTGTGGGATTATTTGTGTCATTCTTCTTTGCCCTGTTGCCCCATTTGGCTGTCATCTACATGAGTCCCTAAGTCATGCTGATTTTCGTCAGAACTTTATCCCAAATGCTGAGCACAATGCCTATGCCATCAGTAGGCACTCAATAATGTTTGTTGTACAAATGAGTGAATGAATCCCCTTCATAAACAGGGATTACAACAGGAAGAAGGACTGGAGTCAAGCCCCAGGGAGAATGGATTAGCGAGGAGGGAGGTTGGTTGCTCTTTACTTCTTTAGACATCCATGGAGAGCCAGGGCAGGCAAGAGGCTCAGCAGTATAGAATCATGATGTCTGTTCTAGTCCAAAGATTGGTGGCTCCATTATTCCATTGGCAAAACGCTGGGGAAAGGACTCAAACTGAAAGAAGACTTTTAAGTGTAGTTATGGGAAACAAAATACAAGATCATGAACCAGGGCTGTGCTTATACTTCTTAGATTAAGAACATCATGTCTTGATTGAGCTGTCATTCATCCACTCAGCCATGCATTCGTTCAACTAATTTATATCAAAACCTACTATGCACCAGCCCTCTTCTCAGGTATTGATTAGTACGATGACAAACATGGGCAGATGAGGCTCATGCCTTAATGGAGCTTACCTTGTAGAGGGTATGACAGGGAAAAAAAAAAAAAGAAGAAGAAAGAAACAAGCAAATGTGTAGATAAAATGATTTAGGTGGTGGTAACTGCCTAGAAGAAATACAATACAGTAAAAGGGTAGAGAATGAGTAAGGGGGGCTGGGCGAGGGCGGTGCTGGTGTTGCATGTTGTATATTTTCATGGTTGAAATGCTTGCTCCTGTGAAATTCGAGGCATGAAATCTCAGTATGCCTAAGGGAAGTCAAACACATTTTCATAAACTCTGAGCAATTAATGGTTGTCATTAAAGCAGAGGATTTTTAGCCAAAAAATCAAAAGCCAAGTTTCAGCAGTAGCACACACAGGGCCCAATCCACAAATTATTTCTCTGTTCTTCAGCACTAGGTAACATGTTTTATAGGAGACCTTGGACGTTACACCACATTCTCCCCATAACAGAGGCGGGCATTACGCAGAGTATTGCTTCTGTCTCTCCAGGGACTTTTCACCCCGTCAAACCTGTTTCACTCCAGAGGAACAAGACGCAGTCACTCTGTCCTGCTGTCAGGGGTGGGCCCTCTGATTCCCCTCCAGATGCCAAAAGGCCCGGGGGCTGGGGTGGTGGGGAGCAGGTGATGGGCAGGGCCACTCCCTCTGAATTCCAGTGCCTCTGGCTCTTGCTGGCAGCTCCCCAACAAGGAGAGGTGGGGAGGTTTGCCCAACCCAGGGCTGGGTTTCTGCCTCTGGCACCCCAAGGGCACTTTCTTTTCATCTTAGGCATGCATCAAGAAAACTACTCTTGGGACTTTTCTTGGGACTATAATTGAGTCATTTGTACTCTACAACCCTCCATCAGTTTTTCTTCTTTAAAAGAGGATATAAAAACATTTCTAATTTGACAAAATGTATCCTGGGAGCTCACCCCGGCTACCTTAAGAATGAGTGGCAAGGATGAGAGCTTTGCGATTGTACAGAAGGGGAGTCAAGTACAGAATCTGTACAATCAAGTACAGATTGTACAGAAGGGGTTCCGAGAATCCCCCCAAAAGGCCACTAGAACCACCTCCAAACCCAACCTACTAAGCCAGCTTGACTTCAGAGAGGTTAGGTAATCTAGCCAAGGCCACACAGCTTATATGTGGGGCAGAGCTGGAATGAGAACCAGATCTGTCCTCCAGTCCAGAACACCCTCCATTATGCCACACTGCCATAAGAGACACCCTTGTACATGAAACCACAGGAGTGAGTGATGTGAGGTGTTCAGACACCTCCCGTGGGCCAGCAGAAGAGCTTCTGCAAGTGCCCTGCAGAACTCCCCTGGCATCTGCCAGCACGTGCCTCTACATTCCCAGGGACTTCTCAGAAACCTGGATTTGTGCACATGGAAGGCTTAATTCATGGCTATCAGACCCTCAACCTCTGGAAGAGGATGCATTCACATATTGTTAATCCATAGAGTAAACATATTGTGATGTTTGTGATGCAGTGGCCAAAGTTAGGCAGACCCAGGTTTGAACCCTGATCCCACCACCGATAATCATGTGACCTGGGGCAAGTTCCCTGGTTTCGTTCCTTCTCAAGTTCACTATGAAATGGGGATAATAATATCTATCTCCAGGGGTGACAGTTACATTGTCTGTAGCTGGAACAAGTGACCTGGACACCAGCAAAGCATGGTAGGCTATAGCAGGTCCTGGGGTGCCTCCTCTGGGCCTTCATAAGGAATTCCTGAGGTCTCCAGGGGAAGGGCCAGGGCAGCCAGGTAGTAAGAGATCACTTAAGGGTTTTGGAGAGCAATGATTGCTAACTGGCCCACCTTCCAGCCTGACATCCGGTCTGCCTACTGCACAAGGAGGTTGTCAGGATGGAGGACAAACACGTAAGGCCGTTGGCACAATGCTTGGCATCTAGGAAGTGCTCAATAACATTGGCCTCCTCCCCCTGAGAGACAGGGTCTGTGCCTATAGTCCCCAGAGGAGGAAATGGCCCGCTGGCCCCACTGTGCAGACACATGCAATACCTTGCTGCTCATGACACCTCCACTTCTAGGGAACTTTCTTGCTTTCTTGCCAAAATTCATTACACTGTAGCCCAAGTCAGTTCTAGGACTTTTGACTTTTAAGTCCAGGCTAAATCTGGAACTTTTCTTAAATGCTTGCAAAAATACCCTCTGCTCCAAAAGCATGGCACCAACTGGATGGGAAAGGAGGTCGCGAAGCAGAAGACTATTGATTTCTATGGGTTTCCTTTGCAACATCAACCTTGCATCCTCCTGGTGCTCTGGCAGACAGTGACCTCGGCAGGGTGCAGGCCTGCCCTTACCACTGGGTAGGGCCCTGCCCCCTGCTCTCGTCCTTTCAGTTCAGCTTCTCATGCGCCCAGTCTGTGCCAGCCCCTGGTGAAGACTGGGTGAGCTGATTGCCACTGGACTCTATAATTTGCTGACTGCCCACAGACCCCATCAGCCACTGCAGGATAGCAAGAGCTGAGAGAAATGTCATGTAGACAAGCAGGAGCCTGGTGCCCAGCAAGTGCCATGGATGTGAACCCTAGAACCCCAGTGTCACTGCATGAGCTCACGTGAGTCAGGCATCTCTGGGCCACATCCATTTCCTTCTTCCTGGGCACCAGCTGTGTGTCAGACCTTCCCACCCTTCCCTTTGGGCATACAGATTGCAGCCCAGTCTCCTGGAGAGAGAGACACAAACAGTTATAATACAATGTGATTGATGCTTTAATTCCCTTCATGAAGGCTTGCTATTAGGGCACAGATAGGGGGTTCTTTGCCTCACCTAAGGGGGGCAGGGGAGGGGAAGTCTCCCTGGAGCTAATGATGCCTGCAAGGAAATAAGAGAAAGATATTCCAGATACTGCAAAGTACAAGGGAGCCAACAAATATGTTTATATTGTTGGAACTTAAAGAGTGAAGAGAGCAAGCGTCAGCACACAGAGGCTCATGTGCCGTGCTAGAGAGCTTGGACTTAGTCTTGCAAAAGAGAAGAAGCCTGGGCCATGCAGGAGTGACCCGGGAGAGTGGCCTTTCATAGACAGGTCACCATAGGCACCAGTGGCTCTTCTGTCCAGAAGGGCTGTGAGCTTCTCTCTCCACCCTCTGGTGTGCTGCGTCATCTACACTTGCTGCTTGTTTGTGGCCACACCAATCCAGGTCTGCCTGAAGCCAAGGGAGAAGATGTGGCAGCTCCAGTGCAGACCTCAGGATCCTCTGTGACATCTCTGGAGAATGGACATGCTGAAAGTCAGATGGAAGGGAGAGACCTGGACAGGCATGCTGCTGCGTTGAAAGGCAGGTTTGGAGAAGGTGGGGCAGCTTCATCACTCCTCCCCCTCATCTGAGTGGGACTCAACACTCAGAACCACCTTGAGCATTCACTCATCCCCTTGCCCTGGTGGAAGGACCAGCTCCGGTCCCTGCCCTTTCTGGTCTTTTGCAGCTGGAAATCCAGATGCTGGATCTTGGTCCCAGGATAATTGAGCTGTCCACATTGCTTCCTCTCCCTCTTATCCTGTCACGCTTCCTCCTGAACTTTTGACACAAACCCTGCTTCGTGTCAGTGTGACTGTCAACCCCCATGAAGTCAGCATCCCCGGGGTGGGTCTTGCGGCCTTGCTCAGCCTCCAAGCCCCACAGGCCCTGTTCCAGGCCAGCAACCATAATTGGCAACAACACTGCAATTCCTGAGGTGGCTGGGAAGACAGAACAGGGCTGCTGGCCTTAGGAGCACAAGGTTCCTTGCTGCCCTCTGTGTGCCTTTGTGTTGCATGCCTGGTGGGGCTGGAGGTGGGATCTCACCCATCCTTCAGGAGGCCCCGGCATAGCTGACTTTCCTCTCTCCAGACCTGGCTTTCTAAAGGAGCTGAATGAGAACGTTCCCACACAGGGATTTTCATCAAAGACCGCTTTCATCAGGCCCCACCCCAATGCTTTCAGGAGTTCCCCACTGTCTACATACAGTCCTGGCTTCCTGGCTGGGCACTTGGGGTCATTGACAAAGTAGCCCCAGCCTCTTTTCCGGCTGTTTCTCCCTCACTGACACTGAGAACAGCCCCACTGCCTTTCTCCATATTTCTCATACCTGACCTGCACATCCCCACTTCCAAGCCTCAGCATGGGCTGTTCCCCATCCTCCAGGGATCCTTTTCTGACCACAATCTTTAGCCCACACAACTGCTTCTCCTTACTGTGACTCAAAAGTGATGCACACCTACCAATCCTGCGTCTTGAATGTCCAACTTTCCTCCCTTGACAGATGAGGATGCTGGACTCTAGGGAGAGTCAGTAACTTGCCTGAAGGCACAGCTGGGAAACAAGAGAGCTGGCATTCAAATCCACGCACTCCAGCTTCAGTGCTCGAACCTCAGAGTGCTCTCCATGAAGAGCATGTTTCCTTTCCCTCAGTAGAGGGAGAGAGCGCTAGATGACACGTGAGCAATGCTCCCTGACTCTTGCCTGCGTGTCTCGTCACATACTGTTCCTCTTCCTGCTGGCCCTCCCTTTCTCTGAAGGAAAAGCCTTCTATGGCTAACTTGGGCTGTAACTAGAAGTTGAATCAATTCCCCTCCTCAGGACCAGCTATGTAATTTGCAGGTCCCAAAATGCAAATGCAGGCAGGGTCCCTTGTTCATAAATGATGGAGAATTTCAAAATGGTGGCAGCAAACATTAAACCCCAAGTTCAGGGTTCTTCTACACACAGCACCCAGTGGGGCCGCCCAGGTCCCATACCCATGAAGTGGCCCCGCACCTTCCTGGGGCTTCCCGGCCTGCACTCACCATCCCTAGCTTTCCTTGTGAAGCCCCAGGGTCAGCAATGCCTAGCACACAGTAGGCCCTCAATAACGTGTGTTGAATTGGAAAGATTTCTTGTAGACGAGAGACTGTAAATTTCAGAATAGGTGATTTTAAGAACAAAAGAGATACCCATGTGTCTAGGTCTAAATTTTCTGGTGCTTGAAACAAGCAAACAAAAATTGTGGACTCCTCTTTTTAAACAAAATACTAGATTGGATACCGTGATGGGCTGAAATTGTGTTTCTTCAAAATGAGTATGTTGGAGCCCTCCCCCCACTACTCAGAATGTGACTGTATTTGCAGGTAGGGTCTTTAAAGAAGTCATTAGAACGAGATTGTAAGAGTGGGCCCTAATCCAATAGGATTCATGTCTTTATAAGAAAAAGGAGGTTAGGACAGAGACAAACACAGAGAGGCGACGATGTGGTAACACAGGGAGAAGATGGCCATCTGCAAGCCAAGGCAAGAAGCCTAGAACAGAGCCTTCCCTCAGATCCCTTAGAAACCAGCCCTGCCAACACCTTGATCTCAGACTTCAGCCTGCAGAACTGCAGGACAGTAAATTCTTGTTGTTTAAGCTCCCAGTCTGTAGGGCTTTGTTAAGGCAACCCCAGCAAACCAGTACAAATACCTAGAGATAAAATAAATCACAACCAATTATAAACCTCAAAAGCTGATAGATACCACTGAAAAATCTGGAAATATGGAAGAATAACATGATATTCATAGCTGCATTAACTGTCTGTCATACTTTACTTCCCATATTTTTGGCTGAATAATCTTCATATGTGACAATAGTTTTATAATATTCTTTTCCATAGAGAGAAGAGAAAGATAATTTAACTTCTCTTGTAACATGGTTGATCAGATTTTTTTCCAATATGGAAAAGTCTGAAGTTCACAACTTATCAGCGGTAACATCACATACATTTTCAGAATTGGTACCAAATTTGGGAAAATGTCTATCAAGTTTCTTTCACAGATCGGCTGATAAATGTCAGGACATTTTCATTATCTATTAATGCAGTGACTAATCTTAAATGCTCTTTGAATTGCCAACACTCATTAACCAGTCGGTCACCAATGTCTGCACCATAGTTATGCTATCCTGGTCAATGTTCTGATTTTATGTTGAGTCAGCAAAAAAAGGAAAATCTTTTTTCCGATGTGAGCTTATAATTCATCCCTTTCTTTTAATTGGGTTATATTATAATCCAAGAGCCTACTTATTACTTCCATTGGAAATGTATCATAAAGATTGGAAATGTATGTCTTCCTCTTAATGAACTAATACTTTTAGTATGATCTAAGATTTTTTGTTACAATTTATTTCTTCATATGAGAATAATTTTAACCTTACTTCCACAGAACTGTTAAAACCGTATAATAACCACGTGAATACCTTGCTAGGATGCCCTGCAGTCTTTGGAAGGACAGGGGCAAGTGAAGAAACCTGAAGCTGAAGCTCCATTAGCTTTGTGGCGAGTCAACCCTGGTCAAGGTTGGAGGTGGGGCTCAGAAGAACTAAACCAACAGATACTTCCAGCTGTACACACTCATCCCAGCCAGCGACACCCACTCTTCAGGTCCATGGTCCCAGGCCGCAGCAAAGTTCTGAGACTAAGGTGAGAATAAGGTGAAATTATGCACATTTTCTGTTTGTGTGTAGAGAAAGAGAGAAACAACTTCCTCAACCCGAGATGAGGTTGTCTCTGGGCGACTAGCCATCTGGTTCACCAAAACAAGATTTTCTCTGATTTTGCATGTAAGCTGTTTTTGTTTGTCTTTTTTACCACTTTGGTCCTAAAGGGTTTATTTTCTGTTACCCACTCCCCACAGAACCTCTGCATTCTGGGATGGAATGTAGGGTGATGGAATCCTTAGAGGTGGGTGAGAGGAATCCCACTGGGCCCCCCAGCATGGCCTGGGGCCTTCCTGGGCTTGGCAGTGGTTAAGAGTGTGAGCACCAGAACCAAACAGCTGGGCTCTGACACTGACTCCCTCCAACCATAGTCCCGGGACAAACTCACCCCTCCGTTCTTCCCATTCTGTATCAGTAGAGCAGAGGAAAAGTGATGAGCAGCACGTGGGAGTTGTGGGAATTGAGTCGTTGCCGCTCAAGTGCTTGTACAGGGCCTAGCACTTCGTAACTGCTCACTGCGGGAAAGGGAACAGGTTTATTAAGGGTTTGATGAACAGAACTGGAGGAAATTGGGAGGGGGCAAGGGCCCTGTCCTTATGCCAGGAACTCCTCCCTTCCTTTCTTCTCCAGGCCTCACTGGGAGCTGCACCCTCTGCTCCTCTGGCCTGGGAAAGAGCCAGATGTCTTGTCTCCTGTTTCCCATCAGAGAGGGTTTCCTCTGGCTCCAACGCCTTCCTTGCAGTGTATGAGGCGGCTTTACCTGCCTCAAAGGTCAGCTAGCAAACACCTAGAGAGTATTCTAGACAGACCCTGGCTGCAATTCCCAGGCTTTCCCTGCTAAATCTGGCAGAATCTGCCCTGGGGTGTGCCAAATGTCAATCACAAGAAGGACAGGTCACACTGCTTCTTCCGAGAAGCCTCTCTAGATTTCACCGCCCTGCCTTGAACTCTGCCCATATCCTGTGTCTCCTGTAACCCTGGGCTCAGCTTGTCCAAAAGCTGTTCCCTGCTAACCATGGCTAGTGTGCTTCTCGAATTGTGAGCCAAAAGCAAATGTTCAAAAGCACAACCAGAGATTTATATGGCATAGGGGTGTATTTTCCCAGAGAGCTAAAAAAAGATTGTAAAATCGTAATTATATCCACATTTTATGCATAATTTTTGCAATATACTAACCATATTTTGAACATGTTCATTCATTTACTTCTGCTACAATTCAACATGCAGTCACTCAACAGATATCTGTTGAGCACCTCCTAGGTACCAGACACCATTCCAGGTATTCAGAATATATCCCTCGTGGGGCGCACAATCTAATAACAGAAGGAGATGGATAATGAAAACTTCACATCATAAATGTTAGATGGTGATAAGTGCTATGGGGAGGAAACAAAGGGAGACAAAAGCAGAGCCCAAGAGAGAAGATCCAGAATGCAGGTGGAGGGTAGAGTGCAGGTTGCAATTTAAAACAGGAGGATCAGGGAAAGCCTCATTGATACACTAAGATTTGAGCAATGACTTGGAAAGGAGGTGAGGGATGAGCCGCGTGGAAATCAAGGAAAGGGCATTCTGGGTACAGGGCCCTAAGGCGCGAACGTGCCTGGCATGCATCTGAACACAGCTTAATTCTGGTGAGCATCTGATTGTGGCTTCTTTGGTCTTCCTTGGGCGTGCCTAAGGACTCCTATCTTTGTCTCATTTATATTAAGTTCATGAGATCTGTGCTTTCTACTCCAGCTTTCCACTCATCTTTATAAAACAGTAAGGACAAAATTAAATGAAATGTGCAAAATAACTGCACAAACTCTGTGCTGGGTGCCTGGTGACGCGGAACCGTCGGCTGGCACGCTGCGCCCCCACGTGGAAGCTTGCAAGGTTTGGCCCCCTAGGCACGGAAGTTCCTATCTGGCCCCTGGAAAGCAGCCCAGGGGGACCAGGCTTAGTGCCCAAATGTACGCGCTGTGCAAAAGAGAAACTTATGAAGTCAAGGACCTCGTGGCGTGTTAGACGAGAGCCCGAGGGCAGGGGTGGGGGTGCAGTGCTGATGGGGATGTGGGCCACACCCGCTAGCTTTCCTCCCCGAGCCAGAGAAGATGTTCCTGTCCTTGAACAAGAGAGCAGACAGTTCCCCCAGGCAGCTGTGTGCATGGGGGGAGGAGGGGGTTCCGGGAGGGTGCTGTGCTGCATGGCCCTCGACACAGATGTGCACTCGCATGCGCTTGGCAAAGGTGCTCCCCGCACTGGACGTGCATTTGTTTTTCCTCCAGGACTGTGTTCTGGACAAGGACCTCCTGAGGCACCCATGCTGCAGTTCCCAGAGGCTTAAGGACGGCTGCGGGACGTGTGGGCGTCTGGGTTGGTGAGTCTGGGAATTGGGGAGGGGGCGTCTGCGAAGGGAAGCCAGCCCACCCCAGTCATAAATGCCATACTCTTAGGGACACGCAGGAGTATTTTATTGTTTCATTGAAAACTGAGCCCCCAGTGCAGCTGTTCTGCCCATGAATTCCAGGGGGCAGGGACGGTGCGGGTAGGAGAATGAGGGGAAGCCAGAGGGAAGTGGGGACAGGGCCCGCTTGTCAAGTCTACGAGATCTTGTTACTGGGGTTTGGGGGAAATTGGATGCGGTTCCAGGGTTCAAATCTTTCTTGCCCCACACACCAGGGCGCTGGCTCCACTTAAGGCCATCGAGATGAAAGGGCCTGAGTGTTTATTCCCTTGTCAGCCCAGCAAATGGGTTCTGAGCCAACTCTGACAGTCTGTTTTCAAATAGGAAAAAGCGTTTTTTAAAAACTCTTTGTTTGGAGAGTAAAACCTGCTATGTGTTAAAGGTGACAAGCTAGGCTGTGCTGCAGACAGGACCCCCTCCCGGGTTGGCTCAGGGAGGCTTTTGCACTAGGCACCTCCTCAGATTACACCTGGCCATCGCCTCCCTGTCTTTCCACTTGCAATTTTAAGGGTCACCTCTCCAAGGATGCCTTCTCTGACCACCCAGCGTAGTTCCCCAGGCACTCCGTCACTGTCCTGCTGTAACCCCTTCCTGGCGATCCTCTTCGCCTGATATTTTTGTGCTCACTGATGGATGAGCTCTGCTCATGAAAATGCAAAGTCCCTTAAGAGCAGAGTCCGTGTCTGTTCTTTTGGCTGCACTGTTACCTGCACAGAGAAGAGTGCCCAACCGAGATTGTGCATTCAATACGTATATTTTATTAGTTGAAATAAATGAATGATGTTTAAGACCTGGCTTATGCATTTTCTTTAATGAAGAGATGGAGAAAACATAGCATGCTGGAGCAGAAGGGAGATTGAGGAGAAGAATCTGGACCAGCAAAGAAAAAGAATTCCAATTTTCCTTCCCTCAAGGACAACCTGCCCATAGATAAGCGCCTTGAGACCAAAGCCCATTATGGTTGCTGCCAGGCAGCTTGGAGACACAGGAATGGCCTCCCAACATCCCTGACCTCGGTTTTTGATACCTTTGTAAATGATATCCCTAATCTGTCTGCTCCTGAAATCCCTACCTCGTTTTTAAAATGTTTTCCTAAAACCTAATGAGTTTGACTTGCTCCTTTGCCTTTGGAAAGGTTGTCATTTTACATTTTAAAAGTCAAAAAGAAACGCTTCCTATCCCTCTGGATCCTCCTGGAGCCAGCAGTAGCTCTGTGGCCTTGAGCAAGTCACTTCCCTTCGCTGGGGCTCAGTTTTCTGTAAAGGGAGGAGGAGATGGTGCTGGCTGTTGTCCAGGTCCATGCCAGCTCTAAAAGGCTGTGAGCTTCTGATGCCCACCCCCCAGTGACACCCACAAAGGAACTGCCTTCCCCTCCAATGGGACAGCGTATGGCCAAGCATTCCTGGGAAGGGCAGGAAGAAGAGGGCCTCCTTCCTAGCGCCCAGGCCCTTGTCTGCTTGTCCCCTTGTCATCCTTCCCCTGGACTATGCCACTACAATGCATCATGAGGACCTTAGATATCAAGAGTGGAAACGCAGGGTTGTTCCCCAGAGTAAACAGACTACAGAAATGGCCCAGTTCTCCACTCCTGCATGCTAGTCCTTTGCCTTTTGAGTTCACACTCGTCTCAGCAAGAGCTGGAGCCTATCCCCTAACACCTGAAATTTGGATTGGCTTTCTGACTGCTTTAGCCAAAAGAATGCACTAAAAGTATCAAGGTGTAGGTGTGGAGCCCAGGTCTCAAGAGGCCTTGCCCAACCCTTCTCTCTTTCCTGGACCCCTGTAGCTGCCATGAAGGAACACCGAGGCTAGCCTGTGGGAGGATGAGACACATGGAGCAGTGCCAGCTGACCCAGCCAACACCGTTCTAGATTAACAACCATATTAGCCAACTGAGCCCCAGACATATGAATGAGTCCCAGCCAAGCCCAGCCAAGATCTGCGGGCCTGGCTCAGATCAGCAGAAGTGTGCAGCTGACCCACAGACTCCTGAGTCACGATCACCGATTGTTTCAGGATGGTTTGTTACACAGCAATGGCTAATTGACAATACACCCTGGATCTACCCCCAGGACAGCCCACATCTCCCTTAGTTTGCCTTCTTGAGCATCCTTGCACGTGGTCTGCCCTTTCTGCCTCTGTACTGCCTAGTTTATGTCTTAAAAATATCACTTCCCTCCTGTAAGTCCGGCCCTGTGTATAGAAGCATACAGGCAATCGCTTACATGAGAGAATTTTATTTTTCAGGGTCTCTCTAAAACTGGGTGCCATAATGTGTCAGCTACTTGGGCCAGCCATGGTATCTGAAACCGTGGCCCAAAGACTTGGTCTTCTGAATTACATCACACATAGTACATGTCATATAGAGGAGCACACATCCTACCTCCTGTCTCAGTGGCATGATAGGTGAAGTGGAAATCGGGTGCAGGAATGACCTTTATGGGGCTGGGAAGGAGGCTTTGTGGGAATGCAGACCTGACAGAGTGTTCCAGGAGAGGCCTCCGTGAGGTCACCGGAACTAAGCAGGGATTGGAAGCAGAGCCCCCAGGCACACCCACACTCATAGTTTTGCTAAGGATTGACCCTGTTTTCTTGTGCAAGTATTTTATTTTTCTCTAATAAATTAACATTTATTAGAAGTCTATTGTAAATCAAGCAGGCATCAGCTAAGCCCAGGAGATGACAAAGATAAATAATGAATCCCTGCCCTGAAGGAACTTACTAGTTCATAATCCTAAAGGTGCAAAATACCGCTACAAGTATATGCCAATAAATCATTAGATTCGAATTCAGTTCTTTCTTCTAAAAGTCAGGAGGTAAAACCAGATTAATCAATGATCAACAATTAGAAAAATCAATTAGGGTGATGTTTATATTACTTATGTATTTATACTTCTTCAAGTTTTACTCAAATTACATTTCTCTTTGCAAGTACGATTAATATTCAAAGCCAAACATGATTTCCAGTCTTGTCCCCAACTGCATCCTTCTGTCTTACTCACCTCTATACATGATATACCTTCATTCACCTAGTTCTATACATATCTTATCCATAGCAAATCCTGTAGCATTACCCCCACAACATACACAGAATCCCGCCAATTCGCACCACCTCCACCTCCACCATCCCAGTGCAAGCCATCAGCACCTCTCACCTATTCTTTTGCAAAAAAATTGGTAACTGGTCTTTTTGCTTCCATCCTTCTCTCCCACCTTCTATTCTAACCAGCAGGCAGAAAGATCCTGTTCAAACATAAGTCAGATTAGGTTAATCCTTAGATCATAAACCCTCCGCTATCTTCCCATCACACTTAACATAAAATCAAAGGCCCCAGATGACTTGGCCCTGACCACCTCTCTAACCCTGCTCTAGTCACATGGGCAGTATTGCTTTTCTTTACATTCACCAGACATTCCTACCTTAGTGCCTTTGCACTGGTGCCTGTTACCTTCCTGACTCAGACCTCTTCATGGACCATTTTTTTATGGCATTTCAAGCTTTGCTCATGTTTCACCTCTTTAGAAAGAACTTCCTTGACCACCAGAGCTAAAATAGCCACCATCACCACTACCCCACAACATCCTTCACTTTCTAGCCCTTTGCCCTGCTCTAGTTTTCTTCATAGCACTTACCACTGCCCTGTATTATACCATGTATTTGTTTATTTACTTGTTCGTTGCCATGATGAGATCCCTAAAGACAGGGGTCTTGGCTGGTTGGTGTGCTACCATATGTTAAGTATTTGAACAGTACCTTGCTTTTGTCATCTACGTAATAAATGTTTGTGGAATGAATCCCTAAGTGTTCACATTCATTCTGCTAATGTTTGTAAATATCTTATTTTGTAAAATAAGTGAATGGGCAAGTCTATCATATAGCTCAAACAATATCACTCTTGGAATTCAGGAAATGAACATCAAATCCCATTGCTTCTCTAAGAAAAAGAAAACAATTTGGACCACTCACTTCCCTTCTCTGAGCATTTGTTTTTCCTTCTTCAAAGTAAGTAAAACCATCCCTCTCCCCTCCCAACCGAAAAGGTAAGTACTATAGTTACTTCCATTTTATCCATGAGGAAACTGAGGCCCAGAAAAGGCCAAGTCAGTCTTTGCTGTCTCAGGAGGAGGATTTAGAAGGTCAATTCTGCCCAGGAATTGAGGCCAGAGAAAATCACTCTGTGGATAAGTTTTGATGCAAAATCCGAGCAGACTGTGTTCTCACTTCTTATAACAGAGGGAAGCGCCCCTCTGCCCAGCCGGGCCCCATCCCCTGGAAGGGCAGGGTGGGACTTGCTTCCGCCTGTTCTGTGGACAGTCTCTGTGCATGTGGGATTACTAGAAGAACTTTCAGTCTCCAGGAGCTCCAAGGCCTGCACTTCCCAGAGCCTTCTCATCAGGCACAAATAAACAGTTGTTAATGTCTTCCTGGGCTTATGTGCTTGAGGCTGTCACAACCAGGAGCTCTGAAACTGGCACAGGCCGGGGTGCAGACACCCAAGGCCTCCAGGCTGACAGCTGCATGGAGTCATTTTCAATTAGAGAATGACTTGGAAAAGAAAAAAAATCCAGCATCAAAGCCTATCCTGAAGCCTGCCTGCCCAAGGCCTGAGGACTCCCAGGTGGAGCCAGGACCCTGTCACTCTTCTGCTTGCAAGGAAAGCAGCCCACACTATGCCCAGCCGGGAAGGGGGCGGGGGTGGCTTGTAGAATCCTGCCCCTGGTGCAGGCTCTGTCTGCTTCTAGACAGGAGAAGAAAGCAAAGGTGCCTTTGTAGGCCAGCTGTCTTGGGGAGAGAGGCTCACTTTCTGCAAGCCCTGGTGCTCCCCAGAGAGGCCACAGCCCAGAGGAGTGAGCTAGAAATTTAGAATTATACAGAATTGAATGCGAGCACTGGCCTTGCTACATGCTGGCAGTATGACCTTAAGGCACAGACATAGGGATGGTGCAGTGCCTTAGGGCCAGAAACAACAGGCACCATTAACCAGGGCCGGGACTAGGATGAGACAAAGGAGGCGCTTGCTTCGGGTGTACAATTTAAGGGAACTTCAAAAAACTCAGCAATCAGATAAATTATATTTTAAGGCAATATTTTTTTAAGTTAAAATTTATGTTAAAAAAATCCATGATGAAGAAAATATCAAAATTTTAAATAAAAACAGGCTCCAACAATGCCGTGCCAAGCCATACTGGAGCCTGAGGCAAAAGGAAAAACTGTGCTTCCCTATATATGTGTATTTGTGCATTTTTAATGGTTACTATTTTTCCAGAACATTAAATGAGTTTTAAAAATATTGAGAAGTGTCTAAAACTCACAACATTATTTTAAATTTAAATATTTTATTTATATCAAAACCAGAATGTATTATAATTTTACTTTCCTGGCTTAAAATGGAAGCAAACTCATCAATACTATTTTCAAAACCTGCTTACTTACTTACGCCATTTTCAGTTGAAAGAATTGCCATGTTCAACAATTTCTACTGACCAAGTGACTACCTTAAATAATTGTTAATTAACTTTAGCTCACTAAAACTTCTTTCCCTGGACAGCACTGTAACTAGTATTGTTTAAAAAAAGAATTCTCAAGGCCATGTCCAAGTTTAGATAAGACTACACTAAGCAAAATTCCTGAATCTGTTTTAGAGATTCAAATCTAATGCTGATTTTGTATTGTAATTTATTGATATTACATGTTAAAACTATTTCAGATGAAATTTCAATAGGACTTAAATTGTCAGAATATTTAAGAGTCCAATCAATGACTGATTTTTGTAAATAAGATCTATTCATGAAAACTTTTCTGCAGTTTTCTAATTTTTCTAGACTTAAAAATTCAAAATCTGAAGATATTTAATTTTTGCATGTCTATTTCAAATGTGAACTTCAGACATTTAAATTTTTGATTTCTATTTGATCTAAGCTGGTTTCATTGTAATTGATACTCTTACCCATGAATCATATATTTCCAGTTTCCTTACTTTTTTAAAATTTATTTCCAAATTTAGGAAGCATGTTTATACCTCATGCTAAAGTTTTACTTTCATCCAGCATGTCAAGTTATTTATTCTCATTTGTTATAACTCACAACTTTCACTTGAAAAAAGTTGATCAAAGTAGATTTTGAAAGTATTGTTGATGAATTTGCTTCCATTAAAGTGAGGAAAATAAAATTATAACACATTCGGTTTGAGATAAAATGAAATATCTAAGCTTAAAATAATGCTGTGAGTTTTGAGACATCTACTTCCCAGATTTTCAATATTTGTTCAACTAGTTCTGGGGGAAAAAACAACCATTATACAAACATATATGCAGGGGCACTGAGTTTTCCTGTGACCTCAGGCTCCAACATGGGCCCGCAGCACACTGTGGTTCCCAGCGGGAGGAGAGAGGTGTTTACTGGAATTGCAGACACAGCAGGGAGTGTGGAGGGGGCTCATTGGCTGAGACCTCTGCAGGGAGAGAAAGAGCTGGGGGAGCATCCTGACCTCGCTTTCCTCCCTCCCTCACATCTCCTGCTGGCATTCTGCATGGGCTGGACCAATTGCATGCCAGCGGGCACTGGGGCCTGTTGGTGTGGTCCAAATGGGTCAGCCGGCAGCACCGAGCAGATGGAGAAGGGTGGAAAGTAGATCTGGGGCAGCAAACGGAAATTCTATGGGACACTCTTGGTCTTTGTGGATCGACTCAAAAACAGAAGGTGATAATAACTACCTTGCAAAGTTTTCCTAAGAGGGAAATAGGGCAATATAGGTAAATTGCCTCAAATAGTTTGGCATCTCCTAAACCAGGGCTTGTATTACAGCTGAACAGGAGTAAGCAACCACTGCTGGTGGTAGAGGGAGAGTGAGGGGGAAGGTGGGATGGGACACCTGATGTGGTATCCCTTGCTCCTCAATCAGCCTGAGGCCACATGGCACCACCTGGGCAAGACTGACCCCAGCAGGACCAGCTCTGCCTTCAGTGAAACAGAGTGGTGGGATGGAAGGCACTTTCATTTCCTGAGTGAGCCTCAGTTTCCTAAGAGTCTGATAGTGATAGAATGATGCCTATCTTGCAGGATTTTGAGGACTAAGAGAGATAATGTACGTTAAAGTACTTTGTAAACTATGAAACATGTGAATGTTGTACTTGGGGTGGGAGGGCTCGTGCTCATTTCATCTTCAAAACAGAAAACCACACTAAAGCTGTGGGGACATACTGTCTTCTTTACTATGAAATCAGAGGCAGAAAATATTTTCCTTACTTTAGGAGGCCATGTGTATTGTCCTTGTTTGACAGACTACTGAGTGTGCAGAAGTAAGGAATTAAGAGATTCTAATATCAACTCTGCCCCTATTTCGCTGAGATACTTTAAATCTGGGTGCTCCTTTTGTCTCTCAACTTCTCCGGATTGAAAACATGGACTGTGATATTCAGTAGAGTGCTTTGTGCCTTGCAGAAGATAAAGAGAGTCGTCTTGACAGCTTAAGACTTTGTCGGCCTGTGTGACCTGGTACAGAAGGAACGTGCATTCCACGGCAGAGTTCAGAACTATGGAAGAATGCAGACACATCTAGAAAGTTTCAAAAGTTGGAATGGAACATGGAATTATTTTCCATGGCCTCTTCTCCTGGAGGCAAAATTAGCTGGAAAGATCGCATACTTAGACCCCAGTGGCAGAGCCCAGCACCAAGCCCCCTGGGCGGAATCAGAGGAAAGATGAAACTGCATGGCCACCCACCGTTTACAGATGAAAGATGGGACTTACAATTGCTACATGATCTCAGAGCCCAGCCCTGATGGCCACAAGCACACCTGTGCACAGGAGTAATCTGACCAGCTGAGGGCAGATGCTTTGCAGGACAACAGAAGTGGGATCATGGGGACCTCTCTGTGGGTTCACCCGGTCCTGTTGTGCTTGACCCCGGCCCTGAGTCAGTCACCACTCCCCATGGCCTTCATGCCTTACCTGGACAGTGAGAGGATCAGATGAGCGAAGAGGTTCCACAGTCTGAGTGCTCGGGAGAATGACCTGGGAGTCTTTTAAAAATTCAGTTTCCTTGGCTTCTTATCCTGAAAATTCAGTCAGTAGACAAGGAGCACAACCCAGGAATCTGTATTTGTCACAATCAGCTGTAGTGATTTTGATGAGCCCAAGTATTCTCTAGGGTCCTACCAGCCTGGCACTCGGGCACCCTCTTGCTCCATGGGTGAAAGCTCGAGAGATAATAGAGAGATAATAGGCTGGAACAGAATTTCAGTGGAAGGGTGGGGAGGGAGGCAGAGCTTCTCAGGCACAGGGATGTGCAGCTGGGAGAGGTGCAATGACCGAACCTTTTTTACCTATTCTCTGAGTCCTTGTTGGTTTTTATTGCTAACGTCATATGAGATTGTTACATTGTCTTGGCTGTGCCTGTGTGTCACATATTATGCTTTCTCACCTAACCCCAGTAAAATCCCACCTTCATTGATCAAAACAGGTTGTTATCATATGGACGCTCAAAATATTTTTATGCACCTTCTCAGTCTGCAGAGAATTCCACTGCAAACAGCTTATAAGGTCCATGTGTTTGGCTGTAGGTTCTTCCTCAAACTGGCTGCTTCGTAGACAAGCAGGTGCCTCGGGGACTGTGTCTTCACATAAGTCATGGTCTGTTTTCCATGGGGAGGCTGCAAGAGCTAGGGGGACAGAGGTGACAATGCAGAAGATGGAACAAAGTAACAGCACAATGGGAGCATGCAGAGGCCCGGGGATAGGTCTGGGTGTTAGGAGGACAACCTGGCCCCACTGGGTAAGTCAGGAGGCTGCGGTCTTAAGGGGATGGGACTGAGACTGCAGAGACTGGCCCTGCAGAGGTATCGGGAGGCCTGAGGCACACATTAGTTGGGCTCCATCCTGAAGACAGGTTGGGGGACAGGGCTTCCAGGCAGCAGGCAATGATAAGTGGCATTGCCCCAGCCCATGACTGGACACCAAGATCTAGTCCCGCACATAAGGGCTGCTGTACCCCAGGCTCTATGTCTGGGCTTTCTGGAGAGGGAGGCCAGTGAGAGGAGCTCCCCTTAGCCAGTCCTACCTCATGAGATGACTGTGCTGCGCTGTTTTATCTTTTACAGCACTCTGAAGGACTGCGTTCCCCATTGCATGAGGGAAGAAACTGAGGGTGGAGAGGCTCCAGGACAGAGCAGGATGGTGCTGGTGTTGAACTCTGAGACGACGTGACTACAATGCCTGTGCCCTTTGCTGGGAGGCTAATCAGAATCCAGGAACGAGAGGCTGGGCAGAAACCAGGCCAGGGTGCATCCCCCACGGCAGGCTGGAGTTGCTGATGGGAGGAGAGGACTCCATGGCAGGTGTGCGTCTCCTCAGCCTTCCAGGCCTTGGGTGGTGTTGGTTACGCTAAGACTGGGGGATTGGGGTAAGGGGCCAGAGCCAATGCTGATTCTTGATCTCTCTCCAGTGGGATGTGTGCTGCATCCCCAGGCTTGGTGGGGAGACCTGGGTGCGGGAAGTCCAGACAGTGGTGAAGCCAGCAGGGCAGCACATGTGTCCAACCTCCCCCAACTACAGGTGAGAAAATACCACCCAGGACCTGACTGAGACCCCATCCGGCATCAGTCCACGTGAACCCAGTGTCTGCAGGGAAATTTTACAGTCAAAACCTGTGCAGTCTGCTATGAACCAAGGAATAAGGAGGCTGCTGGAAAAGCCATCATTTTGCTGGGCTATTGATGTTGGTGAGAGTTGATCACAGTTTGAAAGGTGCAGAAGGCCATGCCTGGCAAAGAGACAGATGGGAGACCTCTCTGGTTGGGGCGAGAATGCTGTGTGGGATGGCTCAGGGGTGGAGGTAGCGAGCCTGTGCTTGAGCGGGGCCAACCGAGAGTCAAATCCCGGGCTGCCGCGTGTCGAGTGCGGTGGCCATGGGTCCATCCATGACTTCTCTGAGTCCCTAGTCCCCTACCCGTAAAAACGGAAGCAATAACACAGACTTCTTAGGTTGTTTTTTTGAGACCTGAGATAGACCACATGTGTAAGGCATTCAGCACAGTGCTTGACTTGTGTAGGGCTCCCAAAGCTGAGCTATAATTGGGTAATTGCTGATGGTGCTCAGATTCCAAGGTGAAAGGAGAAGAGACACAGGGATGCTGAGGGGGAGTTGAGGAGAGGTTGCTGCACAGTCCAAGAGGACCATAAACAACATCACAGAGGAGGCACATGAGGGCTGCCTCACACTCAGCAGAAAGGCCAGAGTGAGGGCGTGCAGCTGGCTCGCAGAGGTGGGCTTTCAAATCCCAGAGGAATGGGCTGACTGCACTGCCCAGGCTGTGGTTGCTCCACACTGAGGACTTGGGATACCCACCTGCCTCAGCTTCTTGGATGATCTCCAGAATGCCAGGCAGCCAGACGTGAGGTCATGCATTTACTGTAGGGAGCTGTGCAGCTGGGTGAGGGGAGGGGGCTACCAGGCAGAGGCTCTGCCTGCCTCAAAGTGCTCCAGAGGGGCTGGGTGGGCCCCAAAGTGTTCAGAGGGACTTGATCAGAGGCCCTCAAGCAAAGCATGCCTTAGGTGTAGGGTCAGGGGAAAGGGCCCAGCCTCTCTGCCCTCCCATCTCCAGCCCTGCTTCCATCTCATGGGCCTGGGCCACGTGGCCCTTCTAAATGAAGCTCCTGAGCTAGGTGGATGTTGGTGCAGACACAACCGACCGGTCTGCCATGCATGTGTGAGAACACAGGCTGCTCCAGCGGCCTTGCAGACACCCACCCAGCACCTCAGGCAATGGAAACCCCCCAGGAAATGGCCTTGTGTGGGAAGGAGGGCACGCCCCCAACCCTGGACACAACCTCCAGGGTTGAGAGGAGAGGCGGGACCAGGGAAAGGCTGCCCCAGCAGATTAGGCTTTGAGACAAGGTAAATGAAGTCAGGGTCACAGAAGGGCTTCTCACCCAACCCTCTCACTTCACAAGTGGGGAAACCGGCCCAGAGAGGGCAAGTAAACAAACAGCGTAAGGAGTTTGTGGTTGTGGAAGGTTGTGAAATGGCCCCTCAAAAGATATTCCCATTCTAATACCTGGAACTTGTCAGTGTTACCTTACATGAGGGGAAAACAGGAGTTTTTGGCAATGTGAGCAGATGAAGAATCTTGTGATGGGAAGATTATCCTGCGGTATCTAGGTGGGCTGTAAATACAGTCACATGCATCGTTATAATCAGACGACAAAGAGAGATCTGAAAACACACAGAGGAGGCCCCAGTGTGGAGACCAGTAGAGGGAGGCTTGAGAACACGGGCCTTGAACATCGGAGTTGGTGTGGCCATAGCCACCGGACCCTGGAAGAGGCGCGTAACAGATTCTCCCCGCCAGCCCCTGAGTGAGTGCAGCTCTGCCAACTCTTGATGTTGGCCCAGGGAAACTGTTTTCAGACTTCTGGCCCCCACAACTGCGAGAGAATAAATTACGTTGTTTTAAGCTACTAAGGTTTTAGTAATTTATTACGGCAGCCACAGGAAACTAATACAGTGTTTTCCCTGGGCCCGGCCCGGCCTTGGAACTGTGTCGTCCTATCGGTACCCTGGACCCATAAGAGGGAGGGATGGCAGGGGCAGAGAAGGCAGGGACTCCATTTTCCATCACAAGCTGTCTCCACCAGCCTCGCTGAGGGATGGTGATGGAGATGTACCATGTCCTCACTTCCATTGCCTGAGGTGCTGGGTGTGATGTGGAGAAGACATAAGAAACTAACGGCAAACGTGCTCATTCTGTCCTGCGTGTGCAGCGAGACAGCCGGCAAGCCCAGGATGCGGGCTGGGCCCTAAACCCCAGCTTCCGGCTGTTAACTGGGCCTTTCGTGTTGACGAAACACAGTTGAGGGTATTTACAGTGGATGTGGCTACTGTGTGGCACATAGTATTGAGAGCATCACATTCAGCATCTCGCTGTGGCCCGAAGGGGAGCTCCTGGGATTGATTAGGAAAGAGCCATTTGGAGAAGGCACTGTTAAAACTGTTTGGTTTTTCCTGCCCGCCGGCTGAGAAGGTCCTGGAGGAGTCCTGCTTCTGCTGACAGGGTAGGGTCCTGGGCCAGAGAACTGGCTAGAACTCAAGACAATAAGGCAGGAGTCAGTCAGCCTCAGGATATCTGAAAGCATGGTGATGTCAGTTCAGAAGACAGGAAATCAAACCTGCCTCAGTGGCCTGCCAGCTGTGTGGCCATGGGCAAGGTGCTCCGCCTCCTGGAGGTGGGCACAGTGAGATGGAAAAGTGGACGTGAAAGGGCTTTTGTCAGCTGTGCAGGTCCAGACCGCCATGTGAGCGTGCGGGTTTTCCTCCCCAGCTTCTACTCCACCCTGGTCAGGTCTGCCCATGGAGGGTGAGAGAGCTAGGACAGGAAGGTACTCACGGCTGTCCCTCTCATGACTGACAAATGGTGCCAATGTTATCCTAGGGTGCACACACACATTTTCAAGGAATTGGGGTGGGGGGGATGGCCTTGTCCCTTGAGAACTATCAGTCTAGCAGGGGACACTAAACACATATGCAGGAAATGACCTTATTAGAAAGCAACACACTGAAAAGTGCCAAGTGACACAGCTCGGACTGAACATGGAAATGCTCGAAGCCCACACAACTGGAGTGCAGGAGCAGGCTAGACCGAGTCAGAGGACACTCGACACTCTCCTGAAGTCTGACCCCGTGAACGTCAAGGCCCAGGCCCAGGCCTGTGTGTGAGCCAGGGCAGGGGAGTCGGATGTGGTGTCTGGGAGAAGACTGTCTTAACCAGCTTAGGGCGAAAAGCAGGAAGGGCATCTCTCTTCTAGTTACTAGAGTGGAAAGGAAAAGGGAAGTTCTGGGTTGGTGACCCTGTGGTCCTCTGAGCAGGCGAGAGCCCAGCACTAAAATACGACAGTCATTCTGCTGGGAGGACCCGGCTGAACTTAGCGCTGGGTAGGTGGGGTAGAGTAGGCTAGGGCCTTGGCAAGGAGGAGCCATGCTGCCCTGGAGCACATCTCTGGTGCGGCAGAGCCCAGCATCAGCTCTGACCACTGTGGACAGAGGCCCATCCCCAGATGTGAGTCCTTGATCAACCCCGGGGTTCCGCCTTCTAGGGCTCACATAGCCAAGGGGAGCCCCAGCCTCACAGAAGCCACAGCAACTAGGCAGAAACCACAGGACTGGCCCATATGGCCAGGCGGGCTCAGAGCCGTGGCCTGCTGTTGTTGGGGACAAGGGCGTGAACATTAAAGATAGAAGTCACAGTAACTCATACTCCTCAGATTGCGGTAAACTGTGTTTGTGCATAAGGCTGTTACGGTTTTATTCTTTTCCTCTTTGTCTCCTTCATTCTTGGTCACCAGTTCTCTTACCCAGCCTTGATGTGTTTGGTATAAAGCTTTGAATGGGAACATACTTTAAAAATACATTTTAAATGGTGTGTGTGTGTGTGTGTGTGAGAGAGAGAGAGAGAGACAGAGAGAGATCTACATAAATGACATTGTGCTATGGACTTTCTGGGTTTTTTTCCTTTTTCAAAAAACTTACCTTATGTTTTAAAGACTTGCTTGTGATGCTGTATGACCCTCTAAGTCTCAGTTTTGACTGCAGCTGCCTGGTGTTCTGTGGTCCACATGCCTCCTTTTGTCTTACCATACCCGTGGGGATATGTACCTCATCTGCACCCAATTTCTTGTTCGCATCCCCTGGTGACCAGGGCTTCAGTCCTCAGGTCAAAGCATCCTTAGTTGAGCTCAACTTTCCCAGGCTTATCTCCAGGACACCTGCACCAGCCTATATTCTGCCAGCAGGGCATGAAGCTTTCTGTTTCCCTGGTCCTTACCAACTGCCAACAATCTGACAGATGCAAAGTTTGGGTTGTTGTGACAGTTACCAGTGTGGGTTCAAGTCTTCACTCCATCACTCAGCAGCTATGTGACCACATAAAAGCAGATAAGCCACATCTATATGCCTCAGTGTTCGCATCTATAAAATGGAGATACTAATATAATTACCATAGGGGGTGGTCGTGAGGATCTAACAAATTAATGAAAAGTATTCAGTAATTACTACTACTAGTAGTACAGGTAGTACTTCCTATTGTTACTACTAACATTTTCAGTTTTAATGAGGTTTACCACCCCTTCATACACCTGTTAGCCATTGGGTTTTCTCTACGGTGAATTGCCTAGTCATACCTTTTCTCATTATTCCATTGGGTTGCCATGTTTTTGCTGCTGATTTGCAGGTGTTTGTTGAACATTCTAGACACTAATCCCTTGCTTATTTTTGGTTCTTGCAAACATCTCTCAATCCATTCCTGGTTTGTTAACTTTGACAGCGCTAACTTTTGTTGAACAAAAATTCTGATAATGTTAAATCTGTCTTTTTTTATTTCCTTGTGCTTTGTATTTTTGGACTATTGTTTAATAAATCTCTTTCCATGACAAAGTTACAAATATATTGTCTATTTCTGTTGTTAATATTATGATTCTACTTTTCATAAATAAAGCATTAGTCTATCAAAAGTTAACATTTAGTTTTGGTCAGGCAGGTATATAATTTAATTTTTCTCAATATATTTCTTTTTATCTTCATGATTTTGTAGTGATTGATACATGTGA
The DNA here is from genome assembly GCF_000001405.40 of Homo sapiens. Taxonomy (NCBI): domain Eukaryota; kingdom Metazoa; phylum Chordata; class Mammalia; order Primates; family Hominidae; genus Homo; species Homo sapiens. The sequence continues at coordinate 5,526,895 of NC_000012.12, forward strand.
ATTAATGTAAGGAATATATAATACAAATATAATTAGTTTTTTTATCACTCAATTCTATTGCACTGGTCTCATTACCTATCACACTGATTTTGTTACTACACTGCTATGGATTTGTAGAACTTTCATATTTTCCTATTGAGTAAGATGACCTGTCCTAATTGGTTTTGCTTTTACAAAATTTAACTAGCTGTTTTGGGATCTTTATTATTTGATACACATTTTGGAATAAATGTGTCATGTTCCTTAAAAAATCCATATGAAATTTAAATTGAAATTGCAATGAATTTATAGATTATGTTGGGGAGAGTTGGCATCTTTACAATGTTAGGTTGTACATTCATGAGCAAAATACATTTCTTCGTTTACTTTTCTTTTTTACTTAATTGAATTTTAACATATCTACCTGAGGATCTTATACATCTTTTTAAAAAAGGCTTATCCTAGTTCTTATTGTTATTTTGGTTGTGTCTCACTAATTTCTATATGTTTCTAATTGGATTTTTGCGGAAATAATATGATCTACTGCTTTTTATTAATTGAGCTTCTATCTGTAAGAGTTGGTGAACCCTCTTGTTAGTGCCAACAGTGTGACTGATGATTCTATTGGTTTCTCTATGTGGTTGATTCTACCACCTGCCAGTAGTGTAGTTTTTGTCTCTTCTCTTTCTATCGTTGTTTCTCATACTTTTTTGTTGTTGTTTTATTGCATGGGCCAGTAATTTCAGTACATGTTAAAGAGTAGCAATGACAAGCATTCCTTATGCTGAGCCTCGGCTTAAACAAAATGTGTCTAAAGTTTCTCTCTTGGGAAAGTTTATTGTAGAATTTTGGTATTACTCTTAAAGTAAAGAGATTTCTATTACTAGTTTTTTGTGAGAACTATTACTATTTTTACTATTACTCTAAAAAGTTGTTGAAATTTATTTAATTATTTTTCTGCATCTATCAAAGATAATCATATTATTTTATTCTCCTTTAGTCCATTAATTTTGTGAATTACTTTGAAAAAATTTTTATATTGTTAATCTTTCCTGGAAATAACCACTTTAATCATGATTTAAAAAAAATAGAGAGTTGGATTCAGCTAACAAATATGTTTTGTGATAGGGAGTAATCATATATGTGTTCAAAAGTGAAATAAGTCGTTTGAACTATCATTTGCTGACTTTGGAATCAGGGTTATAGTAACCTCATAAAAAGTTGGGCAGCTTTCTCTCCTCTTTTTCCTGGAACAACTTGCATAAGATAGATATTTATATATTGTTTGAAGTTTAATAGCTCTCTCTTCTATAAAACTTTCTGAGTTTTGGGCTTTGTTGAAATGTGTGAATTTGGGGGAGCATTTAATATTTCAATTTTTAAAATAAATGGCTGGGCAAAAGCAGGTGGATTGCTTGAGTCTAGGAGTTCCAGACCAACCTGGCTACATTGCAAAACCCCATCTCTACGAAAAATACAAAAAGTTAGACAGGCGTGGTGGCATGCATCTGCAGTCCCAACTACTCAGGAGACTGAGGTTGGACCTGAGCCTAGGAGGTTCAAGCTACAGTGAACTGTGATCGTGCCACCACACTGCAGCCTGTGCAACAGAGTGAGACCCTGTCTCAATAATTTTTTTAAAATTATGACTTATTTATTTAACTTTTCTTCTGCCAGTTTTGCTTTATTTATCAGGATTTTATTAACCATACCTAAGTTTTGAAATGTTTTTCTATAATAATCTATGATAGTCTTATTTAAAAAAAAAAAAAAAACAACTCTGTTGGGTCTTTGTTTTTTTTTTTCATTCATTTTATATTTTTTCATTTGTGTATTTTCTTCTTTTCTTAAAATTTGAATGCCTTGCCAGAGACTTATCAGAAATATAAACTTTTTCACAAAACCAACTTTAGGTTTTGTTTGTTTTCCACTTTTCTTAGTTCTTCATTTTGATGATTTCTAAACTCATTTTTATTTTCTCATTCCTTCTAAGTTATTTGGGTTCACTCAACCTCTCTTCTTCTAACTTCTTAAGCTAAAAGTTTAGATCATTTGTTTTTGTTCTTTCTTACTTAGTGATAAATATACTTAAAGCTATAAATTTCTCTCAGAGAAATGATTTCGTTGTGTCCCACAGGTTTTGACATGCGGTGCTTTTATTTTGTTCAAGTCCAAGTATTTCATATTTTTCCCTGTGATTTCCGCTTTAACCAAAGGATTATTCATTTGTATGCTTTTTAGTTTCCAGGCATATGGGATTTTCCTAAAGCTATCCTTTTGTTATCGACGTCTAATTTTATAGCATTATGGCCAGAGAGTATAGTCTACGAGGTGATGTTGACTCTTTGGAATTTATTGAGCCTCCTTTGTCACCCAAGTTCAATGTTGACTTTTGTGAATGTTCCATGTTTTCTTTAAAATAATACGCATTCTGTATTTATTAGGTGTGAAATATATTTGTATTAGTTCAAGCTTACTAATTGTGTAATTCAAACCTACCATTTGTTTTCTTTTTGTTGGTTTAATTGATTAGTTTCACAGAGAAATATGTTAAAATTACCAACTATAATAAATGATGTATCTGCTTATTCCTATAGTTATGGAATTAGTCCATTTTCATACTGCTATGAAGGAATGCCTGAGACTGGGTAATTTATAATGAAAAAGAGGTTTAATGGACTCACAGTTCCACATGGCTGGGAAGGCCTCACAATCATCGTGGAAGGTGAAGGAGGAGCAAAGGCATGCCTTACAAGATGGCAGACAAGAGAATGTGTGCAGGGGAACAACCCTTTATAAAACTATCAGATCTTATGAGACTTATTCACTATCATGGGGGCAGCATGGGACAAACCCACCCCCATGATTCAATGACCTCCCACCAGGTCCCTCCCACAACACATGGGTATTATGGGAGCTATAATTCAAGATGAGATTTGGGTGGGGACACAAGGAAACCATATCAGTTATGTCTCAGTTTTTAAATTTATATACTTCAAGGCTTTATTATTAGGTGCATATATGTTAGGGGCCATTGTGTTATCTGTAGTACCAGATACTATTTTACTGATATATAGTACCTTTCTTTGTTTCTTTTTATAATGTTTACCTCAAAATCCATTTTGTCTGATAAAACTGACACCCTTGCTATGTTTTTGGTACATATTTGTTTGACACATATTTTTCATACATTTTTATATATTGAGTACATAAAAAGGTATTTCTAACATAACGAGGGTATAAAAATAAAAAAAATACTCACAAAGCCACTACTAAGCTCAAGTAGTAAAACATTAGCTCCCTGTGTGCTTCTCCCTGATCCCATCACTCTCCCTCAGCTTTCAAAGATAACCTCAATTTTTATCTATCATTTCTTCACTTTTCTTTATGGCTTTCATATATTCACATATTCCTACACAGTAAATCATTCTATTTTTTTATGCTTTTGAACTTTGTATAAATAAAAAAAAACTATCTTTCTGTGACTTCCTTGTTTTGTTAATATTATTTCAATGACTTGCTTATGTTTATGTGTACAATAGTAGTTCATTAATTTTCACTTCTAGATACTATTTCATAACCACAATATGATTTATATATAATATATACATATAAAGTAACTATCACAATTTATTTATCTGCTTTTCTGTTGGTTTTTAGTTTTGGTATTTTGGTGTTGTTGTCTTTGCTATTTCAGCATTGATGCCATGAATATTTTTGTCTGTCTCTCCTAATGTACATGTGCAAGAGTTCTTCTACCATGGTTGGGATTTGTTGGACGGACTAAGGTTTGGACTGTAATTGCTGGGTATGCAATTCCTCAAAGGTAAGAACAACCTCAAAATACCATTTGAGTATCCCTTATCCTAAATTCCTGGGACCAAAAGCATTTTGGATTTTGGAATTTTCTTTTTTATTTTCAGAACATTTACGTTATTACAATTTTAGAATTGAGCATCCCAATCCTAAAATCTGAAATCCAAAATGCTCCAATGAACATTTCCTTTGAGTGTCATGTCAGCACTCAGAAAGTTTCAGATTTTGGAACATTTTGAATTTTGAATTCTCAAATTAGAATTAGGGATGCTCAACATATAGTATAAGCATTACAATTTCTTACTCCACATATTTTGACCTACCTTTCCTAAATTGTTTTTGTCTCTCTATGCTTCATTTTGGAAAACTGTTTGAACCTGCTTTGAGTCACTAATTCTCTCTTCAGCTGTCTAATTTACTGTTTCATCCATCTCCTGAGTTTTAATTTTAATTGTTATATTTTTCTGTTTCTAAAAGTTACATTTGATTCACTTTTGAAATCTAGTTGGCCTCCTTTATAATCTTTGGTCTTGATAATTTTTAAAGTCAGATTTTCATTTATTTAAGCCCAGCAAATTTTTCTTTATAGGCTTCACATGATGATTCCAATATCTAAAGCATTTTCAGGTGTGATTTTGATTTTTTTTCCCTGAGGCTGGAGATTAATAAAGAGAGAAACAGTAGTTTGCTGTGTGAGATTATTCCAAAGAAAAGAGCCCATTTCTTGAATGGAATTCCAGCCAGAGGGTGGAGGGGCTAATCCTAGGAACTAGGTTTGAGAAGAAGGTAAAAGGCCCCGACCTAGCCCTTTCTGTCCCTTTCTCTTTCTTTATGGTATCTACATTGAAAAACACAAAATGGGAAAGCCATTTATCTCTCAGGCCACTGGGCCATGGCTCTCTGATCCTCCGAGAAATAGCCCTTGGAGCCTGAGAATGCTCCCTGATTGACTCTTTACTGAAAAACTCAAAAATAAATGAAACTCCTAGAGCCTGGGATTAATCTTATTTTTTGTTTGCAGAGTCACATGTGGAAGAAGTATGTCATTTTCATGCTGGCTGTATCTTGCCAGTACTCTTAGAGTTCTGCTAGAGAAATATCACATTCCCCACCTCTGCTAGCCAGGTAGCAAAAAGAACCAGGGGTGGGAGAAATGGAAGATGTCTTAGGAAGAGCCAATTCTAAATGAGAATTGTAAGCAAAGTTTATTTAATGCATATCCAACAGCCATTTCTCCTTTGACCCTCCTAAAAGAACCTGACATTGTTCAGCTATCCACTTTCAGAGGGCTTACTCTTCAGGGGAGACCATGGTTGTTTCTTCATTCTTGACAAGAGATGCAAGATTCTTCCTTTGGACATTGTCATTTCTGGATGGGATGCCTGGAAAGACTGCAGCCAACTTCTGACCACAAGAGGAATCAGCCTGAAGAAACAGCCAGCCCATGGAATAAATCAGAGTCAGGAGAATCACAAGGAGAGGGACCAGGGTCCCCACAAACCAAGCTGGCTCTGCCTGCAGCTTCCCATGTCAGAAAATAAACCCCCTTATTGTTTAAAACTCTTGAGTCAGGGTTTTCTGTGACTTGTAACCAAAACATCCTAACTGATTCAGAGGTAGGAAAGAACACTTTAAAATCAGAGCCATAGAATGGAAGAGAACTAAGAGACAGGTTAACCCGCAGACTTTCCACATCAGGAAACTGAGACTGGCTCCATTGCTAATTCCTGTCACCACAGTTAATACTGGATTTGACCTTATGACTGGTTTGGCCAATGGAAACTGATGTAAACATTTGGCCATTGTCAACTGAAGTGATACATGCTGCCACTGAGCAGGAACTGGAAGAATGAGTGTGTGCTTTCAGAGCTGCCTTTTACCCTCTTCTACTAGAAAGAGGTGATTCCATCAACCTGGTTCAGAAATGTAAACTGATATAGAGGAGAACTGCAGGCTTCCTACTCTGTGAATGGCATGTATTGTGGGTAAGAAATAAACCTTTATACATGTAAGATACTGAGATTTTGGGGACAGAGTGTTGTTACTGAAGCAAAATCCAGTGAAAGCTGATCTATACATTAAAGTTAATTAATAGGTCAATCAATTATTTTTTTTGAACTAGTCTGAATTGAATTCTGTCATTTGCAGCTACAAGGTTGTCATTAACATACTCTCTTATGTTGTTCTCTTTTCATTTGTTTACATTTTGCATTCCCCTCCAGAGTTTGAGCAGAGACATCATCTTGCTCATCATTGCATCTCCAGGGCCAAGGATGGTGTGAGCTCCTTACATGTCTGTGTTTTTATCACTTGTTCCCTGCCTGTATAGTGAAGCCATTCGAGATGGAAGTAGGTGAGGGATCTTTCTGGCCTTCCATAACTCCACATTACAGATATTCATGATCAACTCTGAACATTCCACTCTGCCATTTTTGTCTCTTATCTCCACTGACCCAATCTATCTGATCGAAATGAAAAAAAAAAAAAAAAAAAAAAAAAAACAGGGAAGATGGCTTCTCAAGTGGTTTCAGGTTGAGCAGTTCTGTCAATGTGGCCAGAGAAGTAGGGGTGAAGAGGGACGAGACAGATATTAGCAAAGCTTTCTGGGCTCTTCTGAAGCACCCATCTCTTTATACAGGGACCTAACAATTGACCAGTTTTCTACTCAGGGTGCCATATTTTGTTTTTCTAAGTGGAGTGAAGTTCTTGGATCTAAAAAGAAGCTCAGCCCTTCTGTGAGTAACAGATGGGGAAAGATGAGCAAGTTCAGGGGGATAATCAGTGCCAGTGTGGTCCTGGTGAATGGATGATGATAGCACTGGAGAGATAGTCCCAGGGAGAAGGAGTCCACTGGCCCAGCCAGGCACTTGGGGAAGGAGCCAGTGACGTCACTGCAGTCTGGGGACACTAGGGCACAATGGGCAGCAGAGTTATCCTCCAGGTCCGCTGACACCAGGCAACCTAGTTTGTGGCAGGAAGAAAGGATCAAAGTTTGACATGGAGGAGAGTGTTCCTGAAATTAGATTCATGGTTTGTTTCTGGGTCTAAACACAAGCATATCCACGTGTGTGTACAGCATAAACGTGTACACACACACACACACACACACACACACACACACTCAGCACAGCAAACATCTACCTGTCTTCTCTGAGATGGTTTAGAAAACGGTTTTGAGCCATCGATCACTCTGGCAGTCTGTTGAAGTCCGTAGACCCTTCTCAGTATGTTTTTAAAATATGTGGAATATATTCACACACACAGGACTAAAAATGAAACCAATGACATTAAAATACAGTTGTCAATATGACAGCAAAGTACGATTTTAAAAAACCTATTCAGTAATGCATTAGATAACAAGATACTGCAATGCTTCTCTACAATTGCATTATTTCAAAGTAATGATGAGTAGGGATGATACTTTGAAATATCAGCAACAATTAGAATATGATATAGAACTATCTCCAAATTCTACTGCTAACAAAGACACCAGTGCCACAAATCATAATGTGATTTGTTGCCTATATTCAAATTAGAAGTATATACTATAAGTTAAAGATCAGTAAAAATAAGGTTGTTGTTTTTTTTATTCGAATTTTTGGGCCCTCTGAATTCTATTCTAAGGTGCCCAGGGATCACCAACTTTTGGATAAGAAATCTGGGTTTAGAGATAATCCACCTGAATTTTTTTTCATATATTCTTGGGGACACATCCTGCCCTATTAGTTCATACCTGAAAGACCCAGTTTCTCCGAGTTCTACTCAAGGAGGCAAGCTGTTACCTGATTTGTTGCTCTGGCCCGTTGTGCCAGGGAACCAGACCAGGCTTTGAATATGCATGATTTGGGTTAACGCTTGTCACTACTCCCAGTGCATCACAGAAGGCCTGGTGGCACAGATGGGGTCTGCTCTGTGCCCTCCAACTCGGCAGGCCTGGGATCCATCCCAGCAGGAGCAATGGCACCAATCCCTACCACTACCCCCATCTCCAGCCCTTGCCTAACTCTATGTCCCCCACCTACTCTTGAGTCCTTGAAGCCATATGTCCATCTGAGGGCCACCAAACGCCTGCAGGGATGAGAGAAGATGTGGGCGAGGAATCAGTACTTATTTTGCACCTAATATGTACTGGGCATTGTGACAAGCACTTTGTGTACATGGTTGCCACAACCCTGTGGCATGAGTGATAGTACCCCATCTTGCAGATGAGAACACACAGGCCATGGTGAAGTATGTTGCATATGGTGAATCCCAGGCCATGGTGAAATATGTTGCATACGGTGAGTCCCAGGCCATGTATGGGATTGCAACATACCATGTATGTTGCATACGGTTAATGGAGCCCAGATTTCCCAACATAATGCACAAATTCCCAAAAGTGAGAGCACACCGGCGCTGTGAAACAGCTCATTCCACCTTTGGGTAGCTCTGGCTCTCCAAATACCCTTATTTATTCTGAGCTGTAGCTTTAGGAGAGGGATGGCTGGTACTAATGATTAGCTTTAATTAATGACAGAGTGCTCATTAATGTATAATTCATCCAATAATGTGTGTGAGTATTTATTAGGTGTAGGCACAGGAGATGCAGAAGAGAAAAGCAAAGCCCCTTTCCCCTTGAAATTCACATGCCAATGGGGAAAGACAGGGAACAAAAAATAAGCAAGTAAATAAATAGTATGCCAGATTGTTGGTAGACCTCTGGAGAACAATGCCCATAAGGAAGATAACAGTGTTGGGGATGGTCTAGTGGCCATTATGGGCTTTTCTGAGGGAGGTGAAACTTGAGCAGAGATCTGCAGAGGTGAGGGATAAGCCTAATGGGAGAGGAGCCTCCCACACAGAGGGACATCTGTCAAATGACAGTATGGAAGCCACCGGGGCAGGAGTGAGCACACAAGGAGGAAGCTGGTAGCAAGGCTGGTGTCCAGCCACGGTGCACCTATGTGGGAATACTGACCATTGCACAACTGACAAACTTCCACACTGGCTGGAAAACAGCCACTCTTCTGAGCTCTCACATGCCACACCAGCCCTTCCTCCAAAAAGCTTAGACTCCTCATATCCCGTAGCTATAGGATGTGATGTTGTGAAATACATATTTGGTCTTCATCCCATTTCCTGACATACCACTCCTAACATCCTTGGAATCTCCAAAGTGATTTCTTTTTTAATACTTATGAGTTGACTGAGGGCTGGCAGCTCCTGGGTAGCTTCAGGTTGAGGCTGATCACAGGAAAGACCAAGGCAGGACTAGAAGTTTGAGACTCTCAGCCCCACTCTTCAACCTTCAGGAAGGGGAGAGGGGCTGAAGGTTAAGTTGACCACCAATGGCCAGTGGTTTAGTCAACCATGTCTACATATTGAAACCTCCATAAAAAAAAATAAATAAATAAGGAATGGCTTCCGGGAACTTCCAGATGGTTGAATACATGGAGGTTCTGTGGAAGGTGGAGTCCTGGAAGGTGGTGTCCAGGAAGGGCATGGAAGCTCTGTGCCACTTCCCCATCCTCATCCTATGCATCTTTTCATCTGCATCCTTTATAATATCCTTTTTCTTCTTCTTCTTTTTTTTTTTTTTTTTTTTTGAGATAGAGTTTTGCTCTTGGTGTCCAGGCTGGAGTGCAGTGGCATGATCTTAGCTCACTGGAACCTCTGCCTCTTGGATTCAAGTGATTCTCCTGCCTCAGCCTCCCAGGTAGCTGGGCTTACAGGTGCCCGCCACCATACCCTGCTAATTTTTGTATTTTTAATACAGATGGGGTTTCACCACGTTGGCCAGGCTGGTCTTGAACTCCTGACCTCAGGTAATCCGCCCGCCTTGGCCTCCCAAAGTGCTGGGATTACAGGTGTGAACCATAGCTCCTGGCCTGTAACATACTTTATAATAAACTGGTAAATGCGTTTCCTTGAGTTCTGTTAGCCGTCCTAGAAAATTAATCCAACCCAAAGAGGGGGTAGGGAATCCCAACTTGAAACTGCAGGTCAGAAGTTCAGGACAGAGGTCTGGGACTTGTGACGTGTCTGGAAAGGAGACAGCCATGGGGACTAAGCCCTCACACTTGAAAAACCCATATATATTTGGTCACAGAAGTCTTTTGTGTTGATTGTTGTGATGTGAGAACAGAGGGAAAATGGTTTGTGTTGTTTCCAGGCTCCCCTATGGTAATGCCTGGCAGAGTTAGAGTGCTTCAGAACCCTCCTCAAGACCTGTAGTGGCTACCGGTTTTGAACTGGTCAGTGCCCCGGCCATACCATTTTGTGCTGTTTAGCATTTTGAATATCACCCAAAGTCAGAGAGGGAGCTGGGATCCAGATCGGTTGGTAAGGTGTGGGGAAAGGAAAGAGAGATCAGACTGTTAATATGTCTGTGTAGAAAGAAGTAGACACAAGAGACTCCATTTTGTTCTGTACTAAGAAAAATTCCTCTGCCTTGAGATGCTGTTAATCTGTAACCTTACCCCCAACCCTGTGCTCGTAGAAACACGTGCTGTGTCGACTCAAGGTTTAATGGATTTAGGGCTATGCAGGATGTGCTTTGTTAAACAAATGCTTGAAGGCAGCATGCTCCTTAAAAGTCATCACCACTCCCTAATCTCAAGTACCCAGGGACACAAAACACTGCTGAAGGCCGCAGGGACCTCTGCTTAGGAAAGCCAGGTATCGTCCAAGGTTTCTCCCCATGTGACAGTCTGAAATATGGCCTTGTGGAAAGGGAAAGACCTGACCGTCCCCCAGCCTGACACCCGTAAAGGGTCTGTGCTGAGGAGGATTGGTAAAAGAGGAAGGAACGGCTCTTTGCAGTTGAGACAAGAGGAAGGCATCCGTCTCCTGCTCGTCCCTGGGCAATGGAATGTCTCGGTATAAAACCCGATTGTATATTCCATCTACTGAGATAGGAGAAAACCGCCTTAGGGCTGGAAGTGAGACATGCTGGCGGCAATACTGCTCTTTAATGCACCGAGATGTTTATGTATGTGCACATCAAAGCACGGCACCTTTTTCTTAAACTTGTTTATGACACAGAGACATTTGTTCACATGTTTTCATGCTGACCCTCTCCCCACTATTACCCTATTGTCCTGCCACATCCCCCTCTCTGAGATGGTAGAGATAATGATCAATAAATACTGAGGGAACTCAGAAACCGGTGGGTCCTCCATATGCTGAGTGCCGGTCCCCTGGGCCCACTTTTCTTTCTCTATACTTTGTCTCTGTGTCTTTTCCTTTTCTCAGTCTCTGGTCTCACCCGATGAGAAATGCCCACAGGGCAGACCTCCACACAGGCTGTGGAGGGGCAGAGGCTCCACACAGCCTCCAGCTTGGGGGCTTCCATGTCACATGGCCACCCTGGCTGCCAGGAGGAGAATGCAGAGAATGGTCTGTAAGGGAGCAAGGACCGAAGCAGGGAGGCCAGGCAGTGGCCGTAACAGTCCCGCAGAGATAGCGAGGGCTTAGGCGGGGTACCACTGGTAAAAAATAAATAAATTAATTAAATAAAATAAAAAATAAAAAGTCAAATTCTAGATATTTTTTGAAAATAGAGCTGACAGAATTTGCTGAACACAAAAATGCAGAGTATAACGAAAGAGAGGAGGTAAGGATGATGCAAAAGGTTTTGATGTGAGCAGCTGAAAGGGTGGAGTTTCCATCAACAAGCATGGGGAAAACTGGGTGGCCTTTCTAGCTTTGTCTGGCATTTGGGCGAAAGACTGGCCCTTGGACTGAGAAAGGCATTACAGGGTTGAGACAATTAAAGGTTTTTGAACTAAGTAATTGGAAATCAGAGTGGCCATTAACTGTGATAGGAATCCTGGGGGAGAAGTTTGGTTTGGGACATATTAAATTTGAGATCAAAAGTAGATATTCATAGAATGTCCAGTAGACAGGTTTCAAATCTGGAGTATGTGTTTAAAACCCTGAAACTGGATGAGAAATAATGGAGTAAAGGTAGGGAGAGAAAAGATCCAAGGAATAAGCTGTGGGGCAAATTAGGAAAACCTGGGAAAGGAGATAGCGCAGGAACAATCAGTGAGGAAGAAGAACCAAGAGAGAGAGATGCTGTGGTGGCCAGATGAAGAAAGTGTATCAGGAAGGCAGAAAGGGCAACCAGCTGTCCCACATGCCATGTCGCTGGTTATCCACTCAGAGAGTGGCCTGCAACCTCGACAAGAGCTGTTTAGGGGAAGTAGTGGGGATACATGTCTGATGAGTAAGAGTTCAAGAGAACATAGGAGAAAAATTCTTCGCAGTGCAGACAATTACAATTTAAAACTCTGTGGGTGAATTTTACTGTAAAGAGGAGCAGGTAAATGGGGTAATAATTAGAGGAAGAAGGTTTTCTACATTTTTTCTTTTAATATGGGAGATATTAGAGCTTCTTTGTATGCTGATGGGAATGATCCAAGAGCCAGAGGAACCTAGTGATGCAGGAGAAGCGAGGTGGCTGCCTCCCAGAGAAGAGAGATGTGCAATCTGGTGTTGGGGAGGGTCCCAGATGGGACCGTGGAGAGGACAGGAGGGCAGGCTGTGCAAGCTCAGGGGCAGAGAGGCTGGAGGATTGGGGGCCAGAGAGGGGAGAGGTTGTTCACTAATGGCTCCCACTCCTTCAGTGAAAGAGAATTGGGGTGAAGGAGGAGGTGCTAAGGGTTTGAAGGGAGAAGAAAGATAATGAAACTTTTACTCAGTAGAGTGAATAGGCTAGGGAAACACACTGGGCCTAGGAAAAAGATACTTCCAACCCAAATTTCCAGGATCCATGGAGCATGGGAAAGGAAAAAAGCTGCCAAATAAAGGAATGGGATGGAGGTGGTGGAAAAGGGAAAAAAACAGAAAGGGGACTGAAGGTTTTAGGGACTGTAGATTCCATCCATTGCACAGTTGGCCAGAGGCTGTTGCATGGGCAACATCAGAGTGTAGGCTTCGGAATCAGGTACAGACAGGAAAAAGGACAGGCTACACTACTTACTACCTTCAGCAAGACACTGAACAACCTCGATTTCTTCATCTGTAAAATGAAAACCATAAAACTTACTTCATGGCATTGTTATTAGGATTAAATGAAATCATGAACAGTTGACCCTTGAACAACATTGAATTGAGCAGATCCACTTATTTTGTTCTGCATCTGTCACCCCTGAGACAGCAAGACTAACTCCTCCTCTTTCTCCTCCTTCTCAGCCTACTCAACTTGAAGATGACAAGGATGAGGGACTTTATGCTGACCCGCTTCCACTTAATGAATAGTAAATATATTTTCCTTGTGATTTTCTTAATAGCATTTTCTTTTTCTCCAGTTTATTTCATGGTAAAATACAGTATACAATACATATACAAAATATATGTTAACTTTTTTGGCACTATTGACTTTTTAAAGTTTTAATTTTTTTATTTCAATAGTTTTTGGGGAACAAGTGGTGTTTGGTTGCATGGAAAATTTCTTTAGGTGTGATTTCTGAGATTTCGGTGTACCTGTCACCTGAGCAATGTACACTGTATCCAATGTGTAGTTTATCCCTCAGCTGGCTCCCACCTTTTTCCATGAGTCCCCAAAATCCATTATATCATTATGACTTTGCATCCTCATAGTTTAGCTCCCACTCATAAATGAGACCATATGATGTTTGGTTTTCCATTCCTGAGTTACTTCACTTAGAATCATGGTCTCCAACTCCATCCAGGTTGCTGCAAATGACATTATTTCATTCCTTTTTATGGCTGAGTAGTATTCCACGGTATACATAATATATACCACATTTTCTTTATCCACTTGTTGGTTGATGGGCATTTAAGCTGGTTGCATAGTTTTTCAGTTGTGAATTGAGCTGCTATAAACATGCATGTGCATGTGTCTTTTTCATATAATGACTTCTTTTCCTCTGGGTGGATGCCCAGGAGTGGGATTGTTGGGTCATTCTACTTTTGGTTATTTAAGGAATTTCCATACTGTTTTCCATACTTATTGTACTAGTTTACATTTCCACCAGCAGTGAAAAGTGTTCTGTTTCCTTTTCACCACATCCGCACCAACATCTGTTATTTTTTTATTTTTTAATGATAGCCATTATTGCTGAAGTAAGGTGATATCTCATTGTGGTTTTAATTTGCATTTTCCTGATGATTAGGGATGTTGAACAATATGCTTGTTGGCCATTTGCATATCTTCTTTTGAGAAATATCCATTCATGTCCTTTGCCCACTTTTTGATGGGATTATTCATTTTTTCTTGCTGATTTGTTTGAGTTCCTTGTAGATTCTGGATATTAGTCTTGTGTCAGATGCATAGTTTGCGAATATTTTCTCCCACTCTCTGGGGTGTCTGTTTACTCTGCTGATTATTTCTTTTGCTGTGCATAAGCTTTTTAGTTTAATTAGGTCCCATCTGTTTGTCTTTGTTTTTATTGCATTTGCTTTTGGGTTCTTGGCCATGAACTCTTTGCCTAAATCGATGTCTAGAAGGGTATTTCCAATGTTATCTTCTAGAATTTTTATGACTTCAGGTCTTAGATTTAAGTCTTTGATGTATCTTGAGTTGATTTTTGTGTAAGGTAAGAGATGAGGATCCAGCTTCATACTTCTACATGTGGCTTGCCAATTATCTCAACACCATTTGTTGTATAGGGTTGTCCTTTCCCCACTTTATGTTTTTGTTTACTTTGTTGAAGATCAGTTGGCTGTACAGATTTGGCTTTATTTCTGGGTTCTCTATTCTGTTTCATTGGTCCACATGCCTATTTTTCTACTAGTACCATGCTGTTTTGGTAACTATGGCCTTGTAGTATAGTTTGAAGTTGGGTAATGTGATGCCTCTCGATTTGTTATTTTTGCTTAGTCTCACTTTGGTTATGTCGGCTCTTTTTTGGTTCCATTTTAGGATTGTTTTTTCTAATTTTGTGAAGAATGATGATAATAGTATTTTGATGGAAATTGCATTGATTTTAGCGATCGCTTTTGACAGTACGGTCATTTTCACAATACTGATTTTACCCGTTCATGAGCATGAGATGTGTTTCCATTTGTTTGTGTCATCTATGATTTCTTTCAGCAGTGTTTCATAGTTTTCCTTGTAGAGATCTTTCACCTCCTTTGTTAAGTATATTCTTAAGTATTAAGTATTTTATTTTATTTTATTTGCAACTTTTGGAAATGGGTTGAGTTCTTAATTTGATTCTCAGCTTAGTTGCTATTGGTGTATGGCAGTACTACTGATTTGTATATATTGATTTTGTATCCTGAAACTACTGAATTTATTTATCAGATCTAGAAGCTTTTTGGATGTCTTTAGGGTTTTCTAGGTTTATGATCATATCACTGGCAAATAACAATAGTTTGATTTCCTTTTAACCTATTTGTATGCCCATTATTTCTTTCTCTTGTCTGATTGCTCTGTCTAGGACTTCCAGTACAATGTTGAATAGAGGTGGTGAAAGTGGGCATTGTTGTCTTGTTCCAGTTCTCTGGGGGAATTCTTTCAACTTTTTCACTTTCAGTATAATGTTGGCTGTGGGTTTGTTATAAATGGCTTTTATTACCTTGAGGTATGTCCCTTCTATGCCGATTGTGCTGAGAATTTTAATCATAAAAGGATGCTGGATTTTGCCAAGTGCTTTTTCTGCATCTGTTGAGATAATCATACGATTTTTGTTTTTAATTCTATTTATGTAATGTATCATATTTATTGACTCACATATGTTAAACCATCCCTGCATCCCTTGTATGAAACCCACTTGATCATGGGGTATTATCTTTTTGATTTGCTGTTGGATTCAGTTAGCTAGTATTTTGTTAAGGATTTTTGCATCTATGTTAATCAGGAATATTGGTCTGTAGTTTTCTTTTTTTGTTATATCCTTTCCTGGTTTTTGTATTAGGGTGATACTGGCTTCATAGACTGATTTAGGGAGGATTCCCTCTTTCTCTATCTTTTGAAATAGTTTCAGTAAGATTGGTACCAGTTCTTCTTTGAATGTGTCAGTAGAATTTAGCTGTGAATCCACCTGGTCCTGAACTTTTTTTTCTTTTGGTGATTTTTAAATTACTGTTTTAATCTCGTTGCTTGTTATTGGTCTGTTCAGAGTTTCTATTTCTTCTTATTTAATCTAGGCAGGCTGTATATGTCCAGGAATTTATCCATCTCCTCTCAATTTTCTAGTTTGTGTGCATAAAGTTGTTCATATTAGCCTGAATGATCTTTGTATTTTTGTGGTATTGATTGTAATATCTCCTGCTTCATTTCTAATTGAGCTTATTTTGATCTCGCTTCCTTTCTTGGTTAATCTTGCTAATGGTCTACGAATTTTGTTTAACTTTTCAAGGAACCAGCTTTTTCTTTCATTTATCTTTTGTATTTTGTTTGTTTGTTTGTTGCTATTTCATTTAGTTCTTTTCTGATCTTTGTTATTTCTTTTCTTCTGCTGGGTTTGTGTTTGGTTTGTTCTTGTTTCTATAGTTCCTTTGAGGTGTGACCTTGATTGTCTGTTTTTGCTCTTTCAGACTTTTTTATGTAGGGATTAAATGCTGTGAACTTTCATCTTAGTATCACTTTTGTTGTTTCCCAGAGGTTTTGGTAAGTTGTGTCACTGTTGTTATTCAGTTCAAAGAATTTTTTAATTTCCATCTTGATTTTATCTTTGACCCAAAGATCATTCAGGAGCAGATTATTTAATTCCATGTATTTGTATAGTTTTGAAAGCTCCTATTGGAGTTAACTTCTAGTTTTATTCCATTGTGGTCTGACAGGGCACTTAGATATAATTTTGAAGGAATCAGAAAAGTAATTCTGGTAATATGACAAAACAAGCTTCTGTAACACTCCCAGAAGAACACATTAGCTCCCCATCAATGGACCCAAATCAAGAAGAAATCTCTGAATTGCCAGATAAAGAATTCAGAAGGTTAATTATTAAGCTACTCAAGTAGATACCAGAGAAAGGTGAAAAACAACTTAAAGAAATTTAAAAAACAATACAGGATATTGTTTAAAAAATTCTCCAGAGAAATAGGTAACACAAAGAAAAAACAATCACAACTTCTGGAAATGAAAGACACACTTAGAAAAATACAAAATGCACTGGAAAGTGTCAACAATAGACTAGAACAAGTAGAAGAAAGAACTGCAGAGCTCAAAGACAGGGCTTTTGAATTAACCCAATCAGACAAAGACAAAGAAAAAAGATTTTAAAAAATGAACCAAGTTTCCAAGAAATTTGAGATTATATTAAACAGCCAAACCTAAGAATAATTGGTGTTCCTGAGGAAGAAGAGAAATCTAAAAGTTTGGAAAACTTATTTGGGGGAATAATTGAGGAAAACATCCCTGGCATCACTAGAGATCTAGACATCTGAATACAAGAAGCTCAAAGAACATCTGGGAAATTTATTGCAAAAATAATCATATCCTAGGCTCACAGTCATCAGATTATCAAAAGCCAAGGTGAAGGAAAGAATCTCAAGAGCTGTGAGGCAAGAGCATTACCTATTACTTGATAGGTAGCAAAACTATTTCAAGTAATATTACCAGAATTACTATACAGGAAAGAGCTGTGAGGCAAGAGCATCAGGTAACCTATATAGGAAAACCTATCAGATTAATAGCATATTTCTCATCAGAAATTCTACAAGCCAGAAGGGATTGGGGTCCTATCTTTAGCCCCCTCAAACAAAATAATTGCCAGCCAAGAATCTTGTATTCAGCAAAACTAAGCTTCATAAATGAAGGAGAGATAAAGTCTTTTTCAGACAAACAAATGCTGAGAGAATTCACCACAACCAAGCCAGCACTAAGAGAAATGATAAGAATTTGAAATCTTGAAACAAAACTTTGAAATACACCAAAACACAACCTTATTAAAGCATCTCACAGGGCTATAAAGCAATAACACAATGAAAAAAACCTAAGGTATTCAGGCAACAAGTAGCATGATGAATAAAACAGTACTTCACATCTCAATAACAACACTGAATGTAAATGGCCTAAATGCTCACTTAAGAGATACAGAATGGCAGAATGGATAAATATCCCAACCAAGTATTTGCTGTCTTCAAGAGACTCACCTAACACATAAAGACTCACATAGACTTAAGGTAAAAGGGTAGAAAGAGATATTCCATGCAAATGGAAACCAAAAGTGAGCAGGAGTAGCTATTTCGGTAACAGAAAAAACAGACTTTAAAGCAACAACAGTTAAAAAAAGACAAAGAGTGGCATCATACAATGATAAAAGGATCAGTCCAACAGGAAAATATCACAATCATAAGTATATATGCACCTAATAACAGAGCTCTCAAATTTATAAAACAATTATTACTAGACCTAAGAAATGAGATAGATGGCAACACAATAATATTGGGGGACTTCAATACTCTACTGACAGCACTAGACAGAAAGTAAGCAAAGAAAAAACAATGGACTTAATCTGTACCCTAAAACAAATGGCTTAACAGATATTTACAGAACATTCTATCCAACAACCTCAGAATATACATTCTTTTCATCAGCACATGGAACATTACCCGAGATAGACTATATGATTGGCCACATAACAGGTCTCAGTAAATTTAAGAAAACTGAAATTATATCAAGTACCCTGTTAATCAACTTTTTATGTTATGGGTAAGGCTTCTGGTCAACAATAGGCTGTTAGTTAAGTTTCAGGGAAGTCCAAAGTGATACACAGATTTTCAGGTCTGCAGGGGGTTGACGCCCCTAACTCCCATGTCATTCAAGGGTCAGCTATATATAAAAGTCCTTGACATAGTGAGCTCACAGCACAAGAGCCGTGCATCTACCTGAAGCCTCACAAGCCAAGCCTGGAGTGCCTCTGAGACTCTGAGCATGGCATCAGCACTTGGTGTGACCTGCCTCTTCCTGGATTAGCAGGCTCACCTCCCACTAGCATTTCTGTCTCACTTACCCTCAAGTTCAAGCTCGGCCTCTTCCTCCTGTATTTAAAGGCCCAGGAGAAGTAGAAGGAAGGGGGCAGAGACTATTGCTTGCCTCTGCAAAATCTATCTTCCTCTTTCCTTCACCAATAGACCCCTCCTTTTTAAGGTGATATGGGGCAATGTGTCCAGCAAAGAAAACTACTGTTCCCAGACTTCCTTTTAGAGAGGAGTGGCTGTGTCACTAAGTCCTGGACAATAATATGTAGATAGAAGTTATCAGTGGGGCTTCCAGAAAATTCCTTTAGAAAGGAGTCTAACTCAGCAGGCAGTCTCCTGTTTTACTCTCCACTTCCTCCTTACCTTTCCCTGGAATGAAGGGATGACTGGAGCAGAGGCTACCAGGCAGCCCTGATGTGGCCTTGAGGAGAGGAGCCAGCACCAGTACTACTGCTTGATCCCTGCCAGAGGAGCTGTGTGTTTGTTTCAGCTGCCTTCCAGCCATGCCCCTACCCACACAGTGAGAAGTACCCCCTTCTAAACCACTTTGCATATACCCAGGACCCCAGGATTTCCTGACTGTATGGCTCCAAGCCCATTTGCAAGGCTGTGTCATCTTCCCTGGGTCTGTCTCCCCAATATGGACCATGTCTTCAGTGTGTGCACTCCTAAGTCCTAAGAGATACCCTGGGAAGATAGCCAGGGAAGACCTCTCTAAGAAAGCAATATTTGAGCAGAGAACCAAATAAAGCACAGGAACAAGCAATGTGAGGATCTCAGCAAAAGAGCCTTGAGCACAGAGGCCTTACGTGCAGGAGATTGGCATGGCTGAGGAAGCCATGGGGCCTGCCCATCTGGGGTGCTGGCACTGCAGGGCTCATCTCAGATCCCACCCCTCCTTCTTCCCACCCAAGCCAGCCCACACCCCTAGAGCTACTTCACAGTGGTCATGGAATTCCACTTCCTAAAAACCATTTTGAATCAAATAAATTCCGAATGTAAGTTCTAAATATTAGTCTTTTGCCCTCCTGAAATATTTCAAGTATTTTGAACACTGTTCCCACCCCGGCCAAGGTTATCATGATACTGACTGGAGGCTGGGGCAAGTTCGTGTCGAAAGGCTGGTCTGTTTTATCTGTTCCAGTTGCCATTCTCTCTTACTCAGAACATGGTTTCCTTTCATCTCAGACTAATTTCTTCCAGGCCCTGAGCTCATTTGCCCATTTAGTCTCTGTCATACCAGTCTGGGATGAGTTTGATATGGTTCCTGGCCTGGAGGCAGGAAGATGAGTGAGGTAACCTCCAGAGAAATCCACAAGCCACTGGAATCATCGGTGTCTCTGAGTCATGCCACCACCAACCGGGCCAGAGTTTGGCATATTTCAGCATCTTGGGGTCCTTTCTTGGCGGGAGGGAGAGAAGGGGTGGAAATGAATTAAGTGTAGTCAAGGGAAATGCTGTAAGTGCTGTCCTCCCACTCCTGGAAACAATTTATTGCATGGAAAAGATAGCAGGTGTTCATTAAAGTGGGCTTCTCAGCATGTAAATCCATGATGTAGTGTTGAGAAAACATAAGTTGCCATCAGTGCAGATGTATCTTAGCCACTTGGTAGCCCTTGGAAAAGACCCCAATTGTCTCCCAGTAAATTCACTGGAACATAATAAAGGCAGAGGATCTCTAGGGCTCTGAGGCTGTAATTAACACATTTCCACAGGATTACATTGCAAATGATAATTACTAGCATTTGGGGAGGTGGGATGGGGAAGTGGGGGGACATGAGCAACTGGAGACACACAAACTTTTGTCTTCACTCTAGTCTTATCAGGAAATCTGGAAGGTCCAAAATTTTTTGGTAAGATTTCCACCGAGAAGCCAAGTTGACAGAAGCCAAAGATTTTCCCATCTTGGATCTAATTTATGTTCTGGAATCAAAGCACAGGTAGGCAGCTACCCCACTTGTTTCCTTTGGAATGAACTCAGGCACATTTCTCCTGGGTTTGTTTATGTTGACTGCCTGCAGCGACTTAAAAGCCTTAAGCCAAGACGGGGCAACTCTCCAGGGTGGGGTGGGCAGGGCAGAGGGCAAGTGGGAATTGATGGGACTTCCAGGATTAGGTATCCAAGAATTGGTAGCTTTGTGTGTGGAGATATTTTAACATTCTGCACTTGGCGCACCTAAACTCCTAGCAATTAAAGGATCCAGAGCCCACCTGCTGTGATAAGCATCACTCCTTTATCTACTTCCAGGATCACAGGAAGGATGAGGGGGGCCTCCAGGGAGGAGCTGGGATGGTCTAGGGGCACACTTGGAGAACTTGTGGGGTAACAGCCATTTATAATCTAATACCAAAGTATTTCCATATTCTTAGTCCCTGGTGTGGTCCTGCTGTTATGTGTCAACCAAATGTCAACTTTCAATCTCTCTGATGTAGCAAGGAAGAGAGATGCATTGAGCCTGGGAAGAGGAGAGCACTGTTGCTTTCTGACAAAAGCCTCATCATGGACCCACCTCCTAAATACTCCACGGCAACTCCAGCCCCACATTTCCTCTTCCCTCCCTCCCTCCTTTCCTGCCTTCCTTTCTTGCAGCAACCAATCTTTACTGAACATAAACCATGTGACTGTGTTCCAGGCACGGTATCAGGCTTCAGATTCTAATGATAATTAATGTACGCCCACTTCCCTTAAGGGAAGTCATGCAGATGAGTGGGCTGTGTGTACCTTTCCATTGAGTGGGAGCTCTGCTCTGAAGCTGCCAGTGCCCAGGCAAAGCAGCAGGGGGTTGGTGGAAGAAGCTTGAAGAGCAGGGAATGTGTGAGAAGGCTGTGTCCGAGTCTGTGAAATATGGTATAAAGGAAAGAGCCAGCTATTCACTGTGTGGCCGGGAAGTGAGCAGCCTTGAGTGGGGAACCACAGGTCAGTGTAAAACCATGGGTTGCGACCTGGCAGCAAACCAGAGACAAGCACTCCAGATGCAGTGAAGGCACAGGGAGGGAAGAGGAGGTGACAGCAAAGGGTTTATGCAATTAAATAGTGGAAAATAGGGCAGGAAGAAAATTGGTAGCAGACTGGCATTGAGGAAATGGCATGGCCTGTGAGACAGACCGAGGTTTCACTTCTGACTCTTGAATGTATTAGCTACCTGCCTGTGGGTGAGTTAGAGAATGTCTTAGAGCACCACCTTTTCCATCCATAAAATTGAGTTAATGTTTAACGTATGGGTGTTGCAGGGATTAGAAATAATGAATATGATGTGCCTGCTATAAAACTGGTCCCAGTGAATTGGTCCCTATCTACCTTCCTCACTCTCACTCCACAGCCCTTCCAACCCCAGACCCACACTTGCTACGGAGTTCCCCCTCACAGGATGAAGGAGGTGATGGGGGAGAAGTTTATTGAGGGAGTTGGTGGAGCCCCAAGCCTGTGCCACATGGGCATGACCACAGCAGATCTGAAGTCTTCCTCCAGTCCTAAGGAGCACCAGGGAAGGGCATGCCCAGGGATAGGAGATGAGGCTGGCATAAGATTGTGGATGGAGCCCCGGGCATGAAGCTGAGGGAAGGGCACAGAGCTCAGCCGAGTGGGGATGGTATAGATGCAGAGGGAGGCCAAGCCAGGGGTGGGCACCCCATGAAAGCTGGGCACTGGGGAAGGCTCGGCGGCAGGACCCACAGCCGGTTTGGAGTGGCACTGCTCCTGCTGGAACAACAGGGATTGTGTACTCAAAGGGCCTAGCTAGATATTCAGCAAAGCAGTGTAACCTCTGGTGTTTTAGTGAACTTAGTGAATTGATAACCCTGTTGTCAGTTACCTGACACACTCAGTATAGTCTCTGATCTCTCTCCCTAGTTTAACTGTCCTGTTTTTGTTTATTTTTAGTTTAGAGATGGGGTCTCGCTACACTGCCCAGGCTGGAGTACATGGCAATTCACAGGTGTGACCATTGTGCTTTACAGCCTTGAACTCCTGGGCTCAAGTGATCCCCCACCTCAGCCTCCCATGTAGCTGTATTTTGCTTATTTTAATAGCAACTTCAAAATTTATTATAATAGCAACTTCAAATCTCTTTTGAAAGTGGGTAATCTATAAAAAACCAGTATCTTCTGTTCTTAAAAATCTCTTTAACAACAAGATATGCTTTTATCTGATCCTTTGCTTTCAGAACTACATCCCAGCCCCTTCATATCCCACTAAAAAGGGGCAGAGAAATGCCTACATAATATCTACCCAAATATAAATTCTTATTTGAGTTGGTGCTTTTTAAGGTGCATCTGATTCTTCATTTCCACCTTTACTAGGAATGGATTTGACACTACAGACCCTCACTGATCAGTGGAAGACACTTGTAGGGAAGTAAAGATACCCTTCCTCACTCACCAAGTCTCTACAGGTGCTTGGGCATTTTCTGACTAAGTGATCCTGGAATATAACTGCACCTGTGTGGCATCTGATATTATGGGTTAGATGTGTGCCCCTTCCAAATCTCATGTTGAAATGTGACCTCCAATGTTGGAGGTGGGGCCAGGTGGGAGGTGTCTGGATTATGGCGGCAGATCCCTCATGAATGGCTTGGTGCCATCCTCACAATAATGAGTGAGTTCTCGCTCTGACTTTACACAAGATCTGGTTGTTTAAAAGATGTGGCACATCCTCCCTCTCTCTCTCTTGCACTCTCCCTTGCCATGTGATACCTACTCCCCCTTCACCTTCCTCCACGATTGGAAGCTTCCTGAGGACCTCACCCAAAGCAGATGCCAGCACCACATTTCCTGTACAGCTTGCAGAACCATGAGCCAAAATTCACCTCTTTTCTCTATAAATTACTCAGTCTCGGGTATTGCTTTATAGCAATGCAAAAGCAGACTAACATATTACCTCTAACAAGTGGTGTGTCTAGAGTCACCCTCTTGGTTTCTAGATGTGTCATGAAGCTATAGAGGGATCATCCAAAAATCAGTGGAAAAGCCAATTTTCTTCTGAGGGATTTCAGTCTTGATGATGAAGCATTTCAATACAGAAGTTACCCTCTCCCACAATAAACTCTCTTTTCTTTGGTCGATATTTATAAGGAGCCACTTAAGGAAACCACAAACAACGTGAAAAATTAGTTTAAATTAATGTATTTTCTGAAAATCATGGTCTAGTGGCTGAAATTTATACTTAAGCACCACTCGATATGTTTTTAATGAAGTCAGTGCAATGTTTTTAAGAAACCACTACATATTTATTCGACGTCAAAGCAGGACATTTGTTTTAAAAGCCAAGGCATGTTAACAGAAGTTGGGGGAAAAGACAATAATTATTTAGTGAATCCTGGGCAGTGGCATTGCGTTTGAGGTCTTCCTCAATAGTTGACTCATCTGGAAACCCAGTCCTGAAATAGAGTTTAGCAAACATAGTGATGGCAAGAATACTAACCAGGCAGTGTCGTGTCCTAAGCAGAGATGGTTCCCGCACACAAATATTCCACTTCCTGGCACATACGCCCACCTCTTGGTCTGGCGTCACCTGGATTTTGAGTTCATCATTGGCTACAGTAGTCTCTACCAATGGATCTTATACTAGACATAAACTTATTTTGGTCATTGATGATAATGTTTGTCTTCTTCTATTTGCATGTGTTCATTACAGTACCTCCCTGATATTGATCTAGTGCTCTATGGCTTACCAAAGACAACCGTGAGAAGGAGGCAGGGAAGGGATTTCCATCCTCCAGATGGGGAAAGCAGCTCAGAGAAGTTATGGCATTTACCTCAATGGAGAGCAGGGACTAGGACCCAAGTCTGGCTCTGAAACAGAGAGCATTTTCCACTAGAAGCTCCTTCATCCACCATATGAAAACCTGTTGCCATACTTCACCCAAACAGGGACAGCTTTAGAAATATGCCTTTCCCTTTTCTCCAGTGAGGGTCAGGAGCAGACTCTGGGCTGCGGCAGGGTGTAGTTTGACTTCTGGCTCTGGTGTTCACTGGCTTTGGGTTCTTGAGCAGAAGCAGAGTTTCTCTGAGCCTCCGTTTCCCCTCTCCTTCCACCCCATACACCATCTCTGCCCAGTCAGATGAGAGACTCTAGGTTCAGTGAGGGCTGACATTTACATAAATGTGGGATAATACATCACTCAGAGTGGAGAAAGAGTGGGATCTTCTGTAGCTTAAGATGGGCAATTTCTTAGATTCATCTTGGTTTGGAGAGCTGCTTGCTGGGAAGGAACTAGACTGATTCTCCTGGACACTGTGAGATACCCTACTCCTAATCCAAAATCAGCCTTTATCAGAGTGGATCCACCATAGAGGGGATGTCTCCACATGGAAGAGGAGTTTAGGCTAGTGAACTTGGCTTAATACAAAGAGCTGGGAGTTCCTGGGGAAGAGCTGAATTTGGCATGGTATGTGGTGAGGCCAAGACCCTCCAGGATCTCATCTTTGTGGCACGATAGGGACAACCTTGGAGCCCGAGTGTGGCTCATGACTTCATTGTGATTAGAAATCTATTCATCAAGATGGGACCTAATTAAACTAAAAAGCTTCTGCACAGCCAAAGAAATAATCAGCAGAGTAAACAGACAACCCACAGAGTGGGAGATAATATTCACAATCTATGCATCTGACAAAAGGTGAATATCCAGAATCTACAAGGACTCAAACAAAGCAGCAAGAAAAAAATAATAATCCCATCAAAAAGTGGGCAAAGTACATGAACAGACCATTCTCAAAGGCATACAAATGTCAAGAAACATATGAAAAAAATGTTCAACATCATTAATTACCAGGAAAATACAAATTAAAACCACAATGAGATACCACCTTACTCCTGCAAGAATGGCCATAATTGAAAAATCAAAAAATAATAGATGTTGGCATTGATGTGGTGGAAAGGGAATGCTTTTACACCGCTGGTGGGAATGTAAACTAGTACAACCACTATGGAAAACAGTATGAAGATTCCTTAAAGAACTAAAAGTAGATCTAACATATGATCCAGCACTCCCACTCCTGGGTATCCACACAGAGGAAAAGAAGTCATTATATGAAAAAGATACTTGTACACGCATGTTTACAGCACAATTCACAATTGCAAAAATACGGAACCAGCCTAAATGCCCATCAACTAACAAGTGGAAAAAGAAAATGTGGTATATATACACCATGGAATACTACTCAGCCATTAAAAGGAATGAAATAATGGCATTCATAGCAACTTGGATGGAATTGGAGATCATTATTCTAAGTGAAGTAACTCAGGAATGGAAAACCAAACATTGTGTGTTCTCACTCTTAAGTAGGAGCTAAGCTATGAGCACGCAAAGGCATCAGAATGATACGATGGACTTTGGGGACTCAGGGGGAAGGGTGGCAGGGTAAGGGATAAAAGACTACACACTGGGTGCAGTGTACACTGCTTGGGTGACAGGTGCACCAGAATCTCAGAAATCACCACTAAAGAACTTATCCATGTAACCAAAAAAAAAAGAAAGAGAGAGAGAGAGAGGGAGGGAGGGAGAGAGAGAGAGAGAGAAAGAAGAAAGAAAGAAAAGAAAGAAAGAAAGAAGAAAGAAAGAAAGAAAAGAAAGAGAAAGAAAGAAAGAAAAGAAAGAAGGAAGAAAGAAAAGAAAGAAAGAAAGAAAGAAAGAAAGGGAAAGGAAAGGGAAGGAAAGGAAAGGAAAGGAAAGAAAGAAAGAAAGAAAGAAAGAAAGAAAGAAAGAAAAGAAACCTGTTCATCAAGAGCAGCAATGTGGAGAGGGCAAGTGTCCCCACATGTGCCACATGGAGCATTTGCCAAAGAGGACTGAAGACTCTTCTGCTATTTCTTTAGGGGAGTCTGTGAAAACCTGCTCTGAATGAAGTACGCTCTAGGGAATTTGGATGAATCTAGGGCAGGAGACCTCAAGAGGGAAATGTGCATGACCTCTTGACCTAGCTTTGTTAAAAACCATGTGGGCATGCATGTGATTAATGGGGAAAAGAGGGACTTTAATCCAAGCTGGTGGTGTGGATCACACTAGGTAAGTGTAAAATGAGCAATACAAACTGTTCACAGGAGCTTATGAAGGCTGAACATGGAGATGAGTGGGGAGTTCTTAGCACAGAAAGTGGCTCCTAGTAGGTGGCATGGTGGTGGTATTACTTTTATCACACCCTGTCCACTGGCATTTCTCCTTAGGCCTCCAGCAGAGAGCGCAGGGGTGGCATGTGCAGTCCAAGGTGGGCAGCAGCATATTCATAAGCCCAGGCTGGAGTCTAAACCCCAGAGTGGAAGTCCTTGTAGCTGTGTGACTTGGGTAAGTTGCTTAACCCCTCCAGGCTTCAGTTCAGTGACTATTAAAACAGAGTTAATGATGATGGGTAAATTTACAGTGAAGCTAGTATAGTTTTGACTTCAAGGTGCCTTTCAAGGGTGCCCAGTACTCTAAGGATATATGGATAGTGGAGGGGAAACAACTTTCTTAGAGCTTATATAGGGAAAAAAAGAAAACTTGATAGACATTTTCCCAAATTTGACAGTAAGATTCACATGAAATTACCAATAATCAGGTGTGGAACTGAAAGAAAATTTTCTAAGTTGGTATTTTCTATCAGAAATACAAAGCAAATGTTGATCAAACTTGCTGGAAGAAAGATTGAATTATCTTTTCTTCTCCTTATTGAAAATATTGTTATGAAAAAGCAATCAAAGAGCATGCAGCCAAGGATGTGGAGGGGAAAGCATTGAAATATTATAAACATATGTGTCAGTTCATAAAAAGTGAAGTTATTTGTGTTTTCTGATGACATGTGTGATATTAGCCTGAAATTTATATTTTGTTGTGATTTCCATTTTCATGCTAAATAAATACAACTGCACCTGATTCTATTTTATAACCGTGGGTGCTTTTTTTTAACCGTCTCTAAAATTATAGGATCTTCTATCCCCACAAAACCAGGATCTGCCCACTTTAATGATGCTACCTGCTTTTGACATAACGTACATGGAAAAGTGCTGTACTTCTGCTGTCCACATACGTGGAGAAGAACTTTACAGGGGTATCTGGAAGGAGATTGGGGACACTGAGAAGAAAGATAAAATCAAGGAAGGAAAAAAGAATCAAAAGAGACAAGTGGATCTAGAGAAGCCTGGAGTTGGCAAATGAGAAAGCCAAGTCTGAAGGTGACAGGACAGGGAACAAGAAGAGTTTACTAGAGAAGTAGGAATGAGGCCCGTCGAAAAGGGATAGGGAGGCCTATGTTAGGGTCTCATCTGTTTCTCAACTAGCAGCCTCACCCAGACCAAGCAAATGTGGTTCTTGATAGAAGCTGACACATACTCTGAAGAATTTGATGCAGGCCAACCAGAGTCCATCATGCTGGGAGAAAACTAGGAGCAGGTTATGATGTGGGATCCATGTCAAAACATTGCCTCTTTCCTTTAGGGCCTGTGGCTTCATTCCCCTAATTAGAGAGGACATCCTGGCTTGGAAGCCTCAGTCCTCCACTCCTCTCTCTGTTAGGCCGACAGGAAGTGAGAGAAAGGAGGGGCAATAAAACACGAAGGTTCCTGAACTCATGTGCAGAGCTGTCTTTTTGAATTCCCATCTGGCTTTTGCCTTGTACTTCCTTTCTGGAGATAAAGCTGTACAAGCCTTGGGAAGGTGGAAGAGTTAAGTGGGTTCCACCGGGTCAGGATGCAATTCCTGAGAATGACTTCCAGCCTGGTTCGGAAGGGATCTGTCCCTGGGAACACTACCATTTGCTGCTGTGGAGGAGAACAGGAAAGAAGAGGATGGGGGCAGCAGGCTCACCAGATGTGCAAATAGGGCTGCCTTCTTTTTATTATGATGAGGATTACTATAGTTTCTGGGGAACAACAGGTGCTGTTTGGTTCCATCGATGATTTTTAGGTGTGATTTCTGAGGTTTTGGTGCACCAGTCACCTGGGCAGTATACACTGCACCTAATGGGTAGTCTTTTAACCCTCCCTCACCCTTTTCACCAAGGCCCTAGAGTTCATTATCTCATTCTTATGTCTTTGCATCCTCATAGCTTAGCTCCCGCTTGTAAGTGAGAACATACGATGTTTGGTTTTCCATTCCTGAGTTACTTCACTTAGAATCATGGTCTCCAACTCCATCCAGGTTGCTGAAAATGCCATTATTTCACTCCTTTTTTTTTTTTTTTTTTTGAGACGGAGTCTCGCTCTGTCGCCCAGGCTGGAGTGCAGTGGTGCGATCTCGGCTCACTGCAAGCTCTGCCTCCTCGGTTCATGCCATTCTCCTGCCTCAGCCTCCCTAGTAGCTGGGACTACAGGCGCCCGCCACCAAGCCCGGCTAATTTTGCTTTTGTATTTTTAGTAGAGACGGGGTTTCACCGTGTTAGCCAGGATAGTCTCAATCTCCCGACCTGGTGATCAACCCACCTCGGCCTCCCAAAGTGCTGGGATTACAGGCGTGAGCCACCACGGCCAGCCTACTTTTAGCTCTTTAAGGAATCCCTGTAACTGTTTTCCACGGTGGTTGTACTAGTTTACATTTCCACCAGCAGTGTAAAAGTATTCCCTTTTCACCACATCCACGGCAACATCTATTATTTTTTAATTTTTTAATTGTGACTGCCTTCTGAGGAAATGTCGGCTGCGCTTTCCAGACCTTCCTGGCTGTGCCGGAAGTGGCGGGTTCTGCTCTCTGGCGCCCTCTGCTGTAGCAGAGCGGATCAGATACTGCCATAGGGCAGGGCAAGGCTGAAAATCACGGTCAATGATTACCCCCACTTATTTGGATTGGGCTATCTGAGACACAAATGCCCAGGGCCTGAGTTGCGGAAGACGATGGCAGTGTGGAAGGTAAGACTGAGTCATCGACAGTGATCCACACTCTTCACTTCAGCCATACTGCCGAGAACCTGTTGGATTGTACTTGACAGAACAAGAATGAATGTTAGAGCTTATCCAGCCCAGCCTCCTGATTCACTAGCCAAGGAATGTGTGTTGGAAAATAGACACTGCAGGTAAAGGTAAGGGCATCATTGGCAAAGGAAGTGCAGGTGAGTAGGGCTATGGGTGGCTAGCCCTACTCTCTTCCAGAGGAACCGTGAGAGTTTCGTATGAGTAAGAGCTCAGATGCTGCTTGAAAAACATAGTGGGGAGGATAGATTGATTCAGGGGAAGGGGACAGAGAAAAGAGTAACACTGGGAGGAGTGTGCTTCTGAAGTATAGGGGAATGGGACAAGGACATCACATGTTGAGAAAGAAGATGGTGGACTGAAGATTAAAAACTGGAGAACCAAGCTAAAACTGGAGTGTTTTCCCAAAGCAACCGAAACAGTCAGAATAGATATGCTGAGATCCGTTCCTGTGCTGGAAGAATACTTTTCAGAGATGAAAAGTAAGTAACTGTGCAGACCAAATATGATCATTACATTTTAGGCCACATTAAATAAAAGAAACGCACATGGAGACACATCCCAGTGAAATTTTTGAGTTACAAGAATAAATTTCAAAACCCTGCTAGCACCAAAGCAGTAGGGGAAAAAGGCTTACAAAAGCATATCAATCAGGCTTCTTCCAGAGGCTGTTCCTCTGAAACCCTAGAAGAGTGTGGATTAATCGCCATAGCCACAATATTTTGAAAGGAAGAATGGTGATCTGAGAATGGTAAATCCAGCCAAGTCATTGTTCCAACATAAAAGCAATTTCAGAGATGTATATGCTCAGAGAATATACCACCCAAATACCCCATGTCTTAGGTCAGTTTCTCTGGAAAGCAGAGTCTAAGACCTGCAGACCTTGCGTGCTAGAGATTCCTGGGGCATCTGCTTAGTGAGGGAAGCAGAATTAGGCGGAGGGAGAAGTCGAACTGCAATATGTTGCAACAGAGGCCTCAGCCAATCCCACAGAAAGCTCTGGAGCTGGAGTAGCATTTAGAGTTGGAATCAAGGCAAGGTGGGCCTTACCCCCCTGCAGTGATGAGTCACTGGATGTGGGCTGCCCCAGAGTGGGACAGTGACCATGGCCTGGGCAGTTCCCTTACAGCTGAGGCAATTCCAGAGTGACCCACCTGTGACCATCACCAGCTGAGGAATGAACACCTAAGTCCTGAGGGACTTTGGTGGCAACTTTAACACGACCTTGTTAATTTTTTTTCAACCTGAAGGTGTAGTCAGGTGAACCAAGGGACGGAAATGACAATATAAAAAGAGCAAAGAGTTTTCCTAATTCATTTTTAACCACAAACCCTGCATGGCTATATATTTCAAATAAGCTATGGGGCAAAGATTCGTCCCTTGGTTTCCCATCTCATTCTTTTCCTTGCTCCAGGAAATGCTTTCCACAGCCTGCTGGAATTGTAGAAAAAAACAACGGGTTCTTGTCACATGCCCGGGATAATTTAGGCACATGGACACATTGTAGGGTGAGTAGGGCAGGGTTTATTGGGTGAAAAGGAAAGAATCTCTCAGCAAAGTGAGAGGAGTTCCTGTTAACAGACCCCCATCTCACAGATTGAATCCCAGGTCACCACCCAGGCACTGGAGAGGCTAGGCTCCTCCCCTCTGCAAACTGCTCAAACTTCCCGAGTCTCTACCCCCTCCTCCCAGTGCAGGCTGGTGGAAGATTCTCCGGGGACCGTCCCCCTTATCTTCCTCCTGCATCTATCAGAATGTCCTACCACAATTTATGACCACTCAGAAGAGCAACTGGCACATTCCCTTTCTATTTTTCTTAACAATGACTAATCTACCTGCAAGGTTAGAATATTGTGCTGGGAGGATTAGCAAAACAAAAGAATCCTATTTCTCTTACTGAAAAGCAAAATTAGGCCATTTCATTGAGCAGAGATGTAGTGGCAATTTTCTCCATCTTTAAAAGCTTTCTTGAGGATAGAATAATTCCATCATCACAAGTGGGATGTAGTAGACCCTTTGGATCTGGAAGGGCTGTGAAGGAGAGCACGTGAAGGAACGTCTCATCTCTTACTTTATACTATTCTTTTGCACAAAGAGCACATAAAGAAAATAGCCTTAAGATTATTTATCTGAATCAACCATCAAGTTGATTTCATTTATTTTTGTTTTTCATAAGAAAAGAATGGCGAAACCACTCAGTGACAGACAACCCTTCATAACAGCGTCTACCTGGGGCTGGTAGATGTCTCTGTTAACAAAGTCTAGAAGTTAGTGTGTGTGGAGTGATTGCAATTGTACATGAAAATAAGTGAATGGGAAAAAAGACTGATTGCAAATTAGTTCTTGGAGGTAAAAATTCAGGTAATTTAAACTTTTTACTTGACATTTTATTTCTTGCATTTTCTAAGTCTTCTTCAATGAGCATGGATCACTTTTATAATTAAACCAAATAAATGCTATTACAAATCAATGAATGTTATTGTACATATACCATAGGATCACAATTAAACTGAATTATTAACTACTATTATTTCTAGAAAGGAGGAATTGGATAATGAGCAATTTCTTTTTCTTCAGTGTTTCAGATTTTTGCTCACAATTTTTTTTTTTTTGCATGTCACAATGGAATAAAAAATGTTCATTATTTCCTTAAAGAGCTCAGGGAAGGAGTCTTCATTGTTTGCTTTATTTTTAAATTGAAAGTGCACCTACCATGTCTTCACCCAGGTTAGCAAGTCCGTTGGAAAGTTCTCTTTACTTAGCCTAAACCTCTACCGCTGCTGGGGTGAAGCAAGCACATCTGGTGGTCTGGCTAGTAACATGAGTGCTACTGAGACTTTGGGCCTGGGGATGGGGGCAAATTATAAAATTCCTATATTCCTTCTAGTGGAAAAGGGGAAGAAAGTTGAATCCCTCCCGAGCATAAATCTGTCTATGGTCTGTGATATAGTGAAGTACACATTTGGACTTCATCCTTGTTTCTTGACATATAACTCCTAAAATCAGTGGAATCCCAAAGTGAAGTGTCATTTCGTATGCTAATGAGTTGATGGCTGGCAGACCCTGGGTAGCTTCAGGATGGGGCTGGTCACCAGAAAGACGGAGGCAGCATTAGAGGGTTGAGACTTTCAGTCCCACCCCCAACATGTGGAGAGGGGAGAGGGGCTGTAGGTTAAGTTGTTCAAGGACGGCCAGTGATTTAACCAATCCTGCCTACTGATGAAGCTTCCATAAAAACCAAAAATGACTGGGTTCCACAGCTGCCAGATAGCTGAACACTTGGAGGTTCCTGGAGGTGGCAGCCAGAGAGCCTGTACCCTCACTCCCAGCACGCTTACCTTGCTCTTCTTTTTCCTTTTGCACAGCAGAGATCACCTTCTGACCCACTGTATACTAGTAGTTTGCTCTCACTGTTGCTCTGCCTCTCTGACCCACACACAGAGCATAAGCTCCTGAGGGCAGGAATCTGTGTTCTGTGGGGTGATGTATCCAAAGCACCTCACAGAGGCTGACACATAGTAGAAGCTCAGTACACACTTTTTTTTTTTTTTTTTTTTTGAGACAGAATCTCGCTCTGTCCCCCAGGCTGGAGTGCAGTGGCGCGATCGGCTCACTGCAAGCTCCACCTCCCGGGTTCACGCCATTCTCCTGCCTCAGCCTCCCCAGTAGCTGGGACTACAGGCGCCCGCCACCACATCTGGCTAATTTTTTGTATTTTTAGTAGAGACGGGGTTTCACTGTGTTAGCCAGGATGGTCTCGATCTCTTGACCTCGTGATCCACCCGCCTCGGCCTCCCAAAGTGCTGGGATTACAGGCGCCCGGCCTGAGGGATTACCGCGCCCGGCCTCAGTACACACTTTTGAATGAATCTATGTTTATTGGAATAAAAGGACTGATGAGACACATGTAGTGAAAAAAGATGAAAAGACAGCACATATAGCATGAAAGGAAGATAAAAACTCAGGACCCCAAAGCAATCTGCCAAAAGGAAAAAATGAAGCTGAAAGCTGAGTCATGCAAGAAACTGCCTTTCCTTTTGCTCCTAAGCAGACAGCTACACAGAAAAGTCTAGATAGCTCCACAGGAAGCTACTCTACGTTCACCTTATCTTATGTAAAATGCTGATTTACTGAGCACCAGAAAAACACAAAATCAGCTGTTCTCCTACCTGCTCCTTTTCTCTTGTAACATGTGGATTCAGTAACAAGATCACACCCTCCCTCTTACCCACCCTCAGCCCACTTTTTACCTTTAAATATTGAAGCCCTCAACATCATCTTCAGAAAAAGGCACAGACCACAGACCTTCTGTGATTCCGTGTTCTTTCCTTCTGGGGATGTCCTTCACCTTGGCAAAATAAACTTCCAAATTGATTGAGACTTGTCTCAGATACTTTTCTGCTTTAAAATAGCATAACTGTGGTTAAAAGAAATTAGATGTGTGTGAGGGGGGAATGAGAGTCTCCAAGACACAGCAAGTGCCAATGCCAATTATAGATTTGGGGATTGTGGGTGATTTTATTTGCTTCATTGTTTGTTGGACTATCCGAACATTTCTTGGTATGCGAGCTTAACCTTTATGATGATACAAAAATGTTTCTTTTAATTTAAAAAAGAGGAAGAAAAACAAGTGGGTCCTGAACCAGCCATGAGCAGCCAGTGGGCCTGGAGATAGCACGGTTGGAGCCAAGTGGGTGTCTTGGCGGTGGAGGCAGCCCTCAACCTTGACCATGGACTGTCACTGCTTCCTGCAAATGTCAACACCACCCACACTGGCAGTCATCCCTGGGGATTGCTTCCTTTGATAGGCCTGGAATCTCCGTGTCATCAATGCTCCTTGCAATAACAACTTCCTCCCACTGGTCACCGCACTCTCCCCAAATCAGGTAAAGCCTATTGTCAAATGATGCAGTGTTCCATACTGCTGTAGTTTGAACCTCAGCTCAAGTGGTAAGTTTGCATATTAAGATGTGAGAGGCCGGATACGGTGGCTCACACCTGTAATCCCAGCACTTTGGGAGGCCAAGGCGGTCAGATCACCTGAGGTCAGGAGTTCGAGACCAGCCTGACTAACATGGAGAAACCCCATCTCTACTAAAAATACAAAATTAACCAGGCATGGTGGCGCATGCCTGTAATCCCAGCTACTCAGGAGGCTGAGGCAGGAGAATCGCTTGAACCTGGGAGGCGGAGGTTGTGGTGAGCCGAGATTGCACCGTTGTGCTCCAGCCTGGGCAAGAAGAGTGAAACTCCGTCTTAAAAAAAAAAATCTGAGGAAATTAAAACTGGTTGTAAGATTTCCTGTACAGGAGTGGCCTGGTATACGTTAGCCTACTGCTCTCACTAAGAGCTGTATCTATGTCCTATTAGTCCCACAAAAGAAGAAGCCGCTTTCCTGAGCGAGGTTTGGCAGTCAGTGCAATTCTGCATGTTCCTAGGAGGAAATCAGAAAGGTGGTGGGCAGCACTGGTGACCAGCCAGCACCTACAGGCCCGCACATTGCCAGGTGTGCTCAAACAGCAGAACCATAGCTCTCATTTTTCCTCTGGAGTACCATCCCCCCTGCAACTTCCACTCAGACATTTCGTTGGACTCTAGTCCCGCTGACCTGCAAGGAACCAGGATGAAGTGATTGTGCAACAGATTTCTGGGCAGCAGGTGGGCCTGAGGTGTATGAACGGCAATGATGAGTGATGTTTGGCCCGTGCTTCCAACTTTACATCATGATCTCAGCACAGCACTCTGGGAAGCTGCTACCAATTGATTATGTTAGTATTGCAAGATGTAACCTCTTCACCATCGGGGTTTGTCATTAATTTGTATTTAGAATGGTAAACCCCTTACCTCCTGTGCCTTCACACTTCCTGTCTACTTGTCTTACCTGATATTTCTCCACGGCACTTATTACTATCCAAAACACTGTACATTTAGCTTATCATCTGTCTTTCCCCGGGATGTAAGCTTCATGAGGCAGGGATTTTGTCTCCTTTATCTTCTGCTCTATCTCCAGTCTGAGAACAATGCCTGGCACATAGTAGAAGCTCAATAAATAGGAAAGGAAAGGAGAGGAGAGGAGAGGAGAGGAGAGGAGACGAGAGGAGAGGAGACGAGAGGAGAGGAGACGAGAGGAGAGGAGATGAGAGGAGAGGAGAGGAGAGGAGAGGAAAAGAAAGGAAAGGAGAGAGAGACAAGGCACCAAAGACAACAGATGCATCTTTATAAAGAATGTGTCCATTTATTTTATTATTTTAAATCTGAACTTTCATAAAATGATGGTTATCTGCATTTAGCTCCAAACGTTTTTGTGACGTGAAGTGGAGACAAGCCCAGGTTTGGACCTTTGCACCTTACTATCAGGTCCAGCGGCTGCACCATTCAGCCTTGTAACTTAATTTGCATCTGCTGAGACTGTGGCAGCCCCACTGCAAGTGACTCAGTTTTCTTGTAGTGATAGTAAGTAGGGGATGCTGTGCTCCTGACTGCATTTCTCTTACAGCTGGTCAAAGTCAGAAATGATGGTGAAGTACAAGAGGGTGCCCCAGGGTACATGGGAATGCTCGCGGTGCCTGAGACTCTGGGGTGGAGAGACCCCAGTGGGGTTCCAATCCCTCAAAAGGATGCAGCTTAAAAGGGGACCTAAAAGAAACTTAAGCTTGAAGTTTCTGAGATGTAGCATCATTTCTCTTCCTTCCTACACTCATTCTGTCAGGCTCTTTCTTTTTACACACTGCCCCCTCTTCAAGACCCCATCAAGCCAGGCCCCTGCAGACAGACAGCACGCCATGTGGGTGTAGGAACATGCTTACGTGCATGTGCGTGTCTCTGCTGCCGTGCCCTCCTCTGCTGCAGGCTGAACTGCTCACACATTGGTGTGCTGAGAGCCTGACGACATCATGCTGCCCAGCTGGCTTTGGCCTGAAGGTGCTGAGCTGGCTGCCCGGCTCCTGCTTCGATCCCCACCTCCTGGGCTCCTCAGAGCCGGCTCATCCATCAGCTTGAGCTTCTCATGCTCCTCTTTCAGGAAGAAATCCACTAATAAGCTCTTCTCTTTCTTGATCTGGTCGCTGATGTCCGTGGGGATGTCTGGAATCATCCAGTCCACGAGGACGCTCAGGAACATCACGAGGTTCTGCAAAAAGCCAAGGAGAGAGGGGCTGAGTTGGAGAGGCCCGGCCTGGGGAGGTGGCGGCCCTGGAGCAGAATGCCTCTGTGTCAATCCTGGCTTTGCAACTTACCAGCCCAGTGATCGCAACCAGTGAGCATAACTCTACCTTGGTGTCCTCACCCATAAAATGGAGCGGAAACACTGCCTACCCTGGAGTGGTTGTCAGGATGAAACGGGTTCATACATGTGGAGCATCTGCCGCAGTGCCTGGCACAGAGCAGGACTCCATCAGTAGTAGTTACTGCTTCTCCCCTTCCCCAGGACTTGTGCCCCCACACCATCTTCAGAGTGTTCCCATGTGTCCAGTTCTTGCTTCTTGGCCTCTAAGCCTCCAGGCCCTCCCTGCTTTAGAAAATGGAAAGTGGCTTTCTAGCAAGTGGTCACAAAGCCCAGTGGCTTCTCCTGGGCTGTCACGGTGCCACTTGTTCCTCTCCTCCCTCCATCTGGCTCTCTCTATCCTCTACACTAGAGACGGACTTGAGGTTTTTGCCTTGACTTCGGGCCTTCACTGACCCAACCCACTGCTGACATTCACCTTATACCGGTCTCAGTCACTGCAGCCACCTCGGCTAACCCTGCCTGTCTGGGAACCCCTGCATCCAGCTTGCCCCGATTGGGTCTAGGCTTTGGCACACACTTGCAGTGGACTTCCTCCTGGCTGCTAAGCCACATCCCTTTGCTGGTGCACACAGTAGGCTAGGACTACCTTTTCCCCAGAGCACTTACTGTCTCAATGAATGAATATAGGACAACAATGCCTGGCATGGCTCAATGAATGCATCTGATTCCCATCCATTTCCCCAGGCCACACTTCACCCAGCTTTACCCAACACACTCCTCCCATTGTGATACACTTCCCTGGCTGCCAGTTGCACGCTCACATGCCTTTTCCCCTCTGAGACTGGGACTGAGCCCTTGAACCCTACATGTTCCTAGGGGTTCAGGGGAAGACACTGGGGACCAACTGCTGCTTCCAGAGGCTCCTGGGCATCTTGGGTGCTTGGGAGCTGCTTCACCAAGTCACACACTCTTCCTCTGAATCCACTCCTTCCTGTGTGAGTGAAATGTGACATGTGACATACGGGAAAGTGAGGAGACTCCTGGGGGTGGGGCAGCAGGGGATGTCTGAGCGATCATTCAAACATATCGCCTCCATCTCTCCAGAGGAAGAATGGCTGTCTTCTTTAGGTGAAAGACTAGCCGATGGGCTTCTCCACTTTCTGGGCTGGGGTCTGGGGGCAGGATACTTTAGAGCCCCCCAGAGATCTGCCTTCAGGGAATACAAAAGCCTGAGGGAGCCAAAGAGAAAAGGATCTGGGCTCGTTCTCCAGCCCTGCTTGAAGACCGGGGGCACCCAGAGTGGGAATTGGGGGCCCTCGAGCTCAGAGAATCTCAGCGATGCAATTGGAGCTGTGGCTATTGTCCCAGATAGGAATCACTGGGCTCGAGTTTGCTATTCATTCAGGGATGGCTCGATGGCTCTGGGGGCCCTTCTCACCAGATGTCTCAGTGGCTAAAACAACACTAACAAAGGAGGGAGCCCAGAGTGCAAGAAGAAAGGTTCCAAACCTGAGCTCTTTCATGGCTGCAGAGATGAGATGGGGCTGTTTGTCTGCCCCAGGCTGGGACTCTGGTTTCAATGGCCCTTTTCCTTTCTTTGCCTTAGGTTTAAACAGGAATCTATCTCCACCCTGCAACTTATTCCACATCTGTCTTGTAACCTTACACTGTGTTTTATCCTCTGTCTGCAAAGTCCACCCATTAAAGAAAGCCCTCTCAAGAGTCCTCCTGCTTCAACCCGGAAAGGAGCCCTCACTTCTGCCTGCCACACATGAAGCTTTCTTATGTCACAGAGTACCACCGGAACCTGGAGGTAGGTGCAAGCAATGAGTGCAGTGTCCTTACTCCTGCAGCCCGGATTCGAATGGGCTATTCCCTATCCCAGCAACTCACCTGGAAGATTATGACAAAAGCCAGACGGGCGGACAGAATAAACCAGTACTGTTTCGAAAACTCATAAGGGTTCGGGGCCCATGGCGGCTCTCGGTAATCCTTAAACCTGCCCAAAGAGAAATGTGGTGTTAAGATCAGGAGCGCATGGAGAAAAGGGTGGTCATTCTCTGGGTGAAACCTCGAGGGCTGGCTGGAGCATCAGGCACGCATGCCCTTGGCATTGACTTGAGAAGCAGGGGGAAGTGGGGGGAATCTATGGCCTAACCAACAAATTTCCAAAAAGGACTAAAGTCCAAGAAAGCCAATGTCAGCCTAGAAATGTCCTAAAAAGACATTTCTACTACCCTCTCCAATAGCTCCCAAAGCTTACTTTGGTGTCAGGCATCAACTCCCAAAGGAGCCCAGGGCATCTGAGGGTAGTCCAGGCCAGTGGGTCCACCTGGGCCTCCCACTAGCCTGTGGCCTCTGTGTGGGTAGGGGAGACCCAGACACCCTGAATGGTGCTCTGCAGCCGGGGGGGTTGGGGAAGATGCAGACACCAGCAGGCAGTCTTGGGCTTCTTCCCCTTCCAGATGCTTCAGGACTACGGCCACTAGAGGGGCTGGCCTTGCTTCATGGCTGCATTCTTGAACCAAAAAGAAGGCTGATCCAGACCAAGCTGGAGGCTGAGTGAATTTGGGATGGGAGGGTCATTAAGCATCACAGTTGATCAGTATTCTGTTTTGCTAATCATCTTCCTGATCTGTCTGCATGGTTTAAACTACAAAATGTTAATGCCTGACGTGATTTCATGCCTCTTTCTCAGACCCATAGAGAAGCCTTGGGTTTTCCCTCACCCTTGCCTTTTCACCCCCATCCCAGAATGATTCATGTGAATACTAGCTCATTTTCTCAGACTCACATTTTTCTAAGCCTGGAAAAATGACAAGGGGCTGGTACCAGAACTATGACCCTTCCTGGAACAGTTTTCTCCATGGAATTCAACAAATCTTTGCTCATCCTGGGCCAGAGAAAGAGGTGGGTGGTGTCAGGCCACCAAGCAATGATAGTGGCTGCCAAGGAAGGCAGGTAGGGACTCTGCCCGGGTCAATCCCTGAGCAAAGGGTTTTTCTGGAAGGTTTCACATTTCATCTTCACGACAACATCCTCAGGCAGGCATTGTTACCCCAGCATAACACAGGAGGAAACTGAGGCTTGGAGAAGTTGAAGTGTGTGGCCAGAGTCTCGTGACCAGTAAAGGTGGAGTCAGGGTAGGAATGCGAGTCTGGCTGAATCTAGGCTTTCTTCCCATTATCACAGGGCATCTTACCAGTGACCGCAGTTTAGGGGACATTCACAAGTAGGTGCTCTTTGGTCCCTTCTCCTGCCATAAATGAATTAGCTGCTCTAAAAGGTCCATGCAAAAGCTAGTTTGTTTTCCATTGTCCAAAGAGAGATGAGAGAAGAAGAGAAGAGAAAAAGAGGAAGAGAAAAAGAGACGCACACACAAAGATAAAAAAGAGCGCAGTGATAGAATCAGCAACAGAAAGACACAACTGAGAGGTGGACACTGGGGACTCGACTAGGGCTTGGCAGGAGGCCAGGAGCTACCCTCTCCCTGCCCGACTCCCCCTCTCCCAACAGCTGATCACAGCTGCCGCAAGCTTGGTTTGACATCCGGATGAAAAGCAAAGCTAACTGCAGCCCAGCAGAGCACCACGGGATTCATCATAACCGTCCTCAGCTGAGGACAGAAACATGGCCAGCTCCAGATTATCCTTGCTGATGGCAGAGAGGGAGAGCGTGGCTAAATGAATAAGAACATCTTGGGGTGGGAAAAACCTCAGACTCACCTATCCTCCCGTCGCCCCCAGACAGGACGCCATGGCAACAGCAATTTATCTCACTCTTCTAGAGACCTCCAGAGAAGGGTGCCACACACACATACACACACTCACATGTGTGCACACACGCACACTCCTTACCATGGGGAAATCCTTCCCTGGGTTCAGCCCAATCCCTACTGCTACAATGAAAGTCCATTTCTCTTGTTCTCTAGCTGCATCTCTGCAGGAACAGCTGCTCACTGACCTCAGTATGCGAGCCACTGCTCACCCCTCTTTTTTCCAGTCTGAAAAGAATCCATAAATAATCTAATTCTGGTTCCACCTCTGCTATTAACTCACCCCAGCTTTTGGAAATGTCACTTTGTCCTCCCTCAGTGTCTAAAACATGTTTTAAGTTTAACAAGCATATCCATCTAATTGAGGATCTGCAGAAAGACTAACACAGAGATCTGTTCAGAAAACTCTACTTGAAAATAGCTCGATGCAGATAGGCTAAGTGTAGCTCCGTTAGGAACTGATGGTAAGCCATGCCACAGAAAAGAACAGTGAGCAATTTAATATTCATCTGTTCACATTTCTTTCCAAAGCTAACTTTATAAAAACTATGACCTACAGTGAGAAATACATTTTACATTCATGCACATACACAGACTGCAATAAAAATTACACAAAACATACTTTGTTGTGTGCAATGCACTAGAATGCACTAGTATTTTCCTATTCTACTCTATCTGATCCTAACCCACCCTATGCTTT
Organism: Homo sapiens; assembly: GCF_000001405.40. Lineage (NCBI taxonomy): Eukaryota > Metazoa > Chordata > Mammalia > Primates > Hominidae > Homo > Homo sapiens. Next base: position 5,568,140 of record NC_000012.12, read on the forward strand.
TTTTTTTTTTTTTTTTTTGAGATGGAGTCTCGCTCTGTCGCCCAGGCTGGAGTGCAGGAACGTGATCTCGGCTCACTGCAACCTCCGCCTCCCAGGTTCACGCCATTCTCCTGCCTCAGCCTCAGTCCCTCAGCTGGGACTACAGGCGCCCGCCACCACACCCGGCTAATTTTTTGTATTTTTAGTAGAGACGTGGTTTCACTGTGTTAGCCAAGATGGTCTCGATCTCCTGACCTCCTGATCCGCCCGTGCTGGCCAACCCACCCTATTCTTCAAAATGCCGATCATGACCCACTAAAGTGATTTCATAATTCACTAATGAACCATGACTCATAGTTTGAAAAACCTTGATTCTCCTAAGCCCCTACCACCAGGTAAATGACTCGTTGTTTACATTCCAACAGTAAGTTCAGATTTCACAATTGTTTTTAAATTTTACCCTAAGAAGTCGGGCTTATCAAATGTTTCACTGAGTAACTTAGAAGACACTAATTAAACAAAGAGACAATTAGCTTTAAGAATAGAAGTGTTCACCAAAGAGAGTGGCTAATCAACCGAATAATTTCCACCACCGTGATGCTGCGTGTTTTGTTTCTAAACCCAGTGCTTAGCACTGGCGACAGTTCGTGCTTTGGAGGTAGCAGGTGAGGGGTTGAAAGCCCTGTCCAGCACTGTCGTTCTCTGTCCTCTTGCAAGTTACCTAACCTTCTGATGCCCAGCTTTCTCATCTATAAAGTGGGCCTGAACTTTCCATCACAGAGTTGTTCTGAAGACGGAGGGTCAACGCCGAGTGCTCCGCACACTATCTGGCCCATCAGAGGAACCCAATAAATAGCAACTATTCTTTCTCTTTTTACTGGAGGTTACTTATGGAATACACCTTTTCTGTTAAAAGAGGACAGAGCATGTAGATCACGGCTTCCAGTTCCTCCTAGCTTTCCAGAAGGATTTTTGAACATGTAAGCACTAAATGCTGCAAGTTTTAGTGCAAATCAGGAGTCAGCCAAGGGCACAGCCATACAGGGCTTCTCTCAGGACCTCTGTCCAGGTAAATAGCATGAAATGGGCAAGTGCTGGCTGGTGGGTGGAGGCTGCCAGACAGCTCCACAACAGACCCGTTCCCATGGCTTGGGGAGCTCGGGCCTCCCAAAGTCCCACTGAGTTCCCCAGCACTGGGTGAGCCCCCACAACTGGTCAGACTCCTGCAGCTGCCAGCCGTGCCCCCAAAGAGAAGCAGAGTTTTATCCCCAGCATATTATTTTAGGGATGTTCCTGGATCTCACCCTCACCCCTCCAGTCCTCCTTCATTTTCCTTGAGGCTTAAATAACATAAATTTTGAGAGTTCCCCTGAGTTTTCTAATAAGGAGAGACTTCCAATAATGAGACAACTAGCCTGTCTAAAAAGCTAGTCTGCACCTGGAGCAGCTACGCCACTTACTACCTGTAAGAGACCGAGGAAGTCATTCCCCATTTCCGAACCTAGGTCCCTGATCTACAGAGTGGAACTCCCAAAATGTGTATCCCAGCGCTGAGCATAGAGGAGCTGTCTCAATCCCAGCCAGGAGTGAATAATAGATGTGTGTGCGTGTGTGTCTGCTTGTGTGTATACCTTGCATTTTAAAGAAAGACACTGTGAGAATTAAATAAGACAATCTAGGTGAATATGATTTCCGGAGCTTTTGCAGAAAATGAACACAACAGTTTCTTCTGGGATAGAACAGCTGGGGTGGGGGCTGAGAAGTGACACTTTTCTTCTTATATACATACACAATATGTGTCTATGAAATTAATTACTTTTACAATTAAAAAGTTCAAAATGGTAAAAGATGAATGTAATTAATGGCAATACACAGTTGATTCAAGTACATTTTTATAGTAAGCTTTCCTGAGCAAAATTATGTTAATTTGAACAGACTCATATAATAAATGAAAGTGATACAGAAATCAACATTATGTTTTAGCTTTAAAATTATGTTAATATTTTATCTAGATTGTTCTAACTTTGTGAAAACTCACATTGATTGAATTGAGTTTGTACATGACTTAAATAAGATTTCCATTAACTCAAAATATATTTCATTATAAAACAAACCCATGAAACAATACCTTAAAAGTCCTACAAGTTAATACTATGTTAATGCATAGAAAAATGCCTAGAGAACATTCACCCGTAAGTATCACCCTATTACTGTTGGAAGGATGCCTGGGGTTGGGCAGGGGTTAGGGTGGAGGCAAAACAGAGGTGGAGTGGTTACCTGTAATGTTTAGAATTTTTGTAGAACTAGATTAATAAATGACATGTCATTAAACCTGAAGTTTAAAAAAAAAAAGAAAAGAATCTTTGAAGATTTTTTATTCCAAAGTCTCCATTTTTACAGATGAAAAAACTGAGGTACAGAGAGGAGAGAGACTCAGGGCTCAGATGTCCTCATCCTGTCCTCACTTGCAGGGTGACTAGTGACAGTGACATCTGCCACAATTCATCACAACACAAAATCACTGTGGGCAGGGACAGTGCTGAAGTCAACGATCAGTAACAGCTTTTTAATGAGCTTTTGTTATGTAATGAATCAGCTAGTAAATGCATTTCTCAACTCCAAATAGTGGCATGTAAAAAACATTTTAGTAGCCCCAGTGGAAATTAATGTCATGTTAATGCTGAACACAACTACATACAATATTTTCATACCATCTGAGCTACTTAAAACTGCCTCCTGGAATTGACCCTTAACAAAGGAAAACAGTACAGGCAATTAGGAACTAATGAGTAGCATGTCAATCCAGTGGTTGATAAGAATCAGGAAATGTGGCACCCAGAAAAGCTAACAGCCTCTGGTTTCGGTGGGAAGCAGATGGGAGGCAGCCATGGGCTGGAAGGGAGCACCCCTCTTCAAAGACTTTTGTCAGGATACGGGGTGTGCAAGCCCTTAGGACCTGCAGGAAAACCTGGCAGAAGCCATCCACAGAAGCTGCTGCTGGATGCTCAACAAACACCTCCAAGCAGACCCGCTGGGTTGACAATGCCCAGGTAGGCTCTTCGAGCTCTGAGACAAGATATCTATGCTCCCTTCCAGCTGAGCTGGGAAGTCAAGCCTACATCCGTCCTCCAGGACGTGGCGGCCCTTCGACCCTGTCAAATGCTGCTAATCATGCCTGCAGATTGATGTCACGGGACTGTTTACGGAGCAGCCCTGCCAGAGCAGTCAGATGACAGAGGCAAGCATCGCTCCAAAATGCTGGGAATGCATCTCAAACGGGCAGCCGGAGACTTGTGCTAACTTTTATTGCTATTTTTAAGATACCTCTATCCCTGGCGAGGCTGGGTTGGAGTCGGAGACCTCAGTTTTATTTGACCACATTTATCTCCAGAGGTCACTGAAAGCTAAGAATAAGAAGGGTCAACAAGTTCCCAACGCTATTTGCCAGAAAATCATGGCAAACCTTGTTTCCCACCACGGAAGCAGTTTTAACTGGCTCTAGGACTAGCTGAAGAGTTATCTCTGTTTCTCAAAATACTTCTCTATCATAGTCCCTTCTCCTCCTCCTCCCCTCTCTCTTTCTTCTCTCTCTCTCTCTCTCTTCCATGTACACATATATGTATACGGAATTATCTCAAGGATCTCAATTCCTGACTTAGAAAGACATCCATAGAGGTTATGCCTCTGCTTTCTAAATCTCCAGAGAATTGAGTGACCCAGTCAAGTTCACACAGCAGGCAGTGGATAGGACTCATATGAGGCAGAGATTTCCATCAACAACCCTTATCAATCTAGGAAACGCAGCCCCCAGAGCACACCTATTTGACATATTATGTCTAGATCACATGCTGACCTTATTTTCTGAACATCTACCTATATTTCACAGTAGGGCATCTCTTTATGTTAAACATAACCCTCAGTGTAACCCAATAGTCTTCACACTGTAGGCAGAGATGTAACACCAATAAAAAGCTTGATCTCATCACTGCCCTCTGAAACCCCTACAGTGGTACCCTGTGGCCCTAAGAGAGACTCCACGCACCTCAACAGGACCAGCATCCTCTCCTTAATATGGAGTTTGTTTTTTTCTTTCAGCCTCCTCTCTCATAGCTTACCCCTCTCACCTGAGCCTGTCTCCCTGGAATACAGTGTTCTCTCGGAACCTCCATCACTACCTGACACACCCCTTGCTGCCCCATGACCTACCACCCTCCCCACCCCACTTACCAGCCAGGCTGACATGGCCACATGAGTGAGGAGTTTCAATGTGATTGTCTCCATGGCCATTCTTGTACTGTTCATTCTTCAGGTTTCATCTCCCTTGAAAATCCCCTAAACACTTAAGTCTGTGTTAGGTGCAGGGCCTCCCTCCTTAGGGATCCCTTAGCTCTCTGCTGTTGCCCTATTGTCAATCATTAAAGCTGTATTTTAATTTTAATTCCTTGTTTACTTATTGTCTGCTCCATCTAGAGTTCTTGAGGGATGCACTATATCTCGCTCCCTATTATACAACCAATGCCAAGCCTTTAGTAGGGTCTCAAAAATATTTGCCTAATGAATCTGTAATCCTCACTGGTACTGAGAGAGGAAGGAAAAATGATGGATGCTTCAAAGTCACTTCAGCTTGATCTTGGGATGATTTATTTTCTGCAAATAAATTTTTTTGGCAGAAATATAGAATGAAAGTGCACTTTCTATGCATGTGCCCACTGATAATTCTGCCACTCGGTGTCAGATTTTTTTCTAAAACGGGCCACAAACAAGCCATGATCTTATCTACTTGCATGGGAATAATGGGGAGACAACTATCAGAGCCTTATAGCTGGCCGGAAAATCCAGTGACTCTGAAGGCAGATACAAGAAAGCTCAATCTGATCCACACATATTCACAATACCTGGTGTCCTGGGCATTGGTTGTTTTGGCTGAGTAGCACCCATTTGCCTTATTTCTCACCACAGTTCCTGGCAATCATACGGAACTTAAAAACACAGTCAACATTGACTGCAGTGGAACTGGGAGGTGGGCAGAGACTGGATTTGGGCAGACTGGATTGAATGAAAACTTGCCTAAGATTAGATCTACCTTCAACTTCCCATAGGGACCATTAAAATTCCTATTGATTTAAGCCTGTTTCACCAGTGATATACCTGAAAAGCATATTCATAGGTGTTAGTGGAAAATCCAATGGTCAAGGGCAAGATCAGAGACCCTTGTGCTCTGAGGACAAGTGCTTCTAGAGCAACTAAAGAAACAGACGATGTGAGCCTGGCTTTCCCACACGACAAGTCACACTGGTGCTGCCTCCCATTGGACATGGAGGTGGAGACCTGCGCTCTTAGAGAGATGTGAGCTTTAGACCCTGCTTTGAGAAGACCTAGATGCTACTGGAAAGGCCTCGAGCTGGTCCAGACCCTCTGTGCTGTGGAACTATGTCGCTGGGGTCTGCAGACCCAAGTCCAGCACCATGGACAGACAGTCTAGCATGTCAGCCATGCAGAGGGGCCCCCAGGCAGTGCATAGCCTGGCAGCAAATCTGCCTGCAATGTGATTTTAGTATGAGAGTCAGACTCTTTATAGGCCCAGATGCGAAAAATCCTGAAACATCTAGGCTAATATAAATTGACACTTATGAGTAAATTTATTCATCAATTCTTGTGTCTGGTTCCTCATTTTTTATCTTTTCTTGGTTGACGACAGTGGAACCCTGAAGTTGTTGTTCCTGGAACTGGAATACCCTTCTATTTAAACCATAGATTGGTACAGTTGTTTAACTCAGCCACCCAGGTTGGGAAAACCAATTGGTGTTCTCTCGTTCATGGTCTCAGACCACAAATCTGAACCTATGTGGCTGTCTTACGAAAGGCTGGCCTTGGGCACCAAGCATGGCAGACATGCCCAGGGTCATCACTGCTGCCAACACAACTGAAAACACAGCTTTTACATCAAATATTATTGGGGATGGTCTAAGAAAGCCCTATGTTGGTCCCACAATACCTTCTCTTAGGTTTTTGTTATTGGTGTAATTAACTATTCTGATTTATATATATGAGGTAGGATCTTTGGTCAAGTGCTTTATTGGGACTATCTTTTAACCAGGGTACAAATGGGTTGAATAAATTATTCCCCTCTGCTCTTATTCTCTTCATTTGCCCTTCTTGGGTAAATAGTGGAGAGTTTTCCATTTCTTGGCTTCAGTGACCCCAGTGCTGATGGCCTTCAATCAGGACTCTAAGTTGGACGTCTCCAGAAGTCCAGCTTAGTGTGTCAAGGAGTTGGGTGAAAATGACCTCTTGGATTTCTTAACATCGTTTTAAATGTAACATGATTGAAATCAAATTCATCATATGTAGCATAAAATTAGACTCTCTCAGCATATTCCCTCTCCCTATCAATGTAACCACATCCCAGTCCTCTGACTTCAGTCCAAGTTTTGGAGATAATCCTAGCTCAGCCACTCTCCTATGTCTACTGTCACCAACTCTGCAATATTTCATGTGAAATAGCTCATCTTCTCCTCTCCTCTTAATTCCTCCCGCCACCCTGGTTTATGCCCAGCACAGTTCATGTCTAAATGATGCAGCAGCCCAGCTGCGCTCCCTGGGTCCTACCAACTCTAGCCCATTGTCCTCACTGAGAACAGATCAATTTCTCTAAACCTTCCCTTTATCCTATCATTCCCTGACACTAAAAAAGTCCAGTGTCTTCCTATTGCATCACATTCTAATTCCCGTTAGATTTCAGGACTTCCCATTATGTACTTTATCCCATCTCTTCAAATTCAACAACCTTTTGGCTTATGCTGGTGTAGGAGTTTCTACATTTACTGTATTTCCTTTATTAATCCCTTTACTGTGTCTCCTTGCTAACCATATCACCTAGCACCAAGTCTTTATCCAACAGCCCACATTTGTCCCCACCCCATGACTTTGCCCATGACGACTCCCCACCTAGAATGTTTTTCTTTTCTCTCTTACAACACCTAGCTGCCCCTCCAGGAGGCCCACCCTTTCCATTCTAGTCCCTCAAGTAATCTCCCTCTCCTCTGAGCACCCACAATGCTCATGGTCCATACATAAGCTCACCAAATAACCTGCTATTTCCTATCTGTTCTGCTTATTTTCTTCTCAACCAGACCATAGCCCCCTTGATGGTGAGGACAAGGCTCTTTGTCTGCTCCATAGTGTCTAGAAAAAGGCAGTCCATAAATATTTTTTGAGTCATCAAAGCTGATTTATAACAATTGATTTATAACAACTGCAGAGAGAGCAGGAGACAGAGGGAAAGGAGAATGATGTACAGTCGTGTGTTGCTTAACGATGGGGATATGTTCTGAGACATGCATCATTAGGTGACTTTGCAAACATCACAGAACGTGCTTATACAAATCTAGATGCTATATAGCCTACGTCACACCTAGGCTATAAAGTATAGTCTATTGCTCCCAGGCTACAAACTTGTACGGCATATTACTGTACTGAATACTGTAGGCAGTAATATAGTGGTAAGTATTTGTGTACCTAAATATATCTAAATACAGAAGATGTATGGTAAAAATATGGTATTATAATCTTACGGGACAATCGCCATATATGTGGTCTGCTGTTGTCCAAAACATCATCATGTTGTGCAGGGTTGTAATTCTAGGTCGTCCCCGTAATTATTTGGATCTATTGCTTCTGGTCCTCTGCTGCCCTTCTCCTGAAGATTACTTTACCTGCAGAACTGAACCTCCTGGTCAAACTGTGAGTTTTCTGGCTGCGTCCCCTCCTTCAGCTGGCTGACGTTGAAAAAGGAGAGGGTGTGGTTGACAAAGCCGTGCAGAGTCCCATTGTGACTGTAGGAGTACTGGTACACCAGGCGGGGGATAAAGTCGGAGGTGATCGCAATGACAAAAGCCTGAGGGACAGAACCATAAGCACTGAGTAGCCAGGATTGATGCTAAAAAGGACTGTCCACTCTTAGGCTCCCCATCAGAAGGAGCTGCTCTGACTGATACAGAAGCTCATGCAGCATGATCAGGTCCCTGAGCTCATGCAGCTGAGTCACATGCCTTTTCCATCTTTGATGTGTATAAGTATAATAAGTCCACCAGACAGTGGCTGTCAAAAGAGCACATGTCAACCACTGCAGCAAAGCATGCTAAGTCAATTTGGACCATTTGGTGCTGGAAGGATTAAACCACTTCTGAGATATCTAACATTGCTGTTGAGCAAGCCAAAACAGGGTGCACGCTTTCCTGAAAAAAATTACCTATAGTGATGAGGGTACTACGTAAGTGTAATGGGCAAGGAAATGGAATGCCCATGTACATCTGCCCCTGAGTAGTACCAGAAAGCCAGAAATACCAAGAATATGATTCCACAGTTTGCTTAATTTGACCATTATCTCTCAACACTTTTTAGCATGTCATGTAATAGAAGTTATTCTTGTATCCATTTTACTTAAGAAAACGGAGACACAGTGGAGAAAGAAACAGGTCCTGCTAGGTGGAGCCACACACACCCAACACAGCATCTGGCATGTCTAAGTGCTCTATAAATGTCCATGGAGCAAACCAAATGACAAATGAATGATTGCGTATTTGAACACAGGGGTACTTTCTGCAAAGAAAGTCTTAAATCTTTTTGGCAGGTGTTTATACTGCATCCTGCACCAACAATTAAAGCCCTTTACCAAAATGTAGTTCAGATATTGTTCTCTAAATGTGTATGTGAATGTGAACGGCCAGAACCATATTTGAGAGTGAATAACATCATAATCATAGCTACAACTTACTGGGCACTTGTTATATGTCCTTTCATCATGCCATTTAATTTCCCAAATGATCTTATTTGGTGGGTACTATTATTATCTCCCATTTGACAGATAAGTAAACAAGTCTTAAAGAGGCCAGGGAAGTAAGACTGCACGTCATTTCGTACTGTAGATGGAAAGTGATTAATACTCAGGGCCTCTGTTCTAACAGACACAACTTCAAAGTAGCGGACTGATCTGTTTTCCAACTTGCACCTTATTTCTAAGCCTCGAGATGTGCACTTCCTACATCACAACATTCAAAATGCAGTGGGCTGATTTGCTCTGCCTCACCTCACACCTTCCAGCCATTTTATGTGATCTGGGTAGGAAATCAGGTCAGAGTCAAATCACTGTTTGCCTCCCAAGGGAAAAGGGCTGTGGCTTTCTTTGTGTGCACTGAGCTGGCTGATATGTTCCTGGGAGGTGGGACAGGAGGCCCTTCCTGGCCACTGTCCTTAGAGAATACAGCAGAAAAGGAGCTGGCTGGGGCCCAGCAGGATTTCCTCTGCAGTGTAGACATATCTGGCAAGGGAGTTAAGGAGGTCACCACAGGTGGGACCCTTCTTCTATGTCCTATCTTAACCTACGCAGTGCCAGAGTCCACGGGGATAATTAAGATTTTGCACTGACAACCTGGAGGAACGGTAATTAGGGATTGTAGCCTGGGCAATGCTCCAGGTATTGTTTAACTCAGGAGTAGAGTAAGAAAGGAAAGAGATGAATAGATATGTGGAATTCTTTCCTCATTATTCTTGGCTCCAAGGAAAGATCTGATTTTGACCGTCAGGGCCAAGGTATGCATTCTGATGGATAATTACCTTTCTTTCTCTTTGTGAAATTAAAATTAAACCTACACAGCCTCAGCGACAGCATGATGGGTTACAAGGCATTTGTGAGCTGTTAACCAGAGCACTGTCACCAATAAAGCTACAAATGGAAAAGGCTGGGAGGTGCAAGGGCTGGCTTCCCACTTTGAAGACCTCAGCTTCTCTGGAAGCCCTTCCCACAGAGCGAGTGTGTCATGAATGCAAGTACTTACGTTGCTGATAACAGAGAACTTGCCAATTCCAGAGAGAATGTCAAACCAGATTCCTACAAGACAGAAAAGACAGCGTCTGGCTCACTCCCGCCCTCGGCCCAGTGATGACAACGCTGAAGCTCCAGGTGATGTTTTGCAGGTGAACTACGGAGCAGCTTTGCTGGGCCCCCCCAGAATGGGCTTGTCTGGAAAGGCTTAGGTAGCCCCCCCATCTGGAAGCTCAGATCACAAGTGGGGGTGGATAAAGCGGTCTCAGAAGGCGTCCCTGCACTTCAGGATATGAGGATGAGGGACCCAAAGGGAAGAGGGGCTTTCCCAGCCCTCTTGATTCCTGGTGTGGTGTGACTGTGGCCAGAGGGGACAGAATGGCAGAAGGATGGGCCTGGTGGGGCCTCTAAGTGGGGCACGTACCGATATCTTTGGTTCTTACAGCATCCGGCCGTCTCAGCTCTGTAACAAACTTCTTTGCATCGAGCCGCACTTCAATGACGTTGTTGAGGAGGGCAAACACAGGTGCCAGGGGAAAGGAGGCCACGAAGAGGGTGACAAAACCAAACTGGATGACTGCGAGAGAGCACAGCATGAGGGCTTCAGCAGGAACAAGCAGGACTCAGGTCCCTTCTGGCTTGCAGCTACAGCCCCTTGTCCTTTCTGCCTTGGGTATCTTTCCCATATGGGGTAATTTTTAGTCTCCCTTTTCCTCCTGTGTCACATACACGGTATTTCTTTCTAAGTACCTGCAGGCCTGTTGGTCAATGCCATCACTTGGGAGCAAAGCTCTGGATTAGGCATGGTGGGGAGATACAAGAAAAAAAAGTCTTAATTGCTTCCTTTACCCTTTACTGCCAGTCACTAATCCTACTGATCTAACTCAGGGTTTGGTAAACTTTTTTAGTAAAAGGCCAGATCATAATAAACATTTTTGGATTTGCAGGCCATATGGTTTTGTCACAACGACTCAACTCTGCCATTATACAGTAAAAACAGCTATAGACAGCACATCAACAAGTGGGCTTGGCTGAGTTCCAATAAAACTTTATTTACAAAAGCAATATATAAAGTGACTAGGTTTGGCCCACGGGCCACAGTTTGCCTTCCCTTGAAATAGCTTTAAAAACCACCTCCCAGATTTGGACTCTTCTTTCCATGTCTACAGTCACTGCCTTTGTTTAGAAAGTTTATTCATCCATCACGCATTTATGGAGAGCATTTATAAATGTCAGGCCCTGTACCAAGTATTTAAGAAGGCAAAGGTCTGTTCTGGCCTGCAAGAAGCTGGGTTTGAAAGTGGAGAGTTAAGTGTAGGCAAACATGTGCAACAAGGTTTTATGTATGCCAAGAGAGAATAAAGAATGTACTAGTGATAGAGAAGGCCCAAATGGAGAGGAACGTACATTGTTCAGGGCAGGGACTGAATGGGTCTCCATGTAGAGTCCCTCAGCACAGTCTGGAAAGATGGGCATGCAGTTTTCTTGAGGATTAAGTCAAAGAGACCTTCTAAGCTATGGAAGCAGTGTGAGCAAAAGCATGGTGGCACAGCCCATGCCCATGAGACAGCTGGAAAGAGTCCAGCCCTACCTGGACCATTGCAACAGCCTCCTGACGGGGTTTCTTGTCACCATTCTCCCAGGATGCTAGAGTCTATCCAGCACACAGCCCCTCTCACCTGATTCTGTTATCTACCTGCTTATAAAAATTCCTGTTGGCTCCACTCTGTTCACTGAATATAATCCAAAGTCCCTACCGGTGCATACAGGTGCTTTATAATCTGCCTCCAATCTGCCTCCCTAGCTTCATCTCCTAGCATCTCCCCAGCAACGACCATGGTCCTGCCTTCTCACCCTCCTAATTGTCCCCTGCCACATTAGTTCTTTCCACTCATTTGTGCATAAGCATACACTCTGGCTGGCAAGCTTCTATGCATCCCTGGGATCACTCAAATGCCACCTCCTTGGTGAAGCCCCATCCCTCCTCCTCTGGACCCCACCACCCTGTGTTCAGGCTTCTGTTGCAGCCATCACTGTGTGCTTCTGTGATTGACTTGCTCACACATCTTTATTTCCCACTGAGAAGGCAAGGCCTCCGTCCCTTCTAGGGGTTCAGTACATATTTGCTGATGGAAACACAACCCAGAGTCCAGGAAAGTTACAATGTAGTAGGACTCCCCTACATACTAAGGGCAAATTATTAAACTTTCTGTGCTTCAGGTACTTCAACTGTAAATTGAAGATAATAGTAATACCCACCCAATAGGGTTCCCAGAAGGGTAAATGATATTACATACAAAATATGTACAATGTACATACAATGTACAATATGTACAATGTTGGATACATAATAACTGTTTAATAAATGGTATCTTTTATGTGTAATTTTATTCTTATTGGAATAAATATCAACATGTACAGATGACTGCAATGTATACTGTATACTTATATGCTAAACAGACACAAACTTAAGGTTTAAGCACTGAATGAGAGAGACCCGACTTCTAGACCTGGATATGCTTCTAACTAGAGGTATGATTTTGGCCAAGCCTGTTTGTTTCAATGGGCATCAGCAACCTCATTGATAAATTGAAGGGACCGGTTTAAATTGCCTCCAACTCTGATTTGCTGTGATGCTATGGTTCGCATTGTCTTAGACAAGCTTCGTGAGTCTAGAATATTCAAATGAAGAATGAAAAAACTGACACAAATGGGAAAAAAATTCTGTTTCTACAGAGGGATAAGAGCAACCACAATAGAAGTTTCAGGAAAGGGAACAGGCATGGAACTTTCCCCAGCCCAACTGCTTTTGATTTGGCAGTTTGCTCAGCCCACAGTTGTGGGTCACTGTTCTTGCTGATTCAACCCTGTCCACTGCCATTGTCCTTGGTGCCCAGTAGGTTCCTGCAGGCCCTAGGAGGCCGGCAAGTGCTGGTCGGTAGCAAGACACCTGCACCGAAATACACAGATTTGTCAAGGTTGGGACCTTAGAGTGATCACCTGACTAGCTGGCTGGCCAACAACGATTGGAGGGTGGTGGAGAAATCCCCAAAAACAAGCTCTGGAAGCCAGTTCAAAATGCAGGATCTCTCTCATCTTTTAAATAAAGCTTTGCTGAGGAATTCACTTTGGAGTCAGGAATGGGGATAAGGCCAGGAGGGTGTGGGGATGAATGGAATTAACAAGGAAACGAAAACAGATGTTAGACTAGCATTCTAAAACCTGTAAAATGCATGTCTGTGTTTAAGTGTATGGATGGATGTATATTTATGGAGTTATAAGCTGGTCTTCTTGATTCTAATGAGCTCAGTTCAGCAGGGCAAATGTTCTTATCATGAGTGACTTCCTCCAGCAGAAATGTGCAAACTCCCCAGAGCCTCCGCAAGGGTTTGGCAAGGAGACTGATGGGGAGGGAGAAGGGCAGTTTACTTCTGAGGGATTGCAAATGTACACAGCATGCCCTCACCACATTCGTGCACATGGTACTCTGAAATCTAACTTCCTTCCAGGGTTATAGGAAAAATGGGACTCTCCACTTCCTCTTCTCTCTTCATTTGAACTCCAGAGGCAGACATGAATGCTGTCTTCTAGGGCTTCCCTGCTGGTTTGCTTCTTTACCTTCACAAACTCTCCAGACATGGACTCTCTGGTGTCCCTCTTCTGTCAACGCAAACATCTTCCAGTGCTGGCTTGATGCTCTCTAATAGCTCCTGTTAATCACCCCAGTCCCATAACAAAATGTCCCTCCTCCTTCCCCTCGCCATGTAAGTCTCTATGTTCAGCACTGGATGGCCTCAAGAGACTGGGCTCAGCAATGCTGGACCTGAAGTGACAAGATCCTCCTGTCCCCTCCTCTGGTGTTACTCCATGGTATCCTGAGCCAAGAACAGGCCCTCTCTGCAGACGCCCCATTGCTGCAGATGTCGCCTGCTCAGACTGGGTAATCTGAGCATTGCCAGGATTCAACCCAAAGAGGCAGAAACAAATAGGAAGTTTTGTTTTATTTGGGGGAGAATAAAACATAAAACCATAACTCTCTAGCATGCAAATTCCAAATCCAAGACTCGCTCTTTTCAGTCAAAGGTCTAAAATGCTGGGAGTCCTTCTGGGCTCACTTCAGAGGATACAATGATACCGGCTTTTGCCAACACCAAGATTTGTTTCTAAAAGCAGCAAGCCTCCATTAGAATAAGAGCAACACCGGAAATCCTCCGTGCGCTGCATAATAGAAGCCAGCTCGGCCTGACCAATAACAGATTAAGCCTGGCCAAGCCAATTAGGGAGGAAACTTTGAGTTGATTTTCAACCAAATCTTTATAAAGCCTGCTGTAAAATGCTCCAGTAATGCTGAGCTCAAAGGCTGGAAACTCCTCCATGCAAACCCCATTGGTTTTCTCTTCTCACCCTTCAGCAGCCAAGGATCTTCTAGAATAACCATCAGCCCTACACTGCCTGAAGCTGGAGACATTTCTGCATCAGTGATTTCCTGAGTTTAGGTTAAAATAACAAGGAAGAGTGGGTTAAACTAACCAAGACAATATTCAACAAGGACGTTTCAAGACAATCTGTTTAGAGAACACAAACAGTATAGTAGATAAAATAGAATGGACTTGCCAGGATTGGTGGAGAAGATTTTGATGGAATACAATTCTGATTTTTTACTCATTTATTTAAGATTTTTCAGTGAACATATCCAGAACCATTTCCTCCCCACCCATGTTCTGTGCTAAGGGCAAATATTTAGCAAGTATGTTGGAGATCAACTCCGCCTGCCTTCCAACCATTCCAAGACCATTTGTACTTCCCCAAACTCACCATGATTTCTACATTTCTGAGCCTTGGTACATGCCACTACTGTCTGTAATTTTCCTTTTCTTCTGGTCGGCTGAGTAGGATGCTATTCATCTCTCAGGCTCAACTCAAACTTCGCCTTCTGTATGAAGACTCCCCTCCACCTCCATTTCCCACCAGCACTGCAGGTGGAACTCGGTGCCTTGGGCATCTCTCATCCTCACTCCCATAATGCCTTGACACGCCTCTCTGTTTATTTGACCTGCTCCCTAGATGGAAAGCCCCTTGAGACCAGGGGCCTTATTTGATTCTTTTCCAAGTCCTCACTCACCATCTTTTGTGGTGCCTATCACATAGCAGATGCTCAAAGATTATCTGTTTCATAAATCTGACCTTATTTTCACCAGTTGTGAAACACACACACACATACAAGGTCAAAAATGAAAATGTGTGACCTGAGAGCACTGCACTTGCTGATGGTGAAAAGAGAGGTAGACATGAAGTATGAACACCTCTACATCGCAATTCTCATTGCTGCAATCGGCACAGAAGACTTCGAAGAAAGTTGTAGTAAAAACAGTTGGTTAGGAGAGTCCAATTCTAATGAAAATGATTATAGCTTTTAAAAAAATGCTTTCTGGCTGGGCGCGGTGGCTCACGCCTGTAATCCCAGCACTTTGGGAGGCCGAGGCGGGCGGATCACAAGGTCAGGAGATCGAGACCATCTTGGCTAACACGGTGAAACCCCGTCTCTACTAAAAATACAAAAAATTAGCCGGGCGCAGTGGCGGGCGCCTGTAGTCCCAGCTACTCGGGAGGCTGAGGCAGGAGAATGGCGTGAACCTGGGAGGCGGAGCTTGCAGTGAGCCAAGATTGTGCCACTGCAATCCGGCCTGGGCTAAAGAGCGGGACTCCGTCTCAAAAAAAAAAAAAAAAAAAAAAAAAAAAATGCTTTCTATTGTTTAATAAAAGCAACACAGTCTGCTTAAAGAAGTTGAATATTGGGGGCTTAAGAATTCTCCTTTTTGAGTGTTGGCAAAGCAGGACTACCAGATCGGTTGTAAATATCAGAGGTGGAGGAGACACTGAAGTGACTTCAGAGCCAGAGGGGAGTGCAGAATATCATCATGGTGAACAAAGATGGCATTCCCATCAAGAGCACCATGGTCAACCTCACCACCACAGAGTGTGCCAGCTTCCTGCACAGCTTCATCCTGAAGGCACGGAGCACCATGCATGAAAGTGACCCCCAGAATGATCTCACCTTCCTTCGAATTTGCTCCAAGTAAAATGGAATTATGGTTGCACCAGATAAAGACTATTTCCCGATTGTGATTCAGAATCCAAACAAATAAGCCATTCTCTTGGCTCCCTGTGTCATTCCTTAATTTAATGAACACCCCCCCCCCGCCGCAAGAATATTAATGTTGATCATGTCAACAGACTGGCACACGGCAGTTGCCTTAGAGCCCACTCGAACCAATCCAGTGACCATGTGAGGGCTGGCGGCTCTGCCTACCCCGCCAAAGGGACTCCTGTGTGCACCAACCTTCCCCAGAGCTCCCGGAGGGCCCTTTCTCCTCACTAACAGGTTTTGGAGCAAGAGCTTGTGAGAAACTCACACCCAGCTTCCTTCTGACATTCAGTTCACTTTGTGGCCCTTGGAGAAGGCTGTTTTTCTTTAATTAAAAATAACTGAAATGCTTAAAAAAAGAATCCTCCTTCTTATGAGCCATTAATGAGCAGTGCAAGGGAATCATGGAAGGACACACTGGTATGAGCTTGTCTTCTCACTCAGGAGGCAGTAAGTGAAAGATTCCGCTAGAAACAGCCCATTAGTACATACTTATGTAAGAGCACAGCAGGGGAAGGTCATAACTATTTATTTCCTCAGCCCATATTTTACGACTGTGCCCAGGGATCCCCTTTTCCCAAGAGCAAGGGAAGCCAACTATGCTTTGGGCTGACAACGTCTGGCATAAAAAGAATTGCAAGTGTCGATTGTACACATAAATAGGAAAAGACAGTGAGAAGAAAAGGCACGAGCTATTTTAGATCCTCAGCATGGGCCTCCATTGCTTAGAAAAATGGTGAAGCCTTGACAGAAACATAAGAGAGTTCTCAACGTCCATCACTCACCATCCACTCACTCATGCATTCATTCAGCAAGCATTTACTGAGCACATTCTATATACTGGAGACCATGTGCATTGCTAAATACGAAGATGAGCAGATTACTGTGGCATCCTTCCAAGGGCTCAGAATATGCTGTGGGGAAGATGGACATGGAAACAATCCTTGACAGCCTCACGTGGTGAGAACAAAATGCCAGCATTAACAGTGCTGTAGAGTGCTGGGCAGAGGTAACTGACTGTCACCAGCAGACCCATGGAGGCTTTGCACCATTCATCACTGGGCTCCACGTGAAGAACAAGTAGAAGACGCATAAGAAAATTTGCTATATGGTTGGTAGTTAAGGTCGTTCCTGCAAATTCACTGATCCAAATTCACAAAAAACTACTTAAGAAATAAGGACAATATGTGGAATTCCTTTTCAGTCTGCATGGAGTCACCTGGGGGTTTACACAATGGATCGGGCCTGATTCAAAAAGCCTGGGAAGTCATAACAGGAAGGGACAGGCTTGAAGTCACAGCTTAGGTATTAAGAGTTTACTGCATGCAAAGCAATGCAATGCTGGGACAGATCAGTAAGGCACATTTGGCTCCGAGTTTTCTTCATTTCTTTGTGTTTAAAGGAGACTCAGTCCCTGCTCTTTCTCCCGTCCCACATCAAAGCTAGGGAGACTTGAGTTGGCAAGATCTACTGATCCACTTCCTGGAGGACAGACTGGTGAACTTCCAGTAAATATTTACTGAAATAACAAATGAATGGTCTGGCTTTCTCACTCTTGTTTACGTTATCCACCTGCAAGATGGGAGTGTGAAGGACAATTATTCATTCATCCTTCCTCCCATCCCTCCATCCTCTCATTTGGACTGTGGTAATGTAGTGCGTGAGTTCGAAGGGCAATGAAACCAGTCATGATTGGAATGAAGTTCCCAAGCAACAAATCATTACTGAGGACCTTTCTTTGCTTTATTCTTTCTCCTCTACCTCTTCCCAAAAGGTTTGTGCAAAAGTGAACAAAATGAAAATAAAATTAGGTTTATAGGATTTTAGAAAACGGAAATAAGGAGCACAGAAAAGAGGACAAAACAAGTAAGAAAACTCGGGGAACCACAATGCAGCTATGTTTGAGCAGTAACGTTTACTCTGAGCTTCCCGGTTGTTAGAGCAAGAAGAGAAATGGGGCAGCAGTACAGTTCTTCATCAGTTTTAAACTAAAAGACTGCCTTCCCTCCATTCCTTCCTTCCCTCCTCAAGCACTGACTAGGCATCTTCTGTATCCCAGAAGCCTTTTGTGGTACGCTGAGGGCTGTGGTATCCAGATACACTTTTGCCTTTTTTCTTAAAGGCGTGGGGATGCAGTCTAGGGCAGATAACACCAAGCAATCTATGCCTCAGCAGCAAAAGGACAGAAATGACCTGGGACTCAACCTACTTCTCAGAAATGCTGAAGCCAGCCCCTCGATGCTGCCTCAATTGTGTTTAAACGCCATTTGGAGAAGATGGCAGGAGCCTCATTATCCAGTGGAATGACTCAGCGTGTGTAAACAGGATGGCCCAGGGAAAGGAATTTCCTGGTTCTTTGAGCCATTGGCTTGTAACACACACACACTTGCAGTTCTTTGTGACAGAATATGTGGGCCTCAGTGCTGATGGTTTCTCAGGTATTCTAGAAAATCTGATCACTTACATCCAGCCTCTGTTGGAAATTTGGAAATTACCCATTGCAGTCTTTACCATCCATGACCAAAGAATATCAGAGTTGAAAAGAATGTGGTGTCACCTAAGTTATCCCTCCATCTGAAGCTCAGGCCATTCTGCTCCTTTAATAAGTGTCCACTTTCACCTGATCATTGTCAGGCAGGGAACTCAGTACCAGAGCCCGTCATTTTCATTGTTTTTGATTCTCTGTCTCCGTTTTAAGTCACCGGGACTCTGGAGTATTTGCTACAAAGCATTATCATAGCAGTAGTTGTCTAATATATGGGGTAGTTTTCCTGAACTATCCAGATAATTGCATAAGTTCATCAATTTATGCTGCTATAGGAGACCAGCTCTATGGATGACAGCATTCCCTAATTACTAGCACTTCAAAATAAGGAGACTTTGCACTGCAAGGGGTGGTGTAGGTTGTCCCAACTAAATCAATACCACAAGGATGTCTGGAGAGTTTTCATGAAAGGTAACGTCTGCAGAGTCCAACTGACAGCCCGTCCCCACACCCAGCCGGCCCAAAAGGTCCTCACTACAGGATCACTTCTTTCATTCTTCCTTCTTAAGAAAACATTCATAGAGCACTTACTGTACGCCAGGCCTTGTGGTGAAGTGCTGTGAATCAATAAGACACAAATCTCACCCTCAAGAAGCTTCCATCACAATTTAGTGAGTATCATGACCCTGGGCCATTGGTCTTCAGGTGAGAAGAACTGACAATCACATCATTTATTTATCTGAATGAAACGGTGATAAAACTTTACCAAGAGATTTTTTTGGGACTTGTCACTAAACTCTTCCGGGATTAAACTTGGGCCTACATCCTTCTGCTCAGGAGGAAAAGTCAAATGGCTGCAAGTGTCCAGAGAACTTAAGCTTGCAGCTCTTAAAGCAAATGAAGAATTTCCTCTCATCAGCCCTGAGGAAAACCCCATGACAGGGCTGTGAGGGGCCTGCGGCAATGGAGCTTTGAAGCCCCATTTTGGGGTAGGGGACAGTGATGATTAATGTCATGGCCATCTCTTGGGCCAGTTTTCTTTCATCCCCTCCGAGATGGGGGAGTGGGAGACGATTCCTAAAGTCCTTCTTAGTAAGCCCTTCAGGAAAAGGTTTGATATTGGAGATTCCCTCGAAAGCCAGCTGCTACCCTCCCAGGTTTCTCCAGCTTAATCCCTCCCTCTCAGGTTTCCCTTTGTCTGGAGCCAGCCCATCCCCACATCCACTGGCCTGAGGAGGCTCCCCACCCCCATGCACCTCCTCAGGCTGATCCCAGCCTCCCTTCACCTCGCAGCCCCTCCCCCAAGCCTGCTGGGCCCCAGCCCAGGTTCCAGTTCAATTTAGAAAAATGTAAATATAATACATCTCCCCCTGCTGCCTCCCTCCGTTGAGGACCTGCCCCACCATTCCTACTGACAGGCCCAGAGTGGGCTCAGCGCACTTCCTGTCTGCATGGGTGGTCCTGGGGATCTCAGGGAAAGAGGCTGACAGCTGAGAGCTGGGCCGGGGATCACCATGTCAAGCACACCAGAGGCGGGGGGCAGCTTTGGTTTCATTGCTCTCATTTTTGTTCAAAGTCCAAGACATGGGCCCTTCTGGAACGGGGGAGGTCTAGCCAGTCGGGAAGGAAGGAGGAAGCCTCACTTCATTCCATCCTTCCATGTCAAGCACACCAGAGGCGGGGGGCAGCTTTGGTTTCATTGCTCTCATTTTTGTTCGAAGTCCAAGACATGGGCCCTTCTGGAACGGGGGAGGTCTAGCCAGTTAGGAAGGAGGGAGGAAGCCTCACTTCATTCCATCCTTCCACAGAAGCCCAAGTTACTACAGGTCTTGAAGCACGTCTCCCGTGGAATGGTCTGGAAAGTGGCTCTAACCTCAATTCCACTAGTGAGTCATCTGGGTGACCTTAGGCAACTCACATTACCCTGGGCCTCTTGGCTTTGAGGTGCACTGTTCAACTAGGATGTATGAACCATCATGTCATCACTGGAAGGCGCCCTGAAGGTCAGCTGGTCTCATGGTCTGAAACTTATTATTCCTGTCAAGACACTCAATGAAAAATGATGACCTGCACTTCCATTTGTGTATGCTGAAACGTCCCTTCCTCAAAAAACATCTAGAAATCTAAGAAAGTGAGGGTGGCACTGACTCTGTTTTACCTTGTATTTCTAAAACATTGGCAGTAGTGCATTACTTGTGACACATTGCACAATTGGTTTTGACCACAGACCGGTGGGTTGCATCACTGCAGGGAAAAACTCATTCTCTGGTCTAATTCCCTACAATTTCCAGGAAAAAAGGGAAGCCAGGGAAATTATACGACGCCATGCCCTAGGCCACACTGCTAGATAGAAGCAGAGCTGCATCTGCACCCGAGTCTCACCTGACACCCTGGGAACATGGGAAGGAGAGACGCTCACTCTGCCTACAATGGTCATCTAAAGATACAAGAGGCAGCAGATGTGAAGGGGCTTTTACTTCAAAGACGAGGGTGCAGAGAAATCAGAAGTAATGATAAGGTGACTGCCGCCAAGTCTTAGTTATCCATGGAGACGGCAGAAACTATTGCCCCCAATGAAGTTTTGACATCTGCTGTGAACTTCATCTTCTCTCCCACCAAGCTAGTTCCCAGAGCTGCTGCGATCTTTGAACTGCATGGGTGGGTTCACGTTACACCTTCTCTTATTTCCCTGGCTTACTCGCTAGAAAGGAGTGCCTAATAGGCCTGGGATGGGGGAGGGGAGGAGGCAGAGGAAGAAAAGGGGTGGCAGGAGAGGGAGACAGGGAAGGAGGAAGAGGAGAAAGAGAAATAAGGATAACCACCTCTCTTGATAATCCACTCACTGGATTATCAGCCCATAAATAAATGAGAATTGACCACGGCTCAGCATCACTAGAAAGTGAGATTCTGTTAGCCTAGGTAAGAGAAAGCCGAAGACATAAATGATACACTCATTTATTCAGTTACCCCCCTTTACAGGCTTACCCAATATGTTTTTAGTGACTATGCCCTGGCGGGGGGGTGCTGGGCAAGGCCCTGCAATTTGAAGAATCGGCCCTTGGGAAATTAATTACCAAAGGCATCTCTATTTTAGGAGACAGCTTGTCTGAAATCCTGTGGGGCAGGGGGAAGGGGGAGGTGGTAAGGAGCAGGTGACACGAGAGGTGGCTTTGGATGCACGCATGAGAAGGCGCAGGCAAGCCCAGGGCCGGGAGAGCACTCAGGACAGGCAGGGCAGGAGGGAGCTGTAGGGTGCGGAGGATTCACTTTCCTGGACCACAGGACATGGAGAAGGACCTAGGATTAAATAAACGAGAAGGATGCTCTGGGAGGGCCTCGCTAGGAGCACGGGAACCCTGATGGTTTTTGGACACCGGAGGGATATGACCAACACTACACCTCGGAAGGAATAAATGAGGCAGTGGCGAGACGGTGGTGGCTGCAAGTGGCTGTGTTGAGGATGTAGTTAAAAAAAAAAGAAAAAGCAAAAGCACCAGGGAGGAGGCAGGGCAGACACAGCAGATTCCTAAGATACCCTATTGCAAGCTTGTCCAACCCCTGGCCCATGGGCCACATACGGCCCAGGACAGCTTTGAATGTGGCTCAACACAAATTCGTAAACTTTCTTAAAACATTATGAGATTTTTTTTTGCTCATCAGCTATCATTAGTGTTACTATATTTTATGTGTGGCCCAAGACACTTCTTCTTCTTCCAATGTGGCCCAGGGAAGCCAGAAGATTGGACACCCCAGCTCTAGAGGAAAGATCGTCGACACAGCAAGCCTACTGGATGGGAGGCACATGGAGACGGAACAGAGAATGAGCAGTGATGTTAGATTTCTCAGCCAGGGGCCTGGAGGATGGTGGGGCCATTAATGTGGCACAGAACTCAGAAAACAGTCAAGGGTATGAAGCCTGCAGGCAGAAAGGCTTAGAAATGTTTCCCCGAAATGGATTCTGGTCTGGGCCCTTCCCTGCCTTGTTTGAAGTCTCGAGACAAGCCTGGGGCAGTAAGCGGGAGAAGAGCCTCCTGCATCCAGTTCAGAGTTTGCTTGGCCTCAGTAGGTGGTTTCTAAAACCCAAAGACAAGGCCAAAAGAATGAGAAGAGCAGGCGATCTTCGAGCACACCTCTCTGCTGGTCAACCGGAAGCAGCAAAGACCTAGCCTCTGCAGCAAGCATCACTAGGCAAACTATTTTCTAGAACAGTAGGTCCTTTCTTATAACTGTCTGTGTGCCCATATGGGGGCCAATGGAATTTCCCCTTTGTCCTGGGAAGGTCTGCTGAAAAACCAACTCATGATAAGGCAGATTAACAAGAGAAAAAACTAGCGGCCGAGCGTGGTGGCTCACACCTGTAATCCCAGCACTTTGGGAGGCCAAGTCGGGCAGATCACCTGAGGTCAGGAGTTCGAGACCTGGTCATGGTGAAACCCCGTCTCTACTAAAAATACAAAAAATTAGCAGGGCGTGACGGGAATGCCTATAATCACAACTACTCGGAAGGCTGAGGCAGGAGAATTGCTTGAACCTGGGAGGCAGAGGTTGCAGTGAGCCAAGATTGCGCCACTGCACTCCAGCCTGGGCAACAAGAGCGAAACTGTCTCAAAACAAAACAAAAACTACCAATTTGTTACTGCTATGCACACGGGGAAAATCACAGAGTGATTGCCCAGTATCCCAATGTAGTACAGGTGCTTACATACCCTGCTTCTTAGGGGAAAGGGTGTGGGAAGTGCGGATGATTTTAGGGGGATAGTAAGTGATTTCAGAGGAATTTCATGGGCTTAAAGAACATGCAATGGTTTGGGGCAAAGTCTATTGAATCTGCAGAGCAGACAATGATTTGTGACAAAAGTCTGTCCAGGTTTGTTGACCGACTTTAGTCTTCTTTCCTGCAATGTGGGTTCAGTTCATGAAAACTCAGGGAAGGGATTGGAAGTAATTGTTCTTTTCTTTAGTAGGTCCAGACTTTTAGGCAGCTAAGGGAAATTCAGCCTGTGTGTTGAGAGAGGTAGAGGATTGAGAGAAGGGTGGGAGAGATCGTTCTCCTTGGTAGGTCTGACTGGTCTTTACATACATAGGGGAAAAATCTCC
Organism: Homo sapiens; assembly: GCF_000001405.40. Classification (NCBI taxonomy): domain Eukaryota; kingdom Metazoa; phylum Chordata; class Mammalia; order Primates; family Hominidae; genus Homo; species Homo sapiens. The sequence continues at coordinate 5,591,669 of NC_000012.12, forward strand.
TTTAGCACTGTTCATCTCTAGGATCTTTAAATCAAAATACTTACTATGCCAGGGAGTCATACTTTGGGGTGAAGTTCCCTGAGCTCCTTCACACATCTCTCTCTCACACCAGACCCTGAAACTCTGGAGGGAACAGGCATGTCTGTTGTCTCTGTGTCCCCAGTGCCTGGCAGCAGTGCAGACACCACAGCGCTGCCCCGGGGGAGGGCAGGAGGGGAGTCACTGCAGAGGCAGGGATGTGGCCTTGGAGTTGAGGTCAGAGCCAAGTCTGAAAGAGATCATCTCACCCTGTCCACTAACACTAATGACTTGACCCCTTAGGGAAAGGAATAAATTAAAATCAGAAGTGACTTTTCTTTGAGAGAAACTCTGATAATAAACATGGTTCATTTTGGTCTTAGGAGACTAAAATTATTGCACATTAAAAATTACACAAATATGTCCATAGTGAAGAAGGTGGCCCACAGGTCATGGGATCAAGAGAAGCGGGACTTCTATTTCTCTACCAATGAAGGAAAAGGACTTATGAGGCCATTCATTTAATAATTATTTCATTGTGTTATCAGGTTCTAGTACCCATGCTGAGTGTTGCGACTAGAGAGGAATAAGACATTGTCCCTGTCCCCAAAGCACTCACATGTTTGAAAGGGTGCAGGTACAGGAGAAGAGGGGAAGAGAAAAACTGAGGATGGGAGAATGAGAAAATGGTGCCAAGGGCAAATGTGTCTGAGCCTGCAACACTCAGCAAGCAGTCACGGGTAGGCGACATGGCATAGGCAAATTGGACGTGAGAGTGTGAGATAACCAGATACACACACGCGGGCCTGCAAGAAGATGCAAAACAAGAGCCAGCTTGGGATGACCTCATCTGCTGCACTGGGCGTGTGAACTTTATCTGAAAAGAAGTCTGTAGCGTTGAAGGATTTTAAGTAGAAAAATGAATGCAATCTGGCTTGCATCTTTTAAAAGCCGTTCTAAAAAGCAAGAAGGAAAGGTAGAAGGAGTGAAAAAGAAGCAGGGAGTCAACTTAGGATGCATTTCCAGTAATTCCAAGGAGAAATGGTGAGGGTTCAAATAAGAATCCAAAATTCTCAGTAGAGGCAAAGTCAGCGAGGTAAGTATCCACAAATAGAAACTCTCCCCAGTTAGGGTTCACGCAAAGTCAGAAAGTAGTCATGGAGGTTAAGAGTCCACAGGCGTTCCTCCTGAACCCAGAAGCTCAGACTTGCCATTTCAGGAGACAACTTGAAAGCGGCCACAAGAGCTTTAACATCTGGTCTCCGAGAGGAACCTGCCCTATGCATTTCCTTGACACGGTGATTTCTACAGGCCTTGGTGCACACTTCCAGAGAGCAGGAGAGGCTGGGGGTCTCTGCCTTTCAAAATAATTATCTGGCTTTTACTCCAAATGAATGAATAAGTAAACATGCAATCATGGATGCACTTCCCTTTCTGTGAGGGTTTGACAGGATATAAGCTCATGACCAAGAAAAATAAGATCTGCTCTCATGACTGTGTGAATGAATGACAGAAGAAATTCATCTCATCACCCACAGTAATAGCCCAAGGGCCTCAAAACTGTGGTTGCATTTAAGAAGCTGGGGGAAGGCTGTAAGGGAGATAATTGAATTCCTGAGGCAGGATTATAATAGCGATTATTTTTTGGATGACTAGAGGAACAAAAGCTTGTGGGTTTTAGATAAACAGATGACAAAAAGAGCCCATCTGAGAGTCCAGACTTGTCAATAGAGCCCTGAGGGCTTAGAGTTTACTGAAAAGACAAACATCTTGGAGTGTTTAGAGCTCAGGCTTCTGATTCTTAGGTATGCCTTGGGGTCTGGTACCCTCATTCTTTAATAATTAGGGCACAGCCTACACTCACAGTACAGGAAGAACCTCCAGAGATCACCGTATTCAGGAGCTTCAAACTGTTTTGAGTCAAAAACTTTCTAGATTTGAGAGAAACTGAACTCTGGACAATAACAACGGTGGCCAATGTTCATTGACGGTCTACATGTGGAAGCACTCTACATGCATCAACTGACTCCCAGAATAGTCCTATGAGGTAGGTGCTATTATCATCAAACCTACTTTTCAGATGGGAGAATTGGACCTGGCTGACTTTAAGCCTCAAAACCAGAGTCATGTAGCTAGCATGCAGCAGGGTTAGGTTTGAAAGCCCAGTGGTTCAACGGCAGTACCACCCCTAACCACACTTAGCTGCTTGATGAACTTTAATGAGGGTTATTCTGCAGCCCAGTCTTTGTACTTGAGAAAAAGTATGTCCTTAAAGGATTAAGAGGATAGTCCAGAGATAAAAGAGATGAACGAAACCTAATCCAGAAAACATTGTCCTCACACTTAATAAAATATGAAATAAAATAGCCATGTCTCTAAAACACATCTCTTAAGATTGAAAGTCATAGCAAAATAGACTAAAGAATTCTATGAGCCAATCCAGCTTGAAAAACCCCTGTATGATTCCTCTTCCAGATAAGATTGCATCAATATCAACTGAATTGTTGACTCAATCAATATCAGGAACAACCTGAATTGCTCAAGAGACTGTCCTGGTCTCCAGACTTGCTCCTCCCTCCAGGTGCTTAATAAATGTTTGATGAATGAATTGATAAGTGAATTCTTGCACCTGTGTTTTCTCTTTTCCTCCTGAGCCTTACTATCCCTCCTCTGCACTTGCTGCCCAATTTCCCAAGCAAAGAGTATACAGTCACCACATTGGCCAAGATTTTACAACTACTTCATATGGTCTGATGTGAAATGCAAACCTGTCTGGTCTTCAGGGTTTTCCACTAATCCCAGGTCTGTATCTGAACCTTCCATACCTCAAAACTACCATTTGCTTTTCCTTGTCAACAGTTACTCGTGGCCGGGTGTGGTGGCTCATGCCTGTAATCCCAGCAATTTCAGAGGCCAAGGCGGGAGGATTGCTTGAGTTCTGGAGTTAGAGACCAGCCTGGGCAACACAGTGAAACCTCACAGCTACAAAAAAATCAAACAAATTAGCTGGGTTTGGCGGTGCATGCCTGTAGTGCCAGTTACTAGGGAGGCTGAGGTGAGAGGGTCACTTGAGCCTGGGAGGTCCAGGCTGCAGTGACCCATGATGGTGCCACTGCACTCCAGCCTGGGTGATGTAGCAAGACCCTGTGTCAAAACAAAACAACAACAACAACAAAAACAGTTACTCATGGCCAGGAGACTCGCTGCACTTGCCAGTCCTTTTCCCTGGAGTGCTCTTCTCTGTTCTTATCATCTATATGTAGATCTCCAGAATCAGAAGAGATCTTGGGATTACTAAATCAACCTCCCACTTACAGCTGGAAACCTCTTCAGAACATCCGTAGTTCACCATCAATTAAGCCCTGCTTTGAAAATGTAAATCCTTTACTTGTCTTGTAAAGTTATTATTATAGAGTTAACTCTGTCAAGAAACCTTTTCTCATTAATTAGCGCATGCATGCATTCATTCATTCCCTCATCTTTGTGTATCAGACATACCGAGTGTTTGAGTTTTGTTTTTGTTTTTTTTAGAGATGGGGTGTCACTCTGTCACTTAGGCTGGAGTGTGCAGTGGCACAATCATAGCTCACTGCAGCCTCAGACTCCTGGGCTCAAGCAATCCTCCCACCTCAGCCTCCCAAGTAGCTAGGACTATAGGTGTACAACACTACACTCTACTGTTTTTTTTTCTTTTCTTTTCTTTTCTTTTTCCTTTTTGTAGAGACAGGGTCTCATTATGTTGCTCAGGCTCATCTTGAGCTCCTGGCCTCAAGCAATCCTCCTGTCTCAGCCTCCCAAAGTGCTGGGTTTATAAGCATGAGCCACTGCACCTGGCCTGGAGTGTCTGTTATATGCCAGGAAATGTGCTAGACTCTGGAGGCTGTGAAGATGAATAAGCCATGGTCCCTACCTACTGCTCTTCAGAGTCACTCCTTGACTGGGTCTGTTGAAAAACATATGTGTAAGCAATACTACCATAATTCAGTAAGATGCCATCAGCGTGTGTACCAAACACAATACTAGGACAGAAACAAGTGATGATTTCTCTCAAGAGGAACTGGGGCTTGACCTGGGAAGACTTCCTAGAGGAAGCACCGTGTAAAACTAAGCTAAGGATGAGTCTAGAATATTCAGGTCAACAACGTGGAATGGAGTGGCGTAGGGGGCTGGGAATCCCAAGCTTCCTATACACTGATAATTCTTTCATATCACATGACTTTAGGATTCAGGATATTAAGTGATTTATACTCACTGAAAGGGTATTCTCATATATTGCCCATGCCTGGGTGAATTGTTCTTATTCTTTCAGAAAGCAATTTGGTAAAATGAATCAAGAACCATAGAATGACCATACCTAATCACACCTATGTGAATCTATCTGGGTGAAATAATAATATAAATAAAAGATTATATGCACAAAGATAGTGCTTATAAACCCAGCACTTTGGGAGGCCGAGGCAGGAGGATTGCTTGAGGCCAGGAGCTCAAGATCAGCCTGAGCAACAAAGATAGAGGATTAAAATAGGGAGAATTGTTAAATAAGCCTTCACTGGAAGATAGGCAAGTGAACTATGGCATGCTTATTAAAGGGATTATTACGCAGCTATTCATTTTGAATGTTATGTGATAACTTAAAATATTTATCCATATAATGGGAAATAAAAAAATAAATGTGAGTATGATCAAAATTTTATTTTTAAATTCATGTACATACAAAAAGGGTCTAAGAAACAGCACCAAAATGGTTTAAAAAAATTAAAAGGTTGGATTTGGGAGACAGGTTCTCTTCTGTTTTCAAGATTCCAGGTATAAGATTGTTTTATTCATTTTAAGGTGTGGGGTTTGGGGTTTGTTTTTCTTTCTGGTTTTTCAGTCTATGGTCTGAATCTCACTCTCTACAATCTTGGTGTGAGTTCCTTCCCAAAGTCACCAAGTAAATCTTCTAGTTCTTTACTTTTTTTTTCATTCTTCTCATTTCTTGGTAAGCACCCAAGTTGAAACACATAATAACATGGTAGATGTGTATTCAGTGGCATGGCCCTGACAAAGTAGAGTATATTTCCCTAACTCTGCCTTCCTCAGGCTTCAAGACCATTAAGAGGAATAACACTGGACACTTAATACACAGCTTTTGTATGTGTTAGGCCCTCTTCTAAGCACTGTATTAGCACTAAGCACTAAGACCCTCTTCTATTCACAGATACTAATTCATTCACTACTCCTGACAATCCTATTATATTATTATCTTTTTTTAATAGGCAAGCAAATCAAGACACATAGGAGTCTTGATAAGGGCAAGTGGGTAACTTACACAGGGTTACCCAGCTAGTTGGTCAAAAGCTGGGATTTGAGCCCAGGAAGTATGGTTCAAGGGTCTCTGCTCCTCTTTGTTGTATTTTAATGTTTTATTTCTCTTTTTTTAACTTTTAAGTTTAGGGGTGCAAGTGCAGGTTTGTCACACAGGTAAACTTGTGTCATGGGGGTTTGTTGTACAGATTATTTCATCACCCAGGTATTAAGCCTAGTACCCATTAGTTCTTTTTCCTGATCCTCTCCCTCTTCTCATCCCCACCCTCTGATGGGCCCCAGTGTGTGTTGTTCCTCTCTGTGTGTCCATGTGTTCTCATGGTTTAGCTCCCACTTATAAGTGAAAACATCCAGTATTTGGTTTTCTGTTCCTGCATTAGTATGCTAAAGATAATGGCCTCCATCTCCATCCATGTTCCTTCAAAGAACACGAACTCATTCTTTTTCACGGCTGCATGGTAGTCCACAGTGTACTACGTTTTCTTTACCCAGCCTATCATTGATGAGCATTTAGGTGGAATGTATTCTTTGCTATTATGAACACGTCTATATACATAAACTAGAAAACTTTGGGGTCTCTGCTCTAATCACCCAAAAGAGGAAGCTTTGAAATAGCTGAACAGACAAGGTTGACAAGCATGTGAAACCCACACAGCTAATTGGTGGCGACGGAAGTGGGACCACTGGCGTCAGAGGGTGGAGGCAGACAAACAGATCTCAGGGGTTCCTAATGTAGGCCCTTCCCCAAATGGAAGTCCCAATCTCTGGCAGCACTTTCTTTCATTCTGGGTGAGAGAATGGCAGATGTAGAATGGCGTCTGAAATATGAGCAATATCCTTTGTGTAAATACAGCATCAGAGAGGGATTAGAGGTAGCTCTTAGCCAAACATGAAAGGCATAAAGGGGCTACACGTTTCCTTAAACCAGGTCTTGATATTTTCTTTACATATTGTTTCTGAAGCAGACTTAATGATTGTTTGTTCTCTGGTGAGTTGTTTCAGATTACAAAGTTGAGGCTTTCCCTAGAATTGTAGACATCCCAGGGCTAGGACAATATTTCCATGGCCGTCTGATCTAGACCCTGCCCATTACTCCACTGCTAACAAACACATGCAATTTCCTATAACAGAATAGGAGGAATGCCCATTAGAAATGATGAGTGAGGTAGCCTGTGCACAAAAAGGTACTGACGGCCCTCTGCTACAAGTGACTAGGTGAAGGGAGCAGGAGTCATATGCAAACACAGTGATAGGTGCAATGATACTAAGCACTGAATTAAACATTGAGTGATTTTTTTGATGGATCTTATTGATGGTTCCCCATTGAGTAAATGTTTAGAATGTTTAGACATTATAGCTAAGATCTTTATTTATTTATTTTTGAGACAGACTCTCATTCTGTTGGCCAGGCTGGAGTAGTGACACAATCTCAGCTCAGTGCAAGCTGTGTCTCCCAGGCTCAAGCAATTCTCGTGCCTCAGCCTCCCAAGTAGCTGGGATTACAGGTGCCTGCCACCATTCCTGGCTAATTTTTGTATTTTTAGTAGAGATGGAGTTTCACCATGTTGGCCAGACTGATCTCAAACTCCTGACCTCAGGTGATCCACCTGCCTCTGCTTCCCAAAGTGCTGGGATGACAGGCATGAGCCACTGCGCTCGTCTTATACCTAAGCTCTTGATCTTTGGTATCCTATGCTTTTAATTCATTAGCCCCAAGTCTTGGAAAGAGACTTCTCAAACATCCATCCCAATAGAAGATCAGGATTATAGTCAAGTAGCCAACAGTGCAAAGGCAGCTGGCCTAAGTTGGGACCCTTCTCATAATAAAGAACTCATGGCTTCCAAGCCACATCTAAAATGATTGTGTTCCATCAGCCTGTACTACATGTGCTCCTGCCTTCAAGCCTTATCGAAAACAACTAGAGGCTCTGCAACTAGAAATACACCTCTCACTCCCTACCGAAATAGACCCAACTTTTGTTAAAAAGCTTTCATCTTATCCAGCCTTATCTGATCAAAGTAGGGGATGCTCTTATATATTCTCCAAGTCAAAATGTAGATATCCTTGACCCAAGTGTCATCGGATACTTTCCATGAAGGAAGACTTTCATGGAAACTATATTCTTAAATTTCAGATTGTACTATTTCCCTTTCAGCTTTATCAATAATAGAAACCATGGAAAGGGGCCTGAGAGATCAAACTTTAGTTTATAGATGAGGAGAGGAATCACAAGGAAAAGAGAACATCATCCTAGAATTATCCACCAAACTGTTGACTGAGCTGCTCCAGGTTCTCCTCCCAGGTCTCTTTCTGCCCCATTCTTCTCAACTTTCATGTGGCACTGAAGGGAACACTGAATAGCCATGAAGCTCATGAAGAAGCAGAGGCTGTCCCAGTCATTTTCCCCAATCCCCTACCTTCCCCCTTCAACCCCACAGACCCCTTGTCTGAACCTGCCCCCAGTGGAAGGCAGGACCATGGGTTCTCACTCATTTCCATGTACTCCGGAGTCAGTCCTGTGTATGGTTCCAAGCTGTAGTCTAGGTCCCACTGCTCTGGATGTTTCGAATGGGCAGAGTCAGTTTCTCCAGCTTCGGTCTCATCTTTCAGCTTTCGAAATAGTTTCTTTAGCTTCCTGGAAAAGAAATGGATTAAGTTACAAAAAGCCTCTGGAGAACAGGGTTGGTTTTGCAGACAGAAAAAAGAAAAAGAACACAAAAGTTTTGACACTAAAGCCATCTCTGATCCAAAAACAAGTAGAGATAGAGAGACACTAAAGAGACTACTTTTCTCCTAAAGGCAACCTGAGGAAGTCCTTTATAAAGATCGTGCAGACTCCCTCCACAAAGGATGAGGTTTCTTCAAACCCCAAAATACTTTTGAATTCTTCCTGCTGTCTGACAAGCAACAAGAGAGTTGGCCCTTCCTGCCAATGCTGAGACGGCACCAGTCCTATTGTCCAACAGGTGATCTATCCACCCTCTTCATGGGGGAACACAGGTCTGTTCTCCTCCTAGGTGAAACATTTTTCAGGTCTCAATAACATTAATAGCATCATCTTTCCATTAAAACCAAGCTAAACATTGCCCACCACTACTATGGACTGAATGATGTCTGCTGAAATTCATTTGTTGAAGCTCTAATCCCCAATGTGACTGTATTGGGAGATATGACTTTTAGGAGGTAATTTAGATTAAATAAGGTCAAAAAGGTGGGGTCCTAATTCAATAGGATTGGTGGCTTTATGAGTAGAGGAAGAGAGAAAGGGATATCTCAAGACCATCTGAGGACACAGAGAAAAGGCAGCTACCTGTAAGAAGAGCCCTCATCAGAAATTCAACCCTTTTCGACTTTGATCTTGAAACTTTCAGCCTCTAGAACTATGAGAAAATAAATTTCTGTCAGTTAAGCCTATGGCATTTTGTTACAGCAGCCTGAGCAGACTAAGACAACTACATTCAGGACTTTTTTGGTGTAGAATGATAATAATGGCCCAATTTCTCAGGGTTGAAATAAGAATTAAGTGAAACAATGTTTATACAGTCCTTAGCACAATATCTGGACACAGTAAGCATTGAATAGATGATACCTGTTATTATTTTTAATACCGAATGCTAAAATACACCTTAGGGTGGAGTTATTTCATACTTCCCATTGATGCACAATGTACAGGGAATGGAATTGCAGTTTTTGCAATTACTTTTTAATGGCAAAAACTGCAATTACTTTAAGCAGCAACCTAATAGTTGGGAGACAGTAAAATGGTAAGAATCAAAGACTTGAAGTGTTTAAACGGGATTTTGAAGTCCATGCTTCATCTGGATGTAGGAACCTCCCCATGTCCCCCAACATTCTTCACCCAAGACCACCCAACCCCTGTGTAGATATTTCCAGAGGAGCACTTCTGGTATGATTAGGCATCCCATCCTTGTTTGAAAGTGCCTCTAACAGCTAATGAAAATCTAATAGTTCAAAATAATGTTTTGATCAGTTTCTGGTCTAATATTCCTATTTCCTATCAAGAGGATGTAGTATAGTGGATAAAAGTCTCATCTTTGGTGCCAGAAATTGTATAAAACCAGATTTCACAAATCACCAACTATATGTCCATGGGCAAGTTATTACAACTCTATAAGCTTTAGTTTTCTTATCTTTAAAATGGAGAAATAAATATTAACTTGCCCACAGGGTGAGTTAAAAGACATAATCTATACAGCATGCTTCATTTAGGGCTTGATACATGTTAAGAGCATGTACCAAGATACATGCTCTGATAGACATTTATCAAGATAAATAAAGATAGACAAATATATCATTGTTCCTATTATCATCTTTATCACAGAAGGATTTAAAGAGTGAGCTGAAATTCTTTAGAATTTCATAAGAAAAATTTCATAGTAAAAAATTTCTAAGAAAAAAGTAAGCAATAATTCTGTGATAATAAAAAATTGAAAAAAAACTAGATGGAGCCTACAGATTCTGAAGCTAAATATGTGAGCTGGTTGTGATCCTGTCTGTGAGTCAGAACAGAAGGAGAAGATGCAGGAAAAATCAAAGAGAGAGAGAAGAAAAGAAGAAAGGAAAGTGAGGGAAGTCTAGAACCAGAATTCAAAGTGAGACTTCTCCTCCATGAACAGTAATCAGACGACGTGTTCAAATCTTTAGTAAAAAATTAGTGGTTTTGATTATACATAGAAAATTGAATATAAACATATATTTATCCACTTCTGAAATGCCACTAAAATACCAATGAATGAATTTTAAAAAGTATAAAACCACAAATTAATGAAAATAGTCATGAATATAGTAGTGTGTGAGGAATGTTGATGAATATCTTGGAAGACGGACAGTGTACGAGGGAGTCAGCAAAGCTGTGTGACTGGTATCAACTGTTCACAGTGGAAGATGGTAGAGAGAAACAAGCCAACTCATGCTGTAAATCTCAGAAAGGCTCAGGAGTTGGAGGCACCAGGTATCCCCAAGGCAGGGGGTGGTGACTGGTCAAAGCTCTGCTTAAGGAACAGTAGACGCCAATGGCTCTGTACGCATGTTGCCTAGGTGACTAGCACTTCCCAATACCAACAGGGGCAAGAAGTTTATTCTGAAGAGAAAAATGAGCCAGGAAAAATCTAGATCTGAAATGAATTCAATAAAATGACAGAAAGATTAAAATCAATACTATCTCTCGGAAAAAAAGTAGAACAGACATAGAAATGGACAATAGGAAAGAAAACATTAAAAAATTAATTGATCTAGGAACTCTTTTTTTTTTTGAGACAAGAGTCTTGCTGCATAGCCCAGGATGGGGTGCAGTGGTGTGATTTCGGCTCACTTCAACCTCTGTCTCCCAGGCTCAAGCTATCATCCCACCTCAGCCTCCCAAGTAGCTAGGACTACAGGCATGCACCACCAGGCCCAGCTAATATTTTTTGTATTTTTAGTAAAGACAGGGTTTCACCATATTGCCCATGCTGGTCTTAAACTCCTGGGCTCAGATGATCCACCCACTTAGGCCTCCCAAAGTACAAGGATTACAAGCACGAACCACCACACCCGGCCTGAAACTCCAACACTTAATCAGAAAGAGAAGACAGAGACAATGGTGGGGAAGAAAGTGCAAAAGAAATAAAAGAAAATGTCCCAGAGGTGAAGGACATGCATTTTCTGATTGGAAGGACCCACTCAGCATAATGGTGAAAAAAAAGCCTCCAGCAAAACATATCGTCATGAGATTTCAGAACTTTAGGAATAATGGAAAGGATTCTAAAAGCTTCCAGATCCAGAGAAACAAACATAGATCCTCTACAAATAATTGGGAATCAAAAATAGGTTACAATTCTCCAGATCAGCCCTTGACACTAGAAGACTCTGCAGAAATGTATTTACATTCAGAAGGCAAATAATTTTCAGCATAGACTCCTATACCCAGCCAAAGTATAGACGAAAGTCAAAGACAGACTAAAGACACTTTTAAGTATGCAAGGTTTCAAAAAAATGAACTTTTTATGCATGCATCCATTCTCATGAAGCTCCTGGAGGATGAATTTCACCAACCAAGGATATAAAGCAAGGAAGAAAACATACAGAATCCAGCAAACAGAAACCCCACAAAAGAAAGAAGGTATTGAAGCAACTCAGCTTGATAGCTCTATAGAAGGTTTAGCAAATGAGCAGTTCTGGTTTGCCCGGGAGAACAGAGGATTCCTAGAAATCATCTCCAGGAAAAAAAAATGTGACTAATAAGACATGTGATGTGTTTGATGAAATAATCTCACTGGCAATGGGGACATTTAAACAAAAGTGACCAATAACGACCAATAAAACAAGAGTGACCAATATAAGAGTGTTATAAAGGGAGAAGTTTAGTGATTATGAGAACATAAAAGTCCTAACCTGGCCTAAGGCAGCGAAGTTCTCTTTGAGGAAGAGATGTGTAAACTAACTTAATTTACTAAATAAATAATTTACTCTTACTATTTAAGACTAAATAATGAAAGATGGTAGAAGAAGAAAGAGAAAGGTGGAGAGAGTGTGAGGGGCAAAGAGGTTATTCTAGGCAGGGAGAGTTATTTATGCAACAGCCTAAGGCAAATGTGAAAATGGCTCATAGAAAGGACTGAAGGGAATTCAAAATGCTTGCAGCATAGAGTACAATCAAGAAAATGATGAGGCCGGGCGCAGTGGCTCACGCCTGTAATTCCAGCACTTTGGGAAGCCGAGGCGGGCAGATCACGAGGTCAGGAGATCAAGACCATCCTGGCTAACACGGTGAAACCCCGCCTCTACTAAAAATACAAAAAATTAGCAGGGCACGGTGGTGGGCGCCTGTAGTCCCAGCTACTCGGGAGGCTGAGGCAGGAGAATGGCATGAACCCGGGAGGCGGAGGTTGCAGTGAGCTGAGATAGCGCCACTGCAGTCCGTCCTGGGTGAAAGAGCGAGATTCCGTCTCAAAAAAAAAAAAAAAAAAAAAGAAAATGATGAAAGGTAAGTCTTGAAAGGTAGTGTAGGCTCATGGCATCAAAGACCTTGTACACCATATTATGCAGTGGTTCAGGCGAGAGATTATGGTAGCAGAGTCTGGGGTGATAGCAACGGACATGAAGGGAAGTAGATATATTTGAGACATGCATAAGAGGTAGAATTAAAAAGTGGATGGTGGATCGTACACAGAAGGGAAGGACAATGAGGAATCAGCGATGATTCTCATGGTCTTAGGGCATGTGTGTGGTTGGTGGTGCCGATGGCTACGATAGAGAATACAACGTAAGAGGCAGTTTTGATGAGGATGAGGAGGAGGAGGAGGAGGAGTTGTTCTTGCCATGTCTAAGTGGGGAAACCCACGAGACAACTAAGTAGAGATGTCCAGTAGGCAACTGCATATCTGTGCCTAGAGCCCTGGAACGATCTGGGACTGATGGAGATCTGAGAATCATCGTGGAAAGAGCGGCGGAAGCCCTAGGAATGAGCAATGCCAACTATGGATAGAGCGTGCGTCAGAAAAGTTATGGGATGGGATAGAGGGAAAGGAGCCTTCAAAGGACAAAGAAGGAGAGTCATGGGAACAGAAGGCAACTGTAAGACTGTGTGGCAAAGGCAAGGGAAGACACAGGGGCTACGGGAGGGGCTTTGTGATCAAAGTCCCATCCAGTGTGGGTAGGTCAAAACAAATGCAGGGGAAAATATCCACAAATAGTCCTGTGAATTTATCATTCCCAGATTTCCTCCTGGATATCCCAGTGACCATTAAAAAAAATAATAATAAAGGAAGTCCCTCCAGAGCAGAATTTAACAGGAATCCTGGAAGTTGTATAACATACAGATGGGCTTTTGGAAACCTTCAGATTACGATTCCGACCGTATGATGCACTCACTCATTAAAGTAACTCCTTTGATGTTACCCCCCTTGCTTTTCTTTTTTTTTTTTAATTTGCTATTTTTCCGTCCCTTTTTAATGACAAGTCTCAGAAACTCTTTCCGGAAGGCTCAGAGCATTCCCTCTGCCTGTGCCCCACAGGGTCACCCCAGGACCATGGTGAGTGTCCATCACACCTTGGGCCTCCCTGCAGCAGGAATCTGGGCCCTAGACAGGTCCCTACAGACGTGGCTCCACAGATCTTTAGCCTCATTAAATAAAGAAGGCAGAACCTAGCCCTAAATGACCAAAGATGAGGAACACATCCACTTCTAAGCTATGTATTCCTATTCCTTTTCCTGATACCTGACAAGGTTCAAATTTGTTCCTTAAACTTCTGATTTATGGCCAGATTCCACTGTATTTGAGGAGAACACAGACCTCCCTCCCGTGTTGGCTTTAAAGAGAGCCTGTTTTATGTCTGGAAATATAACATTTATCACATTTACAAAAAGAAAGCAGAAAGTTTATGAAATCTTACTAGCTGTGTCCAGGGGTACATTTAACAGCTATTTTTGGATATGATCTGGAGCTTTTAGTTAGAATAGAGATGGCGAGACATTTTGACCGTGGCAGTATTGATCTGTCTATCTGCTCTGTCTGTCTCAAAGCATGCCCAGGAAACAATGTGGTACGTGAAAAAGGTGGCATTTACCCTTTCACCAAAAACCCACCTCTCCATATGAGAAGAGCCCATTTCCAATTTTGCTTCGATGTGGACCGGAGCTAAATTTGAGATGGAATTATAGCAAAGAGTTGGGCTGTGGTGTGGCATGTGTTTCGGGGGCACTATGCAGTCTGGATCCAAAGTCTATTTTGCATGAACATATATGGGAAAGGCAAGGTGCAGGGAGGGGAGGAGGGAAATTCCCATCCATGGATTCAGATAATAAATACCACAAGATCAGATTCAGCCACGCTGCTCGCCATGTATGAAGTAATCTCAGAAGGAGATGCGTATGAACATCATCCTGGGGCCCAAAATGTTTAAAACCATCCGATCCTCTCTGGGAAGCATCGGCCACAACTGTGTCAGGCCCCAAGAGCCTGGGGTTGTGTGAGTGGGGACCATTCAAAGCCAGATCACGCAACCAAGTTTTATCTATTATCATGGCATTAGTCACAGAGCTGCCTTTCAAGTGCTCGGTGACCCCATTTTACTGCCTCCCTTTGAAGCATTTTGTTTCCCATCTCCAGGGTCTCTAAGCCAGGCCTAGCAATGATGGGGGCGGCTGCTGCCTGATGGAAGATGCCTGGACAGAGAGTGGGGCTTCCACAGTGGTCCTGTCTGGGGCACCTTCCAGAAGTAGAGGTGGCAGTTCATGTGACCCTTTGGAAGATCCTGCACTTGGCCTTGCATCTCATTAGAGGCCCTTGGGAAGGAGTTATTTAGTTATTTCCTTTGCTGCTCTTGTTCAGTCTCTCTCATTACCATCAAGAAAAAACATCTTTGGCTTGCTACTGGTATGCCTTTGACAACTGCCAGGGCTTGCACTCTCATTTTTTACAAAGAGAAGGCAGATCTTAGTCAGAAAGCCTTGGAGAGGAAATAATGTCATTGATTGTTTAATAATAATGGTTTGTTTTTGTTGTATTTCTTTTCACATCATTTCCTATTTATGGAAACTGATGGTGTTAGTTTTCCAATTTCAGAAATGTGAGGATTTTAATTAAAAAGCAAGTTGGTTTGGAGGAAACTAATATGCAAATAGCTGTTTGCATAGGTAATGGGGGGAAATTTAAAAGTTGATTAAAAAATGACTGAAGAGTGGGAAGCAATGTTCTAATTCAAGAAGCCTGCTAGATTGTAAGATTCTCAAGGCCATCAAAATTATGTTATTTTTTTCAATACACATACATGCACACACACACATGCATGTTTGTGCACACGCACATACAGAATCTAATGAGAATGTTGCACCCTCAGAGAAAGAGATAAATTATAGCTGACTACCTGGCCTACTAATAAGGGTCAATTAGACACTCTTAAACATTTAAAAATTTTCTTTGGAAGAATCTTAGAAAATTGCTTTTAGAAGTAAAGAATCAACTAAAGATGATAAATCTTTTAATTGTAAATTCTTATTACATTTTTATTCCCAAACATTCTTATCCAGCACAATCACCCATCTAACCCCCCAGACTTGCCTCTATTTAAAAAAAAAAAAAACAAATCTGGCCTTTAAAATGAATATGTACCTCCCTTGGGGAAAGAATTCCATGTAGGCTCTGAAGGTACATAAGAGCTGTACTGCCCACTAAAAGCCACTGAGCCAGGAACAGAAGAGAAAACGACTGTCCCTGAGTTGTTCTCTCCGGTTTCACTCCCTGGAGTCCCAACACTTCCAAAGCATCACCGTTAAACACAAAAGCCTATGCCACACAGTAAAATGTTGGCCACCTGGAAACCCCAAGAATGGTTCTTTTTTCCTCCGATGTCCACATTTTATGTTTTCTGGATAGCTAAGCATTTATCCAAGCTGGTTTTTAGTTTAGTTTTGTTTTAACGTAAAAACCTTTTTTTTTTTTAAGTTAGATGGCAATATTTCTAGAATAACTTTGCCAAGGTCACACAGTGAGTATATTGTAAAGCCTGGATTTAAACCCAGATCTGGTAGGCCAGGGATCCCCAATCCCTGGGCCACAGACCAGTACCCGTCCTTGGTCTGTTAAGAACCGGGCCACACAGCAGCAGGTGAGCAGCAGGTGAGTGAGTGAAGCTTCATCTGTATTTATAGCCACTCTCCATCCTCATTAACACCTGAGCTCTGCCTCTTGTCAGGCCGGTGGCGGCATCAGATTCTCACAGGAGCGTGAACCCTACGTGAACTGTGCATGCGAGGGATCTAGGTTGTGTGCTCCTTATGAGAATCCAATGCCTGATGATCTGTTACTGTCTCCCGTCACCCCCAGATGGGACTGTCTAGTTGCAGAAAAATAAGCTCAGGTCTCCCACTGATTCTACATTATGGTAAGTTGTAAAATTATTTCATTATATATTGCAATTTAATAATAATAGAAATAAAGTGTACAATAAATGTAATGCAGTTGAATCATCCCAAAATCACACCCCACTCCCCCGGTCCACGGAAAAACTGTCTTCCAGGAAACCTGTCCCCTGTGCCAAAAAGACTGGGGACCACTGTGTTAGGCCACCAAATCTTTGCCCTACAGATGTGTTGAAAACTACTGGGTCTAATTTTTATAATTTACATGACTCCTTCCTCACTGGCAGGCTCAATCATCATTTCTCTTCTGACTATGAAAGACTTTCTTTTTCTTGTTTATGTTTCATCTGTGTCATCCATGCCAGGTACTTCAACTCTGAGTTGAAGGGGTCTGATTTATTGAGAGTCGAAGATCCAGTAATCATAATCATAGTGATCTCGTATGACCAAACTCAAAATACAACCTTTATAATTGTACAAATTATAAAGAACTTTGGGGATAAAAGATCCTAGGATTTGGCAAAAGAATTTTTGTTCTACATCCTTGAATTTAACTACATAATTATGTTGTACACATCCTCTGGCAGAGTAGAAATTGAAAGGAAACATCTTTTGAAAGAGGGGTGGCTTGTATTTGGAATCAGCAGTGACCAGCTTTGCTCATTCGAGAGAAATTCATAGGGTGTTAGAGCTTGAAGACACCTTACATATGATTTTAATGCCACCATATTCATCAAGAGATGAGGACAGTTAGACTCTGAGAAGCAGCTTGCCCATGGCTTTATGAGTTACTGTGCAATTGCCATTGTTTAAAGGGTGGCATATTTTAAAACATACAAAGTATTAAGCACACATCAGTCATAAACAAGAAAATTTAGCCTTCAAGGCATACGCCATGTGCTATTTTCACCTGTTATGGGGTGGATGGAGTTGAGGGGTGGAGACATGCCAACGTGTTGTCCAAACACATGCCCGAGTTCTTGCCTCTCTTGTATTCTACAAAAGCCTTCTGGGTCCAGAGAGAATGGGCTAAGCTGTAGATCAGATGACCAGGGATGAAAGCTGTAAATAATTCTACTCACAGCAAAATAACAATGTACTGGGAAGGCTGGTGTTTTTCCCAGATGTTTAATTAGGATGAAGACTTTTCTTTATAGCAGTTGTGGAGGAGCTGGCCTCATGGTTTCAAAGGGGCCAGATGCGGCTTTGGTACCATCTGCATATTCTCTGGTTGTTTTTCCATAACAAATGATGTCTCTCTAAGATGGTAAGCTCCTAGAGAACAAGTGTCATCTGCATGGAACAAGAACAAGCATCATCTAGCTTTGCTTGACTTTATCACTGAGTGACTTTCTGTCAGAAAGCAGGGAACGGGGGGCACAGCTTCAAAGGCTGAATTTCTCAAGGTTGCTGACTTCCTGACTGATGACTAGAGGCTGGCTTAGGCAGGGAGGTGGAGTGAGGCAACCAGACACCAATGATCCCGCCAATCCTCCCCAAAGAAAATACATGCCCAAGTGCCCTCTGAGGTTGTCCCAGTACAAGGTCAGAAAAGCACCCTGCATGCTTAGATGACCCAGTGTTAGAAGGGAATGTTGTGGATTCTCATTCCTTGAAGCAGGGCTCTCATTAAAAATGATATTATTTCCAGGTAAATTAAACTGTCTCCATTATAACTTTAGCTCTACAAATATATTTTTGAGGAAGACCAAAAGGGAGCCTTCTCTGAGGACCAAGGGAGCAGGTGGCTGCAGTATAATTTTACATGGAATGGGGGATTGGGATATACATCCTTTAGTGGTTCCATTCAGCCCAAGCAACCTAGGACTCCACAATCTTTCGATAGATTTAGAGAGATTCTGGGCTTTTGCCCTTACCAGGTCCCTGACACACCCCAAGACCCTGGTCAAAGAACTGCCAGCTCATTGGGCCTTACCTTCTCTACCTGTAGCACCAACTGGGTCATAGGTGTTTGTGATAAACCAGAATTAGTCTATTGCTTGTTTAGAAAATGTATATATATATATATGTTTTATACATATAAAAATTTGTATATAAATTTATATCTATATGAAATATAGATATATTTTATAAAATGTATACATACATTTATGTATAAATATATGCATTTATATATTTATATATAAGTATATTTATCTATAATATATTTATATTATAGATAAATATAAATATATTATATATAAATATTTATGTTATATATAATATAAATATATATATTTATATTATATTTTATTTTTTAAGTATATATTACACATACTTATATAAATATATTTATATATACAAATTTATATTACTTATATAAATACTTATATAAATATATACTTATATAAATACTTATATAAATATATACTTATATAAATATATAAATGCATATATTTATACATAAATATATAAATGCATATATTTATACATAAATATATAAATGCATATATTTATACATAAATATATAAATGCATATATTTATACATAAATATATAAATGCATATATTTATACATAAATATATAAATGCATATATTTATACATAAATATATAAATGCATATATTTATACATAAATATATAAATGCATATATTTATACATAAATATATATACATTTTATAAAATATATCTATATTTCATATAGATATAAATTTATATACAAATTTTTATATGTATAAAACATATTTTATGTTTTATAAAATATATATAAAACAAATATATTTATATTTATATTTATAAATATATTTATATTTATATATGTATATATTTATATATATGTATATATTTATATATAAATCTCTGACCAGGGTCTTGGGGCATGTCAGGAACCTGGCAAGGGCAAATACATGTATGTGTACACATATATACATATATATATATATATATATGAAAATAAATAACATGGAAAAGGCCCAGCCTATCATGTTCATGGCCCAGCTGGCCCAGCCCATCAGAGTTGTCCATACACACACACACACACACACACACACACACACACACACACAACCCTAAGGGAAATTATTTCTATAAAGAAAATGATGGCAGTCCATCTTGTAACATATGATGGTGGTAGTCTTCTTTCAAGACACAGACACATCCTGGAACAAACTTCTCTGCTTTTTTTTTTTTTTTTTGAGACAGAGTCTTGCTCTGTTGCCAGGCTGGAGTGCAGTGGCATGGTCTCTGCTCACTGTACCCTCCACCTCCAGGGTTCAAGCAATTCTCCTGCCTCAGCCTCCCAAGTAGCTGGGACTACAGGCGCACACAACCACACCCGGCTAATTTTGTATTTTTTAAGAGAGATGGGGTGTCACCATATTGGCCAGGCTGGTCTCAAATTCCTGACCTCGTGATCCGCCCACCTCAGCTTCCCAAAGTGCTGGGATTACAGCGGTGAGCCACCACACCTGGCCAGAAACCTCTCTGCTTTTGAAGACTTCTTTGACTGCTCCCAAACTCCTGACCTTTACTTATTCTGAATTCTGAATTCATACATAGAATATGCGGTTATATGCAGTCTATTTTGTCTCCCAGACTAAAAAGTTAAGCTCTGAGAAGACAAGGGCCGTTTCATCTACATTTTTCTTTTACTGTCTTAGCCATATGAGCCATGAGATAGAGGCAGTGGTGTCCCCTGCAAGTCCCCCTACAGTGTAAACAGTGTTATTCCTGGTTATGTAGCTCAGGGCCTACTCTCTGGCCTTTAAAGAATACAGTATTCTCTGTCAGCCACTTTATTCTGAAACAAATGCCTTTGTTGCTTAAAGTAGCCACCCTGAATTCCAACTGCTGCAGCTAAGAACCCTGGGCAAACATGAGGAAATATATTTGGAAAGAAAGTGATTTTAAAAGGTTCATTATTGGAGGACTTCTCAAAACAATTAATGTATCTCTAAGAGGATGAAAAATGTGTCACAGAATCTTATGGGTCCTGTCTGACGATTACACCCATCCCAGAATGGTCATCTTTAAAGTGATTTTCGAAGAACCCTGGGCCTGGAACAAGCTGTCCATCCTATCCTCCTAAGCAGAACTGGCCCAGCCTCTCAGTTACCCCTGGGCATCTCTATCATTCCCTAGCTTTCTGATGCTGGGCTGCCTAAAAGCATCCCCTGAAACAGATTCTTCTTCAAAGCCACCAGGCAATAGGAAGGAAAAGCAGAGGGGGTTACATTTTTCTTTGACCTGTAAGCATATTTTAACTTGCTCCATCTTTCTTTCTTTTAGGTCCAGTATAAAGTGAGTCCGTGTTTATTTTCATGACTATCTAAATGCAAAACCTGATTGAAAGAAGTCCTATGACATTTTCATAAAACCCTGGGGAGCATAGGGGGGAATCCACATGATAATAACTCATTCACCAACTATTCCACCCTCCCCTCCTAAGATTATGTATTCCACATTTTCTTCGTATAGATTGTCCTAAATGATTCCATTACATTTCAATAATTCACATTCATCTATCCACCATACTGAACATCTCTTTTACTTACTCACTGAGAGGACAAATAGCATTAAGATATTATGCACTCTGGGGGCCAAGACATCTGACTCCTGGCTCTGCTACTTACTAGTTATGTGTACTTAAGCAAAGGGTAAATCCTTCTGAGCCTCCAACATCTCAAATCAGATTGGCAAGCAAAGTTTGCCCCATGGGGAAAGTTATTGGCAAATTGACAGAGAATTAAATCACCAAGCTGTCTAAGAAGAGGAAAGGCCATAGAAAACCTGCTGAAAGGCTGGCACTTCTGGGCTAACCCCTGGCAGCAAGGAGAGAGGTTAGAGGAGTTCATTACATACGGGACTCCAATCTCAAAGATGTTGTTCTGGATCAACTGCTTCCCCAACATGATGATGCTGAGCTGAATGCAGAGCTCCATGAGACAGCCCCCTGGAGCACACTGCAGGGAGAAGATAAGGAAAGGACCGGTTAGAACAAAAGGGAGCTCTGAGAAGCAGGGGCGCGAATGAAGCCATGCTGTGCTGGAGATAAGAATGGGGCTGGGTTGGGGTGCCAGGCATGAAACACCAGTGGCTGTACTTGCCTCTTCCATGCGGTAACCATCGAATACATAGACGTAGCTTCCAGGCCTGCCCACAAACCTGAAATCAAACAGTGTGGGAAGAGTTAGGGGAAGAGAAAGCATGCAGGGTGGCTCAAGGACATGTCTTCTGAGGGGAATACCACCACCACTGTCCTCTTCGAAAGCACTGGTCAGGGCGAGTGCTAGATCACTCAGGGATAGGAGTGCACACTGTTATCAGCAAGTAATCCCCTATAACACCTGGGGTTCACTTCTTAACCCAGTCAAATGTCAGACGATAGGAATAAGCTGGGCAGAGGATGAAGCTGGGCCTGGTGTGTGTGCGTGTATGTGTGTGTGTGTGAGCCTAAACACCATGCAGTTTGGATTATCTCTAAGTGCACTGTCGTCACACCTTCTTCCCTAGCTGGTGTCAAGAACACAGCTCTGGTTGCAACTCCTTAGTAAGAGTTTCTGATTCCCAGGAAAGCGAGGGTGAGATGGACTAAAGTTGCGAATAGAGATTCCTGGGGTCAGAAAAGAAAAATCTTGACTTCTTGCTGAAAATATTCAAAGGAATAAAAGAAGCTTGTCTCATTCCTCTTCTAAGTAGAGTCTATTTTATTGGGGGACAATAAGACTGTGCAGGTCGGGGAAGCAAAACAGTAAAAGCCCACCATGGAACCAGACAGACAATCAGAATAATCCTACTTACTTGCAGGGTCATCCCTGTGTTCACCTGTTGAAATCCTACTCATCCATTTAAGGCTGTGTAAGCCTTTCCTTTGCTGAAGTCTTCTTGTTGTCTCCGTTCATAACTGTTCCCCCAACACTTTATTTATACCTCTTATTAGATCACTTACTGGATAGAATCACTTACTGGAGATGATAGTGTGCTGTTGCTAAGGCTATCTCTTCTAGTATAGCACAGTTCTTCTAAGCCTCAGGATCCTTTTTTCTTGCCTAAAACGTCATATGCATGTAATTTGCTACTGCCACGAAATCGACATTGAAAGCACCAATGAAGTGTATACTTCTTAATATGGACAGTCTCTCTGCTTCCATAATTTCATGACAGCCAAGGGGAGAGGTCCTGAGAAGGGGGCTGTGGTTTGGATGACAAACACCTCTGTAAGAAATTATCAAGTGTGGATGATGACAGCTCGTGCTATTAGTGCCTGCTTAATGAACTTTTAGTTCTAGGGAAGCTTTCCTGATGTTGTTGGTTGACGCCTATTGGGAAATTTCCTTGTAAGTAGCCAACTGGCTTGATCATAAAAAATATTTATCAAAGTGATTTTACATCCAGACTGACTGTAAAATAAAGAATTTCACTGGCCTTTGTCCCCGATTCCTGCATGAACATCTAAATCCTTGGAATTTCCCTCCATAGGAGTATCTTTGTTATTCCTGGCAGACCCCTAGGACTATACCTAAATTTAGGCTAATGAGATTACTCAGGATGGGGGCAGGCCATGCCAGAAAGATCAACCATGTTGGTTGAGGCTCTGAGTCATGTGATACTAGCCCAATCTCAGGGCAAGGGAAGGGCATTGGAGATCGAGTTCACTCACATGGCAAATGATTCCATCAATCACAAATGACTGATAGAATCACAATCCAGTGTGCCAGGAGGGTGACACATCCTGAGGACATGGAAGCTTCATGATTAAGAACCTCCTAAACCTGGCTCTATATGTCTCTTCCATTTGCTGATTTGGATTTACATCCCTCTACTACTATAAAACTTCAGTTGTAAGTATAGCACATTTCTGAGTTCTGTGAGTCATTCTAGTGAATTATTGAATCTGATGGAGTAATGAGAGCTCTGGAATTATAGCCAGTGGGTCATAACTGCCGGTGGCCTGAGAATCCCAGAGCTTGCCACTGGTGTCTGAAATGAGGGAAGTCTTGTGAGGGGCCGTGCCCTTAACCTATGAAATCTGTATTAACTACAGGTAGTTGGCATCAGAATTGCATTACAAGATCCAGGAGCCACTGGCTAGACATGAAATTCCCTCCTGCCTCATCCTCAAAGTTGAGAGACACAAATTCTTTCAAAACTCTCTCTTCAGGGACCACAGCCAAATCCCTGTAAAGTGCCAGGGTCATCAGAGTCTGAAGATGCTAATTCAAAATGATTGCCTGCTAACATTCCTTCTCCATGGGAAGGCAGGTGAAAGTGGGGCGGAGAAGGGGCTGACGCTGAGTGGACAATGGGGACAGGCTGACCCTATTGTCCTGACAGTAGAGAACCCAGTCTTAGTGGCAAATTGCCTTTCTACACATGACACCATTATACTCACCTCCCTTTGAAAAAGGCCACATAGAAGATGGGGGAGTAGGCATTGACAAACTTGAGCAAGAAAGCTTTGAGGATCAGGCGCTCTTCAAAAGTCTGTTCTGTTTTCGGAACCTCTGTAAGAGAAGAGCGAGGCTGATGAGATTGGGGTGAGATTTCTCACCTCTCCAGAGTTTTGACCTAGACATGAGCTACTATCTCTCAGCTGACTCCTTCACAGCAAAAATCACGAGACCCATCTCTCTGGCACATTAGAACTGAAGTCATCTGGGAGGCCCCAGGTGGTCTGCCAGGTAATACGAAGTTACAGAAGGATAAAAAATATAGGATCACTGTCTTTCTCCGTCCACCTTCCTCCTCTTGTCTACTCAAGGAGTGGTTTCACACCGCCCTCCTCAAAGAGGGCCATGAGCATGCAGAGCTTGCAACCACCCCCTTTTCTGCACCAAGGGGAATTCAGTTTTCACCTGTGTCATTTCCACTTCCATGAGATTTTACTTGAACCAAGGTCCCTGGTCAAAAAGCTTATTAGCCACTGAACTAGAGTTACAAGGGTACCATGACTTGATTCCTCTTTCTCTCCTTCATTTTTAGCAGAAAAAATGCTGAATGAATTTGAGCATTAATTTGGATGAATGCAGGAAAGCATTCATCTGCATGTCCTGTGGGGAACCTAAGACACTTCCCAGTCATACACTCAAATGATAAAGGCTTGTCATAGACAAGATGAGTGAAACAAACAGCTTGAGCCTAAGGTTTGACTCATAGGTCACGGGCCCTGGGTGTTCTATCAGATCCAAGCAGAGGAGTCAGCTGGCATTCCCAGAAGGACTCAGAGACACTGAGCAGAAACCTCAGAGGTGCCTTCAGAAGACTAGAGACACAGGAACCAGTGGACAATGGTTCAGGACACTTCCAAGGGACTCCACAGACAGTGACAAATGGCATGACAAGGACAAGAGGTGACAGGGTGATCTTAGTCCATTTGGGATGCTATAACAAGCTACCATAAACTGAGTGTTCAAGAAAACCTGGCATTTACTTCTCAAATTCTGGAGGTTTGCAAGTCTGAGATCAAGGTAGATTTGGTGTCTGGTGAGGGCCTGTCTTTTGGCTTATAGACAGCACCTTCTCACTGTCCTCTCATGGTCAAGGGGAAAGGCATCTCTCTCAGGCCTCTTACATAGGACTCTTTCCCATGTATGTGTGCTCTGCCCTCATGGCCTCATCACCTCCCATACACCACACCTCCTAATACCATCACCTTGGCAGTTAGAATTTCAACATAGGAATTTTGGGGAACACAAGTATTAGGCTTATAGCACAGGGCCACAGTCTTCAGAGGTAGAAGAAAAGCACTAATACTACATCATATGGACCAAGAAGCACAGCCTGAAAGTGGACTAAGCACAGATACATGACAACAGGGCCATGCCAGCTGAGGAGTTCTGCGTCCAGATGAGACTAGTGTATGGGCCCCCTAACTTGCCTGCTCCACAAATTCACATATAGCTTTTGTAGGAATCGCTGAAGAAATGGACACAAAACTTTGTTTCTTCCAAGGAATACCCTTCCCTCACCCATCACCTTATACAGAAATCCTTTATATCCTTTAATATATAGGTGAGTTACTACCACACTCTCCAGATCAGACTGTACAACACTCTCCAGATCACACAGTACCACATCCTCCAGACCACACAGTACCACAATCTCCAATTCACACCATACCAAACTCTCCAGATCACACAGTGCCACACTCTCCAGATCACACCATAACACACTCTCCAGATCACACAGTACCGCATCCTCCAGACCACATAGTACCACACTCTCCAATTCACGCCATAGCACTCTCCAGATCACAGTGTACCACCTTCTCCAGATTACACCGTACCGCACTCTCCAGATCACACTGTACCACACCCTCAAGATCACACTGTACCACACTCTCCAGACCACAGTGTACCAACCTCTCCAGATTGCACCATACTGCACTCTCCAGATCACACTGTACCACACCCTCAAGATCACAATGTACCACACTCTCCAATTCACACCATACCAAACTCTCCAGATCACAGTGTACCACCCTCTCCAGATTACATCGTACCACACTCTCCAGATAACACTGTATCACAACCTCAAGCTCACACCGTACCACACCTTCTGGATCACAGTGTGCCACACTCTGCAGATCACACTGTACCACACCCTCAAGATCACAATGTACCACACTCTCCAATTCACACCATACCAAACTCTCCAGATCACAGTGTGCCACCTTCTCCAGATTACGTCGTACCGCACTCTCCAGATAACACTGTATCACAACCTCAAGATCACACCGTACCACACCTTCTGGATCACAGTGTGTCACACTCTCCAGACCACACTGTACCACACCCTCAAGATCACGATGTACCACACTCTCCAATTCACAGCATACCAAACTCTCCAGATCACAGTGTGCCACCTTCTCCAGATTACGTCGTACCGCACTCTCCAGATAACACTGTATCACAACCTCAAGATCACACTGTACCACACTCTCCGGATCACAGTGTGCCACACTCTCCAGATCACACAGTGCCACGCTCTCTTTCCGGAAGCGTTACTACATGCCTTCAGCAGGTAGTTATTTTTTTGTTTTCTTCCGTTATGCTTTATATGTCCCTGTGTTAACTACCCACACCCACGCCCTTTGAAAATTGACAATAGTCATTATCACTGATTCCTCAGTCCATGTGTTTGGATTCTCCCTAAGGCGAGGATTTAGGAGGAAGTGGTTTATTTGAGAGGGGCTCCCAGAAAGCTTTGTGAAGGAGTAGGATGGTGAGAATGAGGAAAGTGGAAACCTAAGATAAATGTGCTCATGAACAGGTTAATGCTGCATCAACTGGGGTTCAGTCCCACTGGAGACCTCCTAAGAAACTGTGTGAAGCACACCTCCAAATTTGCACACTGAAAGGGGAGACCAAACAGGAGCCCCTCCCTGCCTGAAGGTCACCTTTGGGGCTAACTCCCTGGCTCTTCCAGCCTGTCCTATGCACAGGTGAACCTGCTCCCACAATCAGAGAACGCCCATAGACAGAGAGTGGGAGGAAGCCATTGGTGCAAAGAGGAACCATCTGAAGGTCACCTCCAGCGTGGGCCAATGGGAGGTGGGTGCTGCACAAAAGCGTCTGCTCCCATCCTCTGTGTATGACAGAAGGCATCATACGTAGGTGTGCACTGTCATTATCTCACTTAATCCTCACCTCCCTGGGTGAGCGAGGTATTACATTTCACTTCTGTGGATGAAGGGAATTGAGGCCCAGAGAGGTTACAGCCTTGCTCAAGATCACACAGCAGATAAGTGACAGGTGTAAGATGTGAACCCAGATCTGCCTGCCTCAAAAAAACTAGTTTTTAACAACACCACTTTTTGCAATCAGAATGTCTGACCCATTATTGTTTTCATCAAACACTCTCTTTCACCTCCCCACTTTCCACTCCCAGTCTAACCTGATGCGCCTAAGAAATATTTGTACTTGGCAGGTCACATTCATCAAGCACCAGCTGTGTGTCAGGTGCCAGGCCAAAATGAATGAAGTTTTCCCCTTCCTTCAAGGAGCTTCACTGAGCAAGGTCTCTGTGGAGAGGCTTTTGCTCACTGCCAAGTCTCTCCCAGATTGACCTGTCAGCAGCAGAGTATCATCTCCCGTCTCATGGCAGAAAGAGTCTTAGGGAAAGGCTGCATTGCCATGTTCCAGTTTCCCACACAGCACAGTGAGCCCTTAATTCACTGCCAATCCTACAACACTGTCTTCAATATTAGGAGATGATGCTGCTGGCAGTGATGACTGCTCTTACTGGTGCATTACCAACAACCCTCTCACACTGCACAACTGCATGTGTAAAGATGGCCCTTTAGAGGAAGATCAAAGCATGTAGGCCTCCCCTGAGTCTTGGAGAGCCTCTAATGTGTCCAAGGCTTGAAGACCACCAATGTAGGGGTCTCTGTATGGGGACTAAGCTGCCAGAGAAAACTCAATGGGATTGAGAACTGTAGTGAATAGGATTACTTTGCCGAGCATCTTCAACCGCATAATGCATTGTTTAGGAAATACCGTATTTGGTAAAAATGTTGTAAAAGATTTAATAGAAATATAGGTAGACACGTACAGATTTTAATATTAAAAATTCATCTATAGCAAGGGTTATTGCAGGAAGAATAACGCTGGAGGACAAGAGCAGACCCACAAGAGTCCTACTTGTGTGAGGCCTCCCCAGCCTCCTGGGTGAGATAGGGAGGCAGAGATTGGCCAGGGGCTCATCACACGCATTCCCTCCTCCTGGATACACAGCTAGATGGGGGCAATATGAAGGAGCTGTGGCCAGACAGACATGAGTGGAGGTGGCGTATGCTGCTTCCAAGCCTGGGCCTTAATTTTTCCTGTGAGGTCCTCTGCTCTCTCTATCTCTCTTCCCTCATCTCCTGTGGAAAATGTCAATAGTACCACTGGAAAGAGGAAGCCCAGATTCCTGAATTGCCATGTGGAACGCTGTCCTCCAAACGTCTGGCTTAACTACAATAGAAGCAAGAACTAAATATTGGAGGTTTACAACATTTCTCCTGAATGTGCTCCAACATTTAGACGTGCTGAAACTGAACTACTGCAGCTGGCGAGGGAAACTGGGACAGGCAGGTCCTGAGGTACCACTTGTAACTTTCCTAAGTGAAGAGAAAGACTTGCCCCAACTCAAGGCCTCGTAAAGTATGGACACTGTTTCTGAGCAGGCCCAGAGGTCACTGAGGGTGGCTAGGGCCAAAGTCCAAGGCCTATATGCCTGTTGAACCAGTGGTCAGTTGTAGGTGAGGAGAAATGTGTTTGAGAGAAACAGTGTTTGAGTGTGACACTCTAATACCGTCTAGTATAAATCACTGGGAATTGATGCCAACATTATCCAAACAGCACATCCTCCAAAACTGAGCAAGTTAAACAACATTTTGGAGTTCTAAGAAAGACCTGCAGTAATTCAGAGAGGAAATTTCTAAGCTGTAGATACAGTAGTAAAACAGTATTAGTGGAGAAAGGCAGCAGAGCCAGGGGACCAACAGCATCTGTCATAGTCCAAGCTTGATCAGAGACCTATTAAAGAGACAGGCAGGGGTGAGACCCTAGGACCCACAGCCCTGGGAAGGGACTTGAGAGTGGGAAAGCTAAGCGATCCTTTGGCGCTACTTTGCAAAGAGCATTGCCCGCTAGGGAATCTGGAGACAGCAGTGTAAATCTACAGGGGTTGAATTGGAATTCTACAGGGGTTGAACTGGAATTCTACAGGAGTTGAATTGGAATTCTATAGGGGCTAAATTGGAATTCTATAGGAGTTGAATTGGAATTCTATAGCAGGAGTTGAATTGGAATTCTACAGGAGTTGAATTGGAATTCTATAGCAGGCGTTGAATTGGAATTCTATAGGAGTTGAACTAGAATTCTATAGGAGTAGGAAAAGCCTTCCGTGATATTCCTCTGCTGGTGGAAAGCTTTGTGGTTTTCTCCTTCCGGTCCTGCCTGGGTGGGTATGGCCCCCCGAGATAAAAGACCTGGGTGATCCTGCACTGCTTCACCAAATAATCATCTGGATAATGATCTGTGCTCACCATTTACAGCTAGCGCTGCCGCTTCTGTCATTTCTTCTATAGTTATGTATGTTAGCAAATGCCCCATAAGATCTTTAGCTTCTTAGGCCTTTCCCCTCTCTGCCACCAAGAGGCCAGGTCCTCCCTGCCTGATTTGTGCATATCAGGTCCTCACCAGCCTGAACGTGCCACATCCCCATCTTTGGCCTGATTCTCATTCCCCTTAACTACAGGAGACAATTCTGAGGCCCAGTGGAAGTGTCTGCCATTGAAAGGTCACTTTCGGTTTCGAGATCTCATCACTCTGCACCCTCATGTGACTCTGAACCCTCGCGCTCGCCACACTCCCACTCTTGCCCCACCCCCGCATACAGTTTGGAGGGCTTCTCTCCATAAGCAAAGTCCCAGAGAGACATCTTCCAGGCAGACCCCAGCTATTGCCAGATGTGCTCTACTATGAACATGCATTGAATAAATGAATGAGTGAATGAATGACAGGAAAAATGTGTTTGGAAGAATGAAAAAAAATTTTGTCCCATATTAAAAATTCCCTGTCGTATTCCAAGGAGGACAAATTCTAAGGAGGGACGTCTTTTTCTGAGCAGATGACAGGTGTAACCATATGACAGGAGCAGCCAGAAGACTCAAACTCACCGACCTAACATAAGAGGCGGGGGTGCTGGAGTTGGAGGCAGGACCCGGAAGGGTGAGGGCCAGTGCGATGGGAGGGGAAGGGCAGAGAGGAAATGGACTGACAGGTGCGGGGAGGGCCCGCTGGGAATTTTCATTAAGTGCTGCTGTGAGGTTTGCAGTGTGACCTCTTCGTGTGCCTCTCCACAGAATCTTCAATCATGATTCCTTGAAATTGTTCTGGATTCACTCTTGGGGGACTGCTGAAGGACTGGGTTCTACTTCCAGATGAGCATGGGGAAGGAGCAGAGACTGATCTGGGTAACCAACGAGAGAGATTAGGGAAACAGGCAGACACCGTGGAAGGCAGAGGAGGAGAAGAGGAAGAAGAAAGAGAAGGGAAGGGGGAAAAAGAAGGAGGAAGAGGGAGGAGGGATGAAAGGAAAGGGAAGGAAGAAAGGGAGAACTTTTCAATAGGATGTTTTTTCTTTTTCTTTTTCCTTTTTTCAATAGGAATTTGAGCCTCTGTCCAGGGTGCCTGAGGCATCCAATTTAACAACAACACAATCACATCTCATCTCTCTTAAATATTTTGGGGGCAAGAAAATTTAAGCCCATGTCACCTAAAAAAATAAGTAATCAGATCTGAGGGTCCGAAAATTTGGAAAACATATCTTGAAAACATATCTAGAAGGTGATCAGGATGAGATGTGGAGTGGCATATGTCTTTAATTTTATTTTATCATCCCCTTTGAACTGTGTGTCCTCAGATCTCCCAGTCCCTACAGCAATTCCCTCCAAGTTCCCTGCAAAGAGGATCTAGTCATTTCAGAGGCCTTTCCTCCAACTGGAAATGAGTGATTCCCTTCCTCCATACTGATAAATCATAGGCCTGGCTATTATTTATGAGTTTTACTTCTAAAAAACAGCCTGTGCCTGTGCTTTAGGGCCATGAGCCACCATAAACAAGGAGCATTTCCAATAAACGATCCAAATCCATGTGACAGGCCACAAAATCAGCTCGGTGCCCCAGCTTGGAGCAGCTCTGAGTCACAGTGTGTGCTTGGCCGAGACTTCTGGGAAAGGGGCCTCAGGGAAGCACCTCCCAGTGAGGGAACAAATGAAGGTTTGAGGCAAGGAGGGATGCCACAGCCTGGAGTGCCACTTTGACTTTTGGATCTCTCTCACAAGCCAACACAGAGGGCCTCACCTGCCTAGGACAGAGACTACATGGCTGAAGAAATGGAGCAAGTGGGCAGGTGCAGTGGCTCATCCCAGCACTTTGGGAGGCTGAGGAGGGCAGATCACTTGAGGCCAAGAGTTTGAGACCAGCCTGGCAAACATGGCAAAACTCTGTCTCTACTACAAATACAAAAATTAGCTGGGCGTGGTGGTATGCAGCTACAATCCCAGCTACTCGGGAGGCTGAGGCGTGAAAATCTCTTGAACTCAGGAGGCAGAGGTTGCAGTGAGCTGAGATCGTGCCACCGCACTCCAGCCTGGACAACGATGCAAGGCTCTGTCTCAAAAAAAAAAAAAAAAAGAAACGAAAAGAAAGGAAGGAAAGAAATGAAGAAATGGAATGGAGCAAGTGTTTCCAGAGGCCAGGTGGGGTGGGGTGACATCTGAGGTTCAGGAAGGGCTGTCTGCATCTCAGGCCACTAGGCAGGATTCCTCATAAGACAGACTTCTGGAGGGGTCTGAATCTCAACCCCATGAAAAAATGGTCCAGCCTTGTGCTTTGAACAACTCCAAATAAAGTACCTTCAGATTGCATGGCTATGGGGATACGATGGAGGGGAATCTAATGGAGAGAGGGTGAGGAGATAGGCAACCCTCTCTATTATTCACGTGCCCCCTAACATAGCACCTCCGCCGGGAAGCACCCCAGGTTGATTAGAGGCCATCTGAAAGTTTCACCTGCTTCCAAACTGTGGAGCAGGATCCCAACAAAGAGGGCAGACTCCACTTCCCGCCAGAAAGGACAATCGGGAATTTCTGTGCAGAGCCATTCCCACCATCAGCCCTTTTCTTTTACGTGTTAATCCTCTGCTGCATCGTGTCATGAAAAAATATGAGTGCAAATGACCCAGCTGTAAACTGCCTTGGAAAACAATTAGTATGAAAGCCCAGCTTCATCCCAGGGGGCCAGCTCAGGACTGAAAGTCCCCAGAGCTCCATCTTAATCCTATGGAAACAGCATGGCCAGGAGAGGACGCCAGCTGCAGGCTCTGAATCTTGGAAAAGCAGCTCCTCCTGACTGGTGTCTTCGACAGCCCAGCTGGCAAATGCATAACGATGGCAGCAAAAAAGAACAAGAAGATGCCCAAGCAAAAGTGCCTGCTCTTCCCCTTACCTCTCCCTAAGGCAGGTCATGCCTTTGCAAACAGCAATGTTTGCTGACAGCACAACCAACTGGGCTGCCCTTCATTTGGGAATGGGGGGTGGGTGGAGGGACTGTCTGGGTACCTGGTGTCATGCTGTTGCCCTGGTAGTGCCATGGGTAGGGTGGAAATCACCCTAGGAGAAGCCAGCCAGCTGGGTAACAAGGCAGCCAGCGCATGACCTGAGGGAGCTGAAAGCCCCTGAACTGGGGATCTAGAGGGTGTGCCTGAGATACTCCTGTGGCCCAGAGAGCTTCCTAGCACAGGGGGCCTATCCCTCAGAGTCAGAAAGGTAACTCTTGCCCCTATGCAAAGGAGCATGAGACCTACTGAGCTGGCTAGCAGCCTAGGCCAGGGTGACAGCACCCCCAGCACATCTCCTTTTAAGAAAAAAGGGACCTAAACAGGAAGGGAGCACTGGAGAGAGAGAGAGAGAGAGAAACAGACAGACAGACAGACAGAGAGACAGACAGACAGAGGCGTATTCTGTTATAGGCCAATCATGAGAATCCTCCTATATCCAGCACCTACTATGTGCCAAGCACCATACAAGCACTTGACAACTTCCCTAAGATTTTTCTCCCTGTGACAAGGACAGGAGTGAGGAGAGAGCAGGAAGGTGTGCCCTGTCCCTGATCACAGACACCCCCAACACCCCTGGGTCATCTGGCAAATGCACACACTGGTCTAAAACCTGAGGGAGGAGGCATACGGTCAGTCCATTCTCAGCCCACCCCTCATGTCTTCCCAGAGGAAAACAACCCACAGGAAATTCTCCTGCCTTTCCCACCATTATCTTTTCTCATTCGACAAATATCTACTGAGGATGATCATGTGCCTGGTGTTGGGCCCCAGCTGTGCAGTGGTGGACAATCCAATCAGCTCCCGCCGTGTGGAGCTCCCAGTCTAGAAGGGTGAGGGCGACAACTGCAACCGTTTTAGATTTAGAGAGCGGTGAGTGTTGAAGGAATATGTAGTGAAATGAGAAGCAGAAGGAAAGGGCGATGGGAAGGCTGTTTTGGTCAGAGTGGTCAGGAAAGGCCTCTGAGGAGGTGACCTCTAAGCTGAGACCTGCAGGGTAAGGAGGAACCAGCCCCAGGGGCTGGGGAGAGCTCTAGGGGGACGCATCAGCCTGGGCAAAGTCTTGATGGAGAGCCCCAAGGCTGTGCAAGGAACTGGCCAGTCCACACAAGCGAAGCATCCTGAGCCTGGTGGAAGTACTGGGAGGGGGAATTGGAGAGGAAGGCCGGAGAGTAAATGTGTGGCTCTGTGAGCCACAGGAAGTACAACGGGAAGCTGTTGTAGATTTCTGAACAGGGGAAGGATGTGACAAAATTAAATTTTTAAAAAATCACAGAAAGTGAATGGTGTGGGGGGGAGTGCGGCACAGAGACAGAAGTGGAAGCAGACAGACAAATTGTGAGTGTGTTGTTGTCCAGGCACAAACCAGTCAATATGAGGATGAAACTTGTGAAAAATGGTCAGATCTGGGATATGTTTGAAGGTAGAAAGAACAATACTTACCAGCAGACTGGATCCTAGGGGTGAGAGAGAGAGAGAGAGAGCTCCAGGGAGTGAGAGTGCCAGGGAGAGAGAGAAAGAGAGAGCCAGGATAGCACTTGGACTTTGAAGTGAGCATTTGGGTGGCTGCTGGTGCCATCTCCTGAGATGGGAAGAATCGGTGAAAGGCACCAGGTTTGGAGGAAAAATTAAGTTCTCAAAGTTGGACACATTAAATTCTTGGCCCCTATGCTTCTCCTTGGCCCCTGTGATTCTGCTCCCCAAAACCCAAAACCCCCAAACCCCAGCTCATGACCCAAGGCCATTAGAATATTGTTTGAACCGAGAATCATCCTTCGAAGTAGCCAGCCAGCCTGGAGGAGTCAGCACCTCAAGCAAATCCAAGCCTCAACGTCAAGGTTGGACTGGGTGATTTCCCAGGTTCTTCCTGCTTCTGGTCTTCTGTGCTCTACAATATGATTCACGAGGCTTTGACGGAAGACTAGAGGGGGACTCTGGGCTGGAAGTCAGAAGACCTTTCTGTCTAAGAGTCCCCAGATAAGGGAATTTATCTTTCTGAGCCTCAGTGTCCTAATTCATAAAATGGTACCTTCCTTCAACATTTGTTGGGAAATAAAGCATGGAAAGCATCAAGCATGGTGTAAGGGCTCAAAGATTTGCTCTTATTTTGATGGCACAGCAAGGCACTGCAGAGATTTGCACATTTGTTTCCACTTCCTTAGTAAAAGAAGTGTTAGCAAGTTAGCTAAAAATCCCCTACAGAGCTCTCTTAGAAGGTTGGGGAGTGCATTTTGGCATCACTTGGGGTGGTGAGGTCCCTAGGAATCTCGCTGAGGGCCAGGGAGGTGAAATAGGCAATCACAGGATCTGTTGCGTTTTGAAGATTGAAGGTGGCAAGCTGTGTGCTCCCAGGGTGAGTTCCCAGGGAGAGCAGGGGCCCTTGCTATGGGTCAGGGTGTCGGATGGCATCCTGGAGATGCGGGTGGAGGTAACATATGTGTCCTAGAAACAGGAAACCCTGACAGCTGCAGCCCCTAGACTGAGCCCAGCCTAAAGGAGAAGACTGTCCTCCCTGGAAGAGCCCATGCTGTCCAGGCCTGGAGTACGGAGGGGCCACCTCAGCCGCAGTCCAGCCTCTCCCATCAGAGGGGTGGGGCTAGTGTCCAGCAGCAATGTTCCATAGGAGTGAGACCCAAGGAGCGAAGGGCAGGTTCTACCCAGGCATCTCCATGTTTAACTTCGGATGTTGGCCTGACCCCTCTACCACTGAGGATTGCAGCAGGAAACAATTCCCCTTGGATGGTTCAAAGGAAGCGACTCTAATGAAGCCCTTACTCACAGCAGTGAAGAGACAAGGAGAGGAAATGGCATGGCTGATGCCCAGGAAGAACCAAGAGGGAGAATTCATCCTGCAAGAGCTGCAGTTATGAAGAGATGAATTTTCTCCAGAGATGTGGGAGCATCAGGGAGAAGCAGAGGAAAACACCCCAATTCCCTAGTGAGGGAGAAAAGGTGCAAACAAAGGAGGAGCACCACAGCCCTTCCTTCTCTTCTGGATGCTTTAGTCCCTGGGCTCCTAGAAAATCCAAAGAGAAAGACAGGAAGATATTGGACTTCTTGCTAACAGAAGAGATGAGTGCTGCAAGGACTTTGCAGGGAAATGAGAGATGTGTTCATGGTCACAGCTCATGTCTGGGAAGGAATTCTTACCAGTTACACTGTGTTCTAAACAGTAGAATTACTGACCATAGTCTTACATAACTGGTAGGGGTGCTCCACATACTTGGCCTATAACCGTACTCACATCGTTTTATTAGTAGTCACAGCCTCCTGCCATCCTCTCTGTTTCCCAGACAACATTTAGAATAATTTAAGCCAACATCATGGAGGGGGTCCCCCAACAAGCATAGAATCCCCCCTGGCCAGACCCTGGGAGGTTCTTTCTCCCCCACTGCCTGAGGCCACCCAGAGAGCCGGGAGCCCCAGAGAGCCAGGATCCTGGTGCAAAGCAGGAAGAGAATACAAGCCAGCAGACCCAACTTTCAGGCCAGATTGCAAATGACCAGCACTGTGGCGTCCCCGCAGAGAGGCATAGGCCCCATTCCCCTCTGCAGCCCACGCCGGCCAGGCCCACCCATGTCCTGTGCTGGACTCTGTCCCTGATCAGGCTCCGCTGCAGAGAGCAGACCCCCCATCCCAGAGCACTGCATCCAATAAAGCCAACACTTTCACCCCATGCTCCAAAAACAAACACTGTCCACATTTAGAAGATTAGATTCATATATGCTCAAAATATTCTTCTTTAAAGAATGTTTGGTGCCCCGGCAGCCATTTGTACCTGTGACACTGATTTTTCCCCCATCCTTTTCCTTTCCTCCTGCTCTTCTCTCCTCAGTAATAATATATTGCCTTTTGCTAGAGTAGCTTAGAATTGGAGGAAAAGTTTAGACTCAAGACTTCCTGGTAGGGGCCAGGCACGCTGGCTCACACCAGTAGTCCCAGCATTTGGAGAGGCTGAGGCAGGAGAATCACTTGAGCCCAGGAGTTCAAGACCAGCCTGGGAAACAAAATGAGATCCCCTTCTCTACAAAAAGTTAAAAAAAAAAAATTAGCCAGATGCTGTGGCACACACCAGTAGTCCCAGCTACTCAGGAGGCTGAGGTGGGAGGATCCCTTGAGCTCATGAGCTCAAGGCTGTTGTGAGTTATGACCATGCCGCTGCACCCCAGTCGGGGCAACAGAGTGAGACCCTGTCTATTTTTGAAAAAAGAGAGAGAGATTCCTGGTGGCCTTTCAAATTTAAAAAAAAATTCTTTCTTTGTTAAAACTTATAAAGCTCGCAGGACCCCAAAGCCTGTGGAGCTCCTCTCTCTCTGTGCATGTGGGACAGGCGGCTGCACTCACAGCTTGCCTCCCTGCTGTCCTCCCTGCCTGGGTCATCTGACCCACACGGTTGTCCCCATCCCCAGAAATACTCGACCTCTTGTCATTCACATATGTGAGTGCACTGCATTCTAAATCTTCTGGAACCTTTGTGGTGTTTCCTGTTGCTCTCCCAATAAATTTAAACTTTTCTGGGGAACAAGGACAGCTACATATTAAAAGGCACTAGAGTGTCATGGTTTTAGCAAGGACAATGAGGTCAGACTCACCACTTATCAGTTCCATGACCTTGGGCCTCTGATCTTCTTCTCTGTGTCTTCAGTCTTCCTGTCTCTAAATGGGAGTATTAAGATTACCTACCCTCCTGGGGCTGTTTTAAGGATTAAACATACTGATATATGTAAAGTGCTTAGAACAGTGTTTGGTACAGGGTAAGCAGAGAGTGTGTGTGTGTGTGTGTGTGCGCGCGCGCACGCGTGCGTGCACATGTGCATGCATGCATGTGTACAAGTGTGTGCATGTGTGTGAGATATAGGGTAAGCAGGGTGTGCATCAATGCACACTCATGCACACTACTAACTGTATGCTTCGGTCAAGTTTCTAAACCTCTTCAGCCTTCTCATAAGTAAAATGAAAGAAATGACCCATTCCCAGTGTTACTGTCATAATGTGGGGCAAAGTATGCAAACCAGTGTTGGTATGAGGTGGGCCCTCAATGGAACTCACGGCCTTTCCCCATCCCTCCTTTCACTCTCATCCCTGGCCCCGCTTCAGGAGCATCTGGGGCAGTGACACTCAGGAGTGGGCTGTCAGTAATGTCTAAGCACCTCCCAAGCACAGCCATTTTCCTAAAAACCTTGACTTGACTAATACTCTTTTTTCAAGCAACTACAATGAACCCAACCCTGTGACTTGGAGAGGTTGGACGGCGAGGGAGGGATGAAGTGCACCACCCCGTACACCAGCCAGCATTCTGCAAAGAGTTTTGAAAGAAAAGACAAGAAGGAAAAGGAGGCAGCAAGCCAACAGCATTTTGAGTATTCAGCCTAGAAGCCTGCCATCAGCTGTGCCTCCTCCATACTGCCTCTTATTTGAAGAATTCTCCAAAGCTAGAGTAGAGACAGGCCGCCTTTCCAGGCCAAGCCTGACCATTGCCTATGTTGGTTATGCTAAGATCCTATAGTTTTCCTGCTCCCAGATGTATGGCTCAAAGGCACAATACCCCACTGGGTCCTGACCTGAGGAGGAAGCACACCTTGCACCAGTCAGCTCCATTGCTCTTTCTTCTTGCCTCCTGCCTTATCCTCCTACCATGCTGCAGCCCTATTTGCTGTATGTCCAGAGGCCCAGTGACCTGCCCAGATTTTGCCTGCTTCCTCCCCTAGGACCCGGACCCTTTCTCTACAGCCACCACCTGTATCCCCTCCTGGAGTGAATGGATCACTGGGGACTAAGAGACTTTGTCCCACCCATCCACTGGAATCCTACCCCCGCAGCACTCAAACTCCAATACTGATGCTTGCTGACACTGGCAACACACTCTGTACACTGTGTCTTGGCCAGCCAGGCTCCCTCTAGGACACAGCTCCAAATGCATTCCCTAGAAAGCCCCCTTCCCACCACCCCAGGGTTCAGCTCAGTCCTGCCTCACCAGTGCTGCGTTGCCTCCAGATTCCAGCATGCCTTGCATCTACGCTCCTGAGTATTGTTATGGCAGCCAGGAGGACAATCACTGTTTTTATCCGCCACTGCTGCTAGCGGTAGATATCATTCTCAAGGAAATTAACAAATCTTGCCTTCTGTGATACATATTTGCAGCAAGAATGGACCTCAGATAGGCCTGACACCTCAGCCTCTTGAGGGATGCTCCCAGGAAACTGGTCTTCCATTACTCAGCCCTGTGGGAAACACTTGGGGACTTACTGGGGTTATTGACACCAGCTGTTTGCACCTGGTGAGCAAAGCGTATACTCACAGCCTCCTCAACTATCAAGAGATCTGGGGCAGGAAGCCAAGCGGGTGTTAAACCCAGCGTGAGAATGGCAAACGAAGTCTTAAGCCTGGCAGACTTCTCATTCCATTAGGTGGCATTATCCATAGCTTTATGTCCCCATGGAGCCTGGGGGAACCCTGTAACCGTATCTCTGCCTGTGGGGATACTGCTGGGACCTACTTTGTGAGACCATCTCTGTTAGTGTGGGTATTCTTTGCCATTAAGGAAACTTCAAGTCTCCTGATACTCTTGGTGCCTCTTTCAGTCACTATCCCATTGTGTCAGCTTTGCCTTGGCCTTATTCATCTCAATAAGATCACATCCTTCTGTAGGCAGACAGAGTTGAAATAAGGAATACATAAATGCTCACTGTAGCCTCTACTGTGACTTAAAAGATACCTAGCCTATGGGCATTCCTTGAAAAATGTCTTTTTACATGCATGAATGAAGAGAGAGACGTATTTCACCAATAACTGCATTGACAAAAATGTGCTAAGATCTGCCATGGGCCAGGCACTGCGCAGGAAATAAAAATAAATGAAAGACAGGGTCACTGTTCTCAAGAGCCTTGCAGCCTGGTTGGGAGCAAGTGACAGAGACTTTTCCTGCTTACAGAATGACCATGTACTTTAACAAATTTTCCAAGTTCTTCATAATTAGGCCGATTCTAGCCAGTGATCTGTGAGCAGATGGGATGAATGATGACACTTGGAGGCTGAAGCATTTAACAGCCCCAGTCAACTCTCCAGCTGTCTTCCCCTGACATGGTGTCCACGGCAGCCCCCATCAGTCTGGGTCCCTGAGCAATTGTGTGCAGCAGAGACCCCTGCCTGATCGCACTAGATATGTGGGCTGAGCAAGAACACAGATGACTTTATGTGATGCAACCAAGATATTGAGATGAATTTATTACCCCAGCAGAGCCTAGTCTATTCTAACACTGGGAACACACATATATGTGTGATGCGGTAAGATCAGACAGTACCTGATCAGCATCCAATGAATAGTGTGGATAAGAGTCTCCAAGCTTAGCCTTGGTCTGCAGGCTTTGCCTTTACTGTTCCATCTTCCTAAAAGTTCTCCTTCTAGATCTTTTTGTGGGTTGCTCCCTCCTGCCATCTGGGTCTCAGCTATAAAGCTACCACCTTGAAATACCTTTCCTGACCAACTCCCCCAGAGTGCACAGCCCCAGACCACTGTCTATCTCATCACACCTTCCTCAGATTCTGTGGAATGGCCCTGCTTGCTGTCCATCTTTCCCTGGTCACAGTGAAAGCAAAATGAGAGCAGGGACCTTGTCGCTTGTCTTTGCTGTGTTTCCAGAACTGTGCCTGGCACGGAGCAAGCACTCCATCAACAGCTGATGGATGAACCCAGAAACAGAGGGTGTGTGCCAGGGGAGTCTGGAAGTGGGAGGATGACCACTGACAGCCGAGAGGCCAGAAGAGGATTTACAAAGGAGAAGCCCTTTGAAGGAGGGTCACTGAGGTCGTTTTGGCAGTCACAGCAGCATGAGCAAGGCCGGGGTGGGACAACACAGGGAGGCTAGGGTGACCATGAGCTGAGTGGGTCAGTTGGGGTGGAGGAGCACAGTGGGAAGAAAGTAGCTGAGAGCTTGAAATGCTAACTATAGGTGCTCTAGGACCAAGGGAAGCTGTCTGAGGGTGCTGACTGGGAGCAATGTCCCCAAACCCACTGTTCGGGAAAGGTTGGCTGGATGGGGATTTCCAAGCTAGAGGCCCATTGAAAGAGGCTGAGGACAATGGCACAGGCGTTAGGCTGTGAAAACCATCCAGACAGAGGGGATGACCAGAGGACAGGAGGAATATGAAGAAGGAAGGATCAGGAAATCTTTGTCCAAAAAACTTCCCCGATACCCACTGCCACACAGCTCAGGGAGCAGAAGGAGCCAAGTCTAGAGCTCAAAGCTTCTTTCCACTGGATTCTCAAATTCAGCAGTCCCTCTCTGAGCTCTCTGGAGTACCCAGTATAAGGTAGACAAGAGCAATGCCCCAGAACAATGCTCACTGGGGTTCCTGATGGAGACCCAACACACCACTTCAGTACAGATGGTGAGAAACTGACATCAAAGTCACACAAAAGAGATTCACATTTTAGAGGTAGAATCTGAGTCTGAACCTTAGTAAAGTGAGCGTATAACACTGCCCTTGCTGGCCATGCAGTTTTTGTGAAGATGAAATGGAGTTACAAATTTTATTTTAAGTTTAAAAATACTTTATGAGTATCACTCTCAGAGAGAACAAAATGTGCTTGTTAGGATTTTATCTCCTTTCCAGGGCACAGACTTTCTTATGGAGTCCTGGACATTGATCTAACAGCCCAGGGTAGCCGCTTTGGTCTGGGCAAGGAGGGTGTGCCAGTAGAAACAGTGAACATAGCTTCATGATGTGAAAGCTCTGTTACAGCCCATTTTATTTATGGCTTCAAACAGAAGAGTTAAGGCCCCGCCTTGCATATGGGAAGTACTCACTAAATACTTATTAATGAGTTTTCTATTGTTGCCAACTCTATTTGTCTTTCATCTTTATCACTATCTAGAGCAATGCAAGAAAAGTGAGATAATGTGACACAAATGAACAGGAAGGAGAAAGGTCTACATCACCATTGACTTTCTGTCCCTCTTTTCCCTACTTCCTGCCCGCACACTCAGCAATACCCTTTACATTGGATCTCCTACCTCTCCCTATTCTGTCACATCCTATTTCCCTGCTAAGTAATTTTGCAGACAGCTCCCGTCATGCCACGCTCTTAAAAAAAATCTTCAGTGGTGCTAGATCAGGACCACATGGAGCGGGTAGGGGACATTTATTTCTACTCCTGGTGTTTCCTCCATGCGGTGGGAGTGTAATTAGTTGTAATGGCTCAGCTTGTCTTCCCCCAGCTCAACCATTTCTCCTCTTGGGTGAGAGAAGGAGGAGTAGCTTATCTTATTGTTAAGTCTAGAAGAGGACGCTGGCATTCCTTGCCTAGCCTCTTTTTCTGCCCTTCCTTGGAGGGGAGCAAAGGGCCTGCAGGAAGCAGGTGTTCTTCTATGCCTCTCCAAGTTCTAAGTTCACAGGGCTGGCCCATCCGCCACTGCCTGCCATGGAGAGAGAATGTCTGTTTGGCTCTCTTCCTAAGCTACTACCTCCCATGTAGCCGCTCTCAGTTTTACAGCTGATATTTTGGCTTTGTCCACTCTTGCCTTGATCTAATTTCTCAGCTGGTTCAGTAATCAGGCCAGGAAGATGGTACTGTTTATGGCTGAATGCCCCTGGGAACTCCAGCAAACACTTTTCCATTGTCTATGAAAAAAATCGGAGTCCTCAGCCTGGCATTTTAGATTTTCCATCAAAAAGCAAAACAAAACAAAAAAAAAAACACGTTCTGGTCAACTCCGTCAGCACAGTTTCCCACTCCATCGTGCCCTGGATGTGCCCTGGACGTAGAGCCCCGGCACCGGGCTCCCCTGGCATCCTGCGTACACTTCATGCTTTCTTTCTCCCGTACGCTGAGCTCAGCTCCTGTTCCACTGGTGTTTAGCTTGACCAAGACTCTCCCAACCACCCAAGTGGCTCATTTGCCACTTTCCTGCATGCCTTTCCTGACCCCAGGGATCTGATCACTCCCTTCAGTGCCGTGTTTCTCACTTGGTTTCCTTTGCCAGGAATCTTCCTCTCCTCCTGCCCATCCCCTCCTCCCTATATGCATGCCTGTCTGACTCTCACTTATCTCTGGGCTCTCCAGTCAAACGCCTCTCCCTCCAAAGCCTCCTGAGTCCCCAGGAGTGTTGGATGTTCTTCCGAAGTGCTTCCATAGAATCCTGTCTGTCATTAAATATGCTGAATTAAAATTCTCTGCTTATTTTTCTCAAGATGCTTATGAAGAAACACAGATAACGTTCACAAATATGCACATGCCTGGAAAGAGCAGAGCTGCCCCTGAGGATGGTAAGCTGCCGATAGCAACACAGAAGTCAAAGCAAAGTGCTCACCGTGGGTAGTGTTACAGTAGAGGCCAAGCAAGGGAAAGGCACAGACAGAGCAACTTTCCGGAATTCTCCAGTCATTAGGAGAAGGCTCTTGAGGAGGTGGTTATCCTATCAAGGGTCCATGAATTAAAGGCATCATACGTACTATGAATGCAACCTCCGTATGAGGTTAACAAGAAGCTGGGGCTCCTCGTTACTAGGGTCAGAGAGGGAAATCCCTACATTCAGAGAGGGAAGGGATGAATCCAGGCCACCCAGAGTAAATACAATGGGACAGGGTCTTGACTGTCAGCCTCCCCCACCCAATAAGCATGAATGCCAAATGCCAAGATGTGGTGCTCGGGCAACAGCGACTTGCAGCTCAAATGACACACCTGAATATTGAGGCCGTTGCATTTTTCTCACTGGCTTGAAGCGTGGGAAGTCTGATATGCCTCTTTGAAGTCTACTCAGTGCCTGGGGAATGTGTGGATTTTCTGGGGCCTCTGACAATACGGGGATAGATAAGACCAGTAAGACCCTCTTGGGCTCAAGTGTCAAAAGGCTTTCCTCAACTTTATAGATGCTGCTGGGAAAATGAGAGCTAAAGCTCTGTAATTTTTAACAGGAAGTCTTGAGTCTGCCTTGCTTCCCAGGTTAGGCTAAAAAGAACAGACCCCACGGTTTACCCTTAGGGGATAGTGAGTGCCCTGTCACATGAGGCAATCAACACAGGCCAGAGGACTTGATCAAGAACATTACAGGAAGGATTCCCGCCTTTAGAGAAAGCCCTTTGACAGCCCTACAAATACACACACGTTGCACTTCCCCATTTCTCTAATTAAAATGCACTGTACAAAGCATCCTGTCCCTGTCCCATTTTTTTTATTTTATCACCAAAAGCCTTGCACGCATTGACTTAAAGAGGGCCTAGGACAGCCAGAAGTCTCGGTGACACAGTACCAATTTTGGTGAGCCACTTGGCCACAGCGCCGTAGATCTCGTCCAGGATGAGGATGACCACGAGGTTGATGATGACTGCTGTTGCTGTCACTGTCACCCGGACATTGGAGCGTGTAGCCTTATTGAGAGACAGAGCGGCTGCAGTTGTTATTCGATACACTATCACCCCAAAGACGATTGAGAATGTCAGGGCAATCTGTTTGGGAAAACAGAGAGAAGTACACATCAGCCGGCAATTACCGAGCACCTACTATTTGCTCTGCCAACAGTACCATTTGCTGTTATCAGATATTATTAATCTGGAATCTTTTGTTGGGTAACAAGGGATTCCAGATATTATTAGTCTGGAATATTTGGGTGGGTAACAAATTTTTAGGCAGAGTTCTGAGTGGAGGTGCATTTTCCAGGGGAGAATGTCTTAATTTTTGTCAGATTCCAAATGATTTATCACACACACACACACACACACACACACACAATAAGGATGAACATGCTGGACCCTGTGGAGTGTTCAACACACATGACGCAATTTCTTTCATTAGGGAGCTTTTGATCTTCTAAAGAGATAACATGAACTCCTTTTAAATAAACCATAGTA
Organism: Homo sapiens; assembly: GCF_000001405.40. Classification (NCBI taxonomy): domain Eukaryota; kingdom Metazoa; phylum Chordata; class Mammalia; order Primates; family Hominidae; genus Homo; species Homo sapiens. Next base: position 5,635,750 of record NC_000012.12, read on the forward strand.
AATAATGCCCAAGAAGGTATTAAGTGCTAAATGAGGAGTATAATTGCTGAAGGAACTCCAAGTACACGGGAGAAAGTAAATTTGAGTGGTCAGGGAATAGTTTGTGGAGACAGTGGGATTTAAAATGGAGTTTTCATGAGAAGAAATAGAAAGCCATTGAAGGTACCTGAGCTGAGAAGGGATGAGTTACAGCTTGATAAGTAGAGGCAAGAAGGTTGCTCAAAGGAGAAAAGAGGGAATACATCAGGAGTGAGATTTTAGGAATCTCAGTCCTCAAGATGAACAAAATATCACTGTAAGATTTCTCTACTAGGTGACTTGAAATGGAGGACTCAGATTCCTCATTTGGTAGAGAAATGTCTAGCTGCTGTGCTCCAAAAGGAGGGTTATAGCCACGTGACCTCTAAGGGTTCCCCTCATTTCCTCTCTCTAGAACCTAAGAATAAGAAGGGACTCTCTTAGACCTAGATCTGCCCAACAGCCCCTCTTCCTTCTTCTGTCCCCACGTCCCCTCCTGTCCCCATCGCAACCAAGGAAGGATCATTTCCAGGAAGCACAAGGATGCTATGAGAAGCAAGTGCCCTGAGTAAAGCCTCTTAGAGGGGATAGAAGAAGGAGAGACAACTGCTAGGTGCATGCCCCACTCAGAGCAAATTCTAATTTGCTTCAGTCAAGTCAAGACTTCTTCAAGAAAGAAGACTTCCTTCTTAGGACTCTTTCTGTAAAGGAAGCTGTTCAGGTCCTATTTCCTCCGCAGGACAGAGAATGGGCACTGGCTATGAAGGACTAAATAGAAAACGTAGGGAGAGAAAACAGCAGGTGGAAGGCTCCCTGAAAAAATAAGCTGTGCTGGACTACACACACACACACACACACACACACACACACACACACACACACGCATGCACAGGGAGGGAGGCAGGAAGGAGGGGGTAAGAGGAGGGGAGGAGAGGCACAGGAGGAAAGGGGAGGGGAAGTGGGGGCCTCTGGCTTGGGCAGTGCTTTGCAAGCAGTGTGAATGACACTCCAGTGGCTTGCTAATGGGTGGCAGATGTGTCCAGGTATGGATGTTTTCAGACCTCTGGGGGGTACCTGGGGTGTGCTGGTGGCAGACTCAGCTCTTTATCCTGGTAGGCTTCAAAAAATACCAGTAATTGCCCTATGGGCCGTGTTGTGAAAAAGAAGCCCTTGGTAAGGAAGGGAGAAAGGTGGCGTTCTCTGGGTAGAGGAAGGCTGTGTGTGTTTGGGTGTGTGTGGGTGTGGGGAGAGGAGAGGTTAGATGGGAAAAACACTCTGTGTGAGGCCCCTCTTCTGCTGCAGGGTGGGGGTGGGGAGCGGCAGAAACACCAGCCTCCAGGACTAAGTAGGGACTACTATCGTGTAACTGGGAAAACCTGGACATGACATCACCCCTCTCCAACAATGTAGACATTTTCACTTCCCATTTCTCTGGGATTGTCACTGCCAGATAGTAAGGGCCTAGAAAATGTGGTGTGAGATTCTTTTCCCCAAAAATCACTTTTGCAGTGAAGACCAGTGATGAAAGTATTGATGAGGCTGGGGAGGTGAGGGTATTGAGGAGTGAGTGAATGTGTGTGTGTGTGTGTGTGTACGTGTGTGTGTATTTGGGGTTGGGATTGGGAGACGGACTAGGGGAAAAAAAACAATGGCAAAAACATCCTTTGTTTAGGGTCTTGTGGGAGGGACATGAAGGAAGACGTGGGGAGATCAGCTTCTGTTCTTCTCTAAGAGGCCCAGCTGCTAAACTAGAGAAGGAAGAACACTCTTTGCTACTCAAAAATGTGGTCCAAGGACCAGCTGCATCAGCTGGAAGCTTGATTGAAATGCGGAATCTCAAGCACAACTCCAGACCTACTGACCTGGAACCTGCATTGTAACAGAATTCTTTTTCAAATTCAAGGAGCACTGTTCTCCTTATCTAGAAAAGCCTTCTTTCCCACCCTCCTTTCCTCCCTAGCCCCACCCCTGGCACACCTCACTTCAGCTCTCTGGTTCTTTGCAGGTTTACCTTCTCTGGTCTTAATTTCCTATCCCACTATAGAAATCAAGCTCTGAACCTCTCGTTTGGTGTTTCCCAGAGCATCTCAAGATTCACAGAGCTTTCGAGCTGCAGGAACTTGCAGAGTACCAACCCAGTCACGTGACCATTTTGGAGATGAAGAAACGGGCATGGAAAAGTGATGCAATTTGCTGAAGTCCACAAGGTGTGGACTACAATGCTACTCTTCTGGATCATGGTAGAAATTTTAAAATCTTAGCATTTAGGAATCATCTATGTACAGTCTTTAGTCTCATACATAAGGAAACTGAAGCCCAAGAGGCAACAATGTGATTGATCCAAGGTCTGGAGGGTATACGGTAGAGCTGAGATGTTAATGGTGATAACATCATCAATACCAGCTGAACCATTTGTGCCTTCTAGATGTCTTTATTCGATGCATATCTTCACTAGCACTGTTTCTTTTCCTTTTTTTTTTTTTTTTGAGACGGAGTCTCACTCCGTCACCCAGGTTGGAGTGCAGTGGTGCGATCTGGGCTCACTGCAAGCTCCGCCTCCTGGGTTCACGCCATTCTCCTGCTTCAGCCTCCCAAGTAGCTGGGGCTACAGGCACCTGCCACCACTCCTGGCTAATTTTTTGTATTTTTAGTAGAGACAGGGTTTCATCATGTTAGCCAGGATGGTCTCGATCTCCTGACCTCACGATCTGCCCACCTCGGCCTCCCAAAGTGCTGGGATTACAGGCGTGAGCCACCATGGCCGGCCCACATTATTGATTTTCTTTATTAAGTTCAATACGTATTTTCTGGCCGCTTATTGTGCGACCCACTGCACTGGGTATATTCCATGTTTGTGGTCAATCTCTTCCAACTAGGTCAAAAGGAGGTTTGTCTTTTACCACATTCTGTGCCTTAAGCCACTTCACAGCAGCGCCTCCCGTAGAACTGGTTTGGTAAAGATTCGCTGGTCAGCAGCTCTAGGGGATCTGGCTGCCTGGCACATGGTCATTTTATTATGGTTCCTGTTGCTTTTGGTGTTTTAATATCATAACTTTACTTCTGGGACATAAACAAAATGCAACATAAGCCAGGCTACAGAGTCCAGAGTCCTACTTGACGCCAAGAGAGAGACAGGTAAGAGAGAAGACCTCTTCGCCACCCTCCGGAACTTGCATTCTGAAGCAAAGTTGAGAAAATCATTGCACACATACAACAAAGATGATCCTAGTAGCAGCTGGATGGAGTCACAGGCCTCCGTTCACGAGCTTCTGGTATGCTCTTAGCAGAGAGCAGGGGGATTAGTCAGAGAAAACTCCACAGAAAAAAGTTTTGGGACAGTTTCCTATGGGAAAGACTTAGAGGAAAGAATAAGAAGGAAGAACTTTCCAGAAAAGGGAAGAGGGGCAAGTAGCAATGCACAAGGCACAAGTAACCTCTGCTGATCCCCAGCATGGCACACGATAGTAGCTCAAGTATAAAAATACAGGCACGCGCACACACTAGCAACTTCATCATCGACATAGTACGCTGCCTATGACCTCCACCTAGTTTATTTACCCATTCAGTCATTCATAAAATGTGTCTTAAGCTCCTCCTTGTGCCAGTCTCAGTTCTAGGTTCCAGTGGAAAAAGGAAACAGAAAGCACTACCCTCACAGAGTGGATCTTCTAGTGGGAAAACATAGACAATAAACTAATAAATAGGTAAAATAAGTAGTACCTTCAGCACGAGAAATACCGTGGAGACAAAGAAGGCAAACAGGGTATAGGGATCGGTTGCAATTTAAAATAGGGTGGTTGGGAAAGAGACAGCTGAGAAAGTGACCTTTTACCAAATACCTAAAGGAAGGATTTAAGGGAAGGGTGTTTCAGGCAGGCAGTGGCTGACACTGAGTGAGCAAGGGGACAGGTGGAGTGGGAGATGGGCAGGCAGCCAGGAGGGGGCCCTGTAGTGTGAGGATGTGGGCTTCCACACCTCAGGAGATGGGAAGCCATCAGAGAGTTCTGAGCAGAGGAGTGATGTGAGTTGGTTTAGGTTTTAAAAGTTAGCATGCTGATGATCTGTCAGGGGCAGTGTGCAAATAGGGAGATCAGTGAAGGGGCTATGATGAGAGTCCAGGCTGTGGAGGAGGATTTCTGATGGTGGACTCCCAATATCCAAGTGTAAGAAAATGAGTATCTGGGGCACAGGAGGAAAGCTCAGGCACCTAGCTCTAGAGGAGGGACATCGCCTCCGACAATTCCCCCCTTACAAGAAGAAAACAGGAGGGACCATTCAAAAAGGAAACTTTAGCTGAACACACAGGATTGGCGGAGAGGAAATTCGTCTTTGTCCATGCTGGTTTCTAACACAAGGAGGCAGATGAAATAGCACTGGGGCATTTCTTTGCTCTCATCACCCCATGAAAAGCATTCCCAACTGACTCGGTAGATTGGCATGCCTGAAACCTTCCTAATGCCCATGGTCCTGGCATCTTCTGCCTAGGTTCAAGCACAGGGGTGAAGAAAGGAATGAGATGAGAGATACGGTAGGTGTCTTTGGCTTACCCGAACTTTATCACAGAAAGTTACTTCCTTCTAAGCACCACCCTGACCCCTTCATCTCATGCTCCACACCTTGTTCTAGGGTAATGCTAAGTCCTTTTTCTTTAGAAAACATCAGAGTGAACAGGCAACCTACAGAATGGGAGGAAATTTTTGCAATCTGCCCATCTGACAAAGGGCTAATATCCTGAATCTACAAAGAACTTAAACAAATTTACAAGAAAAAAACAACCCCATCAAAAAGGGTGCAAAGGATATGAACAGACACTTCTCAAAAGAAGACATTTATGCAGCCAACAGACACATGAAAAAATGCTCATCATCACTGGTCATCAGAGAAATGCAAATCAAAACCACAATGAGATACCATCCCACACCAGTTAGAATGGCAATCATTAAAAGTCAGGAAACAACAGATGCTGGAGAGGATGCGGAGAAATAGGAACACTTTTACACTGTTGGTGGGAGCGTGAACTAGTTCAACGATTGTGGAAGACAGTGTGGCGATTCCTCAAGGATCTAGAACTAGAAATACCATTTGACCTAGTGATCCCACTACTGGGTACATACCCAAAGGATTATAAATCAATCTACTATAAAGACACATGCACACATATGTTTATTGCAGCACTATTCACAACAGCAAAGACTTGGAACCAACCCAAATGTCCATCAGTGATAGACTGGATTAAGAAAATGTGGCACATATACACCATGGAATACTATGCAGCCATAAAAATGGATGAGTTCATGTTCTTTGCAGGGACACGGATGCAGCTGGAAACCATCATTCTGAGCAAACTATCACAAGGGCAGAAAACCAAACACCACATGTTCTCACTCATAGGTTGGAACTGAACAATGAGAACACTTGGACACAGGGCGAGGAACATCACACATTGGGGCCTGTCAGGGGGTGGGGGGCAGGGGGAGGGATAGCATTAGGAGAAATACCTAATGTAAATGACAAGTTAATGGGTGCAGCAAAGCAACATGGCACATGTATACCTAGGTAGCAAACCTGCACATTGTGCACATGTACCCTAGAACTTAATGCATAACAAAAAATTAAAAATTAAAAAATAAAGAAAACTGGGCTTTTTTTTAAGTGGGAAAAAGAAACGGGGACAAGTTAGTGCCAAATAAGGATTTTAAAAAATCAAATAGGCAGGAAACAATATAATGTATTGTCCAATCTGGAATACTTTTGAGAGTAAAGAAGAAGTGCTATTAATAATTCTCCCTGGTCTGGAAGCTTAAGCCTGGACGAGCTTGAGCACCTGACTGTGAAGGGTGATGTGTAAAGGGGGCTCTCCCCATTCCCACCACTCTGCTCCCAGCTCCTGCCCACATGGTTCAGTTCCCGGAACTTGCTGGTGGCAGTTGTGGGACCCCAGGCATAGTGAGATTCTCAATTAGTTATTGGTTCTGATACAGAATCTTGCATTTATATCAAGATTTGGAGTTGGGTGGGGCTGGGAAAGGGAAGATTTTACAAAGGAGAGATAATTATGTATTATTTGTGAACAATAAAAATATTCCCACTTTCCAGTCTAGCTTTAGGAGGTATCAATGGAATTTTAAAAAAAGAAAAAACTTAGAACTTTGGCAAGATGACCCACCATTGACCCAGTTTTTAGTATTTGTTGAATGGTGGTCCAGTGATCTATTTGTTGTTGATGATGATGATGATGACATTGATGATGACACAGATTTTTCTCTCAGGCAGCAGACAAGCTCCTAGTTTCAGTCCTCTCCTTGCCTGACTTATCAGTGGCATCTAATACAATTGATTGTCCTGCCCCTTTGAAATGCTTTCTTGACTTCTGGGACTCTCTATTCTCCCCTATCCCTTTTCAATTCTCTTTTCTGTCTCCTCCTCATGCTCCCAAACTTCAGCATAGCAGTGTCCCGGGACTTGGTCCTTGGAAATTTTCTCTATCTACTCTCATTCTCTTGGTGATCTCATGCAATCTTATAGCTTTAAATGCCTTCTATAGTGATTAGGTCTCCAGCCTGGACGTCTTCCCTGAACTCCAGACTCATATGCATCAGGAGGGCAACTGAGTTAAGGAATAACTGGCAGATTTTGGGCTGCTCAGGATAAAAGCCTTAGAGTCATTCTTGATTTCTTTTCAGTTTTGTACCACATGATCAAATTCTTTCAGTCCACCTTCAAAATAGAACTAGCATCTGAACACTCTTCAATCTCACCCTGCCCAGGCCACCGCACTTCTTGCATTATCACAACAGATTCCTACTTGATGTCCCTCTTCCCACCCTTGCCTTTCTACCAGCATTTTCTCACCCCAGCAGCCAGAATGATCCTTTTGAAATGTATGTCAGGTCATGTCACTCCTTGCAAGACCTCCTATTAGGTGTTCTCATCTCACATAGAATTAGCCCATGTCCTTACTGTGGTCTCCAGGGCCCTACCTACAGGGCTCCTCGTTACTTCTCTCACTGTGTCTCCCTGTGCACTCCCCGCTGCAGAGTGCTCAGCTCCAGCCACACTGTGGCTCTTTCCTGCTGTCCCTCCTGATGCCAGGCATTGCTCCCCTTGGGCTTTTTCTCTTGCTGTTTCCTCTGCCCAGAATGTTTCCCCTAGAATATCCATGTGGCTGGCTCCTCCACCTCCTCCAGATCCTTGATAAAATGTCATCTTAATGAGAACTTACCTGACCAACCTATTTAATATATGTATTTTGTGTCTTTTTAAATTTTATTGTGAACATGCAGAAAAATCCATTTTACACACACACACACACACACACACAATGAATAAAACAAACACCAATATAGCCCAGACCAGCACTGCCAGCAGCTCTGAATTCCCTTCTCCCCCGTACACATACATGATCTCCCATCCCTGCTGCTCCTTTGGATCCAACCACTGTGCAGAATTTTATGATAATCATTCTCTTGCTCATTTGATAGTTTTAACACAGAGGTATGCATCCTTAAACAATATAGTTGAGTATTGTCTCTGAACTCTCTATGAGTAGAATCAAACTGTATATATTCTTTCATCTTGTTTTTTTCACCCTTGATGTTATACATAGCTATTAGTTTGCTCATTTTCATGACTGTGTAGTATTTAATTGTATGAATATGCCTCAATTTATGTATCCATTCTGGTGGTGACAGGCATTTGGACTGTTTCCAGGTTGAGTTATTATAAGCAGGGCTTCCATAGACGTTCTTGTACACGTATTTTGCTGCTCATGTACACAAGTTTTTCTAAGACAGATATCCAGGAGTAGAATTTCTGGGCCCCAGGATATATGTACTTTCAGTTTCACTAGATAATGCCAAACTATATCCAAAGTGTTTTTGTTTTTTCAACTTATACTCCCTATAGTAGAGTTTAAGATGCTCTTTTGATCTATATCTTTTCCAACACTTGTTACTGACAGACTTTTGGGCATATATGGTATCTCATTGTGGTTTAAATTAGAATTTCCAGGATTACTAATGAGATTGGGTACCATTTTATAGGCTCATTGGCCATTTGGATTCCCTCTTTTGTGAAGTACATATTCATCTTTTTCCTATTTTGTACTGAATTACTGTTTTCCATGTTTTTTAATTCTTTATATATGTTAAGAAAAATTCTTTGAGAGTTATAGTTGTTGCAAATATATTATCCCATTCTGATAATTTGTCTTCTCACAGAGTTTATTAGGTATTTTATGAACTTAAATTCTTAATTCTAATATAGTCAAATTTACCAGCATTTTATTATGGTTGTGCTTTTTGTATCTTGCTCAAGAAATTCTTCCCTACCCCAAGGTCATGAAAATATTTTTTTCTTATATATTTAAAAACTCGATTGTTTTGCCTTTCACAGTCCCTCTTTAAAATACACCTAAAATTGATGTTTTTGAGTGGTGTGAACAAGGCCCAGTTTTATTTTCTTCTGTTTGGACACCCAGCTGTCCCAGAAGCACTTACTGAGAAGTTCATTCTTTTCCCCACTTATATGCAGTGCCACTTGCATTAATCTGGTTCTTGGTTTTCTATTTTGTTCCATTGGTCTCATCATCTCTTCTCACAAGAATGTAACATTATCTTACTCATTGTAGTTTTATAATTAGAGTAACATATCCATCCTTCAAGAGTTTCTTGACTATTCTTAGCCTTTGTGCTTCCACATAAATCTTAAAATCAGTTTATCGACTGGACAATCTAAAGACCTTAGAACATTATTGTTCTATTTATTGTCCACCCAACTTACATAGTATTGTTGCATATATTTTAGTTCTATCTTTTTTAACCTCATGAGAATTGGCATTATTATTTTCACAGTCAAGGTTCATATAGGTTTTCTCACATATTTACCACTTTAAAAGTTCTTCATTCCTTTCTAAAACCATGGTCTTCCATATGGGATCACATCCAAGGTACATTCTTAGAATTTCTTTTAATGAGAGATTCGGTTGATAGCAAACTCTCAGTTTCTATTTGTCTATAAATATCTTTATTTTATCCTTATCACTACATGATATTTTTCTTGGGCATAGAATTCTTAGTTAGAAATTGTTTTGTTTTCAGCACGTGAAGAGGGCATTTCATTGTATTCTGACTTCCAATGTGCTATAAAATATCAGTTGTAAGTCCAGGTGTCTTTCCATTGAAGGTAATTTGCCTTTGGATTTAAGGCTGCTTTTGAGACTTTTCTTGTGCCTTATATACTCTATAATTTCACTATGATGCATCTAGATGCAGATTTATTTTTACTTTTTCTGCCTGGGTTTCACTAGGATTCTTCAATCTATGGATTGGTGTACTGCATCAAATTAGGAAACCACCAGTCCTTATATCTCCCTCATTACCTGTTCTCTTTCAACCTGTTTTCCATATTGCCAATCTTTTTTATCGCTATGCTGTATTACGGATAATTTATTCCAGCCTGTATTGCAGTTTACAAATTCTCTCTTCAGCTTTGTCTAATTTGTTGTTAAGTCTATCCATGGTTGAGGCAGGAGAATCGCTTGAACCCGGGGGGCGGAGGTTGCAGTGAGCCAAGATTGTACCACTGCACTCCAGCCTGGGTGACAGAATCAGACTCCGTCTCAAGAAAAAACAAATCTATCCATGGTCGTGTGTGTGTGAATGTGTGTGTGTGTGTGTGTACACATATATATACACATATATACATGGCATATAAAAATCATATATATAACAATAATATTTTTGTTAATTTCTATATATATTTATTTCTAGCAGATAGAGGTTTATTGGTTAGTTTTCATTATCTGCTAGATAATTTTCAAAATAGTTTCTTATTCTTTGTGTATATTTTTAAGGTTGCTGTTTTAACCTGTGACTGATATTTTCAATATCTCTGGTCTTTGCTGTCTGTTCCCACTGGTTCTTTCATATGGTGCTTCAACTTCTTGAGTAATTAGTTGTTTTTGACTGTGTTCTCTTTATTGCCCTTGAAAAATTCTTTTGGGTGATTTTTTGAGGCCTGGCATAAATATGCTTCCCTACAGAGAGAGGTTGTATTTGCTTCTGCTGAGCACCTGGGAGCCCTACTAGTGTTAGGTTAAGTTCACAACCTGAGGTTCCCTGATCCTCTTATGTGGTGACCCAGGATAGAAAGCCACAGTAGGGATTGCCCCTGGCCACTTCTTAAGCACAGGATTTTGTTTCCCCTTTTCTCCCTTTTCTGCTTAGATCCATAACAAGTTTTTTCTGCAGTCTCATAAGTGGGAAAGGGTGTGTATAGTTCAGTTTCATCTTTACTCTGAACATAGCCCTTTGGAGTTCTGATTTAATTTGGTGAGGACATCCTGTTACAATCCCCATTTGGGGCCATCCATCAACCCTAATTTCTATCCTCCCTGCTCCCATAAAACCACCAAAACCAAAGCCTAGGTTTGCCGAGATGGGAAAATGTTCTCAAGGTAAAAGCAGCTCTAGTGCCCAGGTATTTGTTTCTTTGGTTCCCATTTTCCTTTAGATTTTAGCCTGGTATTACTTCCTATCCTGTCAGCCCTTCGAGGCTTTGAGAAGATTGAAAAATACATTTATCCAATTTTTTAAAATAAATTTTAGCAAAATGGGATGTTACAAATATCCTAACCTACTACTACTGGAGATAGAAGTTTATTTTTACCTATTTTTTATTATTTATTTACTCATTTATTGTCTGCAAATTTTTTAAGAGAGGGATTATTTTGTTTTGTTTTCTGCTGTATCCCCAGTGTCTAAGCATGGTGTCAAGCACATCGTTTGACTCATTAAATATTGAATGAATGAATAAACTCTTTAACAATAATATGCATATTGCGGGGGGCTTTGAAGTGCTAAATTAAACTTTCTATCATTGCAGCTTAACACACGGCAACTCACCACATCCTCTTGAATAAATTCCACATGGCTTGCACTTGTTAAGCAATGAGAAGAAAACAAATTTAGACTTCTAAACTTTGGCAAGGCACCCATCAACTCTGTACTTCATCTGAAAAATGAGGAGTTGAATTGGTGATATCTAAGTTTCCTTCACCTTTTAAATTTCTGAGACGAAAACACAATTCCTGTAGTTAACGGTCACGATGGCAAAAATAATGGTAGTGGTAACCTCAGGCCAGAGTCAGAGTTACAACAATTTCCAGACCAATTTTTGGAATAAGTGATCCCTCTTCCACCCTGCAACTAATGTGTAGCCCTACTTAGAAATGCTCTGAGCTGTGAGTACACACACTCCTTTGTAAAGCAGAACCTCCAATCTTGAATACTGTAAGGAAGATTTCCATAAAGAGATATGGGGTATTAGTAACCCTAACTTAGTCCTCTGATTTTTGCCTTCCCCAAGGTCCTCTAGCTTCAGATACTGCTGTCTTGCCCATGCTGGCAACGAAGAATGAACTGCTACCACTTTATTGATCTAAGTCAAATACGAATCACAGGGTTTTCCCTGAGCTTTCCCTGACGCAGCTGAGACCGTCTGGGTCTTGCAGAAGGGCTGTACCAAACTCTAAGGTAAAGCGCAAGGAAATAAACCCAGCAACTACAGGAAAGCGGAAGGATCACACTTACCGAGCCCAAGCTGGCTATCTCCTGTGGCTTCCAGACCCTGGTCTATCCACAAACGTCAGAGAGGGCCACCCCACAGCCCAAACAGGCTGCTGCAATTGCAGCCATCTTACCTGATTCCTTCTCCAAGTTTTTGGTCTGTCTCCATGCAGAAGCACCATCTCGCAACCCACTCCCTGGAAGTTCCAAATTCTAGCATGGGTGGTCAATGGCCTCACTATCAGACAAGATCCTGCCCCTCTACACAGGACTGTGGCTTCCCCTTTACCAGCCTCTCATTATTTCCATAGCAGAATATAATACCCACAGTAGTCACATAACAGCATCTACATGCATGCAGTCACAGGCAAGTGGTCCCTCAAGGAAATTACCATGAATAAGATGGAGGCAAAGTTCATCAGGTAACCTGGGAAACGATCCTTCCAGGTCAGTTTATCTTCATCATCCTGGGGAGAAACGGGAGAGTAGAGACAATCAGGAGGCACAAATAACAGATATTAATTTGCTCTCATTTGCATATATTTGCATGCGATTGATCATTATCACTCTATATAGATATATTTCTAGTCACTGATGCCTTACTCTCCATATCAACAACTGCCCTTCTAATTTTGTAATTTCTAGATAAGTTGGCATAGCCTGGAAAAACTACAGTGAAAAAACAAGATTTGATTTCAGCCTCACACGGGGCTGAATTTCTAGTTCAACCACTTATCAGCTGTGTGATCCTAGATATGTCTCTTATTAACATTTCTGACATTTATTTTTTCATCTGTAAATTGGGCACGGTAGTGATACCTGCCCTGCCTACTACACAGGACAGTTTTCTTTGTTTTGTTTGAGTGAGAACCATGTGAATATAGTAAAGCAGTGGACAAATGACAGATACGACCCAACCACAGGGCAGCATCCTATAAATAGATTATCTGCTAAATAAAATACCAACCACTGATCTCAGAGCCTAATCGTTGTGCAAATTACCCACAATTTTGTTCCTCAAAGAGGCTACATGTAGTATTATGTGCTCCCCCTCGTCACAAATCCAAACATTTTGAGGCACAGGTTAAGCTGATCCATTCAATCAACTTGGCTGAGAATCCTACCCTTTTCCCCTCGGACTGGGTCCAGTTCACCCAGGCCATTATCCTGCGACAATCGTTATCAGTAACCAGAGTCCTCCTTCAGCGTGCTCTGAGGACCGTCATTTGGTGGGGGACAGGGGAGGGGCTGCCAACAGCTATGAATGGTAAACAGCTCTGCTAATTAAACAGCTCTGCTGTATAAATTTAGTTCAGGCACTTGATTTCTCTGAGCTGCAGTTCTATAAAATTAGAATTGATACAGCTGTCCTGCCTACTACACAAGGTAGCTGGGAAGACCATCTGAAGCCGTGTTTGGGAAGGTGCCGAGAATATGGCAGAGCACTCCCTGCCAGTAAGGCAAGAATCCAGGAGTACTTCTGCAAGGTGTCTGAATGGGGCTCAGCGGTGAGCGCTCCAGGGCCCCTGCTCTCTCTCCTCTCCCCTCCTCACCACTGATACTCAGAACACACCTGATTTGGTGCTAGCAACAGTGCCATCTAGCCTTTGAAAGCTTGTACTGTAAGTGAAGGACATTCTTATACTAAAAGATTTCTTTCTAAAAATCCCTCTGGGGCCCACTGTGCATTGATCTTGGTGCCACGCACAGTGGGAGACAGAAGAAAATTGACATGATCACTACTCCTGGGGAGCTCACAGGCTAAGGAAACAGAGATGACACCCACACACCGAAAGGTTTAAGAATCCCTGGTCAGTTTGGGAGTGAGGGTTATCTTGGGAGCGAGCCTGAAGGGAGCTGAGAAGAGGAAAATTCTCAGTGCATGCCTGGAACTGAGCGATGGGTCGAGTTGGCTTACTAAATTGTGGTAGAAATGAGTGTTATAGCTGAATTCACTTGGTAATTAGCACTTGCATTTACAGATTATGTAAACAAGCAATAGATTCAGGTTTGCACAGACTTAGTGATAGAATCCGGTTGCTAGACTCTTAGCCCAACAGGCTTTCCATCACACAATGAGAACAAGGTAACTACATCTTGTGGCCATCCTGAAGAAATAAGAACATATGAACCTATTTCTGATGGGATTAGAACAAGACTCATTCATATTCTTCCAGATAAGGCCAAACATCAAGAGGGAGTAGAGCTTCTTTCATTTTCCTTCAGTATTAATTCTTAGTTTCACTCACACACTAAAGTTTTCCTTAAGGGTATTTTTTTGGGGGGTGGGGATGGAGTCTCACTCTGTTGCCCAGGCTAGAGTGCAGTGGTATGATCTTGGCTCACTGCAACCTCCACCTCCCAGGTTCGAGTGATTCTCCTGTCTCAGCCTCCCGACTAGCTGGGACTACAGGCACATGCCACGATGCCCCCAGCTAAGTTTGTGCATGTGTGCATGTGTGTGTGTGTGTGTGTGTGTGTGTATTTTTTTAGTAAAGACGGGATTTCACCATATTAGCCAGGATGGTCTCGATCTCCTGACCTCGTGATCTGATCCGCCTGCCTTGGCCTCCCAAAATGATGGGATTACAGGTGTGAGCCACTGCACCCAGCCACCTAAGGGTATTTTTAAAAGATTTTTCTTTAAGCTGTTGACAAGGAAAACTGAGGATGGGCTGACGAATGATAACACTCAATAGGGATTCTGAAGAGAAATTTGAGGGGCCAGGGAGGGACTTTTCCTGAGTCCCCCTGGAGTCTTGGTTCAGTCCCACTCAACAGACACAGTCTGAACAGTGCCAATGGGCCAGGCTCTGTGCTAGATACTGAGGACACGCTGAGGAGAAGGTTCAGCTCTGCCCAGGAGGAGCTCAGAGACCACCAAGGAAACAAGGAAAAGCACTTCTAAGCTAAACCAGATTAGGAAGGTGGCATTACTATTTTGCATAAAAATGAGACATAACTAAAAAGCAACCAAATTAAATGTCCTCTCAAAGCAACTTAAAGAAAAAATGCTCATTTTGATATAACATTCTAGTGGATGTTGAAAAATCACCCCTTCTCATGTTTACATTGGTGATCTCTTTTTTCTGGAAGTCACAGCTCCCAACACACACACAGTGCTCATGCATTCAGACACTCCCAACATAAGAAGCCAAGAGAAACACAAAGATTGCACCACTGTCTTCCAAGCTGCCAAAGTCACTAGTAAAGATGACAGTGAGTAAAGTAGTCTTTACTTATAATAATCTGGCTCTAATAATGGAAGCCAATTAAAACTCTCCATTCACGGATACATTAACAATACGAAGACTTGCAGCAAAATATCCTTAATTTAAATATACTCTGCTTAAAAATCCTATAGCCAGCATATAAGACAGTACAAAGAGAAGTAGGCTTGGAACCAGGACATCCAAGTTCTGAACTCTTGGCTCTGGTACTTCTTAGGTGAGTGACCTTGGGAAATTCCCAGATCATCAGCTTCCTTATCTGTAAAATAATTTATGTGCCCTATCTGCAAAATATAGTTAGATCTATCACACCAAATTGCCATGCATTTAAAATTACCCAACCTATGAAGCAGGTCAAGAGAGTGCAGGCACACAGAGGTATGAGAACTCTTAGCACCTCTCTCTCCTTTTAAAATGGAAATAACACTTGTCCCACCTAAGTGGCCCAGGTATTGTGGGATCACATGAGTGCATGCATATGAGAGAGCTTTGTAAACTGGAAGGCTCATAAAAGTAAGGTCTAACCAGCTTCATGATTATATCAAAAGCAGGTGACTATAAAGCACTTAGCTAATGCAATCGTTGTTAAGACAGGAGCCTAGCTGTCCTCTGTGCTAGCTTCTTTGTCTCAGCTCTTTGTGTCTATGTCCCTTGATGATGGCTCCCATTCTGAGCCTCCAGACAGCAAGTAGCACAGTAATAAAACCACATAAGTGCCCTTTTGGCAAGCTAAACATTTGGAAATGAAATCACTGAAAAGGCAATAGGTGAGAGTGCTATTTAAACAAATCCCTTGAAGAATAATTTTGTAAAGTGGCAATCATCCTTGAGTTGTTTTCTTCTTTTCTTTTTTTTTTCTCTTTTTCTTTTTTTAGAGACAAAGTCTCACTCTGCCACCCAGGCTGGAGTGCAATTGCACAATCATAGCTCACTGCAACCTCCAACTCCTGGGCTCAAGTGATCCTCCTGCCTCAGCCTCCAGATTAGCTGAAATTACAGGCATAGGACACCACAGCTGGCTTCATTTTTAATTAAGATATAATTTACACACAGTAAATTTCACCTTCATTAGTGTTTACTTCTGTAAGTTTTGATAAATATATAGTCATATAACCACGACCACAATCAAGACATAGAACAATACCATCACTTCCCATTATTCTCCCATGTCCCTTTGTAGTCTATCACCTCCCCCAATCCCCAGAACCTGACAAGATCTGTTTTATGCCCCTCTGGTTTTATCTTTTCCAAAATGTCATATAAGTGGATTCATAGAGTATGCAGGCTGTTGAGTCTGGCTTCTCTGACTTAGCATAGTGCATTTGAAATTCATGTTGTCCATGTGGTTGCATGTCTTGGTAGTTTGTTCGTTTTTATTGCTGAATAATATTCCACTGTGTGGATGTACCACAGTTCATTTATCCTTTCACTATCTGAGGGATGTTTGAATTGTTTCCAGTTTTTGGCAATTATGAATAAAGCCATTGTAAAAGTGGCTGTGCACTGTTTTTGGTGTGAACATAGGTTTTCATTTCCCTTGGATAATTACCAAGAAATGGAATTACCAAGTCATAGGGTAAGTATATGTTTGACTTTATAAGAAACTGCCAGACAATTTCCCAAAGTGGGTGTACCATTTTGAATTTCCATTAATAAGATATGGTATTTCCTTCCTCTATTTTCTTTCTTTTATTAAATAAATTTTTAATTTAGAATAGTTTTAGACTTACAGAAAAGCTTCAAAGGAGTTCCCATATACCCTGCACCCAGTTTCCCCTATTACATTAGTTAAGTACATTTTTCACAACCAATGAACCGATATTGTACAGTATTATTAAAGTTCATACTTTATCCATATTTTCTTATAAATATAACATAAAATCTAATATTACTTAAATTTAATAATGTACCATTTATATTAGTTTTTACCTAATATCCATTTCCTGTTCCAAGGTCCCCTCCAAGAAAACACCTTATATTTAGTTGTCATGTCCCCTTAGACTCCTCGAAGCTGTGATAGTTTCTCAGACTTTTCTTGGTGGTGGTGACTTTGTTAGTTTTGAGGTGTACTGGTCAAGTATTTTGTAGAATGTCCCTCAACACAGGCTTGTCTGAAGTTTTTCCCATGATTAGACTGAAGTTATGCATTTGGGGGAGGAAGACCACAGAGGGAAGGGGCCATTTTCATCACATCATATCAAGGGTACAGGCTAGAATATGACTGATCACTGATGATGTCAACCTTGATCTCCTGGTGGAGATCATATCTGTCAGATTTTTCTATTGCAAAGTTTCTTTTTTTCTCCTTTCCATACTTTACTCTTCAGAAGAAAGTCACAAAGTGCCCACATTTAAGGTGGGGGAATTACACTCCACCTCTCTGAAGGGGCAGTATCTACAGATTCTCCTAGGTTTTTAATCCAGATTTTTATATTTTGAATTTGCTTAAAGCAGGACTGTAAAGAAGAGATACTCAGTCATACCAATGTGAAACCAGTGCAGGTTACTCCCAACCCTAAAAAGAGAATGAAGACGATAAATGCCAAGTGGCCAGGACTGGAGTGGAACTGGATTTGGGCTTCAAAAGAAGCAGGCTGTGGTCCTCATTCTTTGGGAAGCCCACAAAGGACAGGAAGCCAAACCTTGCCATCGTCACTGGCCACTTCATTATCATCATCTGCCTCAACCCTCCAGATAATAACAAGAGGGCCAGGAATAGGTCAGACTGGCTTCTATCAAAATGTTCATACATTGACCCTATGTTCTGGCAAATATTTTGGGGGCAGTGGCAAAGAGAAGAGAAATACAATGGATTTGGAAATACAGGATGTGGGCTTCATTCCGTCTCCACCTCTTTATAAGCTGAGCAACCTAGGGCATATTGTTCAAATTATCTGTGTCCTCAAATCAGCATCTCTAATGGGGTCTAATGGGACAACTGGTAACTTTCCTTACTGAGCACTCAATGAGTATACCACATATGTGACAGTACTTGGAAAATTATAAGTTCTGTATAATTGTGAGTTGTATTACTCTTGTTTCTATACAGGAAGCATACATTGAACATCAAATATGTACCAAGCATCATGCTAGCACCAGGCACTAGGCATACATAGAAGAACAGCTCAAATTCTTGGCCCTAGGTAGTAGCAGAAACTGAGAAAGATGAACGCAAATTATGACATGATGTGACATACAAAGTGTCATGGAAACATAGAGGAGGGAGTGACTTCCAGCCCAGAGGATTAAAGAGAGACTTCAATGACTAGGAGACATTTCAACTGTGATTAAAGAATGATTAGAGTTTCCCGGGATGAAAAGGGGGATGAGGGTATTCCAGAGAAAGCACCATATGCAAAAGCATGGAGATACCATAACACAGAGTATGATCAAATGGCTCCGTGTAATGAGAAGTTAGTATTATACACAGCAGCAGGGTTTTAGGTAGATAAGGTTAACTCAGATTCCTGACTATCTGGTAATCTACAGTGCATCTTTCATTATGACATGAAGGATCAAAAATCAGAACAGAATGAGACTTCTAACTAGCAGATAGCAAGTCATCTGATAGTAGGCTGGCAGGGGTCATAGAGGACAAATAATCCAGTCCCTTACTGATCAGATCAGTCCTGAAGTACAGGAGGAGAGGTGACACACCCATGGCTAGTGAGTGACTTCATTCCAGGCAACACCAGAACAGGGCCTCTGATATTTCTGTTCAGTTGTTTAGAAGGCTGTTGCTAACTGGTTCCTTTATAAGGAATGGTTGCTTCTAGATTTTTAATTCTAAATAATATTCAGGGGCCTTTAAAACATGAATTATGTTTTAATGCCATAGTAGTTGATTTATTCTGATGGTGGAAAATATTGAAAGCAATTGCTTACTTGCATTCAGTTCTGTGTACTGTCTGAGGAGCGGAGCTGAGGTGCTGTCTGCCTATCACTTCCAAGCCTTTACTCTTCTGTCTATGAGAGCCTCTCCTTTGGGGGGCACACCATTCAGCCATAAGGACTTGTACTTTGTGATTATCATCTGCATCACTATCTTCCCCAATCCTGCCATCATCACAAGCAACTGAGATCCAGAAACTGACTTGCTCTTCAATGTCCTAATGTCAACCCTACTTCACTTTGGCCAGCAGCTCCTCACCACAGTCCAAGTAATGTTGATATTTGGAACTCTTCACTTCCTATTCTTCCACTACTCTTAGTCTCTTATTTACAGTCTGGCCCATCACTCCAGTCACACTAAACATCACACACATGCTTCTGTGCCTGAGTTCTTCCAACAGAGCCACATAACAGTGCCTCATATTGAATCAGAGCAGCCATCCCACTTCTCAATAAGATAAGGGATCCTGAGTGCCACTTAAAAAATTACACAACTGCATGGATTGATGTCACTATGCAGTCACAACTGGCAACATCAGGTGTGCCCCCGTTGCTGCCTGGCCATACTTTTCTCATTCTCCTATACACCCATCGGTTGTGTCCAAATTGCCCCTCTCTCTACGCAAGTCCCCTATTCTTCTATCCCTTTTCTCCCACTCATTACATAACCTCACTTTTTTATTGGGAAAAAAAAACTCAAGATCATCATGTGAGAATCTCAACTTCTCCTTTTGCCACCTACAATTTTATCTTCGTTTTTTCACATCTGACCTTTCTGTCTCATTTGGAGAGATGTCCCTCCCTCTTGTTGACTGCCAGTCTTTCCGCCTTTCCTTTAAATCTCAGCCTCTCCTCTAGGACTTTGTTCTCCTTTATCTTAAAACTGTTTTCAGACTTTTGCAGGTACCTTAAAAATCACCCGCAGGACTTGTTAAAACAGATTTCTGGGCTCCATTCCCAAAGATTCTAATTCAGTGGCTCTGGAATGGGGCCTGAGAATTTGCATTTTTAATAAGTTTTCAGGTACAGTGAGTGCTGCTGCTGCTGTATTGCTGCTAGTCAGGGAACTGTATTAACTCTCTTAAACCATTTCCTTCTGCTGGGTGTGGCCACCCAGCCTGCAGACGCACCAAAAAATAAGAGCCACCATTTTTAAATTGTTGGCAATGTGACTGACAATTGGCTATGTGCCTTAGACATATCCCATTTAATTACTGCAATAACTCGTGAGGTGTGATTATTATTCCCATTCTATAGCCGTAGGACCTGAAGGTTCCAGAAGGTTATGGAACTCATTCACAAGTGAATAAGTGGCAGCTCTGGAATCCAATGTGTGTGAGTCCAGTGCCTTCCTTGTACTCCACAGCCTCTCATGTCGTGCAATGCTCTGTCATCTAAAAAATACATGGACCATGAAGTAGCCAAAATATTGGAAGGAGTAAGAAGAGAACAGTGTGACCAAAACTCAGGAAGGGACATAGAGGCACAGCTCTTCTTGACAGAGAGTTCAAGTAAGTTAAGAGCAGCAAGGCGTCCATTAGAATTTGCCATTAAGATCATCTGCAACCCTTGTGAGGAAATTTCAAGGGAATAGTGGGAGTAAAACCAACACTGCAGATGATAAGGAAGTGGATGGAAGGTGAGGGGAGAGCAGCTATAGTTTGCTTTCTTAAGAAGTTAGAGGGAACACAGGGTTGCAGTGAGTTTAATACCAGCACTTCCCCATACTCTTTTCCTAGCTAAAAGTGACCACCCACCTGTTGAGGACCCTCAAATTCTTATCACCAGCCCAGATCTCTCTGTTAAGCTCCAAACTCATTTGTCCAACTGCCTAGTGAGCATCTTCAGTGGAATGTCCTAAGCTCAAATGTCACAAAAAGAATGGATCATCTTGTTCCTTAAACCTTCTTTTTTATCCTAACTCAACCACGTGAACTGAACCATGACCCTTTGAGCGGGCAACACCTGAAACAGAGGCATTCCCTTGGGTTATTTCCTCCCACACACTCACATTTGATCAGCCCCAGTTGTCATGGGGTCTACTTCTTAAACCTCCTGATCTTCCTCTCCTGTCCATTCGTACTTCTGATGGCTTAGTTCAGGCCCTGCACAGCTGACTCATTCCCCACCCACTGTACCTATTGATTTTCTTGTCTTTCCTCTTCATGAACTGTCAGTTCCAGGAGAGCAGAGGCCATATAGCTGGTGTCTAACCATAGTGTCAGATACATAGTGCAAGCTCTTTAATTGTTTGTTCAACCAGTGTGTCTCCTATCAGGTGCTATCAGGACCTCAGTTCTGAAAACAATCTTGGTAGCATTTAACCAGCCTCACTTAGATCCCTCTCTATGTAAGGAGGCATGCAGGGCATGGCCTAGACACTATTAGAATTCACTGAGGCCAGTGGCAGGTAGAAATAAAATGGACAGTTTCTCATCCCTGTCTTCATGGACACTTTGTCTGCCTTGATTTCCCAGGACAGGGGACCCAGACATTGCAGCAGGCCGAGGTCATCTACGGATTGGGAGGTGACTGAAGCCAAATGCCTGTGGTCAGAGACACCACAGGGAACTGTGGATGGAGAAGGTTGGCAGGGCCAGGACAGGGTTTCTGAAGGAAGTCACTTGGGGGAGCCTGTTTCCACGAATGACTTCAGTAAACCAGGGCAGCTTAAATTGCATGACAGATAGGAGCTGGTCCCAGACAAAAGGACTCACGGCAGAGTGGGATTTAGAGATTGACTTGATGGGGGGTGGAGGTGGCAGTGGAAGGCTAAAGCCCAGGTTCAACTATGTCTGAGAAAGAGTCAAATAGCAGTAGTTTGTTCCAAAGTCCTCATCAAGAACACAAGCTCCTAAAGTTGATCAAGCACCACTTATGAGATTCCCGTGCTGGGTGCCTCCATGACACATTGTGATTTGATATGGCTGGCTTGAGGAGACATGAATATGTGGAGCGCTTAGGGGAGGGAAGGCTGAGAAACAGCGAAACTCCAGAAAGAGAGGAAAAATGTGAAGAAGTGCAATATACTTTTCCATTTTTTTTTTTTGTTATGCTTTTTTGAAATAGGATCTTGTTCTGTCACCCAGGTTGGAGTGCAGTATGCTTTTCCATTTGAGGGCCCTTGGGACATTGTCAGAGATGAGAATCAAGGAAAACCCAGGTGCTCCTGGGCTCAGGGAGGAGGTACAAGTGGCCATCTGGTCTCACATGGCTGAAGGTCTCTGGTTAATGAGCTTTATGCATTTTTATGAGCCAGCCCACTGTGTGCATCAGTTGCCCTGAGTGTGGGGGATTCCCCAGTGCAATTTCAGGTGGAGATTAATAATCTGGCAGCCAATGCTATAAATTTAGCCTCTCACAGAATGGCATGTTCAAGGGCAGAGAGGGGACTCTGACTGCTTTCACAAAATAAATGCAAGCCATACACTGAGAGGAGTTATGCTGTGATCTCCTGGCTTGTGACTTCAGGCCACCTTAGCCCTCCACATATATGTGGACTGAAACAAAGGAGAAAGAGATAGTGAGGTTCAAGGCCAGCAATCTGTGAAATGGGACCATAAAGTTACATTTGAGAAAAAATATTATTTGCTCATTTGTCTTTCTCTCCCTCTCCTCATCCCCCTTTTCTTCTTCCTTGCTGGAGGGCATCTCACCATGTCCTGGGAATACTGCAGTATGGTCTAGCCTGGAGGTGGCTGCCTGGGTTCAATTCCCAGCTTGCACGCTAATTGAACGTGTGACTTCAGGCATGTTACCAACTTCTCTATACCTCCACTTCCTCACCCATAACAAAGAGATTGAAAATAGTGCCAACGGTATGAGATTGCTGCTATGGAGATGAAATGAGGTAATGCATGGAATATACATAGAACTGTCCCTGGCACATAGTTAGAACCCAATACTTGTTGCCTATCATCATCATCATCAACAACATCATCATCGTCATTGTTATCATCATCATAACCATACCATCAAAATTAACATAATCATCAACATCATCATCATATCATCACTATCATCATCATCATCAATATCATCGTATCAAAATCAATATAATCATCAACATCAATATCATCGTATCAAAATCAATATAATCACCAACATCAATATTATCATTGTCATCAATATCATCATCATCATCATTATCATCATTAAATCATCATCAACATCAATATTATCATTGTCATCAATATCATCATCATCATCATCAACATCATTATCATCATTAAATCATCATCAGCATCAATATTATCATTGTCATCAATATCATCATCATCATCATCAACATCATTATCATCATTAAATCATCATCAGCATCAATATTATCATTGTCATCAATATCATCATCATCAACATCATCATTAAATCATCAGCAGCATCAATATTATCCTTGTCATCAATATCATCATCATCATCAACATCATTATCATCATTAAAATCATCATCAGCAACAGCAGCATCATCATCATCATTGCTTTATCCACCAGGGACCCTGTGGCCCCAACTGATAAGGAAACCCAGTTAATTATGGGCAATGTTTTCTACAGCACAAACCCAGGGGCTGCTCTTCTTATCCCAAAATCTCACAACTGCCTTGTGTGAACTCATTCCACCACCTGGTCCCACTGTCCCCTCAGACCCAAGCTGCTCGATGCTCTCTCTCTCTGCTGGGTGAGCTTTCAAGGCCTCTCACAAACAGCACCTACTATAGCAGCAGAGGTTCCCCCACCAACTTCATCATCTTCTTTCTCTCTTTAGGTCTCCCTCTTAAAATACTTCCTCCTCCAGGAAGCCTTCATGGCCTGACCAGAGGAGTAAGGCCAGTATTTGAATGCACATCTTTCCTTTCACTGAGCATTAGCCTCCCATAGCTCCTGTCACCATAATGTCAGCCTGCAAAATGGTCTTGCTCCCCACAGCCCAAGCACACCCAGCCTCTCTGGAGCTGAGCCTCCAGGTCCCACCCCTCAGCCCCGTGGACTCACCTATGACTGACCCTCGAAGCCTTCCAGCAGTAGAGAAAGACTTCAGGGACAGGGCCTCAGTCTAGGAGGGGAATCTTGGCAAAAGGGCATAAGGCAGTCATGTGGCACAGCACCTAAGTCTGCAGGCATGCCTAAAGCCCAGGACAGAACGCAGTGTAATTTGTGGCTAAAATGGAAAACATTTTTTCTTCCTCCCACTGCTTGGTTTTCCTAGCAGACACAGAAAACACTCTGGCTCCCCTTCTCCCCTCCTGGGGTCCAGCTCACTTGCTCTGCTCTTTCTGGCTCCCCAGAGAGCTTGCAGCTCCACTTTCTTTTTCTCAGCTCGCTGCCTCGTCCTCCCTGGGTTCCAGTACTGGGCTGAGCTTCTCTGTGGTCATTCCCTAAATCCCAGCTGTTCTGCTGTGTGCCCTGCCTGGATTGGGATTGGAGACGCCTCTCCCCAGTCACTCTCAAGGGAGGCCCTTTTATTTTGTGATAGTGGTACAATGAGTCTTTGATGGGTTGCTCCTAATGAGGTGGGAAGGCCTGGGGCAAGCAAGTCGTCATCCCTCTCTGAGCCTTCTTGTCTGCAAAATAGAGAGGCCAGCCTAAAGCTATCAGCAACCTCCATTAGTACTGCAGAAGGTCCCTGACTTAATGATGGTTCGACTTACAATTTTTCGACTTTACAACAGGTTTATCAGGCCATTAAATGCATTTTCTACTTTTAATATTTCTGACTTATGACAGGTTTATCCACCATAACCCCACTGTAAGTCAAGGAGCATCCTGAGATATGAATCCTTGATATACAGCCTTTTCTATACCATCATACGAACATCTTAAGCCAAATGACTATGAACTTTGAATACATCTAAACCCTGTGCTGTGGCCTCCAATGCTTACCATGATCCGGGCTTTGACTCCTCTCCAACTTTATCTCTTGCCATGCAATCTTTTGTATACTCCATCTCAGCCACACTGGCTTCCTTCCTGTTCTTAGAACACGCCAAGCCGGCTTCCATAGCAAAACCTTAGCATGACTCCTCTCCTCACTCTCCACCCAGCTCCTCCCTCAGCTCAGCCTTCAATTCTCGATTCCAGCATCACTCCCACAATGAGAACTTTCCCACGCCCCTTGTCCATCCCTGGTCCATGTTATTCTCTACCACAGCACTTATTGCTATCCAAAGTGATCTTGTTTATTTATTCATCTCCTAACTGGCTTTTTAAGGAAAACATCAGCTCCATAAAAGCAAGGAACTTCAAATCTCATTCAACATGGATCCAGCACTTGGGTCACGCTGATCACAGAATTCATTTGCATGGATGACTCAGAGAGTGGATATCAGTTTGGAAACAATAGCCGGGCTCATTTTGGTGGTGCTCCATGCTCATAATATTGGGAATGAGTATTCAGTCGCTGTGTTGGTCAAATCTAGTTTTGCATAGGAAGAACCCCACAAAGCAATTTTGTGCCACTGCTTCAGGTGACACACCAGTGCCAATCTCTCATGGATCTGAGGAAAACCGAAGGAAAAATGCAAAAGGTTCATAGCAACCTCTCAACAGTTTGAGAAAAATAGTCAATTGCGTGGCCCACAGACCTGAAGAGCAGCTTTTCTCATATGCATTGCAGCAAGGAGTGTTAAGTGACACCCAGCTATGATCTGATCTACCCTCCTGCCTCTAGCGAGCAGGCCATGAGCCTCCTGTGCTCATCACAAAGACGTCTACAACGGCCATCCTGCAGCCACACTCAGCTCCTCTGCCTAGTGCTTCCTGTCCCTTTGGGTCACATAGAATTTCTTAGTCTGAACTCCAGGCCTGCAGCTTAATTTGGGTCCTTTTCTTTATGTTCTAGCCCACAGACTGGAGAACGGAACCTTAGAGCATTTGTTTAAAGTTCTTGATGAAATCTCCTCTTATTCTTATTTTCTTCAGGCTCAATACTCCTAGTTCCTACCATTAGTTTTCCTACTACATAAACATGGAAGGGAATCAGAATCCTTTGTTCCTGTCTGTATCAACTCCCTTCTGTGCCTTGATGGAGCTCTAAGGGGTGCCTATAGCTTACTGTGCTGGGGGTGGGTGGGGACTTGAAACACAGGCCTTCAGCCCAGGAGGATGGGAAGAGGAGAGCTGGGGCTTGGCACTCAGTGACGCTCAGGCCATGGGGAAGACAGGCCACCACTGTGACAGGCAGAGGCTGGGATGGGACATGAGGGCGATGCCACTGGGTCCCACTTTAGCTAATCCATGGAATCACATGGGGGGCTTTTAAAAATACCCCGATTCCTGGCCCTTCCCTAGATCTGCCAACTCAGAACCTGGGGGAGGGCCAGGAATCTGTTTTTGAAAATGCTTCACGGGCAATGCTGGGAAATGCTGTTTTTTAACTACCCCTCCCTCGCTGTTTTTGCTCCAGGGCCTGTATTCCTGTGGCTTGTTCCTCTGTGAACAGATTCTCTGAGAGGAGCTCACAGGGTGGAAACAAGCTTGGAGACAATTCCCTCATGCATGGTGTCAACACAGGATCCGCCATGTCAGCTGTCAGGCAGCCCCGCCAACTCGCCAACTGGCTCCCATGGCGCCCCTCCCTTCTCCCCCACCCTCAAGCTGATTACAGGGCTGGGGCAGATGCTGATGACACTCAGTCCAGGGATGAACTTCAGACCCACTGCACTCTCGCAGTTGTTCAGGGAGTAAGAAGGGCAAGAACTGAAGGTGGGCGTGCCGCCAGGCCTGCAGCCAAAGCTTGTTTTGATTTTCAAAGCATCTGCTTGACACACCAGAGAAGACCTAGACCTATGCAGCTACCTTGCATTTTGTGAATTTATTGGGTTTTAAAATTCCTCACTACACACAAAGCACTTTAACAAGTACCTTAGATCCTACAACTTAAGAGATGGTTGGTGTCCTCCATTCAAAGCAGAGGTGCCAGGCTTCTTAGTGTGAAAAAAAAAATGACATTTTGAAATGTGTTGGTAATTTTTATTTAAAGATTGTGCCCTTTGAAATCAATTTCACATGCACAATAATGAGTCTTGCCAACAGCCATGTGCTCTGGTCAGAAAAGTAAAGAAACATTGTTCATTGTTTTGTTAGCAACATCAATCAGTTCTAGCCTCCACCTATGGACAGTCATCGCTCTTATGCCAGGATGCAGACAACATACATCTAAAATAGTGTTTGTTTTTTAACTAGGATGGCAGAAGAAACCATTTTCAGGAACTTGCAACAATAATAAACTGGCCAAAAAAAGACGCTGCAATTGGCCCTCATCATGGTATTTGATAACACTGAACTCCCCTAGCACGCAATGTTTGTTGGTTTGGTTTCAAATTTTGTTAACTAACAGAGAATGGTGGTTAGTTCTTCTTCTTTATTAAAATCAAGGGGCCAGAATAAATGGGATAGGACCCCAAAAAAGGCAAGTTGGGTAGGACATGGGGAAGCACTTCCTAGACCTTCTCCAAACCTGGGAACACCCTGAGAGACAAGTTGTCCATTATGTTTCAGGGGAACAGAATCATTTCCAAAGCTGGGCCCTGACACTTCCTGCAGACACACTCAGAGCCACTATAACACATACTGCTCAGTAACCAGTTCTGAAATGAGTAAGTGAAATGACCCGTTAAGAAGGATTCCTCCTTCCTGCGTGGCCTGCAGGCGAGGAGAGACCATGCCCCACACATGCCTGCCTCTTCTCTGGGCCCAGTGCTCTCCGTGTCCAGCAGCCTGCCCTGTCCTGCTAGGCTGAAGGCATCCTGGACAGAGTCACAGCTCAGTGGCAGAAGCAAGTCTGTGTCCTTGGCACGAGGGGCTTCAGCTGGGCATGGGCCTCAACTCAACAAGCCTTGGTGCAGAGAGGAAAAGCGGAGCCAAACAGAGGAAGAAAAATCCATTAAGCGGAGGAAATGAAGCAGGGAATGGTTACACTGTGGGTGAATGAGCAGGTAGAGTCTCTTTCCTCCTTTCTCACTCTCACCCACAGGGCCCAGGACTAGGCCCTGTGTGCAGGGGACTGCTGAATACAGCAGTATGTGCAGGTCTTAGCATTGGAGAGCAGACTGAATGAACTCCACAAATCCAACTAAGACTCAGCTCCTGCACATGATCACCCACTCACCATCCCATGTGGCAAGGAAGGGAACACCTGAGACCCAGGCCCAGGTCCCTGAAATGCTGAAATGCTCAGCCCATACCCTGAAATGCTGATGGCAGGAACCTCTGCACTGCTATGGCTCCCAGAACTCATCTCATCCTACTCTAGACACCAGCCCTGTCATCAGCCCCCTCCAACTCCCTAGTGAGTGCTGAGTTCAGAGGAATTTGTTCTGACCCTCAAGAGGGGTTAAGATACACTGATAGGCTGGTCGGGTCAGGCCTCTAAGATGTCACTGGTGCAGTGGCCCTACTTGCCTAGACAATTGAGAAGAATCATTTTACAATGATTTTATAAGCATTCATGGTGTTGTGGGGACTGGGCTATGACCTTTGTGGTCCAGGATGCTTAGTGTTCTAACAGAGATAGATGGGCTATGAAACAGTTACAGTGCAGTGGAGTAGTTGTGATATAGCCATGGCCAGGATATTATGGAAGCATGGTGGAAGAGCTTCTAAATTTTCTGTCTTTGGAAAAGATTCAGGAAAATTCATACATGAGTGCTTACATATACTTATGCACATATGTGCGCACGCATGCATGTGCATACACACAAACTCATGCTTGGTGGTCTGGGTATGTGCTAGAACAATGACCCTATCTAGCTAAGGTAGTGGGCCAAGATTAATCATTCCATCCATCTATCTACCCATCCTTCCACCCATCCACCCACCCATCTACCTATCCATCCAGGCATCCATCATTCTACCCATCTATCTACCCATCTTTCCATCTATCCACCCACCCATCTAACCATCCATCCAGGCATCCATCCATCCATCCATCCATTCATATACCCATCTATCCATCCATCCATACATGCATCCATCCATTTCTTATATGCTTACTATGTTACAGGCTCTTTTAAGGATTCTTTACTTATCTGATTTCATTTATTCCTCTCAATAACTTTATGAGATATGAATTATTAGTCTCATCTTATACATAAGAAAATTAAGACCCAAGAAGTTTGGTTGCTTGACCAGGGTTACACTAGTACACTAGTAAACAGCTGACCCAGGCTTCTCATCCAGATCTGAATAATTCCAATCGTATGTTCTTTTAATCTCTTCTGAATTCCCCATACTGTGTTCAGAGGAATTTGTTTCAACACTCAAGCAGGGTTCTGTTCTCCCCCATACTGAAAAACAGAAAACTGGATTTTCCAGGTACTAACAGATATTCAATACGCATAGCCTCTCTCTCTCTTTTAGGGAATTTAATGGGCAAATTCATAGGAAAGGCTTGGAGAAGTCCTGTACTATTTTCAGTTTAATCCAGCTTTCACTGATTATGATCATCATTATTTGATCATGAAACTTTTTGGTGGCAAAATACCCAATTCCTTGACAGTTGGAAGAGTTCCTTTACCCCCTCATCTGACCTAAGACCAGGACAAGGACTTCTGTCCCTAAGCAAGGTCTTTTTTTTTTCTTCAGGCAGCAAATAGTGATTTGACCTTAAGCCAACCAATAACCCAACCCCTTGCATCTCCGTGACATTCTTCTTCCACATGCCCTTCAGCTCCGTTTCTTCCCTGAACTGCAGGATGTCTCTGCAAAGCGCAGAGGGTGCAGGGGCTACTGGACCTCCAAGAAGTGATGGATTTGGTCTCCAAGTTGACCCCTTAAGAGATGGCTGCTGCCCTCTGTGGGTCTCATCACTGCAATCTTCTCATCCTATCTCCTGGCTCTGAGTCTCAAATGTTTACTGGCCCAGGGCAAGGACCCATTCCCATGGTATTCTAGATTCATGCCATCCATCTCCGACTCCACTGCTGGGTGGCAGGACAATGGCTTTGCGTCTGTGCTTCATCCCACAGACCCCAGCTTCTGCCTCAGGGAGGAATCCATCTGTACTTATTTCTCTAGATTCTTTTCCTCCCTCTTGTAGCTCTTTCTAAAAATAGAGACAGACTGGCATAACCAACCAGCAATGAGCACTCCTGTGCTCGGAGGGATTTTATTTGTTGCCCCAGAAAGAGAAACTGCTTCTCCCCACCTGGAGCCAGGACCCAGGAGCCAATGGTGACACAGTAGTGCCTTCACCTGAGCGAGCCTCTCCACTCTGCAGCCTGCCCCACATTCCAGTCCCTGGTCCCACTCTGGTCCCACCACCCCCCACCCCCACCCCCACCCAGGGAGTCAACACATCATCTCTTTGCACTCCAGGCCCTGACTCACTGCATGGTTGGGGAGTGACGGCCAGGGAATCCACAGCCTCAGCTGATCCAGCCAGGCTTCCTACTCTGTACCACAGGGTACAGAGCCACCCCCCTGTGCCACTGGCTGGGGGATTTTTTTCCAATGAGCTCAAATCATAACAAATGATTAACGCACAGAAGTGGCTGGAGTTGGCCTCCAGAACACGCACAAGGCAACTCTTTACTTAGTGAACAAAATGCACAGCTTAATGTAAGAGCTTGCCCTCTCCTTGGTCTCATCATCATCACCCAACTGCAGGCCCTGGACAAAGGGTAACCAGGGCCCTCTGGAATCCTGGACATGCCAGGTCAGAATTTGTGGATGATGTGTTAGGTTTTGATTGTCTTCTGATACAGAAACAGAATAGTGAAGGTTGAGGCTGGGAAAGAGAAGAGAAACCTACCTCACTGAAAAGAGTAGGCAACCTGGAAAAAGCTACCAGGACAATGAATACATAACAGAAATGAAGAGAGTCTTTCTCTCTTTCCCACCCATCTTTGTTCATCATGCAGTAGAGAAACATTGATGGTAGGGAAGGAGTGAAGACAGAAGGGAAGGAACGAGAGCCTCAACTTCTGCTCTTCCCAAAGGGGGCCACCCTTGTGTCCTCTTCTTTCACCCCTTATTCATTTGGGCAGGTATCCCAGGACTGCCCGAGTCAGGGCTCACCATCACCACTGGTTGACAAGCACTCATGAAATGCACAGCGACCTGAGCTCTGCCATTATTTATCTGCTGTGTGACGTTTCATGACCCAGAAGGAAAAAAAAATTGTTTAAGCTCCTCGTTACCAAATTTTACCTTGAAAAAATAAAACAGTTTTCAGAACTATGCTCATTACTTAGTCCACCCCTTTTTTCCCCCTGATCTCCAAAAGTTGGCCATTTAGATGTTCTCAGATGAAGACTCTTTGGTGGCTGTGGGGCAAAGAATTAACCTCAACCAAAGAGCGCCTTTGCAGCAGCTGGCCCCCCCACCCACCCCAGCTTCTGGGAAGTGATCTCCATAGAATGCCCTGCCTGATGGGAGTGTCTTTGTTTGCCTTGGGGCTTTGGCCGTTGGACAATCTTCTAACGAGATCTATGAAGGGGGTTTTGAGCCACATTGTATCAGGTCTACCCCCAGAAGGGCTGGTGACTGAAGGTCAACCATGCAGGTGGAATGTGCTCAAGCCTCAGTAAAAACTCTGGACACAAGGCTTGCATGAGTGTCCCTGGCTGGCAATACTCTGAACTTACTGTCACATGCCGATGCTGAGAAAGAAACACTGTCCTGGCTTGATGGAAGGAGGACACCCGGAAGCTCTGCGTTTGCTGCTTTCTGGGACCCCACCCTATGCATTTCTTCCCTTGGTTGAAGAAGGGACCTGCATCCCTTCCCTGTAATAAACCATAACCTTAAGTACAACAGACTTTAGTGAGTTCTATGAGTCCTTCTAACAAATTATCGGGACCCTTGAATTTGCAATTGCTGTCAGAAGTGTAGATCAAGTTCCCACACTTCACAGTTGGTTAGCTCTTTACAGTTGGCCTAAAACTTCAGTGTTAATATTGATTAATAGATAAGTAGATGGCACCTCTCCTGGTGTGGTCATTCCTAATCTGGTACATTGACCTAATGAAGACTCCTAGTTCATGAAAAGATTAAACCTAGTAGTCAGCTTCTAGGATTGTATAAGTGTGAGTACAAATTGCCATGGTTCCAGGGTCACAACTTTTGGAAGTATTGATAGCTCTTTTTAAAAAATGTTTATTTTTATTTCAAGTTCCAGGGTACATGTGGAGGACGTGCAGGTTTGTTACATAGGTAAACGTGTGCCATGGTATTTTGCTGCACCTATCAACCCATCACCTAGGTATTAAGCCCAGCATCCATTAGATATTTTGCCTAATGCTCTCCCTACCCCCTTCCATCTCCCAACAGGCCCCAGTGTGTGTTGCTCCCCTCCCTGTGTCCATGTGTTCTCATTTGTTCAGCTCCCACTTATAAGTGAGAACATGCGGTGTTTGGGTTTTCCATTCCTGGATTAGTTTGCTGAGGACAATGACTTCCAGCTCCATCCATGTCCCTGCAAAGAACATAATAACATTCCTTTCTATGGCTGCATAGTATTCCATGGTATATATGTACCACATTATCTTTATCCACTCTATCATTGATGGACATTTGGGTTGATTCCATGTGTTTGCTATTGTGAATAGTGCTACAATGAACATACATGTGCATGTATCTTTGTAATAGAATGATTTATATTCCTTCGGGTATATACTCAGTAATGTGATTGCTGGGTCAAATGGTATTTCTGGTTCTAGATCTTTAAGGAATTTCCACACTATCTTCCACAATAGTTTAACTAATTGACATTCCCACCAACAGTGTAAAGCGTTCCTGTTTCTCTGCAACCTCACCAGCATCTGTTGTTTTTTGACTTTTTAATAGTAGCTATTCTGACTGGTGTAAGATAGCATCTCATTGTGGTTTTTGATTTGCATTTCTCTAATGATCAGTGATGTTGAGCTTTTATTCATATGTTTGTTGGCTGCACGAATGTCTTCTTTTGAGAAGTGTCCATTCCTGTCCTCTCCCCACTTTTTAATGTTTTTTTTTTCTTATAAACTTGTTTAAGCTCCTTGCAGATTCTGGATATTAAACCTTTATCAGATGGATAAATTGCAAAAATTTTCTCCCACTCTGTAGGCTGCCTGCTCACTCTGCAATAGTTTCTTACCATGTGCAGAAGCTCTTTGGTTTAATTAGATCTTGTTTGTCAATTTTCGCTTTTGTTGAAATTGCTGTTAGCAATTTTGTCATGAAATCTTTGCCCGTGCCTATGTCCTGAACGGTATTGCCTAGATTTTCTTCTATGGTTTTATAGTTTTGGGTTTTACATTTAACTATTTGATCCATCTTGAATTACTTTTGGTATAAGGTGTAAGAAAGGGGTCCAGTTTCAATTTTCTGCATACGGCTAGCCAGATCTCCCAGCACCATTTATTAAATAGGGAATCCTTTCCCCATTGCTTGTTTTTGCCAGATTTCTCGAAGATCAGATGGTTGTAGACGTATGGTCTTATTTCTGAGTTCTCTATCCTGTTCCATTGGTCTGTGTGCCTTTTTTTGTAC